>NC_000018.10:3760000-5010000 GCF_000001405.40 Homo sapiens
GCCTATTGAAGTGAGGTGTAATGCTCTGCTGGTCAGTTTCTTCATCAAAACGTGGGCTTCCCGAGGGCAGTGACCACAGCTGGCATCATGGGAATACATCATTGTAATCCCCAATGTCAGCACAGGGTCCGACATGTATTAGGCCTCCTTATATGTTTGTTATGTAAGTGTGTGGGGGGCAGGGGTGGTAGGGTGTGAAGCCTGGCCAAGACATTGTGACAAGAGGCCCAGTGGGACTGTGATGAGGGCCTGGAGAAAATCAGGGAACTGCGGAAGGAAGACAGGAGGGGCGACACAGGGCCAATCCAAGAGGAAGCAGTTGAGAGGTCAGACCTGCCGAGTTCTGCTCCTGGGTGACAGGAGGCAAGTGGCGACACCTTTTACCTGATATCTAGAGTACAGTCAGGCCCAGGGGAATTAGTTTCTTTTTTTGGGAGCAGTAAGGAAATAATCTATCTTAATACTTCAATGTGCCTAGCAGAGTTTTATTGCCAGCTGGCTGGGGATACAGCAGGCAGTACAGAAAGAATTGTTTCCAAAGTATGCCAGGCAGGAGTTTTGGGCTACAGGCTGCTTTCATGATCGCAGGAGGTCTGTGTGAGAACGCGGTCATACACATGTGGGCAAATCACTGTCCAGAACTGAACAGCAACTAAAGCTAAGTGGGGCACCTCTTCCTTCTGGTCCAGGGCTGCCAGTTTTATAAAAACAATCCTTTGCATTGCCTCAAAATAACTCCTGCAATTACCTTCACTTAATTTCCATTTGCGTAGGACCAAATTGATCACCAAATCAATTACAACAATCCAGATAAAAATGTGATTTTCTGTGGGGGGTGGTTCCCTGTAGCATAAATAGTTTTACAGCGGGAAGTTTGTTCTGGTGGATTTGGCTCTTCAATTCGTTGAACACTGGTTCATCAGTCTGAGTTTTGGTTGGGTCCGTGACACTGTGCAAGCCACAGCTTCCTCTTTAAAACAGAGCTAACAATATCCACCTTATGGAATTGTGTGAATTTACTGCGTAATAAACATCTGTCTGTCTCTCTGTCTTTCTCGTGCTCCCCCTTCATTGTGGCAAAATACACATAATATAAAATCCACTGAATTCACCATTTTAAGGGTACAGTTCGGTGGCATTAAGGATAGTCACATTTTTGTGCAATCACTGCCACTGTGCATCTCCAAAAGTTTTTTCTTATCCCAAACTGAAACCCTGTACCCATTAGACACGAACTCCCCGTTTCCCTCCCTCCCCCAGCCTCTGGCAACCAACATTCTACTTTCTGTATCTATGAATTTGGTCACTCTAGGCACCTCATATAAGTGGAATCATACAAAATTTGTCCTTTTGTGACTGTCTTATATTTCTCCTGGCATAATGTCTTCAAGGTCCATCCACAATGTCGAGTGTGACAGGATTTCCTTCCTTCAAGGCTGAATCATACTCTGTTGAATGTGATTTGGTTTATCCATTAGCCATAGATGAACACTTGGGTTGCTTCCACCTTTTGGTTATTGTGAATAATGCTGTGATGAGTACGAGTGTATCTGTTTCAGTCCCTTCTTTCTTTCTTTCTTTTTTTTTTTTTTTAAGACGGAGTCTCACTCTGTTGCCCAGGCTGGAGTGCAGTGGCGTGATCTAGGCTCACTGCAACCTCTGCCTCCCAGGTTCAAGCTATTCTCCTGCTTCAGCCTCCTGAGTAGCTGGGAATATAGGCATGTGCCACCACGTCGGGCTAATTTTTGTATTTTTAGTAGAGACGGGGTTTCACCATGTTGGCTAGGCTGGTCCCAAACTCCTGACCCTGTGATCTGCCAGCCTCAGCCTCCCAAAGTGCTAGGATTACAGGCGTGAGCCACAGTGCCTGGTCTCAGTCCCTGCTTTCAATTCTTTCAGGTATATACCCAGAAGTAGGAATCTCTCTTTAACAGAAGAACTTCGTCTTTTCTATTTCATTTCTCAGTAATTTTGCTACTAACATTTGGGGACCAACACAATAAAAACAAACCATCATTTCCCCCACCCTGAGGAGGCACTTTGTTGCTAATTCAGTGCCAGTTTTAAGGATGCTAAATAATATAGTAGTACTTCAGGGACTATTATGGCCATGGCTGAAAATAGAAAAATGATACTTCTATTAGTTGGTGAAAAACAGTAATAGAATTAAAACTCAATATAATATTGTTGAGAATTCATTGTATTGCCAAGATTAAGACATCCAGAAAAACAATTTCATAAGCAGTTAGAGATTGCTGAAAGACTGTTGACAACAGTATCAGTTTATGAACCAGTAAGAAAAGAAATAACTTTATTGCTAAGAAAGATGTAGTGACAGTTTAAATTGTACCAGGCAGCCCACAATAGTAATTCTTAGGAAGGGATGTAAGTAGTGACCTACATGCTGCTTTGAGCTGAATACAATGTGTTTCTTTCAATTTTGAGAGCAGATGTACTTACACAGATGTAAGCTGACACTGACAAATTGGAGCAGTTAAAGCTAGTGTAAAAGTATTTTGATAGATTTTTTTTTCACAAATTGCTTCATATTCTGACTTCACTTTAGGAATTCTAAGAGCAACTAAAGAGAGACCCTTAAATAATTCTTTTGATGTTGGTTTTCTTCTAATCCCTATTGTCAAATGCTCTATGTCTATCTGAACTCACTATCAGCATGCTGAAAGGTCACAAAAAAGGTATCTCTTCTATGTAATCGCCTTCAATGGTTCTGAACACAGCAATCATGTATCTTCCAAGCCTTCCTTTCTTTAGGTGACATGACCCTCCACTCCTCTTATGTCAACATTTCCAGGCTCTCCATAATCTTGATGACTCTTTTCTAAAGTCAGACAAATTGTTAATTTCTCTTTGACAAGAAGGCACCCCGAATGATACTTCACCTTTCAAATGTGGCTGACAAGTGAGGAATACAGAATGGCCATTATCATCCACATTCTGTAGGAAATCCTGCTAGGATGCAGCCTGGGAAAGCTTTGGATTGCATGGTGTGATGGTTAATATTGAGTGTCAACTTGATTGGATTGAAGGATGCAAAGTACTGTTCCTGGGTGTGTCTGTGAGGGTGTTGCCAAAGGAGATTAACATTGGAGTCAGTGAACTGGGAAAGGCAGACCCACCCTTAATTTGGGTGGACACCATCTAATCAGCTGCCAGCCCAGCCAGAATAAAAGCAGGCAGAAGAACGTGGAAAGACTAGACTGGCTAAGTCTTCCAGACTATATCTTTCTCCTGTGCTGGATGCTTCCTACCCTTGAACATCGGCCTCCAGATTCTTCATCCTAGGACTCTTGGACCTTCAACTACAGACTGAAGGCTGCACTGTCGGCTTCCCTACTTTTAAGATTTTGGGGCTTGGATTATCTTCCTTGCTCCTCAGCTTGCAGATAGTTTATTGTGGGACTCTACCTTGTGATCACATGAGTCAATACTCTTTAATAAACTCCCCTGTATATATACATCTATCCTATTAGTTCTGTCTCTCTAGAGAACCCTGACTAACACACATGGCCTATAATCTCATTTTTTACTTCTGGTAAGCTCTTTTTGGGTGACTTTTAGATCTTCTTTATATCAAATGATGTTAAATCATCCCAAATTTTGATCCTTTGCTTCAGTTAACGGGAAATGAAAGGCCTATCTTTTTTTTTTCTTTTTTTTTTGAGACGGAGTTTCACTCTTGTTGCCCAGGCTGGAGTGCAATGGCGTGATCTCGTCTCACTGCAACCTCCATCTCCCAGGTACAAGCGATTATCCTGTCAGTCTCCCAAGTAGCTCGGATTACAGGCATGCACCACCATGCCTGGCTAATTTTTTTATATTTAGTACAGATGGGGTTTCACCACGTTAGTCAGGCTGGTCGCGAACTACTGACCTCAGGTGATCCACCCATCTCGGCCTCCCAAAGTGCTGGGATTACAGGCGTGCAGCACTGCGCCTGGCCTATTCTGTCATTCTTATGCAATACATGCATATATCACCTATTCTTGCCAGTTATGTGTAGCAGCTAATGTGATGAGAAAAGCAAAAATAACAAAACCACAATTTACTGAGTGCGTTACATGGCCCTATGCATTTAAGTGCTTTACCTACAGTATCTTATTTATCACACCAGTATTAAGGATTATTATAACAATTACGAAGTATTATTATACCTATTTTCAATGAGGAAGCTGAAGCCGACAAGTTTGTAAACTCAAAATTGAAAGCTGGTTCTAATTTCTGTAGTCTTAACCATCCTGTACCCTCCCATAAGCATGTCATCTATATCCTTACTCAAACGCTAGCAAATTATTCACTAAGATTGGGCAAATCAGTAATCTCCTTTGGTAACACCAGTGATCAGTGATCAGTGAGTTGGCTCAGTCCGTTAACCAAAAAGCTGTTTAACCAACTACATATGTTCCTATTGCCCAGGCCTCGTTTGTTTGTTTTTCCTGCAAGGTAATTGTGATCTACTGTTTCCAATGCTATCCTAAGTACAGTCACATTCCTGTGATGTACCTCTCTCAACTAAGACAAAGAGGGAAATACGGGTAGTTCCATATACCCCTTGTTAATACATCTATGCTGTTTTCCCATTTTCGAAATCATCCCAAACCATCAATTTTAAAGTTTATTTTAGAATTTTGCAAGACTCATATGAAGGTAAATATTTGCAGTCTAAAAAAATCTTCTCTTCGGGAAAGTGAGATGACATTTACTCTTTTCCTGGTACATTCCTCATGGTTCCTAAAATATCACCAATAGTAATTGTGCAATCATATCTGGGTTCCTTCAGATGGAAACAAAATTTTCATGGCTTTATATGACTTCTTATTTGTGGTAGTTATCTGGTTTTTGTTCTAGGTTGAGCTTAGGTGAGTGGCGTCAACTTTGTCAGCTTGGAATTGGGCAGGAAATGAGAATCAGGGGCCACAGGGAAGAACAGGGGTGAGAAAAGCAACCTCAGTGGGTGCCAGAGGTGTAGCTGAGTCTGGGCACAGCCTCAAGTTTGTTTGTGTGCATGGCTGTGTTTGTTGTATCTGTTTATGTAGGTGGTGGATGGGCATTCCCTGGCTGCTTTGGAAGGCTCAGAATCTCCATGCACACTTGCAAACTTTTTTTTTTTTCTTTTTTTTTTTTTTTGAGACAGAGTCTCGCTCTGTTGCCCAGGCTGGAGTGCAGTGGCGCAGTCTCGGCTCATTGCAGCAAGCTTTGCCTCCCGGGTTCACACCATTCTTCTGCTTCAGCCTCCCGAGTAGCTGGAACTACAGGCGCCCGCCACCACGCCTGGCTAGTTTTTTGTATTTTTAGTAGAGATGGGGTTTCACCATGTTAGCCAGGATGGTCTCGATCTCCTGACCTCATGATCTGCCCACCTTGGCCTCCCAAAGTGCTGGGATTACAGGCGTGAGCCACTGCACCTGGCTCCACACTTGCACACTTTTAAGATTTTTACACTTCATTTAAACTGGTAAAAATGATGATGTCATTAGATTCTGATAAATTATAATACCTAAAGCTACCCTTAAAAATTTGTACAAAGAGATATACTCGGGCACGGTGGCTCACGCCTGTAATCCCAGCACTTTGGAAAGCCAAGGCAGGTGGATCACCTGAGGTCAGGAGTTCGAAACCAGCCTGGCCAACATGGTGAACCCCGTCTCTATTAAAAATACAAAAAATTAGCCAGGCGTGGTGGCAGGCACCTGTGATTCCAGCTACTCAGGAGGCTGAGACAGGAGAACTGCTTGAACCTGGGAGGCAGAGGTTACAGTGAGCTGAGATCACACCTTTGCACTCCAGCCTGGGCAACAAGAGCAAAACTCTGTCTCAAAAGGAAAAAAAACAAAGAGATACACTCAAAAACACTATAAATAAAAATAGAATCCTGAAAAAATTAAGTATCACATTGGAAGGTGGGAAAAATAAAATAGGGAAACAACAGACAAAATAAACAGAAAACAAAATAAAAAATGGCAGACTTAAGCCCTAACATGTCAATAATTGCATTAAATGTAAATAGCCTACATACGTCAACTAAAAGGCAGAGATTTTCAGAGTGATTAAAAAACACATCTATAAGAACCTCACTGCAAATATAACAATGTAGGCAAGTTGAAAGCAAAAGGATGGAAAATTTATATCATGCAAACATTAATTAAAGGAAAATAGGAGTTGCTCTACTAGTATCAGATAAAGTACACTACAAAGTAAAAAAAGTCAGAGATAGGGAAGTACATTATATAATGATATATCATGGGTTAATTCATCAGGAAGACATAGCAATCTTAGATGTTTATGCAGCAAACAACAGCATATATTGAATGAAAAAGCTGATAGAACTGAAAGGAGAAATAGAAAAATTCACGATTGTAGTTGGAGACCTCAGTTACTACCTCCCAACAATTGACAGAACTAGACAGAAAATCAGCAAGGATAGACAAGAACTCAACAACTCCATAAACCAATAGACTCAAACAGACATTAGAGAACACTCTACCCAAGAACAGCGGAATACTCATTGTTTCCAAGTGCCCATGGAACATATACCAAAATAGTCCATATTTGGGGCCATAAAAAAAAACTCAACAAACTTGAAAGAACTGAAATATACATAGTGTATTCTACAACCACAATGACATCAAATGAAAAATCAGTAACAGAAAGATAACAAGATCACCTTTAAACGCGGAAATTAAACAATGCAAAGCTTAATAAGCCATAGATAAAAGAGGAAATCTTAAGGAAAATAAACAAATACACTGAACTGGAGGAAAATTAAAACAAGCATATTAGAAGTTTTGAGACACAGCTAAATCAGTGTTGAGAGGGAAACGTATAGCACTAAATGTATATGTTAGAAAAGAAGTCTCAAATCAATAATTAAGCTTTTCCTCATGAACCTAAAAAAAGATCAGAATAAACTCAAAACAAGCAGAAAAACAATATAAAAGATAAAATACTTGAAAAGAATCAAAGTTCTTCTTTGAAAAGGTCAATAAAATGGATAATTTTTGCACAAGCCTGACAAAGAATAAAAGAGAAAAGACACTAATGACCAATATCTGGAATGAAATGGAATATCACTAGAGATTCTGCAGGTATAAAGGGATACTATGAACAACTGTATACTTGTAAACTTGGCAATATAGATGGAAGGAACCAATTGCTTGAAAAACAAAAATTACCACAATTCACCTACTTTTCAACAGATATTAGACCTGTAATTCTTAAGGATATTGACTTTGTAATTTAAAAGTTCCTCAAAAAGAAATATCCAGGTCCAGATGGTTTCACAGGAGGATGTCACCAACTTCTAAAGAAAAACCAAAACCAATTATACACAATCTTTTCCAGAAAATAGAAGAGAAGTAAACATTCCCATTATAAAATGAATTTTTATAAAGCTAGCATTACCCTAATATCAAAAGCAGAAAAAGACAGTACAAAAAAATAAAACTATAGACCTCATGAATAAAGACACAAATGTTCTTATCAAAACATTGGCAAATAGAATTCAGTAATATATATAAAGAATTATACACCATGACCAAGTGGAATTTACTCCGCTTGGATGGGATATTCCACTTTCAGAAATGCAAGGCCCGTTCCATATCTGAACATTAATGTAATCTATTGATACCATATTAAGAGGCTAAGGAAAAAAATCATATGACCCTATCAACTGATGCAGAAAATGCATGTAACAAAATTCAACTCTCATTCATGATAAAAAGTCTAAGAAAAATAGAAATAAGAGCGAATATCTTCAATTTGATAAGGAACATCTAAAAAGATCTACAGCTAATGATATACTTAATGGTGAAAGACAGAATGTTTTCCCCCTAAGATCATGAACAAGACAAAGATTTCCACTCTTATCATGCTTATTCAAAAGTTCTGGAAATTCTAGCTAGTATGGCAAGGAAATAAAAGGCATAGAGTTGGAAAGGAACCTAGTTCACCTAGGCTCAAAACCACCACCTAGTTCAAAACTGTCCCTGTTTTGTCTTGTCATCTGTTTGCAGATGACATGATTGCCTACAAAGGAAATCTGAAGAACTTAACAAAAAAACTTCTGGAACTAAGTGAATTCAGCAAAGTCACAGGATATAAGGCTAACATACAAAAATCAGTTGTATTTCTCTATGTAGTAATGAACACCTGGACGCAGAAATTAAAAATCCAATACCATTTACAACTGCTTAGAAAATAAAATACTTAGGTGTAAATCTAACAAAATATGTTCGGATCTGGTGAGCTGAAAAGTACATGGCACTGATGAAATAAATCAAAGATGATTTTAATAAATGGAGACACATAGCATGTTTATGAGTTGAAATACTCAAAAATAGGAGAAATGTCAATTCTCCCCAAATTGATATGCAGGTTTAATGCAACTCTTATCAAAATCTCATAAAGATTTTTGTAGATATAGACAAGATTTTTTAAAAATTTGTATGGAAAGTCAAAGGAACAAGAATAGCTAAAACAATTTTGAAAAAGGAGAAGGAAGGGGGAGGATTCAGTCTATTCAAAGACATACTCTATGGCTACAGTAATCTAGACTGTGTAGTATTGGTGAAAGGGTAGGAACACAGACCAGTGCAACAGAATGGAGAATCAAGAAAGCCCAAAACCTCCCTAACTGATTACTGACAAAAGTGCAAAAGCAATTCAAAAGAGGAAAGATGGCCTTTCTAATAAATGGTGCTGGAGCAATTGGACATCCACAGGCAAAAAGACGTAAGTCTCCCACCTTACGCAAACTCAAAATTGATCAAGGGCTTAAATGTAAAATATGAAACTATAAAACTTTTAGAAAAAACATTGAAGAAAAGCTTTGGGATTCTAAGCTAGGCAGAGTTCTTAGAATCAACACTAAAAGAATGATCCATAAAGTGAAAACCTGATAAATTGGATTTAATCAGAATTAAAAACTTTAGCTCTGTGAAATACCTGATTAAGAAGATGAAAAGATAAGCTAGAAATAGAAGATAATTGAAAATCACATATCTGACAAAGGATTAGTACCTAATATAAATACAGTACTTTCAAAACCCAACAGTAAAAAACAAGCAATCCAATTAGATAATGGGCAAAACTCATGAAGAAACACTTCACAGATAAACCCAGGAGAAGAGTTCAACATCACTAGTCATTAAGGAAATGAAAATTAAATTCACAATAAGATAGTACTCCACTCCTATCATAATGACTACAACAAAAAATTAATGACAGCAACAAATGTTGGTGAGGATTCAACGAAAAGGGATCATTCATACATTGCTGGTAGGAATGTAAAATGGTACAACCACTCTGTAAAACAGTTTGATGGTTTGTCTAAAACCTGAATATGCAACTACTATATGACCCAAGAATTGTACTCCTGGGAATTTGTCTTAGAGAAATGAAGCGTATGTTCACTCAGAAACCTTTATAGGAATGGTTACAGCAGCTTTGTTTATAATCGCCCCAAATTGCGCACAACCAGGATATCCTTCAAGGAATGAATGGTTAAACTGTAGTACATCCATGGAATACTTCTCAGCAACAGCCTGGATGAATTTCCAGAGAACTATGCTGAATGAAGAAAGCCAGTCCCAAAAGGTTACATACTGTGTGATTCCATTCATGTAAAATGACAGAGTTACAGAAATGGAGAACAGATTGGTGATTGCGAGGGGTAAAGAAAGTGGTGGGGTTGGGAGGGAAGTGGGTGTGGCTATAAAAGGGCAACATGAGGGACCCATGCAATGATGGAAATGTTTGTATCTTGACTACCAGTGTCAATATCCTCTTTGTGATATTGTTCTACAGTTTTTTGAAATGTTACCACGGTGGGTGGGGGGGGAAAACTGGGTATAAGGTGCATGAGATCTCTCTGTACTATTTTTACAACTACATGTTAATCTACAATTATCTCAAAATAATTTTAATCTCAAAATAAAATTTTAATTAAAAAAATCCCACCTTCAGACAATGAATGAGTCAGGATGCAGGAAAAACTAATAGTGTGGTTCACCATCTAGTTCAAAGCTGGACATTGGAACTGAGTTTGTACCTAAGAATAAGTAGAACCAAGTTAGTCTCCAAATTTTTAAACGTCTGCCATGATGAACCAGGGTCTGTGTGTGTGGCAGTGAGAAGAGCACACTTGAAGAATGTACTCATGGGTGGACTTGGGACCTGGTTGGAGACAGGCACTACTATGCATAAGGCCTGCATCTTCCATTTTCCCTGTCTGATAGGTCAGTGCTGTCACTGTGGGAGAGAGAAGGCAGGCAGGAGAAGGGAGGTGGTGGAATTTTCCTCTTATTCTTCTCTGAGTCTCTAGAAATTTGGGTACTTCTTAATGACCAGACACATGTCCTGAATATTGCTCCTGCCTTACCCCCACATCACTGGCTACTGCAAACTCCTAATAGTCACCTTGATGCCATAATTAAGGCAAAAAAGACTGGAGGTGGCCATAGGAAAAGGCATTTAAAATACATTTTGATGTGCCATGAAACACAGATGAATGCCCATTCATTGGCTATGTTTTACATGGGCTTTAGCTGTAGAAATGCAACAGCTCTGAAATTTATACTTAGAGAAAATAACTACTCATTCATCTGAACAAAAACATAAAAGTTTTCCAGGAAATGTGAAGAATCATTAACTTCACAGATTCTGAACAGAAAGTATAATTGCATACGCTATAAGGCAGAAGTATATTTGAAAGCATTTGTGAGTGAAATGGAAACATGCCCCATCAATCCATTATCACCAGAATCACATAGTATTTAAATGGCCACAGATACTCTGACTAAATCAATTAGGTACAAAGACAGAAATAATGAGTACTGTTGGTGGTCAAAAGCTTTTCCAGATAGGTGTTTAGGTGTTGGAAAGATGACTTCTACCCACTTTTATTACCTTTATGCCATGGTAAATTATAGTAATTTCTTATGCCTTGGGTGAAAGAATGGAAAGATAATATTCACCGTATTGAGGATGGTTTAACTTTTCTATAGAGAAGCACCGAA
Source organism: Homo sapiens (assembly GCF_000001405.40). Taxonomy (NCBI): domain Eukaryota; kingdom Metazoa; phylum Chordata; class Mammalia; order Primates; family Hominidae; genus Homo; species Homo sapiens. Next base: position 3,771,034 of record NC_000018.10, read on the forward strand.
CAATCACTACCACATGAAAAGGGATAAAAGCTTTCTGGTCAAAATGTACTCTATTATGCTAGCAATATAAGCTATTCGACATATTCTGTTGTGGAAATTCCCAAGCTCCCAAGATTCCGATAAGGAACGTGCTGCACGAGCTCAGGGCAGCAAGGAGATTAGACAATAAATAAACAAAGCTCCCCTTTCACAAGCTGCGGTCCCATGGCTGAGAATCCGCTCTTGTTCTTCTCTCTTCTAACCCCTGGGTCTTGTTCTTCCCTTCCTCTTCTCTGGGTCTTTATTAATTGGGCTTTGTGTCTATTCTAATGAAAAAGGCACCGATGCTCCGTCCCACTCCTTCCTGCGCCCCCGTGGAAGGACGGTGGGGGGACGACGGCGTAGGTCCAGGGGAGCTGAGAGTGCGTCTGTGTTTCCCCGGAGACGCGCTCGGCCCGGGGGCGGGTGGCGGCGTCAGTCCCGGGGAGGACCGGCAGGGGGCGGTCGAGGCTGAGGACTGCGCAGGACCGCCCGGGCGGGACGTGCCGTGTGTACTGCGGGACTTGCATAATACCACTCTCCAAGTCAGGGTGCCTTCCAGGAAATCCTGAGCGAGTTGCTCATTCAAGTTTTTCCATGTTTGACGTTGGTGACTTAATCAAAGAATCAAAGGATGTCAGGGGCCTGGATTGCTGTTATCTTCTTTCAAAGGCTCTCCTTCAACGGATAAAAAATTAAGGCTCAGAGCAGCTCTGGGTCTAACTAGCTAGTTAGTGGCAGAGCTGACGCTGTAACTGAGGTCTACTAACTGCCTGCCCTAGCTCTGAAAAAAAAAAAAAAATCCATGTGGCCACTGCCAGCTTCTATTTACAAGATAAATTTCTAACGCTGAAAGAACATTCTCTCCTCTCCCGGTCCCTTCTGAGTTCGCATTTCTGTGGCTTAAGCTGCAAGTGGTGAAGCTTATTTCGGGAACAGAAGCGCAAATTTAAAATACAATAGAATTATGAATAGATTGCAATATTTGACTATTTTATAACAACCATAGACTCTGATGGTAAAAACAGTTAAAACCTAAGCCTTTCTTTCTTTTCTTTTCTTTCCTTTCTTTCTTTTCTTTTCTTTCTCTCCTTCCTTCCTTCCCTTTCTTTCTCTCCTTCCTTTCTCTCCTTCCTTCCTTTCTCTTCTTCTCTCCTTTTCTTTCTCTCTTTCTTTTCTTTCTCTCCTTCCTTCTTTCCTTCCTTTCTTTCTCTCTTTCCTTCCTTTCTCTCCTTTTCTCCTTTTCTTTCTTTCTCTCCTTCCTTCCTTCCTTTCTCTCCTTCTCTCTCTCTCTCTCTTTCTTTCTTTCTTTCTTTCTTTCTTTCTTTCTTTCTTTCTTTCTTTCTTTCTTTCTTTCTCTTTCTTTCTTTCCTTCCTTCCTCCCTCCCTCCCTCCCCCCCACCCCCCTCTTTCTTTCTTTCTTTCTTTCTTCTGTCCCGGAGATCTTAATGAGCTCCTTGTGTATTCTTTCTTTCTTTTCTTTCTGGTCTAGTGTAGCTGCCTGTCGTCTTTTAATATATTTAGGAATAAGGAGGCTTTGTGAATTTTACATTCATGTGATCATTTTGGGAATTTTATTAATAATATTATTATATCCTCAATTTCTGAGCCCCACCCCAGAACAATTAATTTAGGCTCTAAGGGTGTTTTTAAAAACAGGCTATTCAAAATGTGGTTCTTGGACCAGTGGCATTGGCACCCCCTGGGAGCTTGTTAGGCATGCAGAATCACAGGCCCCACTTCAGACCCGCTAAATTAGCATCTGCATTGTAACAGGACTTCCAGGTGATTCTTAACTGCACTAAAGTTTGAAAAGACCAACTCTAAGCCCCCGATAACTCCAGTGAACATTTGGCAGAGGGCCTCACCTCTTCAGCATGGTATTGAACGGAGCCCCTGGTCCTTACCTTAGTGTTCCTGTCCATAATTAACTTGGCAGAGCCCATTTAAAAGAAGAGAACATTTTTACTTGTGCTTTAAGATCAGGCTGAAAGAATACTGGAATGAAGGAGTTCTTAATGAGCTCCTTGTGTATTCTTAGATGGGACTTAAAAATTTTTTTTTATTTTTTTAATGTGAAAGGGCACTATTGATACACAAGGAACTCGTGGGAACTGAAAAAAGGAAACCAGTTTCTAGGTGGGCTCTGTTGCCTGTATTTGACTCACTCACCGATAACACACTCATAAACTGACACACACATAAACTCTGTTGGGCTCTCAGGATATAAGAACATTTGGTAATAAACTAATATTAGCAGATAATTTATCTTTTTTGTTTTGTTTTATTATACTACCAAGCATAACACAGTGTTTTGTATATACCAGGTGACTAACTATTGTTGGCAGCAAGAACAGTAGATAAATATTTATGGAAGGAACGCTGTGCAAACAGTACCCTCTAGGAACAAAATGTTTTCCTAATTAGTTAGAATAGTTAATAGTTTATTGTTATTCATGCAAGAATTGAGCAATTGGGATTGATGATTTCAGTTATCTGGTTTGCTTTTGGATAAGATGACTTTTGATCCCCTAGTGCTGAAAACAAGAACTGGCAGAGCAAGTTCTGGTGTACCTAACAATAGTGTTCATAAATAACTTCCTGCCACACTGATAAAAACATCTAGCTAAATTCATTTTTAACTGATAGTAAGTGCTATTTGTTTTTAACTGATTTTCCATGCCACATATTTGTAAATCTATTTCACTGTGTTCTGGGAGCACGAAAGACTGGTGCTACATTAATTCAAGCATATATTAGAGGGAAATGGATATAAACTTTCTGCTAATATTTCCAGGTAGCCTGACAGTCAGATGTTAGAAGTATTCAATTGCCAAGTTAAAAAGTAACAGGAAGAATCAAAAAATATTTTTCTGTGATTGGGAATCCAAGCTGGGAAATGAGACTTCTTTGCCTTGTCTTCTACTTTCAAATTGGGGTGCTCACCTTCCCCAACATCTCCCAGCAGCTGCCACCTCACCTCCTTCCTCCTACTTAATAGGAATAATTTTCAGCTGCTCTCTGAGGGAAGGTCTGCAGCAGTCGCCAACTTCTGGGTTTAGGCGGCATCCTTAAGCTGTTCCAGTAACTCAGTGCCAAAAAGTTCCTCTTGGTGAGTGCCAGGATACAAAAAAGCTGAGATTTCCTGTTAAGGACTTAGCAAAAGCCTGGTCAAGTTCAACCTGGGTCTGCCAGGTACCCAAAGCCTTTTCTCGTTAGTGACAAGGTAATTCAAGAGGAAGAATGTGTAATGGTCAGTGACGGCAGGACTTGTGGTAACTGTGGAGTCTTAGAGGCAGGGGTGCTGAGAAGTCGTTATGGTGTGAGTATCATATAGGACATGATAGATGGATGGAATACTAGTGATGCCTTTTCTTAGCCCATTTAGGAGAGACTGTGTCTGGGATGTCTGAGGGGTTCTGTTTCAGATGGCAGGAGCTGTGTCATGGAAAGGTGACATATTCGTCCTGCTGGAAGGGCTGGCTTGCTCACCGCTGCTTTGCCTCTCGCTCCTGGAGATGATGTCTCTTATGAAACGGGCTAGTGGGGGATAGTGGTGGTGGGCCCAGTCGTTCCATTCGGTTATTTGGCCTAACTTCTTAAAAATACGGTTTTACTGAAATATAACATAAATGCAAGAGTACATGGTCAGGTCATAAGTTTACAGTGTTGGGGCTCAGAAACCTGTACCCCAAAATATGGAGCTCGGACATGCTGAACTGAATAAGCCTCTCAAGTCTCTCTGAGCTCCCAGTCCCAGTCTCTCATCCTGGCTCTCTCTGAAGACATAGAGTGAAGTTGTTCTCTAAAGTTCCCTCATCTGCCTAAAGTCTGGACCTGCCAAAGAAAACAACCACCCCCTTCCTCCCACCACCTCCTGCACTCCCTGCCTACTGTCCCTTTCCTGCGTTTTCACTAACTGAACTCATATCGCAGGAAGAAAGACTGAAGTCTGTCCAGGTAAAGAAAGTCTCATCTGGACGGACTTTTTTCACAAACCACTGTCGCTCTGCAGGCCCCACAGGCTTTGTCCCAGGTCACTGTGTGTTCTTTAAGCCCATTGAACTCTCCTAAAAATCATTTAGTACCTCCCTAAAATAATACACACTTCCCCATCTTTCTTTTTCCTTAAGAAGGGTATGTAAGCATCTGGATCCCACTGGGTTATTTTGTAACAATTCTCCTTCCATTCCCCTGTGTTATGCACATCGATATGGTTTGGCTTTGTGTCCCCACACAAATCTCATGTCAAATTGTCATCCTCACATGTTGGCGGAAGGGCCTGGTGGGAGGTGACTGAATCATGGGGGCAGACTTCCCTCTTGCTGTTCTCTTGATAGAGTTCTCAAGAGATCTGGTTGTTTGAATGCGTATAGCACTTCCCCCTTCATTCTTTCTTCCTACTGCTCCAGCAATGTAGGACATGCCTGCTTCCCTTTCCCCTTCCACCATGATTGTAAGTTTCCCGAGGCCTCACCAAGCACGCTTCCTGTACAGCCTGTGAAACCCTAAGCCAATTAAGCCTCTTTTCTTTATAAATTACCCTGTGTCAGGTAGTTCTTTATAGTAATGTGAGAACAAACTAATACATTAAATTTGTGTGCCATTTCTTCTATTAATCTGCCTTTTAAAAGTTGATTTTCAGCAAACCTTCAGAGGGTGAAGGGGAAGTTTCCCCTTGGCCCCTACAACAGCTCAAAAAATTGTCACAAAGTGAACATGCCCATGGAATCAACTTTCAGTCCAGAAAGTGAACATTAGTTATATTCCAGAGGCTTGCTACCTTCTTTCCCCTTCCCAGAGATAAACAACCCTGGCTTCTGATACCATAGATTCGTTTGGTCTGTTTTTGAACTTGAGATAAATGATGTCTAGATCTAGTAAATGGTAAAGGTGCAGCTTGAACTCACGTCCTTGGAATTCAGAACGAATGCCCATGTCACTGTACATTCTGCCAAGACACTCAGCCCTCAAGAGCTGTCAGCTTCTGTGAGTTTCCCACCCCCATCCGGCACAGGATTGATGAGCAGAGAAATGACCAGTGAGCAGCCTGAGGGAAAAGACGGGGAAGATGGTAAGTTTGTGCATTCCGCATACGGGATCACCAGCCTCTGAGTAACAGATCGTGTGCACTGAATGGAAAACAGCATTCAGAAAGGGACTATAGATCCTCAGAAATCTAGAAGAGGATATGTGGCTAATTTTAGAGGAAACATTAACTTTGGCTTTTAAAGGTTACCAGTCTCATAACCATCATCTGGAGCTCTCTGTCTCCAGGGAAAGTAGTGCTAGCAAGTCAGGAGGAGTGTATTCTTCTGTGTTTGTACAGCCCCAGTGAAATGAATCCTCTGAAAGTAGTCAGTCTCTTCTGTTTTTTCATTTTCCAGGTTGCATGGGCCTCAGTCTAGATCCAAGAGACCGGCCTCTTGGATGAACAAATGCACGCTTAACCTTTAACATGGGACCAGTTCTTGGCTTCCTTGCTTAGGGAGCATGACCACTCTTGGGGCTGTGCCGACTCTCCGTTATAACCAGAAAGTGAAGATGCTTTTTCTCCTCACCCCCTGCCTTCCCTGCGCCAGTGCCAGCACATTTCTTTAGGGACATTATGCTATTTCTCTAAGCCTGAAAGTGATAAAGAGGAAATTATGTAACATTTGCTCAGTTGCTATTTAAAAAACAAAAACAAAAACAAAACAAAAACAATTCAAAGAGATCACTGGGAAAATTATTTCATTTAATTAATTAATTAATTTTGAGACAAGTTCTCACTCTGTCACCCAGGCTGGAGTGCAGTGGCACAATCATGGCTCACTGCAGCCTCAACCTCCCAGGCTCAAGCTATCCTTCCACCTCAGCCTCATGAGCAGCTGGGATCACAAGTGTGGCCACCATGCCTGGTTAATTTTTAAAATTTGTTTTGTAGAGACAGGGTCTCACTATGTTGCCCAGGTCAGTCTCAAACTCTCAAGCAATCCTCCTGCCTCAGCCTGACAAAGTGTTGGGATTATAGGCGTGAGCTTTTGCACCTGGTCAGAAAATTATTTTTTATGTGCTTTTTGGGAAAATTATTTTATATATGCTTATAAAAGCAAATTTTCAAGGCCCCATACATTAAAAAAACTTACATTTAAACAATAGTTCAGTTTCTTTTTAAACACCCATTCATAGGTATGGCTGGGGTGTTTTGGCAGAGAGCGGGGAAAGGGTTTAGATGAATATTCGGAAGGAAATTCAGAAATACCCCCAGGGACCAGAAACTTCATGATAAAATGCATCCTCCACAGGGAGAGGCATTTCAAAACCAGCCCATGTGAATCAAGTGACCATTTCAGGGAAGAAACTGAATATGTTAGAGACAAAAACAAAGTGTAGATAATTTTATAAAAGTGGAGGTGGTGGAAGAATACGCGGATGTGGCTGGAGAGAAGGGAGCGATGGGTTATATAAGTTTATATCTTAAAATAAATTTCTTAGAGCTCTGTTTGTTATTATTTCATATTGAGAATAAAGGAAGCAAAGCAGTTCTAAGCCTTTTTATTTGGAATTTTTCATACAATATTATGATGATCATCTCCTCTTGAAAAAACAAAAGAGATGTAAATGTCATTCCAAGGGCATTTGGGGTAGAGAGTATGTTTCAATTCTGAAAGGGGTTCCAAATCAGTGATAAATTTGGGTCAGCAAGACAAGAAAAATGTTTTGCATTTTGATGTTCAATACTGTTTCTTTCAGTACAATGACATAATTGGACTAATAGGAATTGGCCCCCTGACCCCTCAGATATTAAGAGAAAAGGCTGACCAGAAACAAATTCTTTAGATCTAAAGTCAGAGTCCTGGGTAGGTGGTCCTTTTCTGAGCTGGGGGGATGTGTAGTGTGTGTGTGTTTGTAGAACTCAAATGGAATGAATCCTTCGTAAGTAAGCAGACTCTCACATCTGTTCTTCTGTTTTTGCTTTTTACCAGCCCTTTACTTTGTGTTCTTATCAATGAGACTTACTCTAGAATTTCTGATTAAAGATATATCTTTAGGAGAAAAATTTAATTGCATGCATCATAGCCTTGAACTAATTATATTTTTGGGTACAGGTAAAAAGCAGGTCAAGGCTGGGCACGATGGCTCATGCCTGTAATCCCAGCACTTTGGGAGGCAGAGGAGGGTGGATCACCGGAGGTCAGGAGTTCAAGACCAGCCTGGCCAACATGGTGAAACACCGTTTCTACTAAAAATACAAAAGTTGGCTGGGCGTGGTGGCAGGCACCTGTAATCCCAGGTACTTGGGAGGCTGAGGCAGGAGAATCGCTTGAACCCAGGAGGCGGAGGTTGCAGTGAGCTGAAATTGTACCATTGCACTCCAGCCTGGGCGACAAGAGCAAGACTCCATCTTAAAAAAAAAAAGCAGGTCATGCCTCTTATTTTAGCTGATATGAGGAAGATAAGACTTTTGACCAAAGGATCTAGGTTAGCAATAAAAACAGGTTTCTCAATAGTGTGGGCTGTATAGGCAGGTTTTTCAGGGCTGCTGGGGATCTCTCACTAGAAGGCCCAGGCAGGGAGACCTGTGCACAGCAGCGGCAAGTGGGGAGAGATTCAAATCCCTTAAGAAGCACCAGAGTGGATGACTTTGGAGCCAGACAACTCCATTTGTGAAGCAGAAAGGCTAGGCATGGATACGGGAAAGAGGAAGAAATGATCATTATGTTCTAAGGATAAATATTCCCTGGGAGAGCTGGCCAGGAAGCAAATGGATAAGCAGAGGGGATGAGGACCTGACAGAAAGGGAGATCCTGCCCTGGAGACATAGCGTGGCTCAGGGTCCTCTCTCCTTGGCCCCAGCCAGTCCTGCAGCCTTGTAAGTCACGTGGCGTTTATACAGGGAACTGCAGAGGCATGCAAAACCCAGTCTATCCCAACCTGAGCTCACCCTCCATATCATATTACTCTGACTAGGTCATCCCCCCACGACCCAGGCCCAAAGACCACCGTTCCTTTTCTTGACCACCCGCAGGTGGTGAGTGAGCAAGTTTTCCAAATCTAGCTCCCAAATTTCTGTCTGTGTTGTCCTCCCTCCTTCTGTCCCGATCTCAGAGCCTAGATCCTGGTAGAGTTCTCCTGTCCTGTCTCCCTGTATCTCTCTGCATGGAAGGATTAATCCTTAAAAGGCAATGCCACCAGTTTTGCTGTTGTTGTTGTTGTTGTTGTTTTAGAGACAGGGTCTGCCATGTTGCCCAGGCTGGTCTCGAACTCCTGAGCTCAAGTGATCCTCCCACCTTGGCCTCCCAAAGTGCTGGGATTACAGGTGTGAGCCGCCATGTCTGGCCCAGCAATCAGTTTTTTCCCCAAAACTCCAAAACTTTCAGTGGTTTCCATTGCCTACCAAATTAAGCCCAAACCCATAGTAATCCATCCAAGCCCTCTCGGATCATGCCTGAACACTCTCTGAGGATACAGGTAATACTGCACTGCTGTGGACAAGAAAGACGACACTTGATTGTCCTCCAGTGGGCCTGCCTCATTGCTTTGTTCATGCTGCCCCATTGTTTTGATCTCCTCCATCTCTGCATGGCAATATTCTATCTATTGTTTAAGATCCAGTTTAAATCCCATCTCCTCCAGGAAGCTTGCTTGCTCTGATGCAAAGAGAAGGAAGCTGCCTCTTCATCTTTTCCACATCTTTAATGGGCTATTATATAGAGTGGTCAGTGCACCCTTTTTTTTTTTTTACTCTTTCTTTCTTTTCTTTTTTTTTTTGAGAGAGGGAGTGTTGCTCTGTCACTCAGGCTGGAGTGCAGTGGTGTGATCTCGGCTTACTGCAACCTCCACCTCCCGGGTTCAAGCGATTCTCCTGCCTCAGCTTTCCAAGTAGCTGGGAGGCGCACGCCACCACGTCCAGCTAATTTTTGTATTTTTTAGTAGATACGGGGTTTCACTATATGTTGGCCAGGCTGGTCTCAAACTCTTGACCTCAAGTGATCTACCTGCCTAGGCCTCCCAAAGTGCTGGGATTACAGGCATGAGCCACCGCTCCCGGCCTGTTACTCTTTCATAGACCACCCCACAGGCTTAAAAAAAATTTTAAATTACAAAATATAGACATGCTCATATGGAAAATGTAATAACTGGCATGGGTAAAAAATAAAGGTATCCTTTCTCCACAGTTTAGTTATTTAAAGATAAGTTATTATCATGTATCTGTATTTATTCCTTATTGCTACTGTAATAAATCACCACAAGCTTAGTGGATTAAAACAACATTACCTTATTATGTTACATTCCTGGAGGTCAGAAATATGAAATGGGTCTCATTGGCTGAAATCAAGGTGTCAACAGTGCGGTGTCCCTTTCTGCAGGTTCTAGGGGAGAAGCTCTTTCCTTGCCTTTTCCAGCTTTTAGAGGCCTCCTGTATTCCTGGATGTGTGGCCTCTTCCTCCATATGCAAAGCCGGCAGTGGTTGGCTGGGTCTGTCCAGGTCCCCCTCCAACGCTAACTTTTCCGCCTCCCTTTTCACGTGTAAGGCTGCTTGTGATTATCCAACTGGATCATTCCAGATAATCTCCCTATTTTAAAGTCAGTTGTTTAGTAACCTTAATTCCAACTGGAATCTTAATTCTTCCTTGCCATGTAACATATTCACAGGTTCCGGCATTAAGATGTGGATATCTTTGCAGGCTATTATTCTGTCTGCCACAAGATCCTTTCATGTATTTCTCCTACTTTATAATATCAATATCAATATGGAAAAGGATTTATTTATATATTTTTTAGAGACAGGGTCATGCTATATGTTGCCCACCAGGAGTGCAGTGGTGCAATCTTAGCTCACTGGCTCACTGCAACCTCGAATTCCTGGGCTCAAGTGATCCTCTCACTTCAGTCTCCCAAGTAGCTAGGACTACAGACATGCACCTCCATGCCCAGCTAATTAAAAAAAATTTTTAAAAACGTTTTTTGTAGAGATGTGGTCGGTCTTGTTATGTTTCCCAGGCCGGTCTTGAACCCCTGGGCTTAAGTGACCCTCCTGCCTTGGCCTTTCAAAGTGCTGGGGTTGCAGGCATGAGCCACTCTGCCTGGCCCAATGTTTATTTTTAAATATGTGATTGTTAAAGGTGTGAGATACCAGACATATGATATTATGTATCTTGTTTTTTAATAGATAATTTATCTTGTACATTTTTTATGTCAGTTCATTCAGAGGCCCTCATTATTTTTAGCAGTTGCACAGTATCCCATAGCATGAATATTTCATGATTTACTTAATATTTTCCTACTAATGGACAGAAATTGTAGCAGCTTTCAATTTTTTTTTTTTTTTTTGAGATACAGTCTTGCTCCTGTTGCCCAGGCTGGAGGGCAGTGGTGCGATCTTGGCTCACTGCAACCTCCGCCTTCCTGGGTTCAAGCTATTCTCCTGCCTCAGCCTCCCGAGTAGCTGGGACTGCAGGCACCTGCCACCATGCCGGCTAATTTTTTTTGTATTTTTAATAGAGATGGGGTTTCACCATGTTGGCCAGGCTGGTCTCAAGCTCCTGACTTTGTGATCTGCCCGTCTCAGCCTCCCAAAGTGCTGGGATTATAGGCGTGAGCCAGCAGCTTTCAATTTTGTACCTTGTGTGTATATGTTTGTGTCCTTAGATAAGATTGTCTACAGCAGAGATACCCGTAAGGGGACCTGCTGGGAGCAAAGGATAATTTATATTTTCAAAGGGCATTTACAAATTTTGATCTATATTTACATATTATATACCATTAAATAAAGTAGAAATTTTAAAAACATATTGCTGTTCAAATTCTTATAAATTCAACAAGTTCAGATCTTTTCTTGATGGATTCAACTACTTCTCATCTAGGTACAAGGTACACACCGCTACATTTGATTAAACATGCTTGATTTGATTAAAATACAGCTATCCTTGTTGTTGTTATTGTTGTTTTTTTGTTGTTTAAAAACTCTACGGGAGATTCTATTCCAAGCTTGGAACAGTATTCCAAGCTTGGAACAGTATTCCAAGCTGTTCCCAATGACCATCTTGGTGTGGAGACACAAAGAATGCCTCAATGATCATTAAAGTTCACTTTTGCTCTAAGATTTTTTTTTTTTTTTGGACAGAGCCTTGTTCTGTTGTCCAGGCTGGAGTGCAGTGGTGCAATCTCGGCTCACTGTGACCTCCGCCTCCTGGGTTCAAGCAATTCTCCTGCCTCAGCTTCTAGAGTAGCTGGGATTACAGGTACGTGCCACCACGCCTGGCTAATTTTTGTATTTTTAGTAGAGACGGGGTTTCACCATGTTGGTCAGGCTGGTCTCGAACTCCTGACCTCAAGTGATCCGCCTGTCTTGGCCTCCCAAAGTGTTGGGATTACAGGCGTGAGCCACTGAGCCCGGCCTTGGTCCAAGATTTAAAGTATGAAGCATTCGGCACAAAACAAAGACTAATCATGTGAAGAGAGACTTTGCAGGTGTTGATGATGCATAAATCAGAAGAACTCAAGGGAGACGCCAAATCCCTTTAGAATGGCCCAAGTTTTTCTGGGTAGGGGGAAGAAAATGCAATGGCAATGACTCACCAAAGTCCACCAAAATGTTTTCACTGTACTGATGAGCTATCAAACATCTTTACAGACCTTCAATGCACAATTCCTCTTTGTTCTTTTAAATAAGAACGTGACTTCCCATCTTTTCAAACTTATATTTGAATGTCTTTTAAAATGCCTTTGACCTCAATTATTATGACTTTTCTTGTTTTTTAAATGTTGGACTTCACCAAAATTAAAAATTTTTGTGAGTCAAAGGACACCTCAAGAAATTGAAAAGACAATCCAAAGAATGGGAGAAAATTTTTGCAAACCATATCTCTGATAAAGAACTTATATCTAGAATATATAAACAACTCCTACAACTCAATTATTCAAAGACAAATACCTCAATCAAAATGGGTAAAAAATTTGAATAGATATTTCTCCAAAGAAAATATACAAGTGACCAACAAGCATATACAAAGATTCTCAAATGGTTAGTCATTTGAGCAATGCAAATCAAAACCACAGTGAATTACTACTTCACACCTTCTAAGACAACTACAATAAAAATGGATAGATAAGAATATGTTGTCCAGGATGTGGAGAAATTGGAGCGCTTATACACATCTAGTGGGAAGAAAAAGGGTACAGCCACTTTGGAAAACAGTCTGGCAGCTCCTCAGAAGGTTATAAATGAAGTTAGTATATGAACCAGCAATTCTGCTCCTAGCTATATACTTGGGAGGAATGAAAACATATGCCCACATAAAAACCTGTACACATATGTTCATAGGAGCATTACTCATGATAGCCAAAAGTGAAACAATCCAAAGTTCATCAACTGATGGATGAATAAATAAAATGTGGGTTTTCCACACAGTAAAATACTATGCAGCTCTAAAAAGAAATGAACTACTAATGCATGCTACAACATGGATTAACCTTGAAAACATTATGCTAAATGAAAGAAAGGGTCACATGTGCAAAATGTCCAGAATGGGCAAATCCATAGAGACAAAGTAGAATGGAGCTATCTGGGGCTGTGGGGAGGGCTGGAGGGAAATGGGGCATGACTACCAATAGGCATGGGGATTTGTGGGTGCTGAAAATGTTCTAAAATTGATAGTGGTGGTGCACAGCTGTGAAGATACAAAAAACCATTGCATCGTACACTTAAAAAATGGGTGTGTTATATAGTATGTGCATTATATCTAAATAAAGTGGTTACTACAAAAAGCAATATCCTTTGGAAGTTGCTTACATGTGAATATAAGGCTTTTCCCTTTCTATGGATGCCACAGCGATTTCGAGAGGGGTAATACTGGTGGTGGTGAGAATCTTATGTGTCCTCATAAGTGAAACCGATGTTTAAGCACTGAGGTAAAGTGCTTAAATTAATCTGCTTTTTGTCTGCTTTTTGCTCCTGGCCCCTGGCTGGTGGGCTCATTTTTCTCTCTGTATGCTGATCTTGTGTGTCCAACAAAAGCATAATTTCCAAATTTGAGCATGAGGTCTTTTGTCTACAATGGAAGTCATTGCACAGACTAGAGTGTAAAGAAACAAATTGTGTTTGTGTGTATGTTTGCAAATCCATGTGTAAGTGGGAGGCCGATGAAGGGAGAAGTGTCAGCCCCCAAGCCATTGTTTGTTCCTGTGTGCTGCATCCTAGGCTCCCCCGAGTTGGCCTGTTTAGGCGCACAAGGCACCTCATCTCGGCTGCTTCTTTCTTGGACCCCCCCTAGTTGTTGGGTCTCGATGTGTAGCAACAACCTGGGGGCCGGGTACTCACCAACCTCTATCCTAGCCTTCTTTTCTATCAAGGTTTGTTTTCCGTTTTCTTCTTCTTTTTCGTAAGCTGTTATAGTCTCTGGAATGACTTGGGTCTGCCGTGTATGTGTTATTTTTTAAGAATCCTGGAGAATCTATTTTTACTCCTCTGTTCAGGTGTCCAAATGCTGAAGACATTTTCTCCCAATCAACGGCAACCCACCCACAATGTCAGTGCGTTCTCTGATTAGGCCTCTTGATGACGGCCGGATCCCTGCCCGGCTCTGCGCCCGCGATGCTCCTGGGGTGCCCACACAGAACTGCTCCTGACGAGGAAAAAAGGGGGACGTTCCAGGCCCAGTCTGGATCCAGTGCAATGAGCGAGAGCCTTGGGGAAAAGGCGCTGCCAGAATTTTATTTTGTTAAAAACTGTATTGAGAAAACAAAGATAATCTCTAGAATTGGTTCTAAAATTCAAGTGAAACCTGTAAACATGCAGGTGACAGGGCTCTGGCTGCCTCCCTGGCCTCGTCTTCTACCCCTTGTCCCTTGTCCTCCTGCTGCCAGCCACTGGCCTTCTTGCTGCTCCCTGTATCATACAACCACGCTCCTGCTGCAAGGCCTTTTCTGGGTTTGTAAAATGAAAACCCAGGTACTTCTCCCTTTAAAAAAAATCCACCTTACTTTACAGACTGAAAAATAATGACTGCTTCCCTTCTCATATGTTTTTAAATAATCTATGCAGCAGTTGTGCATTCATTCACTTCATTTGTGCTCCCACTGATGGAAGTAGTTTTGAAGAACAGGCTGTATTAGTTTCCTGTTGCTGCTGTAACAAATTACCACAAGCTTAGAGGCTTAGAAAACCCACAGAGTTATTATCTTACAGTTCTGGAGGCTGGAAGGCTGGAATGGGTCTTAAGGGCTGCAGTCAAGGTCTCAGCAGGGCTGAGTTGCTTACGGATGCTGGAGGGGACAGCCTGTTCCTTTGCTTTGTAGGGGCCCAAGGAAAACATCCCCTTCGCCCTCTGAAGGTTCACTGAAAAACTGGCTGACAAAAAGCAGATTAATAGAAAAAAAGGCATGCAACATTTATTCTAATGTGCATAGCATGGGAGAATTGCAGGAGAATGAGTACTCAATAACTCAGTGGAGTACAGATCTTATAAAGCCTTCTGCCTAGGGGAGGGGGACATGGGGGAATGTAGACCATTCTTTTGAGGGGCAGTAAATGATCATTAGGGAGAATGAATGGGCCTAGAAGACAGAAATTAACTTGTAAATGGAATTTGGATTTTGAATGAACCTGGGAGGTATTGTCTTGTGAAAAGGTCTGTCCAGGTGGGTTTGCATCCTCAGTGTTCTTTTCTGAGATAGCGAATGAGATTTACAGGGATGGGAGGTGGAAGGCAACTGTGGTTCTCTTTGGGGTCTGGTTCCCAGGTGGATAAGAGAATACCGAAGAAAAGCTTCGCCCTATGCCTTAGGAGAAACAGAGGATTGAAAGGGAGCAGGGGAGCAGGTCAGAGAGACCTTGAGGACTTTGAGGCTACTTCTGTAGTTCAGTCATATTTTGGGGTAAAGTGTGCTGGCTTCCTTCAGCCTTTTTTCCCTCCTAGAGGCAGTCTATATTTCTTGGCTGTGGCCCTTTCTTACATCTTCAAAGCCAGTGGTGCAGCATCCTCCAATGCTTCCTTCTCTCTCCAACTCTGCTTCTGCTGTCATCTCCTCCCCTGACCCAGACCCTCCTGCCTCCCTTTTATAAGATCCCTCAGATGACATTGATCTCACTGGGATAATCTCTTCATCTCAAGATCCTGAACTTAATCACATCTGCAAAGTCCATTTTGTCATGTAAGGTAACAAATTCACAGGTTCTAGGGATTGGGATTTAGACATCTTTGGGGGGCATTATTCTCCCATCCACAGAGGTCAAAGGCTGAGATAATTCAAATGCATTATTTTGCACCAAATGCTCCCATTTGGTTTTTATGATGACGATGATGATGACTAGATAGGCCCCTATGTAGTACTAGGAAACCAAAAATAGTTACAGAAAATAGAAATAAACCTGTTAAAATACTTAATGAGAATAAACCAGTAAAAATTACAGAGGCACATGTGGGCTTAGTGAATAATATCTTTCTAATGCAGAGAAGATGTCATCCATGGAAAAGGCTATCAGTGGTATGTGTGGTCTTGGGTTTGGACTAGCTATGGTGCGTGCCAGCATGGAACTCTCCAACTTCAGCAGTCCTTGGTTCTGACAAGGAACTCTCAGCATTTGACCAATCACCTGCAGTCACAGGTGAGAACATGGGGCCCTCACTGAGCAAAGACCAAGCCTTTTAAGTGTACCTCAAAAATAAGCTAAGTTAATGGAAAATAGGAGTGAATGACTGCAGTGTTTATTTTTAAATTGCTTTCAAGTGGTGCATCTGTTGTATAAAACAAGACATTTCAGCTCAATAAATTTTTGGACAATGTCTCCTCTAGTTATCAGAAACTTGGTATTAATGACGAACTCTGGCTTCTAGCTCAAAGTCAAAGAACAGTGGAAAATGAATGTGCTTCAATGAGGAACCACAACCTAATAGAGATTTCATGGAGTGTGTTGTTCGCATTTTTACATTGTCTTAGATGAAAGCAGTGAATAAGTACCAAATGGTGAATCTTGAAACCCATCATGGGAGAATTAGCAGTGGTTATTTGTGCAACAAGCAGAAGTAATGAGTATTACAAGAGAACTTAGGTTTCTAAAAACAAGTTTAGGAAAAATGCTCATGATAATCAAAATAGGAACATCATGAAATGGCTTTAGATTTTTTGGGCATAGATATATGGTCACATTAAAGTAAATGAGAGGGGCCAGGCGTGGTGGCTTACACCTGTAATCCCAGCACTTTGGGAGGCCGAGGCGGGCGGATCACAAGATCAGGAGTTCAAAACCAGCCTGGCCGATATGGTGAAACCCCGTCTCTACTAAAATACAAAACTTAGCTAGGCGTGGTGGTGGGCACCTGTAGTCCCAGCTACTTGCAAGGCTGAAGCAGGAGAATTGCTTGAATCTGGGAGGCGGAAGTTGCAGTGAGCCAAGATTGCACCACTGCACTCTGGCCTGGGTGACAAAGCGAAACTCCATCTCAAAAAAAAAAAAAAAAAAAAAAAAAAAAAAAAGGTAAACTAGTGGAAAATGAACTTCTATTAATATGAATTTCCTCGTGACTTCACTGTGGTTTGTATTATTTAACTAAGATGAGTCATACGAAAGTAGTATTACCATGAGTACAATGGAGGCTGCATGATCCTCTTGGCAGTTTTACCTCGTTCTTACCGGTATTCATTCCTTCTAAAATATTACCAGAAAACTATGCAAAATGTGGGCTTCCTTTTGACTCTGTTGGTGCTCAGAAACCGATACCCCAAAATATGGCACTTTGATATGTCGAACTGAAGAAGGCTCTCAAGGTCTCTCTGACCCCCCGCCCCAAGCTCTTATCCTCTGTCTCTTGCAAAACACAGGATGAAGTTCTCTGAAGTGCCCTCACCTGCCTAAAGTCTGGACTTGTCAAAAAAACAATTCCCTTTGGTTCTTTCCCAAGTCTTTATTAACTGGACTTATATCACAGGAAGAAAGACTTAAATCTGTCAACACGCCTGGACTGACTTCTGTCACAAACCATTGCCTGCTCTGTGGGTCCAATAGACTTTGTCTCAGGCCACTGCATGTTCTTCAAGCTCATTGGATTCCCCTAAGAAGAATTTACTACCCCTGTAAAAGCATCCACACTTCTCCATCCTCTTTTCCCTAAGAAGAGGGGTATACAAGCATCTGTGCTTTTTCCAAAGTCTTTCTTCATCTGAAACATGAGAGTTGGACTAGTTATAATTCCTCAGTTTCCTTCCAGTGCTAAAATTTGATCGTATCGGGAAAAGATGATAATATGGCAGAAAGATAGGGAGGAAACTTTTAAAAGATGAAGATAGGTGACTCCAAAACAACAGAATAAGCTAGATGTTTTTGCCTCATTCCCCCCTGCTTAATCCTTTCAATCCTCACTGCTTGGGAAAGGTCAATTTTCACTAACCTGCCCTGCCTTCAAAGGAAGAGACCATGGAGAGTGAGTTGTTTCTATCCCACAAACATTTCAAACCTGTGAGATACTAAAAATAATTTCTACTTCTACAACACCTTTTTTTCTGAGGATTACAAACAACTATGATTAGGTTCATCTGGCAAATGGGAAAATTTGCTCTTTGGGTTAAGTAGCTTTTCAAGGTCATTACACGTTGGCAGGCTCCTCTGGCACTCAGCTTTGTGAATCAGATGTAATCCTTACAGGGTCGGGCTTGGCAATCCTATCACTATCATTCTAGAGCTACTTTTGCCATATAATGTAGCCATTATAAAGGAGAGCTACAAAGCACCTGTAAATACACAGAGAAATAGTTATGAATCAATGTTTAAGTGAAAAAAGGGTAGAACACAAAACTACATGTCCATTATTGTTACAGCCACCTAAAAATATGTGTGCTATGAACAAAACAGTGAAAACACATGCTGAAAACAAACAACAGCCACAACAAAACCATTCCTGTTCTGTGGTGATATTACAGCTAATTGTTTCATTTTCAAACATTCTTCTAATGTGACAGATCATTTATACATTTATCGATTCATTCGCACAATTAATTTAGCACGTACTCTGTGCCAGCACCTACAGTGCTAGTATATCACAGAAGAAACAGATGGATATTATGGTGCTAGTCCTTGATTGAGCCCTCGCTGTGAGTCTAGCAGGGGAGAGACACATGTAGACGAACAGTTCTGACACAGTGCAATATGT
Source organism: Homo sapiens (assembly GCF_000001405.40). Taxonomy (NCBI): domain Eukaryota; kingdom Metazoa; phylum Chordata; class Mammalia; order Primates; family Hominidae; genus Homo; species Homo sapiens. The sequence goes on from NC_000018.10 coordinate 3,789,183, forward strand.
CTCGTAATGAGGGCCTTTCGGATAATTTACTAGAGAAATGTTTAGAAGATATAATTAACAGACTTTAATAACCTACTGCAATAGAGGCTGTGGGAAGAATGGCAACAAACAGAGAGGAAAGAACAAGTAAGAGTCTGAGCATGAAAAGCCCCCTTGTGATAAGTTTCAACACAGAGGTGCCAGGGAGCCATCCAGAAAAAGCTGGAAACTTCTCAGAGATGTGGAGCTCAGACGGAAGGCCGGGGCCGAAGAGGTAAGTTTGGGGGTTAAAGTCAAGCAGATAATAGATGAATCTGCAAGGGTGGATGAGATTGTCTAAAGAGACTATATTGGATAAGAAGAGGCAGTGATCAAGGCAGGACCATAGGGTGTATCAATATTTAAAGGGACAATGAAGGAAGGGGACCCCCAAAAGACACTGAGAAAATGTCTGATTTTTAGGAAGAGAGCAAAGAGAGAGGGGCATCACTTAAGTCAACAGGAAAGTTCCTAGAAGATAGTGGTCAACAGTGTAAAATATTAAGGAAATGTCAAAAAAGATGAGCTTGCAGAAATATCCCTCGGCTGTGGCATTTGGGAGGACATGAGTGAGGTTAAGAGTGATGAGGACCCAAGAGTTAATGAGAAATATCAAGGAGGTAACAGATATGAAACAACAATAAAAAGGAAATATCTGAATTTAGGCACCATGCTAAGATAACTAGCAATGATATTTTTAATGGTCAGAAGCTATGTTTTAGGAAATATCATAAGCAGTAGCTCTGATACATAGATTATTTCAGAGTCAAAGAAAATTCTTTTAGCCTAACTGTGGGCAAATGTTGGTAAGTTCTTCATGGCTTTCAAATATCAACTAGGTACAGTAGCTGACTTTTAGTTTGAGGAGATGCCTATTAGCCCCCAGATGGTATGTTAGAATCAGTGGAAAATTGTAAAATTCTCAGTCTCCAAAAAAAATTTTAGAATGACCTTCTTTCTCTTTGTTCAGTTGGTAGACAAGCAGATGCCCAGTGAATGGTGGAACTTGGCTCTTCTTTGTTTGGACAGTTTCAAAATCTTCCTAAGTCTTTGCTTCTTTTACTTTTTTTTTCTTTTTTTTTTTTGAGACAGGATCTTACTGTGTCACCCAGGTTGGAGTACAGTGGCATGATGATAGCTCACTGTAGCCTCGAACTCCTGGGCTCAAGCAATCCTCCTGCCTTAGCCTCCTGAGTAGCTGGGTCCACAGGTGTGCATCACCATGACCGGCTAATTTTTAAAATTGTGTGTAGAGATGGGGTCTTGCTATGTTGCCCAGGCTTGTCTCAAAATCCCGGGCTCAAGTGATCCTCCTGCCTTGGCCTCCCAAGTGCTAGGATTACAAGCATCAGGCATTGTGCCTGGCCAGTCTTTGTTTCTTTAATCTTTAAAATGAATAAGTTGGATTAGGTCATGATTTTCATTATCTAGTTGATTAGAGGAAAGCAGGAAACAGACATCAGATTTAACTCAAGGAAGAGTATTTGCCTGCATTTCCTTTTAAATTGGATATATCCACGAAAGAAGTTGGGGAAAAGGGAAGGACTCATGGCTTGTAGGGAAGTGGATAGTGCATTTGTGGCGGCAGGCAGTGGGGAAGGTTTCCTTTGCAGGAGTCATTGTGAGGGGTTTGGCAGGGCTTCAGCATCTGTCACAAGGGGGTTGGTAGATTTATGTGCTTCTCTAGGAGGCCCCTGAACTTGCTTTCAGCATGAGATAAATCACTGTCACTTTGCAGACAGGCACAGACAAACATGGAGGCTACTTTCGCTTCATTAAAACAAAAGAACCAACCAGGCTCCCGCAGATGTGGTTTCTGCCTCTCAGAAATGACAGAATCAATTAGTGCAGGTTCACCTAGATGGTACACCATGGACATGGCTTTTGGGCTGCGGCAATAAAGACCTGTCAACTATGATGATGTTTCTGGGGAACGGTGGGGGAATATGTGGCAGCTCCTCAGGATATGAAAAATGATATCCCTCAGAAAAGTAGGCACAGGCATTGTAATAATACACTTGACAAGCACCTTATCTTCTAGGAACTTTGCAAGGCATGATGATAATTACTAATCAAAATTGGCTTAATATAGCGTAGCAGTACTCACTAGAAATCAGCGCAGATGGGAAGGCTGTGAAAACCAGCATTTTTTTCTCTTGTAATTTCATATACAGTTGTTACTACAATGGTGTCAGAAAGCTCAAAGTGGCTTATAAGAACAATGGATCCAAAAGTTGGCTTGAGTCCAGAGCTGTCAAAGCTTAGTCTGCACTGTATGATGCCATTTATTGAAGGAAGGTGATGTGCACATGTGCGTGTGTGTGTGTGTGTGCACGCATGTGTGTGTGTGTTAGACAGGGAAAGAGATGGATTGATAGAAATCTTATTCAGACAAAAACACAATATTTACTTAGGAGTCAATGATAATCATTATGCAATACATGGCATTATACACAGTCATGTATTTTATGTGAATTAAAATGTATTTTCCTAGAGAGTATAACAATTTCAGTAATACTGAATGTAATCTACTGAAATGAAGCACAATTGAAATAAGCAAATGAAGCTGGGTGTGGTGGTACACGCCTGTGGTCTCACCTACTCGGGAGGCTGAGGCAGGAGGATTGCCTGAGCTCAGGAGGTTGAGGCTGCAGTGAGCTATGATTGTGCCACTGCACTCCAGCCTAAGCAACAGAGCGAGATTCTGCATTTAAAAAATAAAATTAAAAAAAGGCAAATGGGCAATTCATCATTTTTTAACAGCAAAGTAATGTGTTAATCCCTGTCTGCTCCCACGTCCACACTGGGGACCACCCCCCACCCCACTATAGCTGGCTGGCTAGAGCCCTACCCCAGGCCACATCTAACCTGGTATCATCGCACTGCAGAAGCCCTATGCCCCAGCCCTGTAACCAGCTGGCCCTGTGTACTCACGGGCCTGCAGGGCAGCAGCCCTCTTCCCTAACTCCAGCTGTGGGTACTTAAGATATTATGATGGGGCTGGGCACGATGGCTCACACCTGTAATCCCATCACTTTGGGAGGCTGAGGTAGATGGATCACTTGAGGCCTGGAGTTCAAGACCAGCCTGGCCAACATGGTGAAACCCTGTCTCTACTAAAAACACAAAAATTAGCCAGGCATGGTGGTGCATGGCCTGTAATCCCACCTACTTGGGAGGCTGGGGCAGGAGAACTGCTTGAACCCAGGAGGTAGAGATTGCAGCAGTGAGCCAAGATCATACCACTGCACTCCAGCGAGACTCCATCTCAAAAAAAAAAAGATATTATGATGGGACATCTGCCTTGGCGTCATACTGATCTCTTTGATGGAAACTTTGACCTCTTACTTCCCTTCTCTCAACCCCTTCTGCATGGAGTTTGGACCTTGAGCTCTGCAATTCCATTTGCTGTCTTGGCCTCCACTGCAGACCAGAAGGAATGGGATGGTCCCACTAACCTGACAATGTGTGGCACCACCATCTGCGGCCACACCTCACCATACAGGCCAGCTTCTTTGGGCACCTGTGTCAGCCCAGATTGAGCCTGTGTTAGCTGAACTGCTGGAATAATGTACTGGGGCTTGTGCATGTACCTTCCAGATCCTGTTGGTCCTGCCTGACCCCTCAGCCTTGGACTCTGGCCCTGCTTCCTGGACAGAGCAGCCTCAGGATGGCTCATGCTGCTGCCATCTGTGAAGCCTGGCCACCGTGCTTCTTCCTCCACCTGCGGCACTGCTGGTGTCTCGACCTCCCTCAGGGACGGGTTTGCCCAACCCCATTGAGCCGCTGGGCCTGTGGAGGCTTTTTCACTAGGAGTCTCAAGGCCCTCAGTAAGTATCACAGCTCACAAGTGCGGCGCTGTTAATATCCCATGGAATACGACTCGACCAATGAAAGGCAGGAGACCAGGAGGAATTAGCAGATGAATTGCTTGCCCTCTCTCTCTGAGAAGGACTGTTTCAGCACACCACGGTTCCATATGGCCTCTCCAGAGTCATCCATGTGATCCAATGGCCAGCTCTGTTTTCTTCCACAGCCCATGTCTGATCCGTGAATGCACCCTGCCAGCCCTGCCCTCAGGATGGGCACATACCTGTCCACTGCCCCACCCTGTTCTCACTCTCACTGTCCCGGAGGGCTGTGTGGCTTTCCCTGACTTCCATCCTTGCCTCCCTCCAATTTCTTCTCGATAGAGCAGCCAGATTTATTCCTTTGAAGTGCTGCTCCTCCACCCAAGGCTGTCAGAGTCCCCGTGTCACTCAGAGTACAACCCAAAGTATTGACTTCCATTCTTCCCCCTTCCAATTTCTTCTTGATAGAGCAGCCAGATTTATCCCCTTAAAGTGCTGGTCCTCCACCCAAGGCTGTTAGAGTCCCATGTCACTTAGAGTACAACTCGAAGTGCTCCCCGTGGCCCATGCTGTCTGGCTCCCTTCCCTCCTGCCTTCTTGAGCCTAGCTCTCTCTTTGCGCTCTCTGCTGTGGCCACCCCTGCTCTCCTGCATGGCCTCCTGCACACCAGGCACACCTCCAGGACTTGCTGCTTTCTGTCTGACTCACTTTCCCCTTGCACAGCTGCATGCCCCACTCTGCGACCCCCTGACACTATCCCCTTGTGAGTGTGGCCTTTCGTAATCACTTTCTCTGAACAGCACCTCCTCCTGCTTAACTTTTTCCTTCTTAGCCGTTATCCTAGTCTTCCTTGCTCTTTATGTCACTTATCTGTCTTGCTGGTTTTTGTCTTCCCTACTAGGATGCAAGCTCTGTAAGGGCAGGGGCTACTGCCTGTTTTGTTCACTGTGGTATCCCCAGTGTCCAGCACAGTGCCTGGTACACAGCAAGGTTAAGTACCAGCTGAACAAATGAACCCATGAATGAACGAGGACACCACATATACTTAAATGCTTCATTCCTAACTCTGCACGTCTCCTCCCTTCTCCTTTGTCAAGAAGGGCCTGGCTGGCTAGGTCCCAGTTGTCTCTTAGTTCCACCTGCCCTCAGACTCTCCTGTTTGGCTGCACAACTTCCTTTAACCCTTCTCTAACTGTGGCAGCATGGAAGGTGACAGCTTGGAGGTCAGTGATGAGGCAGGAAACTTGTTAGCTAGGACAGAACATATACAGAAGAGACTCAGTGCAGCTGACAGTGTGCATTATTGTGATACATGTTCAAAGCCCATCTCAATTATAGGCATGGATTCATTTATTTCTGACTTCAAAACTCTCCGTGTCAAAGTCTTGCTCTTACTACCTTGTTGAACTTGACTATAGCAATGGGGAATGGCACCTGGAAAGGGTCCCGTGGAGAACCCACCCAGGATGCTGTCAGTCAGCACTGACCATGGGGCTGAAGGTGGAAGGTTCCTCTATGTATAAAGAGAGCTTCTCACACTCGGGGCTTTTGTGTGGGACAGGAAAGGCTGACATAAAACAATGGGATTGAGTCATTCATGTGGGACCATACGTAGCCACAAAGGTGTGACTTGGCCCACTGCCCCCCTAGAGGGCAGATTGCAGAAGTTGGCAGAAATGTCACCTAATTATCAAGGTGGCTGTGTGGCTGGGAGTTACTGCTCAATCTATTCAGCAGCGGAGGAAGCTCTGCCAGTTCTCAGCACATAGGATCTGGCTAATCTGATAACATATGGAGGAGAAAAAGTGCGTCACTGGTTTCCTCTCGCACCACGCCTGACTTCTGCAAAGCAGCTTCTCTCCCACTTATCTCCCACTGCGAAGCCTTAGGCATTCATTCCTGTGTGATGGAGTCAGCATCCTGAAGAATATGGAATATCTTAGAGATGCAAACGATCCAATGAATACTTATTTATTGGTCAGGGAGAATGTAACTGAAGCCAATTTCCCTTGTGAGTTACTCACTTACTTCCAAATTGGCATGAGTGTAAGACTCCGTGGACATATATAACTCATTCTAGCCAGGATCCAGAGGATCACAGAGACACCCACTGAGTGTCCTAAGTGACAGGGGAGATGGATGTCATGAAAAGCCAGGAAGAAACCCCCAAATTCCTTGAAACAGACACAGAGATTTTCTTATTGGAAACTAAGCTAAACACTTATTTAAAAATATATTTTCTCCCTTGTCCTCATCTGTTTTCTTTTCTCTTTTCTTTTTTTTGAGACAGGGTCTCTCTCTGTTGCCAGGCTGGAGTGCAGTGGCATGATCTTGGCTCACTGCAACCTCCGCCCCCTGGGTTCAAGCGATTCTCCTGCCTCAGCCTCCTGAGTAGCTGGGACTACAGGCGCCCACCACCACGCCCAGCTAATTTTTGTATTTTTAGTAGAGACGGGGTTTCACCATGTTGGCCAGGATGGTCTCGATCTCTTGACCTCGTGATCTGCCCACCTTGGCCTCCCAAAGTGCTGGGATTACAGGCATGAGTCACCGCGCCTGGCCTGTTTTCTATTTTTAAATTTACTTGTATTATTTATTTGTTTGTTTATTTTTAGAGATGAGGGTCTCACTATGTTGTCCAGGCTGGACTCCCAACTCCTGGGCCCATGCGATCCTCCCACCTCAGCCTCCCAGGTAGCTAGACCGGGAGATAGATAGATAGGCACATCACCTATTTTCTTAGGGTTCCAGGGCTTGTTGAATACAAATTATCCAAATAAAACACAAAGGTTCTCCTCATATATACCAACCAAAACCCACAAAAAAATTTGTTATCCTTGTATTGTATGATCTCGTTGGACATCTGGCAGTGCTGGGAGGAATGAGCAGGTGGAATGAGCAGAGCCGCAGGATTGGGCCAGTCTTAAAGAGATGCTATCCGATGGTCAAAGGGCTAATACGATTAAGGAGTTAAGGACCAACATCGCCCACTGAGTTATTGCCAATTAGTAGCCAGGTTTCCCCAGCAGCCCCAAGCAAACATTATCACCAGCATTGATTACTGATATCGCCCTTCTGTATCTCTGTTCTGGGTTCTAATGCAGACATAGAGAGAGAGAAATTAATTTGTGATTAAGACAGGCAAAGCACTCAGAACTGTAGACTCAAGATTGTCCTGGGAAATCTTCCATAGTGAAGATTTGGAGGGAACAACTCTTCTCTTCTCATTTCTCACTGGCATTTAATACTATGGAAAACATTCTGGTTGTGGAGTGTGAAGTCCTGGGCTTTTGGTTCTGCCCATGACCTGTCATTAATGCAACAGATTCTCCGGTATACAAAGGGGCTGTTTAATAATCAAATGAGATACAAATGACAAACTTTTACAATTGTAAAAACTACATGAAAACTTAATGATTTCATGAGTACTGTATATGAAAAATGTTTCTAATAATTGTAACATTCCATTGGTAGGATTCAGGTAGTGTGTTCTCTTAAGAGGCCCTAAAGAGAGGGAACATGCGCTGAGTGACAGCCCAGGAGGAAGCAGACACGTAAGGTGAGCTCGATCCACGAATATGCTCTAGACCTGTCAGTAACAGCCGCTTAGCCACTGAGCTAAGAGCTGAAGTCAGCAGGAGATGGAAACTGTCGGATCCTCACCATGCTATCAAAGCAAATTCCAGCAGCAGGCACATTGCTGGTAAAAATAATGCTCAGAATTCATATTTTAATCACTTAAAATGCATTTACTCATAGTTTCTTCTTCATGGCTGAGGTGCATCACGACCCTTCCATGAGCTATTATACTCAAAGATAGAAAATAGTATCAGATGCTATGGACTGAATTGTTTTCCTCCTGATTCATATGTTGAGGCCCTAATGCCCAGTGTGATGGTATCTGGAGATGGGGCCTTTGGGAGGCAATTAGGTTTAGATGTGATCACAAGGGTGAGAACTTCATGATGGGAATAGTGTTCTTATAAGAAGAGACACTGGAGGCCAGGCACGGTGGCTCCTGCCTGTAATCCCAGCACATTGGGAGGCTGAGGCAGGTGGATCACGAGGTCAGGAGATCGAGACCATCCTGGCTAACATGGTGAAACCTTGACTCTACTAAAATACAAAAAATTAGCTGGGCGTGGTGGTGCACACCTGTAGTCCCAGCTACTCAGGAGGCAGGGGAATTGCTTTAACCCGGGAGGCAGAGGTTGCAGTGAGCCGGGATCGCGCCACTGCACTCCAGCCTGGCAACACAGCAAGACTGTCTCAGGAAAAAAAAAAAAAAAGAAGAAGAACACTCAAGAGCTCTCTCTCTGTCTGCCACGTCAAGACAGTGAGGAGGTGGCCCTATCTGCTAGCCAGGAAAAGGGCCCTCAGCAGAACCTGACCATATCGGCACCCTCATCTCAAACTTCCAGCCTCTAGAAAATAAACTTTTGTTAAGTCACCCAGTCTATGGTATTTTGTTATAGCAGCCTGAGAATACTACCAGATGTAGGTCAAAGGATGAAAAATATGAATAATAACAAAAGAAAGAAAGCTTTGTACTGTTAAAGGCTGGTGAGCATGAAAACAGAAGCTTCTGAACAGTTTTAAAGCGGGAGGGAGGGGTCAGGTGGGTCACTACACATAGTGTTGGAAGAGTGTGTTTTGCCCAAATTGATCAAATGAGAAAAGGACTCAGTGTATCATAATGTACTAGGGAAAACAATCTGGGATACTGTAAGTCCTGCTTCCCCAGTGATATGGTTTTGCTGTGTCCCCACCCAAATCTCATCTTGAATAGTAGCTCCCATAATTTCCACGTGTTGAGGGAGAGACCTGGTAGAAGATAATTGAATCATGAGGGCAGGTTCCCCCATACTGTTCTTGTCATTGTGAATAAGTCTCAAGAGATCTGATGGTTTTATAAGGGGAAACCCCTATCGCTTGGCTCTCATTGCCGCTCTTGCCTTCTGCCATGATTGTGAGGCCTCCCCAGCCACATGGAACTGTGAGTCCATTAAACCTCTTTTTCTTTATAAATTACCCAGTCTTGGGTGTGTCTTTATTAGCAGCATGAAAATGGACTAATATCCCCAGTCATTGAATTCCTGTAAACACAGGCAAACACATTAGTTTAGAATAGGTAAAACACTTAGTGTAACCAAACCCGAGGTTAATCATTCAACTTGCCAGTGAAACGCTTCCAACAGAGGAGAGGAGTCAGTGAGAGACGAATAAAGGACAGAGACACAAAAGCAGCCACACAGATCCATAGTCAGAGGACAAAGCTGGAGGCAGCTTGGTGGAGCAGGTTGCTTCATGGTCAGCCAGTGAGCCCTTTGGGGTCAATGAGGGAAGGAAGTACCTTCCTTTTAGGGACAGGGACAGGGACAGAGATGGACCTACAGGGATCAAAGGCTACAGGCAGCTACAATGTAGGAAAAAAACACAGTCCAGGGCCGACCCTGGGGGATTGACTTGGAGAGGAAAGTAGGATTCCAGTTCCCTGAGGAAGAGCCTCATGGGACTTGGCACATGGAGGGTGGTTGAGTACCCTGGTCTCTGAGCGTATCTGTTTCTATGGTTTTATCGTTGTCTATTCCCTCTAAGGTTGTTTATTTATTTACTTATGTATTTTTGAGTAACATTTGTAGCTTGCACACAGGAGATGCTAAGTATATGCTTACTGTATAGGGCATTCCAGGTGAGGTGCTTAACATAAGTTGCTCAGTTAACTCTCACAATATTTATTTAATAATAGATAATTAGAACCATTTTTAATTTAAAAATTTTAACATTCTGATCTCACTTAATGGCCTCAATAGACTTTTTTTTTTCTTTCTTTCTCTTTTGAGATGGAGTCTTGCTTTGTTGCCCAGGCTGGAGTGCAGTGGTGCAATCTCGGCTCACTGCAAACTCCACCTCCCAGGTTCAAGCGAGTCTCCTGCCTCAGCCTCCCCAGTAGTTGGGATTACAGGCACCTGCTACCACACCTGGCTAATTTTTGTATTTTTAGTACAGACGGGGGGTTTTCACCAACTTGGCCAGGCTGGTCTTGAACTCCTGACCTCGTGATCCACCAGCCTTGGCTTCCTAAAGAGATTACAGGCGTGAGCCACTGTGTCCGGCAATAGACCCATTTTAAAAATGAAAAAGAAAAAGCCACAACCAGAGAAGTCACTCACATAAGGCTGCAAATTTGTAAAGTCCAGATTTGTACACTGTTCTGCCTTCTCTTATTATTTCAGGCTGCCTCTAAGTCAGCAGGACTGGGACCCTACAGGCATGGGTGCTACCAGAAAGGGAGAGGGAAGAAGAGGAGTGTGGCTAAGGCGTGCTGTCCCTTCTGCGGGGGTTTCTTCATAGCGTTCCTCTCATTCCTGAAATTATTCCATTTCCAGTGGTATTGAGGGTGACCAGCAGACCCTGTTGTACCATGTCACTTAAAAAACGTAGTGCCTTTTTTTTTTTTTTAAATACAGGAAACACAAAAACATTGTTAATATTTTAAAATTATCATTTGAATTTTACATTGTTACCTCCGGGGCACAGTGAATGATCATGGAAGCTAGACAGAGGCTTGCCAAGCTGTCTCCCCGCAATACTCAGCTCAGCTACTTAAAGTGTAGGTGGTTGCTATGGGCAACCACTTAAATAAACTCAGGGAAAGTGTTGGGGAGTGAGGGCTGCGGAGTGCAGGCAGTTAATGGATTTACCTAATTCAAAACAAAACAAAACACCTATAAATTTTTCCCCAAGGATCATTCCTCCCTCCCGCTAATACTCCTCTACCTGAGATGATTGTTTTCTTTAAGACAGCCAAGGAAAGAGAAATGACAATGAGGATCTTAACCTGTTATCTGAATAGTGAAGTCCATCTCAAAATATTCAAAAAGGAAGAGAAGCTGGAAAATTCTAACTGTTGATCAAATATTACCACTGCTGTAAGTTAAAAAAAAATCCACCTAATTTTAAAATGGCCCCTAGATTGTTCTTCCCATGGTAGATTGCTTATACTCAACCCCGAGTGGCATAGTCTCAGAACCCAGTCTTCCCAGCAGGGAATTGGAACAGCAGGTTTTATGATTATACTTTCCTATTTTGGTGGGTGGGAACATATTTTACTTTATATCTTGCTTTTTGCTTCATTTTCATTTTCTTTAAGTGATTAAGTGCTTTGAGATGCCAAGCCTTCATGTTTATTGAAGTTACTTTTACACTTTTAGCTAATTCCTGCACTCTTGTCCAAGGCCTGTACTCCCATGACCATGCTGATATGTTATGAATATCTCTTTTTGTTATAACTAGGCCTTTTTGTCTTCCATTCCTTTGCATAAAGAATATTACCCATTCAACTAGGGAAGTGGTTGTATAAATTATAGTACAGGAATATAATGGAATACTTTGCCATTGTTAAAAAGAGTGTGGTTAACCCACAAGCATTTATATAAAACAATGTTTAAGACCTAATTTCAAGTGAAAAGAGCAAATTGTAGAACAGTATGTATAAAGAAAGTTTAGACATGGGTATATATAATATATGCTTAGAACATTTCTGAAAAGATTCATAAGAAACAGAATTCTTACCTCTATGGAGGGCTAAAAAGGGAATGAAGAGGGGAGGGGGACTTTAACACATTATTAAAATATTTCTTGGTGGTGTTAAAATTTTTATGAGTATTATATTTTGTAATAATAAAAAAGGAAATCTTCCCATTATTTCTAAATAAAAAAGAGACATGTGGGTATGGTGTATATTGGAGAATGGCGTATCACTACGGCAAGCAAGACAAAATAATAGCAGCAGCAACAAGGAGATCTGACCTGTGGTATTAGGCTGTTTTTGGGTCACTAGAAAGAAATACTTGAAGCTGGGTAATTTATAAAGAAAAGGGTTTTAATCAGCTCATGATTCTGCAGGGTTTATAGGAAGCACGGTGCTGGTAGCTGCTTCTGGTGAGTCTTCAGGAAGCTTACAATCATGGCTGAAGATGACAGGGTGTCAGCATGACACACGGTGAGAGCAAGGGAGCAAGAGGGTGGGGAGGTGCCACACTCTTGAACAACCAGATCTTGCGTGAACTCAAAGTGAGAACCCAGTCGTGTTGATGAGGACGGCACCAAGCCATTCATTAGGGATCCGCCCCCAAGACCCAAACACCTTCCACCAGGCCCCACCTCCAACACTGGGGATTACATTTCAACATGGGATTTGGAGGGGACAAACACCCAAACTATACCACCTGTCCTTGGTTGGCTTTTGATTTTTGGTGTCCTTATTTATCTGTGTAACTTCGTATATCAGCCCTTTCCGGTACCATCCTAATCTCTGCTTCTACCATTCTTTCCCTGCAGCAGTACAACTTTCTCTTGTCTCTTACTTGATTTCAAACTGTCTCCAATTTGTCTCTCTCTATCTCATCTAGAGGCAGGCTAGTATAGTGGTTGATAACATGGGCTCTGAATTCAAATCCCGACTGTGACACTTCTAGCTCTGTGACCTTGGAAAGTCAATTAAATTTATGTGCCCCAGTTTCCTCCTTGTATAACCTAGTTAATAATGATTCTTGTCTTATAGGTACTATTAGTTATTATGTGAATTGTGTCTGGCACAGAGGAAGTGCTTCTAAGTGTTAGTCATTACTATTCTTCAAGGTGATTTTTTGGGGGGTTAAAATTAGATATATTTCAACAAGAAAAACAAATAAAGAAGCCAAAAGAAAAAAGTAAGAGAAAAGCACAAGAAATGCAGCAAAAACCACCCAGAAAGCCTCTTCACGAGAAGAATGACTGCTGAGATGTTAGAAGATATCCTTCCATACATATATACTCATGTAAATAATATAGAATATACTTTCATCTAAATAAGAAAAAAAATCTCTCTTGTAATTGGCTTTTTGACTCCACGCCACGCAGGCCATCTGTGTTTTTGTTTGTTTGTTTGTTTGTTTGTTTGTTTTTTTGAGATGGAGTCTTGCTCTGTCACCCAGGCTGGAGTGCAGTGGCGTGATCTTGGCTCACTGTAACCTCTGCCTCCCAGGTTCAAGTGATTATTCTGCCTCAGCCTCCCAAGTAGCTGGGACTACAGGTGTGTGCCACCATGCCTGGCTAATTTTTGTATTTTTAGTAGAGATGGGGTTTCACCATATTGGCCAGGCTGGTCTTGAACTCCTGACTTTGTGATCCGCCCGCCTCGGCCTCCCAAAGTGTTGGGATTACAGGCATGAGCCACCGACCCCGCCACGCAGGCCATCTTTCTAAAACAACACTTACATCACTTCATTATCTGGCTCGGCTATCAGTGGTTTCCTATTGCTCACTTTATTAAAACAAAATGAATTCTCTGGATATGTAAGGATCTTACTTAGAAAAGTCCTCACTTTCTATCCAAAGATGGCTTCCCATTTTTAAATACTCTTCTAATACATCAGTCAGCTTAATTTCTTTATACTCAGACAAAATTCCTCCTCCGTAGTCTGTTGCCTCTCAGTGATTATTCAGATTCCAAATCGAATCCTTTCTCTTTCATGAAGTCATCCCTTCCTATTTTCAATTCCTATTAGTTTTTCTTTTTTTTGGACAAATATAGCACTTTTAGTTAGCGGTAACATACATAATGTAATTTCAAAACTTACAAATAATGATACAAAATTGTTTTCATTGCTCTTGGCGGCACTGAATCGTATATGTGCAGTGGAGACAGAGCCTTATAGCTCTCTTGTCTCCCTCAGGGCATTTAGCAGCTTGAAAACTTTGATTCCTCTGGAAAGAAGTCTTGGTTGAGAGTGAGATGACTTGGGTCCTAAACCTTGCTGAAGAGCTTAAGCGAGGCACCTCTTTACTTGGGGCCTCCATATCCTCATTTGCAATATAAAAGGGTTGGAATCATCTTTGAGGATCCTTTTAGTTTTGCTTCTAAGATTTTTTATTCATTCTCTCTCTGAAGAAAGGCTACCTAAAAATAATGCCATTGGTAAAGTGGTAAATGTTTAGAAACTGACTTTTTGGGAGGAAGAAGCTCTGCCTCGTAGAGCGTGTCGATTTCCATGGTGTAAATATTTCCATCACGGCCAATATCAGGCTCCCAGGATGACAAAACTGAATATGGAGTTGGGAAGAGATGTCCACCATTGGCTCTCATTGGACGACTGGACCCCCCCTAGCATTGTGGAGTGGCTCCTTTCAATGAAGAAATGCAGCCTCAGGCTAGATGAGCACAGCCAGCTAGCTTCGTCTCCAGCTTCTCTCACTCTAAAACTCCAACACAATCTTTCTTCACTGAGTGGAGAAGGCGACGACAATGGAAAGTGCTCCCAGCTTGGCTTTTCAAACCCAGGCTCTGAAGGCACAAACCCCAGGAGGAGGCCAGTCTTCTCAGGCACTTGTACCCACAGCAGTGTCCATCTCTTTTGGAATCTGGCACAGGAATGATGCTACCGAGGTGGTGGCAATTTTATATGCAGTTGGTAATTTGGATCTGTTCCGAGAGCTCTCAGCTCTGCCTTTTCTGGGAAAGAGGTGTGGTCCAAAGAACTAAAAGAAGGTTCTGAGCTGTAAGTCAAGAACAATGTACAGATGGTGGAAACAGTCTCCAGACTGTTCAGGGAAAAGTCCTCAGAGTTTCATGAGTCAGTGGGAGGAAAGAAGTTGGAGAGAAAGTAGAGGGCTGGAGCCGAAGACCCAGGCTCTGCCTCGTGAGGCTCACAACCATGAGAAAGCCTTGGTGTATCAGTAAAGTGTTGGTTAAAAATCAACTCGAAATTCCTTCTGACACCGTTGGGAGGATCTTATCATATGTACTAAAAACATTTGATGACTGTTATTTATACTTATTTATGTTAAACAATAGGAAGAAAATTAAAATATTACTAGCTATCAGGATAGATGATATTTTCTCTTCATTGGTTTATGTAGGTTCATATATATATATATATATATATATATATATATATATATATATATATAATTTTTTTTGAGACAGTCTGGCTCTGTCGGCCAGGCTAGGGTACAGTGGCAAGATCTTGGTTCACTGCAACCTCTGCCTCCCGAGTTCAAGTGACTCAGCCTCCTGAGTAGCTGGGATCACAGGCGCACGCCACCACACCCAGCTAATGTTTGTATTTTTAGTAGAAATGGGGTTTTGCCATATTGGTCAGGCTGGTCTTGAGCTCCTGGCCTCAAGTGATCTGCCTGCCCTGGCCTCCCAAAGTGCTGGGATTACAGGCATGGGCCACCAAGCCCAGCCACAGATAATTTTTAAAGAATGTTGCAGTAGTTAATGTGATCATTGAAGAACACCCTTCCCAACTTCAAAAGGACTAGTTAATGCTGGTGCTCCCTGCCCCCTCATAGAACTAGAAGGAACTGGGATTCCCCAGATGAACTGAAGGAAATACGCTAATATTCAAAGTGGATAACAATACTAGGGATGGCTGCGTGGATATTTTTAACATGCTAATGTGTACCTGCCAGACTGAGCTCCCAGCCTCCAGGTGGGCTGGCAATGCAAAGTAGGGTTGAGAAGGAACAGGGAGCTTTTCAGAGAACCACAGATTCAGAAGCAGAGGGAGGGGGAAGAATTGAAGAGAACACAGACGCAGTGAAAGGATGCTGGGCAGATGTTAGATGGCAGCTCAACTCAACCACTGCGCATTAAAGTTACTCATGGAGGGTACTGTTCAGGGCACTTTAGGCATAGAGGGATTGTGTAATGATGCGTTAGCATTTGTTCAACATCCCCTCTGGGATGACGACTCTGTGCCAAGTGCTTCAAAAACATTCTTTCAGATAGCATTGAATCTCTTCCTACACGAGGGACAGAGAAAATAAACCAGTGCTTAAGAAAGCTATATTACCTTGAGAAATGTTAACACAGTGCTTCGGGAATTCTTAGGAGGAAGAAATAATGGCTGACAGCCAGAGGTTAAATTTGAGAAGAAGATTTAAAAGAATGGAGACTTTCTTCTCATCTTCTCCCCCATTAGATCGCAAGTTCTGTTGTACTGGGAATCCTGACTACTATAATATATCCCAATGCTTAGCACATAGTAGGTGGCCAAAACTGATAATAATGATGGCGATAGCTAACATATGTGGAGCAACTACTGTGTGCCAGGGACTGTGCTAAGTGCGCCACATACACTGCACCTTCTCGAATCTGCATAATTACCCTTGAACAACCAGTGGCTTGTTGAAGTGGCGTGATGTTACTTCCCATACAAGTGTTCTGTGCTTGTAAGGGAATAGCAGGAAAGAAGATCTCAAAGGAGAATGGTGTCTTACTGTGACACTTTTGAATGTTACATTTGGAACTTTGTGCCTAGACAACATGGGATTCAGAGATAATTTTTTAGCAACCTGGTAGAAAGTCTTAGAGAAGGAGTTGGAGCAGAGAGAGGCTGGGGGCGTCAATACAAATTGGTCCATTGCAATCACTCAAGTGAAAAATAGTAAAGCTGGAAGAGGTAAGAGGTGAGTTGCAAAGTTTCAAGACTGTATTTAAAAAATGGTCATTCCACTGATAGAAAGGGAAGTGTCAGGAAGAGAAGTGATATATTTAGGGAGTACTGTGTTATGTGGGTGCTTTGAAATCTCTTCTTCCTGAATGCTGAGCTTGAAAATACAGGATCAATGCACATGATCAGACGATGGTGCAGATCTTATGCTAAAGTCTTAGACTCTTTAGGCTGTAAAGATCTTATATAGATATTTTGTCTGTCTTGCTCAGGCAGAATTATCAAAGGTCTCAGAGGAATATAACTCAGCTTGTTTCAAAAGAGGCCTTGGAAGTTTTCTCTAACAATTTCCAAATTAATTGATGTGATAATTAATAACTTTGCACTTAGAAGTTCCTCCTTGCAGCTAACCTGAATTCCTTGGGCTGCAATTTTGATCTCATTTCCTCCTGGTTTATAGATAGGAATGTTGATGATGTTGCTATTTCAAATGCATCTTCTGTAAAGATACATTTATTTAGGACTTACACCCAGCTTGCTTCTAAAAAGGATTAGAGGCAGCTCCTAATATGTCCACCTAGGCTTCCTTTTAAAGAAGCTTTTCTCATTCCTGCAAAATGTCTTCCATCTGCATGCATAAGAAGAATTTCTTTAATAATAAATGATACAGCAAAAGTAAAGCTAATAACGAACTATGCTGACAAAATAGTAACCTGTAAACAAAACAAAACAAAAACAAAAAGAAACAAAAAACCACAATCCTTTCTTATGCCAGGCAATGCAGATTTTTCTCATCAGAAAATAATTTTGACCAAAACTATCAATTTTAACACCGCCAGCCTCTGAATTTTAAGTTCCTTTCTTCTTTGTAGTGCCTGCTTTTGCCATTCTTAGACTCGTGTGTGTGTATGTGTCTGTGTGTATTTTTCTCTTCCACTTGACTCTGGAAAACCAGATTTTAGTAAAGCATTTAGTGAATATTGAAACCAAGGTATAAATGATGGACACAGTACTTAAATTATTAAAGGTACCAAATGTTTGTTGCATGAATAAATGAGTGAGTGAGTGATTGCATGAATATAATTTGTGATTGTAATTAGGGTGTTCTCTTTACCTCGTTGTCTGCACTTTAACGGGAACATAGATATTAAATTGAATAAATGGCAGGTGGCAGACAGAAAAGACGAAGGAATTTTGAGGCTCTCTGCAAAGAGAAGCCGTCCTGGAAGGACAGTGGGCAGCATCTCTGATCAGCACTACCTAAAGGAAGTGAGGAGTCTTTGTTGCCAGAAACCTTAGCCAGGGCCTTCCCTGCTCCCCTCCCTCTGCTGTCTTAGGGCTTTGTTTACACAGCCCCTTGAAGCCAGCTGTCAAGGGTGCAAACCTGGTCTGCCATCCTTTGAAGAAGGTTCAGGTTACACATGGTAAGCCACAGAACAGAGAAGGCCCAGGATTCATTATTGTATTAGTCTCCACAGAGCTGAACCCAGGCTCCTAAGAGTCCGTCCCTTCTTCCTGTGTCCTCTGTCAGCCAGCGCCTTCTGCAGCTCTGATCCTTTGGTCATTGGTCCTTCTTTCCTGCACCTGAGGCTAAGCCTGAGTCAAGATGTTCTCAAGATCCTTCCTGTTTCAGCTGCATGTCTGATGTTTACACTTGCGACTCAGAACTCACTTCACTGCAGGCTTCTGACGCCCCTTCAAATCCATGCTTCACTCTCACAATCTGTTTTGAATGTCTGTTTTTCCTGGGTACCACTTCTCAGTTGTCCACACCCAGTTGATCTTCCTTTCCCCTCCATTATTAAACATCTTTTAAATAGCTCATCACTGCAGTCTTAGTAAGTTCAACTTTCCGTCCAGCTTTTTATCTTTTCTGGTTTCAACACCTGGGCTCAAATCTTAGCTCTGACATTTGATTGATAGGTAACCTTAAAAAAGTTATTTAATCTCTCTGAGATGGAAATTTGTCATTTGTAAAATGGGCAAAATTGCATGCATAGAGTTCTGATGATCAAAAGAAAACACGTATGTAAAGCCCGTAGCACTCAGTCAGGCACTTAGAACCTTGTTAAAATGTAAATATCCCTCCTACTTAAAAAAAAATTATTTTAAGTTTTGGGATACGTGTACAGGATGTGCAGGTTTGTTACATAGGTAAACGTGTGCTCTGGTGGTTTGCTGCACCTATCAACCCATCACCTAGGTATTAAGCCCAGCATGCATTAGCTATTTATCCTGATGCTCTCTCCCTCCCCCAATCCCTGACTCTTAACTTTTAAAAATGTCTCATTCCTTCTCTCTAGAAAAGTATCGGGACTTTCTTTTATTCTTTTGCCTCCTTTAAAGGCACACAAGGAGTTCTCTCCTCTCTATAGTCATGATCATTGTAGAGACTTTTCAGTCTACGCAGGCTTCCTTTCAACACAGGCTTCCTTTCAACACAGGCTTTTCTAAAGAGTAATTATATAGCAAGAAACCAGGATTTGGTACAGACTACAATACTCACACATGCCCACATCATTTGGAGGAGGGCATTCATATCCCAATGAAGGAACATTTTTTTAAAAACTAGGAGTGGTGATCTGGGACTCAATGTAATAGGCGATTGCTTGTATTAGCTGTTTTTTTCTTTTTTAAATAAAGCTGATTTCTAACAAATATTTGAAAGGTATTTAGATAATTTGTAGATGAGCAAGTGATAATTTTTCTGTGAGCAAGAATGACTTTCCCTGTTTTAAACGTGTCGCGTTTCTTATTATATTGGAAAGTGGGAGTGGGGAGTTAGAAGTATAGAGGATAATAGAAGAAAGTATTATAGTCAGGTCGCGTTTCTTATTATATTGGAAAGTGGGAGTGGGGAGTTAGAAGTATAGAGGATAATAGAAGAAAGTATTATAGTCAGGGAAGAATGGGACACTACCCTGGGTTTATATCACTGATCACTGAGGACGTAAATTCACAATTTCGTGTGGCAGGTTGTATTTTCTTGTTCTCCCTACTTTGTGAGGAGCATTTGCTATTATACGTTACAATGATACGGAGGAACAGGTAGGAGAGGAACAAAAAAGCATTTAGGCAAAACAGAGACATTTCATACTACTTAGAACAGAGATGGGATGATACAAATTGCTATGTTCCCAATACAGTTCATATCTTTGGGGAAAAAATAGCGATGCTCCAATCTTCATCCCATCCCCCTCTTTCTCTAACAAGAAAAGGAAAACGAGGAGCAGTAGGTAGGTAGGAGGGGAGTGTATGACGTGAGGAACAGGCAAGGACACAGCATGTCCAGGAGGAGAAAAGGGGAGCAAAAAACGTATACAAGATAAACAACAACAACAACAAAAGAGACTCCAGCAAGAGGCTATGGTTTTGGGCTCCTCACGTAGAAATCAATGCATTTAAAATATCCAGAATTAAAGTTGAAGAAGAACACTCCATCTACCTCTTCTCAAATTATTTTCTTTACCAATACTACTTCCTTTTGTCTTTAAACTGTGAACCACTACTCTACTGTGCCTTGTTCTTACAATTATACACGTCAGTGCTGAAAGGTTCCTGGGAGACATTTCCTGTAGACTAAGGATAGCACCTGTGGGCATCTCGGATCGATGAATCATGGTGGCTGGAGCACTGCATTGAGACTGGTTCAGGGGCTCAGTCTGTTCTCAATGGGTAGGGTGATGGAATCCATCAATGCTGGGATTGGCTAATGCTGTCTTCCACAGGTTTGGGGTGGGAGGAGTTGTAGGGAGAGCCGCCCAAGTGGTGCCATCCACGCTAAGAGACTGAGACTCTCATTTACGAGGAGGTTCAGAGACATTAATCAATTTGCCAAAAGGCACACAGCTACTTAGTATTTTTCCAAATTTAAATTTAAATTTTTCCAATTTATCTAAAACAAACAAACAAACAAAGGTTCAGGGCCAGGGGGAAAAATGAAGATTAAGAGGATTAACCATCCTGAAAATGAAAAATGATTTGCCTTCAAGGCATTTAGAACTGAAAATAAATCTTCCTGAAGCCTTTTGTTAGACACTTTATCAAAATTGCTAGGAGCTCTGACTGGCTCTCTTGCAACAGCCTGGAATCCTTCTCCCCAGTTTCAGAGGAGTTTCAAAATCTGTAATATTATAGACTGACTATTTCTTCCAGGGGGAGAATTTTTCTTAGTGCTTGGATAAAGAGATGAAGTATTAAGACACTTTAAACTATTATTCATGTAGGATTAACAGATATTTGAATTTAACTTCAGAATCTTTTAAATGACACCCCACTTAATATAATTTTTAAAAAGTTCTTTCTGCAGTGTATCAAATAAAAGTCCCAGATGGGATTTGGACTTGGTTTTAACTAATCATGGTAGCAGGCAGTAGTCTCAGTTCTAGAATAAATGGCACTCCAAGTAAGAGACTTAAGTTCTTCATCAGTGCCAGGCTGCAACAACATGCTTTGAGGGAACTCTGGCCCCTAAATGTCTCCTCTACTTGCCTGGAAATTTACTATTAAACATTCAGAATTTTTTTGAAAATGCTAATATTCTTGGGTGATACGCCATTTCAAATTTATTGTTAGCTAATAAGTAAGGAAGAAGGAAAAGCTAGTGATGAGGTGGAGTGATTTGTTAATAGCTGTGGGATAAGAGAAGAGAGTGACCGAAATAATAGTTTTCCAAGAGTAGCTACAGGAGGGGTTTTGCTGGCCCAAAGATGGACTTCATTGTCTCAAAACTACTCCTAACACCAGAATGTTTAACTGACCTTAGGCCTTATATGTCTGAGGACCCAATAACTAACACTAAGCAGCTGATGAAAAACCACCCACATAAATAAACCCTCAAGATGCCTTCGGAAAATAGAAAAGAAAAGAGAAAAACAATGTAAGAAAGTGTAGGAGTGCCTTCTCTTCAACATTTCTGAGAGAAGATGGGAGTTGAAAACCTTAAACAAAATGTTGCCCCAATCTCACTTGCCTAATTTTAGTTATCTTGGTTCAGGGCTATGATTCATCCCTAAAGCTGTGAATTACTGAGGAGGAAGGAGGGAAAAAAAAATCGACTTAAATGTCAAAGAAGTAGGAACATAAATATAGTTTTCTTTTTTGAGGAACTAGAATTCCAGGATATAGGGATCTTTTTTCTCATAAGGGACTGAATCCTTCAAACTTCTAGAAAAATAATGATCTGCAGTCAAAACATCATCAAGGAATGAAAGACAGAATTGATTATGAGTCATGTCATGTCTGAATTTTTGCCTCTATAGTGTATTTTCCTTTTTTTCTTTTGTATCTCTTTCAATCTGGTTAAACTATTAATTAATTAATTAATTTTGAGACAGGGTCTCTCTCTGTTGCCCAGGCTGGGGTGCAATGGCTCAATCATGGCTCACTGCAGCCTTGACTTCCTGGGTTCAAATGATCCTCCCACCTCAGCCTCCCGAGTAGCTGGGACTACAGGTGCACGCCGCCACACCCAGCTAATTTTTGTAGTTTTTGTAGAGACAAGGTTTTGCCATGTTGCCCAGGCTGGTCTCGAACTCCTGGGCCCAAGCAATCTGCCCACCTTGGCCTCCCAAAGTGCTGGGATTACAGGTGTAAGCCACCGTGCCAGGCCAATCTGGTTAAACTAGAGGTCACTAACAATTGTATGCAGTTGAAGATGACGGAGGTTTAATGTGTAGACTGTAATGACAAAGGGAACTCATAAAATAGGTGAGTGTGAAACGAATGGAGGTAAGTGGAACTATGAGAAATGATTCTAGGGGATGTGATGGTAGCACAGGGAAGGAAGATATGTTTGAATGGTTGTCTAAGGTTCTCTTGTGATCCTTTTGTGGATCATAATCATAATGATTGAGTTTTCACAGTAATATATGAGATGTGCTTCCTTCAAACCTTGTTATGATGTTGGCACACTATCCGTCTTACATAAACATAGGAAAAAAAAGTTCTCTTTCCTGCCAAAGAACAGGGGACAACAGAAATGGTGTGGGGAAACTCCATCCTAAGTAAAATGTTTTCAATTTAGTAGGTGTTCTCCTGTCCATTTATCACCACTTTGAATTTCTGTAAGTGGGGAGGGATGAAATAGCAGTCACTAACTCATACCCAGTTCAACAACTTCACCGTCTGAAGGAGCTGACCCTCTACCATCAGCCTAGCTGTCATCTGCATGTTTGCCTCTTTCTGCTCTGAAAACTTCTGAGCAGTAAAAGAAATATATGGTGGTCACAAAAATACGGTCCAGGACGTTGGAGGAGGGTCATATTGTGAAGAAGGCAAATGAGAAAGAAAGAGTTTCAATGACTTCAGAGTGATCCTCCACATCCTGAAGCTATGAGAGTAGCCCAGGGCACAATTGTGACATTGATTTCAGCCCCTACCCTCTAGCCCTGTCCTCAGTCTCCTCAGAGCACTCTTCTCATCTTCCTCATGGCTCTACATCTTTCTGTTCTCCTCTTACCTGGGTATTGCTGTGGACAAGAGCAATTCCTCTATCTTATCACCCAAGACCCAAAGTGTCACTCAGTGAATGTGACCAATGCATCTTGATGACAACCTAACGGGATACTTAGGAGGTGGAAAGGACTCTGGAGGTTGCCGGTTTAAGTGACTTTCTTGCCCATTGCAATCCTTTTCTTGCATCTTCTGGAAGATGTTAACCCTATGGCCATGACTACCTAACATTGTGTCTAGTGGAGAGATATTTTAAGGTCCATAGAAGAATTTTTTTTTCAGAAGGGTCCTTGGCCTCCCTCATTTCATGTCACCTTGGTCCACTGCCTTTCTTACAAATCCAGTTCTTCTAATTTAATTTTCTGAGCTTCTGCTAGGCGCGCCAAAGTGCAATGAAGACTTGTTTCTGTTTTTTATTTCCACGAATTTTTTTTTTTTTTTACCTTGTGTGGCAATGTTTTGGGTCCAATTCTGTTCTCCAAATAGATATATTGAAGTCCTAACTCCTACTATCGGTGAATGTGACCTTATCTGGAAATAGAGTCTTTGTAGATCTAATCAAGCCACCAAGTTTGTGGTAGTTTGTTCTGATGATTCTTGAAAAGTAACACATGTAGTAATAAAGGCAAAGAGGAAGGGCAACTGGAAGCCAAAGAAAGAAGGAAGAGGTTTTTTTCTTGGCTTAATTTACTGATGCACTGGTATTAATTTTTGATTAAAATGATCCAGAATTGTTCCACATGAACCCTTGAAAAATAATTCATGGGAGGCCGTCTCTGTCCGGATCTTTAAAATACAACATACTCTGCTATTTAAATAAATTCCCATCGCACAATAGTCAGCTGTTTTTCAGTGCTCTTGATTAACAATTGGGTTTGTTTTCCTTAACTCGACTGCTTTGATTTTTTGTTTTATTTTGCCTTTTAATATTTTATTTAGTAACATAAATGCATGAATAGTAATGTTCATTTCATCAAAATATGGAATCAAAGGCACTTAAAAATACGAATTATCCGTAATATATTTTTCAGGTCCAAATGGAATTCTATCTATTTCTACATTCCAAGACTCTAAAGAATTTACTCTCTATAAACAGCATTTAGAATGAAATCAGGTCTTGCTTAAAATAATCAATCTCAGTGGTTTCCTGCGTAGCGCTATTCTTTGTTTACAAACAGCACAAATACAGTTAAGGACTACAGTCATATGCTGCACAACGACATTTCAGTTAATGATGCATATAATATGGTTGTCCCATAAGATTATAATACTGTGTTTTTACTGTATTTTTCTATGTTTGGATATATTTACATAAACAAATACTTACCATTGTGTGAGAGTCGCCCACAGCATTCAGTACAGTAATTTGCTGTATAGGTTTGCAACTTAGGAGCAATAGGCCACTCCATATAGCCTAAGTGTGTAATAGGCTAGACCATCTAAGTTTTTGTAAGTGTACTCTATGATGTGTGCACAGTGAAATCGCTTAATGATGCATTTCTCAGAATGTAGCTCCGTCCTTAAATGATGTATGACTATATTTATATTTGCAAAACAAAACCTTTTTAAGGCCTTCAATTGTAATACATATCGAGTGCCCAAATTTAAAAATGTATGTCAAGAACCTTCACATATCCAATTTTAAAGCACGGTCACACTCTATAAGCTTCTCTAAGACAAT
Source organism: Homo sapiens (assembly GCF_000001405.40). Taxonomy (NCBI): domain Eukaryota; kingdom Metazoa; phylum Chordata; class Mammalia; order Primates; family Hominidae; genus Homo; species Homo sapiens. The sequence continues at coordinate 3,813,629 of NC_000018.10, forward strand.
CTCTTCTATTATGTTACTCAATTATCTGAAAAATTCAAGAGTCTTAAGAAAAAGTTCTTGTGTGTACTTCGTGCCTGAGCAAACGTTCAAGAATTGGGATACATGTATATTCTCATTGACCAGAAATTTCAATCCTTTTCAGAAGCCATTCTGGATTCTTTTAAATCCAGAATGGCTTCTGAAAAGATGGGATTTCTTCTGCTTCTTAGAGATGAGGGGTTCAGCTTATGATCAATGCAGAACACATCTGTTGCCTCTCTCTACAAAGGGACTGGGGTACGGACGTCAGATCTAAAGTCACAATCAATGTACTGCACTGCTCCACCTGTAGGATGTTTCTGCCCCACTTACTCTAGGAGACACACCATCTGAGCCTCGGTGATAATACAAGCACCTGGACTATCGCAAGTGCAGGGTTAGGACTACTCACTTGAGTGTGGTGAGTTCTGTAAGGGATGGCTGAGTAGCCTTGAGATAGCTTTCTCTCCGCGCAGCAACTTTTGGAGAAGGCTTAGGACTCGTGTCTGAGTCTCCACTGTCTTCATCCCCCATGGCCTTGATATAACTGCCACTCCGCATTCTTCGGCATGGAATTTCATCATCTTTACCTCGTGGGGTGTACCCTGTCCATTCATCTTGTGGAACCTATTCAGATAGAAAACAGATAAATCACTTTTTATAAAAGCCTACCTTTTTCTTTTCTTTTTCTTTTTTTTTAGATTTAACATTTCTATTTTTTTTTTTTTTTTTTGAGATGGGGTCTTGCTTTGTCGCCCAGACTGGAGTGCAGTGGTGCAATCTTGGCTCACTGCAAGCTCTGCTTCCTGGGTTCATGCCGTTCTCCTGCCTCAGCCTCCTGAGTAGCTGGGACTACAGGCACCTGCCACCACGCCTGGCTAATTATTTGTATTTTCAGTAGAGACGGGGTTTCACCGTGTTAGCCAGGATGGTCTTAATCTCCTGACCTCGTGATCTGCCCGCCTCGGCCTCCCAAAGTGCTGGGATTACAGGCTAACATTTCTAATTTTTATGAGTACGTAGTAAGTGTATATATTTATAGAGTACATGAGCTATTTTGATACAAGCATACGATGTGTAATAATCACATCAGGGTAAATGGGGTATCCATCACCTCAAGCATTTGTCATTTCTTTGTGTTACAAACATTCCAATTATCGTCTTAGTTATTTAAAAATGTATAAATAAGACCAAGTATTTTCTTTTTTTGGTATGGTGCTGGATATTGGTAATATAATTATCTGAAACTTTAGACATTAACCTTTCAATAACAATATTTTATTGTAATAGGCTCATAAATATTTTGAATATGTACAAATCCACGTCTCTCAGTCTTTAACATGACTCATGTAGTAGGAAAAATTAAAACCATTGGCTTTGAATCATTTGTACATCTCAGTTTTCTCATGCTGATAATAGTTGAGTCAGGCATAAGAATGCCATTTGAAAGGAGAGCAATTTTATTTGAGCTTTTCAGTGATTTGTTTTCAATTGCCATTTAAGATTCGGGAATGTTTACTGATTGATCTATGCCTTCCTTGAACCTTTCGACTTTACCATCTCATATCCAGTCTGTCTTCTTCCTAAACCAGTGGTCTCTACCAGCTGCATTTACTCCCCAGTCACTTATTCTTTCTGAATCTTTCTTAATTTGGATTCAGCTTCCTTAGATCTGCTTAAAGCACTCTCTAAAGGTTTCCAATGATCTCCTAATGGAAGATAATGGCATTTTCTTGCTTTTATTTTTTCTTGGCCTCTGCACACCCGTGCACACACATACACACAAATAACACCTCTTTGCAAGTTTCTCCCCTTTTGGCCTTCTGATTGCTTGACTTACCTGGTGTAGCTACTACTTGTCTGAATTGTTCCTTTCCTTTTGCTTTGCTGGATCCTACTCTAAGTCCCTAACTGTGGATACCACAACAAAATCATATTGTCAGTGCACTGCTCTTCTTTTTTCTTTCCACAGTCATTTTTTCTGAGTTCAGCAGAGCACTGCACTACGTTTTAGAAGCCATCTTCATGACTTTCTCTTCAGTTCCTCTTAGATTTTCCACTTCAACATGAACTCAACCTAGATCTCATTCCTTCTTCATTTTTCATGACGTGAAAAAAAATGCATAATAACCACTCTTTTTATTCATTAAGAAGTAACATAGCAAACATACTATAGTGGACAGAGCACTGCACAAGGCTTAAGTAAAAGAGACCAAAAAACGGGGAGGCTGGTTCTTGCCCTCAACATATTTATAACAGAGACGAGAAGAGAAACGAGAGTTAGCAGTAATGGTGATGGGAAAGGAGGATCCAGGAAAGGCTCCCTGGAATTGGCCAGGTTTGCAATGAGAAAATAAAAAGGCTTTTAATATTTTGATGTTAACTATTTACTGCTTATCCATTAAAATAACATGGTACTTCATTATTAACATTTAACTGTGCTAAAAAAAAATTGCCTATAAGATCTCATTTCATCAATACAACAACCTGTGCATATTTTTCTGTTTTTCTCAGGTGAGAAGCAGGAGGTCAGAGAAGGTGAGTAACTTGCCAAAGGACACACAGCTAAAACGGCAGCACTAGGGTTCGAGGTGTTTAACTCCTAAGATCAAAATTATATTAATCAAAATTTTATGATTTATGTCACTTTGAAACCTAAAGTGTTAAGAAAATTGTCCACAATAGCACACACACATATCAGACACAGATTTCTAAATATTATAGGTTCTAAGGAAGTGAGAATAGATGTTCTACTAAAAGAGCATAATTCTTTCCTTTTTAATTGTTAATTCACCTGTATAACTGGAAAGTTTAGATCTAAGAACTTCAGATTGAAGAGATGCTACTATTCATGGTCTTGAAAACAGTGGTTTGTAGGTTCTAATTCTGAAAAGTACTAACCAAGATGAAGCATCACCCTGCAGCATGTTCATTTTATTTAATAAATTCTTATATTGTGCTCCTGTGTGCAGGCACTGTTCTAAGTGCTTTTTAAATGTCAGCTCATTTGATCCACACAGCGGAGGGGTGGTATTATTATTATTCCCATTTTACAAATGAGGACACTAAAGTTATGTAGCTCACTCAGAGTTACAGCTAAGAAGGGGCTGAGTTTCAATGAGGCAGTTCCTAGGGCCATATCTTGACCACTGTTTAATGCTCCTTGTCTTTCTAGGCTGTGCTTTGTGGCACCTGCAGAACTGAGCAATTATAGTCCCGGACACCTTTGTGCTCATCACATTTGATACACTTGTCATTTATTAATTATGCTAGTAACAATGTAATGTTTTTACTTTTGTAGGTAAAAGCATCAAAATCACCACAGCAACAAAGATTTCTCAGGAAATTATAAATGCTGAGAACAGTCTTGTTTTCCTTGCATTGGCAGGTGACTCACTGCATAGATATGATCATCTTCAGAGCCTCATTATAGGTTTAGCAATTACATTTTAAAAATTAACTTGGTACAGCTGAGGGTCATAGATGACGCACACCACACTTGCTATTTCTCAATCCTGATGTGAAGTTCATAAGCATTGCTCTCTGGAGTATGTCAGAGACTAATGACAAACTGATTAGCTCATATGGCTTATGCAACAAAACATGGCAAATTTTGTTCAGATATTTTTTTCAAAGTTAGTTTATGGTAGAAATTTGGGCTCATACTAGAAACAGTCTGTAACTGTTGTTTAGGGAACCAGCTGAGAAGTATTTAACCTGTGTATCTTTCAATTAATCTTACTTTTCAAATGATAGCAGCTAAGAAGTTATGTGGAAGTGACTTCCATTGGAGTGGAATTTGAATAGTAATACATTATTTATATACCTAAAGGTAGCATACAACAAGATTACACATAAAATAATACAGTAATCCGTTCTAGGGAAAGTGTAAAGACAGAAAATCGAGACCTTGGAGAAGAAAAACACAACTGCTGAACTGTAAGGGCCATTAACATCGATATAATCGAGTCAGTTTTTAGTTTTTGTTTCTTAAACCCTAAAGCAAAAGGGAGACATTGCTTAGGTAGATAGTTTTAGAAGAAAGCATATAAAGTGATAAGCATACCAGGCCCAAAGAGTGAAATGTTACTGCCTTTTGATTGTAAAGAAAGGGAGAATTACATGGCTGCAGCTGCTATTGTGAGCTGGGCAGAGGTTGCTGTGTCTTTCCATTTCAGCTGCACAGAGAGAAAAGATTTAGGAAAATCCAAAGAAAAAGATAACCTTGCAGCTGTCTCTGAAAAGCCTGCGTTATTACTGTGGTGGCAGTTTCAGGAGCTGGAAGTCTTGGTAGAAGGAAAGCTGGAGCAGAGACAAAGAGTGCAGGTCCTCATTGATTTCAGGCTGGTGGGATGCCCTGCTTGTGTGCACCAGCTTAGGAGGGGGTTGGACTCAACAAACATAAACAAATAATAATAAAAGCAAACTAATACAGGTTAGATTTTATAGTAGTTATGGATGAGAAAAAAGGATTAATTGCTTTTTAATTATTATGTTTAAGCATTAGCACTCCAACAGAGATCTTAATTTTTGATGAAACAAAATGAGGATTAGTGTGCATTGTCTATTTCAGTGGTAGCCCGTCTATAACTGAAACCATATGTTATCATTCAGAAAACTGGAAGACCTGCCCTTGACTAAGAAATGGCCATAATCAAGTGCTAACATCCTCTAATTACAGGATAGGGATGTAGGGATGGTTTTTTTTTTTTTTTTTTTTTTTTTTTTTTTGAGACAGGGTCTTGCTCTGTTGCCTGAGCTGGAGTGCAGTGGCGTGATCTTAGCTCACTGCAACCTCCACCTCCCAGGTTCAAGCGATTCTCTTGCCTCAGCTTCTTGAGTAGCTAGAATTATAGGCCTGTGCCACCATGCCCAGCTACTTTTTGTATTGCTAGTAGAGACAGGATTTTGCCATGTTGGCCAGGCTGCTCTTGAACATATTGAAAGAACTATTTCAATACCTTTTTTTTTTTGAGGTGGTGTCTCGCTCTGTCACCAAGACTGGAGTGCAGTGGCACGATCTTAGCTCACTGCAACCCCTGCCTCCTGGGTTCAAGAGATTCTCCTGCCTCCCTAGTAGATGGGACTACAGATGCCCGCCACCATGCCTGGCTAATTTTTGTATTTTTAGTAGGATTGGGGTTTTGCCATGTTGGCCAGGCTGGTCTCAAACTCCTGACCTCATGATCTGCCTGCCTCGGCCTCCCAAAGTGCTGGGATTACAGGGGTGAGCCACCGTGCCCAGCCAGGATGAGAATGCTTTCTGAATTGAAATGATGTCACTGCACTGAAGGATGGGCTCTGCTGGAAGTGGAGTATCTTTTGGTGCTGACATTTCCCCCCACTTTAGGTTTTCCTAAACTCAGTTGAAAGAGGAACACACGGCCGGACGCGGTGGCTCATGCCTGTAATTCCAGCACTTTGGGAGGCCGAGACGGGCAGATCATGAGGCAAGGAGTTCAAGTCCAGCCTGGCCAACATATAAAACCCCGTCTCTACTAAAAATACAAAAAATTAGCCAGGCGTGATGGTGGGTGCCTGTAATCCCAGCTATTCAGGAGGCTGAAGCAGGAGAATCGCTTGAACCTGGGAGGCGGAGGTTGCAGTGAGCTGAGATCGTGCCACTGCGCATTTTACTGAATCTAAGATACTAATGCAATTGTCCCAACATTTTTTGTGTCACTAAGAAAGAAATAAACATCATCAATAAATTCTGACACTCCATAGAATATATAATTTATCCCAATATCCAAAATGCTAAAACGTGTAAACTATGGCTCTTAGAATCAATTAAAAACCTTTTAAAAATATGTATGAGAAGAAAAACAAGAAATGAATTTATTCTGGGATAGTAATTGTTGAACTTAATGTTCATATTTAGTAATGACCAAATTAATATAAGCAATTACATTTATCATGTCATGAGTTTGGAAAAAAACATAAGTTCACATAATGTCTTATGATCCTTACAACTATCATGAAGGATATGAAGAGTAAATATTATAACCTCAGTTTGTCAAATAGAGAAACTGAGGTCAGGAGAGATTAGTAACTAGTGTAGGGTGACACTGCCCAAGCTGAGGTCTGCCATTCACAGTTCAGGAATCTCCCCCGCCCCCTTCTAGCATATTCATATATGTCTTTTGACATGTCTTTTGGGTAACAATTGTTATTTTTTGATAAACTACAAAGCACATATTTTAGATAAGAAAATAATATCATAGTGTTTTAAGGTCTGTTTGAAGGAAAAAATTAATAAACAAATAGTGGGTTACAACCCTTTGAAAGAAAAGTTACAAGAACTACTCTATCAGATGTAGGAACGCTTAGTTTTAAAAGTCTCTCCCCAAGGGCATCTAGCTTGAGTGCCCCACTTTGGCTGGGCTGCAGTTATCAAAGTGTAGCTAAATAGATTACAGTCTGTGCCAATGATGGTCTGTGAGACGATGATTGAGAGATGAAGCCATGTGCACGTGACTCTTTGAGAGCGGATTATCTCAGGATGGGAAGTTGCATGGTGAGGTGTGGAGTAATGAGAATGCGTGAGATTTTGGGAAATCTGAGAGCCACAAAAGGAATGAAGACACTTAGAAAGCCGGGACAGCTGAAATGAAGCATATGTCCTGAAAATATACAAGGGCAGGCCTGTGCGATTCTGTGAGCTATTCTGGGTTGCAGAGATTTGGGAGGAAAACTGATGAACCCAAGGCTGTGAGTACATAAAGCAAAGTTCTATTTCATCAGGAACCAAAGAACTGGGAGGAAGGAACCTAGGCATTTGGTTGATTTGGTGAAAACAAAGGCAGTAGAGCAAGGAAAAGTAGCAATTGAATGGTGGGCATGAGGGATAGGCTTCTATTTGCACAGTTACCCCTCAGCAGCTGTTGATTCCTTCCCAAGCACAAGGTATTTCAATGACAGCAGCCAGGTAAATAAGGGTGCTTGGCAGTGACTTAGGGATCAACCTGTTTGACTTTCCTGTGCTTGAAAAGGAATGGTAAATAGGAGGAGAAAAATGTACATTATGAAAGGAGAGTTGGGCATCTGACATTCATGAAAAAATCTGACAATTATGGAATAATCTCAATGAGCTAGGGGCAGTGCCTATGTTACTTTATGTTAATCTTTGCAGCAGTTGTATAGAATAGGCATTACTATTTCCATCTTACTGCTTCAAAATTGAGATTCAAAAAGGAGAGTTAGGCATCTGACATTCATGAAAAAATCTGACAATTATGGAATAATCTCAATGAGCTAGGGGCAGTGCCTATGTTACTTTATTTTAATCTTTGCAACAGTTGTATGAAATAGGCATTACTATTTCCATCTTACTGCTTCAAAATTGAGATTCAAAAAGGTAAAATGCAATGGCTCATGCCTGTAATCCTAGCACTTTGGGAGGCCAAGGCAGGAGGATCACTTGATTCCAGGAGTTTGAGACCGGCCTAGGCAACATAGCAAGACCCCATCTCTACAAAATAATTTTTTAAATGTAGCTGGTGTGGTGGTGGTATGTGCCTATAGTCCTAGCTATTTGGGAGGCTGAGACAAGAGGATTGCTTGAGCCCAAGAGTTTGAGGCTGCAGTGAGCTATGATGGTGCCACCACTCTCCAGCTGGCCGACAGAGTGAGACTCTGTGTCAAAAAAAAAAAAAAAAAAAAAAAAAGATGAAACGACTTGCCCAAGGTCATAATAATTGGTAGAAATGTGCATTTGTCTGACATCAAAGCTTTTAATAATATTACCTTGCCTCTGATGAATCCGTGATGATTAAGTGAATGAACCAATAAACTAAAAAAAAGAAGAAGAGAATGGGGTGCACGCTCCCACTCAACAGTCGTGGTTTTTAAAATAAAATGTAACCATTCAAATAAGCATAAACGTTCTCGTGTCACTAATTTTCTAGCACTGCTAAAAGAGGGTTCAAAATAATAAACACTTAATTCTGAAGTGAAAGAGTGTTGTTGTTTCCTGGTCTGGGGCTGCCTTACCAAGTATTGTTTGCAGCTGCTGTTTAAACAAGCATGAACAGTTTGGAGGAGGGAGTGGGTGATTAGAAAACTTGCAGGACAGCCACACCTTTAAGGGTGGCTTGGGAGCCTTGAAGCATCCCAACAGCGTTTTAGCATTTGTAAGAAGGCTCCACCCTGGACTTTAGGTTCCTGCCTACAACTTTTTAGAGAAATGGCTGTAATGTGTTGGCCTTCTAAGCACTTTTAGTGGGCTCTCAGATTCCCTACTCACTCGATTTCTTTGCATCTTCTTTGCAGCTGGGAGAACTGCTTTTCTGCTCCACACAGCTTTCACCTTGACAAATGCGACTTGGCTTAAATGTCCCTTTAGCCTTTTTAGCTTGCTCTTCTCATAGCAAAAACAGAAAAAAAAAAAAAAAAGAGCAAGAATAGGAAAATTACAATTATGCAATGTGCAGATCCCTAGGCATGATTGTTGCTTCCCAATCAGGAGAAGATTTCCCTGGCAACCGCCCTTTCTTACTCCCCTGGAAGCCCGAAATTGGTGGAAAACTTAATTTGTTTTAGATTGCTTAAAATTACCTTTTAAGGATAAGAGTAAATACCTACCTCTTTAAATAGAATTTATACCCTTTGTCACAGCTCTTCCAAATAACATTTTTAAATGATCTTGAAAGAATAGAACATTGTAAACAGTGATACATACGGTAATTTGCTTACCATGACCCTGTAGAATTATTCTTACCCACAAACATTTACAGTATCTGCAGGGTACCCAGCACCATAGCAGGGGCTGGGTAAATACACCAAAAGCATTTTATAAAACACAGTCTCTGGTGTTAAAGGAGTTTATAAGTTTTGAGTGGATCTGGTGAATCTGGAGGGTGGAGGAAGGAAACGAGTAAAGAGCAGCTTTAAGTAAGTCAAGCTGAGTCGAGTATTAAATCTCAGTACCTCTGAATTTCCTACTGGGTTTGAAGCTTGTTCCCATAAATCCCCTTTCCTGGTGATGAAACTGTTCCTTAAAAATTGAACATATGTGTGTGAAGTGCAAATGCCACTGATAAATAGCCCTGCAGGGGAATGGCAGAGGGCCTAGGTCTGCAGTCCCCAAGGGATTGGGGAGCCATGGGCCTTTGGGGACTAGTAGAAAATGTTACTGAGGTGCTGGATGACATCAAAAGGGGCACTAACTGTGGATAAGACACTCTCGTGATATCACATCAAGAAATAATAACTAAGATGCTGGGTGTGGTAGAATGCACCTGTAGTCCCAGCTACTTGGGAGGCTGAGGTGAGAGGATCACTTGAATCCAGGAGTTCAAGACCAGCCTGGGCAACACAGTGAGACAAGATATTAAGATTCTAGTATGATGTAGGGACAGGAAGGGAAATGAATTTTATTAATTATTCACCCACTATTTTGACGGTAGTGAATACGTATAGGTTTAGCTATCCCAGTTCCACTTCTGGTTCTTGTAGCCAAGCCTCCTGATTTTGCTTTGGGAAAAGCTTTCTCCTCAATTCGAGGTCCATGTATTTCAGGAGTAGCCCAAGAGTTGGGGTAGGACAATCAGCAAATCACACTTCCTGGCTTCATTGCTTGGCTCAGGGCAGAGGTGAATGATCTAAGCTTACTCAGTCAGCAAGCATCTCTGGACCTGTGCATGAAATGCCAGGACAAAGATACCTCCTCTCTCACTGAATATATTAATAGGGATGCATGTGACCTTAGGACTTGTCGGTAGCCATTTTATAACATCTAATACACAAACATAATTTCACGTAATACAAAAACCTTATGTTATCTTAATGCCATTGCAATGATGAAAAAATTGAGACTTAGTGGTATTAAATAACTTAGACCAAATGTTACAGCTTGTCAGAATTGAAAGACAGGTTTGTCTTACTCAAATTTCTACACTCTTCTTCACACCAGGCTGCTGTCTATAAGAGTTTCAAAACTTTGTTATAGTAATTTTCTATTAAACCTAAAATTCAAGTGTTAAGTTGCTGAGAGATACAATCCCATAGCATTTTGGAACTTGTAACAAGTACTGAGTGTTAGATGCTTGGCCCAGCACTTTGGGAGGCCGAGGCGGGCAGATCACCTGAGGTCAGGAGTTTGAGACCAGCCTGGCCAACATGGTAAAACCCTGTCTATACTAAAAATAGAAAAATTAGCCAGGCTTGGTGGCTGGCACCTGTAATCCCAGCTACTCAGGAGGCTGAGGCAGGAGAATTGCTTGAACCTGGGAGGTGGAGGTTGCAATGAGCCAAGATGGTACCATTACATTCCAGCCTGGGTGACAGAGTGAGACTCCCTCTCAAAAAAAAAAAAAAAAAAAAAAAAAAAAATAGAGGTCTAGGTCTATGGTAAATATATTTTTTCCACTGACTATATAGGAGATAAGCTAACTTAGAGCCCCTTTTTAGTTTTTAAGATAACTTCATTTTCTGGTGTATTGGAGGCATATCTGTTGGCTTGGAATTGTTAGTTGAGCCATCATAGCTTTCCATTATTGTTATAGTTACTAGTGTGCTGGTGTCTATCCACCATATCCTATGATGTTTGTGGCTATAATTCCTAGTTGCAAACATTGAATTCCCTGAGGCAAACTAGAATTTTGTGTCTGGTGTTCAGAAGCAGAGATGTGGGTAGAAGATTAGTGACCTTCCTCTTGCTGCCAATAGAAGCCCACATGTGGAAACATCATTCATCAACACTAATCCTTGGTGTTGTCTAAAATCACATAAACCTCTCAGCACATCTGTCTGTTGCTATACACACCCAACTACTTGTCAAACTTGTATATTAATTTTTTCCTTAGGACACAAAATCTGATAATGTTATTATTAACAAATAGTATAGCTAGAGTCTATAAAATATCAAGTCAATCATCTCAAGTATTAATACTTAATTTTAAAATTAAAAATTTTAAAAAAGGTTTCGGCAAATATTTTCCTTTAGTCTATTATCAATTTTGAAATATTAAGTTTCTTAAATGAGGCTTACTTGTGAATCATTAACTTACATATTTGACATTTATAAACAAAGAAAAATCTCAATAGATTTAAGAAGAGACACAACTCAGAGCCTCCTGCTTCTCGTCATCATCATCTGATTCCCACTGCATCTTGGGGCTGTTTGGACTTTTTATTCCAAGCTACATTTATAACACCTGAAAGCATACGGCATTCAAACGGGCCAAAATAATCTTTCCTTCCTGAATCCCATCCATTCTAATGCAATGAAACCGTCAAACCACATGCATCTAGTTCTTGAGATCGGGAAAATAACTGAATAATATTTTGGTGTCCTCATGCACATGTGTGATTCAAAATTCCACTTTCATAATCATCATACAGGGAAGTTGCCTCTTGAGGGTGTGTACTTTAAGCTACGTTTCAATCTACTTTCCACAGGCAGCAAGATATCTATAATGAACAGAGGATGTCCCACAAACATGTGTACAGATGAGTATGATACACTCAATAGTTATCCAAATCAGTGCTTCCAGGCTAGCTCAAGGTCCATTGAAAGGAAATGTTCCAACTGGAGTATTCATTACAGGGTTCTCTTCTTTCACTTTAAACTGATTACTTTGTGGTTAAGCTGGAGTTAAAAGTTCCACTTCTTCTGTGACTTTATCAAAATGCTTTAGAAGTATTCATTCACTTGTTCAACACATATTTATTGAGTATATACAGTCATCCTATGGTATCTGTGGGGGACTGGTTCCAGGATACCAAAATCCGTGGATGCTTAACTTCCTGATATAAAATGGTGTAGTATTTGCATATAACCTATGCATTATCTTCCCATATACTTTAAATCATCTCTACATTCCTTGTAATACCAAATACAATGCCTGCACATCACTTCATTTGTGTGGATTCAACATAGTACTCAGGGTTCAGCAAATTCAAGTTTTGTTTTGTGCAATTTTGTGGATTTTTTTTCCAAATATTTTTGACCCATGGTTGGTTAAATCCACAGATGCAGAACTGATGGATACATAGAGAGGACTGTATCATGAAACAGGTGCTATTTTAGGTACTGGGGATACCGCAATTCACAGGCAGAGAAAAAAATCTCCGTTCCTCAAAGAACTAAAAATAGAACTACCATTTGACCCAGCAATCATAGTACTGAGTATATATAGGAAAATAAAGCACTCTACCAAAAATACACCTGCACTCACATGTTGATCACAGCCCTATTAAACTATACTAAAGTCATGGAATCAACCTAGGTGCTCATCAATCGTAGGTTGGATAAAGAAAATGTGGTACATATACACTATGGAATACTATGCAGCCATAAAAAAAGAACAAAATCATGTCCTTTGCAGCAACACAAATGCAGCTGGAAGCCATTATCCTAAATGAATTCATGCAGAAACGGAAAACCAAATACTGCCTGTTCTCACTTGTAAGTGGGAGCTAAACGATGACTACACACAGACATAAAGATGGCAACAGTAGACACTGAGGACTCCAAAAGAGGGGATGGTGAAGGGCAAGGGTTGAAAAACTATCTACTGAGTACTATGTTCATTATTTGGATGATGAGTTCAATAGAAGCCCAAATCTCAGTGTTATGCAATCTATCCACGTAACAAGCCTGCACATGTATGCCCTGAATCTAAAGTTAAAAAATAAAGCTCTGCTGTCATGAGGAAGGGAAAGGACAGACACTAATAAAATGGGCAAAATGTATGTTAGGCAATGATACGTACTATGGAAAAATGAAAGCAGGAAAGGGGGAAGACTGTGTGGAGGAGAGGTGGGTGGTGGGATAGGCATGTTAATAGTGGCATCATCGCAGGCTACATTAAGAGACCTCTAGGTACCGACTGACTGGAGTCAGGGACTCTGCCCTGGGGTCTGGTGGCAGAGTGCTCAAGGCACAAAGAAGCACAGATGAGAAAGTCCTGAAGAAAGGGCAGGACTGCCATGCACACAGCGGGAGGCCAGGTGAGTGGAGTGGAGTGAGAGGTGGCAGAAGGTGAGGACAGTGATTTGGGGAGTGTGGGGGTCCATTTCAGGAGGCTTTACAGGCTGTGGTAAGGGCTGTGGCATGTACTTGGGGTGAGATGGGAGTAGAATGGAGGCTTTGATGAGATACAGACACATTCTAGTTCAAGAGAATCACGCAGGTTGCTAAGTTGAGAATGGCTCAAGGGCAACAAGAGTAGAATCAGAGACCCTTGGAGGCTCATGCAATAACCTAGATTGTAGCTAAAGGGGAGGAGCCAGGGCAGAGCAGCGGTGGAGGGAGAAGATAGGGCCAAGAGGTTTGCTAACGATGATCTGGATGTGTGGACTGAGAAACAGTAGTTAAGGGCGACTCCAAGGTTTTTGACCTGATCAGCTGGAAGGACTGAATTCCCATTAGCTGAGATGACAAGGCCTAAAGAAGGAGTAGACTCAGGATGGAAATTAGGAGTTCAGTTTGGGATGTAGGAAGTTTGAAATGCCCATGGGTCATCTAAGCAGAGATGTTGAATAGGGTAGCTTACTATCTAAGACTGGGGCTTCAGGGTGGCTGCAAACATCCCTGTGGGCATACACCTGGGACTTAGAGCTCTGAGAATGAAGGAGGTGACCTAAGGAGTGAGTGTTGGTAGAAGAGAGAAATGGTCCAAGAGCCATGTCCACTCAGCATTGCTCCACCCTTAGAAGTTTGGAGCTAAGAAACCACAAACTAGGCAGGCTTAAAACGATCAACAAAGGGTGTGTTGTCGGTCCTGGAAGCTGAGTGAAAAAAGTTTTTCAAAGAGAAAGGAGTAACGTACTGTCACATTGACTTCTTCCCGTGATCTTAATCCCATGGGACACTAAGTCAGCAACGTTAATTTTATCTCTTAGTCTCAGTTGCCATAGACAAAGGATTCTGCTGTTCATGAATAGCTTTATCTTCCCAGCAAGATGCAAACTTCTTGAGAGCAAGGCTTTTGTTTTCTTCTTTTTCTCTCTCTCTCTACAGCAGTGGCTTTTAAATAGCTTTTGGCTACATCTCACAGCAAGAAATACATCTTACTTTGGAAACCAGTATAAGCACGTATACAAGTGAAAGACAGAGAGAAATACTTAACCTTTTGGCATGCCACACACTGTCTTTATTTTCATTCTCTTCTGTTGTATTCTATTTAATTAAAAATAATGGTGTTTGTGACCCATTAAATTGATTTCACTACCACTAATTAGTTGCTACCATTGCTTAGAAAAGCACTACTGTTAGAGTGTCTGCCACAGTGCTCTGCCACATTCATTATTAATCAGAGAGACACTGTTATTCATCTTCATTCCTTCTCAAGTACCTTCTATAAAGCAAGTACTTAATAGATGCTTGCCAAATGAATAGTTTTGAGACCCTAAAGTAATACTTCTTGAATTGGGCTCCTTGGTCTTTAGTTACCTTTACTTTTACTGATTGTACTTCTGTACTGATTGTAGTCGTGTAGAAGAATATTTCTTAAAACCTCTGTGTCTTCAGAATAAACACAGACCTGCATGTCTTTTTAAAGAGGTCCCTGTGTAGCCAAGAGTCAGACAAAACACCAGCCAGGGTTGGAGATGACAGCCCAGATGAAGTGAGTCCATCATCTGGGTTATCACATGTGCAAAGTTAGGGCAAGAATCCTGAAGTTTGAATGCTTTTTCATGTTCTTGTACATCAGCCTCTGGGGGCCAGGGGCAGTGGTGTTCAAAACATTTTTAAAAACAAGACAGGCCAGGCACAGTGGCTCACGCCTGTAATCCCAACACGTTGGGAGGCTGAGGCGGGAGGCTTGCTTGAGCCCAGGTGTTTGAGATCAGCCTGGGCAACAGAGCAAGACCTCATTTCAACAAACTATTTAAATATTAGTTGGGTGTGGAGGCATGTGCCTGTAGTCCTAGCTACTTGGGAGGCTGAGGTGAGAGGATCTCCTGAGCCTAGGAGCTGAAGGCTCCAGTGAGTTGTGATCAGGCCACTGCACTCCAGCCTGGGTGACAGAGCAAGACTCTATCTCAAAAAAAAAAAAAAAAAAAAAAAAGGACAAAAAGACAAAACAAAACCTTTAAAAAAAAAACTTTCAAGAACAATCCCATCTTTTTATTATAATTTACATAGTATTCAATGTCAATATGAAATATTGATTATTTAAAAATGGGAGTAGAAATCTTTCATTAAATATCTATGACCCAAAGTCGATGGAGCTGGGAAAATCATTAGTACTAACAATGTCTTAGAATTTTGAAATGCCCAACTACAGAAATGATATATAATTTAACCCAGACATTTCATTTAAAGAATCTTTAAAATAAGAGCCAGGTACATGGTAAAGTCCTCAATAAATGTTAGCTAATGTTTAAATCCTTCTCTATAGAGAATGCTTATAAAAGTGGCACTGAAGAAAATAAAATATTTTTCCACCATGTAATTCTTACTTAGGTAGTTTTTCACTTATAAGGAAGGAGGATGGTGCAATGAATACAGTACATCAGGTCAACCTGAGTTCAAATCTGACTCTACTTAGACCAGACATGTGATTTTGGCCTAATTACCTGAACATCTTTTAACTTCAGGTTTTCAAACATAAAGTGAGGACAGCAATACCTACTTCAGAGACTGACTATAAAGATAGAGATGATATAAAGTAACATATGACATGCTAACTCATTCAAAGTGTATTTGTAGGTTGCTTTTTCATATAGTAATCATGTTTAAATAACGGTTAAGTTCCCACATGGTGCAAACCCTTAAAGCTTGTTTCATTCATGATAGAGCTGACCCTTAATGGATTGTGCAATAGATCCAAGACTCTCTGAGCTTGGGGGTGGGAGGGGGTGGAGGGTGGGGAAGGTTAGTACACTTGGGGGAATCTCTAGAGGCCTGTGTATAGGGGACTGTGGATCAGTCAGGGTTCTCAGAAGAGAACAGGAAAAAAAAAGATTTATTTTAGAGATGACTGTGGTGAGTAGCAAGTCTGAAATCCACAGGGTGGTCTGGCAGGCTGGAAACTCAGGCTGGAGTTGATTCTGCAGTCTTGAGACAGAATCTTGTCAATAAAACCTCAATTTTTGGTCATAAGGCCTTTCAACTGATTGGTTGAGGCCCATCCACATTATGGAGGGTAATCTTCTTTACATAAAGTCTACTGATTATAGATTTTAACCACGTGTATACAATTACTTTACTGCAACACCTAGATTAGGGTTTGATTGGGCACTGGGTACTCTAAACTCAGCAGGTGGCTGCACAGAACTAACCATATAGACAGGAATTCGGGTGGGCAGCTTCTGAGGCAGTGGGAGGGAGACTTGATGGGCAGACAGGGCCGCTGCAGTGCTTATTGATATTCAGATTCTCTTCAGCTGTGAGCTGCATATGCTCCGTTCATTTTCTGAGGAACTATGGTTTGGGTCAAAGACGTGAGTGTAAAGACCATCTCCTCACTGGTTGTTCAGGAGACCCACAAAGGCCATGTAAGCAAAGTGAGACTCTTACTGGCTCTGTACCAGCACCTAGCAAGGTGCCTGGCATGTCAATTTCATTGACAATGTTCTTTAAGGGCAAAAGAGTCATTCATGGAATTTTTATTTCTTGTTGACAAATGAACAGGAAAATCTACAGTCACCTGAAACATCCCACCATGGTAAATAAACAGGAAATTGGCCAGGCGTGGTGGCTCACACCTGTAATCCCAGCACTTTGGGAGGCTGAGGTGGGCGGATCACGATGTCAGGAGTTCAAGACCAGCCTGGCTAACATGGTGAAACCCCATCTCTATTAAAGATACAAAAAATTAGCCGGGTGTGGTGGCACATGCCTGCAATCCCAGCTACTCGGGAGGCTGGGGGCAGAAGAATACCTTGAACCCGGGAGGCGGAGGTTGCAGGGAGCCGAGATCTTGCCATTGCACTCCAGCCTGGGAACCAGGGCAAGACTCTGTCTCAAAAATAAATAAATAAACAGGAAATTTATAGACTCATCTTTTATTTAAGCCCTTTGTATTCTGAAAGACAAAGAATTCCATAATGCCCGGCCTTGATAAAACAAATATAGAGCTAACCTTAAAAAAATCAAGATTTACTGTAGCAACTTGCACATACTACTAATGTAACACTGATCACATTGTTTTAAAACCATTTGTTTATAGATCAGTCTCACCCACCAATCTGTAAGCAACTTGAGAGGAGGGATGATGTCATTTGTCTGGCAGAGACCAATATTCATTCCTATAATTCTAGTTCTAAGCAGAGTATAAAAGAAAACAACATATTGTAAAGTAAAAGTGCTCATGAAATCTCTAATTACATCACTCAGGTTGTACCTATTTTATTCAACTGAGAAATAAAGTATGGACACCTTTCATCCCAGATTTTCCTCTACCAAGGGCAGGGAAGAAACCTCGCAATGGTTGTGGGCAAACAGGGATCATGGAGGAACACATCTCCGTGCACGAAGTTGCTGGTGCATGTGTGTAGAGGGGGTATGAATGACCAGTATCCAGAAGAGAGGCTCTTTTGGCATCCAAGGAGCTGCAGTTGGATGTTGCTGTGGAGATATTTGGGGAAGCAAGGCCACAACCCCCAGCAGGGTCAACTGAACTCTACTAGGCCCAGAGAGACCCATCACCAGATCATGGCAGGACGAGTCAAACAGAATCTGAAGACTGTCATCTCACCCTGTGTATTCCAAAGCACATTTTATGGATCACCAATCCTTTTTTTTTTAATACTTTAAGTTCTGTGATGCATGTGCAGAACATGCAGGTTTGTTGGATCACCAGTCCTTAGAAATGTTCTGTGAAATGTGGTTCCAAGAGGGTTTGGGAGATGCTTTATACTGTATTGTTCTCTTAAAGAGTTTCCATCCATATGAGCATCTTAAAGATTCTAGGATGTCTGCCAATATAGAATTCTGAATACAGTACTCAGTTTCTCAAATTCAACTCCTTTTCTTCACATTAATATCTATTCAAATCATCCTTTGGGAAATGTCAGCTTCTTCACATACAAACAAAGAAATTGACATCCAGAATGTAAATTACAGCTTATATGGCTAATAAGTGGCAGAACTGGGTTAGAATTCAGATCTCCTTTGGCCCATTGCACTTTCCCAGTTCATCACACTGCAACTATTTATCTCACCACTGAACTCTTCATGAATACCTTTCAACAAATTCTGTGAAACTGTTTTGATCTCCCTATATCAACATGTAGAAGACAAACATGAAGGAATGGCTACTGTGTATAGGAGGGACTCAGCCTTTGGAAACTTCATATTTTGTGTCAAGCCTGTGCCAGGATATGTTTCATTCAAGTTATCAGTGCAAATGAGAGGTGGTAATAGAGACATGTAAGTGACATGGATCTATACAAATAGGTTTGGGTCACATCTTGTATTTTACACCAAGAACCTAGATCATGCCAACCTTTTGATGGTAAAAACTGTAATGAGAGAAGAATGCTTCGTCAAGATAATAAATGATTACCTTTGCATATAGAAATAACCAGAACCCATGCATGCACACTCCATTATTCCTTCTGTCTCCCGACATTGACTGGAATTCAGTCTTTAGTATCCTCTCTCTGTCACACACACATGAACGCACAAGCACACTTCATATTCAGTGATGATGTTTTTCCTATTACAAAAACTGTGAACTACCCATGGACAGTAATAATGCAGATATATTTCATTTGAGAAAGGCTTTCTTTTGTCATTTTCTTTCTTTACCTTTTTGGTGATGAGTCAAGCTGACCTGCTGGGTGAGATGGTTCAGATATTCATGCTTCCTCCTAGTAACGATGCTGGCTTTCTGCAATTCAAATGACCCACTACAGCTGCACGAGTAGGCACTTAGCCACCTACTCCAGTTAGTAATTATTCGTTTAGACTAAAAAATTCTGAATCAATAGAAAAACATTGAATTAAGCCTCATTTTTGATATCTCATTTGACAAAGGAATCATGTTATTTTTCCTTGCAGTGGATTTAGATAAACATCCAGAAAAAAAAAATGTTTTGTGTTGGAACGGCCACAGAGAACCTTCTTTTTTTTTTTTTCCCAGGAGGGAACATAATTCTAAGTCAGGAAAAATAATTTATGTGGCTTCCTAGTTTCTGCCCAAACCAGCCATATGCTCTCAATATTACTGGAAGAAGTCTGAAACAGAAAATACAAAGTAGGGGCAAGAAGGCCCTTGTGGGGGATGCAGGGGTGGAAAACGGGAGGCAGCTTAGGTGCCCCCCCCATCACTGAGGCAGAGGAGTGAGAGCACCTTTCTCCTTTGTACACCCACTTGTCTGTCAACTTTCCTCCTTCCATTTGAGGCTGCTCCTGGATGTAAATTTTGACCTGCTTTCAGTTGTAATAAATACATGAGGCATAGAAGTAAGAGAAGCTCAAATAGCTTTCTAAAGGAGAATCTCATAAATAACAGTAGCTTTTGTTGTGCCCTATTACATTGGTGGTGTAATTTTCTTTTTTCTTTAATTTTCTATGAATTATAAGATTCCTTCCTTCCTTCCTTCCTTCCTTCCTTCCTTCCTTCCTTCCTTCCTTCCTTCCTTCCTTCCTTCCTTCCTTCCTTCCTTCCTTCCTTCCTTCCTTCCTTCCTTCCTCCTTGTTTTTTTTTGACAGGGTCTCACTTTCTCCCCCAGGCTGGAGTGCAGTGGTGCAATCACAGCTCACTGCAGCCTCGATCTTTCAGGCTCAAGCAATCCTTCCACTTCAGCCTCCTGAGTAGCTAGAACCACAGGCACATGCCACCACGCCCAGTTAATTTTTGTATTTTTGGTAGAGATGGGGTTTTGCCATGTTGCCCAGGCTTGTCTCAAACTCCTGACCCTCAAGTGATCTGCCCGCCTCAGCCTCCCAAAGTGCTGGGATTACAGGTGTGAGCCACCGCATCTGGACTGTTTTGTTTTGATTTACTAAACAGCTTTTATTTTTCTCTTCTGTTACACAGAAACAAACAAAAAGATAATTATTTTGTTTGGGAGGCATTTGGGTATCATGAAATATTTAAATCAGAGATTTCTAGCACGTGTGATCAATGAAAATAGAGGGAAACTAGGACTTCTGAACTGATTTCCTTTTGGAGCATTCTCATAGATGAATCTACAAGGATACAATGATTTGTCTGAATGATAAATTTACCTGAATAATTTATCTGAATGATAAAATTTTGATACCTTTATTAAGATACTTGAAGGTGTTGGTTTACAAAAGATTAAGTACCACAGTGTAAAAATTCTATTGTTGCATTAATTTGATTAGCAATGAAAAACTCAGAATCCATTTCTAAAGAAGTTGATAATACAAATAAAACATTTACCTAAAGACTGACTATACACAAATAATTTCTGCAATTTATCCAACTCATAAATTGGTATAGAGATTTATGGGCCGGGCGTGGTGGTTCACACCTGTGATCCCAGCACTTTGGGAGGCCGAGGCGGGTGGATCATGAGGTCAGGAGATCCAGACTATCCTGGCTAACACGGTGAAACTCCGTCTCTACTAAAAATACAAAAAATTAGCCGGGTGTGGTGGCGGGCACCTGTAGTCCCAGCTACTCAGGAGGCTGAGGCAGGAGACTGGCGTGAACCCAGGAGGCGGAGCTTGCAGTGAGCCGAGATCGCGCCACTGCACTCCAGCCTGGGAGATAGAGCAAGACTCTGTCTCAAAAAAAAAAAAAAAAAAAAAAAAAGATTTATGTAATAGATGATTAATCATAGCACTGGTTGTAAAAGCAAAATGCATGGTAGTGAATACTGTTCCCCAATATGTATTGCTAATATACTAGTTCTTTAACATGTGATGTTAATATAGTACAAAGTAGCTTCATTAAAGAAAGAGTTTTGATTTGATTCAATCCTGTGTTCCCGGTGTCTGGAAGTGAGCTTGGCACACAGTAGATGAGCATTAAACATTTGCCAAATGAATGGACACTCCATATAATCAAATATATGTACATAGGTGAATGTGTACGTACACATATACATATTTGTATGTTTGACTATATGTAGAAAATAGCAGAAGGCGAATGTTAAAATGGTAACAGTGATGGCTGCCTTTGGTTAAATAAGACTGGAACACGGTGGGGGAGGGAGCTTTTACTTTTAACCCTGTATCAATCTGTACTATTTGAATTTTTTTCACAATTAGCATATGTAACTTTTATTAAAAAATGAATTCTGTGAAAGAACCCCAAATGTACGACCACTGGAGATCTGCATTTTAGAATTTGTGTTGTCTTTACATTATCTCACCTTAAAGATACAACTCCATTATGTACACGATAACCTAAGGAACAGGCTTTGACTGGAAATTGATGAAACTTGGACCACAGAATCAGAAATTAGAATCTTCAAAGAATCGTCATTACAGATTATATTTTGCTTTTCCATTTCTTCAGCTTCAACCAGAATTTTATATTCAAAGTTAAGAAAATTTACATGTAACTGTATGCAAAAACCCATATGGCCTGTGTCAGTCTGTACCACTTATTTTCAATGAGATAAAATAGCTTATTTAAACTTTGAATTTTCCCATTGGGTTTAGATGATTTAGCTGTTTATCCAGCAGCCCTATACTTAAAAATAGATGAGATGACATTTGTGGGTTCTTTAAAAAAATACCCTTTGGAGAAAGAAGCAGAACACTAATGCCATATTTACCATTTACATTATATAAGAATGGCAAGTTTTTATAGAATGAGTGCTTCATAGAAAATATCCTCCTTTCTGGCCAGGCGTGGTGGCTCACGCCTGTAATCCCAGCACTTTGGGAGGCTGAGGGGGCAGATCATGAAGTCAGGAGATCAAGACCATCCTGGGTAACACGGTGAAACCCTGTCTCTACTAAAAACACAAAAAATTAGCTGGGCGTGGTGGCGCGCGACTGTAGTTCCAGCTACTTGGGAGGCTGAGGCAGGAGAATCGCTTGAATCTGGGAAGTGGAAGTTGCGGTGAGCCAAGATCGCGTCATTGCACTCCAGTGTGGCAACAGAGCAAGGCTCCGTCTCAAAAAAAAAAAAAAAAAGAAAATATCCTCCTTTCTAACATAAAAGCTATAGCTCTTCTGTAACCAGTCACAATCATTGCATATATGAGGGCATCCCACATAAGTTTCATTATTTGATGATTATAATTAATTTAATGGAAACATAAACATGGTTGGAAAGTTTCCAATAATAGCATAGGAAGATTTTTCTCTCCCTTCTCCCTTCCAATTATGTAGTGCCTCCCCGCCATCGCCATCATTCTTTTATCAATTATTTATTGTGTGTCTGCTATGTGGGAGGCACAGTTGTTATAAAACAAATATAAAGTTGATGTTGACTATATTTAACTTGACCTTATATACCTATTTAATAATTATAGCAACCTGCCAAAAATGAGAAGTGATTAATATTAGCCCTAAACCTGCTGTCATACGATTCCACAGAGTTCAAGATAAGAATTAACATAAGTTAAGCTGAAAATATACTGTCACCTGAAATTGCAAACTGGGTAGGTATACAGGAGAACGATAGTCAATTAAAGTATGAAATATTCAAATCAGTGTTCCAATCTTGGTAGCATTGCTGATGGCAAAGGATGATGACACCAGGAGGAAATGAAAGCAAACACATCACTTTCCTACTCAGAATAGTACACCTATCTTAGGATCTTACTGATTTTATTTATTAAAAAAATACACTTTAGGAGAAAAGTGCATTTATCGGGTAATATGAAAGAGGAAATGAGGTCTGTGTGAGGGCATGGGTATATGCCATCACTATGCAACATTTTAATCTTCAGTTTTTATAGGAGTTTCCTCTGAGCACTCATCAAAGGTAATGGGATTAGATTTTTTTTCTTCCTTTGTCAAATGTTTTCCTCACCCTGAATACTGTCACACACGTCGCAGGTGGATGAGATTTGTCCACTGAGGAGGAATTGCACTTTTCGACCCTCCTAGGATGTGACTTGAATACCTGGCTTGTTCCATGTTGGGCTTGCCACCTGCTCCTGCTCTGAGGTAGCCGCTGACCTAAAGGCATCGCAAGGGTGGTGAGGTGAAGAGGGAGCAAGTGTTCTCAGCCACACATTTTTCCATCTCCCCTCAGAATCCACCTCTCAGAGGTAGCCTAAGTGGCCCTCCTACCGGATGCGTTGTTTTATCACGACTGCAGCTTTCTTTTCTTAGATTCTGCCAATGCTTTTAATGGGCTGGTCCCCTGCGAAGAGCAGGGATTTTGTGTTTTCTTTTGAAGAGCGTGGTAGATTTCTGAGCACCCTGTGGCAGTCTGTAAAAGTGATAAATACAAATGATGAACAATGAAGCAGGCTCTTGAGTTCTGGGGCTGGCTACAGGAGAACTCAGAACGAGGGAAAAAAATAAATCAATTTCTAACACAAAGGCAAGATTTAGCCTCTCATTAGATCCAACTGCTACATGTAAAGAAGTTTGTTAAGAAAATGGCACAGGGATTTTGTGAGGTGGAGCCAAGCCTGCGAAATAGGCTTTCAAGATGTGTTTTCTATCTTCCTTCCAATTTTGGGTGCTATGATGTAACAGGATTTTGAAATCCAAGCATATGTTATTTTCTTTCTTCTTTTCCTTTTATGTTTAAACCTCCATTATGATGAATTAGCTTTCCTTCCTCAATAATTTAGAGTTTATTTTCTATAAAAAGGAAGCATTTAGAAATGTGATATTAGGCATATGGCCCCCTTTCAGATCCTTCCAGTTCTATTTGTATATGGTTTTAGACTCAGCTGTAAATATATTAATTTATGCAGCAATGGATATTATAAATCCTACACTTTATATAGATGTAGGCTCTTTCTTTTCATAAACAAAACTTGAAACAATACTAAATTTTTAAAAAGATAGACATAATTGATAATTTCACTTTGAGAAAGCAAAGTAACCCAGATTGTAAATGTTATGGACAAAGGCTGGGCGCAGTGGCTCATGCCTGTAATTCTAGCACTTCGGGAGGCCGAGGTTGGTAGATTGCCTGAGCTCGGGAGTTTGAGACCAGCCTGGGCAACATGGTGAAACCCCGTCTCTACTAAAAATACAAAAAAAATTAGCTGGGCGTGGTGGTGTGTGCCTGTAAAGCCAGCTATTTGGGGGGCTAAGGCACGAGAATTGCTTGAACCTGGGAGACGGAGGTTGCAGTGAGCCAAGATCAAGCCACTGCACTCCAGCCTGGGCGACAGAGTGAGATTCTGTCAAAAAAAAAAAAAAAAAAAAAAAAAAAAAAAAGTC
Source organism: Homo sapiens (assembly GCF_000001405.40). NCBI lineage: Eukaryota > Metazoa > Chordata > Mammalia > Primates > Hominidae > Homo > Homo sapiens. The sequence goes on from NC_000018.10 coordinate 3,837,885, forward strand.
AGGGACAAGGATAAATGCAAATTGTACACATTTCTCTCTCTTGATTTTATGATAGTTTGGAAAAGAACCATTTTTTAAAAACCAGTATATTACTAATGGATGGCATCTAATGTCTTAGTAATTAAAAAAAATATAGATTGGGATGGAGCCACAGAATTCAACAATGGGGAGAAGAGAGAAATAGAAGGCAGAGACAATTTTAGAATAATAGTCAACTGTCTGTGGAAAAAGGGGAGCTTCAGTTAGTGAATGAAAGAATTGAGTTTTCCTGATGTTTTCATCTAAGATTACCCTCATACCACATGCACAGGGCTTGATCATAAAGTATTTGAAGTTAGTAAAAATGTAACTAGTCCAGTTGAGCTAAGGAAATATCAAAATGTCAATTGTTCTTTCCCAAGTTTAGTCAAGCTAATCAGATTCTTTCAGTTGTTAAGAAATATTCTGTTGTATGGTTTATGTGTAAATATGACTAGAAATTCTCAGCAGTGGTAAAGCATCGTAACTGGGCATGGTTGCTACACATATTTGTATCTCTGATAGTGCCTGGCATTGTCCCTTGCATACACAAAAAGTTCAAAACTACATGCTTAAAAGTGAAGGATTTCACTCTCCCCTGAAAGCACTCTATTTGATAGAGAGCAGCACTCTTTTGTGCTTACAGCAATGAGTAAACTCTTAGAGCCAGGTTGTGAACTGCTTGTTGTGGATATATGCTGTAGACATTTAATCACTTGATAACTCATTAGTGATATATTTAATTCATCTAAGATGATTTATGTTTCAAATGTGAACATGATGCTTTACCATTACTTTTACTATTTAATAAAAAGATAATTGTTGCATCCATTTATAAATTTTGCATTAAACATGACACATTTATCTTTTCAAAGAAAATAATTGTTAATCTTAGAAAATTTTCCTCAAATGTGCAATACACCAGGCAAAAACCAAACTCTGGTTTTACTGTACTTGAAAATAAATTAGCATGCATTTCACATGGTATTTTGTTATTCTCCTTTCATAGCCTGCTTTGGTTAAAAAAAAATCATGTCATAAAAGAGATGGCAAATTAGATCTGGGAGTGAAGAAAACTTGTTCCTAAATTTTATCTTAGATATTGAACTACTAAATAGATGATAATGAAATTAATGTCTATTTCATGCATGAAGCAGCTCTATTACGTGCTTTTATAATTTCTTGCTTTTGAGAGGTTAAGGTGGAAGGGCTTATTTTCTTTAGACACTGATCCTGGGATTCATGAACTTCATTATTCTCTTTATCTTATGATAACTATGCCCACAGGGTACAATTAATGAATTAATTCATCAATCCACTCATTCACATTTATCGAATGCTTCCTGTGTGCCAAGCACTGTGCGAGTAGAAACCACAAGAATCAATAAAATCAATAGACTTATATTTGTCTCTAGGGGGTCTACTGTCTATTGGGGGACAGGTAGAATTATTGGAGGGGAGGGAGCAACAAGCCCTCAAACTTGGTGTCAGCAAAGTGTGAAAATCACTAGAAAATCCACACGTAGGCATTGGTAGCATGGGAGCTAGTTTAAGGAGGTTATACTTGTCTTGGGACTTGAGTGATGGGAAAGACTTTGGCAACTGGGCAAAGAGAAGAGAGGAGGGCAGTACAGAAGTGGGAACAGAAACATGAGCACATAAACAGGCACTATATATACTCATGGGAAGCAGCAAGCTTCACTTCGGACCTAGGGCCTCTCAGGGTACTGCTAGAAACAGATTCTGTTGAAGGTATTCAGCTTGTGCTAATAGTCTGTACTTGTTTTAAAGACCCAGGAGGTCTTTTTCAGAATGTATTTTCTTGAACAGCCTCTTTCTATCACCAACATGGCACTGAGAACAATAGAAAACAGCTCCTTTTGTTTCTGGGACACACCTCCTCTTTTCTAAGATTCATGCCTGGTTGCCCAGGGAAATTCCTCAAACCAGCCTTTATTCTGAGCTGATCACTCTCTTCTGAACAGGACATTCCGCCATCTGCTCAGACACCCTGGCTGTCAGCCCCACCCTGAATCACCAGGCATCACCTCCCTTCTCAAGGAGACCTCACTTCTCTTTATGTCTAAAGCCCCACAAATGGCTTTACTCCTTCAAAACCCTCTCTTTCTAGACTTCCTCTAGCGCCAGCGTTGCAATTCCTCTGACCACGTATTTAGGCACACATATAATATTTAGAGGGCCTCTCTACTCCACATTTAACCCTGTAATATCATCTTTTTTATATTAACATCTTATTCCTCTTTATCAGCTCATTTGGAGCCATGTTTCATTTCCCAAAATATCACCACTATATTCTTTTGGCTGTTGCATCAAATTACCATAAACCCAGTGGCTTAAAAAATCTCATATTTAATCTCTTACAGTTGTGGAGGCCAGAAGTCCAAAATAGTTTCACTGAGCTGAAACCAAGATAGCAGAGCTGGGCGTCCTCTGGAGGCTCGAGGGGAGAATCCATTTCCCTGCCTTTTCCCCTTGTCCCATGGTCCCTTTCTCCATCTTCACAACCAAGAGCAAAGCATCTTCAAATCTCTCTCCGCTTCCACGGCCACATAGTCTCCCTCTGCTTCCTTCTTAAAAGAACACTTGTGATTACATTTAGAGCCCACCCAGATAATCCAAGACAATCTCCCACCTTAAGATCCTTAATGTAATCACATCTGCAAAGTCATCTTTTCCACATAAGGTAACATCCTCAGTTTCCTGAGATTAGAGTGTGGCCCCATCTGGAGCCTCTATTCCACTAACTACGACCACCCACACTAACACCATTGTTAATCGAGTACTTACTCTGTGCCAGGCATTATTTTATGATAGGCACCATCATTATCTCCATTTTACAGATGAAGCAGTTGAGGCACAGAAAGCTTTAGTAATTTAGTAAAGTCATATAGACAGAGAAGTGGTAGAAAGAGCATTCAAATCTAGGTCTGTTCAACTGGAAAGCTGTCACTCATTCACGGAACACCCTGTTGCCTCTCACATTTTCCAGCTGACTGTGTGCGTCTGTGTTCTGGTTTGAATTAAAGGAACCTAAAAACTCTCATGGTCAACACAAAATGGAAAATTTCCCAGAAACTGCACATGTCTCTTCTCTAGCTGTACTTGTAGATATTTCTTCCACAAAGAGCATAGCTAATTAACTGGTTAAGTGGTAACAAGTAGCAGTTTGCTTCCCCAGTGAAATACCAGTGGAAGCCCCCCTAAGTAGTCTGACATCAGGCTACGGTTGAAGAACATGAAGGGCCAACTGAGTTCAGGCAAAGTGCTATGGAAACAGTAATCACAGAGCAGGTCCAGGAAAATAATGCCTGTTTAAAAGGACAATGGAAATGAAACAGAAATGTAAGGCCCAGCTACTTTCTCTGTAGAGAAAGTGAGAAAGGCTGAAAACTCCTGTAGACATAAGGCTTGAAGAAGAAAGCTTGAGAATAAAGAATACAGCACAAAGGGAAGTACTTTCAGTTTAATTTAAGGGAAAAATACACTCAGGGCTGACTATTGGAGATCAGAAGGCAAATGAACACTGGCAGGCAGTGAGAAATTAAGGATTTAAAAAATGATCCTTATACATTTTTAAGAATAAACTTTTTCTTTTATTCTAAGGAGGCAGTAAATCACGTGGAAAATAGAAAGAACTGGTCCCTGGAGTCAAACAGACTGAGGGTCCCATTCCTTAATATCAGCATCATACATGACAACTTGAGCCTCAGTTCTTTCATTTACAAAATGGGAACAACAACACGAAGATTAAGGAAATTATATGAACCACCTTAGCACAGTACTTTGCAGGAATGAGTAGCATAAAAAATCATTGCATCTGGTTTCTGCAACCTCAGCAAGACAAAAGGTAATACAGCTTGTTAAAGAGTCCAGCTAGCTACTAGTGCATTCAGAGAGAATTCACTCTGTGCCAGGCATGGTGCTGGATCACGGGCCACAACTATGAATAAGAGACCAGCTATGTTCTTTCATGAAACGATCTAGTGGAAGAGTCAAACAAGAAAACAGGCAATCCTACCTAAGATAGAAGAAGCATGATAAGGAAATGATGGGTGCTATGAGAGCATATTGGGAGAGGATACCTCACTTAAACTTGGCCAGTCAGAGAAGGCTTCCAGGAGGAAACATTATCTTAGATGAGACTGGAAAGTTGGGAAGAGGTTAAGTAGGGAAGAGAGGAGTTTGGCAGGGGTGGGGGGTGAGGGGTGGAGGGGGTTGTAGGCAGGCAGAAGAGACAAAGGAGGAAGCAGCTCATGCAAAGGTCCTGGGCAAGAGAACATGGCACTGCTAAGAAAGAGAAAAGCAGACCAGTATGGCTGAAATGCAGAGTGGACAGAGGGAGTGTTAGGAAATGAGATTGTGAAGGAAAAAGGTCCCCAGCTACATCATACTCTCTAAGTCATGTTTAAAAGTTTGGACTTTATCCCAAGGGTAAAGAGGAACCAGTGAAGGATTTTTAAGCAGAAGATTTAATGATTTTATCTGTATTTTAGAAAGATCATTTGGGCTATAATGTGCAGGATGAACTGGATTTAGGAGAAACTAGAGGCAGGAAGACCACTAGGAGATATTTACAATAGTCTAGCTGAGAAATGATGGAGGTTTAACTGGGATCGTGGCAAAAGGAATGGCGAGAAGTGGACAGAAATAAGATTTGGTGTTTTTTTTTTTTTCCACTCATTCATTCATTCAACTAACTTTTATGAGTCTGCCTTAGAGGAGAGACACGAGGGTGAGATAGAGAGAGGTATCAAGATTGGCCCCATGTTTCAGCGTTAAAAAAAAGCATAGATAGTGGTGCCATTTACAGGGGTAGGAAACATGGGGTAGCAGGCTCTTGGGAAGATACTGAGTGCAGTTTTTGACATGATAGGTTTTTGTGTCATGCCTTTATTTTTGTAACCTCGATATCTTTGTGTACCCCAACCTGTGAGAATAGATGAGGTCATATTAACAGTAATAACCAAGTCCAGTGATACTTTAGTTCTCTCTCATCTTTGTTCCTCGCCCAGTTAATTCTGATTGTCCACAAGGATGAGCTTCACGTGTATTTGGGAACAAATCTGTTTGCTGCCTTCTGTCAGGCCTTTTTGCAATGGTGCCAAGAACTTCTTATGACTGTGGGCCATCTGTACTGATGCTGCTGCCTCAGTCACCACTGTCCTCAGCTGGTACCTGCTCTGTGGCCTTTGATGTGTGTGTGTATATAGGGAAGGTGGGGGTGCTTCTTTCTCTAGATATTCTCTATTAATTAACTAACACAGAGCTAATATGTGAGTTTGTAAATAACACATGCCTTGCATTTGGCATTGCTAAAAATACCTTCAAGGGCTAACAACTTTGCATCTTATCTCCCAGCATGCATGGGTTGACCACTACAGACAAAAGATCATGAAGCTGATGCTGGCCAAAGAGCCTTGCACATTTTCACCCTCAAGTTGGTTTTATGTAGCAATTGCGGATAAAAAGCTCTGCTGGTATAAAAATCTTCTTATTGTACAAATGGCAGGAAATAGAAGACAACATTGCGGTGGTTACAAAAATTTGTTTCCTAGTTTGTTTCTGCCAGCTTTAAATTGAACATAGATCAATCTATAGGTTCTGAATTAGTAATATTGGGGAGACATGAAATGAGAAAAATAGCAGAATTAAATAAGCATAACAGTGCACGGGGCAGCCCAGCATGCTCTGGAGCGATGAGGGGTGAGAGAGAAAGGAAGAAAAGAAGAAAACAAAATGAACACCTTTCAAATCCAAAACAATGCACCACGTTTGAGCCTCCAATATAGTTTTACAAAGACAGAATAGCCATGAAATCAAACATTTAAGTATAAATAGGTAACATATGTCTGTCTTATTGTTGTTAAAAATTAACTGTGATAGACTGAAATTCCATTCCACATTCCTACTTCTTGATGACTTAGTAAATTACAGGCATTTCAAGAGAAATGCCTAAAAATTTTAGGTGAACCATCGACGATATTTTGGGTGGAAGTAAGTTATATGTGGTAGCTAAATACTTGTGCTCAAGCTCTCAGCATCCTGTTTATACTTCTAGGAAAGACATATGAAATGTGAACAATTTCAAGGAATGAAATAAATGTTCTTCTTTATCTATAAAAGTCTGATTGTGGTGTTTAAAGGCTTCCATGAAACAAAAACACCTGTGCCCACAGCTCGTCTCCCGTGCATAAAAACAGAATACAAAGATGAGACAGTAGGAATAGGAGGAACATTTTCTATTTCTCCAATATTTCCCACATGCTTTGGCTGTTTTTGAATAGACCTTCTGAAATATCTTTTGAGGTCACCTACTTTGTGAACCTAAAGTCTCTGATTTTTCAGGTGACATGGCAGCAAGCCCGAATGTCTGAAAACATAAATCTTAGTTATAATTTCCATTTTTGTCATTTTGCTAGAAAAGAAAAATATGATAATTTCTTCCCCAGCTTGCTAAGCCTTTGCTAGTTTCAGGAATTTCTGCTACCATCTGATGAAAATCAAAATCCCCGTATTAAACACCAAAAAGCTATATCACAAAAAAGTGAAGCCATCCTAGTAAGTGCCTCATCACTTCTTGTTTTTGAGATAGAGTAACCAAGGTAGCAATAGAAGTCTCAGAGAGAGCTGATGGTTTCTAATTCCATAAACTTAGTGGACAAGTACATTTTCCACATGAACCAAAATCATTGCCGCCATGGTGAATCAAAAAAGTAATAACAAAAATTCACATTACCAGCACGCTGTTATTTTAAAAATCCAATTTTACAAAATAAAACTCACCTAAACTGAAGCTGTGGAATAATTTTAGCAATTGAAAATTACTACCTTCTCTAGAATAACATGTACTTAGAAATGAAATGATTCAGAAATCAACATGATGTACGTATTCTGCTTTTCTTTGCAGCTTAGAGCAAATTCAACATCAATTTACACTATATCATAGTAAATATATTCAACAATCAGTGCTTAAGTAATTTAGCCTGTCTTTGCTGCATCTAAATATTCTGCTGTTTAACTAAATTCACTCCATACTATAGATGATAAAAATATTAATATACACATTTCATTCTTATTAAAAAGCTGGATTTCTCCCTTAGCCCTGCAAGTACCATAAGCAACCAAATCAGAGGAAAAGGGTATGTTGGGGCTACTCTTTATAAAATTGTTCATCCCCAGTTCACAGACATCATGAAACATGAAATTAACTCCAGTATGTTAAAAGAAAGATGATAGATTAGCACAGAAATCAAGCACAAAGAAACGATTTATTTTCCTTTCCATAGCCCAGAATTGCTATTAGCTTACCTTATTAGCTGGAATGCCAAACAGAATGTCTTTATGGAAAATTAAGTTCATTATTCATCTCAGCTTTGATTTGGTATAGTGCAGCTGAGAGCATTTAGCTTCTCTCTATGATTTGCCGATTCTAAGTGGTTGAGTGAGGCAGTAAACACAGGACTTGGGGGTGGGGGGAGAGTGGTTGGTCATGGCTCACAACTCAAGATTTGCAACTTTACATTTTCATTCATATAAAGATACTTAATGAAATAAAACCCTATAGCTGAAGAATAACACTTAAGTGAATACTTAGTGCAGATTTTTCAGCCTGTGCAATTTTGCATAGCAGTTGTACTTACAGAGTCTGGCATGCTCACTGTCCCAGCAAAATCATATTGCTATCTTTCATTATCTCAGTAAATTCTGGGCTATTGATCACTTTGCAGCCCATATAGGGGGTAACGTATATTCTGTCAAATGGAAGTCCCCATCAGGGAACGATCCTTGCAGCTTGCTAAAAGAAGCATGCCTGATTGTCTGACTAGTGATGGAAAGACAGATGCCTTTTACAATGTTGAAGTGTGCACATGCACAAATTGGATAGAACATTCAGTCAGCTAACAAACAGAGAGATTTTAAGGAGTAAAATAACAATAGATTTCCATCCTTGAGATATCAAATTCTCTTTTAGAGAAAAATTAAGTAATACTTCTCAACAATTCATTCATTTTCTTCAAAAGAATTAAACGTGTTGTAGAAACCTCTTGGCAAACACTTTTCATTTTTTAAAAAATTGACTTCCATAGAGAAACATCCCAGAAAATCTTATTGAAAGTGTGGTGTGTGTGTGTGTGTGTGTGTGTGTGTGTGTGTGTGTCTCATTTCGGGATGGGGCAAAGGAACTGTTGCAGCGTCCTCTTCCAAGTATTTCACTTTATAAGTTTTAAGTGGGCAGCATTTACTAAAATCCAGCTTTACTGAGTGCAATCTGCAACCACATCAGCAAGATCACTTTTAGGTTATCAATAGACAAGGACAATACAATTTCAGTAGAGCAAAGACTTACACCTTTCCTTTCTTCGTCACCATACAAAACCAAACCCTAAAACTTTCCTCTACTGAATTAATAAAAGCACAGGTGCATTTAATAAGAAATGATAAGGAAAATTATAATTAAATGATTGGTTTGTTTCAAAGTGTTAAGTATAGTGTCACCATATGACCCAGCAATCACGCTTTTAGGCATATACCAGGAGAAATGAAAGCAAATGTCCACACAAACACTTGTACACAAATGTTCACAGCACCATTATTCACAATAGTCAAAAAGTGGAAACAACCCTTGTATCCACTAACTGATGAAAGGATTAAAAGTGTAGTATATCCATACAATAAAACATTATTTGGAATGAAAAGAAATGAAATATTGATACCTGCTATAACATGGATAAATCTTAAAAATAGTATGATAATTGAAAGAGGCCAGTCTCAAAAGATCACATATTACAATATTCTATTTATATGAAATGTCCAGAAAAGGCAGAATCTATAGGGACAGAAAAGTAGACTAGTGGTTGCCCTGGACCTGGGGTAGGGGGACCAGGAAGTGATTGCTAACAGGTACAGGATTCCTTATTGGAGTGAAGAAAATATTTTTATCTTAGATCTTGGTGATGGTTGCACAATTGTGAACACATTAAACCCATTAAATTGTCTACTTTAAATGGGTAAATAATATCACAATAAAATTTATTTTAACATGATGCATTACATTGATTTGTGAATGTTAAATTAACTTTACATCCCTAAGATAACATTTGCTTGCTCATGATATATGATCTTTTAAATATATTGATGTATTCAATTTGTTAAAGGGCTTGCATGTCTATTTTATAAGGAAGCTAGGTCAGTAAATTTCTTTTCTTGTAATATCTTTTTCTTGTTTTGGTATCAGGATAGCATTGGCCTAAGAAAATAAATCCTGTTTCTGAAAAAAAGAGATGTTATAAAATTATTAATTTGCCAAAAGAACGTTGTCATATGTTTATAATTATATGAATGAGTTTTATATAACACATTCTACACAAGGCAGATAGGGAGAGGTTGGGGAAGAGAAAGGATGACCCCAAATGTGGGATGCTCTTGAAGACTAGAAGGCTGCAGACGTATCTCAAGAACCACCTGTGCCGGTGTTTTATCATGGCTAATTTTCAGCAAGAAAACAAATCTCCAAATCTGCAAGAGTAAGAGCACCAGGAAAAAGAGGAGGACTAGGAAGAAGAGGAAGAAGAGAATAAAGATGAAGGGGAGGAATAAAAGAAGGAGGAAGAGGAAGACAGAGGAGAATAAGATGAGGGGGAGAGCTGTGTTTGATCAAGAGCATGAAAGGGCAGGCAATTCAGGGGAAGGTAGGATCACCAAACGTAATTATAGCAACATCCTACCAAATGATCCAGACGAGAATAAAGGAAGCCTAGAAAGAAACCAAAAGAATTGCACAATGAGGGTTTTGAAGTATTCCAATGAAAGAAACCTGTTTTAAACATGAGAGATGGGTTCACAATCAAGAAAGAACACAGGTAAGTGATAAGTGCCTACACAAAGTGCCCCAAAAGGGCTAAAGCCCAGAATGAAATGAGGTTTGTGAATTTTAAAAAGAGACAAGGGCCAGGCACGGTGTCTCACTTCTGTAATCCCAACATTTTGGGAAGCTGAGATGTTTGAGACCTCCCTGGGCAACAGAGTGGGACCCTGTCTCTACAGAAAATAAAAAAATTAACCAGGTAAAATTAGCATGCAAGTAGTCCCAGCTGATTAGGAAGCTGAGGTGGGAGGATCCTTTGAGCTCAGGTGTTTGAAGCTGCAGTGAGTCATGATCGTGCCATTGCACTCCAGCCTGGATGATGGAGCAAGGCCCCGTCTCAAAAAAAAAAAAAAAAAAAAAAAAAAAAAAAGCCAAGGACAGTAAACACAAAAAAGACTTTTTAAAAGAGATGGCTTAGAATGAATAGAATGAGGAAAATCCCAAGGCTTGTTCCAGATGGTACAATGTGAACAGATGATAATGAAAGAGGAGGAAGAGGAGGAGGAGCAGTAGGGAGGAGGGAGGAGAAGGACAAATATCAAACTCTCACACTTTTATTTTTCTACTATTTTCTCTATCAGAGGACATGATCTTCAAATTTTAAAAGGGAGAAGACGCATGGTAAAGAGAAATTTGAACTCCAGCAAAACCTCTTCTATGCAGATGACTCATGCATTTATATTTTTGTTCCAGAACTCCCATGTGAGAGTCAGGTACCTGCCAACTTCACTTAGATACTTCAAAGTGCTGCATACATAGCACCTTCAAAACCAAACTCTCCCGCCCCCATCTCCACCCCAGCAGTAAAAGTACTGGGCTCCTGTAGAGTTCTGTACTTCAGTGAATGGAACAACTGTCTTCTACGCAGGTCAGAAACCTGGGTACTCTTTTTGGACACTTCCCTCTCCTGCCATATCACCAAGAGATATTGATTTGGAATCTCCGGAAACCACCCACTTACCCCAATATCACTGTCACCATCCTAGTCCCAGTAACCATTTTCTTGCACCTGGATATTACATTTGTCTTCTAACCGATTCTCCTCTTCCACTGTCCTTCTCCTTCCACTCCATCCAAAAGGATGTTTTCAGAGGGCAAAGTAGATATTAGCTTTCTTTGCTCCTCCCCCCAACACTAGCAAGGATATAAAGATTCAAATGTTAAACGTGACCTCTGGGGCCCTGTGACATGGTCCTGCATCTTTCCAGACTTATCTAGCACTATCTTGGTGATCCAGCCGTGCTGGATTCATTTCTCACCCTTTTGTTTCTTTCTGCCTTTGCAAACGCTCTTCCCTCTACTGGAGGCATGATTCCCTTGGCTCATTGTCTGATTAAGTCTAGATTTTCTTCAGACCTCATCCCAGTCTTACTTCATAGGGCATGCTTTGCTGAACATCTCAAGTCAATATGCGATTATCTAATCTCTTCTGTAGGTATTGAGCCAAGTGATCATTTGGGATCAACTTTACTTATGAGCAGAAGGCTCAAAAGGTGCATGGGTCACTACACTCTTAGTATCTTCAAAGAGACTCACCTAAGGTTGAGTCTCTTTGTTAAATTCACTGTGGAGAGAACTGACTCTCTGCTAGCCACCCTTCTAATAGGATGAGTATGAGGGGTGCATTGCATGGAGGGAGGCAGGAAATAAACACTTTGAGATCAAGGACACTACAGAAGATCTCAGGTACTAGATGCATAGGGGAGTGCTAAGAAATACCAATTCCGCATGCCCTAGACTCCATAGGGCCCTAGTCCAGTGGAAAGTTGAATTCTGCTATCATTTCTCCCAATGAAGAAAGGGACAGCCCTGATTGCAGACATTTCACTGCCAGAGAACCAGGGCAGAGCTCCCAGAATAGTTCAACAGCAGCCCTTACCATGGTAGTAAACTGACATTCATTTGTGTGATTGATTTGAGAATGTTTATCTCACCACTGAACAATGGGAGCGCAAGAGCAGCAATCATATATGTTTCTGATCATCTTGTTATCCTTTGCCTCTACTCGGGGCCTAGTGATAGTAGGCATTTAATAAATATTTTTGAATGAATGAATGACAGAGCTCTTAAATTGCTAGGCTGTGCTGAGAGGGTAATGACAGCATTAACTGCGATTAGCAAAACACTTGAAACCAAGTGTTTTATATAGAGTGTTAGTACTAGTGGTCTTGTTTATAAATCTGACCTTTCTATATCTTTCTCTGGCCAATAACACTGTGATGCCATTAAGGCATGAAGATTCAATATTAGTCAAACACATACATTCTGCTTAGAAAATTAGCATGTGGGATGTTGAGGCCAGGTGCAGTGGCTCACGTCTGTAATCCCAGCACTTTGGGAGGCTGAGGTGGGCGGATCACTTCAAGTCAGGAGTTCAAGAGCAGCCTGGCCAACGTGGTGAAACTAACAAGACAAAAATTAAAATACAAAAATCTCTACTAAAAATACAAAAATTAGCCAGGCATTGTGGTGGCTGCTTGTAATCCCAGCTACTCGGGAGGCTGAGGCAGGAGAATCACTTGAACCTAGTGAGGCAGAGGTTGCAGTGAGCTGAGATTGTGTCACTGCACTCTAGTCTGGGTGACAGAGCAAGACTCCATCTCAAAAAAAAAATTAGCATGTGGGATGTCGATTTAAAATATTATAAGATCCATTAGATGAATGATTTAATTTTCCCAATGAAGACATTTTTCTTTTTAAAAAGAGGACACACCTAAAAATATTAAGCTCGAATTTTTGTGCTTGACAAATTATAACACAAAGAACTTTTGGTAGGGCCCCCAAAATCAACCTGGGCATTCTTAAAGATTGTTAAAAGAAACGGTGGTGGCAAAACACTGAAGATAGACAAGACTTTTGAAGCTTTAAAGAAATATGTTCTGTATATAGTAGCATGATAGGCTTGACTTTATACCTCAGCATCATCCTAGAACAGGCTGTTAAATGGAAGGTCCGTGAGTGCTTAAAGAAGCAACCCACATTTACAAAGAAGTAGTATGCTAAGCTGACTGTGCTTTATTTTTATTTTTTATTTTTGAAGATTAACTTGGTTGATAGGTAAACACACACACTGAGATTTCTTATAAAAAATCATCTTTATAGAAAAAAAACAGGAGAAAAAGATTTCTAAATGGTAACAGGACTGGTTTTCACAGGAGCTGAATTTTCTCACTTCTCCTGGAATCTATTCCAAACAACAAAACAACAATACAACAAAATGAAAAGAAACACCCACAAATTACATTTTCAGCAAAACCAGCAGAAAATCCACAGACTCCAAAGTCAGAGTCAGGCAGAAAGCCAAGGAGAAAAGTCTTAATACTGTGGTAGGTAAGTGGGAGGTATGAAGGGGTTCTAGATATAGCAGAACTCAGAAATCTCTGTTGAATATCCACTCCCCAAAAGTAAGGGCCTTAATCCAAGAGGAAAGTGCTGCAGAAAAGACTGAAATTTACGCAGCAGGTGGAGGGTAAATGGCAAATCTCATTAGGGCCAGGAAAATTCTAAAAGTGTTACTGAAAGTGACGGCATCATTTGTGTTCCCATGTGACAGGCAGCCTGTGAAGTGATCCATGAAGTAATTGAGGAAGAACAGAACTAGGTTTGGTTCTGAGTCAGATGATGTGTGACTATATAGATGGATCATATTATGAAGAAACAATTGTAGCAGCAGCAAAGGAAGCCTTTGATGCTTGGAAAACTACTGCCCATCATTCCCTCTACAGGAACATTCTTTTGATTTCCTAGGAAAATTCAACTCATTCAAATAGGAGTAATATACAAGTAATACACATACAGATATGATAAGAAATATGGCCTATGACATGAATTTACCTATATAACAAACCTGCACAATATCCTGAACCTAAAATAAAAGTTTAAAAGTAAAAAAATAAAAGAAACATGAAGAAGACCAGTCAGGAATTTCTTGTAAATAATGAAAACTCAACTGAAATATATGTTGTCACAAAAAAGATTAAAAGCATAACCCAACATTGTTATTAATTAAACCAATAATTAATGAAGCAGTTATAGCTATAAAAGAAGATCACAAAGCAGAGTTGTAAGAACTCAGGGAAGAAATGAGAAGAAAACAGGAGGTTACTGGTACACTGCTGGAGGATGTCAAATGGGAACTGGCGGAATTGAAGGAAAGGAAGGTAAAGGAAGGGACATAAAAGATAAAAAGTGAAAATGCAAGTAAATTATACAGAGGCAAAAAAGATAAAGAAGGATTAGAGAGAAAAGGACATGTATCGAATATGGCAAAGGAGAGCCATCATATGCATAGCTGTGATCTCAGAAGAAGAAAGCCAAAACAATGGAATAGAATAATTACTTTAAAATATAATTCAATAAAACTTTTCTAAAATAAAAAAGCCTTAAATCTACTTATGAAAAAGATATCCATTGTATCAGTGCAAAGTCGTCTAGAATGATCAACCCAAAGACACATCCCAGAAAAATTTTTGAAAAGAATCCTTAAGGCAGTCAAGGAAAAAGATAAAAATCAGTTAAGGAAGAGAAAATGAAGTTGACATCAGATTTATCCACAGAAATATCTAACCTCAGCAAAGAGTGGAGCAGGATCCATAAGATACCAAGTTAGAAGGCAGGAGTCAAAGATTTTCTCTCTAATAACGCTCCCCTTCAGTATCAAGACTCAAGGAAAAAGGCAGCTTTGAGCCTGCCAGGATTTGGGTAACACTGTTTCCTCATGTTTTCTAGGGGAAGATCCTAAAGGAGGTGCTATAGACTAACATGAATCAACAGAGAAATGTCGGCAAAAGAACCTGTGGCCAGTGTTTAAATGATCCAACATGACAGGAAGTTCCTGTTGGCTACATATATATACCCTTTAAGAATTTTTTTCTATTCCCAATTTGTTATAATAATTTTTTTGTTAGATCATTAATGGCTGTTGAATATTTGGAAATACCTTTTCTGCATATATTGAGACAATCCTATGTGCTTTTTATCCTTTAATCTTTAAGCACTGAGAGTTATGTGAATATCTTTTCCAAAGTTAACCTTTCTTTTTGTTAATAAATAATTGTCATCTGGCCATGTTATTTTACATTATTTTTAATTATTTAATTGTATTTTTAAGTTTATTAAGAATTTTTATGTCAGATTCATGAAAGAAATTGCATTTAAATTTTTCTTTCTTAAATGGCCCTTGTCTGGTTTAAGTCTATATTAAATCCTGAAACTAGTTGGGCATTTATTTTTTGTTGTTGTTGTTGTTCTAATTTCTAGAAGAATTTTTATACGACAGGGATTACCTCTTCTTGCAGGTTTTATAAAAATTAATAGGGTCTGGTCTTTTTCTGAGTAAATTTTAAACTAAAATTTTAAATTTTAATATGTCAGTTTCTTAAGTTGTTATGGATATATTCAAGGTTTCTGTTTTTACTGAGTTTTGAATGCTTTATTTTTCCAGGAAACTGAACACTTACATTTTCAAGGTACAGGTTGAGTATTCCTTATCTGAAATGCTTGGAACCAGAAAGGTTTTGAATTTCAGATTTTTTCGGATTTTAGAACACGGTCATGGGCCAAACGACATTTTGGTCAATAATGATTGGATGTAAGACAGTAGCCCCATAAGATTATAATACCATATTTGTATCTTTTCTATGTTTAGGCACACAAATACTTATCATTGTGTTATAATTGCCTACAGTATTCAGCACAGTAACAGGCGGTAAGATTCTGTGATCTAGGAGCAATAGGCTATATCATAGCTGAGGGGTGTAGGAGGCTCTACTATCTAGGATGTGTCAGTAAACTCTATGATGTTCACACAACAACCAAGTTACCTTACAGTGCGTTTCTCTGAAGGTATTCCCGTCATTAAGTGATGCCTGGTTGTGTTTCCATCTTACTGGTTCAGCAACCCCAATCCAAAAATCTGAAATTCAAAATGCTCCAATGAGCATTTCCTTTGAGTGTCATGTTGGCTCTCAAAATGTTTTGGATTTTGGAGCATTTAGGATTTGAGATTTTCAAATTAGGCACACTCAACCTGCACTCGTATGAAGTTTGTTTCTGTTTTTGCTCATATGATAGATTTAATATCTACTGCATATATATCCACGGCCCTTTTTTCATTTCTGTTAGTGTTTATATTGTGCTTTCTTTTTTTCCCTCCTTGGTGACTTTACTCAGAGGTTTATTAATATTATCAGTCTTTCCAAAGAACAACAACAACACAAACTTGCTAACAGTGATTATGTCTGGGGGATTTCTATTATCTTCTTTATGTTCTTAGGTATTTTACAAAATGTACCCAATAAATGCATATTAAGTTTATGAACCCCTCCCCCTAATAACACCTGTAACAAAGTAATATGCTTTTAAATAAAATTTTAAAATGTAGACTGGATAGGAGATTCATAACTGGTTGAATGACTTTTCCTAAATGGTATCTAAATAATTTCATGAAAAAGAACAGGACAGTCTCTAGCGAGAAGCAGAGTCTTTCTTTCTAGCCCTATTCTGAACTTTTAAAAATTGCCAACTTCAACAATGAGATATTGGATACAATTATGAGTATTAAAATATCATACATACATTGGTGGGGGAAATATTTAAAATATTGGATCTCAGATTTAGCATTCCCCAATTTTGTTATTGTTTTGAAAACATTCTTTTTGGTAATTCAAATGACACTTTTAGATGAGCGATTTAGAAACAAGTTGTTCTTTCCTCAAGATTCTACTGCCATTTTCTGGAAAATTATAGTAATAAACGAATAACTGTAAGATGACTACTAACGTAAGTGGAGCTCCCTAGAGTTAGGTAGTGCACAAGCTGCACATCAGTAACCAGTGGCCCTTGCCTAGAATACACTCATATCTATATAATAATATTTAATACAGATACATGTAATTGTAATACTCTACATTGTGTTAAACCACCTGAGTGTGCAGTACAGTGTGGGGAAACCTATCAGTATGATTTCGTGTGAAAAAATGGTCCTAGAAATTTTACCTGAGTGTGAGGCAGCCTGACATGATTACCAGACAAGCTGGTACTTTGATAGAAGTTCATGGCCAAAGAGTTCCACTGAATGCTGTGAAGTCTGGACCCAAATGAAATAATAATATTCACGCTATGACACCATAAGCTAAGAGGGATGCTTTTCTTGGGATGAGATACAATTTGTCAGATGAGATGCTCAAAGTCCTGTTCTTAAAGAATTGCTGAAGGCAATATTCACAATAGCAAAGTCATGGAATCAACCTAAATGCCCATGAACGACAGACTGGATAAAGAAAATGCAGTACATATACACCACGGAATACTACGCAGCCATAAAAAAGAATGAACTTATATCCTTTGCAGCAACATGGATGGAACTAGAGGCCATTATTCTAAGTGAACTAACACAGGAACAGAAAGCCAAATACTGCATATTCTCACTTAAGCCAAACATTAAGTACATATGGACACAAACAAGGGAACAACAGACTCTGGGGCCTACTTGAGGGTGGAGGGAGGGAGGAAGGTGAAGATCAAAAAGCTGCCTATCGGGTGTTACGCTTATTACCTGAGTGACAAAATAATCTGTACACCAAATCCCCTTGGCAGGCAATTTGCCTATGTAATAAACCTGCACATGTACCCCTTACCTAAAATAAAAGTAAAAAAAAAGCTGAAGGAATTAGTTCTATCGATGGTGGAAAAATGAAGACTTAAGTGGCAAATAATGGTTTGCATTAAACATTTGAAGGAATGCCATGTGGAGGAGTAATTAGGTATATTTCCTGTTGTTTTACAATCAACAAAAGGGAGGTAGATTTTAAAAAATTAATTAATTAATTAATTTATTTATTTTGAGACGGAGTCTCACTCTGTCATCCAGGCTGGAGTGTAATGGCATGGTCTCGGCTCACTGCAACCTCCACCTCCCCGGTACAAGCAATTCTCCCACCTCAGCCTGCCAAGTAGCTGGGACTACAGACGCGTGCCACCACACCAGGCTAATTTTTGTATTTTTAGTAGAGACGGGGTTCACTATGTTGGCCAGGCTGGTCTGGAACTCCTGACCTCGTGATCCGCCTGCCTCGGCCTCTCAAAGTGCTGGGATTACAGGCGTGAGCCACCACGCCTGGCCAAAAAATTTATTCTTATTTTATGGCTCCAAGACAAATTCAAAGAGAAGTGGATTTGGATTCACAATACAGAAGAATCGTCTACAAAGCATGTCAAGAATGGAAAGTGCCATTGGGGTGGGAATCCAGGCCACTTTTCTAGAGATCACTGGTAATATGTGCAAGGAGTCAATCTATGTGTAATATTTAGTGTTTTGCATGACTGTTGGCCTGGCTCATCTACTTCCAGGAATTTTTCCTGAATAAACAACTAGATGATTATTGAAGAGTTTGTAACAGTAAGGGATTTGAATAGGTTACTAAGTAAATACAAAGAAAAGAAAAAGAAATGTGAAAGAAACATTAACGAGAGCAAAGAGAGCTGGGAAAGAGAATGAACTCAACGGAACAGAAACTACAATTATAAGCACTGGGGTAAAAAAGAGTGTGAGACATTATTAGAAAATGGCCAGTCAAAATAAGGTTGAATGCAAGACACTGAGGCAATGGCCCAATTTTTTTGTTAATTAGATGAGAGAATTGTGATTGCTAAAATTAAACTTAGATTGAGGAACTCTGGTGAAGTGAGGTCAACAGAAATAGCTAATAGGTGGGAAATTACCTTAGTCACTTGAAACAGAAGAAACCTATTACTAATGGGTATTAAATTATTTATAATATAAAGAAATACAGGCCAGACGCGGTGGCTCATGCCTGTAATCCCAGCACTTTGGGAGGCCGAAGCGGGCAGATCACGAGGTCAGGAGATCGAGACCATCCTGGCTAACACAGTGAAACCCCGTCTCTACTAAAAATACAAAAAATTAGCCGGGTGTGGTGGCAGGCAGCTGTAGTCCCAGCTACTCGGGAGGCTGAGGCAGGATAATGGCGTGAACCTGGGAGGCAGATCTTGCAGTGAGCCGAGATTCCGCCACCGCACTCCAGCCTGGGCGACAGAGCAAGACTCCGTCCCCCTCCAAAAAAAAAAAGAAACACAGCTGATTATTTAGTGTCATGCTACATCCATAGAGGACTTCAGTATATAGTATGAAGAAAGTGCTTGCTCTATGTATTAAATTATTTATAATATAAAGAAATACAGCTGATTATTTAGTATAATGCTACATCCATAGAGGACTTCAGTATGTAGTATGAAGAAGATGCTTGCTCTGTAAGTGTGCACTCTAGGCTAGATATTGACCCAGACATTTGTGATGTCTCCATCTGAAAATAACAAAAAGAGCCGAAAACCTCTGTAGATTATTATTTAAAATTAGAATATTTAAATTATTTTAAGATGCTAAGAATTACTTGCATTACTTTCTTCAAATTGAAGGATGTGCATAATATTTGGGAATTCTAACCAGGAAAAGAGTTTTAGCCTTTCATTGAAAATGACATTTATGGTATTATTCAAAATGGTAAAAAGCTGTTTAAAAATTCAAATGACAATGAATAGAAATAGAAATGAATATTCTAGCCATGGTGTATTTACATACTATAATAACAATACATATTTTCATTAAATGATAGAGTATTATTGAAAATAATAAACATTTATCAAAATGACACAAAATGATTTTTACCCTACCAGTTTAAGGAAACTCTTGGCATGTGCAGTAGTTACTTCCCAATTGCCAAGTTCACGATCAAGCTTTCCATTCCTTGTCTGACTGGACCACTCCTTGGTAGTTGACTTTGTTAAACTTTCCCTGTTTCTTGAAATCCTCTTCGTCTCCCTTTACTCCCACACTTTTCTGGCCTATTTTTATGACCTTTCTTAGTGCTTTTCCTATGATTCCTGCTGTGTAGCCCAGGAAGTTGGCTTGTGATGTCTCATCTTCTGACTTTACACATGCCCCAGTGTGACCTCATTCACTCTCAAACTCCTCTCAGCCTCCTATGTGATAACTCCCCAGTGCCTTTCTCCAGTTCTGATGTCTTCCAGAACTGCACAATCATAAATCCAGCTGCCTTCATTCCTCCCTCTTCCTCATCCACCCCACTCAATTCTTGACCAACTTGATACTCTCAAGATACAGTAGAAAGGTGTGTTTACTTCTCTCCATCTTTATTGCTTCAATCCTATTCCAAACACAATCATTTCTTATCTGGTTTACTATAATAACTTCCCAAATAGTATCTGAATAAATGAACATTTGCCTACGGGATATCTTCAACTGAATAGGCTTCAGGCATATAAGATTCAGCAGGCCGAGAACAAAACCAACTTCTCCATCTAAATGTATTCTTTCTCCTACATTAATTATCTCAGTTGGAAGTATTGACAGGCACCCAATTTTTCAAACTATAAATTTTTCATCATTTTTACTTTTCTCTTTCCAGACACCTCAGTAGTTCAATCACTAAGTCCAGGTGATTCTATACTTAAAACATGTTTTTTCCTATTTAAAAAACTTTAACCATCAGTTCCCCTCTCCTCCCAGGTTGGTGAGAGCTCTTTGAGGGCAAGAGTCATGTCCTTTCAACTTTGTATTCCCAGCCTTTAACAGAGCCCTTAATCTGAAATATACTTAGTGCTCACAAGTGTCTGAATTAAAAATTATATCATATACAACAAAAGGGAAACATATATATATATACGTGTATATATACATATATATACACGTATATATATATGCACACACACACACACACATATATATATATAAAACACCTGATTGCAAATGTGCAAGATGTATGCATTTACATGTATAGATACTGGAAGGGGATTTCAAATGACATGAATAATTGGTGTTTTACTATAAAGTTAAGAGACTGATAAAAATTTCAAATAAGAAGCAGCAAATATGTTACTCATAGGCAAAGGGGAATCTAGATCTAATAAACTAAAAAATTGTCTGGCATGAGATTCTTCTGCTCTAAAAAGCTTACTAAATGAGCTTTCACATGATAAACATTAGAGGGCATACCATCTCACAAGAAAGGAACACTCCTTTTAGATGACACTAAGAGTTAACACTTTAAATGTAAGAAGAAAAGTGGTGGATGAAGCTATTGAATGCTTATGTTTCAAGAAGAGTGAACAATAGAACTTTCATGCTTCAGAGCTTTTTCCATACATGAGGTTATAAGTATATTTTAAGTGAGATGTTAGAGCAGGTGACAATTTTTAACAGGGACTAAAAAATTAATTGCAACTCAAAAATTAACAATATTTAAGAGTGAATGACTGTATACTGCAGAGTATGTAAGTAAGTACACCATCTACAAGTGCTCTGATTTCAAATAGTGATTTGAATGGACATGCTGCCTAACTATTTTAGAAGAGTATTCTTTTAAAATAATCTAAAAAACACAGAAATGGATGGTATTTTCATTTCATCACCATATACGTGAAATATCCAGGGACCAGTGCATATATACAATGATCTCATTTAGCTGATAGGCAATAGATATATAATTTCACACATCTTTCACACCAAGTTTAAAAAAATGGTATTAAGTTTAAGAAATAGCTTATGTTTTAGATAGTAGATTCTGTAGTAGGCAGATTACGGACTCCCCAAAGACGCCCATGTCTTAATCCATGGAACCTGTGAATGTTACCTTATATAGCAGAAGGGACTTCACAGATGTGAGTAATTTACTGGTCTTGAGATGGGGAGATTGTCGTGCATTATCAAGTGGGCCCAATATAATCACAAATAAGTAGAAGGAAAGTCAGAGCGAGAGTTGTGGCCACAGACACAGATCAGGGTGATGCAATTGCTGGCTTTGGAGATGAAGGAAGAGGCCAGGAGTCAAGGAATGTAGGTGGCTTCTAGAAGCTTGAAAAGGCAAGAAAAGGGTGTCTTCTCTAGAAACCTCCAGAAGGAACATAGCCCTACTGATGTTTTGATTGTAGCTCATTGAGACCCATTGTGGACTTGTAACCTGCAGAACTGTACGATAATAAATTTGCGTTGTGGGCCAGGCACGGTGGCTCACGCCTGTAATCCCAGCACTTTGGGAGGCCGAGGTGGGCAGATCATGAGGTCAGGAGATCGAGACCATCCTGGCTAACATGGTGAAACCCGTCTCTACTAAAAATGCAAAAAATTAGCCAGGCGTGGTGGTGGGCATCTGTAGTCCCAGCTACTCGGGAGGCTGAGGCAGGAGAATGGCGTGAACCTGGGAGGTGGAGCTTGCAGTGAGCCGAGATTGCGCCACTGCACTCCAGCCTGGGCGACAGAGCGAGACTCTGTCTCAAAAAATAAATAAATAAATAAATTTGCATTGTATTAAGGCACTAAATTGGGGGCATTTTGTTATTGCAGCCATAGGAAGTTAATACAGATGCTGAAGGGTTTCATGTGCTCAAAACCCTGATAAGTGAAACTGTAATCTCTAACAGTAACTTTTGCAATGTCTCTTAAATCTGCTCTCTTGCTTCAGTTCACACTGCTAACACTGTGTTTTTTCAGGCATAATAATAATAGGATTTATTGAGGCATCATATAATGTCCCATTTCCAAGCATTGGTCTGCACCTTCCACATGTATTAACACAATTAATTCTTTTGACAACCCTGTATGATAGGTATTTTTATTATCTCCACATTACAGAGGAGGAGACCATGGCAGATAGACATGAAATATCTCACTCAATGTTGTATAACTGCTAAAACACAGGATTTGAACACAGCTTTCTGGTAGCAAAGCTATATTTACTCTTCCCAGAATGAACTTCATGGCCCTTGAACTGCATGGCTGTCAATGAAGGTGAACGCCTCACTAATTTACCATCTATGTTGACTGTTGAATTATTGTGGCAGACAGAATTTTGGCTCCCATGATCTCCACCTCCTGGTGTCATGCCCTTGAATTTGTGACGTTTCATGGAAAAAGGGACTTTGCAGATGGAATTAAGTGATTTTCAGGTACTTGTCAGGCATGGGGGATATAGGGCTGAACTATTGAGAGATTAACAAATAATGAGAAAATGCTAAGAGAAATCTCTCCCGTTATACTCCCATAGAAATACTTTCAAGGCTTCAGAGATATGATATTTCAAATGAGGAAACGTCCTTATCCTCCATCCTTCCTTACTTACAATCCAGGTTTAAATTCTTTCTGTAAACTTCCCTATTCTTTGTTCAGATACCTTTATGCTTCTCCCTTTGCCCATGTATTTAGTTATTTAATGTTCCACTGGACTATAAACTTTTTCAGAGTAGGAACTGTTTTAGAAGTCTTTGAATTCCCATTTCCTATCAACTTCGACGCTTATATAGAGAAGATCTTCATTGTTTGTTACTTGAATCGATTATTCAGGAAAAACTCCTTTACAAAAAATCCTATGACAGGGATTACATTGTTATAGGAGCTCCAAATTCCAATAGAGGATCTGTTCACTTCAGCTAATATTCATCCACAATAATAATTCTTTAAAAACTTTATATTCCTCAAATTATTCTACAGGCTTTCCTAATAAACTGTCATCATAAGGAAGAAGGAAAGCCATCAATTTTATGCTTTTAAGGAAAAAGCATATAATTTTTTAAATGTCATAATTTAAACTTGTTAGTGACCCCTTATTTCTTCTGGGCACATGATAAAGGCTAAGAACTTTTCTTCTAAGCAAGATGAACATCTCACCCACTCCCCTGACTTTTATATAATTTCAGGAGTTTGCTGATTGTGTAGAGTCCAATCTTGCACATCCTACAGGGCACACAGCCTCAGATAGAGAACACCTGAATTAGGTGGATGAGATGCCCTGCCCTTCTGCGCTTGACTTTCTGCCCAGTGCCCCCACCCTGCCCTCTACCCCATCCAAAGGTCTTTTTGAGATAGGATTATTTCAGAAGTCAGTCAAATGTGCAATCTCAGCAGTTCTGCTTCTGTGCTGCCCCAGCCTGACTAGTGACAACCCTGCTGATGTTCCAATCCTAAACATTATCTTCCTCTGACAGTCCACATTAGGGAATCCTGCCTCAATAAGCTTTTCCAATGGGCCTGCCACCAATGGCATTGTTCTGATTTGTTGGGCTGAAGTGATCTCTCTCTTTCCAGGCCTCAAAGATGGCGAAAGAGTGCCTGGTTTCAGAGAGCAATACGAAAAATGCAGCTTTGGAAGTCTGGTGAGTAAACAAATGAAGCCAGACGTTGACACTTGTACATCAATCATGTTCATTTTTCAATGTGCATTGGAAAGGTTTGAGACTCACTTGTCTCAGCAAACAGGGTTCAATTAAACCAGTACCCTGGATAGGCCATAATGGACACTCCAAGGGCCTTTCTGGAAAGCCCTTTCCCTTTGGCCAAAGGCATAAGCAATGTGGGGTAGACAGGAGTCTTTTGGGTAACACGTAAACTGAACCTGTCAGAGGATGAGGGGCCCTGTCTGAACGGCACCAGCCAAGGGACTGGCTGTAGCAGATATGATGATGCATTGCCAACTGCCATATCCATCTGCACCCAGATATTGCTCCTAGAGGTGTCAAAACATTGTAATTTACAAGTAAATGTGAGGAGAAGAAAAGTTTTGCAGACATGTTTCTTAAATGAGGAAGAGAATCACAGATGAGGATTACTGTCCAAAAGAGAGCTTCAGCAACTACCGCCCAAAACTCAGCGTGAGAATGGAGATATCACGTAAGGTGCTGCCTACTTGGCTGATGGTGAGGGAGGTACAAAACGCAGAGGAGCCGACAGGCACGTGGAGGGGACAGCGCCAGGTGGGTGGGAAGATCCAGGGAGATAATGCACATGACGTGCCCAGCACAATGGCCAGCAGGTCATGAGTGACTAATAAAAGGTGGCTAAGAATCCCACCAAAACCCCAGGCCCATGTTAGTCCTCATGTTTCTAAGGGGAAGTGAGTTGTACTTATTGAAAGCTAGGTATGTTACATAATTGACTCCTCAAAACAACTCTACGAGGTAAGTATTTTTGCAAATGAAGAAAAAGAAGTTTTAATGGTGGAATGATTTATTTAATGCCACACTGTGAGGGCATGGAGGACAGGCATTCAAGCAGGGCGGCCCTCGCCCTCACTGGGCCTCCCTGCCCCGCTTTGGGCACACAGAAAACTACCAGGCAATTTGGACACCTCTAATCACTGGGACATCACCACAGGGTATTACCTTTTTATGGCAAAGCCCCAATCTACTAGAAGTCAAGAGAGTAAAAAACAATTAGAGCAATGCTGTCCAATACAACTTTCTGTGATGACGGAAATGTTGATTGAGGGATTAATAAACAACAGGAAACATGGTTACTGACCACTAGAAACGTAGCTACGGTGACTGAGAAACTGGATTTTTATTTTTTTCAAACTTTAATTCATTGAAATTTACAGATCCACATGTGGCTAGTGGCTACCACGTGGGACAGCAGAGAACTAGACTACCTGATTTAAAAGGAACCCTAGGGCTCATTTGCCCTCATTTCACCAAATAGGGAAATGTCCTTTGCTTTATGCCTCATGTGTTCATCCAGTTTCTCATAGCACATTTTTAATAACAAGAAACTCTTCCTTTTACTTGGGATCTGATGCCTTTGTTAGAAAAATCATCCCAATCTAATAGCTACATCCTCAGGTGTTATAATCTGGAGATAAAGTTAAGTTTTGGTAATAAACCCGTTCATTATTCCCTGGGGTTATCTCCTAACTAGCTAGCTCTGCTCTTCTCACACCTGGAAGCATTTAGGTCTCTGAGGGTGGCCCCAGAGGCATCTAAATTCTCTGGGTGCACAGTGTTGCTACTGCTATCCACAGCGTCCATGCCATTCCATCTTGCTGACTGGTACTGATGCTGAGTGCATGGATGCGATGTGAATCTGAGGGTATTTTCCTCACAACAGTGCAGTGCTGCTTGCTAGGTTTCTTCCCCAGGGCCCGCTCAGCCCCACCACCTCTGCAGCCAGCTGCCTGGTGGCTGGGCTCGGGAGCCTGCAACCTCCCAGGCCCCTCTAGGAAGCAGCTCCCTGCTCTTTTCCTATCCTCATACCATTGGTTCCCCTGAGAAATGCTGCCCAGAGGTTAAATTCCTTTGGCCTGGCCTCCAGGCTAGACCATATCTTCCATCTTTGGGCAACTTGGGTACCTTAGAAAATAAAATCCTGTATTATCTTGTCAACTAGGAATAAATTCTGTTCTCCACTTGCTTATTTCTACCAGCTGAGTGGTCAGCTACCCATCTGGTCTTTTCCCTCCTGCTTTTATCTGGCCACTGCCCCCAGAGTTCAGTCTGGGTCAAACAAGTGCTAAAGAAATCTTGGTTGAATAAAAGACTCAGGGAGAATGACAGTATTATAAAATCATTTAACAGAATTTTTCATTATATGCTTGTGGACAGAAAATGTGAGGGGAATACATGTTACAACAGGTAGAATCAAGATGGGTTGAAGCGAAGAAATGCAACGCTTAGTTCTATTCATCTATTCATCTAATAACACCTTCAAAAACATACAAGAGATCAAATTGGCATGGTTTAATTTTAGGGAATTATTTCACTTCTCAGTTCCTTAGAAGTCCCTGTTAAGTGAATAATTAATATTTCATTCTTATGCATGGTGATATGTTATAAAACATTGAACCAAAAGGAAGTGGAGGCTTTTAAACATGCCATATTAGGACTAACCCTTATTTTAAATTAACTTCATCTGGGCTTAAACAAAGAGGGGAGAGAATTAAGCAAGAGTTTGCTATAGAACACTGAACTATCTGCAGTGTGATACATGTACATGAGGAAATACCCAAAACCAGCTAAGAAGAAGGATTATGAAGACTACATTGACTTTGACTTCTAAGTTCATCACTGAGAATGGCACCTTTATTCTGATAGACTTCCGAAGTCTTACTATTCTGCATTGTTGTCTGTTATAAGGATTTAATATAAACTCTACTGATATTCTCTAACAGCACCGTTTATGCACTGGATACCTGCAGCCACCTCTAAGGTGGCACATGTAACTGTTCCACCTTGGATAGTATATGACTCACTAATTCAATTTTACTTTGATGGGTAATTACGCAACATTCTAAGGGTAGATCTTTAGAGAAACATATCTTTTCCTTCAAACCTGGACTAGTAATTTAACAAATAGTAAAATGGGTAAATCTCCCAAACACTTAGTTAACACTCTGGGATATATGAGGCTCATGTACCAAGCAGAATTCTGGTTCACAGTAGGCTGAGAGATAACCATCTGGTCTCCCAAAAAGTAAGGACAGACAAAATATAAAATCACACTGACTTATCTCTGTAAGTCTGGATTTTGGGTTTGGGTTTAATTTAATTGGGTTTGAAGACTCCTAGTTTACTTCCTAATCATTTCAGAAGCAGACATTCCAAAATTAAATTAAGCAAAGAATATTAAATGGGCAGACAGTGCATATTTGTCCGTAAGAACCTTACAGTGTTATTAACAATGTTATAACTACAATTAGGCTGGCAGTCTCATGGGGTCAGTAGTATTGTTTCTTGTTGAAACAGACAAGCAAATAAACACAAGGAGCCTTGAGTAAAGGTTCTTTCATAGGTTGAGATATACATTTCCACTGACATGAAATAATGTCCTATTACAACCTTTTTATATATCTCACTTTGCAAATCAACCTCATATATTACTTGTTTTCAAACATGACTACTTTCCAAACTAGATTTAGTTTTACACCTAATCATAGAAGTAGAACCTGTTTTTTAAACCATAATTATTCATTTTTAATTGTTATTAAAAGAAATTCTCATTTAAAAATCCTTCAAGAGAAGACCAAAGGAAATATTTGCAAAGCAGAGGCATCATGTTATGGTGGAAAGCAAACAGATTGTGGAATCAGACAGGCCAGAGTTTAAATCTCAGTTTTGTCACTTACTAGGAGAATAATCTTGAGCAAATTTAATACCCTCCTTTTCATATAAAACAGGGGTCAGAACGGCTACCCCAGAAACTTCCAGAAATAAAGACAATGTAAGAAGAACAATGTATGGTAAACACAAGTCCATAGAACCTTCTTAGTAAGTTAAAGTTCTTCTTACTCTCCTTCTTGTTCCCTTTACCCCATCTTCATCTTATTCTTAGTCATGGTCACATAAAAGTGGATCCAGCATGGGATGGAGATGAAAAGATGTTCAGTATGGTGCTGTGGAAAGAGCACTAGCCTGGGAGTCAAGGGGCCTGTGTGTTCCTAAAAAAGTCAATTCCTCTTTTTTTGGGTCACAGCTGGAGAAAAGGTATGAAGGTAACATAAGAATTTGTCTATCAGAGCTTAAAGCCCAAAAGTGATTTTGTAGTCTGAGTCAATCAGGAACTCCTGGAGTCCCAGGATCAATTGCTGTCTTTTTAATGAAGGGCAGGGCACCAGGGCTGCAGTCTGGACTGCTGCTGCTGCTGCTAATACAACTTACCACACTGGGGACGGATAACTTTCCAAGCTCAGAATACAGATCCCAATTTTTTGGGGGGAACTTATCAGAGTTTTCCGATTGATCTCATTTATTAAGAGTGGGCTTATTAAGAACAGATACAGAAGTTTCCCTCCTGGATCATTAAACTCTTTCTTAGACAGCTTAGATTGATTAATAGGGAAGGAATGGGCAGTAGTTTTCAAATTATAGACAGCCCAGGTACAGGGTGGGGTGGGGTGGCTTGGGGAGAGAATTTAGATTTGAAACCTCCTGTTCTTGCGTCCATGTGAGTAGTGCTGTTTTAAATTGTTTTACATGTTTTGCTTTATTTGAACACAGACTTTGGTGGTTAAAAAGTACAAAATGCACTGGGCTAAGTGATACTTTGAGTTGTTCCAGACACCTGCTTCTATTGATGGTGTGTGTTCTTGGAAAATTAATAAAGAAAGGCATAATGAGATGCTCTTTCTAGAAACTTTAGCAATAGACAGGGCGTAGGCCACAGCAAATTAGATCCAGCCACCAGAGTGGAAAGGGCAGGGGCTGGGACTGGAAGGAAATGTCTTGAATATCCATCAAGTGTGGAATTAGTGTTATTTTTTATTTTATTTATATATATTTTTTGAGACAAAGTCTTGCTGTGTCACCCAGGATGGAGTGCAGTGGTGCTACCTTGGATCACTGTAACCTCTGCTTCGCGGGTTCAAGCAATTCTCCTGCCTCAGCTTCCCAAGGACCTGGGAACTACAGGCACATGCCACCACACCCGGCTAATTTTTTTGTATCTTTAGTAGAGACGGGGTTTCACTATGTTGGCCATGCTGGTCTTGAACTCCTGACCTCGTGATCCGCCCGCCTTGGCCTCCCAAAGTGCTGGGATTACAGGTGTGAACCACTGCGCCCAGCCAGAATCAGTGTTATTAACACTGTGAGTCACAGTGTGGGTAACATCAAGATAACTTGAAAATAAGAGGAGCTCAGGAAGACTTTTGAGTGCCACTGCTTTTCCCCGCCTCTCTCCACAACTGAGGGCCATGGAAATGCCACTTAGCCTCTCCAGATCTCAGTTGTCTCATTGTAAACTGACAATCTTGGACTAGGATTCCCTTCCAAATTATGTAATAAAATAGCTGCACAAAAGGAAAGGGAAAAGAAGTGAGAGAAGGGAGTACTGGGGAGGGGAAAGTATTGCTGAGCTCAGCTCTCTTGCTAAAGAGGGTTCACGGGGTGGGGAAGGAAGGAGGAGGGGATGAAATTAACCACTGGTATGGGTTTCTAAGGCTTGTGTCAGTAAGATCAGTGAACGAAGAAATTAAGGTCCTGCCTAGCATGGGCACAGTGTTCCAGGAGTGTCATGCCCCACTCTGGGGGCTCTGTGATGTGGACCATGGGTGGGGCCTCGTAGGCAAAAGAGAAGGGCTGTTGGGAGGAGAAATGGGGATGGGGAAAATCATTTCAAATTTCCCATGATGGAAAGGCTACAGGAATTGGTTATCTAGATTTACAAATAGAATCTAATAAATAAAACTTGTTTTTTTTTATTTTTTGTTTTTATAGCAGTGTGAAAGTCAAAGTACATGTTTTTAAAGAAGCATGAAAGTTCAGATGAGACACACTTGATGGCTTGTTCAGTTCATGAGATCTTCTGGCATGAAATAAAATGTTTCTTTTTCCATGCAGTGATTGCGTAACTCAAATATGGCAAAGCTACCTACACGATAATTTTCGGCCTGTGGATTTGATTTTTCATAAGCCTCACCACACACCCCTCACAGAAAGCTCTTGTTTCTAGTGGATTCGTTTCACCTCCTTTGTGAAAGCCTTAGAGAGAAGGCAGTAAGCAGGGAAAATCAGCTATTTATAGGCGTTTTTGACTAAAAGTGTCTGCTCAGCGTGCCATGGAATACTTCCAAGAGGTGGGAGAACAGGAAACGATCTAAAATCGACTAGAAGGCTGGAGGAGTGTTATGGGGGAATGATTTTGCAGGGGAGTCATTTTCAGAAAGCTCAGGTTTCATTTGCAAACAAATGAACTGACACCCCTTGAGTTACAGATAAGCCTTTGAAACTTTTGCTAGTTAAGGAGAGAAGACAAAGACATAAAATTTCTAAGGATTACAGGTAGGGTTCCTTTAAAGGACTTTAAAAGGAAAAGTCCTGTAGAAAGGCCTCTCTCCCTACTTATTTACTGCCTAAGGGGATGCTAGCCAGATGGACGTCCACAGAGGAGCTTAGACTGGCAGGTGGCATTCAGAGTGTAAACTGCAGGTCCTGGGATGGCCTACAGAGTCTTATAGTGTCCATAGGATGATCTCTATCATCACTAATTTCCACTTTTATAACCAAAAATGGCAAGCCTATTTGGTCAAGTTTTCATAATTAAGAGATATAATTTCATTAAATGTATTAAACCCTTCCTGTGAATTCTGAATGGTTTTGTTTTCATTGTTTTGATGACATTGGAGAAGCAGGCGAGGTAGAATTTAGACTGCCCAAAGTCACAGGGCTCACAGAAGAAGTTTGAACTTCCGATGGTTCTGTGGAGAAGAGGTCATGAGAGAGATCTGGCTTCAGTGTTTACTTGCTCTTTTCAATTTCTACAACATTAGAAGAATGATATACCTGGCTTAGCGACTTTGGGCACGAGCAAAGAAGAGTGATGGCCAAGGACATTTGGTCATCTTCTATCAATGGTGGAAAAGCACCACGGAGGAAACACTCCACAGAGAACCTGGTTCTCCTAAGCCAATTAAAGAGGTGATGATGGTGGATAGAGTTCCCTTGTAGACACCTCCTATGACTGTTATTACTAATTAAGCTTGTCCTGTTGACTTACCAGAGCTGTCTGGAATAAGGCAGCAGGAGCTTGACAGACTTAACGTATGAAAACAAAAGCAAGTGTGTATTGCGTTTTTTTTTTTTTTCCCTGTATGAATACACTAAAGCTTGAAGAAGCCAGAATTATATTCCATCAGCCAATATCAAGCCATGGGAAAACCTGATCCACTGAGGCTGAGCTATCAAAAGATTAATCCAGGCTGGTGCAGTGGCTCACAACTGTAATCTCAGCACTTCGGGAGGCCGAGGTGGGAAGATCCCTTGAGGCCAAAAGTTTAACACCATCCTAGGCAACATAGCGAAACCCCGTCTCTACATAAAAAATTAGTCTGGCACGGTGACCTGAGTCTGTAGTCCCAGCTACGCTGAAGGGTGAGGTGGGAGGGTCGCTTGAGCCCAGGAGGTCAAGGCTACAGTAAGCCATGATCACACCACTGGACTCCAGCCTGGGTGACAAAGGGAAACACTGTCTTTCAAAAAAGAAAAGAAAAAAAGATTGACTGTGATACTCTCGACTTCAGACGAAAGCTTTCTGCGTTTAGTCGGCACACAAGACAGTGAAATTTTACACCCACACTGTGATTAAGACCTACTGTCATCCCATATTGGAAAGGGCTTTTCTTTACCACAGAATCAGACATGCTAATCCCAATGCCAGCTTAATAAAAACTAGATGAAGTGAAATACAAAGGAAAAAGTGGTATGGTACATGAAACATGGGAAAGAGCTAAAGCTTGTTAATGTTTGAGGATCTACAAACTTGGAATATTTTCACACTGTATTTTTCATTTATTTCTCAAATTTGAAGTTAAATTTGTTTCTAAGACCTGAAGCAAACACAGTCATATCATCATGCCCATTTTACAGATGTAGAAATAGAAGTGCTAAGTAGAGCCCAAAGTCATGTAGCAAGCCAGCATCAATAAAGCTTGCAGTCAGAGCGCCTGAATCCCATATTTTCATCTATTAGGCTCTACTGCCCCCTTCAGTAAATACAATGAGAAATTAAGCCTTACAGTTCCCTAGAACTGGGTTACTTAAAATGCAGTTCTGGGATTGATCACTGTCAGAATCATCCCATATCTATGAAATCGGAATCTCTTGGGTGGATGCCAGAGATCCTCATTTTATAGACACTCTCAAGGTGATTCTTGTGCACATAAAATTAAGGAAGCTTTACCTCTAAATATTCAATGATAGAGCAAGTGGCCATACATATATATGATTCTCTACAGGCATACATGTGATATTATTGTGCCCATATGTACCCGTATTGATTCCACTTTACAATATTTCATGTAGCATTTCCAATTTTAGAGATAAATCCTTTCCAATCACTTACTTTTACATGTAGGGGGCAATAACTAAGAGATTAGCTTGTAGCTTTTAGCGTATGTATCCTGCACACTATTCCTCTCAGATTTGCTGCAGTTGCTCCCATTTAATATATTTGGTCCCATGGTCCCATTGTTCCAATACGTAATTCCTACCTGTCACACCATACATATTTTATACATAAATACATCTATCTATCTATCTATCTATCTATCTATCTATCTATCTATCTATCAAATAAAGTTTGGCCTTTGCAAATATGGTAACAGCTATGTTAATTTTTATCCTGGAGAAGTAAGATGAGGGATGCTGATTTCAAAGGAGTGGAAGATGCTGGAAGGATGCATGCTGTCTTCAAAATCTAACCAGGGCTCTGAGCAAATTCCCTAAAGATCACATATCCTAATGTGTTCTGCTCTATGCATCCTCCTTTGCTACGTGGTTTACCATGATCCAGGGAAAACTCATCCATTAAAGGAGGAACACACCAATTTCTTTTCTTTGGAAGTTAAAATAAATAATTGCAGGCATTATTTAGTTAATCTTTGCCTCTTCTGAGACTGTTGAGTCACAAACTTGCTTCAACTCTAACTTTCAGATAATGTCGCTTCTCCCTTTGCTTCCCTGTGCCTTGGCCCCATTGCCTTAAAAGGATGTTATGAGAATGGATAATAGAATATGTACAACATAATGGGAAGAGAACAGCACTGGTAGCCAGGCAGTGAGCCTGCGAGTGCCAGGTTCCACTGGCAAGATGACTGATTTCATCGAGGTATTTCCTTAGGATTTTTCTCTTTTCAAAAAACTAAATTGGACTAAATAATTTCAAAGCCTTCTTTTACAAGGAGATTATTAGATGAAAAATAGATAGGAAGATACAATGTCCGCATTGCAGGGAGATTAGTGTGAATGGGAAGCTACACCAGATGACCTTCTGATCAGGAGGTTCTACTATTCTAAAATTGTCATTTTAAGGGGAAAAAAACCCAACTCTGCCTGGTCCTTTAATTATGTATCTTATGATTTTAGAGTCTCGGAGAATTAAATCAGGGAGGAGTTAGACAATCTTGCAAGCGTATATTAAATTGTGGTTAAAAAAATTAAGGAGAGCAAAAGTCATTTATTTTACAATTGTTGGATTCTCCCTTATTAAGGGGACTAAAACCTCTTTATTCTTACACCAGAGAAGCAGGACATCCCTAACTAGTCTACACGAATGGTCCAAGGTGAAGTTCAATATAATCACTGGAAAAGCACAGTAATGAATTTTCCAACGTCTATGAAAAATCTGTTTCTCCACTTCATAGTCATACCTCTTCCATGGACTTTGTGAAATGGCACTCTTAAAATGGATCTGAGTTCATGAATCAGAGATCAAAAACAGCATGTGTATAAATGCATATTTTAGAAGTATTGTTGCAGGGATACCTATGCAGATAGAAGGTGTATATATAAACCTGCACACATGCACCTGGCATGCAGTAACCGCAGGCTCACATAATTCTGCTTCATAGACAGTTCTGTGATATCACAAGCCTGATTTTTGTGGGAAGTTTCCTAATTCTGTGAAACAATTAGTAGAAACTCCAGTTGACAGAGAACAGTGACCTAATATACACAAAAGGACCCACATATCCAGAAAATTCATTGTATAAATATATCTTAGAAATGGAAAAAAAGCAGGCATATTGCTAGACTTTAGCAAATGAAACAAAAAGTTTTTAATGAGAGTCCTAAATATTCCTACATTTAAAAGATCAGGGAATCAGAAGAGGTCTTTCTTTAATCACGTGAGTGCTCTCCAAGACAAAAAAAAAAAAAAAAAAAAATTAAAAACAAGAATTTGGTCAAAAGTAACAGTAAGAGTAAATGTTATGCCTTTCTTTACACAATATTTTCTCCTTTATCTCTGTGTAACAGTAATTAATTGATTCTTTATATCATTACCTTTTAGTTTATAAACATAGAGGACTGGGTTGAATATAAGTAAATCAGTCACTGAAAAAAAATTAATGCAATTACCTATTGTGGTTTTAATTTAAGAATTTGGAAAAACACTTAAATATGAATTTACCAAAATAATGTGAAAAAAAAATTCTCCCTGTGTGATAACCCACTAAGACAGATTGTTGTCTTTGAACCTAAACCCAAAGTGGTGGAAAACATAATCTAATTACAAATTAAAGTCAGCCTGGCAATACTGCATATATTTTTTAGCAGTTCCTAAAAAACCTGACACAAAAGAGCAATGTGTTCTACCATTCACAAATCACTGTGTAAAATTGTGTAATGCCATGATCTCATGTGGGCTAGAGACTGTGGGTGAATAGTTCTCTTAAAGAATGGTGAATGATTACCTTGATTTACTGTCTTTAATTTGCAATCAAGCAAACTGTCTTCTGAGGAGAATGGAAAAAGGGGAAACGAAATCTACTGGCCACTGAGAGATCCAAGGCTAGTTTTTCTCTTTCACTCTTTGCTAACTAATGCTATGCCTTTAATTAGTAGATTGGAATTCTGTGAGATCAGAAAGTGTGTGTTACAGGCAGAAACCTCTGACTGTGGCTAACCAAGCACTTTGGTGTTGCCGAAAATGTCTTTAGAAAACAGTGAAACTGAAGGCCAAGAATAATAAAGTTTCTTTAATAACTTCCAAGAAGGCTTTCCTATATATTTTTGATCTTCCCTTTACTACCACTGAGTCTTTCTGGACTGCTGCTTTCTCACAATGTTTTGTCAATTTTTTTTTCCCTTTATTAATTGGACCTGACAATAGTGAGAATAAAAGAGAATCAGAGAGAGAGAATTAACAGAATTCTGCTGCTGATCACTGATTCCACATCCAAAGTTAGCACCAGGCAGGAGCAATCTCATCTTTTTATGAATGAAGAGGGGCATCTCTACCAAGATCAGTGAAAAACAGGGAGAAGATTGTGCAAACCCAATAGGAAATCCATTCAGGAACCTTGACATTCACTTGCTGGATTATTAGGGCAATTTAAATTAAAAATAAAGAAAATCATCAATGAATGTGGTGGATGGGATTTCAGAAAAAGGCAGCAAAGAAACATCCCAGTAGCCAAAGTCATTAGCAGAACTGTTCAGCACTTTCATAAATTGCATGTAAAGTAGTTTTAACTGAATTGGGAGACTTAAAATTGTTCTAACACAAGAGGGAGGAAAACTCAGCCAGGGAAAGAAAACTCCCACTGGGCAAAGATGGAAATAATCTTGAACCAATTATTGAAAAAAATAATTTTACCTGTATTTAAAAGATCCTGGATTCATGCTTATGAATGCTTCCTCAGTGATCTTGTGTGGTACCTTATTTAAGCAGACCCCCACCCCCAAAAAGAGCAATCATCATAAATGTTAATTTTGCAAAGCAACAGTAACTATTCAGAATCCTGGTCCTGGAAAACAACCGATCATATTTCAATCACCAGCCATATAATATCCTCTAAGAGCACCTAGCAGATCTAAGGAGATCATGTGTCAATTAAAGATTTTATAAAGCCCTTGTGGAGACACAGATTTGTAGATATCTGATGTCTCCATCTGCTTTTTTACTATCTGTGCACACATTAATTTGTCAGCTCTTCCAGTCTTTCTAGCCATTATTTAGAGGAGAAATAAAATCACAAATACTACCCCTTCCTTTCCCTACCACAAAAACCATCCAAATCAACACCACACTATTACCAAATACAAAGTAATAAAAGAGTTATACCCAAACCTGGTCAGTCCTTCCATTTCTTGAAACTTGCACACAAACTGAAGAAACCCACTCAGCCTTAAAAAGGTCGATCATTTTGCTTTCCTAAAATTTCATCTCTGGGAGTGCTTTCCTTCTCGGTCTGTCTTGCTCTCTCTCTCGCTCCCTCTGTCTCTCTCTCTCCACTTCTACCGCGGAGAGAGCGTTTTGTTTCCCTTTTCCTGTTTCTACGGCTGAATGAATGCAAAATACACTGTTTGAAGGGATTTTTCTTTTAGGTTAACAGTTGGAAATCTAAAATCTTGCTCTTCTGAATGGCTTTATATGTCAGTCACTCAACATACAACATTTACATAAAGAGGCATAAACAGAACCAAGAATTCTGCTTTTTAAAAGCAAAAACAAAACAACAACAAAAACCACCTTTTATTCTATCTCTGAACCTCTTCCTATTTTATTTATTTAACTATTAAGCACTTACCCTGAGATGTGCCATAAATGCTTTATTCCAAATGTATAAGAGCCAACCACATCTCAACTGAGAATTAAACAGTTTTAATGTCTTCAAATCCATGTTCCTGCTCCCAACCCTAATACAGACAGTCACTGGCAGCGGTACAATAGTTCTAAACAGCAGACATCTGATTCTTGACATTTAAAAATAACAATATTGGAAAAAAAAGGAGTCCCTTTTTTTATTAACTGCAGACAGCTTGTGAGTGAGCACTTATCACTCATAATACAATTGACCGTATTAACTGGGACTTGCAACGATTTCAAGCTACAGTATTTGATTCCTAAGTCAATGTCAGGCAGAGGCTAAATACTTATAGACTTCTCATTTTCTATAGAATCATGGCAATGGCCTAAATTAAGCGAATTCTAAGTGATAATTCCGCAAAGAGAGAAGCAGAGCTTTGCTAGTATTTAGACTTTATTATTGGTGATTACTAATTTCATCTTTGTTAGTCTTGAATCAAATTAGGGACATAATCAGTTGTTTCATTGTTAGTCTAATTTCATATCCATGCCCTCTTAACTTCTCACATGCATATGAGGTCAAATGCACACATACATTTACCACAAAATAAATCAAGTAATAAAATAAAAAATACGCACTCATTTCCATTACTGAAGCATATTACGGAGTTGGGTAGATTTGGGATCAAGTGCTAGCTCCCCCACTTACTGTTTATGTGTTCCTGGGCAAATGATTTAAGCATTTGTGCCTGTTTTGTTGTCTATAAAACTAAAGTAAATAATACTCTACAAAGTTGTTTTGAGTACTTAATGAGACATACACAGTTTCTGGCACATAATAGATATTTGATATACACTGCTTCCTTCCTCTGCTTTGTATTTGGAGGAGGTAGAGATTGGGCATAGTAAATGAATACAGACTTTGAAAGCAGACAAATCAGTTTTGACCCAACGTGTTGCCACATACTAGCTGTGTGTCCTTGGGCAGGTTACTTAACCTAATTTACGAAATCTTAGCTTCTTCAACTGTGAAATATCTCTAGAATTTTAAAGAGCAAATTAGACAACATCTGAAAAACATACAGTAGGCATCTCTGAAATGAGAGTCCTGGGACTTCCAATTCTTGAAAATAGTTCTAATTAGTACTCTGACACATGTAATTTACGAGTTTGAAAATGCATACTGAGATCATACATCTTTTGGACCAAGCGCCTCATTTTCTAGCAGAGGAAGGAGGTCCAGAGAGCTGAAAGCATGTTTCCAGGTCATGTTACTAGTTAGCAGCAAATAAGGACTAGAACGCTCCGGGAACTAGAAGAATAGTGCTTTGCCTACTAAGTCTCTAATATTGAAGTTAAATCCATTTGTAAATCCAGCTTCAATATTAGTTGGCAATTAAGGCAATAGAGCTGAAAAAAAAAAAAAAAGAACTCCAAAGAAACCCTCTTTCCCTCTCTGTTTTCCCAAATTTACTTCTAAGAATGAGCCTATAGATGAAATTATTCCCTTGGAGCTAGCTGGCACGGGCTAACCCTATCTTCCTCAGCAGAGCTTGCACGGGGTGGCAGATCCTCTTTTCATTTCCTAGAAGCAAGAAGGGAGCCAGAAGCCCAGTTCTCAGGAGGTATTTTCTATTCTCCTCTGACCCCATATGAATATATGGCTCTTTCTTCCCTTTCTTTACAGCATCTCTTCAGCCTCAGCACAGGGGTTGGGAGGTCTACACTGTTTTACATTTAATTCTCTTACTAACATACTACCTCCCAACATTGAAATATAGATTTTTTCCCCTAGTTTGAAAGTCTTGCATAAATAGAAGCTTAATACATTCAATATCTATTAATAAGGATTAACTTGGAGTTTAGTTTAAAAGGTTGAACTAGCTTGGTTAATTATTTCCCAATGTAGGACAGAATATGTTAAACTGTTTTCAACCTTTCAATAATTTCAGAATTGAAAACAAAGGTGCTTTGGTGTCAAAGACAGATGAGCTATTACTCTGGGGAAGAAGGGAAGTAAAGGGATTAATATGAGTGTGTCTGTGATCCATTGTAATGAATGTTTTAGTTCTGTATGACGGGTGATGTATACATGGGTGTTTTATTTTTTTTCTTTATACCTTTCTGTAAGCCTCAAACGTTTCATTACAAAAATGACTTAAAGAAGGCAAATAGTTTGAAAATAGAATTTCCAAATCTTTATAGTAGGAGATCCAATAATGCTACTACTAAATCCCATACTTAAGCCTTTAAGATTTCATTCTCATTTTACTGAAAAACTTTAATAATAATATGCTTATTTTAAAGATTTTTATTTTCTTCTTGCTCACCATTTTTGATGCCCTTGATTTCAGGTCTGTGCTAGGGCATATTAGAAAGAGCTTGGTTTTGGCATCAAACATACTTGAGCCTAAATCTCAGTTGTACAACCTCCAGATTGTGGGGCTTTAAATGACTTGATATTTCTAAGTGTCAGTTTCTTCTCTTATAAAAATAGAATATTATTACATTCAGTAATCTTGGGATTATCACAAAGATTAAATGAAATAAGAAATGGGAACACATTTGCTATAGCATCTGGTATATAGTAGATTTTCAATTAATATCACTTTCCTTATCTTTCCACTTTTCACCACTACCTGAGATCGCAACTCCAAAAAGGTATAAAAAAGAAAGAAAAATGAACCTAAGGAAGGAAGAATGTAGGCATATAGGCAGATATAACGAAAACATTTCATTACTAACAAAGGCTTATGCTAGATCCATACACAGCATCCTTTACTCTGATACTTCTCATCTAATCTCATCATTACTTACTTAAGTACAGGTGTTTTTGTTTTTGTTTTTGTTTCCTTTCAGTTTGTTTTGTTTTTGCCACTGGTCATAGAACCTTCGCAGACAAAATGTGTGGTACTCTAGGGCTTTTATCTCTTTACTCCTTACTTTTTGTAAGACAGATATCCTTATCGAAATACTTTACTTTCAGTGGTGGGTGAAGCTTTATGTTCTTAAAGAGTTTCTAGAGCTTTCGGTTGCAACTTTCATTAATGGCCATTTCTCTAAGTTAAGAGACTGGGTTCTAGTCCCACCTCTGCCACATGCTAACGGTTTAACCCACTAAGTATTTACCTTTCTTTGTGTCTACTTTTTCATATGCTAAGTGGATTAAATGATTCTTTGAGCTCTGAAATTGTTATAGTTCTTGATAACTTATTAACATGTAGCAACCTTACAGGAAATTAGGCAACACCAGCTTCAGTGGGAAGTACTGACCACATAATTGTGTGTCGTGTATGAAAACTGTCCATGTGCTGGTGGCTTCTTCTGAACTCCAAGAACAGGCTCTGGCACTGCCCTTGTCCAGGGATTGCCAGCTTGGGGTCTTCTCAGGGATTGATGGAGGCATTCCCAAGGGAGCCAGACTTGTCAGGAGGAGTTCAAAGGGAGCAAAAAAGATGAACTCCTCAAAGGAAGAATTTTTCTTTGCATTTCTTCTTAAGGTGGGAGTGTAAAATGGGAGTGGGTATGTTATACTTTTATAGCTCAGTAATTTTTTTTTTTTTTTAAGATGAGGCTACCAGGAGAGAACAGAGAAGAAAAGACACTCTGAAAAAGGAAAAGATGAGAGTTCTTATGGAAAAATGTGCCTTGGGAAAAATTACAATACTACAGCAAGGAGGTAGGGAAGAAAAACATCTCTCTCCTATATTTTTATCCAGGTAACATCTGGTTTCAGTGAACTGGAGGAAAACACAAGGAGACAGTGGCAGGGGAAGAGCAGCCTACCGTGGCTCTGTAAGTGTGTGGGATTTACATGCTGACACTAATTGTATTTTACTTCTCTAATCCTTCCTCCTTTTCCTCCTCCTCTCTGTTGTCCTGGGTGTCTGCAGCTGTGCTTGTCAGGTCCCCAAACTGGCTAGCTCCCCACCTCCTCAGGGCACAGGGCGTCTTCCTGATTTGCTGTGCCCTCGATGTGGAAGCTCAGGTCGGGGTGTAGTTACTGATGGTTATGATGATGACCATCGCAGTATTCTAACATAGCTTCAGGCAGGATTTCACAATGAAAACCACCCCACAAAACCCTGAATAGATCTAATGAAACTCTTTCCAAAATTCAAACGATCGTCACGTATTTTTGAATTAAAGAAAGGTGGACTTCTTTTAAAATTCTCTGTAGACTTCCCTTTCCTCTCTTTCCCATCCTATGATCCCTCAGACAAAAGAGGAAGCCCATAATAACTGGTTGCCTTTCCATAGGCGTGCTTTTCAAAGCACTTGGATATCTAGTGTCTTAAGATAACCCGGTGAGGTCGGTAGCATTTGTTTCTTTTCATTTTCCCTACAGGAGCAATTCGGCACAGAGATGCCGAATAATTTGCACAGGTTCCTATCTTAATAGACAATTCAGAGTAGTGCCAAGACTAGAACCAGGAGAAATGCCCACACAAGCATGCCAGGTACTACTTCTAAGCCTCCATCATTGACAGAAATGGTACCTGCAGGTACTGGCAGGAGCGTTCTTGCTGACACGACTCGGACTTCACCATGGCCTGGTCCATGTTCACCGAGGCCTTCTGGTAAACCTCCCGGGCCCGGCTCACGGTGAGCGTGGAGGACCAGGCGCTCTTCTTCAGCAGCGGGGTGTCCAGGCTGACCGGCAGGTTGGCGCAGGTGGAGCACTTGACGTCGTTGTTGCTCCGGGAGGCCTTCACCGCCTGCTCGCTGATGGTGTTGT
This sequence comes from Homo sapiens, assembly GCF_000001405.40. Classification (NCBI taxonomy): domain Eukaryota; kingdom Metazoa; phylum Chordata; class Mammalia; order Primates; family Hominidae; genus Homo; species Homo sapiens. The sequence continues at coordinate 3,879,351 of NC_000018.10, forward strand.
AGGCCTCCAGGAAGTACTGTGAGGCCGAGCGGTCGGGGCACCTGCCCATGGTCATCACGCCCGAGGGGGCGTGGTAGATGCACATGTCACCATCCAGGTTGTCGTCCGAGCTCCACCAGCCCGGGGAGGTGCTGGGCCGGGCCTTGGGCTCCGCGCGCCGCTCCTTGCTCTTGCTGCGTTTGCCATAGCGCGCCGCCTGCGCCTCGTCAGGGCTGGCCTTGCCCCCGTTGACGCTGCCCTTGGACGGCCCCTCCAGGGAGTGCGACTTGGTGAAGAGCTTCTGGACCGAGTGCACCAGGTGGCGGATGCGGCCGGGGCTGTCGCTGCGGTGCTCCACGGCCGTGCGCTTGTACTGCAGGGTGTGATAGCCATCGCGGCTGAGTGGCAGCTGCCGCTCGAACTGGTCCAGCAGGTTGGCGGGGATGCGGTTCGCCTTGGTGGCCAGGGTGCGGGGCACCAGGGCACACTCGTCCTTCAGCTCTTGCTGCGAGGTGTAGTGCCTGCGGGGGAAGGTGCTGCTGGCCAGCGGGTCGCTGAAGGGGCCCACGCACTCAGCCTGGAAGGAGTTCCGCTGGGTGTAGTATGGGTGGTCTGCGGGGTGGTGCTCCACTGGGCTCAGCAGGTAGGGCTTGCGGTCGGAGTGGTGCGACAGCGAGTCACAGGCCGAGTCGCAGGTGACCCCGTGGTGATGGCTGCGGCTGCCTGATAGCCCTTTCATGGCGGACCGGAAGCAGCCGCCAGGGTCATGGACACCCGGAAGTCAGGCTCCAGACCCGTCTTGGGCAGGGATCTGGGGGAATGAAGAAAAGGGCAAAGTCGTTAACATTTCTCTTGGAAATTAGGTATTGCACTTTACAGGGTCTTGCTCTGTTGCCCAGGCTAGAGTGCACAGGCGCCATCTCTGCTTCCTGCAGCCTCCACATCCTGGGCTCAAGCCATCCTTCCACACCAGCCTCCCGAGTAGCTAGGACTACAGGCAGGCCCCACCACGCTTGGCTAATTTTTTGTAGAGAGGAGGTCTCACTATATTGCCCAGGCTTGGTCTCGAACTCCTGGGCTCAAGCTGTCCTCCCACTTTGGCCTCCCTTAAGTGCTGGGATTACAGGCGTGAGCAACCCTGCAGGCCTGGTATTGATCTCTTGAGGGTGCCATCTGCGACCGTGTTTTTTTGGCAGAACTTAATCAGTGTCCCCTAAAACAGCTTGAACGCATTATTGGAAGAGCTCTGTCACCTCTGTGGGGCAGGAAAGCTGACTCCAAAGCCTGTAGGGAGAGAAGGTGGAGGTAAAGCTAGAAAACTAGAAAAAGGAGGCCGGGCGCGGTGGCTCACGCCTGTAATCCCAGCACTTTGGGGGGCCAAGGAGGGCGGATCACCTGAGGTCAGGAGTTTGAGACCAGCCTGGCCAACATGGTGAAACCCTGTCTCTACTAAAAATACAAAAATTAGCTGGGCGTGGTGGTGGGTGCCTGTAATCCCAGCTATTCGGGAGGCTGAGGCAGGAGAATTGCTTGAACCTGGGAGGCGGAGCTTGCAGTGAGCAGAGATGGCACCACTGCACTCCAGCCTGGGGGACAGAGCCAGACTCCATCTCAGAAAAAAAAAAAAAAAAAAAAAAAGAAAAAGAAAACTAGGAAAAGAAAACTATATTTAAAAAAAAACCAAATTGTTTTTAAATTATTTGAAACAATAACTCTCCTTCCCTCTATGACCCCAATAACTGGATGTATCGTTCTCTTGCTTCTTGGGTCTTATTCTTTTTTTTCTTTTTCTTTTCTTTTTCTTTTTTTTGTGAGATGGAGTTTTTGCTCTGTTGCCCAGGCTGCAGTGCAATGGCACGATCTCGGCTCACTGCAACCTCTCTCTCCCGGGTTCAAGTGATTCCCCTGCCCCAGCCTTCAGAGTAGCTGGGATTACAGGTGCCTGCCACCATGGCTGGCTAATTTTTGTATTTATGAGGTTTCACCATGTTGGTCAGGCTAGTCTCTACATGTTAATTGTTAAAGATAGAACTGGAGAGGGGCTCAGTTCCTCTAGGAAACCTCTGCTGGCTCTCCTAGCAGAGAGAATTAGTTCCTCTCTTGTGTTTCCACCACATCTGAAACTCACTCCCCAGAACCTACAGAGTTGCTTGCTTCAGGATCTCTCTTCCGGCTTATGTTCCTTGCCTCCCAGTCTATTAGTCTCATTATGTACCCCGACCTAGTGTCGATCCAGCCATGTAAGCACACAGTAATAGCACTCCATAAGTGTGAATGAAAATGTGAGTTAAAAAACAAGATGAGCCGGGCGCGGTGGCTCACTCCTGTAATCCCAGCACTTTGGGAGGCCGAGGCAGGTGGATCACGAGGTCAGGAGATCGAGACCATCCTGGCTAACACGGTGAAACCCCGTCTCTTCTAAAAATACAAAAAATTAGCCAGGCATGGTGGCAGGCGCCTGTAGTCCCAGCTACTCGGGAGGCTGAGGCAGGAGAATGGCATAAACCCGGGAGGCGGAGCTTGCAGTGAGCCGAGATCGTGCCACTGCACTCCAGCCTGGGCAACAGAGCAAGACTCCGTCTGTCTCAGAACAAACAAACAAACACTAAGATGAATAATAGAAGCCAATGGCACCTCGTATCTTTAGGATATCTCTGTCTTCTGTTGCATGTTTTCCTTTTTGAATTCTGTAGGAACAACTTCACCACACAAACAATCCCCCCAGGTTACTCAGAGTGGGAAAAAGTAAAGATATGGCAAATAAATCATAAATGTAGAGAAAATCTGCCCAGGTATTTCTGTCAATTGAGGGTCAAGAGCTTTCTCTAAACAAACAGAGAACAAGTTAAGCTTGACTAGGCTAATTTGAGGATCATATATCTCTTCTTCCTAGTTTAAGGTTTCTGGTTGAGTATTTACGCACAAGACCAGGCGTGGTGGCTGACGCCTGTAATCCCAGCACTTTGGGAGGCCAAGGTTGGAGAATCGCTTGAACCCAGGAGTTTGAGACAAGCTGGGAAACATAGTGGGACCCAGTCTTTAAAAAAAAAAAAATTAGCTGGGAGTGGTGGTGCATGCCTGTAGTCCCAGCTACTCAAGTGGGGAGAGGATTGCTTGAGCCCAGGAGGTTGAGGTTGCAATGAGTTGTGAATGCACCGCTATACTTCAGCCTGGGTGACAGAATGAGACCCTGTCTCAAAAAAAAAAAAAAAAAGTTAATAGCCGATGGCAAAATGACCAAAGGATGGCCCTTGAAAAGTTCTTGAGGACATGAGTGAAGGACCCCAGACCTAATAGCTCAGCCTCAGGGAAAAGTCACTCATTCATATCCCATGTAGGGTATCTCAGTCCATTTCCAAGCTCGGATCTTCCGGAGTTTTAGTAACTAACAGAGGCTGCTATTCCATCAGGGCAGAGTATTTTCTCTGGACTCCAAAACAGTGTTAGAGTCAGTGCCTGACCAAGTTCCTTCTGACAGCCTGATTTTCTTTCAAGACTTCCTACAATACAAAAATTGCCATATAAAGAGTCATCTTGGAAAGCCAACATGACTCTCTAAAATATCACTAATGTCATTTCAGATATTCCTAGAGAGATAGATATGTGGTTTAATTAAGAAACAAAACATATAGTGCTGGGTGCGGTGGCTCACGCCTGTAATCCTAGCACTTTGGGGGGCCGAGGCAGGCGAATCACCTGAAGTCAGGAGTTCAAGACCAGTCTAGCCAACATGGTGAAACCTCGTCTCTACTAAAAATACAAAAATTAGCTGGGCATGGTGGCGGGAGCCTGTAATATCAGCTACTTGGGAGGCTGAGGCAGGAGAATTGCTTGAATCCAGGAGGCGGAGGTTGCGGCAAGCCGAGATCGTGCCACTGCACTCCAACCTGGGTGACAGAGCAAGATTCCATCTCAAAACAAACAAACAAACAAACAAAAACAAACAAACATATAAAACACCCACACTGGACCTCATGAAAAAAGATTTTTGAGAGGCCAGGTCTTGTCTATTCCATGAGACATACTGCATCTGGGAGCGCTCATGACAATGTTGGCAATCTCTATCCATGCTTTGTGAAGCTCCTTTCTTCCTCCTGTCTCCCAGTTTCTGGATTGACCATTCAGGAATAATGATGAAAGGTTTTAATCAGTACAGTCACTCAAAATTTGTTAGTCTACTAAATTGTGACGTCCTTAAGGGTAGGGACTATGTTTCACCCACCTAGTATTTGGCAAAGTGCTATCCTAGTGGATAGTGGGAATTAAGTTAGTAGAATATTTACTCAATTACTTAATGCATTAATGCAAAATTTCCCAAAGTGGTTCATAGTGTGATTCAAGTAGCATCTGTTTAATGAAAACATGACTGTGTGGCAAAGGCCAGGCTGGGCAAGGCCAAGGAAAGATGCCCAATAGTTGGGGGGACCATTCCATCAGGGTGACCATTCCAAAGACCAGTCTTCAGAGCAAGGCAGGAAGCAGACTGGTGAACACTCCTTCTGACCTATATACCTTTGACTTCTAACTCTGCAACTCACTGGGCAATATCGTACCTTCTGCCGTTCTACCTGTCTGGAAGTAAAGTCTGGGGAGTTTGCCTAACCTGCTGACTACAGGATGCTTAGACAGAGGGCAATCCGCCTGGAAGAGAGAGAGAAACTGACTCTTGAAGGGACAAAAAAGGAATTCAGGACTTATGATACCTGTGGATAAGGAAGAACCGATAGGTAAAAAACGTGTCCACTGGTGACAGACTAATGAAACAGAAAACCTTGGGATTGCTTTGTATGAAGTTATGGTCCTAAAAGTAGGCTGTGGCAAGGAAGAATGTAAGAGGGTTAAGTATGTGTTTTTAGCAAAACTGTGGCACAAACTAACTTAGATGCAAAAATCCATTGCATAAGAAAGTCTCTCTCTACAAATCAGGTTCCACTGAGGACATTTTTGCCTTTCAAATACAGACTTATAAAAAGCAAAAACAAGATTCTATTAGGATTATAGACACATACTAACTTTTATGATCACATATAGTAGAATCTCAATATATAAAATGATGTGGAATAATGTTTCGAACTTTCCTTCTCAAGCAGTTTGAATCTTGGGTAGATATTTTCTGCTAAATAAAATGTGAAACTGGCAAGAGCTGAAAACATGAATTATACATGTTTACTCCAAAATATACAAGATTATTTTAATCAGGTATTCAGTATTTAATTATCTTTAATATGTGAGCAACATTCCATGCAAGATGACGTTACCTGAGGACAAGCAGAGCAAACGAAGAGCTGTTTAAGGCCACTAATGATGATTTAAGTTAAATGATGTAACCAATGATAATTTCTGTAAATTAATCATACACAGTGTGTTTTTTACTAAAATTTAACTGGGCTATTTTCAGCACAGGACAAGCACCTCTATTTTCTTGGAGGGTAACAAATTGCATCCAGAATAAATAAGCTAACATTCCTCCTTCCTTACTTGTATTTGTAAAAGAGATATTGAGATCTTGATCTTTTTTCTCTATGATGTGGGAAAAGAAGGTCATAAAAAATGGCAATAAACATTTCTAAATGCTAAATCTATCTTTCTGGTCAAGGCCAAATAAACAACTTAATACCATGGCCCTTTCTGTAACAAATCTTACACTCTCTTCTATCGTCTTGTCATTTTAAAATGAAAATAGGTCAATTTGTGATTATAAAAGAAAACACATTCTGTGACTTCTTGGTGAGCAAGGGCAAATGATCTAAAATCCTAAGGCCATTGGCAATGGGTAGACAATTGCTGGTGGCACCTACTATGGAGGTCCTGCTCTTCCTTCTCTCATTCTTCATTTTCCTCTTGCCTTACTCTTAAACTCCCTTTCCAGCACATTTATCTCTGTCACTTCTTTTTTCCCCCCTCTCCTAATTAATGTTTATAAGTTGTATCCATGGGTACCACTTGCTGCCACCTGTGGTGTGACCAAGAGCATCATTAGAAAGCTTCCTTGCCTGCTGCTGCAAAGACGACCAAATGCCTACAGTGAATCCCTAGTGGTCAGAGGGCTTATGATATATTGTGAGAGCCATGTCATAAGCCTTTTGGCCACTAGGGATTCAATGTATGCACTTCATGACCTAGCCACAAAAAAACATGAAAAGAGATAAATAACAATTCTCATTCTTCTATGCATTCTTGAAAAAAGAGGATGCTAGCCTCTCAATTAGATTTTAAGTAATGATAACAATTGCTGGAAATAGAGAGGGAAATTGCCTTTCAGGCCTTGTTCTTTGAGCAAGGATGGGGACTGTGGTCAGCATGTCTTCATGAGGGTTTCTGTGACTACCAGTGATTAGCTCTAATTTCTTCTTGTTCGCTGTGACTTCAACATTCTGTTTTATTGTCCTTCTAAGTTCAATTTTACCATTGTACCATGTCTCCTGATTTTTTTGCTTGGATAATTTGTTGACTCTGTTTGCAGCCATGAGACAAGCTCAGAGTGTGAGATGCACAGTTTTTCCAGAGTTCCAACACCTGGAGCAGAATTATCACTGTCCAGATGATGACCAAAACAAGAATAATCCAGCACTGTAAAGGAAATTTTCAAGGTAGGTAATTTATTAGACCCAAGGAAAACACAAACACACCACATATTAGAAGATGCTGACAAAGGGGAAATAGTCTTGCAAAGCTGGCAAGTCCTTATTCCATTTTGATTTTTGTGCATGTCTTTATTTAGAGCTGCTTTTCTTGATTTTTCTTTACATGCAGAAATAAGAGCATACTGAAGGCCCTCCTCTGTCTTACCCCATGAGGATGGACAGGCAGGCAATTGCGACTTACTTTAGAAAGAAAGTGGTGGACCCTGCCCAGGAGAACAGGGGCACTGTGTTCTTGTTTGAGGAGACATCAGGAAGAGGAAATCTCCATGAATCTTTTCAGGGTCAAGCTGTCCTAAAAATTTCTTTTTTGAATTTTTGTGGGTACCTAGTCATGTATATATTTCTGGGGTACATGAGATATTTTGATACAGGCATATAATGTTTAATAATCACATCAAGGTAAATGGAATATCCATCACGTCAAATATTTATCCTTTTTGTTACAAACAATGCAATTATACTCTTATAGTTATTTTTAAAAGTGCGATTAGATTATTATTGACTATAGTCACCCTATTGTGCTATCAAATACTAGATCTTATCATTCATTCGGACTTGCATCTATTTTTTTTGTACCCATTAATCATCCTCACTCTCCCACCTTAGCAACACCTCTCAACTACCCTTCCCAGCCTCTAAATGATCATCCTTCTAACTCTCTATCTCTCAAGTCAACTTTTTGGCATCCCTCCACCTGCCAGAAGCTTGTCCATGCCAGGTTATAACATACCACTAAAGAGAAAGAAAAGATTTTCTTGTTGAAAAGTACAAGCAGCCCTGAACAATGACTACATTTTCCATTCTCCCTAGATGTGCCTGGGTGACTATGCTGGCCAATGGAACATAACTTGAAACGGCATGTGTGATTTCTGGAAAACATCTCTAAAGTGAGGGGCATACGCTTCTTTACCCCTTCTCTGGCTGGAACGCAGCTGTGGGGGCTGGGTGAATAGTGATCTTTCCCATGAGGTGGAAGTTACAGTTTGAGGATTAGAGAAACAAAAGATAAAGGTTCTGACCTACAGCGGAGTGCCATATCCGCCCTGGATGTGCACCTCTGCATTTTGTTTAGTCGAGAGAAAAATAGACCTTTATCTTGTTTCCTTATCTTATCAAGTAAAGGAAGGGCCTGCGCTGGCCCCATAGGAAGCCAGAGTCCCTTGCTATTGAACCACGTGACAACTTTAGCCAAGGGCTCTGCAGAGGGAGTCTGTGTGGAGAGAGGAGACAAAATAGCTCGCGGTTATTTTGCTTTCTGTAATTTTGTGTACTGAACCTTGCACCTGCACCTGTTCCTAAGTGAGACAGGTAGTCAGGGCAAAATCATGAGACCCTTGGTGAAGCTATGTCAGGATGCAGCACTGTATTTGCAGGTGGTGGTAATCCATTAGAGGAATTTAAACAAGACAGTGGCATGGTCACACTTGTGCTAAAGATTTCTCTAGCTGTAGTTAGAGAATACATGTGGGAGTGGGGAGGGGCAAAAAGATCTCAAAGAAGCAATGATTTCTTGCAAGAGCAGTTTATGAGAGAAGACTGGAAGAAAAGAAGGAGTATACCAAGAGAGGAGGACAATGTCCTGGCCAGCTACGGCAGTGTCTCCTGATTCAGACCTCCTTGCTCACACATGCATGCTCCAACCACAGTCTGAACACATACATGACATTTTTTTTTAGACAGAACAAAATTAATTTTCCCGTTTACTTATAATAAATCCCAATTCTACAGAGATTGAGAATGATGAATGCCCAACAGGCTGATGATTTTAAATTATTACTTTTTAAAATAAGAAAATGGTTCTTACTACTAAAAAATGAAACCATGGCACTTTTGCGTAAAAGTAAACAGAAAACGGCCGGGGGCAGTGGCTCATGCCTGTGATCCCAGCACTTTGGGAGGCCGAGGTGGGCGGATCATGAGGTCAGGTGATCGAGACCATCCTGGCTAACATGGTCAAACCCCGTCTCTACTAAAAATACAAAAAATTAGCCAGGCGTGGTGGCGGGCGCCTGTAGTCCCAGCTACTTGGGAGGCTGAGGCAGGAGAATGGCGTGAACCCGGGAGGCGGAGCTTGCAGTGAGCCGAGATCGCGCCACTGCACTGCAGCCTGGACAACAGAGTGAGACTCCATCTCAAAAAAAAAAAAAAAAAAAAAAAAAAAGAAGTAAACAGAAAACTTAACAGAGGTGAGAATGTGAGTTAACATTGTCCAAATGCCCACTGTTTGGATATTTTCTGACCTTTTGAAATTGTACCTGAAGATGATAACTCAATGTCATGTTCTTTCACTTTTCCAGGCTTCCTTACTTGAAGATTTTCATGCGTTGTGTGCTTAAAATTATACAAGTACTATTAGAACACCTTTGAATAAGCACATTCTGAAATATACCAATTATATTACTCAAAGTACAATGCTGAGCCATTTTATAGATGCAGAATGTATTTTGGCTTTTCATTAACATTAATTGCTGTCCTAATCATCTGCAGTTTGATTTCGTCTGTGAATACCTCTGTCAATCAGTCTGCTCCTACAAATAAATGCCTTCGGAGGCATTTCCTTTTCAAAAGATATGGTATTGTTAAAAAAAAAAAAACCAACGACTCAACTGAAATCTTCTCCAATTTGGTCACAGTAGGCAGCACAATTACAATCACCTGCATCTCCATACAAAGCTTTTAAAAAGTGGTTTCATAACAGTTTTTGAGAATAAAAAGGTGGAAGGTAGTGTTCTTTGAAAAATGATTAATAGGTCATTATTGATATTGGTGGTTGAGCAAAATGTCATAGGATTTAGGAGTGATTTTTATGTGAAGATAATCCAGGCAGTAAACGATAAAATCTCCTAATCTTATTTTGGACTGACAGAGTTCAAATATGCCTGTGCTGACTCTATGGGACCTCGGAGATATGCTTCCTATGGAATTGTTCTTATCTGGATTTTCAGGAGAGGGTTGGTTATCTCGGCTAAATGGACAGATGAATTCCCTTGGGAGCCAGCTAGGAGAATGTGGTTACCTTAACCAGCCATGGACAGTGCCCTTCAGGAGGTGCTGCAGCAGGGGGACAGCCTGTCTTATGCGGGTACAATTGATGGGGGTAGAATATTCACAGAGAAGAGAAAAACCCATCAGCGTTTACTCCAAAAAAAGTTGGGAAAAACTTGCAAACTACTGATGAATCTAGGAGAAAGAAGAAATGATGACAGAATAAACCTGTTTAATGGTACCTAAAGACAGCCGTGATGGAAGATGGAAAAACACAAAAACAATGACAATCAAAACAATATGACAATACAACTTGAAAAGGAGCAGTGGAAATAGCCTCTGATGAAACCAAGTTATTTTTGTCTAGATTGCTCATGACTAGCTGAGTAGTCTTGTGAACATGTTCTGGCATATTCTATACAACTTGTTTCACAGCCAGATTTTATATATACATACATGCATATATATATATATATTTACCTGAATCAAATTTTCTCTTATAAAGTCTCTTTCTTTAAAAGCTGTTGCTCTTCTTACCAAGTTTGCTGTACAAATCTACTTTCCTTAGTGCTGAGACCCCAAAAGTGCAGACATTAAGCCCTTTTGTGGTAGCTGTTCAGCTGACACCTGCTTTTGGGAATTTCTTCCCTACTCACAGCATCTCCTGGTGACCCTGTGGCCAGGACTGTTGAAGGTGATCACCACATTTTCTGAGCTTATGGAAGACTGGACTCAGGGGCATCCATGCAGAGCCTTCACTGAGCTAATGAGATGCTCACTTTGGGAAATCTAGGTGGGGATGTTCCTAGAATCACTGGACTCTGGTAAGCTTCAAGGTCAAGTAAAGGAAGGGCCCATGTCGGCCCCACTGGAAGCCAGAGTTGATGCTATTGAACTGTGGGGCAGCGTTAGCCATGGGCCCTACAGAGGGAGTGTGTGTGGAGGGAAGAGAGGAGCCAGTCCAGAGTCCATGGAACCCCAGCGAAAGAAACAGACAGAAGCTGCCTAATGGCCTTGTAGGTCTAGTCAGGCCTGGCTCCCTGCCCAGAGGGTGAGACTCTGTGGTCATCTGCAGCAGAACCAAGGCAGGCCCACAAAAGCTTACTCATCCAAGTAAAGGGGACCCTCCTGCCCAGTGGGTAACTGCAAGCATACAGAACCTCCACCACTGTGGTCTACATCCAAGTGGGGCCAATGTGAGTCAGTCTCTGAAGTGGCCCCAACAGAATTGGCTAAGTTATCCTCATACAGCTTTATACCCATTTAAGTATTTATTGGCTTGGATACATTATGCATGCTAATTCAGATTATACATTCACTTTTTGAAAACTATCATCAGTGCCTGCATGAGAGAGGGGTGGTCAGATACCATGTAAGAAGTGAGAAGGACAATCTCTGCAATCGGCTGTTTTTGAAACCTTACAGAGTATTTTTCCTTCAGTGAGTTTGGCCTGCCCTGACCTCTGCAATAGTTGCTGTTAATGGGAATTAGATTTGTAATTCCTCAAACACTGCCCCTTCCTTCTGCTTCTGTCTTCCCATCATTTTTAAAGTGCCTTATTCTGACTCTTCACACATCTAGCAATCTGACCCTTTTAACTTTTTTCATTTTGGAACTGGTTTTTATTGTCTTTTAGAATTCTACCCCCAGTCTTAAATTTTAAACAAACAAATCCACATCCAGTCAACTTTCTGAAATATTTTTTGCTGTGATAGAGAAGGAAGTATGATGGCATTCATTGTTTCTGGATTAAAGTATTTTTGTTTGTATTACATTTTATTTTTTTAGGGACAGGGTCTTGCTGTATCACCCAAGGTGGAGTGCATTGGCATAATCATGGCTCACTGCAGACTTGAACTCCTGGGCGCAAGCAATCCTCTCATCTCAGCCTCCCAAAGTGCTGGAATTACAGATGTGCACCACTGCGCCAGCTTATTTCTGGATTAAGTTTTGGCAGATAAGAGTGTTGGCCTGTAAGTTATCAGCCAAATAGTCTTTGACTGTACTGAGCATGAAGTCAAATCAAATCAATACATATGACTTTAATTCAACAACTATTTATTGAATAGCTATTATTACATGCAGTGCACTGGGCACTGTAGCAAGAATTGAAGATTCTTAACATTACACCTTCAACTTCCTGTCTCATAAGTTTTCTTGTTCTCTTGCTCCCACTTTTCCTGCCCTCTGATGGTTCTCATGACAGTTTATTCCATACACTGTTTCCTCAGCTCTGCCCTCTTCTCCCATTCCATCCATCCCTAGTGGTCTTCACTTCCTCCCTTGCCAGCCTAGGAGAGACAGCAGGTCAAACTTTTTTTGTTAGCCCCCTCAGGTCCCTTGCTCTATGATCCTTCTACCTCACTCACTGTGGACAATATACATCAAGGACTGATGCTACTGTCCTTCTGTCTTTCCACACAGAGGCTGCTGAGTGTCGCTGGGGATGGGACTGGTGCCATGGCAAATTCCCGGTGTCCACTCTTGGCTCTACTCCCAAAGCTGATTAGGAATAGTATCATGGGTCTCCTGGTTCTGTTCCAGCTGCCCTAAGCCCTCAAGTCTACTCCTTATTTCTCATCTAGACTTGGTTGGGAAAACAAAGTAGTAACCAATAAATATCAAGTGAATAAAAATGGAATGGTCTCTGCCTCTAGGAATCATAACTATATACCAGGCACGTGTTGTCCACTTTAAATGCATGATCTCATTTTAATCTCAAACAACCCAATATGGTACGGACTAGTCTCTGGATAAGAAAACAGACTTTTAAAGAGGAAATAACTTGTCTGAGATAATATATTTAGTAATTTTTAAATTTTTTTTTAGAGAGAAGATCTCACTCTGATGCCCAGGATTATAGCTCACTGTAACCTGGAACTCGTGGGCTTAAGGAATCCTCCTGCACAGCTAGGACTACAGGAATGTGCCACCATGCCTGGACAATTTTTTTCATTTTTTTGTAGAGATGGGGGGTCTCACTATGCTGCCCAGGCTGGTCTCGAGCTCCTGGCCTCAAGCAGTTCTCCTATTTCAACCTCCCAAGGTGCTGGGATCACCTGCATGAGCCACCGTATCCAGCCATTGTTACTAAATTTTGAACACAGCATGTTCTTAATCACTAGGCCATAATGACTGTTCTTATCACCTCTAAAACACACACACACACACACACACACACACACACACACACACACACACACACACAGTCTTTCATACTGCTAAGAGTATTATTTGTAATATGATCTTTGTTACCTGATTATGCCATTCTTTCACTTTAAATTCTTCTCAGACCCTCTACACTTTTTCAATATAATCTAAGCCTTTGAATGTGACTCAAGGTGGGAGGCTCCCTGACCCGGCGTCCATCTGCCAGACAGCCCTGTCTCCCCACCCCATACCCCACACAGCTCAGCTCCAGTGACACTGGGCTCCTTGTATTCTTCCCCACATGCCACATTCCCCATTGACTCTGTGTTTCATGCTCTCTAAAATACTCACTTCCATTCTCTATACAAATTCTTATCCCTTCTTGAAGAGTAGGTACAAATATAGCCTCCTTCTTAAAATATTCCCTGACTAAAGGAATCATGGAGATGATAGGCTTCATCTAATTTACGATCTAGTTGAGAAAATAAATCACATAAACGTGAACAATCAGCAAACAATACAAGTCAGAATCTAATCAAGTGCTAGATTGTATGGTACATGTCGCATATATAATGCACCAAGTGAAAGCCTTTGGAAAAAAGAAGTCTGGAAGATGCAAGAGTTAAGGAGTGTGAAAACATCTCAATTTAGGAGGTGTAGCTGGCTCAGAGCAGCACATTCTTCAAAGACAAGGTTTTTAGGACAGTGTGCAATTCCTGTTCCATATTTTGTTCAAATCTAACCACTTTCTCCTCTGGCTTTTTATATATATAAAGAATTATAAATATATATAAATATATATATTTATATATATAATTTTTTATAGGTTTAGGGGATACAAGTGCAGTTTTGTTACATTGTGTAGAAGTAAAGGCTGGGCTTTTAGTGTAGCCATCCCCCAAAAAGTGTACATTGTACCTATTAAGTAATTTCTCATCCCTCACCACCCTCCCATGCTTCTGAGTCTCCAATGTCTATTATTCCATTCTTTATGTCCACGTGTACACATTATTTATCTCCTAAGGGAGAACATGTGGTATTTAACTTTCTTTTTCTGAGTTATTTCACTTAAGATAATGGCCTCCAGATCCATCTATGTTGCTGCAAAAGACATGGCTTCACTCATTTTTATGGCTAAGCAGTATGCCATGGTGTATATATACCACATTTAAAAATGCAATCATTGGCCGGGTGTGGTGGCTCATGCCTGTAATTCCAGCGCTTTGGGAGGCTGAGGCGGGTGGATCACCTGAGGTCAGGAGTTCGAGACCAGCCTGGCCAACATGGTGAAATCCCCTTTCTACTAAAAAAATACAAAAATTAGCTGGGCCTGGTGATGGGTGCTTGTAATTCCAGCTACTCAGGAGGCTGAGGTAGGAGAATCGCTTGAACCTGGGAGGTGGAGGTTGCAGTGAGCCGAGATTGCACCACTGCACTCCAGCCTGGGCGACAAGAGCAAAACTCAATCTCAAAATAATAATAATAATAATAATAATAATAATAATAATAATAAGAACAATTCAATCATCTATTGGTGAACACAGGTTGACTCCATGACTTTGCAATTCTGAATAGTGCTGCAATAAACATGAGTGCAGGTATCTTTTTCTTTAGGTAGACACCCAGTAGTGGGATTGCTGGATCAAATGGTAGTTCTACTTTTAGTACTTTGAGAACTCTCCATATGTTTTTCATAGAGGTTATACTAATTTACATTCCCACCAAAAGTGTATAGACATTTTCTCATTTCTCCATATCCTTGCCAACGTCTGTTATTTTTTGATTTTTTAATGATAGCCATTTTGACTGGTGTAAGATGGTATCTCCTTGTGGTTTTAATTTGCATTTTTCTGATGATTAGTGATGTTGAGCATTCTTTCATATGTTTATTGGCTACTTATATGTCTTCTTTTGAAAAATATCTGTTCATGTCCTTTGCTCACTCTTTAATGGGGTTATTTGGTTTCTGAAATTGTTGAGTTGCTTGAGTTCCTTGTATATTCTGGTTATTAGTCCTTTGTCAGTTGCATAATTTGCAAATATTTCCTCCCATTCTGTAAGTGGTCTGAGTATTTCTTTTGCTGTACAGAAGCTTTTTAATTTAATTGAAATCCCATTTGTTTATTTTTTGTTTTTGTTGCATTTATGTCTTTGAGGTCTTAGTCATGAATTCTTTGCCTAGGCCAACATCCAGAAGTTTTTCTTAGATTTTCTTCTAGAATTTTTATTCTCTCAGGTCTAACATGTAAGCCTTTAAGCCATCTTGAGTTAATTTTTGTATACAGTGAGAAATAGGGGTCTAGTTTTCATTCTGCACATGACTATCCAATTTTCTTAGCACCATTTATGGAATAGGGTATCCTTTCCCCAGTGTATGTTTTTGTTTACTTTGTCAAAGATCAGTTGTTTCTGGGTTTTGTTTTTTGTTCCATTGATCTATTTTTATGCTAGTATCTTGCTATTTTGGTTACTATAGCCTTGTAGTATAATTTGAAGTCGGGTAATATGATGCCTGTAGCTTTGTTCTTTTTGCTTAGTATTGCTTTGGCAGTTTAGGCTCTTTTTTGATTCTGTATGAATTTTCGGATTAAAAATATGGAATGCTTCATGAATTTGCATGTCATCCTTGTGCAGGGGCCATGCTAATCTTCTCTGTGTCATTCCCAGTTTAGCATATGTGTTGCTGAAGTGAGTACTCCTCTTACTTTTTCAAGGCCTTCCATTTCTACCTCTGATATGATCTTTGATGATACTATTCAGATGTTGGCCAGATTGTCTGAGAGCTACAGAGTTGACCTCCTTGTTTGTCCCTTTCAACTGCTCTTAGATGTTAAGCCACTAGCTTATGTAAGGGAACTATACGAAATAGGCATTTATACTTGCTATGGTTTTTACTGTCGAGATGTTGCCTGTCTCAGCAAAGAGTGCAGTGCCATGTGGTAAATTCCTCTCAGGTGTCAGTATTAACAAAACTGTGTGCTTAACAGCTGCCTTTAATCGTGCAGGTGCTATTACTCTTGTAAGATGAGTATGTTTCCACTTCGAGCAGTGCGTGCTCCACCAGCTTGAATACCAGGAAGGTTATCAGGAAAAGCTATGGCAAAATCATGATGGTTTTAGTACTTTTCCATTTTTATCCTACTATCATTGTATTTCCCTTGGATGTTTATTACACACACACACACACACACACACACACACACACACACACATCATCATCATCATCATCATCATCTCATAAACCACTTTAATCTCTCGTGGAAACAAATTGTAGTAGAGGTAGCAAATCTACATCCAGATACCTCTGTATTATGTAAAATATGTCAATATGCTTTTTCCCTCACTTGATATCATCCATTGACTGTGACAATGGTTCTCAAACTCGAGTTTGCATCAGAATCAGCTGGATGTCCCAACGCATAGATGCATTCGATAAATGTTAGCCAAATAAATACATGAATGGGAATTTTCCTGCTCGGTAAACAAGATATTTTCATGGGAAAAGTGTGACAATTTATAAGTAAAATGACTATTTTTGTACTGGGAATAACGCATTGTTGGTGCCAGCACCGTACAGAGCAGAGCCACTGTGCTGATGGGGAAGTATTGGACCAGCAGTTAATGAAGACTGCTAAAGCCTGCTTTGCTGTTTCATCCGCAGCACACAGGCCGCATCTGTCCTGGGGCTCATTTGTCCTTCTTCAACCTCCTCCACAGTTAGAGGCTCCTGAACTACAATGGCAACGATTGAAGAAACTGTTGTTGAAAAGTCCACGCCAAATTCTCGGTATGTCACTGAAGACAAGGACATTTTGGGTAGAACCAGGCTGCTAATCCACTCTTGCCAGGAGGGAAGATTTTTTCTCTTTCTGTAGTGAGCAACAACGCCACTCGGTAAGCTACAGAATTATCTAACTAGTATTTTTGAATCTAGAAAAAATACAAGCTTTGCTTTATTAATGGGCTTATTACATGTATGTGCTGAAAACTTGATATATGCTCCTTCTCATGCTTGCAAGTGTGACATGGTTTCTTCCCTTTTCACAGATGAAGAAACTGAGGTTCATGGAAGTTAAATAACTTGCCCACAGGGCACAACTAGTAGGCAGCTAAGCTAGGACTTCAACTGAGGTCTGTAAGACTTAAAGCACATGCTATTCCTGCTCCTCAATAGCTTTCCTGCTAAGCACCAAGAGACGCTAGGCTGCCAGGAACATCACAGCAGAGACCACCGTCAATCAATGCATCTCCACCGTCTTTTAGACATTCTTTTGAAGAAAGATTTAGCTGCTAAAAGAAAAGATGAATATACAAAAAGGATAATACTACCATATTTCATCATATTGTCTCGTTTTAATACAAGAAGACTCATCCAGCTTAAACATTTGATGTTTAAGAAGCTAACCAGCAAGCTGCCCTCTGGGAATGCATACCATCAGGTATGGATCAGTGGCCCTGAGATCATGTTCATAACTCAGCAGCTTTGTACAAGCTGTCAAGACTCAGAACATGGTACCCCAAAGTATGGCACCTTGGTGTGCTGAGTACTGTGGACTGAAGGACATCGGAAATGTCTCAGAAGCTATGTCTCTTTGACCTTCTCCCAGCCTCCTGTCTCCTACCTGTCTTTCTCCCTTGAAGTGAGTCATGGCAACCATAATTCCTCTTTCCCAAGGTGTGTCACAGAAACTAGAACCCCTCTCCTCCAAGGGAAGCCGTGAAACCTAGAAAGGTCACTCTCTGCCTTCCCCCTTCTCCCTTGAAGACCCTCATTCCAGAGGGGCCCTGCCCCATATTCAGGAGGGTTACACAAAGAGGTTAAGAAGAATTTGAACATTCAGGCCTTGCTGGGTTCCCTGCTCAGTCTATCAGCATTAGATCACACCCTTTAGTCCATCACATTTCTACACCGCTGTCCATTCTTCATCAAACCGAAGAATAAAAAAAGTTTTCCCTGGGTCTTTGGATCTTCATTTCTGAGGAGTCCCATGTTACATAAAACTTTGATTACCTTCATTATGCTTTTCTCTTGTTAACCTGTCTTTTGTTATAGGAGTGACCGTTATGATAGGTGAGGAAAGATATCACACATTTCTGCCCCTACAAAGCCAAAAATGTTGGCCGAGGAATGCTGCTAAGCTCAAGGCCGTAGCTACTCACAAGCTTTTCTCTCCACTACCAAGACCTGTAGATACAATGTGAATAATTTTAACCTTGATATAGAAGGGAGCCAATGCAGAAAATAACTTCTCAGTTATCCACAAAAGCTAGTAAAAGAGCTAACATTCATGTATTTTTTTTCCCAACAAATATTTATTCAACATCTACTAAATGACAGGTACAGTTCTAGGAACAGGGGTCCAGTAATGAACACAATTCCAAAAGTCCATGGCTTCATGACAATTATATTCTTGTGTTGGGAGACAGACAATAAACAAATATATTGTGTATAAAATGTTGATGATGGTATCATGTCTTAGGTGATGACATATTAACTGCCTTCTGTAAGCAATCTTTTATAAACTCTTTGCTGACTTGGAGGCACTGAAAGTTTTACAAAAACATTGGCTTATTTATCAAAGAGGAAGTATAGTAAAATTTGCACTCATTACAGGTTGAGTACCCCTTATCCAAAATGCCTGGGACCCAGAAGTGTTTCGAATTTCTGATTTTTTTTTTTTTTTTTTTTTTTTTTTGAGACGGAGTCTCGCTCTGTCGCCCAGGCCGGACTGCGGACTGCAGTGGCGCAATCTCGGCTCACTGCAAGCTCCGCTTCCCGGGTTCACGCCATTCTCCTGCCTCAGCCTCCCGAGTAGCTGGGACTACAGGCGCCCGCCACCGCGCCCGGCTAATTTTTTGTATTTTTAGTAGAGACGGGGTTTCACCTTGTTAGCCAGGATGGTCTCGATCTCCTGACCTCGTGATCCGCCCGCCTTGGCCTCCCAAAGTGCTGGGATTACAGGCGTGAGCCACTGCGCCCGGCCGAATTTCTGATTTTTTTCATGTTTTGGAACATTTGCAATTTACTTTATTTACTGGTTGAGCATCCCAAATCTGAAATGCCAAAATCCAAAATGCTCCAATGAGAATTTTCTTTGAGTTTCATGTTGGTGCTCAAAAAGCTTTGGATTCTACAGCATTTTTGATTTTGGATTTTTGTATTTGAGATGCTTGACCAGCAATATGTTCCAGAAAATATTAGAAAAATGGATATGTCTCTGTGGTAAACCCTGTCCTAGGCATCTTATATGTATTATCCCACTTAATTATCACAGCAGCCCTATGAAGCAGGTACTCTTATTATCTTCATTTCCCAGAGGAGGAAAATGAGGTATGGGAAAGTTAAATAATTTACTTGTAGTTAATCCAGGAAGTCAGACTCCAGAGCTCACAGTTTAGGCACCACTACACTGTCAATGACAAATGTTACCTTTTGTCACTCAACACAGTGATGGGATGTTACCAAGGTTGCAGCATATGGCTGCATAAATTGCATACAGCACAGCTGGGGATGGGGGTGGCAAGCTGACCTTGTGTGGTGCAGCAAATCTGTTGCTTTGCTATCACTGATGTGCAGTTAGGCAATGTCCTTTAACTTGAATATACCTTAACATAAGCATAATAAGAAGACACCAGAGAAAAATCACGCTTTCCAACATGAACTAGAAATAAAGTTATTCATCTATTATTATTATTATTCTCCAATAAGACAATAATTGAAACCATGGAAGCCATATATATTCCAGAGACATGTACATAGGCTGACTACATACATCATCTACACTTTAGATAGGCCATTTAAAGTAAAGTAAAGTAAAGTAAAGGATTCTAGCAATTTGGAGGAAATGATGAACTTCTCCATACAAAATGCTCACACCTCTCAGCTTAACCTGCAGCTTTCAATTTCCGTATGGCCACTTCTCACCATCTGCTTATGTTGGCACAGGGTGGGAGGCAATTCACTTCATTCAGGGAGGCATCCTACACTACACTTATGAGCAAAGACCTGCAAGTCAAGTGAAAGAAATAAGGAGGGGGAAATGAGCCCACAATGAACACTTCACTGGGTGGCATCCTATGGGCAGTCTGCATTGACAGGTGTTTGTCTAGCAACCTCCGCCCATGGCAGCTTTTCCTCTGACTGCTGAAGGGGTTTGCTTCCTTTACCCAAATCTGTGTCAGGAAAAAACTCCACTGAAGTATGGTTATAAGTTTCATCTCCCAGACAAATAAACAAGCAGCCTATATTCCAGCAGACCAGATCTGAGTATGATCAACTGGCGCTGGCAAGAGTGCCTGTGGCCAGAATGAGTGGTACCTGTGTAAGTCAGAGAAGTGGCTTTGGGCAACAGCAAGAATGTTAAAAGGATGTTGCTTGCAGGAAAATCATTAACTTCATATTTGAGGAAACCTTTTGGATGTTTACTTAGGGAATGAGATTCAAAATTCGGGCTGCTATTGCTTTCTTATTCTCCTTACACTCTGTATCCAGGTTTGGTCCAATTTCAGAAAATGTCCTTCCCATTGCTTTGAATTTCTGTCTAGTTTCCTTCTACCATAGCATCTTTAACCAGAAGGAAGCCATCTTCTCTTACTATCCCACTTTCCGCCAGTGTGAGCTTAGAAATGTATTGTTCTTTTTCTCCCTCTCCCTCTGTTTTTCTCCTCTGGGGAAGCTTGGTAGGAAAAATCAGCGCTATAAATTGCAAGTTTTCCTGCTAAGATCCTTGGCGTATAGCTGGCTGCTACTTCACCTTTTTAAAAACATGATCAACATCCTGTGTCCTGTTAGAATTAGGTAACTTAAACTTTTTATCAAGGTTGATTTTTGTTTAGACCCTGGGAATGGCTCTGCATCATGGCATATATGCAAAAACAAAAAACAAAAAACAAAACCAAAAACAAACAAACAAAAAATCCTGAAGAAATAAATTGTGGAGACAAATGTTTATAAGTACAAATATGAACTCTGCAAAAAGGATTGGAATCCAGTGGCAGGTAGATAAGCTGTAAGACTGGACCCATAAGTAATGGAGGACTGTACCGAAGAAATGTACTCTGTACCCCAAAGCTTATAAAATAATTGAACAGGGGATGTGGAAAGGGAATCTGATATTGGCAACACAGCGTGTCTCTCCTGTGAGTTACTGGAAGTTTGAGGTAACTGATGACAATTCTGTCTGCCCTGATACCGACATTGTTGTTTCTCATCAGCTCCCTCCTCAGGACCCCCAACTATCTCTCCACTTTCCAGCACAGATGTCTGTATTTCTGGGCACCAGGTCCTTTGGAAATAACACTTTAGCACCTTTTAAACATTTGCTTCACTACTGAGTAGTTATTTGCACATTATTCTGTCTTCCCTCCTAACGAGAATTCTTTAACAGTCAGACTTGTTTGCTCAGCAACTACCCCAATGCCAGGCACAGAGTGAGCGCTCAGTAAACCCTGAATGAATAAAACAAAAGGAGTGGAAGAAAGCCTATCAGCTTGTGGGCTCATTTTTGTATCTCATAAATAAATGGATACTCCAAGACTTGTAAAAGAGGAACATTATGCCCTTGGGATGCAGGAGGAATCACACATGATTGTGTTAGATTAGATTGGGTTGGTTAGAGGAAAAAAAGAATTTGGCCTCAGAAAGCTATTTTCTTCAATGTGGGAGTTTGATGTAACAGAATCCCGCCTTTGGATATTCCTTATTTGGTTTCGGGTACTGATAACAAAAAGGACAAGGAGAAAGATATTTAGAAATGGTTTAAAAGATATTCTGTCCAAGCCACCTCGCCTCTCCCATCTCCCCCTCGACCTCGTTATTTTCCGTCCTCCAGGATGATCTTTCTAACTTCCAAATCTGATCATGTCCCTTCCCTGCACAAAACGGTCTCTATTCCCTTCAAAATGACGACTAGGACCCTTGCGCAGCTTGACAGCCCCTCGTGATCTTGCTGTGAACGCCCTCCACCCTCATCCCTACTCCCTTCTGCTGCTCCCTCAAACCTGGGCTGCAACCACCAAACGACTTGAAGTTTTCCTTACCCACCCTGGCTCCCTGTTCTTTACGACTTTGAGGATGGTGCTTACGTCCTCCACTTAAGCAATGCCCTTCCCTGCCTACACAGCTCCTACTCATCCTTCAAAATTTAACTGCTCCTCTGCCCACCATCTCTCATTCACTTTTCACACTGAGCTCTGTCCAAATCTAGTAAGGCTCTGCAATTGTCTCCTACACTCATTTCCTTCCTTCTCATCCTCTCTTCTCCCACTGTGGGGTGACCACGGTTACCCGTAAGGACAATACACTTTCTGCTTTACACCCCGTCCACTGCTTGTCAATAACAAGCTTTATAATCTCCCAATACTATAAAAGCTGAACCACATGAAGGAACCCTGGAGCTGGTTCCCTAGGGATGTTGGCCACCATGCTGCTGGCTGTGAGACATGTGATTGCTCACCTATGTCAGCACATAGATATGGTGAGGGAGAAGGATCTGACACCTGACCCACAGTCCCCTACATCCTCATGGGTGGCAATATTTTACCACCTACATGGGGTATTTTCACTTTACTTTAACATTTCTGCTTAGTCTAAGAAATCTCCCCCTCCTTAATTGTGTTTTTCAGAAAACCAAATGGGTTATTACATTAGTTCTGAGCAATGAGAGGGAAGCAATCCATACATATGGAGTGGCAATTAAATTAAACCCTAGAATTAGGATATAATTCCCAAGTGAAAATGAGCTGAAGGAGAAGTCTAATAGGAATGCCTCAACCTCTCAGTTGGCCAACAGACCCCTAAGGTGTCCGTGGTACTCTGAGATTTTTCTTCTCACACTTTGCAACATTCATTTGTGGGCTTGTCTTTCCGCTCCACCAAGCTCTCAGAGAATAAAGTGAAGTGCATGTCTGCCTTCCCACTTCCCAGCACAGTAGCTGCCTAGAGCACAGAACCTCAATACCAGCATTGAATTTCACAGTGAGAAAGTTATTTCCATTTCCATTCTCTTTTAATCCTTTTAGTTCAGGCAGAGCAGAAAAAATTGATTGTGTATTTTGAACACCCCTTAACATTTGTTTTTCCTCCCTCTTAAGCAGGCTTCAGTGGGCACAGTATCTACCTGGAAATGAGTAACTTGCTTTGTTTTCCTTGTTCTTTTTTTAAGGTTAATTTTATCCCAAATGGCAAGGCAAATGGAAGTAATATCGAGTTGCTTTTAACAAATGTATTCAAATAAAACTAAGTCTATTTGTGGAAAACTATTAAGTTAAAATACAACATCAGTAGAAATGGACCTGGCCAAAATCATGATGATGCTATATAAAGGATGAGTGTTTAGAAAACACTGGCATACAGTAGGTGCTCAATAAATGCTCATTTGATGGATAAATGAATCTCTCTTCCATCTTCTCTCTTCTTTCAATTTCTATAAGTTTCACAATAGATCTGGCTTGGCCTCAAATTTGTATTACTGTACTTGTCTCATATTCTGAGCTATAGTACTGTATCTGCTTTCTGCTCGGCCCCCACCGTGCATTAGCATGACCTACTCATAAATGTGCCATGTTTCTTTTAGTTTAGCTTTAAAGACTAAAACTAAAAGACATTTTAGTTTTAGTCAGACATTCAAAGTCCTCCAGAAGCTGGCTCCAATCTATCTTTCCATGTGTATCAGCCCAAGTTCTCATATATAAACTATGCATATATTTGTGATTTCTAGACTGGACACTAGGGAGAGTCTTCCTGGCCTTGAGCCTTCCTCTCAGTGGGAAGCCCTCAGAATCCTACAGACCTTTTAAGACTCATTCAAATCCTGCCTCCATGAAACCTTCGCTGAGAGTGATCAGCTCTCTTAATTCCAGCTGAGAGTGATCTGCCTCTCTTCTGAGACCCAGAAGCACTTTGCCTGTGAGGAAACATTCACCATGTGTACACTGTGTTTAAGATATTCCTTTAGCGCCCTGTACTCTCTTTTCAATTGCACGCTCTTGGAAGGCAAGAACCAGTTCTCATACATCTTTCTATCTCTAATCTTGTTACTGACTGAATTAAATAAATGAATGGAGATATTTGGGGATGTACTGAGGGAAGGAAATATGGAAAAATCAATGACCTGCTTACAGATGCTACCTGAGCTGAAGAAATGAACAGCAAACCCAGTAGAAAGTGAAGCTCACTGGGAACATGAACGTGGTAATTGACTCAATTAGATCACAGAAACCTACCTCCTTTTAATAAAGGATATGCAATCGTATTTTTAAAAATATTTTTCAAAAACCATTATTTGTAATTAAGTCCAAATCCCTCCATTTTAGAAGCAGGAAAATTGAGATAACATTACAAGCATAATGTATGGACACCCATGGATTTACGTATGACTAGCACAGTATTCATGCTGCAAATATGCATGGGGAAAATGGTCCTAGGGTTCTTTTGCAGCAGATCTTTTAAACCTCAGATGAATCACACTATAAAATTCTCTTAACCCTAGACACAACCACAAACAATAAGAGCCATATTTACAGCATGTATTTCACTCCACTGGGTCTAATATTTGTTGGATGTTTTATAGGAAGAATGGAGAAATCTAAGATGTCTGTGAGTTTGTTAGGTTGACCATTCCTTTCAGGGGGAAGTGATAGTACCATGAAAAACATTTTAGAAGATCCTCCTACAATAGCTGACTCTAACATTTAATTTGTTGTTTTGTTTCATACCAGATGCCTCATTGGAAAAATAGCAATATTGAAATGGCAAAGGCAGCAATGTTAGTAACATTAGTGTTTCTAGAACTATTCTGCAAAAAACAAAGAGACACTATCCTGGGGCTGAATACTGGCCTGAGTGAGTCTCTTTTGCATGATCTCCTAGAGAGATGGGTTACTTTCGTAAGGAAACATCATTAATCAAGCCTAAAACTCTGGGCTTAAGGAAAAATTTTCCTTCCTGACCCTAGTCTAGTGAGAATTTCCTTCTGTTCCTTTTACACCATCAACAGAATTGAGAAGATGCACTCTCAGGAGCATTTACATTAAGTGGGGATAAATCCCCTAAGTAACCAATGGCTGTGAATGATAGCATGTTAGACTGATCTCCTTTTTCAGGAGATTACCCAGAACAAGGGCCAAATAGGGCATGTAGCACTGCTCCACAGCCCACCAAGGGCCAAGCAGTGCAAGATCAGGTCTAGACGAGTTTTGATGGCTCTGTGGTCAATAGTGGCGATGTGGTAGGTGGCACTAAGGAAGTCTGCAAACACTATGGCAATGCTGGCTTGGCTTCAGAATGACATAACCCTTTAGGGAAATAGAATTTTAGAAGTTGGGTTTATTCTTATGGGAGTCCTTAAGCCTGGGGTTAAGCCAAGACAAAATGTAACCCGTGGGTTTCACCTAGTCCCGTCCCAGAGCCTAAGTCTATGGAGTTGAACTGTAACAGCATTGATCATCGGCATTCTTGGACTTACCATTTGGTGGGTTTTTAGTGATGATTAAAGAATCTATTCAAACCAGGAGAAAATGCTCCTGATTTCCTATAGTTTAACCACTTAATGAATCAGTGTTTGAGGGACACACAGCCCTCATAATTAAAGCAAGGCTGTTAAGATTAAATATTTTATTTTTATAAAGGAATATAATTGATACAAATGTTAATTGATAATGTTTGAAAATGCTTTTCACTCCTTAAGAAACCTTAAGATCACTCCGTCTTTCAAGACTTACTTTGGATCTTGCTCACTTACATCTTGTACATAAAATATAAAAGTAATAAAAGCATGTACCCCACTCATTTGGCATAGTAGATACATTTTCTGGACTACTGAATATGCATGGCTTTGTAGGGTTTCTAAATAGAAACCTTGGCCCTATTATTCATTATTATTATTATTATTATTTTAATATCTATTCCATTTTCTCTATCTAGTTCTTACCCTGACATTAGAAAAATAAACCAGGATAGTTGAAATGTACCTGAATAGGCCGGGCATGGTGGCTCATGCCTGTAATCCCAGCACTTTGGGAGGCTGAGTTGGGCGGATCACGAGGTCAGGAGATTGAGACCTTCCTGGCTAACACAGTGAAACCCCATCTCTACTAAAAATACAAAAAATTAGCTTGGCATGGTGGCAGATGCCTGTAGTCCCAGCTACTCGGGAGGCTGAGGCAGGAGAATGGCGTGAACCCGGGAGTTGGAGCTTGCAGTGAACCGAGATCACGCCACTGCACTCCAGCCTGGGCAACAGAGTGAGACTCCATCTCAAAAAAAAAAAAAAAAAAAAAAAAAAGAAAAGAAATGTACCTGAATAAAGGGAAGAACCAAAAAAAGTATAAAGAGAATTGGGAAGTCACCCTTATCAATACCATTTCCGTACAAAAATTTGTTTATAATTACCAACTTGAGGGGTATTCATTACTTGGTAACAAGGAAACATCTAAAGAAGGCTATGGTAACTCTCCCTCTTTCTTCCTTAGTTCAAGGTTTTGCCTTTTAAAAGTTATTCCCATTGCCCCTCTGGAAATTTCGAATCAATTGTTTGTTAAAAGTTTTAATGAGACAATGCGATAGGCCCCAGCTAAGCAGTGAATTTCGAACTAGAAAAGGACCATAAAAATAGCCATGTCAGAAGATCCCCAAAGTGTGTTATGTGGATCTCTAGTCCTGAGAGATATTCTGTGAGAAGAGGTTTGGCACAATGTGTTTGGGGGAAGCTGGTTATCATAATCCTCACTTAGAGGTACAGCATGCCTTACTCTACAAAAGGGTTCGAAGTTTTGCAAAGAAAGCTTTTGAATGGTTTTACCACAGCATTTTGCAAAACAGTCTGGTCCTTGAACCCTTTTGAAGAGTACCTCTAGCCATTGCTTGAAATGACTGCTATGACTGTTCTGCAAAACATACCTGAGGAATTGCAGACCAATCCCAAGTCCCTCCTTTTATAGATTAGGAAACGGAGTGTGATTCACTCTCCTTTCACCTAATCCGTAGTTTACTCCCAAGAATCTTGGGTAAGTGTGGATAACAGGCTTTTGAAATTGATGTAAACTTAGTCCATCTTTATAGTAGAAAAGAACTGAACTACATCTCGGAAGTTTAGCTGATTTATCCAAGGTTACTAATTAACCAGGGTCTAGAAACCAGAATGTCTTCACTTCTGCTTTGTCCTTTGCCCATCAGAAAAATGCTGTTGTCATGCTATGGGAATGCTTTTCAGAAATTATTATAGCTTGCATTTTGCTTTATCTTATCTTGAGTCTGTTATTTTTTTCTCTCAGTATAGTTGAAGTCCTTTCACAAAATTCCACCTAATCCACTCACCAGCTTAAGGGACACTCTTTATTCCCCCTGAAAACACAGTCAGGCTGCCTGAAGTACAGGAACTCTCACACCAATAAGCTATTCTAGAGCTTTTCTAGACGTTTCCTCAAATCTATTTATGTTAGTGTAATTTGAAATTATAATTACGTAATTTAAATGTTACAAAAAGTGCTGAAATATGAGTGCAGAAAACAAGAGTCATTTTTCTAAAAATAAAATGGTAAGCTGTGTAAAGGTTGGATAGACATGAGCTGTTAAGGTTGCTGCCAAAGTAGCTGTGGGTGAGACCAATGTAAATAATTGGAAAAATGGTGAAAATTTAGAAAGATTCTGGACTCAAATTACTTTGCATGTCTACATTTAAATAAACTGACATTGGAATTTATAGATAACACACCATGAGTGTGGTTTACGCAAGAAAGAGAACTTGGAACTCCAATCAATAGATTCCTTTAAAAACGACAACCACCTTGTTTCTTCAAGAAAACATTAGCGAATGAATATACGTTTGTATTTTAAAAAAACAACAATACCGTAATAGTAATACAAATAAAATGCAATTCAGTATAGCAACAATTTATGTTGTATTAAGTATTAAAAGTAATCTAGAGATGATTTAAAGTATATGGGAGGATATGCATATGCAATTATATGTAAATATTATAATACTATACGATTTTATATTGGGGACATGAGCATCCATGGATGTTAGCGTCAGTGGGGGCAGGGCGGGGGTCCTGGGACCAATACCCCCCCAAATCGGGTGACTGCAGTTTACTTCCTGATACAGTATTAGGAAAACCAAAGCACTACAGTAATATATTCTACTCTATTTGATCTTTCCTAGCCTATATCCTCTTCTGTTTCACTTAAAAATGCTGGCCATGAACACTAAATTATTTCTTGAACCTCAGTTTATAAAACAACGTATAAATAATGACTGGTGCTACCAGAAGGTTCATATCTCATCCTACCAACTCCTAGGGTCAATACCTGGTGTGGCAATAGAAATACCCAGATAAAATATGTAAGGAAACTATCCCAGATCTCTTGCCTAAATTCCAAGCTGGGGAAGACAGCAAGCCTGTAATAGAAACCTCCAGTGTAGGCTTGATTCAGGCTGGAGCTGATGTGGAGGATGAGTGACCTCAGAGAGCCCCTCACTTCTTGGCTAGAGGAGGAAGGAAGAGGTGAAGATTCCCCAGCAGTTGTAAACATGCAGGAAGAGGCATGTGGGTGGGCATGGAGGACACAGGTACACCCACTTCAAGATCAAAGGCTGTGGAAGAGACCACAGGTGTCATCAACAGTTGATCATATAGAAGACTCGAAGGCCAGGCTACCTCTCAGCAGGTGCCAACGACCAGGAGGGATGAGCCACAGATCAGAGGCCAGCGAGGCCAGGCTGTGAGGACGTAACCCATTCAGGATGCTCAGTGAGCCTCCCAGCAGGATGGAAGAATATTCAGTTTCATCAAATATTTATCTAAAAGAGACAGGCTTCATGGCAGCACAATTCTGAGTTCTATGTGTTGACTGTAATTGGAGCCTTAAGAGCTAGGTCTAACTTAGTTGTAGAAACCAATAAAAAGTTATGCCCCTGCACATATAATCTGTGACTGTAAATTTTCAACCTGCTATACCTGCACTGAAAAAATTTTTGGCATAGGAAAGCAATGTGCAGTTCCTGCTGTTATTTTTAACAGTCATTCAGTGCCAATGTTCTAGGCATTGTACTGAACAGAGTAGGACAGAATTCCCTGTTCACTTGGCTCATGGGCAAAATGAGAAAAACACAATATACAAAGAGACAGTGTAATGGGGGAGAGGGATATATGCATGATTATGAATGTGGCATATTTAAGAGGTATAAATAATCTCATGATATATTACTTAGAGGTAGTTGCCATATAGGATTAAAAGTATGCACTCATAGTTTAATAGATTAAATATCTCAAAAATAGTGCATAACTATAGAATTTTGCTCTTAAATTTGGCGAGCTGTGATTCAAGATCCTCATCAGTACTCTTGAAAAATTACTGATTTCTGGCCCCCATTCCTAAAAGCCTGGGGTTTGGCCTGGTCATTTGTATTTTCAGAATGTTCTCTTGATGATTCTGATGTGCAGTTCAGGTTGGTGGCCACTGTCATAGGAGGCCATGTGTGTTTTTAATAGATACACTATTTATGCTTGCTTATAAGTTTATCTGCCACTCTTAAGAAGAGTGAAATAAACCATTTAGGCTAACTCACAAATATACTTTTTCTCCATAAGAAAACATCCTTAAACATGATAAGATTAGCAGGTAACATCCAATTTTGCACTGATTATAATACATTTTTAGTAAACTACGTGAAAAGTAATAAACCTACAAAAATGTGTTTGAAGTATCATGCCAGGGGTAACATGTTCCTAAAATCTAGACTAATAAATATGAAGAGGCAAAGGCTTGCATATTTCAGTCTGTAAAATGCTTACAGCACAGTAATAGGACCCCTCATTCATCTTCTTCTCTACTGTTCTGGTCACAAGGTATAGTTTGTGTTTGGAAAATCCTAGCCTGGGTTGCTGAAATCAGTAGAAACAAAGCATACTCTATAAAAATATGGTGGTGATATTTAGAATCACAAGTTAGAAATGAACTTTTCTCTACATTGGAAAATCTAAGGAACAGTGATAATTTTATACCAAAAATTACCTGAGTGTTTGTTGCCATGACAGCCTTTAGTGATAGGAGGCAAAAGGTGGTAAAAGTAGTTTCTGTCCTAAACAGTTGAAACCAATTGCTGAAGATCTTTCCTAAGTGAGACTTTCTACCATAGGTAAGAAAGATTGCTTAGGGTCATGGCCTACAGGTTTTTAAGCACCTAAGTTCCCTTATTCAAGACTCAAGATCCCAAAAACAAAGTGGTTAAAGTTAAGGTTTCAGTCTTTGACAATAAAGTTAACCTGCACTTTTGTATCACATTAATGCCACTGGTCATATTGTGAACCATTAACTGCAATTTGTAAGTCTCAAGCTGTGTTCCAAAAGGGACCGACTGTCTAGTACTAACACCCAAGAACACTGGATACTAATTTGTTGATATTATTGATTAGGGTTCTTTTCTTGCTTTTGATTTTTTTATTAATTAGTGATGATAATTACTTTTATTTCACTGAGATAGTGGTTAAAATAAAAACTCTTTCTCTCTTTCTCTTTCTCTTGATTCTTCAAATAAATAGTGCAACAGTCAATAGACGGAAAATTCTTTGAACAGCAGGGATCATATACATGCTCTATTTTTGGTGTCTTTCCAGTGTATTGCACACCACTGGTTGGTTGTTGTTGACTGCCCATCTTAAAAGACACTTTCAATGAACTTCACCTTTCTATTTACCTAGAATTCTGGAAAACTCCATATTAGATTATTACCTACATAATTTTCTCTTGCCTAGATAATATGTTTAAGCAATTTTGAGTTTTTGAGAAAAAATACACTCCCCACAACCTATTTTTAAGTCAATTTAAGTTCAGGAATCACACAGAAAAAACTGCAGCTTTCTTGATCTAGTGTCATTTCTTATGGGTTCAATGAGAAGTTCCTGAGAGTGTCCTTCCGAGAAGCATAGGAACAGGAAGTCATCATTTGCCATTTTTTTCATGATTAAAAACTTTTACAAGTTAATAGTTGGACTACGAAAATGAATACCTGCTGTCGGCTATCTAGTATCCCTGGCTAATATTAAGGAATAATGAAAATATCCTCTTTCCAATGAGCATGTGGATTATCACATTATTATTCAAATGCTAAAGAGAGTCACAAAAGCAGTGATTTGGAGTTTTATCTTACTAAACTGAGGATAGCTGTCTCCCTACATCTCCATTTTCCAAGTAGTGAGAAGGTAATACATTTGATGGCAATTTCTGTATTACTACTATTATCCACTGCAGAATGAGAGGAAATTAAGAGAGAGAAATTTGATGATTTAAGACAAAGCATGGAGAGTGATGTCTGGATTTAAGGAAACAAATGAACAAGTAGTCTGAGACCAAAATTTTCATCCATTAAAGCCTGCTGCTTCCTATAGGCCAAATTCAAATTCAATAGCCATTTAGCTAGGACAAAACAGAAACATTTGGGTAGGTGACCTCAGGTGAAGTGAAGTTTTTCCATCTTCTTAGTGAACTCCAGAACAATGAAAACTGAAAATGGCTGCTTGGCAAAAGGGCAAAATTGGCGATTCGGAATCATTGCCATCTGCTAGTGCCTGCCTTTGCGGTGTCCGGGGGAAGTTGATTATGGAGCTGTATTTGTAGCAAGCTTCAATGGAGTGACTCACCTCCTTTCTTGGACAAAAATAAAGGGTTGGGAAGGGATACCTCATTTTCTAAATATATAAAAATATTGCAGAAAATTAGAATAGGAATCTTTCTGATGACATCAACAGTGTCTAAAAAAAATGAGCCACCAACAGAGAAGGCTGGGTGGAGGTGGGACAAGATTTCTATAAAACCTGTAAGGATCATTGCTTGCTGGGAATTAGAAGGAGTCATAGTTCTAATCCTGGTTTTGGCCCACGAACTGCTGGAGGATAAGACATTTAAACACTCTAGAGTTTAATTTCTCCAGCTGCGAGTTGAGAAAGCCTTAGATGAGTACAAACAGAGCAAATTCCTGTTAGAAAGTTTTAGATGGTAAATGCCTATCAGGTAAACTTGTGTTCTCCCTGAGGACAAAAGCGTTGACTGGGCACCTACTTCGAGCCATGTTTAGGGTGCAGTTTTTGTGCAGTTCTTTAGGATGAAGTCTGGATCTTATACATATTTGATTACTTTTTGCACAGTAGTTGGCTTATCAACTGTAATCAATAAAATTTGTTGAATGAATTGATTTTGCATAAATTATCTCAAATGAATTAAATAAACCCTTTTTCTGAGGGTAAGGGAAGGGAATAGAGGTATTAGTCATGCAAATAAATCAAGATTGGATCTTTATTTAAAGAAAGTTTCTTCTTTTCCCCTCATAATTGGAACTTTCATTTTATATGATTATCAGGAGAAATGTATTCCCTAGACTCTGTCAGTAGATGGATTAGAACATTTGGAATAACTAGGAAGTTGTTTGCTCATTTTCAAGTTGTTCAGTGACTAGAATATATCTCATTGTGGGGTGTGTGGTGACATGGTATGCTCTAGCTAATTGAATCACCCAGCAAGGGCATTACATAAATTTTCAATCCTACAGAAAAGCAATCCAAGTCAGTTTTCTAATGAGCTGATTGATGGCTCTTTTGTGAACTATTTAGCAGGAACTGAAATGAACAAGACTTGATTCCTTTTACTGAATCATAGCACTTCTCCTTCCTCTCTTATTGCAGCTGGGCTGCCAAAGATGTGAATTGATACATCTACTTAGCTGCTATAGGCTCAGCATGTGCCAGAGGTTGAATATTTACTTAATGTCAAATTAGCATACAGCAGTGAAAAGTCACTCAATGGCAGTTGGTTATCAAAGTGGGTCCCTGGGCCCACAGCAGCAGCATCACTTGGGAGCTTGTTAGAATGCAAATTCTCAGATTCAAGTCCTGTCGAATCAAAAATTGTGTTTTAGTAAGCGCTTCAGGCTGATATGTGCTGAAGTTTTGAAACTGCTGATGTATGGTATTTAATGCCCCAAGAAACAACAAAGGATTTATTCTTCTTGACTCATTTATATTTTGGAAATAAAGTTTGTTACATATTAATCTGTTCTTTATGGATATCTAAACTTTAATAAACCAAAATAAGATTTCTTGTGCTCCCAACAACTCTAATGCTTTACCTCATATGTTTTGTTGTTTTAGGTGAGACAATGTCAATTCACATCAATAACTGTTGTCAGAGCACCTACTGTGTTAAGTTCTGTGGGGGAAATGCAAATGAAGGAAACTCGCTCTTTTCTTTTAGGGTCTCACAATCTAGTCGGGGAGACTGACCTAATATGAGGCCTAGTGTGCGAGGTTTATTCTCCCAGGTACTATTACTTATTATGAGCCTATTATGAGATGGGAACTAGTCTAGGCACTGGAGATAGCTCAGGGAACAAACCAAATACAAAGCCCTTCCCTCAGGGAGCTTACAGTCTAGTGGAAGAAACAGAAAATAAACAGAACGAACATGTTAGAAGAATAAACATATATTTAAATATATAAATACATAAAATAAATATCTGGCAGGTCACAAGTGCTCTGGAGAAATGCCAAACCAGGGAGGTGATAGGGGCGTGCCTCTGATGGAAACATATGGAACTGTGGGAGGCTGGTGTGTCCACAAGCGTCCTGACTTGCTGAGGCCTCAGCTCTGTGGCTGGGTAGGTGAATTTGACCAAGTCAAATTTTCTTTCCATGTCTTTGTTTCCTTGGTTCTAAAAGAGTCTGAGGTGGGGCTAATATTGTGATTTGAAAAAGTCCTTTGGTGACTGTGTAGGGTTGGGTGTGGTGGGAAGCCAAGCTGGGGGAACTCTGTGTTTCCTGCTCCATCCAGAACCATAAGCTATTTATAGATCAGCCCTTTGGTGTAAGTTTTTGTTTGAAAAAATGTTTTCCACAGCTGAAGAAAAAAAATAAACCACTGAACTAGATGATCTCAGGTTTGTACCAGTTGTGGTTCTATAGTCTTTACTTCTTCCTTAGGATTCCTTAGTGGGAAGAGATACTTTGTTTTTTGTTTTGTTTTGTTTTTGAGACAGGGTCTCACTCTGTTACCCAGGCTGGAGTCAATGCAGCCTCGACCTTCTGGGTTCTAGTGATCCTCCTGCCTCAGCCTCCTGAGTAGCTGGGACTGCAGGTATGCACCATCACACCTGGCTAATTTTTAAATTTTTTTGTTTTGAGGGGGTCTCACTTTGTTCAAGTGGTCTTGAACTCCTGGGATCAAGCAATGCTCCCACCTTGGCCTCTAAAAGTGTTATAGGATTACAGACGTGAACCACCATGCTCAGCCAGAAAGAGATATTCTGAATTATTTGCAGGAAGCTGTTATGGAACTACAGGTAAAATGGTAAATATTTCTATTAAACATAGCCTCTGTTTATCACTCTACATGGAATATAAAAAATTTCTGAATTTTCCTTAAGAAGCATATATTTACTTTTTCTACTTTCTATGCTAATACAAGATCAGAGAGAACAATTACTTTTCTATGGCTGGATTGAAATATAGATTCTTTTGGACTTAAAATTTCAGAATAGATCAAATCTCAGCTGACGGAAGCAAAATATCTGATAGTTTTAGGTTCTCATTAATATTGCTCCTTAAAACTAAGTTTCACTCTTTAGTTATCTTTCTATGTATGAATATACTATGGCTGAAAATGATGTCTTCTCCCTAATCTACTACGGCATGTCTTGCTAGCTTAGAAACATTGCATGGATGTTACAAGGAACATTACATGAAACATTACAAGGTTGATATATATTTTTCCAAACAGAAACCAAAAGAATAATACTGAACTAAATGACAAATGGGAAACCTGTTACTAATTTGAACTGGAAACTGATTACATTTTACTTTCACAGCTACTCACCAATGCTGCCTTAATGAAAAGCTCTTCCAATTGTCACTATGGCTTTCTTTTTCCCCACCATAGGTAATTTTATTTTATTTTATTTATGGGTGGGGGGAATATTTAATATCTATTCTCTTAGCAAATTTCAAGTACAGTGGAGCATAGGTTAACTATAGTCATCATGCTGTACAGTAGGTTGCAGAACTTATTTATCCTGTCTAACTGAAACTTTGTATACTTTCTGAACTCCCCATCCTTCCCTTTCCCCCAGGCTCTGGTAATTACCATTTTACTCTCTGCTTCTACGAGCTCCAGTCTTTTGGAGTCCACATCTAAGTGAGGTCGTGCAGTATTTGCCTTTCTGTGCTGGGCTTTCTTTATTAGCATAATGTTTTCCAGATGCATCCATGTTGTTGCAAGTGCCAGGATTTCTTTCTTTTTAAGACTGAATAGTGTTCAATTTTTAATACATAAACCACATTTTCTTTATCCATTCATTGTTGATGGACACTTAGATTGATTCCATCTTGTGAATAACCCTGCAGTGAACACGGGGTGCAGCTCTCCCTTCAACTACTGATTTCATTTCCTTTGAATATATATCTTGGAAGTTGGATATATCCTTTGGAAGTTGGATTACTGGATTCGATGGTAGTTTTGTTTTTAATTTTTTGAGGAACTCCTATATGATTTTCCATAGCAGCTGTACTATTTTATGTTCCCACCAATAGTGTACAAGGGTTCCCTTTTCTCTACACCCTTGCCAGTATTTGCTATCTTTCATTCTTTTGATAATAGCCATGTTATTATTATTTTTTGAGACAGGGTCTCTGTCACCCAGGCTGGAGTGCAATGGTGCAGTTTTGGCTCACAGCAACCTCCACCTCCTGGACTCAAGCGATCCTCCTGCCTTCCAAGGAGCTGGAACTACAGGTGCATGCCATGACACCTGGCTAATTTTTGTGTTTTTGTAGAGACAGGGTTTCGCCATGTTGCCCAGGCTGGTTTTGGGCCCCTGGGCTCAAGCCATCTGCCTGTCTCAGCCTCCTAAACTGCTGGGATTATAAACATGAGCCACCACATTCAGCTGTTAATAGCCATTGTAACAGGTGTGAGGTGGTATCTCATTGTGGTTTTAGTTTGCATTTCCCTGATGACTAGTGATGTTGATCATTTTTTATATGCCTGTTTGCCATTTGTATGTCTTCTTTTGAGGCATGTCTATTCAGGTCCTTTGCCCATTTTTAAACTGGGTGATTTGTTTCCTTGCTCTGGAAACTATGGCTTCTTTTAATAAGAATTTTACTAGTTTTATCATAAGCTGAGTTTAATAAGCTCAGCTGTGACAATTATGTATAAAAATAAGAGAATGCCAAAAGCACACTAGCTGAGCTTTAGTCAAAGTCCCTGTGAAGTGAACCTCATGCAGACTTAAAATAGTGGGTGACTTGGTAAAGTGGCAGTTCACTGCAGTGCAGCTCATGGAAGGAGGGGCCCAGTTATGACTTAGCAAGGTAATTGAGGAGATTAAAAAGGAACAAAGATGGAAGCTGCTAATTGCAACTTAAAAAGGGCATTTAGAACCTAATTCCAAACATAAGATATGATTGATCTGTTCCTGGGAATTCTTTTGTGCACTTGGAGGGTTTTAAGATCAATTAAATCTTTGCATCTTAAAAATAATGATCACAAGGAAGAAGAAAAGTTAAAACAAGGAAAACAGCATACTGGCATAGAACAAGCTATTTCTGAAATATCAGTTACATTTGGATGCAAAATTTCAAGTTTTCCTTTTTGGGAGAATGTCATCTCTCTGAAAACTTATTTTGAAACCTTATTTATTTTTTTTTTCTTTTCCTGTAGTCTTCCTCTGTGGTCATCTGAAGACATCTTACTGCTTTTAGGAAAGAATAGTAAGTCCTGACAAGTCTTAGACCTTAGATAGATGGTAGTTCTATTTTTAATTTTTTGTGGAATTTCTATAAAGTAAAAGTCAATGAAAACAGAGAAAATTCCCTACTCTACTATAGCAAGATGCCCATCAGCAGAAAAGGACAGTGTAGAAGCAGATTGACACTGAATTATGGTCACCCTTGCTCAAGTAAACAAATTAATATCCCCAAGGACATCCATAAGGCTTCCCTCTCAACATCTGAGGGCTGGATTTGCTCTCTGCTGTCCACCACAGACTATATTCAACTGCTGGAACCTTGTCTGGTGCTGAATAGCCCAAGGACAGGGACGCTGCTTCAGAGACACCCACGGTCACAGTTGCACCAGCCAAATCTGTTTTTGTGCCCGTGTCTTCTCGGAGAACAGAGCAGCATATGGACGGCTTGGGCTCCCTGCCATCTGTCAAGAGTGGGCAGGACAGCACGTGCAATCCCAATCTGCACCAATGCTTGGTAGATAACACTTTCCACAGGGAAAGGTCTGCTGGCCTCAGATAAGAACAGCTTTCAAATGGGGACTATGAAAAACTGTACAACAGTCACAACTCGGTTCCACTCCTCTCAGATCTACCTAAAGCTCTCATAGTCATAACCTATATGACTTTGAGGGAAGAAAATCCTGACCCATTGCTCAGTTGGTATGGAGCTTGAACATTCACTCACATGCTATAATATCATGATCATCAGTATCATTATAAACAACAGCATTTACTGAACTGCTACCCTGGAACTCTTCCCTTTAGCTTCTAAGAACATGCACAATGTAATATCTTCACCAATGAGACACAGACCTCAGAGTCTGTGCTTGCAACCATTAGGCTTCACCGCCTCCTACCTAATCTAGGAGCTGATGTTTGTAGAAGGGTGTGGGGAATGAGCTGATCGTTGTAGCAGGGATGTGCATGGAGGAGAGGGTGGAAAGGGTAGGAAGAAACAGCATAGAGAATGCATCAGGATGTTCCATGTTGCACATACACTATACAGACAGTTCCTGATTTATGATGGTTTGGTGTAGGATTTTTTTGACTTTACGATGGTGCAAAAGCAATACACATTTAATAAAAACTGTACCTTGAGTACCCATACAATTATTCTGTTTTTCACTTTTGGTACAATACTCAGCAGATTACATGAGCTAGTCAGCACTTCATTACAAAATAGGCTTTGTGTTAGATCATTTTGCTCAGCTGTGGGCTAATGTAAATGGTCTGAGCACATTTAAGTAGGTTAGGTGAAGGCTAAGCTACGGTGTTTGGTAAGTTAGCTGTACTAAATGCATTTTTGAATTAATGATATTTTCAATTTACAATAGGTTTATTGGGAAATAAACCCGTCATAAGTTGAGAAGCATCTTTACTAAATTTCCCAGAAAGCAAATGCGGTGTTTGTTATAGAAGGCAGGGATTTGCATTAGGGGCTGAGGACCCTGCAGACGGCAGTCAGCAGCATTCCAGCTCTCGCACCCATGGGTTACAAAGGGAAAGCACTGGACGTGAGTCTAAGAGTGATGGCTAAAGTCCAAGGAGGCCAATATCCATTTCTCAGTCAGTTTGTTGTTACCTATGTGTTCTCATTTCTGGAGGAGTCAGCTACAATATTACTGTATATGTTATATAATATTTGACATCATTTTATAGAGTAATGATCTACACTAGAATTTATAAATGTGAGGGTTTGTGAAGTCACTAGGCATGTACTGAGTAAACACCAAAGAGCTGCTCTATTCAACCATCATTTGCTATCAAGTAAATTTCAGTATAAGTAAGAGAAGACTGGCTCTGACAATTGTGAGGCATACGTTGGATGATTTTTTAATGCAGCATTATAGATATGTAAGGCTATGTAGTAAATACTCTGCTAGAGCGATAATGATCATTTTAAATTTGCTTATATTGTGAAAATTGTGTATATGGGAGAGTCAGTACCTAGGGGAAAAGGAAAAATTTCAGAAAAAAAACTAAAATAAGCACGTTTTTCTTTATATATTGTGGATATGAAAGGGTAGTGGTGGTGGTGAAGACTGTAGAAAGGAGATAAAGAAAAGGAAACCAGGTTCAAGGAGCCGCTGTACCCCACTCCTTGGCTCTCCCTCCTTCATAATCATCAGCAGTTGTACTAAAAAGAAAGGAATCAGTTTTACAAGTTTCCTTAAATCTGACAATGAACTAGAGGATCTTATATAGAAGGAAGTGCTAGGATAACATTCTGAAGAATCAAGATTGCTTGCATATTTGCATTTCTTTGGTTCTTGCAATCATCTCTCTATTCAAGCTGAGCTGTGAAATACACCATACCTGTTATTACTGGGCTAGTGGACCAAATATGCTTTGCTGTTGTTATTCCAATATCGTGTCTGTTGCTATGAAAATGAAGCCATCCAGACTAAGATTTCAAGTACGTAAACTGAACACGGTAGAAGCCAGCACACAGAATAATTCTAATTTTGAATGAGTATATGCCAAATAAGTCATTTAACCTTTGAGTCTCAGTTTCTTCTGTGAAATAAAAATACTGTGCTAGACGTTTTCCAGGCTGTTTTTAACATATAAAAGTTAGGTGAGAAGAGATAGAAACCAACAAACAATGAACCAAACACAGACATCAAAGGGGGAAAAAAATGCCATTCAGGGAAGTGAATCACAGAACTTTGGATTCAGGAACTAGAGGTCCCTGGAAAAGCCATTAAATATGTTTCTGGAGATTTTCCCCCTAAGTTTTCTCTGAAAGAATGGTTTCTACCTGTGTTATGGGTTGTTCCAGGGACTGGCATTCTGAGCAAAGACTACCCTTCCTGGGGATCGTGGGCAGGAAGAGAAAGTGGAAGGAGGGCAACCAAGAAGTTGAATGTGACGATAGACCATAGATCTTAGTGATGAGGTCTTGAACTAGGGTGGCTGGAGGCAGAGACTGGAAAGAAGGGGGCAGATGGAAGAAATATTGTGAAGCTGAAGTTGGAAGAAAGACAAAGCTCATGAAAGATGTTGCAAGCACTAGAGATGCGTAGCTTAGGAACCTGTACACAGGGCAGCCTACCAGCACGGATCTACACAGGCTTCTCAAGAGATACACACAGTCTATCGGAAAAGTGACAGAAAAAAGAATTTGGATGCTTTGTGACATGCACAGTCCAATGAGAATTTTGTCAAAATAACATTAATACCATGTCAAGAAGACGCCTGGATATAGGTAAGTTGATCAACAAGAAAGATTGGTCAAATGGCTTTGACCTTTTTCTGGCGCTTAGTTTCATAGGCATTTTGGGTAATTTTAATCTCCTTTGTAGGCACTTGAGAAACACTTGAAATTCACACACTTCGAATCCTTACCTTTGTTTGAAGGTACCTATGGGCAAATTTGTAACCCTTAGCAGGCAAGGGAACTTGATACCATCTACTGACATTTCAAAATTTTCAAGTGCAAGGGTAGCAGTCCTTTAGTTCACTAAAAATGCAGAATGCATCACAAACAAAGCGTATAGATTCCTGGTGAGTTTAACTGGGAGATAAAACTGAAAGTTAGGTTGAGGCTAGTGAATGACTTTACATTTTGGATTTATTGGATTGGTAA
This sequence comes from Homo sapiens, assembly GCF_000001405.40. Taxonomy (NCBI): domain Eukaryota; kingdom Metazoa; phylum Chordata; class Mammalia; order Primates; family Hominidae; genus Homo; species Homo sapiens. The sequence goes on from NC_000018.10 coordinate 3,919,473, forward strand.
GAGGGAGCTACGGATGATTTTTGCCCAAGGAGGTCCCAGAGCCATAGTACTACTTTAACAAGCTAATATGGCAGTGGTGGAAAAATCCAGTGGTCAAGGTAGAATTCTTGAGTCATGCTATAAACAGGAACTGCCTGAAATGTGCTAGGTATTAAGGTGATAAGTTGTAATAGCTACAAGTGATTGCATGTTATCACAAGCCAGGCACTGTGCTAAGTAAAGTGCTTCATCTATGTTATTTCACTTAATCTTGATAGCAGTTCTACAATATTATCACTAGCATTTTATGAAAAAGTAAATGGAAGCTCAGTAAATGTGGTCCAAGGCCACACAGCAGCTAGTAAGTGACAAAGCCATGGCTGAACTTCAAATCTGTGCTCTCAGCCTGTAAGCTAAGAAAGGGACAAAGATAAGAAAGAGTGAACACATAGCACTGTGAAACAGAGGCGCAGTTAGATACAACTGCCTGGGAGACTACAGTCATCTCCCAGATGGATTTTCTGCAGGATGTTATAGACCTGAGAAATGAAATCTTCCTTTCCACATCAAACACCTTGAATGTAAAAAAGCATTTTAAAAATTCACTGGGCCCGGACACAGTGGCTCATGCCTGTAATCCTAGCACTTTGGGAGGCCGAGGCGGGCAGATCACTTGAGGTCAGGAGTTCGAGACCAGCCTGGCCAACACGGTGAAACCCCGTCTCTACTAAAAATACAAAAATTAGCCAGGCGTGGTGGTGCATGCCTGTAGTCCTAGCTACTCAGGAGGCTGAGGCACGAGAATCGCTTGAACCTGGGAAGCAGAGGTTGCAGTGAGCCGGGGGTTGCAGAGATTGCGGCACTATACTTCTGCCTTCAGCGACTGAGGGAGACTCTGTCCAAAAAAAAAAAAAAAAAAAAAGCACTGGGTATTTTCCTGATCTGTTTTCGTGATGTGTTATATACCAGGTTACCATTAGACTTACTAAAATTATAGTGGAGCATCTTCAGGTTTCCTACCTCCCCTCTGCTGCCACCGGGCATGTTCAGTTTATGCCCCACTTTTTTTCCAGAGTATATTCAGTACGTCTATCTTCACATTTCTCACCCCTTAATTTTTCCCCAATAGCTAGGAGGTAAATATGTTTGCATTGCATCTCATTGCATTGCATTGCCTTGCACTTGGCGTTCAGTTAGGGCGAAACTCTCTCTCTCCCACTCCGCTCCACCCAAGGATACACTTCAAGGTACCCAGGAAGCAATGTCTACTAATGTAAAAGGTCTTGTTGACCTGACAGCGATCAATACGCACATCTTATTTCCAGAAAGAATTACTTCTTGTTAATTGCTTCCCATTTTCAATAGTTTCACTAAACATTGAGAGCTAAAGTCTGATTCATGTTAGGAATTTTATGAGTTTTTATGTTTCTCTGGCAAAACTGAAATGTTCAATGCTGGTAACTGCTAGAAAGGATTATTAGGTAACTTTTGCCTTTTCAACAACAGCTCTCGCCATCAAAAATCCAACTTGTATGTTTATAAAACTGCAGTTCTGCTACATTTATAATCACAACATGGCCAAAGGGATTATTTATTTTTCCAACATAGTAATGTAACTTGGAATGATTCTATAGCTCAATAGAAGTAGACAGCATGAGCCTGGGAAGCATTCTTTTATAAATCACAAATGCAAGGAAAGAAAATTAAACCAGGAACTCTAACCTGGGTTTTTGTTCTAGCTTGGTCATTTTCTACCTGGGCAATCTTGGGCAAGGCGATTCAATATTCTGAACCCCATTTTCTGCAATTATAAAATGAGAAGACAACTTTAAAGTCCTGTAAGAGTTTATTTATTTGAGAAAAAAAATAAATGGGTATGTGTGCAAAGTTGTTTCCCAGAGCATGATGGTAAAATCACCACCAGAGAAACTTAAATAGTGCCTGCAGTATCTACACTAGTTAGAAAGCATGGTGTGGTGGAAAGAACATGGAATGTAGACTCAGAAGACAGGTTTGAAGTCTGGCTCTATCCAATTCTATATATAAGAACTAGAGAATGTATTAACTGGATGAGTTTCTAGTAAAAAAAATAAAAAATGCAGGAGGTTAAATGGAGACCATAGCTAGACAATCAAAAGATATTTGTCAAAGCACATTGCAAACTGGAAAGTCATGTGTAAATGTCAGAATAAATTAGATAAACTCAGGTAAGCCATTTTTAGGGTCAGAAGAGAACATAAGCACAGAAGCACATGTTGTAAGGATTTAAATAGGTCATAGAGCCAACTATTTCCTCATCTAGTTTCTGAGCTCTGCTATGGAGGTAAGCAAGCTCAGTATCAAAACAGTTAATTTGCAACAAGTAATTGGAATTAACTGTGCTAATATCAGCTTTAAACTTGATGAACGTCAGGTGGCTGTGAGACCCAGCAGGAGACGACCAGCACACAGTTAGATATGAGGTTCTGGAGTTCAGGAAGAGTGCTCTATTGAGAGATCTAGATTTGGAAAATTATAGCATGAGAGCAGGACAGTTGCCGCCTCAGACCTGAGGGGATGCCAACATTTAAAGCAAGAGGCAGAAGGGCTCCTGCAGGAGACAGGGAATTGGGAAGGCAGCAGGTTAAAATGAGGCAAGTGGTCATCAGTAGCAAATGCCACAAATAGGAAATGTGAGATCAAGACCAAAAAAGAACATTTAATTTGACAATTGGGAGATTGCTGAGTTCCTTTATCTGAGCAGTTTTGCTGCAGTTAAGGGTCCAAAAAAGCTTCGTTTTAGTTAAATAAATAATAAATTAAAAGAAAATAAGTGAGGAAAAACAGGTTTGACAATTATTTTTAGGATCTTGACAATGAATGAAAAGGAGAGGTGCCCGGCATTAAGCCAGGCACTAGGGATATGAAGTCTTTACCCCTGGAGAAGAATTCCTCAGTAATAGCATTGTCATTTGTGCGTGTTTAAGATGAAATGCTCATGTATTACTCTCTAGGGATAAAGGAAAAATAAAGCTACAATCTTTGGATTCCATTCCCCATTGTTAACGGTTTTTCTTTTGTGTCATGCACAAAATAATCTACAACTTGTTTTCTTCACTTAATACTACATGATCTTGGACATATTGCAAATCATCAAAAAGAGGTTCAAAATAATTCCTTTTAATAGCTGCATATTATTTTACCTTCTGGCTTGATCAGGATTTATTTAACTGGCCCTTTATGGAGGAATGTTTTTTGTTTCTAGCTTTGTGCTATTTGAAGTCATCTCTCAGTTATTTTCATATATATCCATTTCCATGAAGTAAATTACTACAAATGGAGTTACTTCTGGGTAAAAGGATTTAGGTAGCTTCAGATTTAATAAATACTGTCAAATTTATTTTCAAAAAGCATGCACTAGGCCGAGTGTCGTGGTTCGTTCCTGTGATCCCAGCACTTTGGGAGGCTGAGCGGGGAGGATCTCTTGAGGTCAGGAGTCTGAGACCAGCCCAGCCAACATGGTAAAAACCTCATCTCTACCAAAAATATAAAAATTAGCTGGGCGTGGTGGCGCACGCCTGTGGTCCCAGCTACTCGGGAGGCTGAAGTGAGAGGATCACTTGAACCCAGGAGGCGGAGGTTGCAGTGAGCCAAGACTGTACCACTGCATTCCAGCCTGGGCGACAGAGAGAGAACCTGTCTCAAAAAAAAAAAAAAAAAAAAAAGCACTAATTTTGCTCCCACTAACAGTGTTCATACTGTTCATTGAATAGTGTTCATTGGAGAAGAACAGGGTCTTCTCCAGTCTTACCAGTCCTGGGTATAATAAACTCTTAAATATCTTTTGGATGAAATCAGTATCTTATTTGATTTTTAAAAAATGATGTCTTGTTTTAATTTTCACATTATTATAAATAAGACTGAACAACTTTTCACATGTTTATTTGCCGTTTTTGTATTTCTTCTGTAAACTTTTTGTTTATAACTTCTGCTCTTTTTCATTAAATTAAAATTTTTATTTGTAAAAATTCATTGGCTTTATGGGAAATTATTGCTTTGTCAGTCAAGTTTTACAGATATTTTTCCAGTTTAATGTCTTTTTTAACTTGTTTGTTGTTTTTATGTAGCCAAATTTATAAATATTTTACTTCAAAATCTGGTTTACATCGTGTTTATAAAAGTTTTCCCAACTTTGAGTTTAAAAAAACATCACTTTAGTTTCCATTTTTTAAATTCCAAAGATGATTCCTTAATCTTTGGTGATACCAATTTCTATCGTGTGTCACTCTTGCTATCTGGAAGTATAACCAAAGTCCCTTACATTCCTCTGTACTAAAACAGTAATCCTGTTGTTTTGGTATTAACACATTTTTGAATAAATTTTTATCATATTGCTGATTCACTTTTAGAAAGGAGAATCATAAAATTACATCAAAGTCGTGGCATCTAAGTTAGAGACAAAACCAGTATCTTAAAGGAGATGGTGCTGGTGTTGAGTCACTATCTAATGACGACTCACCAAGCAATCCTGCTTACTGTTCAGCTCAAATGCACTGGAGAAAACATGATTCTCTAACCACATTTGAGAGTTCAGCCACATGTAGAGACATGGAACCTTCACATCTTTCCTCTATCTGTTGTTTAAAAGTGTCAGTGATGTCACAGAAATAACTATTTCATGGAGTGTCACTATTACAGAAATAGTGAGCCTGGCAGAGGCTAGAAAGCAACCGACTCTCTCACGTCATATTAGCTACATCGCCATAGAATCACTGCTGCCCCAGTGGAAAGAAGTGAAAAGCCCATTTATCATCTTGCATATACCCTCCTCAATCAGTTGCCTGGAAAACCATGGGGAAATATAAAAAGCTTTTGGTTGAACAGTTCAGAAAACAAAACCAGTTCCACTACACTCTCCCAGGTGTGGTGCCCTAGGTCCACACCCTCCACTTCCTCCCCCACTGCCACCCTATTCTCTCATGAAGCTCCCTAGATTTTCTGTTTATGTTTTCCTTCTCTTTCAAGATGCCAACATTTTCTCCACAAAGCAGTTTACTAAGTCAATGCCATTAGCATACACAAATCTCAAGTTTTGGGGGAAAAAGAAACCCTACAAAAAACCCTTGGAGGTGAACTTGTTCATTTCCTCCCCTGAAAGTGTGAATTTTTTCAGCCGTATCCCCATAAGGTGCTACCCAGCCCTTTTCCCCACATTGATGGTGATGACACATACTTGACCTTCTGATGCAGCCAAATCTGTTTCCAGGCAGTACTAATTATAATATAGTTACTTTTTCCAAGGAACTGAAATTGGAATCTTGCAATTTCTACTCTTTAGTTTTACTTCTGCCAGTGGGTGTCAAAGGTATTGTGTTTTGGGTTTTTGTTTGTTTGTTTTGCCCACCTTTTGCTTGTACTTTATGGTGACATCTAACATCTGTTCTTGAGTTGTAGATGGAAGTTCAAAATACATCATCCATGAGTAAAGTGACCCAGTAGCATTACTTTATAAAAGTCAGTTTTTGTTGCATTTTTTTTTGGAGACAGAGTCTTGCTCCATTGCCCGGGCTGGAGTGCAGTGGCGTGATCTTGGCTTACCGCAACCTCCGCCGCCTGAGTTCAAGCGATTCTCCTGCCTCAGCCTCCTGAGTAGCTAGGACTACAGGCGTGCCACACCACGCCTAGCTAATTTTTGTATTTTTAGTAGAGATGGGGTTTCACCATGTTGGCCGGGCTGGTCTCAAACTCCTGACATCAGGTGAGCCGCCCACCTCAGCCTCCCAAAGTGCTGGGATTATAGGTGTGAGCCACTGCGCCCAGCAGCTGCATTTTTATCTAATAACAGATTTGTGGGATTTTTTTTTTTTTTTAATTTCAAGATCCCAAAGAACATGTCATCTGCAAATAGGACAGTTGTATTTTGCATTACCCTCTACCATGGCCCCTGATAGTAGTCTACCCATGCTAAGAAGTTCCTACTTACCTCCACTTAGACTACTGATTTTTAACCCTCCCCAGTCACCTTCAGGCTCAGCCTTGGGGTGCCCTGGCCCTTCCTGTTATCACTCTGGTGTGCTCTGGGATTGTCATAACCTCATATTTTCAGGAAAATGAAAATGTGTATAAAAAAATTAGGAAAATAACCTCCTTTGATATGAAAGTTTATCCAGAAAATCACACAGGTCAATAGAGCTAATATGTTTAAAGACCTTCATACTTCCGGGCACACAGATCTCAGTAAGACATAGTCTGTTTTCAAAGCCACAGGTGCAGAGAAGAAAAAAAACCCAATAAAGCTCAAGTTGTTCTCATTCATTAACTACATTCAGGAAAGAACTCAAAACAACCCAAATAATTTAAGTAACTTTTGAACAGTGTTTGACTATCCTCAGGCTAATGGCCAAAGAAAGCCAGAAAGAAGAGAAAAACCAAACTGAAACCCAAGCCAAACAAAACACAAAAATCCCATTTTATCACACTGAGTTTTAGGAAATAGGTTTGTTTTCCTGTTGAGGTATGGGACAGCAATTCGGAATCATACTTATCACACTGAGTTTTAGGAAATAGGTTTGTTTTCCTGTTGAGGTATGGGACAGCAATTCGGAAACATACTTTCAGTGCATTCTAGGATTGCCTATGTGTTAAAGGAGGCTATGTTTCTCATTGCCAGAGAAGGACATGCTGGAGTGAACAGTGTGGTGTCAGATTGAAATTAGAGGTCATTGTATAAGCCAGGTCTTCCCAACTACTTCAGCATTATTGACATTTGGGTCAGAAAATTCTCAGTTGTGGAGGCTGTCCTGTGTCTTGTAGGATATTTAGCAGTATCCCTGGTTTTTATCTTTTATGCACAAGATGTGAGCAGCAGTCCCCTTCCCAGCTGTGACAGCCAAAAACATCTCCAGATAGTGCCAAATGTCCCTGGGGGCAAAACTGCCCCCTGTGGAGACTCACTAGTGTAAGCAAATGACATATATATATATATATATATACACACACACACACACACACACACATGCATGTATGTATATATGTGCCTATGTATGTAGTATTTATATGTATATAAATATATATGCCATTTGACCATATGCACATATATACATACATGCAGACACATCTCTCTCTATACATATGTGTGTATATATATATACACATATATAGATAGATACATGCAGACACATCTCCAGATAGATATCTACATAGAGCTCTCTATATATCTATAGGTATAAATATATATATACGGAGAGAGAGATGTGTCTGCATGTATGTATATACGTACATATTCACATATTTCCTAGATCTGTCTCTTGAGACTTGGCAGCAATGACATGTTAGTAGCAATGAGCACCTATAGCACCCAGGAGTTGAGTTGTAACACCATTCTTGACTAAAAAGAGCCTGGGCATTTTGGAAAAATGGTTTCTTCCAGGGCTGGGGCTGGGGCAACATGAGGTGAGCCTGTAACATGTTATGTCAGAAAGTAAGAAAAGCTCAAAAAATGATGGGGACATATCAAAATGACATAGGAGTTTGCTTGAAGGTGCTCCCTGTCACCAAATCTGGGGCAGCAAATTAAAAAAATTTAAGCAGTACAATGAATAATAATTTAATAAAATAAGATTACACAGCCCATACTAAATAAATAAATGAGAGAAAAAGAGAGCTCTTCCTTACTCAATGAATGGATCTCAACAAATGAATGTAGAATAGTAATGATTCCATCATTAGAAGATCACACAGGCTGGTAGTAATTGATTCAGGCAACAGTAATTCAATGGATGCTAAAACTAGTGGGTGAAAGTGGGTGAGTAACAGTATATTTACATCTTACAACTTTTGGAAAGACATCAGCTTGACTGAGGAACATGTGATTGTCATCTCGCCTAAGTGCTTTTACTGAAAGATCGAGAGAAAGACGTCTAAATTATGATACAGTCCAGAGTCAAATGAGCAAGTATAATTATTTTTATCAGCATCAATGCTTGGCAAAATAAATACTTGTTAAAAGAATGAATAATATATTCCTGTTAAATATAATATATGGCTGTTGTGTCAATATCAAAATCATAAAGGTGCCATCATGACATATGAGCAGAGTAACTGGCTGCAATTTTCTTAGGCTAAATAAATTTTTATCGTATCAGCAGAGAAGTTTTGAATGTTAGGCCTTCAGCTATACATATAATTTAGAGTTTTGATGCTGAAAACAGAAACCTATATCTGCTAGTAGAGTAAAGAAGTCATGTTTGAATTATTCCTTTATATTCATAGAGTCTTTAAACATGAAGTCTCACTATGGTAAACTGATGGAAATACCAACATGTGAATTTATTATTAAGGAGTAAAAGTTGTACATTTTACATTATGTCATTAAGCAGCATGAATTTTTTCCCAATATAATCCATAGGTTCCCAAGGAGCATGAATGTTTTTTAAAAATGTCGAGTGATTTAGATTTCTGTTGGCTTGTACATCAATAGTTCCTCCCTATTGCAACAGTTTTTACAAAGCTGAGATGATCTGATATGCATACCAGTCATGTTAACCAAAAGACCTTGAAGACTTACCTGCTGGGGAATTTTTGCCCCCTAAATGGCTCACCCCACCATTTGTGGTTTCTCTATGCTTTATGTAATTTAGTAGCTCACATTCCTCCGCTCGCCATCCACACACACTGCTATTTCTTTTCTCTGCTTCTTATGGTATTCTGTCTGCACTTGTATCTATCTGCATTTGTATCCAGAGCAGCATCTAATGCTCAAGACATTTGTTGAACTCATCTGACTACAACAACACACTTGTAGTTTTTCATATTTAACCTGCTAGGTATCTGGTTTATGGAACAAAACCCATTGGCTCTTGAGTTGTTGCCATGTTGATGCTCTCAAGTCTTTTCCTGGAAGAGCATTTGAACATAGAGACATATTTCTCACCTCAGTAATTATGCTGAAAGTTCATTATGTGCCTTCAAAATATTTCTAAAGATGCAAGAAAGGGGATTGGAATTAAGTGGTTTAATTTATTGATGGTTTTTAGCACAAGTGAAGAGAGAAGAAAATATACTAATAATTTAATAGTGATGATGATAATAAGAATAGCTCCGTCATATAGAGACCTTATTATGTGCCAGGCATGGTTCCAAGTGCTTCAAATACATTAGTCCATTTAATCTTGACAACACCTTAAAGTAGGTTCAATCACCCCCCAATTTATAGAGGCAGAAATTGAGCCACAGAGAAGTAAAGTAACTTATTCAAAGTAAGAAAGCTGGTAAGTCATGGAACCTGGGCTAAACACAGGTGGTCTGGCCCCAGAGTACAGATCCTCATCCACTATGCCGAATTCATATGCCTTACGATTTCTATGCAAAATTTTCCTTTGTCGCTGATATGGTTTGGCTCTGTGTCCCTTCCCAAATCTCATGTTGAACTGTGATCTCGAGCGTTAGAGGTAGGACCTGGTGGGAGGTGATTGGCTTATCGAGGTGGTTTCTAATGTTTTAGCACCATCCCCACCAGTGCTGTCTCGTGATTGAGTTCTCACGAGATCTGATTGTTTCAAAGGAACCCTTTGCTCTGTCTTCCTCCTGCTCTGGCCATGTGAAGACATACCTGCTTCCCCTCCGCCTTCTACTATCATTGTAAGTTTCCTGAGGTCTCCCAGCCATGGAGAACTGTGAGCCAGCTAAACCTCTTTTTCTTTATAAATTACACAGTCTCAGGTAGGTCTTTATATCAATGTGAGAATAGACTAATACAGTCACCTTTTTCTGTAATTTCATTTTTAGATAGAAGAAACTTAAGAGTAAAGTAAGGTTGTTTGCCTAATCTAATCACACTCTAAGCCAAGAGCTCACGGTCTAAAGCTATCAAGGTGTAGCACATTATCCCCATAAATTTGCAAATGAATTTGAAAGGAAATGAATTGACAAAGCAGATTCCACAATTCTGACCACTCCAGAAACAGAGTTAGGTCACTGTCTCTGTAGCAAAGAGAGAAGCCCCACCATGGGTTTTGGTTCAAAAGTCAAAGCTATCTTTGTGATTTTCTAAGTGCAAACACAGATGCCAATACTTGGAAGTGCTCTTCTAAACCACCTTTTGTCTGATTATAACCTTCAGCAGGCAACAGGAAGCCTTACTATGCGTTACTCTGGGGCCATTGTGCAGAGTTTGTGGGTGTGTGTACAGAAAGGGCTCTATAGATTTCTCTCTGGGGGCAGATGAAGCCCATAAACATGTTCTATTCCTATGATATGTGCATTTTAGCAGGAGAAACAGTAATACAACCAAATTTATTTCTCCCAGCTGAACTTTAAATTCTATGCTGTGGATTTTGGTCATCTACCCATGAGCAAAACTGCTGTTCGTCTAAATTTTTTCTCAAAAAATAGTGTGAGGAACATTCTGTAGATAAATATTTGTACATGCTCTATTTCTTTTATTAGGATGAATTCCCTAGAAATGGAATGACTGCACCAAAGTCTATACAAACATTTCTGAAGCTTGCAGTCTTGTACCATGAACTGCCAGATCACTCTGCAGATACATGGTGCTAGTTTGCAAAGCTTACAGTGTCACCAGGCAGTGTATAAGTAAGTGTCTGCTGGGCTAATAACACCAGGTATTATCTTAAACAGAACAAAAAGCAAACTTTGCCAATTCAATGTGTGGGGAAATGGTGTTTTATTATTTTAATGCATACTTTTTTATTTCTAATGAGGATAATATTTTATGTGCTGTGTGGGCCATAGGAAGTTCTTTTGTGAACTGTCTGCTGTGAACACATTCTTTTCCTATTTTTCTATTGACTTATATGAAACTCAGTTTTCATGAAAACAACCCTAAGTACAAGTTGCTGAGTAGTTGCCATGGGTGTGGTACTGTGCTATGCTCACTGCTATCTTCTTCGTGGCAAATATTTTCCCAGGTGGTTTGTGTTTTAAAATACCCTCTTGTGAAATCATCACTCCTATTTCTTGAGGGAGTTTTTGGAGCAGTCTGTTTTAGAAGTCTACATTAGTTCATTTTTAGCATTTAACATCTTGAGTGGGGGCCTGTGTAGGCTGCCCCTGAGATTGTGCGGATCTGAGCGTGTCCTGCAATAGGAAGGGTGCCGGGTCCCAGCCTGAAGGTACATGTACTCAGTCGCTACCCTGGACGCCACGGCCTGTGACTGTGCTGGGGACCTCAGAATTAGGTTCCAGGTGCTCCATGGGCATTGCTCTGTGCCTGCTCTTCTACGGATCCCAAAGGGACAGAACCTTGAGGGCCGACATGCTGAGGGACACTGATGCCACTTTCCAGTGACACTAAAATATGGGATCACAGTGGTCCAGAGAGCTCTTGGACACTTACCCAAGAACCTCTTGAAAACTGCACAGGATTATGATTGAGGAAAAACAGCAACGACCCACTAGCCCTCAAAATATCGTGAGGCAGAGACATTTCTCTTGTGGTTTTGGAAACTGTCTACCCTGTTGCCATGGTTACGCAAAAGCTGGTTTAAAATGGCTCCTATGTTGGCATCTGGGCTGGGGCCTAACTACCCGTCTCCACCATTTTCTCTACTGCCTACCCCTTCCTCTCCTCCAGGAAGACGGTAAGCTCCCGGCATGGCTTCTGGGTGTAGTCACTGTGCCAAGCTTAAGGCTGGGCCAGTCCCACGAACTGCTCCTGCCTCCACCGGCTCACTCTACCAAGTCTGGACTTGCCACATATATGCTGCTGCCTGGGCTCCCTTCAGCTTCTCGCCGGCATCTCACTGGCTGTCATTGCCTTTCCTTGCTTGGAGAGGTAAGACTTGAGCTTTGGCTTGGGAATTGGGGTTGAAATAGGCAAAAGCAGTCTTTCCATCTGCTTTGGCTCTGGCCCATTAGGCTGGTGGAAGCTGGGGAAGGAGCTCTTCACTCAGTTCTGCCCTGTTCACCGGGTCTGTGCCTGGGGATGAGGAATCACCTGCTTCCTCTCTGGGACTGCAGCAGAAGGGCAGGGGGTGGAAAATGGTCAGATGGTGGTTTTTAAATCTGGATATGCTTTGGCATGGATTAGGGCATTTGTTAAATCTAGATTCCTGGGCCCTGTTTCCCTTTGTCTCAATAGGATAAGGTAGGACATGAGAGTCTACATTTGTAATTAATTAATTCATTAATTATGCACAAGGTAATTCAAATGCAGCTCGTCTGGCCTTTGGAAAGCAGTGAATTTGGAGTAGGTCAAGTAGGTCACTTGTCCTGGCCAAAAGCATCTAAGGACATATTGCTTTCAACATCCTCCTTCTTGTAAACCTGAATGGCCCTTTAGCGCCACCTTTGCACAGAGAATTTTTTTTAAATGTAAGGTAATTGTAGTAATGATTAATACCAGTTAAAGAAGATTACTTTTTGCAAGTGTGGCCTATAAATATAGCACCCAGTAAGGAATTTGGGAGTTCACATTTGACTTCCAAAACCACCTTGGCCTTGATGGTGACTCATCTCCTCATCCAGAGATTGCAAGGTTGATGGATCTACAGTGCTCCAGCTTTCACATCCTCTGCTGTGCACCCTTGGTTTCTCACTCTCTTGTTCCTGCTTTCTTACCTGCACATCTCCCATAATGAGGGCTGCTGTGGCAGACACCAGACACCGACAGGCCTGGTCTCAGAAGTAGAAAGGTTGCGTGAGGGTGTCTAAAATATACTTAAGCATCCTAATAAGGCTGCTTCTAAAGTCGCCCACATGGTTAAATCCAAAGCATGTCAATATCCATTTGGGAAGGGCCCTTTTTAAAGGGCCCCTGGGCAGATGAAGGTTGTCCTGGCAGCTTGAGGTTGGTAGGTGAGTACACACATATAGCCCAGGCCAAAGAATTCATGACATCCCACCTCCCACAGATTGCAGGAGTCAAAAAGTTCCCTTGAGCAATTTTTCCCTCTAGACAGCCGGCCAATAACATCAACAAAAAGTGCCTCATGTGCATCTTCTAAGCTCAGTGGCAGATGGGAACAACCCCCACAAGGACTGTGCCAGAATGAAGCTGTGATTTCAGCCTCTAAGATGGAACATTGCAGAAATACCCTTGCGGGGGAGCCTAGGCCCTGCCCACCAGCAGAAGCCAAATCTACCTCCTGTGCTTCCCACGTGGCCAAAGGGGGTGTGGCTGACAATGGGGAGAAAGTATGAAATGTGACAAGGGCAGCAAGGACAGGGCTACATTTGGAGGAGTCCGGCCTGGTCTCTGTCAATCTATCTCATAGATAAAAAACATGAACAGGATCAGTGCAAAAACAATCACTTTCCCAGCCCTAAATACTCATTCCATGTCCATTTGACCACTTGGTGCTAGGCACTAACTGGCCAGAAACATAAAACACTTACTTAAATCAATTGGTGCACAAGTCATTAGAAAAAAAATTCAAGAAAGAAAAAGAATCAGATTCAGCTTAGATAATATGCTCCTAGATGCAGCATGGAAGCCAGGTAGGAAAAGCTGGGCCATGCCTGATTCCTACTGAAGGACCACCCAAAGGATAGACTGGGGACTGGACTCGGGGAGGTGACAGAAGTTAGGGGTTCAGCTTGCTGTCCAAACGAGTTCCCCACTTAGAGCAACATGAAAATCTCTACAGATTCCATGGGGAAACTTTTGACCTTGGGAGTTGCAGTTGGTTCAAGATAGTGGATCACTGGGTGATGCATTGCACTTGGGAATTCATGCATTTAATCAACTAATATTCTATAGACTTAGGACTTCTAACTTCAGAGGCTGTGCTCTTCCTGAGTCACCATCTTGGCCCTGTTACTAGGAGATAAAGCTAAAATAAGAGGGGAATTCAGATGGCTTCTGCCTTTCTGTAGCTTATAGTGCGGTGGGAAAATGGATGTGAATAAAATGATCAGCAAATACATGCAGTGGGCTGAGAATTGATCATCACGGTTCAGGTTGCAGAAATGGAATGTTCTCTATTTTCTCATATGTGAACTCCATTTGTTCTCAAGACCCCATTTCTGCTAAGGGGTTCAAAGGGTCTTTTTCATAACCTCTTTGGTAATTTCACAGCCAATTTAGAAATCAAGTTTGATGGATTCAAAGCTTATTGATTAATGAAAGGACTCTTGTCTCTTCTTGGGAGGTTTCCCCTCCATTCTTCCTCTCTAGGTTTGCATCTGAGAGCAGAAAAATAACACAGCAGCTTTCTGGCTGTCTATTGTTCCTTTCCTGAAAGCCTAGCCCTCCTGGTGGTTGGCCACTGGCCTTAATCACCCTTGCATCCAGTCCCACCTTGGGGAGAAACTAAAGACATGGTGTGAATGCCCCCTTTCTCATACTCCGTTAGATTTTGTATCTGTCTGTGGTTCAGACAGAATGCAGGGATAGAGGAAGAGGTTGGCTAAAAGGAGAGAGTCTGATACAATGTTTTCCAGTAGCCATAAAAAAGTTGGTAGATTAGTCAAAATGATAGTGTTTAAAGAGACCCTATCTTCCTCCACAGTATCCCCAGTCTCCTATAGTCATACTGTCAAAGGGCATCAATGAGGTGCCGAGTCTGGGGTCACTCGAGGTCATTGGAGGCCATTAAACATTAAATGATGGATTTGAGCCTCTGCCACACTCAGTAGGCAGCAGCCATGCAAGGAGGGCAGTCTCTCTGGGTAAATCTTCTAGGTAAGAGTAATTTTATTTAGTGAATTTGCCTAATCACTAAAAAATGGAACAGTATTTACTAAAAGGATGTAGTGACAAAGTACAGCCTTTTCCCTTAAAGCCTTCTTCATTCATTTTAATTAGTGACCACAGCCACGACACTGTAAAAGTAGATTGCAGTGATGTGAATTTCCCTAAAGGTTCTAGTTCTGAAAAGAATGCTTTCAAGGCCTGTACATGTTAGACAAGCCAGGCAGCTCCCTGGAAAGGAGAAACTCTCCAGAGGAGACTTGCAAAGATGAGTTAATTCAAACTCATAATCATCGACCGATTCATTCCTCCACTCACTCAACAAATGTTTAAATATCTAGGGGCATCTGCTATATGTTGGTATAGATGGATTGATGCAGGGATGTATGGAGAGAGAGAGGGAGGCAGGGAGATAAGAAGAGTGGCAGACAGAGAGAGAGAGAGAGAATAATACGTATTATAGGGAAGGGGTATTCTATGCCTTCAAAACACTTACAGACCTTTTGGTGACATAAGAGTATACATATACACACAGTAAAACAATATTTTCAGAATTAAGAGTAATGGCAGACAGCAGTATCAAAGATCACACACGCTGTCTATGTCATGATTTAGAACCAAACAGAGGCCAAGGGAATGGAAATGACTGACCAACGAGGCATAGCCAGGGCTGGTCCTGGGTAGGCCGTGAAGGGGAGATAATATGTGTATAGACACAAAGACAGAAAGTGTTCATGGAGCAGTGACTACACAAGTCTGGCTGGAGTGAGAGGGGTCTTTTCAAAAGAAGCACGAGGCAGTGTGATGAAGGATCAAAAGCACAGGTTTTAGGACAAAGCAGTTCTGAATTCAAACCCCTGTTCCATTTCTCAGTGCTGTGTAGCCTGGAGCAGTGACTTAGCCTTGTTGTGCCTCAGATTTTTTAAATCTTTGGAACTGGAACAAAATCATCCGCCTAATGAAGTTTCTGTAATGATGGTAGAAAAGAATACATACTGGCCTGGCATAGGCAAATGCCAGTTCCCTTACCTCTTGTACACAATGCTTTATAACACATAACACACTTCCATAGATACTAGCCATTTGGCCTTCACCATAACCTTGTGACATGGATAAAGCAGGTATAAATATCCTCATTTTATGGGTGCTTGGAGATTTTTACTATACACCGCTCCTTAGGAAAATAGAGAGAAAGAAATAAATGGAAAAACACTCTACGATTAGCTCAAACAAAGACTTGAAGATTAATTAAGTGTTGGAATTTAATTCAATAGGTAATAGGATACCATTGAATAGTCTACACCAGAAAAATGAAAGGTTAGCAGTATTTTAGGAAGGGTAATCTGGCAGTGGTAGGCAAATTGGATGGAGAAGGAGTTACTCAAGTATGCCTCTAAGGCAAGTATTTTGGGTGTTGCTGCTAATAGAAGTATCAAGTTACTACGTCTCAGGATGGGCTGCTGATGCAATTTGACATCATTTCCTGATCACCAAGAAGACATGTGCAGTGGTCCATCTGCTATTCTTGTTTGCCTCTTCCTCCCTTGCAAAGTGATGATAAAGATAATGACAGTAATACAAATGACATAATAGCTAGGGGTCTATGTATCAACAGTGCAGTGGAACTGTGTTTACATAGTAAAACTGAATCTTCAAAATGTTGAAGATGGGGACTGTCATGATCAGAGAAGTTGATAACCGGCCTAGGGTAACAGAGCTAGTGTTGAGAATACAGGTTTGAAACGAGCTCTCATTCGAAAGTCTAAGCCTTTTCCACTCTGCCATTTTCCCTTCAGGATTTGGGAGACTGTCTTTTATCACAGCAAAGGAAATATTTTATTTATACAAACTCTGCAAGAGAGTCAAACCCCCAATGTTGGCTTCCTTAAGGACTTTATTGATGGCACCAAGAAAAGACTTAACCAGCCCACAATACAGAGTACTCTCTTGAGGGGCATTCCAGCCTCTGCTGGGGTCACATTGCCATCTTACAGAGTCTTAACCTGTGACAGGGGTACAGGCTGAACCCCCCCAGAGACTTATCTGCCACATCAGCCTCCTACTACTCTTTCTTTGCAAGCCCAAGTCTGCACAGACAATAAGAGTATTTCTAAGACACAATCTCATACTGATGTGAATCTGCTGAAAGCCATCTGTTTTCTCTGGGTCAAGAGTGAGCTCTGAAGCCCAGTGATCAAGGCCTTCATCACCTGGCCTGGGCCTCTCTCAGCTCCACTCCTTGCTCTACAATTTGCCCCCAAGTGACACATAAAATTCTTCTTTGCCCCACAGACCATGACATTTCCAGTTGGTGCTGAGCCTCTTCCTTTCCTGTACCTTTACATTTTCATTTCCCCAATTCCTCCTAATAGGGGCAGCATTTGAAAAGGATGGCTTCCCCCTTGTTCCAGAATAGGTGCTTCTTCCCCCAAGTGCCTCCATAATTCCATATGCATTTAGCCATTATTTCCCAACAACACTGTATTAAAGTCTCCAGGACATATTCCTGTCTATTAGATTGTGAATACCTTGAGATAAAGTTCTATTGATTGATTCATCACCTTTGCATAATTTCTGGCCAGTAGTAAAGATTTAAATATGATGTTTGAATGAATAAATGAGTGAAATGTTCTCAAAAAGCATTCTAGAAAGGTTCCTCCAGTACCTCAATATCCACAAAATGATTCACAATTTGGAGGCATATATGGGGTAATGTGGCAACTGTTAGCTTACCCAAGAACAAAGAAGCAGGAATGATGAACCATCACTGAGAAGCTCTAATCAGGAGGTTGAAATCCAAGGAGGGTGGGTGGAGGGAGGGACACACACCTGTTCTGTGTGGGCATTGGAAACTAGTCAACTCTGACATGTAGGCCATGCTCCTTGGCTCTTATTTAAAACCAGTTTGCAGAGAACTAATGGAGGAGCACGTGGAAAGTGTAATGCAGGGAAAGAATAAGCTCTACATGGAGGCTGAAACATGGGCACGCCCTGGAGAGGCCAGCTTCTGAAATAATGTACGCAGGAAGGGAGGAGATTGCTGTACACCTCATGACTCGATGTGTGCTTTCAAGCTACTACATTGCATTTAATGCAATTCCTGCTTGCATAACATGATAACAAACGTGTATTAGTCTGTTCTCAGGCTGCTAATAAAGACATACCTGAGAATGGGTAATTTGTAAAGGAGAGATGTTTAATTGACTCGCAGTTCCACTGTGATTGTGGGGAGGCCTCACAATCATGGCAGAAGGTGAATGAGCAGCAAAGTTACGTCTTACAAGGTGGTAGGCAAGAGAGAGCCTGTGCAGGGGAACTCCCATTTATAAAGCCATCAGATCTCATGAGACTTGTTCACTACCATGAGAACAGTATGGGGGAACCTGCCCCCATGATTCAATTATCTCCACGTGACCCCGCCCTTGATACAGGGGAATCATTACAATTCAAGGTGAGATTTGGGTGGGGATACAGCCAAACCATATCAAACCAGCACACTTACAGTTTAGCTACCCAACATGTTCACCTCTCTGAGATGCAGTGCTAAATCAGAAGTAATCGAATTTAGCAATGATAAATCGGATATGAACAAAGTAGCTGAGTTTATCACAAAATTTATGTAATAAAGCTTATGCTGTTTCCTTATAGGAAGTCCCATCAGACACCTACTCAGAGCCAATTTATCTTTATTTCACACGTGATTCTAGAAGGGGGTGGACACATATAATAGCGATTAAGCGTGAGGGCTTTGGAGCAGACTGCGTTCATTCCAATCTGGCTATGATGTTTGCAAGGTGAGTCACTGTAAGCGAGCTCTTTAGACCCTCTGCACCCCAGTTTCCTCAGCTGTACAGTGGAAACATCAATAGGCCATACTTACAGGGCTGTCATTAGGATAAAAGTACTCAGCAAGTATTAGTTATTATGAAATGTGGTTATCTAGCATCTAATCTCACAGTGAATTTGAAACAACAGTGAGGAAAATGGTGTTAGTAAGTCAAGTGTGCTGAAAACTAAGGCAACTGAAGTTTGGCAGCAACACAGGCACTAGAAGCCGAAACATACACGTTAAAAAAGGGCAATAGTTTGGGGCTATTGGCCCAGTCATTGGAAAACATTAAAAACTCCCTGTCCTTTTGAAGCTTTCATCTGACTAGGGAGCTGAACATGAAACAGAAGAATGCATGGGGGTTGCAGCTCAGTGGTAGAGATTTGACTGCAGATGAACACATAATACCAGATACAACAGGAGGTATGAGGGAAAATAAAGAAGGGCCTGGGGAGAAGAAGTGTAAGGGGATGAGAAAAAGCCTCTCTGAGGAGGAGACGTTCAAGCTGAGACTTAGATGTATGAGAGTGCGACGCATGTAGAAATCTGGGAAAGGGCATTCTTGGCCGAGGGAAGTGCAGGTGCAAGGTCGCGAGCCTCTGTTGTACTTGATGGGTTTTTAGATCATTAGAATCCTACTTCTATGAGGGAGACTTGTTTGTCTATTTCATTCACTGCTATACCCCAGGTGCCCAGGAGAATGTCAGATAGATGGTATTTGCTCAGTTAATATTCTTGAATAAATGAATGCAAGGAGACAGGAGTAGCTGGAGCATTGGAAGCAAGGAGAAGTGTGGTGCAAGAGGAAGTTCACAAGACAGCAGGGTGCAGACCACGTGGGGCCCATGGGCCATGGTGGGGACTTCAGAGATGCTCTAAGAATAATGGGAGGTGGCTGGAGGCATGCTGGCTGCTGGGTGGGAATACACAGTAGTGGACAAGACTGGAAACAAAGAAAGCAGGTGGCAGAATAATCCAGGCTGGAGGTGATTGGGCTTGAACTAGAAAAGGGACAGCGAAGGTGATGACAAGTGCCCCAGTTCTATGTATACACTATGTTCATCACTGCATAACTTGATAGAGGATGAAACTGGAGGAGGACTAGTTCACCAACAGTAAGGGAATAGACAGGGAAGAGGTGGCAGAAGTGTATTATTGAAAATTGTGCAGCAATGAACCTAATAGCAAACAGAAACAGGGATAAATATTAAAAATGTGGGCCAGTGGCTTAGGTGGGTGGTGGCTCATGCCTGCAATCCCAGCACTTTGGCCAAGGTGGGTGGATCACTTGAGGTCAGGAGTTCGAGACCAGCCTGGCCAACATGGTGAAATCCTGTCTCTATTAAAAATACGAAAGTTAGCCCTGTGTGGTGGTGGGCACCTGTAACCCCAGCTACTCAGAAGGCTGAGGCACAAATCACTTGAACCTGGAAGGTGGAGGTTGTAGTGAGCTGAGATTGCACCACTGCATTCCAGCCTGGGTGACAGAGTGAGATTCTGTCTCAAAAAAAAAAAAAAAAAAAAAAACCAACAAAAAAACACCAAAAAAACAAACAAACAAAAAACCCCCCAAAAACCAAAAAACAAACAAACAAAAAAACAAGTGGCATAGAATATACATTTTGGAAAAATACCTATGACACCATTCTGTTCATGTAATTTAGAAATGACCATTAAACCTCATGTATCTTAGTATCTTACAGGGATACATATCTACATATCTGCATATCCAAAGATAAATTTCATGCTCTTTTGAGTTGATGTTTAGTGGAGGCTGGGAGTGGAGGGGTAGTGAGGAGAGGAATGTAAGGAGAAATTGAGATAAAAGGAATAATAATAAAAAATATGGTGGTAATGTGCCACATCAAGGAATGCATTTAAATCTTGGCTTCTGAGGCTCAAACACAAAGAAAACAATCCCTTTGACCCCAACCATTAATGACCAATTTCTCTGTGAGGACATGTAATTTATAAAATCATTTTACTTTTGTGGTATGTGTGGTCCCTAGCTTCCTAAATTGTCCTCAACAATCACTGCCTCCTACTATTCATGCACCTGTTTAGTTCTTTCTCATGCTGAATAGGGCTGACCTGCAAATCAATGGGATATTACAGAAATGACAATGTGTGACTGCCAAGGCTGGGTCATAAGAGACATTTTGGCTTATTCCTTATTCTCTTGGATCAGTTGCTCTGAAGGAAGCCAGCAGCCATGTTGTAAGGAAACTCAAGCAGCTCTGTAAAGACGTCTACATGGTGAGGAACTAAGGCCTCCTGCAAACAGCTACCATGCAATTGCCAGCCACATGAGTGCACCATCTTGGAACCAAATGCTCTAGCCCCAGTCAAGTTTACAGATGAGTCCTGCCCACATCTTTACTGTAACCTCATGAGAGACTCTAAGCTGGAGCACCCAAATAAACTACTCCCGAAATTCCTGAGTCACAGAATCCCTGTGGGGTAACAAGTGATTATTACTGTTTTAAGTTGTCAGTGTCGAGGTAATTTGTTATGCAATAATAGATTAAATGGACCCTATTTAAGTCAGTGCTCTGTACTCTTTCCTTCAGAACTACTTCACTAAGAGTTGTTGAGAAGTAAAAGGACTGTCTGGCTTGGGACTGATTCATTGCTTCTCATTACCTCCTCTTTCCCTTCTATTGGAAAAAGTGTTAAAAGCCATAATTTAAGTCAAAATAAGTAACCACCTAGTTCAGGTAAAATCAAGTCGTATAAAACTGGAGCATATAAAATCAAATGTTGGCACTGCAGATAACCGTAGAAGCATCCTTAAACAGACAAATGAGTCCTAGGATTCCACAGTGGTTTTCATTAATGCTTCCTTTTCTATATCATGTAGACCTCTGAAAAATCATTGCCTTACTTTGAAACCTTTTCTCTTTCCTCTCTTTACAACCTTTTAAGAGAGATCTATAATAGTACCCATCAAAAACTGATAGCTTAAATGAGTGAAATAATTTTGCATTTCCTCATTGTTAGTAGGACTTAAAACTTTCCCACAGTGACAGAGAGACAGCATGTCCTGAGGGATTGGCATATGAAAGATCCTGTTGGTCTATTGAGCAGCTCGGTGGGAGAAGTGAACACCTTAGTCCATCACAGTAAAGAGAGCCACGAATATAAAATGGGAATGGCGTTTTCCTCCCTTGTTGGAAATGATGTCTACTAGTTTGCCATACTACTTTAAATGTACAGTAAGGAAAAAACTGTCATGATTAAATTCTAGTAAATCAGAAAACCAAGAATGCAAATAGAACCGGTAACTGGAGGTACAAACACTTACCTTTGATTGAATTCAGAATTTGCTGGTGATCTCTGCCTGGCCAATGGTTTGCACTTGTCAGACAGGGAACACTGCAGTAGGGTTTGGGGCTCACGATGGAAACAGAACCCACTGAGACAAGGAGGGGCCTGGCTGCAGTTCAGGCTGCAGGATGTGTGACCCCTTCCAGGTAGCCATGAGGCCTGAACTGAGATGTTCACGAGAATGTTGGAAACAGGAACCAAGGTTGGGCAAAGTTAGAAGGAGTCTTAACAACTGGCTGATAAATATTAATAGAATAGGCCAGAGGTTGATTCCCAGAATCTGTAGAATTCCAGAAAGGACAAAGAGGAAAATTATAAAATCAGAAGCCTGGAGGACCCTTGGGATTCAGAGAGAGAAATATCTTCTTTATCCAAGATAACAGTCATCACCTCATTAGCAATAACAGAACTTAATATTTTTTGTAATATAAAAACATTTTTTTCTGGAAAAGGTACATAACATTATATTGTAATTATAAGTCCTTATTTTTGAGACAGGGTCTTGCCTTGTCACTCAGGGTGGAGTGCAATGGCATGATCACAGTTCACTGCAGCCTCCACCTCCCAGGCGCATGTGGTCCTCCCAACTCAGCCTCCCAAGTAGTTGGGACTGCAGGCTCATGCCAGCATGCCTGGCTAATTTTTTAAATTTTTTGTAAAGACAGGGCCTCACTACATTGCCCAGGCTAGTCTTGAACATCTGGGCTCAAGCAGATCCTCTCACCTCAGCCTCCCAAAGAATTATAGGTCTTTAATCATCTGAGGGGAAATTTGAGATGATGATGAAAATTAGACAAAGACAATCACCAGGTCTTTCTTAGGAGAGAGACAACATGTATAGTGAAGATCATGGGTTTTGGATTTAGGTAGTGGTCCTGTTTCATCCCAACTTTGTGACCTGAAGTGAGCTAATGAGCCTCATTTTCTAGAAGTTAGTATTTATGAAGAGCCTTCACTATAAGCCAGGCACTGTGCCTAGGGATTTACATGCATGTTTCCAGTATGTTCCCACAACAGCCCTCTGAGTGTTGCTATCTTCCAATTTATGAATGAGGAAACAGGCTGAAAGAGAGGTTCAATCATGTGTCTAAGTTGTTGAAACTAAAACTGCTGGTGTCGGAAGGCAGGCGTCTGACTGCACAGTCGGAGCTTTCCACCTCTGTATTACAGGACCTCCAGCCTCGGAGGGGAAAGCTTCAGAATACGTTTTCCAGGTCCTGGTGACAGAGGAGATGATCTTGGGAAATTGTATTCAGACTAGTAAGTAAGTTCTAGGAAGGATCAACAAAGCGATGGCATCTGAATTTGTGCCAACCAAATTTGTCTTAGGAAGGGCTGCAGTAACTTGGTCTCCCATCCGTCCAAATAGAATGGAAAAAACTGAACAGGATAAAGTGCATCTGCCCCTTCACAGTGAGCCAAGCCAGCCTGGAGCTGGAGTTAAGACCAGAAACCTTTAATCTGTTCTGGGCTTTTGCTTTCCTGGAGGGCAGAAATTCATTTTGAACAGTACCTAACACTTACTAAACAGTAAATGTTTCTTGAATTGAAAAATGTTTCCAAAAATTATTTGTTTTGTTCAAACTATGAAGATGCATTTTTTTTCTGCTATGGATATACCGTCTAGGGTTTGGGTACGGGAGTAACGATTTGGGTAGAATTTTGGAGCTGGGACACCAGGTGGGGTGGATTCAGCCTGAGGATGATAATCAGAACCAGCAACATTTTTGTTTTTTTTTTTCCACCTAAGCAATCTCTTGATGCAGCTATTAAAAATAAATAGGTAGTTTCATCTTCAGCTTTCTTTACCTTTCACTTTCAGAGAAAATTGGTTACCATTTTCTTTGTGCTCTCCATTCGGTTCTCTATTTCACATGTCTTTTCTGGTTATTTAGTTCCCTGGCATCAATCTCCTATCTTCAACTTCACCTGCTCTTATTGTCTTCCCTTTCTGAATCTGCACGCCTCTGTCATTTTCCATGGATCAAGGAGGTTAAATTGACAAATAACTGTTTTTGAAAGAAGAAAGGGAAAAAGGAACAACAAACTTCGCTTGGATGTTTGGAAGTCTGCCTTCACAGATCGCCAGGCTTTGCTGACTTATTTATAAAAGACTATTTTTATTTTGGTATCATCAAAGAGCTTATTCATGTCAAGGTTTTTAAGGTGATAAACTGCAAAGATGGAGGATTATCTACTGTGAAAGAGAGGGTTTTTTTTTTTTTTTTTTCTGGCATGAGGAAAAGAACATCACTGCTAGGAAATGGTCTGGGCCTAACACCAGATTACTCCTTTTATGAATTTGCAAATCGGTAGAACTGGTCAGTCATTGGAAAGGGGAGATAACTCAGAGAGTATCAAGCATACCTGAGAAAAACTGGCATGAAAAAGAAACCCAAATTAAAATAAAACAGCCTATAATTCATTTTTTCTTTCTAAATGAGACCATCTATTTGGGTTTGTGTCCTTTCCAAATTCCTAAGTTGAATTCCTAACCCCCAGTGTCTCGGAATGTGACTGTACTGTATTTGGAGATAGGGCATTTAAAGAGGCAATTAGGTTCAGATGAGGTCCTATGGGTGGGCCCTAATCCAACATGACTGGCTTCCTTAGAAGAAGAGGAGATTAGGACACAGACACACAGGGAGGACCATGTGAGGACAGAGGAAAAAGACAGCCACCTGCAAGTCAAGAAGAGAAGTCTCAGAACAACTCAACCCTGTGAACGCCTTGATCTTGGACTTCCAGCCTTCAGAACATAAGGAAATAAATTTCTGTTGTTTAAGCCACTCAGTATGTGGTACTTTTTAATGGCAGCTCTAAGAAATGATTCCAGTCTCTCGTGCACATTTCATCACTTCTGTACCCATAGGACGTGTGTGTGTCTGTGTGTGTAGTGACGAGATGAGATTGAAGAAAATGTCTTTATCTTTCTAGCTCAGTACTCCTCAAAATGAAAGTAAAAAATAGTGCAAGGGCTGGATGCGCTGGCTCACGCCTATAATCCCAGCACTTTGGGAAGCTGAGGCGAGTGGATCATGGAGTCAGGAGTTCAAGACCAGCCTGGCCAAGATGGTGAAACCCCATCTCTACTAAAAATACAAAAATTAGCTGGGCATGGTGGTGCGTGCCTGCAATCCTAGCTACTCAGGAGGCTAAGGCAGGAGAATTGCTTGAACAGGGACCTGGGAGGTGGAGGTTGCAGTGAGCTGAGAGATTGCACCACTGCACTCCAGCCTGGGCTATAGACAGAGACTCTGTTAAAAAAAAAAAGTGCAAGGTGACTGTGGCTACTGCTCCCACAGATTATTTCTAACACTGACTCTCAGCTGCCTCAGCCAACTTTCTGCTTAGAGTATGAGCTGGGGCTGAGGCCCCATAAGACTGACAGATACCGCTTCTAGGAACCATGCTCATCCCTGGGTAAGAATTACTGCTGTAATCAGCATTGTTACTGTGGAAAGTATATTTATTCCTTTTAGAATGTTGTGAAGGTAAGAAGAAGTTGAGAATCACTACTTTGTTGAGAGTTCCTTGCTGTACTTCTATCTTGGGCCTTTGAGGTGGATGGAAGGACATACCTAAAAATGGAGAAACTCACCAAGCCTTCCGCAAAAAAAACGATGAGATTGGAACCTAGCCATGGTATCCTTGGAGAAAAGTGTGAATGTGGCTCTTTTACTAACATAACAGCCAAGTTTGGTTTCCTTAAATACACAATTGGGTGGCCTTTTATATTAACTTTGTTTTCTTCTCAAAAATCTTTATGGTTTCTTACATCTAGGGTAAGAATCTCAGAGAATCTCAGCATAGCCATTGAAAGCCAGGTTCTGGGGCCAGATAAGCTGGGTCTGAATCCCACATGCTCTTAACTAACTTCTCTGTGCTTCCAATTTCCCTCTCTCTAAAATGGGAATGATGATAATATTTCCATCATCAGGTTGATGTGAGGATTTAAAGAGTTAACACATATAAAATCCTTAGGATAGTGCCTGGTATGGGAGTTCATTAACATTACTTATCAGAATATCTCCAACTGTGCCTAATAGTTTGCTTTAGGAAGAAAACAGGAATCCCTAGGCAAAGTATGAAACATCTTACAAGATGGAAGCAAGCTTGAAGCAACAAGTAAACATCACTCTTTGATCGTTCCATATTTGGTGTTTTGGGAGTATACAATAAAACACTTATAAAATGGTTACATTTGGAGTAGAATGTAGGGCTTAGAAGTATCATTGAGTGGTACGATTGGTTCTAATAGTTATGTGGAGATAAAATCAGGTTAAAGTGAATGTCAAGGTAAATCTTCAAAGGGAAAAAAGAAAGGCCAAGAATTCTTTAAAATATTTGCTCAATATCTTTTATGTAAAACAAAGATAACAGCATCTTCTTATGGGATTTTTAAGAGTTAATATGCTCCCTTGGGAGATATACCTAATGCTAGATGATGAGTTAGTGGGTGCAGCACACCAGCATGGCACATGTATACATATGTAACTAACCTGCACAATGTGCACATGTACCCTAAAACTTAAAGTATAATAATAAAAGAAAAAAAAGAGTTAATATGCTCTTTAAAGCAATGGTTTCAAATAATGGGGTTTCCTTTAAATATAATGAAAATATTACCATATAGTTATGGGAATAGATGCCACTGATAATTTTAGACCATAATTCAGAATCTGTCGATGAAAATTATTAGATAAGCCAAGACTGGGGATAATACCATTGGAACCTCATGTTCTAGAAATTGATTCTTAAAGCTTGAATTTTAATAATGCTTAATAAGTGGTTTTTGATTTTGGTAGAAAGCTATCATAGGTATACTTAATATCAACATTTGTCTGATTAGAGATTTTATGACATAGGTACTTTATTCCCTTATTTTTTTTTTTTACCTTGAGTCCTTTGGTTGCACAAATAACTTTAAAAGAATAAAAAGTGATGAATATCTAACATCAAATCCTCCTTACTCTTCATTGCTGTCTCTAAGGATGGCAGGGCAACTGGGTGGATTTCCTCTGATCCATGAATGGTCCAGTCTGACAATGTGGTGGACAGACATGAAGTATAGGGACTGTAGCTTGGTTCATTTGCTCACCACGTGTCATAATAATTATTAGACCAGGTCAGTCCAGGGGCTCAACTAATGTGTCAATGGTATGGTTTTCATAAGCAACAAATATCAATTAAAAGGAAATTAGCATCTTACCTTTCAAGTCAAACATTAAGAAGTTAAGTCATTTTCCAAGGCAAATCAAAATAGATTTGATCAATTATTTGTATGCTTTATTACTTGGTTCAATTATTTACACTATTATATTAGTGATGGGGGTTTTCTGGGAATTTACTAAATATAAAACAATCAGAGAAACAAACAAAAACACTCTTTAAAGCAAAGTATTCCCTCTGTGAAAAAAACTATCAAGTATTAAAATTAATTTGGTCTCTAACTAATGAAAACCTTTCTGGAAGAGTCCTATCATTTTCTTTGTGGCACCAAGGTTATTCATAATTAAAGGTTCTGACTTATTGCTAATAAAAGATACCAAAAATGATCTGAGTCACTGCTAAAATTCACCTTGAATTTTGATTGAAAGAAAAAAACTGATAAATTGCATTCATCTCATTTCATTTAAACCTTGACGTGATGCTTTTAGAACTTACTGCTTTAATTTGAAGATACATTTGTAGGATTTTCCACTAAGTTCTTGATATTTTAGGGGGGAGACTTACATGATTATTGGGATAAAGCTCCTTGTTTTATTCTTTGAATGGGTGTTCAACAGTAATGAAGGCAGCTAGAGAGGAGAGAGACGTCTTGACTTTCCCAATGCTCCACTCCCTGCAATCCCTAAACCCACCGTTTTTTCCTAGGCTACACACAACCACTGCATTCCAGCCTACACACATTGGGTTGGGTATAGACCAGTGTTTTTTACAACCTAAGATCTTTTTAGGGGATTGTTCCTACCAAGAAACAGAAAGAACTCTCTTTATGTGTTCAAAGCACTGAGCCGATACTTCCAAGTTCTTTCCGTTTCTTATCTCTTTAGTTACCTTAACCACAAACTAGGCTTGTCTGATCATGGTGCTGACACTAGGCTGTTCTCAGCCCTTGTCTGGCTTATCTCTTCCAAAATGGTAGATGTCTACCTCTCCCTGTCCCCTCAATCTCTGCCTCTACATGCTGTTTTGATACAATCCATCTTTCTCTTGTTTCACATAGACACTGGTCTTCATTACTCTGCACTCTGGGCATCAACCACTCACTTAGTCCCAGTTCTCAGTCAGACCAACTCTGTTCTAAACTAAGATACACATACGTATGTTAAAGGAAATGCTCAGTGACTTCTGTAAGACGTTGAAAATACTTTACATGCTTTACCACACTTTGAGGTTTAAGGGGACTCCCCCCACCCCAATTTCACTACCATTTGTGAGCTCATTTGGTCACACTCCCCCTGCAGAAAAGAACTTGCCCTATATCACATTTCCTTACTAGCTAATCTTACCGGTTGGAGAATATAATGTTAAAATGGAAAGTGCTACTACAACAAGCCATGATCTCAGAGATCCTTTTATATTAATAGAAGAATCCAGGAGATCAGGGCCTCAAAGGCAAACAAGTTACTACCTGATTTTTGAGTGAGTTAAGATTTGTAATACATCTTGTCTCTGTTCCAAATAGTGGTGGTGTTGGTGGGTGCATCTCAGGAAATAGAGGTAGTTGTGGGTGAAAGAAGTGAGGAGGAGTTGGGCCTGTAGCTCAAAGCAAAAGGTAATTGAATGCACATCCCCAAAATGGTAGGCTCAGGAAGCAAAGTACACTCCCATACATCCAATCTGCTGGGGCTTCGTTAGGAACACAGAAGAGACCAACTGAAGGGAGATAACCAAGGCCAGGCAAGACCCAGCTAGTGCTTTGGAAGGCAGAGGCTGAAGATCTTTTCCAGGCCAAAGACATCCAGTTGATGGCAACCTCATCAATTTGCCAAGAGCTTGTCCTGCTCTTGTCTTGCCAAGAGCTTCTCTTGCTGTGAATGATGCCAGAGAAGGTAGGGGCCACAGTGAGTCAAGCACACTGCCAGTTACTCAGCTCACTAGATGCTGGATCCCCCTTCCTTTTTCCACTATTGAAAATTCATGCAAAGTGGCAGGTTTGTCACCTGCTGTTAGGGTTTCACAGAATTCTTCCTCTGCATATGCCTGTGACGATCTCCTTCCTACTGCCTGCCTCTCTCCAGCACTGCAGATAAGTGGATCTAGCGTGTTGTCTTGTACAGGGTAAGAGCCAAGCACGCATGCCTAGGTTGGTGAAAGTCTATTAGGAAGAAACAACACATTCAGTAAGGAATAGTTAAAAATGACTTTCAGCATAAAAAGGAATGAATCAATGGCATTTGCAGCAACCTGGATGGGACTGCAGACTATTATTCTAAGTGATGTAACTCAGGAATGCTCTCAGTCATAAGTGGAAGCTAGGCTATGAAGCATAAGAATGATACAATGGACTTGGGGGACTCAGGGGAAAGGGTGGGAAGGGAGTGAGGAATAAAAGAAGACAAATTGGGTTCAGTGTATACTGCTCGGGTGATGGGTGCACCAAAATCTCACAAATCACCCCAAAGAACTTACTCATGTAACCAAATACCACCTGTTCCCCAAAAACCTGTGGAAATAAAAAATTTTAAAAAAATAAATAAAAATATGGACTAAGAAAAACTACATCATTATAAACCTAAACAGAAATTATCAATAATTCTTTCATAATAAAAAAGGAATATGTTTCCCATAAAAAAGGCTTTCAGGAAGAATATTGTTATGAAGAAAAGTTTAAGAAAAAGAGGCACCAATAACACAGGGCCCTGGACCTTCATACATGATATCATTCAGCAATACTTTGCTGGCTCTGTGTCATACATCTGTCTCTTGGCTCTGATCTCTTTCTTGCCCTTACCAAAGGGCTCACTGCAAACTGTATTTCCCAGCCTCCCTTACAATTGGCTTGAGTTAGGTTCAAAAAATTAGATAGTAACTTGTTTGTCCTTCAGTGGGAGGCTTGGTGGGAGCAAGAGAGAAGTCAGGGTGTTTCTTCTGCTCTGCCTCAAGTGGCTCCATCTCTTTGTAGCTCCGGACCTGGGGCTTCAGTGGTCTCAGGACCCAGCTGTGGCTCTGGGTTCTGGGTACCTTTTCCCTGTGACTTCACACCACAGGTCTAGGTTGTGTAGGCTTCCTGCTGCTAATCTGTTTTCTAGCCCTTCCCACCATCTTGGTAACAATTCCTTCTCTTAAATCACGTGATGTGGGTTCTGCCTTCCTCACAGGACCCTGGCTGTTATATCCCCATTATTTTACTATAGGAAATTTCACCAGCAGAGCGCCTCTTTGTCGATGCAGGACATCCTCTCTGAGTTATGTCTGGACTGGTTGTATATAGTTGACCCAATATAATGTGCAATTGTATTTAACATCACATAAGCAAAATATTTGACACAAACACAAGCTTATATTTTGTTCTAAAAATCTGTTATTTTCTAAGAAGATCATTTATAATATGGGTGAGATGTTAGTAATGATTACACCAAATAGCATAAATCACACTGGAAAAATATATCTTATTGAAGACCACCTGTCTACACCTTTTTTAGTCCACATGATATTTTGTTTCTTTAAGGAACACAAATTCATTTATATAAATCCCAAAACACAGATGGTAGGTGCTAGGAAAAACATTAGAATAGATGCAGCCTTTTAACAATATCTGAGATTTGAAGGCACAGTGAGAAGTGAGTTCTATATTACTGAGATTTTTTCATACCAACTAAACATCTCCATGTTCAAGAACAATCTGATCTAGGCTCTTTGCCTATTGGATTTACCACTTAAAGAATAATAGCTTGAGTACCCCTAAAAATCCCACAAAATGAGTTAATTATGACAGAAACTCCAAAAAAAGAGGCAGAGCCAGTATTTCATTATTTGTGGAGAGTTGTGCAACCATCTTTGCTGGTTTCAAAGTAAGGAATATGTTCACACACATATACTTCCTGCTGGAATGATGTTTTCTCTCCTACCTGGTTAACACCTCTCATCCTTCAAATCTTGAGCCAGTTAGCACCTCTTCATGGAGTCAAATCCCCTCTGGAACAACAGAGTGTGCCAGTACCAGGCCTAACCTCAGAAGCACATATCACACTGAAGTCTGTACTTCTTTGCTAGATTATTGGATTAGCATCTTTCTTTCCCATGACAGAGCAAGCCTCCTGAGGGCAAGGACTGTTTCCAATGTTGCTTATGACTATTTTCCTTGTGAATAGCACATGCTAAATACTCAGTGCAAACCAGTCAAATGAGTGAATGAATGAATGAATGAATGATGAACATTCATTGAGAACAGAACTTCTCAAGCTTCAGAAGTGGTGATGGCACTGGAACCAGCCCTGATATCTGCTGGGAGTGCTCCACAGCTTTTCTGAACGCTGCTTCCATTTACCCTAGTCTGAGGCAGACTCACCTGGCAAAGATTATCTGATTTTTTACCAGCCCTTAGAAGGGACTGTTTTTTATTGTGTATTCTAATTGTAGTGTTACAATAAAACTGAAAGAGAATTTTGATAGGTCAGCAATTTAAAGAAAAAATATAGGTATTGATATGAATGAACTATACGGGCTGACAGTTATCTATGGTCAAGGAATGACAAGACTGGAGGAGAGTCCAAACCTGAGAGAACAGATGAGAAAGTGTCCCTTAAACAGCACATGAAGGCAAATCATCATTCAGCTCAGAAGTTACCTTTTCTGCACTTCCTATTTAAAAAGTCAATGTTTTGGGGTCAGCAGAGCCTAGACAACAATGGAAGAAAACTCATTTAGTTCCTACATGTTTGCCCCATGGTGTAAGACTAATGCAATTGATCTAGAGCTGATTTAAGCATTAACATTCTAACCAGAACAAAATTAGCAAGTTAAAACGTGACAGTGGTTTTGCAGTGGTTCTGCATTTTCAGTACTAACCTCACATTACACACATATACAAACACATACATCAAAATACTTCTGGGGAAGGAATCTTCTAATATATTTAAGTTCATATCTTCTAATTCTTAAATGGTTGATGTGTAATTATAGTGTAAAGGTGTCTCTTGATGGATAAATAGAAAACTTTTGGACAATAGCTGTCAAAGTAATTTGAAAATGATGTACTGGTTCTTCATTTTTCCTTTTGTTTGATTTATTTATTTATTGATTGGTCCAGCTCTTCAGCTGAATTTAATTTCAAATGTATCCACTAAATTTTTTTGTAATTTCAAGAAACTCTGGTTTACAGAGAAGAAAAGTTGAGTTGGCCTATTATATGGTTTGGCTGTGTCTTTATCTAAATCTCATCTTGAATTGTAATCTGAATTGTAATTCCTACGTGTTGGGAGAGGGACCTGGTGGGAGGTGATTGGAATATGGGAGCGGTTCCCCCATGCTGTTCTCCATGATAGTGAGCAAGTTCTTAAGAGATCTGATGGTTTTATAAGGAGCTCTTCCCCCTTCACACATTTTTTTCTCTCTTGTTGCTTTGTGAAGAGAGTACCTGCTTCCCCTTATGCCATGATCGTAAGTTTCCTGAGGCTTCTCCAGCCATGCAGAACTGTGAGTCGATTAAACCTTTTTTGTTTATAAATTACCCAGTCTCGGGTAGTATCTTTATAGCAGTGTGAAAATGGACTAATACAACCTATTAACTGAGTATCAGTTTTACTGAAGATTTAGGTTATTAGAATTATTAAGACATTTTATGGAAAACACAGGATGGTAGAAAAACGTAGAGAAATTTCTATAATAGAGAGATAGTTAGGAATGTTATATTACATTCTTGCTAGTGATTAGTCGGTTTATAAGATGGATTCTAAAACTATGCGTAGGAGCATTTGACTGAAGTTAATTAACATGACTCAGATCATACAGTTTGGGGAAGAAAAAAGCATTTCCCCTCCTGAGGGATGATTTTTTACTGCTTTTATCTTTTAATGCCAGATGGGAAAATATCAAGGAAGTTCGCTTTAATCTCCTTAGCTCTTTATTAGGATGTGTCATATAATGGTACTCTGGCTCATTGGGACCAACCCTATACTCTTGGGGGGAGGATTCCCACTGAGGACGAAGGCTGTTTTAACTTCACACTATTGACCACTCCCCCTAGTGATTTGCATTAACCAGGTGCCTGAATGGAGATAACAGGGTGGCATCGGACCACGGCAAAGGGTTGATTTCCCACTTGGGTGAACTGGTTGATCATGGCCACAAACCTGTAGCCTCAGCCCCACTTAGCCTAGTGTTGCTATTGAGCCAAGGGGTGACACAGAAGAGCATGCTGAGGGTAGGAACAAAACCATGGTAAGTGGAGAGAAAAGGGTAAATGTTAATCATTTAACTGAACATATACTCATTGGTCAAGCTTCAATGAGATTATCTTGCATAAAGAAAGATGTCTATTGAATGAAATAAGTGTATGAAAGATGTTAGAGGGTACTGAACAGTTGTCTTTATTGCTACAGAATCAGAAGCAATGGAAAACAATTATAGGCAGGAGAGAGTTTACAATAAGTAAATAAGCACTTGGAATCTCTTTCACCCACCCAGGACGGATGGCTACATGCCACCTTCTTGATGTCCAGGGCCATTTTTCCTCTTAACTACTGAAGGATTCATCTGCTTCTTTTCCTAAGTTCCTACCAGGGCTAGACTCTGTGTTCTGCCCTTGGAAGACTGAAAGCCATCTCTAAGTTTATTAGTTGTATATCGAATATGCAAAACAGAAAGCAGCCTAAATTTTTCAAAAGTTAATTGTCCTGAGAAATTGCTTTACCTCAGATTTTTGAGTAACTTATTCTTTAGCTCCTGAAATGGTGTGTCCCAGAGTTCTGCTCTGTATTTTCCAAAGGGAAAATATTTTTAAATTCCTATAAGTTTAGGGGGTATAAGCATAGGTTTCTTACATGCATATATTGTATAGTGGTGGAGTCTGGGCCTTCAGCATACCCATCACCCAAATAGTGACCATTGCATGCAATAGGTAATTTTCAACACTCAGTCCCCCTCCCACCCTGCCACCTTTTATAGTCTCCAGTGTTTATTATTTCATTCGATATGTGTATGTGTGCCCTTTGTTTAGCACTAATTTGTAAGTGAGAACAAGTGGTATTTAACTTTGTGTTTCTGAGATATTTCACTTAGGATAATGGCCCCCAGCTCCATCCATGTTGCTGTAAAAGACATGATTTCATTCTTTTTTATGGCTGAGTAGTATTCCATCATATATATGTACACTACATTTTCTTTATCCAATAATCTGTTGATGGACACTTAGGTTGATTCCATATCTTTGCTATTGTGATTAGCGCTGAGATAAACATATAAGTGCAAGTATATTTTTGATATAATGATTTCTTTCTCTTTGGTTATATACCCAGTAGTTTTTGGATTGCTGAATTGAATGGTTGTTCTATTTTTAGTTCTTTGACAAATTTCCATAGTGTTTTTAAATGGAAATATTTTCACCATTAAAATAGTGATGCTTAAAGGATGATGGTATGGCATCTGATATTTCAATCAGTCTGAAACATACTCTAATCTTTTATGGCATCTCTAAACTAGTAAGATGGGAAAAAATGGCCGGAGAGATTCCATGGCTTGGATAAAGTTGTTCCATCTGAGGCCTTGTGCTTGGAGCTCTTTATCATCATCACCATCGGATTGTCCTGAGGAAGGGAAATCACTTCTAACATTACTGTTATAAGGAATATTTCATCACTTGCTTTTAATATTAGGTAAATATTGATATTTGGGTTTTCTCTTAATATATAAAAGTTATAGACAATTGTTTATCATTCAAAGTAAGAAGGTATTTTTATTTTAATAAAGGAAATGGTCAAATGTGGAAAAGATAAAGACTTCAAGAATTAAGAGATCAAGTATTTTTTTAAAGTTATCTTCCTAAAAACATATTATCTTAAAAATATTTCTCATTTCATAATAAATTAGAACTATGTTCATGGGATTCCACTTGAGGGACAAAAATAAAAGGCCCCACAGGGATTTCAGAAGCTCTGATACTAAGCTGCCAAAACAGGATTTTTGATGTTAAGTGGTGTGAACAGATCTTATTTTAATTGACACATTTGAAGACGAGTAATAGGATGTGTGAAGGATGAAACTGAATGTACTTCAATGAACATTAAACAATATTTTTACTAGTAAGTAAAATAATAAAACTATTTCACACAAGAAGGTGTCAGTCACACTTAATTATTTTTTAAGCAAAAAGTTATGTGACTTATCTCTCCAGTGCCACAGCATTGTGTTCAAATAAAGGGAAAGTCTCAGAATTATCTATAAGAAACAAGTGAAGGAGCCTTTTCAGATGATGATAAATACAAGATTAGGAACTTTTCAAAGGGTCTATAAATCACTAAAGGGATGAGATACTTCTTCCTAAGACAGTGTTACGAGGGGCAGATTTACCTCACGCCTGAAACAACCAAAAACACCAGACAAAACATATGATATAACTGTTTGCAAAACACTGGACATGCGGACAATGAAGGGACAGTGATCACTGACAGATGGGAAACAAATAAGATAAGCCCCCAAATTGCCCCTGCTTACTTCATAAAGTTGCAGCGCGCAGACTCTCTGAATTTAGAAGACAGGGAGGAGAGTGCAAGGAGATAAAGGCAGCTGGAATTCTCAGGACAGAGCACCAAAGAGAAGAGAGCTGCCTGGGGATCCGCAGAGGATCCAACCGGCAAATGCATGTGAAGAAATTACTCCAGGCTGCGGGGGGGAAGGAACATCAGAAAAGATTAGAGAACAGTGCTTGGTGTCCTTGCAGAGATAGGAAGAGTGCC
Organism: Homo sapiens; assembly: GCF_000001405.40. Classification (NCBI taxonomy): domain Eukaryota; kingdom Metazoa; phylum Chordata; class Mammalia; order Primates; family Hominidae; genus Homo; species Homo sapiens. Next base: position 3,955,141 of record NC_000018.10, read on the forward strand.
TATTCCTACCAGGCTGCCTGGAAAAACTCAGAGTTTATGGGGCAATGGGTAGTGTGCTCAAAGACCTCTTGTTTTAGTAAGTGGGGAATTACTAGCCTTATATTGGGCATGCTCCGGACTTGTCTAACAAATCATAAAAGCAAGACCCAAAAAGATCAAGCTCTTTCCAAGGGACTTAACTGTATCAGAACAAAACATAAGAATATTTATAGGAATACAAAAATATCCAGTACCTGACAAGGTAAAATTCACAATGTCTGCCCATCAATCAAAAAGTTAGGTAGAGACAGGCCGGGCGCCGTGGCTCATGCCTGTAATCCCAGCACTTTGGGAGGCCGAGGCGGGTAGATCACCTGAGGTCAGGAGTTCGAGGCTAGCCTGACCAACATGGAGAAACCCCGCCTCTACTAAAAATACAAAAAAATCAGCCGGATGTGGTGGTGCATGCCTGTAATACCAGCTACTCGGGAGGCTGAGGCAGGAGAATCACTTGAACCCAGGAGGTAGAGGTTGTGGTGAGCCGAGATCGTGCCATTGCACTCCACCCTGGGCAAAAAGAGTGAAACTCCGTCTCAAAAAAAAAAAAAAGTTAGGTAGAGACATGAAAGATATAAAAGACACCCAATTGAACATCTAGAGAGAAAACTAGTATGTGTGCAATAATAAATACACTAGGTAACATTAATGCTAGATTAGACATGGCAGAAGAAAAGATTAGTGAACCTGAAGACATAGAAACAGAAACTTTCCAAAATAAAACACATAGAAAAAAGAACAATTCCTCAAAAATGAACAAAAATACATTGGTGAGCTGTGAGATAATGTTAAGCAGACTAATATATGTATACAACTGAAGTTTCTGAAAGGGACATAAGAAGAAATAATGGTTGAAATTTGATGAAAACTATATATCTACCAATCTAAGAAGCTCAGTGAACTCCAAACATGTGAAATATGAGGAAAATTGCACAAAGGCACATCACAATCAAACTGTATAAAGGCAGCGATAAAGATAAAAATCTTAAAGGCAGCCAGGGAAAGAAGGTGTTCTTCATAGAGGAACACATTAAAATGGTGGTAGATTGCTCACAGGAGCAATGAAAGTGAGAAGATCCGTTTTTAAATCTGGAAATCTATACCGAAGAAAATGTCTGTTAAAAATGAAGATGAAAGGAAGATGTTTCACCCTGAAAGAATCCCTTTAACATTTTTTTTTCCTTTTTTTTTGAGACGGAGTCTCGCTCTGTCGCCCAGGCTGGAGTGCAGTGGCGTGATCTGGCTCACTGCAAGCTCCGCCTCCCGGGTTCACGCCATTCTCCTGCCTCAGCCTCCCCAGTAGCTGGGACTACAGTCACCCGCCACCATGCCCAGCTAACTTTTTGTATTTTTAGTAGAGATGGGTTTTCGCCGTGTTAGCCAGGATGGTCTCAATCTCCTGACCTCGTGATCCACCCGCCTTGGCCTCCCAAAGTGCTGGGATTATAGAAGTGAACCACCACGCCCGGCCTATTTTTCCTTTTCTTTTAGACAGGGTCTCGCTCTGTCACCCAGGCTGGATGGAGTGCAGTGATGCAATCTCAGCTCACTGCCACCTCAGCCTCCTGGGCTCAAGTGATCCTTCTACCTCAGCCTCCTGAATAGCTGGGACTATAGGTGCACACAACCACACCTGGCTAATTTTTGTATTTTTTTGTAGAGATGGGGTCTTACTATGTTGCCCAGGCTTGTCTCAAACTCCTGGGCTCAAGTAGTCCACTTGCCTCAGCCTCCCAAAGTGCCGGGATTACAGGCATGAGCCACCACACTCTGCCAACATTTCTTATTTACTCATCTCTTTTCCAGGATTTGAAACTGCAATAGACAAAATAATGGTCCCCCAAGACATTCATGTTCTAATCCCCAGGACCTGTGAATATTTACTTTACATGGCAACAGGGACTTTGCAGAGGGGATTAAGTTAATCTCGAGATGTGGAGATTATCCTGGACGATCCATGTGGGCCAATGTAATTATCAGAGTTCTTATAAGAGAAAGAGAAGAACAAGAGAGTCAGAGCCAGAGACTGATTTGAAGATGCTTTGCTGCTGAGTTTGGAGATGGAAGAAGGAGCCAGGAGCCAAGGAATGCTGGTGGCCCCTGGAAGCCTGTAAGGGAAAAGGCAAGGGAAAAGCCCTCCCCTAGAGCCTGTAAAGGAACACAGCCCTGTGGACACCTTAACTGACAGCCCAGTGAAACCTCTTTTGAATTTCTGACCTCTGGAACTGTGGAATGACAAACTTATGTTGTTTTAAGCCACTAAGCTTGTGGTAATTTGTTATAGCAGCACTAGGAAATTAATACACTTACATTCAGGGGATGACACGTTCTAACTGACTGATTAACCACATAGATTTTACATGTATCTTAGATATTTTTAAAATCGTTAGACATTTGTTAATATCCACACTACTAATCCCTTTCTATTTACTATAAATTAATCTTGAAAAAAAATTACATTTTCTGCTTCAAGATTATTTTATTACTTTATTATTTACTTACTAAATAATTTAAAATCATTGATGATTAAAAGCTATTGTCATTGTAGCAAATCACTCAAATTCATAGTTGATAGAAATTGAAGGAATTTCTATCTTAGTCATTCATCTCTCTTGCATATTAAATTATATGGAGCCCAGTATGGGAATCCTAAAGTGTGTATTTGATAAAGGTACCTTGTTCAGTGGAGTCATTTTTACATTCTTCCCTATTCCATACTTTTTTTTTTTTTTTTGAGATGGAGTTTCACTCTTGTTGCCCAGGCTGGAGTGCAATGGTGTGATCTCGGCTCACTGCAACCTCTGCCTCCCAGGTTCAAGAAATTCTCATGCCTCAGCCTCCTGAATAGCTGGGATTACAGGTGTCCACTACCATGCCCAGCTAATCTTTGTATTTTTAGTAGAGACAGGGTTTCACTATGTTGGCCAGGCTGGTCTCGAACTCCTGACCTCAGGTGGTTCGAAGTGGGCAGATCTGCCCGCCTCGGCCTCTCAAAGTGCTGGGATTACAGGCATAAGCCATCACTCTGGGCCTTATTACATACTTTTAAAAACAGCAACTATAATATGGAAGCAGGGGTTATGTATGCCTGTAATCCCAAAGTGCTGGGATTACAGGTGTGAGCCAGTGCACTTGGCCTTAGTCCATACTTTTAAAAACAACTACAATAAGGAAGTTATGTATGCATGATAAGGAGGTAGAAGAAGCAGGACTTTGGGGACAGTCTCATATGACAGCTGGGACTTCAATACTATTGTGAAGAGAGATTGCAAATTAGGATAAGCAAAAAAAAAAAAAAAAAAAGAGGACAGTATGAACAAGAAGTCTTCTGGCTAAGTCAAGTACTCAAGATTGGCCAAGAAAACAAATGAAAGATTCATTAAAGGCAATGAAGAGAGTTCACAGTTTGAGAAACAGAAGGCCTTAGAGAGTTTAATCCTCTTTACAAAAAAAAAAAAAAAAAGGCTTTGTGGCAGGTTTTCTGGTATTTGAGAATCTGGAGTTATAAACAGGATGCTTCCTGCAGCATTATTCCTCTTACCTGGACTGCCTCCAGGCATTGGGAGGAACTTCTCACTGACAGCTTCTCAGGAGCTGATGAGTAGCCAGTAGTTAAAGCCCCAGGTGAGCATCGTCCTCCCGTTTGACTTTAGTCTGTGGTGCCAGATTTTTCCCAAGCAAGTCCTGTGCTTTGACATTTGATGCATTTCTGAAGTGGACTGCCTGTAATATCTCAAGGAAGGCTTCTAGTTATCTTATTCTTAGACCTCGAACCTTCCCCTTTCAAGCATGAAACCAAAAAAGCAAAGTGTGATGTTGGGTCACTTTGCTGCTTCTACCCACCAAAAGTTTGTGTCCAACCTAGTTGAAAGATTTCTTTCAAGCACAGATGAAATTTCAGCACCACATTATATTCTCATTCAATGAACACAGCTCTTCTTGTCAGTATTAAATTAGTAGCCAGTAGGCTAACTTCTACATCCTTATAATCGCCTCAGTTTTTTTTTTGAAAGAGGCAGAAATATTTCTGCTCAATATTTTAAGACTCAATTTTAGCGAGAGGAATCTTTAAAGAGCTGTACCTGACCTTGTCTTTAGGTCCTTTTGTTTACCTGAAACGTCTACACTCTCTTTTGCACAGTTTTTCTTCAAACCTATTAGACTTTCTTGTGGTTTAGACCAGAGCTCTTAATCAGAAACACAATTGGGGCCGGGCGTGGTGGCGCATGTCTGTAATCCCAGCACTTTGGAAGGCCGAGGTGGGCAGATCACTTGAGGTCAGGAGTCCGAGACCAGCCTGACCAACATGATGAAACCATATCTCCCCTAAAAATACAAAAAGTAGCCGGACGTGGTGTCGCGTGTCTGTGATCCCAGCTGCTTGGGAGGCTGAGGCAGAATCGCTTGAACCCGGGAGGTGGAGGTTGCGGGGAGCTGAGTTCATACCACTGCACTCCAGCCTGGGTGACAGAGCGAGACTCTGTCTCAAAAAAAAAGAAAGAAAGAAAGAAAGAAAGAAGCACAATGGGAGTCACAAGCATAACTGCAAATTTTCCAGTAGTTACACTGAAGAAAGAAAAAAGAAAAAAAGTGGTGAAATTAATGTTACTAATATATTTTATGTAACCCGATGCATCTAAATGTATTATTATTTCAACATGTAATCAATATACAATTATTAATGGGTTATTTTACACCGTCTCTTTTTACACTAAGGCTTGGAATGAAGTGTGCCTTTTACACTTACATCACATTTCAATTCAGACAAGCTTCTTTTCAAGAGCTCAACAGCTGCACATGACCAGTAGATAATACATTGGAAAGTGAGGTCTAGCGTCTCTCCCTTCACAGACCTCAGGAAAATCCTCCCCTGAGTATTATCTCCAGTATCTTTAACTTTCCACTGGATTCTTTTTCTCTGCCTTGAAACATGCACAGCACTCCCTTGAAAACTCTTCACTTGAATTGTAACCACTTTACGTTTCATTTCTCAATTTCCTATCCCTGATCAGCTCTTTAAATAAAACACAAGGCTTTTTCATTGCATTTGCTGTTGCTGACTCCTTGCTGCTTCCCCACCTTAGGTGCCTTTTCCTATTGTCTGCTAGGTCTCTTCTTGTGTCTCCTTTGCTGATTCATTGCACTCTGACCCCTAAGAGAAGGAGGTCGGGGAAGCCAGCGGTTCCCACACTTTATAGAGTGCCTCTCCTGGAGGGCTTCTTACAACTTAAATTGCTTTAGCCAGGCATGGTGGCCTGTACCTATAGTCCCAGCTAATGGGGGTTGGGGAAGAGGGGGTTGATGGGGGAAGCCCAGGAGTTTGAGGCTGCGGCTATGATTGTGCCACTGCACTCCAGCCTGGGTGACAGAGCGGAGACCCCCATCTCTAAAAAAATAATAACATAAAGAAACAAAAACTTGAAACCTAAATTGCTGTGCCGTACCTCCAGAGTTTCTGATTCTAGACATCCGGGGTGAAGGCGAAGAATTTGCATTTCTAGTGAGTTCCCAGGTGAAGCCGAGGCTGTTAGTCTGGGGACCACACTTTGAGAACCACTGTGAGGTTCAGTCCTCGGCGCCTCTAGCCTTGCTCCCTGCAGGTGCCTGCTCCCCAGCCAGGCCCCCTCTTGCAGTTGTGGGAAGCTCGATTCTGTGCAGTGTCCAGGTGGCCTGGGCCTTGGAGTTGACTGGCCCTCATGGTGTCACGGCTGACCTTGTATTAGTGAATCCTGGTACATGGGAAATGAACTTCTTCTGGCCAGTGATTGGTTCTGACAAATGAGACCTGGGGTTAGGGGGAGTCCAGGAGGTTTTCTTACTCTGGAAAAGAGACACGAGGCTGGCTTGTTCTCTTCCTGCTTCTGGACACTGTGGCCTGGGGGCATCACCCAGAACTACGAGTCGCCCTGGGCCGCTGGGGGAGCAGGCCACAGAGGCCAAGCCGCACACTAACCTCAGACACAGAGAGGGAAGACAGAAGGGCTCCGGAGCCCTGAGGAGTTCACTGAGCAAGGAAGGGAGCATCCTGAGGCCTCTCTCCTGCGGTATGAGTGACAGTGGGTACACACCTCCTTTGGGCCATTTGTAGCTAGGTTTTCTGGTACTTACTGCAGGAAACCTCCAACACTTCAAAAGCTCCCACCTTTTCCTCCTCCAATTGCTATGTCTGGTTGGCTTTTTTCTGAAGCCTTTTTGCAATCCCACTTCTTTCTGTACTGAATTCTCTCCCTCCTCCCCGTCTTTCTTGCTCTGTCAAAGATGAGAGCAGGCCAGTCCCTGACATTTTCAGGACTTAGGACGGGAATACAAATGAAAGGTCCTGGCCCTCTGCCCCACCCATTTCTCTTCCCACACCTGGATCCACACCATACCATGAGCAGGATACACAAGGGCACCAGCGAGTGTGTCCAGGTTTTGTCCATCACTCCCTCCTCCCAGCAAAACCTCACTCCTTGGCCATCCTTCATCCAAGGAGGGCACACACTGATGCCTGGTCAGCAGTGGGAGGGCAGACCTGGAGAACAGCTTTGCAGGCCTTGGAAGGGGCCTCAGGGCCAACTGACTGGGAATTCTACCATCCCAGGTACCTGGAGCATGGCCCACAAGTGGGGCAAGGGGAAGCATGGGCTTGGGGGCCTGCAGACTCATCATGCTGCTGTGAGGGGCATGGACAGAGGAAAGCCACAGAGGGGTCTTCTGACACAGGGCACAGGACAGTGGCTTGGGTTGCTCAGGTTTCAGGGAGGACTGGATGCAGGATGCTAACATGATTGACCAGGTTCTTGGACTCTGAGTCACATACAGTAAAGGATCCCTTCGCCGTGTATTAACAGGTCATGGGCAACACTTTGATCTTTCTTTGGTACAAGACAGTAGAAGATATTACCTTAGGATATTGATTCTCAAAAAGATCTGGGAATTTTTGCTTGAGATTAAAAAAATATATATGATGCACAATCAGGCAGTTACGTCTCAGTGGTAAGAATTTTTGTTTGCTACCACTTTTAATATCTGCAGTCCTTCTTTTTTGGATTCATTTGCTGAAATAAATTCCCTAGTTATTCTTTCAGAAAGGACGTCATCGGGTAAACTTTGTCCAATCACTCATCGTTTCTTCACATTAAATTTGAGTTTGAACTGGTAACAAACTAGTATTCATTTTCCCTGAGCACTTGGGAGAATTGATCCAATGACTGCTGGTGTGTAGAATGAATTGCGATGAAACATCTCATCCTACCTGCTCCTCATTCCCTTGTAAGTAATCTGTGTTCACTTCTCCCTGCAGCCTGGAACCTTTATATATTCATATATTTATTTATATGTAAATATTCTGAACATTTACCAAGCTGTGTACTTCAGGGAAATTTTCTTTTAATTTGGTCAGTATTTTCCCTCTTCCATTTTTTGTTCTTTTCTTCTGAAATTCCTATTTGATAGACGTTTGAGGTTTGGCTCTATCCATCATTCCTACATCACTCTTCCCATTCTTTCCATCCCTATGCTTGTTTTCATGATATTTTTAGGAATCCTTCCAGGACATTTATTCTTTAGTTGTATGCATTTTGCTTTGGACTGACAGCGTGTATCTCCCAGGAGTTTTAAAAAGAGTGGCTTGGTCTTATTTTATTGAATATTTGAGGACAAAATGATTACATTTCTTTGGTTATTATGCTTATCTGAAAATTGTCTTTGCTTTTTTTTCTGTTGACAAGGTCTCCTTGGGGTGAGTTAGTTCTTCAGTTTGTTGATTTGATGCTTCTTGTAGGTGTTGGTGTTCTTTCAAAGTTTGGTGATTCTCAGTTATCTATTCATGCTCATGTTGAAGGACTGGTTGAAGACTGAAAATTTCCTCAATCCAAATGAGAAGTGCTGTTTTCTATTCATGTGCATCTTGATCTCTTCTGTCTGCCTTCTATAATTGTGGGGAGAGCAGGATGGGGGAGACTGCTTTGCTTTGGGGGTGCCAGAGGGGATTTTTCCTTAACTGGAACATAGCCTTCTTGGCCTCTCTTGTTACAGTCCTCACTTCAGAATACCCACTTGGAGGCTTCACCTGAAGCTGGGCCAGTTCCAGCTCCAAAGGCTCCATTTCATTGCCCCCCTCACCCCCCAGGGTTCTACTCTGCTTCTCATAAATATAAACCAGCAGAAGAGCTTTTCCTTTGTTGAGAGCACAGTTGCTGGGCCTTGTGAGGCTGAAGGAAAGTGTGCAGCTGCCTGGACTCAAATGTGCATGAGGATGAGGTGCCCAGGCTACCCTGCTCTTCCAAGACCACCTCCTAATTACTGACACATTTGCCCCAGGTCCCTTTCTTGTACAGTTTGTCTCTGAGCTTCTCTCCTGGGCTGTGGTTTGTTTTTATCCTTTACCTTTGAAGCTCCATTCTCTTCTGTGTACTTTGGGCTGTTTTTTTTTTTTTTTTTTTTAGTGCAATTTTATACTTAATTGGATTACATTTGCCTTCTGGTTCTCTGCTTCATATTTTCAGTGTGATTATGGATTGATTCTTTGTTTCCATTGCAAGTACCTTGATATATGCCCTTGTCCCTCACCAAGGCTGTAGGTGTATCTTCTATGGGATCTCTAGTGTAAGCCCCTTCAGCTCACGTCCAACACCTAGGCTATCTGCTGTGACAGCCACTGGCCACATGTGACCATTGAGCCCTAGATTTCGAAGACTTTGTACAAAGAAAAAGGAAGGTAAAGCCCTTAAGAATAATGTAAATACCAATTAAAGTTTGAAATTTTAATATTTTGGATGCATTGGCTTAAACATAGCATTAAAGTTCATTTCATTTCTTTCTTTTTATTTCTATAATGTTGCTACTGGAAAATTTAAAATCGTATACGTGGCTTGGGTTATATTTCTATTGTTCTACACTGCAGGAGGCGTCATTCCTAAGATAAAATTAGGAGGAGTGGGTTAAGATGATGAGCTGGATATGTATACACACTCCCTATTTATTCTCAAATCTCAGCATAAAACACAAAAGTGTAAGATAATTTACACTCTTTAAAAAAGGGGCAGTGCAGACAGGAAGAACACCAGAGGTAAATTTCTTTGGCAGAATTTATGTGATTTAGGGATCTATTTATCATTAGTGGAAAGGCAGAAAAAGGCCCAGGAAAAAATTCAATGTTTCCACCTTGGGAAAATGGGCCAATAGTTGTCCTGTTAATGATGTGAACTGGGAAGCTGTAGAAGGAGAAAAGAGTCTGCGTGAATACGGCAGAGGTGGTGAGAAGACAACGAGTTTGGTTTTGCATTTGCAGTGTTTGAGATGTTCCTGGACTGTCCACATGTTCAATAAATAGATGACAGAGTGAGCAATGCTGGGAAAAGGGCATAAGGCTGGAGATACGAGATGGGAATCTTCGCTAGGAGTTGTCGCTGCAGTGGATGAAATCCCCAGGAGCACCGCTACTGAAGAGTGGGCTGATGAGGAAGAGCCTTGAAGGAAAAGGGGGTATCAGCAAGAAGAACCTTGATAAACTTCTATACACGAAGGCCTAACATAGCAATGATACATGGTAGCCACTTAGTGTTTCAGGAGTTACTAGAATACCAGGTGTGCTTTAACCAGCGAAGCATGTTATCAATCAAGGGTTTTTAAGAGGTGGCACAAAAACAGGAGAAGGAGAAAGTGCAAACTGTGGACAAAGAGAGTTTGCCCTGGGAACAAGGGAGTCTCACTTTGGTTTTGATTGGGATGAACAAATCTTGCTCTTACTCTTGCATGCTTATAAAAGATTCTACTAAGAGACTTAGCCACAGTAGGAAATGTCACCAAATTTACGTGAACTCCAATTTAAAAAAGAATACAAAGACATTTCAAATCCTAACCACCTGGCCAGAGGGTGATTCCTGTTGTTTTTAAGGCTATAGTGATAGAATTTCAAAGGTGAAAAGATCTCTTTGTAAACAAAGAGATCTTTGTAAACAAATAGAGGCATGGATTCACTTTATTTCTTTTCTGTGGCCTACATTTGTAACACAAAACACTGAACAACACCACAAAGCCTAGAATCACTGTCAAAATGTCAATATGGGCACTTGGACTAATTCTTAAGTTAAAGTGAAGGATATTCTGGAGGACCTGAATGAAAGACTTGACTGAGTTTCTAATGTTTTGCAAAAAATAAGTAGCCAGACAAGGTTGACTTAAAACCATAATCTATGGTGGTGGATCCAAAATAAATCTTAAGAACAACATAAAGACAAAGGCTTAGCAGCTCAAGCCATCTGTTTTTGGAAATTTTGGCTTTTGGGATTTAAGAACAGATTTAAATGTATGAATTTGTCACTGATTGGAACAACCCATTATCTAGATACTGGAGTAGGTTGTGATCAAATCATAACATAATACCTAAAGAGGCATCAATATAGTGTTGTAGAAAGAACAATAGATTTAAAGTTCCTCCACTCAACAAACATGCTTGTGTGTGTGTCTACTACCCTGCAAGTACTGTTCTAAATAATAGAGTACAGGCCAGGCACGGTGACTCACATCTGTAATCCCAGCATTTTGGGAGGCCGAGGTGGGCTGATTACCTGAGGTCAGGAGTTCGAGACAAGCCTGGCTAACATGGCGAAACCCCATCTCTACTAAAAATACAAAAATTATCCAGGCGTGATGGCATGCACCTGTAATCCCAGCTACTCAGGAGGCTGAGGCAGGAGAATTGCTTGAACCCGGGAGGCGGAGGTTGCCGTGAGCCGAGATCCTACCACTGCACTGGGCGACCGGGTAAGACTCCATGTCAAAAAAAAAAAAAAAAAATAGAGTACAGCTATTAAGAAGACAAAATCTCTGCCTGCCTGCTTGGAGTTAACAATGTAGTTGTCAGATACAGACAAATACTTAAGTAAACAACCATATGAATAATTTTAAATAATAAGTGCCCTGAAAAAAATAAAAATGGGACACAGAATGATAGGGTGGTAGAAACCACATTCGCTAATGCGGTTGGAGGGGAGCACTACAGGGAACAGCAGCTAGAAAGGGTGAAAGCTCAGAGGCTGGAGAAGCTTGTTATGTTCAAGAAGGAGAAAGGGGGCCAGGGTGGCTGGAGTTTCACAGGGCTTGGTGGGTGGGGAAGTAGTAGGAGATGAGGATGGAGAAGTAGTGCTCTATTTGCCTTAAGAAGTTTGGATTTGGTTCTATTTGTTGGGGGGAAGGCTTTAGCAGGTTTTAACCACGGAACTGTTATGATCTAATTCACCCTACCACAAAATCACTCCAGCTGCTCAGTGGAGAATGAACCATTGGAGGTAAGAGTGGGAACTGAGGAATGAATTATGAAGCTATTGCCATGGATTAGGGGATGAGAAAATCTCTGGTTGCAGAAGATGAGATACTAAAAAAAATCGGACTAGAAACTGTTTGGGAGCCAAAACTGATCAAAGGGGTTTTGGAAAGATAGCACAAAAAAGAAATCCAAGACAATGCTTAAGTTTTTGGCTTAAGCAACTGATATATGGGGATGATATCTACTGAGGCAGGAAAGACGGGACAGAAGTAGGCTTGAGGTAAGTGAGGATTTTGTTTTGGACCTGTTACATTGGAGATGTTTATTAGATATTCAAGTGGAGAGGCCGAGTTGGCAGCTGGATTAACGAGTATGAGGTGAGAGGGGACGTCTGAGCTAGAGATAACAGATTTGGATGACATCAGCATGTTGATGTTATCTGAAACCTTGGGACTAAATGAGATCATCTAGGAATAGAGGAGAAGGTCATCAGGAAAAGAGCTGCTTGGGGCATTCAATGTTCTGAGGTCCAAGAGAGGAGGAGGAGGAGGAGAAAGCCAGGTTTTCTAAGAGAAGTGGCCAGTGAAGCAGAAGGGAAACCAGGAGGTGAGGTAGTCCAGAACCTGGAGAAGAGAGTAGTTTAAAAAGGAAGGACTAGTCCACTGGCTCAAACTGCTGAGTGACTAATCTTATTTTAATATGTCTGTGTAAATATGGCAGTGCCTGTCTACATTGGTGGAGGGAATGTGCCTACCACATTGTAGAGGGCATTCCATAAATACTAACTTATCTTTCTTCCTCAAAACAGTCGCTGGGCTCCAGCCAGGCACTGCCAGGCACTGTGGTAGGCACTGAGCGAATCAGCAAGGAATGAGAAATAGATTATGAACTGATGAGCTCACAGTGACTTTAACCTTTGCAGATATTTGTCCTGGCATTGCAGAGTTTTATTTAGAACAGTGATTCTCAAGATGTGGTACTGCGATCAACAGACTCTGCAGAACCTGGGAACTCATTAAAAATGCAAATTCTAGGGCTTCACCCCAGACCTACTGAATCCCAGACTCTGGGGTTGAGGCCCAGGAACCTGAGTTTTAACAATCCCTGCAGGTGACTGATGCCGGCTGAAATTTGAGAACCACTGGTAAGGAGGAGAGCAGGCTGTCCTCTGCAGAGCTGTCATTTAAGCTCCATTTAAACATTATAGTCTCTAAAGAGAAAGTGTAAAACAGATGTAATGGTAGTATTGATCACTCTCTGTTTCATTTCTGAAGCCCATACTTGGTTATTTTGTCTTAAAGAGCATTTGACTCTACTTTTGGCTTCAGACTATGTGGAGCTATTTTTAAAAATTCGAGTTTATGTATTTCCACAACTAAGTATAACTGTTAAGGGCTTCTGAGAAAATCACCCAACTATGCAGATTGATCCCCACACACACATATAGGATAAATGTGTGCCTCTCAGCTGCACTGGACACCTAACACCGAGAGGCAAGCCATACTTCCCTTCTTAGGACTCCTTCACATTCTCCTTGTGGCTGTTTTGAACATTTCATTTGTCCATTTGCTTATCACTACCAATAAATCATCTTACTGCTTACTCTTCACAGATAAAATAAGTTATTGGAAAAACTTCCTGACACTAATCCAGAATATGTAACTAGCTCTATCACATCTTTCTGCTTTTGATCATGTTTAGATGAAGGAGACATAACTGCTCTAATCTGAGCATAAATTTACTGGGACCTCACCCTGCCCCACTTCTTTCTCCTGTATCTTAAATCCTTCACTGACCCTTAGTATCTTTCCTTTAATATTTAAATATGCTAAGATACTCTTTCATCTTAAAAGGCAACGCTAGATCTTACCCCAATTTCACATCATTTTTACGCAGCTATTGATCTCCACTTTTTATTTTATGCAGTAAAATTTCTAGCACTTGTCTATCTTGTTCCCTTTCTATCCCTATTAATCAGTGTGTCATTAGCTCATGGCAGGCACTCAACTAAGACCTGCTGAATAAAATGGCTAACTATACACCTTAAAAAAAACTTGAAAACACAGAAAGTTACTGAAAAACATATTTTGTGCAATCTCTTTACCCAAACAGACCATCACGGAAGTTTTAAATAGTTAACATCTTTATATTTGTATTCCTGGCTTTCAAAAGACAGATCACAGTTTGATGAAGTTTTAGAGAGAACACAGTAATATTTGGAGGCTGATTTCAAACCAATATTCAATTATTTGTGCAAATATTATTTAGAACAAGTGGAGGTAATTGAAATTCAAAGAAAATGCCTTTCCTGAAAACTGTGAATCATCATACCCAATCAAACTTTTATTGGAACAGCTAATAAGTAATACCATGCAAGGGAGGTTTATTTTTTTCTTCCTTGTCCCTGCCCAGCTATGTGGAACTAATAATCAAAATAATTAGCAACAAGAAGAGAAATATAATTAAGAGGACCTGGTAACAAACAAAACTATTGATTTCTTTTGAAGAAAAATGACACGGCATTCTTTCTCCAACTTTCTTTTAAAAGACATTTTGCAGGTGGCAAGAGACCAGCGAGACAACAAAGGAAAGAAGTTAACTAATGAATGAACAGCACTGGGGACATAGGATGTATATTCTGAAAGAGAAATACTATTTTCCTTAACAATATTCAAAGAAAATTATGATTATTTTGCTACTATGAAAGAGTTTACAAGGAAAAATTTGAAGATTGAAGTAGTTCAACTTTCCAGGTCAAACTATGCGAACTTCCATCTGCCAAATTTTACAGCAATTCTATTAAAAACAATATACTAGAAATCTCACTAATGATCATGTAGTCAATCAACACACCAATAATTGTCATCTGAAAAGAAATACAACTTTTAGTCATTCCTTCTTGAAGACTAAGTGGCAGAGAAAAACAGTGAGGTCTCCTACGGTTACCACTGGTTTTTGCAAAACGTTCTGTCACATTTTACTCAATTAGGCGTTGACTGAGTGTATTACACCGCTGACCCATTCTAGCCGTAGGAAAAGAATATTAAAGAGAAAAGGGTGCTTGTTCTCGAAACAAAATAGATATACACAGAAAGACAGTGGTTTAAGACCTTATTTGTAAAAGAGATCCAGAAAAAAGTAGAAGTACCTGTCCTTGCAGAAAAACTGTGGCCCAAGTTATAGCAGTTTCACGATTTCGGTCTATTCTTAAAAAAAATCCTACCAAAGAAATTAGCACAGATGCAGCTCTTCAGTATTTTATTTTAGTAGTGACTATCCACAGATTATGCAAAATCAAAATTAGGCCCTTAATAAGAGTGCCAGCTTCCTTCTGCCAACTATTCTATGTCTGTCAGCTTGCAGTTAAGGAGGCTCTAGCCAGCGATGATCCTTATATAATTTTTTAATGTGTTTCACGTAAAGGGCCTTTCTTGAATAGAATATGTAAAGGAAAAGACTCTAGGATTAAATACTTCTGATAAAGGGCCTTCTTAAGACTATCAGTCCTGTCTGTGTCTGTGTGTTAAGATGGAAAGCACACGAACAGAAGTCAGCAGATTTGTTGTGTTACGATGTGGGTGTTTAATCAGTGCTTAATACTAGTGGTAAGTTTGATTAATGTTTGTCTTTGTAGGTAAAGCAACAGAACACAGTTTTCCAGAGCAACATGAAGCAAACGTATTACAAAAATGAAAATGCAAAATTTAAGATGAGTTGACTACCATTGTACTCCTGCAATTTCCCTTGTCATCATTCTCTTCTTTCATATAAAAATATGATTTTATTGAATTTTATTTTGGCTAAATAATCAGAGTTTTAGTTTTAAATCTCATAGAGAATAAATGAGATGAATTCTTTGCATATTTTCAAACCTCGGAGTTCCATGACAATATGACAACTAGAAACAAAGGAAAAGAAAATAAAACAATTTCATCCCAGTATTCTTATTGAAGCCATTAGGATCAATTTTGTAGCACTAATAATAAAAAGCTCTCCAAAGAAAGAGAGCTTTGGTAATGAACCTTTGTACTTTAACTCAAATACACTGTCAAAAGCGATTTTACAACAAATGTGAGTGCTACAAATTACAGCAAATATATAATAGAAATGTGTGGGACATGAGAGAGAAATGTTGGCCTCATCAAGAAGTACATCTTCTAGAAAATCTAAAAAATAAAGAGAAACAAAGAAGATAAACATCTTGCCCCATATTAGACTGCAAAATAGTAATACAGTTTCACTCTTAGTTTTTAATCAATTAATTCTCAAACAGGTACTAAATTTAGAATGAAGGATATGTTATTACTAAATCATATTAGAGATATCTTGACATTAATATTAACATTAAAAATCTGGAAGCAAAAGGGTTTCTTCCCCCTAATTGAACTGAAATCCACTTTAATATCAACTGGGATTCAAGAATAAAATATAAGCCCCTGCCCTAGTTCTGAGGTCCCCATAGGAGCCCTGCATCCTGGGCCTATGAGGTCTGCTTCCACCCTTGTCTCTGGGCTAGGTATGCATTTATTTCCAGAAGTGGGAAATGCTGGAATAGAGATTTAAGGCCTAATCAAGCATTGAGACAGCTGGAACCACCTTCCAGTTTCACATCTGTCCCCCTCTAGCACCCCACATCTATTCCAGGTTATTGCAACCAAAGAACAGCTCCCTCTGCCTGCCTTCTTTCGGTAGCTACAGCACAACCTCAAGGTCGCTTTTCTCCACCCAGCTTTCAGTCTGTAGCATTGACCTAGAGAATGAACCAGACTCTGGCCTCTGGCAAGAACTTTGCAGTAAATTGTTGACCAGTTTGTGATGGTAGTTTCTATTATTTCTTTTCAGAGGTAGGAGTTCTTTTCATGCTAACTGCTTTCCATTAGTTTAGAATTAAGTCCTCTAAATCAGTGGCTTAACATTTTTTTTGACTGCTACCGATGGTAACAAATTTTACATCCTAACCAGTATATATACAGGGAAATACATACATAAGACATTTATAAAATGTATGCTAACATATATATGACATAATATCACATATGTGTGCATGTATACCTGAAACATGTTTTGTAAATAAGTCCAATGTATTTTGCCTATTCTATTCTTTTGTTTTTTCTAAAAAAGTATTGGTATGTGTAATTGACTGGTATGATGCACCCCCAAGTGTTTGCAGACTGCATTTTATATTGTTCCAAGACTTAACTTTTAAGACTCTTTTGTCCATCTATCCTTTGGTAAGCTAAGCTGTACTAAGGATAACATAGAGAAATATCAGTGTATCCAAAAAGAATTCCTGGCTGATGGTTTTGAAGAGTCACAGGGCAATAGGTTTAGAAAATCTTGTTCTCTAAATAGCAATAAAACTTAAACCTGGCAAATTCTTAAGTATCTTTCATTAAGCAATCCATGGAGTTTTATTTTAATAAGCATAATAATTTTCATGACAGCCTTAGTGAATATTGAGGGACAAGAAAAACTCAAAACCAGGGTTTTATGCAACTGTAAAGTGCTGGTCCAGTTGAGTAAGGGAGGATCCTGTGAATTAACTAAGGGAAGACTCTTTACTTGGGTTCTCATCAGGAGACCATGAATAGCTTTGGTCATTTAACGGTGTCCAACTAACAAGATAACAATCCTGTAATGTGTAAGGTTTCAGTTTTCAAGGATATAACTAAAGAAGTGTTTTCAATTAAAATATTACAGTTTACCTTGTTTTTAAATTTTTTATGAGTTTATAAACTATATAATACCTCTTATAAAAAATACAACACCTCAAGGCCTATATAAAAAAAAATTATATCACTAGGCCGGGCATGGTGGCTCATGCCTGTTATCCCAGCATTTCTGGAGGCCAAGGTTGGAGGATCACTTGAAGCCCGGAGTTCGAGACCAGCCTGGGCAACATGGCAAAATTCCGTCTCTATTTAAAAATAATTTTAAAAAATTATATCTATCTATATCAGTTTATATATAACTCTCCCTAGTCCTCTGGTTGATTCATTCTGTCTTTTCTGTCTTCAGTTATTTATATTCAAACATGTTTCCTTGGTGTGTTTGAGGCAGTTGAGTCACACACACACACACTCTCTCTCTCTCTCTTTCTTTCTTTCTCATAGTTTTAGAATTATACAGTGTTTGGGATATAGATAAGTAGATCTGTGGGAACCTGATTATTAAGTGACTAGATTCAGTCCCTGGCATCCGATAGTCCTAACTAATCTATTTTTTAAGAAGCAACTATTGAGCACCACTGTCCACGTAGGAACTTTGTTATGTTGAGCTCTCAGCTTTCCTGAGACTCCTGTGACACCATCACAGCAACATGACACCTCAGGGAGGGAGGTTTGGGCAAATCACACTAGCTCCCCCTGCCCTGGCCAGCAACACTGAGAGGCAGATGGGCGGGGAGGTGCCTATCCCTAGCCTGAAGCCAAAAGACTTTCTTTTCTGTTCCCCAATCTGTGTTTAGAGACCCAAAGAATAAGCCCATAGGGCAGAGGACTTTTATTCTAAAAGAGGCTCTATTCTACATTAATTAGGCTTCAGACTCCAAAAGGATAACAAGCGTGAGCTCAAGTAAGCAAAGCCTTTTTGCTGCAGGGTGTTGTGTCTAATAGCTAATTTAAAAATATCAACAAATCACTGTCCAAAGAAACTTAATTCTGGGACTATTAAGGTATTATCATCTGCTTGTTTTTATTCAAGTTGAGTAATCCAATCTTTATTGAATACTTACAATGTACAAAATAATTTCCTAGATTCTATAAGGAACACAGAAACTAAGATGGTCCTACCTTCAGGCTGCTGCTATCTAATTAGAAAAAAACCATTTTCAGTAAAAGAGAATAGTCAGAATAGCCATAGCCAAAAAAAAAAAAAAAAAAAGTCAATACATTTGCTTTTAATCAGGTTGTAAGATTTATCTGGAGCCAATGACAAATAATAAGCTACTAGTCATTTCCGTCCTGGAAGCTGCAATTCATCTCAGTTTGTATGAGCTCCGTCACCTTTGTGCTCCTGTTACTCCTGGTTTGGGACTCAATTTCACTTCAGGAGGGGAGTGGTGGAGTATATGGTTCCTGCTTAGGCTTTAGGAGCCAGGGACTTCCCTATTTCACCTGTGGTTCCTGTGTGAGCATCCCCTAGGGAACATGCTGGAAGGATTCTAACTCGACTACATTTCTTCTGCCAGTGTTGTTGGCAGGCCAACTGAGAGTCTTTTCCAAATTGCCTGCCAATTTTTTTCCCTCAATTTTAGATAATTTTATTCTTTCTGAAACCTGACAAACTAAATCTAGGCTAGAAAGTTCCGGGGAAGGCCCAGGGCTCGGGATCCATGTTAACCAGCTGAGGGTTCACAAGGAAAACACAGGAGAAGATAATACTGTAGAGTCATGCACAGTTGAACAATGAGGATATGTTCTGAGAACATGTGCTGCTGTTGTCCTTGTGTGAATGCAGAGTGGACTTAGATGGACCTAGACGGCATAGCCTACCACACTCTCAGGCTATATGCTAGAGCCCATCGCTCCTAGGCTACAGATCTGCACAGCACGTGACTGTCCTGAATACTGTAGGCAATTGTAACACCGTGGGAAGTATTTGTGTATCTAACCTATCTAAACATAGAAAAGGCACAGTAAAGACACTTTTTATTTTTTTTTTTTTTGAGAAGGAGTCTCACTCCCTCGCCAGGCTGGAGTGCAGTGGCGCAATCTCGGCTCACTGCAACCTCCGCCTCCTGGGTTCAAGTGAGTCCCCTGCCTCAGCCTCCCGAGTAGCTGGGATCACAGGTGCCCACCACGACACCTGGCTAATTTTTTTGTATTTTAGTAGAGACTGGGTTTCACCATGTTGGCCAGGATAGTCTCAATCTCCTGATCTCGAAAACACATTATTATAATCTTATGGGACCACCGTCCTACAGGCAATTCATCCGTGACCTAAATGTAGTTGTATTGCATGTGTGACTGTATTAAGATCTTTTAATTCAGGGCTTTTAAATATTTTCAAAAGAACTTTTAACTTCCTAAGGGAAGCTTCAGATTTCAATAGTTCTTCACACAAAAAGATCTCACTTTCTGAGGAGAGAAAAAGTCCAGCTTTTCCATGAATATATCATGGGTTTGCTTCACTCTCAGCATGGCCACTGTTTGCTTTTCTTCTTTACTGGACTAATTGCCCTGGTGTTCCTGCTTTGGTTAAAAGTGAAACATAAAGAACTTATTATTAATCAGGTAAATGGGAGTATGACATTGAAAACATTCAATGTCAAAAGACCTAACATAAAAAGGAGGTTTTAGGTGATTGAAACAGGGAAGAGGACAGTATAAGACTCACACCGATGAGTAGTATTTTACAATTTATAAATAAAAAATATAAAAGCAATACATAGCATGGAATATTATTCAGTCTTACATAGGTAGGAAATCCTGTCATATAGTACAACATGGATAAACCTTGAGGACATAAAAAAAAAATAAAAATAAAAATTAATCAGTCTCAAAAAGGCAAATCCTGTATGATTCTACTTATATGAGGTAACTAAAGTAGTCAAATTCGTAGACACAGAAAGTGGAATGGTGATTGCCAGGGGCTGGGCAAGGGGAAATAAATGGGGAGTTGTTATTTAATGGGTACAGAGTTTCAGTTTTGCAAGATGAAGATTTCTGGAGATCTGTTGCACCACAATGTGAAGGTACTTAACACTATTGAACTGTACACTCAAAGAAAGTAAGGATGGTTACTTTTATGTGTTTTTTAATTACAATTAAAAATAAAAATTATATATATAAATACATATGCAAAACAAACACTTCATACAACTCACTAACAAAACAAACATCCCCATCAAAAATGGGCAAGGAAATTGAATGGACCTTTCTCCAAACAGGATATGCAAGTGGCCCATCAATACATGAAAAGATGTTCAACATCACTAATCATTAGGGCAACGCAAATCAAAACCACAGTGAGATACCGCTTCACACCTGTTAGGATGGTTATTATTGAAAGAAACAGAAAGTGAGTGTTGGCAAAGATGTGGAGAAATTGGAACCCTTGAACGCACTCACTGTGGAAAATGGCTTGGTGGTTGTTAAAAAAATTAAACACAGAATTACCGTATGATCCAGCAATCCCACTATGGGTATATACTGCAAAAAATAGAAACTAGGGACTCAAACAGATATTGGTACACCCATGCTCATGGCAGCATTATTTACAGTAGCCAAAAAGTGAAGCAACCCAAGTGCCCTAAGAAGAATGAATGGATACAAAATGTGATGTACATATAGAATAGAATATTATTTAGCCTTAAAAAGCCAGGAAATTCTGACACATCCTACGACATGGATGAACCTCAAAGACATTGTGCAAAGTGAAATAAGCCAGTCACAAAAACACAAATATTGTATAATTTAATTTACATGAGGTACCTAGAGAAATCAAATTCATAGAGTCAGAAAGTAGAATAGTGGTTACCATGGCCTGGGGGAGAGGGAATGGGAAGT
This sequence comes from Homo sapiens, assembly GCF_000001405.40. Lineage (NCBI taxonomy): Eukaryota > Metazoa > Chordata > Mammalia > Primates > Hominidae > Homo > Homo sapiens. Next base: position 3,975,937 of record NC_000018.10, read on the forward strand.
CAGTGTTTAAGGGGTGCAGAGTTTCCACTTGGGAAGACGAACAGGTTCTGGAGATGGATGGTGGTGACGGTTGTACAACAATGTGAAATACTTAATGCCACTAAACTGTACACTTAAAAAGTGGTTAAGGCCGAGGGCAGTGGCTCATGCCTGTAATCCCAGCACTTTGAGAGGCTGAGGTGGTTGGATCACCTAAGGTCGGGAGTTTGAGACCAGCCTGACCAACATGGAGAAACCCGTCTCTACTAAAAATACAATAATAATAATAATAATAATAATAATAACGATAATTAGCCAGGTGTGGTGGTGCATGCCTGTAATCCCAGCTCTTTGGGAGGCTGAGGAAGGAGAATCGCTTGAACCCGGGAGGCAGAGGTTGCACTGCACTCCAGCCTGGGCAACAAGAGCAAAACTCTGTCTCAAAAAAAAGTGGTTAAAAGGGTGAATTTTATGTTATACATATTACCATAATAACAAATGCATTAAGGAAAATATAGAGAATAGAAAAAATGAAATAAACATCACCCATAATTCTCAGCACCCTAGCTTACCACTGCTATGTTTTCTTCTGGTGTTCTCTGTTCCCTGCATATTTTTATATAGTATTAATTTTCTTCATGTTACTGGGCAGTCTTTGTAATTTTTAAATCTATACCTATGTCAAGAGAAAATTACTCTGTTCATTTCTTTTTGATTTGGAAAATAATTTGAGGTTAAATTATTTGTACTTATAACTTTGTATTTATGACTTTTTACATTATTTTCTTAGGAGAATGTCCTGTAATGAAATCATGGAGTTAAAGGCATGAATCTATTTTTAGCATTTAATATACAAGACAAATTGATTTTCAAAAACTCTGTATTAAATTATAACGTTATCAGCAAGTTATAAAGGTACTATTCTCATCATGCCCTCATCAAAGATTAGGTCATATCATTTTTTAAATCTGTTAATTTAATAGAAAAAATATATCTCATGATTTAGATTTGCATTTCTCTTAGATTACAGGTAAGGTTAAATTGTTAACAGGTTTCAATACGATTCTTTAGTAGCTATACAATCTCTTTAAAAAATTGTCTTGACAGAATTTCTGCTGATTTGTTAATAGCTTTGATTGATTCTTCTCATTTTATTTATTTATTTTTATTCATTTTTAAGACAGAGTCTCACTCTGTCGCCCAGGCTAGAGTGCAGTGGTGCCATCTCGGCTCACTGCAACCTCTGCCTCCCAGGCTCAAGCAATTCTGCCTCAGGCTCCCAAGTAGCTGGGACCACAGGCATGTGCCACCACTCCCAGCTAATTTTTGTATTTTTAGTAGAGACGGGGTTTTCCCATGTTGCCCAGGCTGGTATCGAACTCCTGAGCTCCAGTGATCTGCCTGCCTTGGCCTCTCAAAGTGCTGGGATTACAGGTGTGAGTCACTTTGCCCGGCCTTATTATTTTTAAACTGTACTAAAATGCTGAAATGTCAGTTAATGAATTATGTTTATTCTGTGTTTTTTTTTTTTTTTTTTTTGCTGAGTACAGGGGACTTTATTGATGTACACAATGAGGTAGGGCTCCCCTAGGTCTCACCCTCTTCAGGGGGTCTGCATGGAAACTGTGAGGAGGGGAGAGTCTCAGTGTTGTGGAGGACTGAGTGCGGCAGGGACTCCCCCTCTCTCTTCCTCTTGTGCTCTCGCTGGGGCTGGTGTCCAGCTAGCTGCTGCCTTTGGAGGCCATGTGGACCATAAGGTCTACTACCCTGTTGCTGTAGCCAAATTCATTCTCATACCAGGAAATAAGCTTGACAAAGTGGTTGTTGAGGGCAATGCCCACCCCAGCTTTGAAGGTGGAAGAGTGGGTGATGCTGTTAAAGTCAGAGGCGACAACCTGGTGCTCAGTGTAGCCCAGGATGCCCTCAAGGGTCCCCTCTGATGCCTGCTTCACCACCTTCCTGATGTCATCATATCTGGCAGGTCAGGTCCATGACCAACACGTTGGTGGTGGAGACAAGGAAGGCCATGCCAGTAAGCTTTCTATTCAGCTCCAGGATGACTTTGCCTACAGCCTTGGTAGCACCAGTAGATGCAGGGATGATGTTCTGGAGAGCCCCGTGGCTGTCATGCCAGTTTCTTGGAGGGGCCATCCACAGTTTTCTGGGTGGCAGTAATGGCGTGGACCATGGCCATGAGTCCTTCCACGATTCCAAAGTTGTCATGGATGACCTTGGCTGGTGGGGGGCAAAGCCCTTGGTGGCACAGGAGGCGTTGCCGATGATCTTGAGGCTGTTTTCATACTTCTCATCGTTCATGCCCATCAGCAGAGGGGGCAGAGGTGATGACCCTTTTGGTACCCCCTGCAAGTGAGCCTCAGCCTTCTCCATGGTCATGAAGACACCAGTGGACTCCACAACGTACTCAGTGCCAGCATCATCTCATTTAATTTTCGTGGGATCTCGCCTTGGATGATGAGTGATGCAGTTTCCATTGATGACAAGCTTCCCATTCTCAGTCTTGACAGTGCTGTGGAATTAGCCATGGGTGGAATCATACTGGGACATGCAGACCATGTCGTTGAGGTCAATGAACGGGTAACCGATGGTGACAATATCCACTTTACCAGAGTGAAAAGCAGTTCCGGTGACCAGGTGCCCAACACGACCAAGTTCGTTTACTCTGGCCTTCACCTTCACCATGGTGTCTCAGGGACATGGCTGGTTCTGCATAAGAATATGTAGCTGTCTGTCAAATGGGAGGAGCAGAGAGCCTGATTCTTACTTTTATGGTTTCTTCTATTGTTCCAAAGCTCTTCCCACTCTAGAACTTTCGAAGGCGATTCAATTTTCCCCCTAGTTTTTTTATGGGTTGACGTTGCACACTTAACTTCTTCCACTTGGAATTTACTATGTTGTATAGGACAGATCTTGATGGACAGAGGCAGAGGAGGGGGAACAGTATTAGTGAGGTTTTAGAGGAAGAATTAAATGAAGAGTACGTGGAAAGTGTACGTAGGTAAATCCACCTCTCTGGTGAAATGACCACATTGAGTAATAAAGACATACCTATCTGTCCATCAACAGATAAATGAATAAATAAAATGTGGTATATATAAACAATGGAACACTACAAAGCCATAAAAAGAAGAAAATGCTGTCATTTGCACAACATGGATGAACTTGGATGACATTATGCTAAATGAAATAAGCCACGCACAGAAAAACCACTATGGTCATGCACCACATAATAATGTTTCGGTCAACCACAGACTGCATTGCATGTACAGTGGCAGTCCCATAAGACTATAGAGCCCTATTTTTACCATTTTTTTTCTATGTTTAGATGCACAAATATTTACCGTGGTGTTACACCTGCCTACAGTCTTCAGCACAGTACCATGTGTACAGGTTTGCAGCCTAGTAGCAATGTGCTATACCATATAGTCTAGTTGTGGGGTAGGCTGTACCATCTAGGGTTGCACTCTATAATGTTCACTCAGTGTTTTCGCCTAATGATGCATTTCTCAGAATGTACTCCCATGATTGACACATGACTGTACTGTATTAACTCACGTGGATTTTTGAAAAGCGTATCTCTTAGAAAGAAAAAGTAGAAATTTGGTTATCTGAGGTGAGGCTAGAGAGGAGACGAAGAGATAGGGAAAGAAAAGATGTTGGTAAAAGTGTACAAAGTTTCAGTTGGACTATTACACTGCAACTGTTATCCTGCATGGTAACCACAGTTAAGCATAATGTTTATTTCAATATTGCTAAAATACATTTTTAATGTTCTTACCACAAAAAATGATAAATTGGGAGATGACAGGTATGTTAATTAGCTTGACTGAATCCTTCTATGATGTATACATAGATCAAAACATCACACTGTACCCCACAAATACACACAATTATTATTTGTCAATTAAAAGTAAAAATATAGCTGGGCGCGGTGGCTCACGCCTGTAATCCCAGCACTTTGGGAAGCCGAGGCAGGTGGATCACTTGAGGTCAGGAGTTCGAGACCAGCCTGGCCAACATGGTGAAACTCCATCTCTACTAAAAATACAAAAATTAGCCAGGCGTGGTGGCAGGCACCTGTAATCCCAGCTACTTGGGAGGTTGAGACAGGAGAATTGCTTTTACGTGGGAGGTGGTTGTTACAGTAAGCCAAGATAGTGCCATTGCGCTCCAGCCTGAGTGACAAAGCGAGACTTCATCTCAAAAAATAAATAAATAAATAAACAAAAAAAGTAAAAAGTAAAAAACAAAAAAGATAATGGGAGATAGAGATGGTGAGGAAGGAGAAGAGGAGAGGCTGCAGGGGTCTGATCTCAGGCATCGCGGCCTATCTGGAGGCAGAACCTACGGCCTCAAGTGAGTCTTGGCTGGGTGGAGGCGGCAGGACCTGGGAGGAGCAGCCCAGTTCCAAACTGGAGCATAGAGGAAGACGGCTCTGCCACAGGAGAGACACCAGACTTTGCAGCTGCACTTGATGAGCAGGAGCAGAAAGTGCTTACGGCATTATAATAATTTGTGTCCAAAATGAAGTGGGATATTCATCTTTACCCATAGTAATTTTGTTCAATGTGATTTAAATGTGTTTGCAAAAGGAAGGGCATCTCCTAATTCCTAGCTGAATACCAGAGCTTTGCTTAGATGTACAGGTGTTTCTGCCACATAGCTTTCCTACTCCTTTCCGGAAAGGAAAAAAACCAAAACGCTCAGCAATTTTCACTGCACTGTTCTCTCTCTAGGGTCCCGATAGTTTGTCCATATGCTTATTACTGACCATTTTTGCAGGTCGCTTTTTACAAATTTATTTATTTTTTGAATTGAAAAATAAATATTGTATATATTTGTGGTATACAACATGATGTTTTGAAACATGCATACACGTATCATATATTCATATACATATATCAAGCTAATTAACATATCTATTACCTTATAGATTTGCCATTTATTTGCGGTGAGAATACTTAAAATTCTACTCTTGTAGCAATTTTCAAGTATACAATGCATCTTTATTAACTATAGTCACCATCTTGTTCAATAGATCTCTTGGACTTATGCCCTAAGGTCACTTTTTAAAGACAAGATCTAGTTCTTTTTCATATAGATTCTCATTTTTAAAGAATGCATGGTTAGCAAATACATTGGAAAGAGTGGAACTTCAAAATGCGAGAGAATTTAAAAAGTAGGATTGTTTGTCTCCAAAGACCTGTATTTTCATACGGGCAGAATGCCGGATATTTGCCCCCATCAGACGAAAGGGTATTTTATTGATGAGAACACTCAGTTTTCCTCTGCACTTGCTCCACTGTCACCTTTTGTGATTTGATTCAAAGCTAGCAAGGAAAAGGACACACTTCAGCACAACTCAGCACAGGGAGAAGTGACTAAAGATTTGTGTGCCCACACGTGAAGTAGGAGTATCTTCTGATGCTGCACTCTTGAGGCTTCCGTCCTCATCCCGACCCATGAGGATTCAGACCTGGCGGAGACCACAGCTCCTGCTAGGGCCATACATGTAGGAGGCAGGGCTGTGAGGTGAGGGAGTTAAAAGGTTGCAAAAAGATTTAAGGATCTTAGAGGGAGGGAAGGAAGAGCAGAGTTTCTGGGGAATGTTCTCTGCCCAAGGCAAAGGGATGGCAGGTGATGCCCCAGAAGGCTCTATAACTAAGAACAGGGCACTGGGGACAATCAAGAGAAAGAGTAGACTAGGTGAGAAAAACTCTCACTAAATCTCCAATGCCCTTCAGATTCTGCATGGCTTGGGACAAAATGCTTGAGATTGAAATAAAGGACTGATTGACTATTTTCAGGGTGTCCCAGGATGGCCTGAACTGGATAATAGAGAATTTATGGTATACTGTACCATCTATATGTATATGAAATATAGTGATGGATTCTCTTTCACAGGAATTTCCTCAATCATCCTAATCTAGTGATTCTTCCCTCCTCTGATCTCCTACAACACATACTTTTCATTGCTAATGTCTTATGACAACTCTTCTGTAGTTATCTTGACTACTTTTTATATTATATTATTGGTTACTATTTAACTTTCTTTTCCTGATGGGTAAAAGTAAAATGCATTTTCTAATAAAAAATAATGCACAGAGAGCATATCTGGTCAGAAATAATAGGAAGAAGAAAAAAAGAGGCTCTTGGGGCAGATAAAATAAAATAAAAGATCTTCATGGAATGGAAACACTTCTGAAACTTCTCCAGTTTGTAGTCTTTTGAAAGAAAAAAATCAGAAAATCCTAAGGCAAAGCATACAGGATCTTAACCATTTTTCACTGTGATTTTCACCTTGCTTTTCAGGATGCAGGTTTTGTTGTCATTAAAATGTTTATCTCTAAAAGTCACACTGTCTCCACGTCATGTACATATCTCAGCTACTTCGGCACACTTATACATGGACGTGTGCCTTCTTCAGATCACCTTTGACTCAATACACACACTTGTGCTCCATGACACGGAAGTGACAAGATACAATGTGAATGATTAACTTTGCAATTAATATTTTCTATATTATTTTCTATAATATAGAAAATGCATTTGCTTTTGGAGCAGGACAGACAGACTTGTGATTTGGTGCTGGTAATTAACTTCTCTGAACATCAATGGGGGTACCTCTCAGAGACGTGGTGAGGTTTCCATGGGATAGCCTGTGATCAGTTCTTATTATCTACATGCCTGACACATGGTAAGCCCTTAAGACATTCATTCCATTTATAGCCCTTCTTCTCCTCATCATTAAGTCTTTTCTCTCCAGCTGGTTTGGAAGCTCAGTGATGGCAAGAAGCCCATTTTGTACTGGTTGGTATATTCTACAACATTCTAGCACCGTGAGTCGCAGACTTAGGTAATTAATAATTACTTACAAATTTGAATTGAGAATGTGATGGAATGGTGGAAAATCAAAACATGAACCATCATTGCTTAGATATCTTATGAAATTTGTTTTGAATTTTTTTCTTAAGTGTCATTTTCTATAATTACTAAAACCTTCATATGATGATTAAAGAGTAAAGTGGTTTCACTATTGCTTGTATCTGAGGAATTATAATAACATATCAGGAACAAAGGTTCCCAAAAAACTTGCTTATAGAAAATATTAGATGCATACTTATTAGAGGGTTCTTTTGGGTGGTTCTTCAGAGTCAAAGGAATATAGAAAATATTTATTTTTTAGATTTATTTTTCCTTATTTGAAATTTCAAAGCAAAATTATATGCACATTTTTTCTTATTCATTAATTTAGTATTTGTAAGAATGTAAGGGTTATCCATCAGGAAAAAGAAAAAGGTACCTTGAATTAATAATGATAATTATAGTGATTGCCATTACTTAATTATGCCAGGTACTTATATAATCTCAAAACAGTGCTATAAGGACAAATTTATTTGTATGTTCTAACAGGACCCTAAATTCAACATTCCCCAAATAAAGCTCATTTGCCTGATGTACTCACTATGTGTCAGTATCTGCTTTTAACAGAGGAAGCAGCTGAACCTCCAAGGATCTGTGGCTTGCCAGCTCACACTAGTTGTTGGGGGTGCCAAGAATCTATTTTCCATGAAGTAATGTACAAAATGAGCCATCTCAAGTACCACCGCTACTTGAGACATCATTAGGTTAAAAAAATGCTTTATGTTCTCTATCAAAACTGAATGCAAGATTAAACCTGTAAAAGAACAAACTGAACAAAGAATGATTAATACCATAATGTAAGATTATGGCATTCCTCATACCCCACCCTCCTTCCAAGAACAAACAAATCTAAATTACCCCCGTTTAAAAAAGACTCTCCTATTATGAAAGAAGCACTTGTAAAACTTGCCAGAATGGGAAAATAAATCATCAGCCCATTCTAACGTCTACCGCATTGTTTAAAGAGATAACAGAATCAGCAGGACCATTGCAGCTAGGCAAGTTCTTAGACAACACCCCTATAATGACTGAGTTACCACTGAAATGCTCCCCGGGAACATGAAACTGCAACTTGTGGTAGAGGTTTCTTTCCCAACAAAAAACAGGCACAGAGAGCCTATCTGGTCAGAAATAATGGGAAGAAGAAAAAAAGAGGCTCTTGGGGACAGATAAAAGAAAATAAAAGATCCTCACGGAATGGAAAAGCTTCTGAAACTTCTCCAATTTGCAGTCTTTTGAAAGAGAAAAAAATAATCAGAAAATCCTAAGACAAAGCACACAGGATCTTAATCATTTTTCTTAATCTGCCTACACCTTGATCTCGGACTTCAGCCTCCAGAACTGTCAGGACATCAATTTCTGTTGTTTCAGCTGCCAGTTTGTGGTCCCTTCTCATGGTGACCTAAGAAAACCAAAATCCCTTGTGAGGGCAGGTCCCTTCAGTGGTCTCCCCTGACTCAGGATGGCTTCAGTCTCTACAATGTCTCAGAGGTCATATCACCTCAATTACCCCAAGTCTGCCCTGTGCTAGATCATTCAAATGGAAATCCCAAGTCTGCACTGACTAAGTCTCAGTTGCACATTTTTGGCTGCCTTGAGACTGCTTCACTTGTCTGTTCTGACAGCACTCTAAGCTCCAGGTGTCTAAAATAATTCCTCCTCTGATGAGACTGATGTACTCCTCTCACATTCACCCTGTCACCCAGGCTGGCGACTCTAAAGCCATCTTTAATGTTCTTTCCCAATGCTTCTCACAGCCAAGCAGTCATCCCCTTTCCTTGCCATTCCTTCATTTTCACTTCTTTGGCATTTTCTCTGCCTCGACCTTGGTTGAGGCCTATTTATGTTAGGCCAGTCCACAATCAACTCCTAATTGAATCCCCTGCCCCTAGTCCTACCTTGTTGCATGCATGTCTCACCAGCCCAGGTTCATCTTTCCCCTGTTAATCCATCTCGGTGTTTGGGTCTTTATTTTGCCCACAGAGCTCAGCCGGTTCTGAAGGCCCTGGCATATTTGATTCCTGACCAATCTTCACCATTGTCCCCTGCCTGTGTCCTCCATTCAGACAGGTTTATTGACCCATCCCAACCATGCCTTGTATTCACTCAGTGAGGAGCTATGTCTTATTTCCACCCTCATTGTTTTTGTTAAAGCCATTGTCCCTTCTTGGAAATCACTTGCATTTATCTAATCCTAACCCATTCTTTAAAGGTAATTTCACATCTCATGACTGTGTGAACCCTTATTCAAAGATACCAGCCACATGCATCTGCCTCCTTGAGTTCCTCTAACATATCCTGATCCCCTTTCTACCTTGATTAGCAAGAACCTCTGAGCCACATGTGATCCCCAGTGTCATACTGTCTCCCTCTCTTCCTGATGTGATTTATGTTATTGCTTTCAGTTTCATTTTAAAGTCTTTTTGTAAAACATACTTTTTCAACAAGAGGACTCAAATGCTCCAGGCCTGGCTCATACTAAGCTCTGAAAAAATATTGGCTATTAAGTTACAAGCAAATAAAAAGTTAAGCTAATTACAGCTCATGGCACTCCTGTGGTTGTCAATTTTGAATCTCACTTTTCATTATTAGCTATATTTTTTGGGCAGATGATATAACTTTCTGATCAGACTTTACTTCTTAAAGCCTGGGCCTTCGACTTACTTTTTTTTTTTTTTTAACATAGAACAAAATAAATACTCTATAAGTGTTCTCTGTTCAATGAAGAGATATATACTTCCTAGGAAGACTAACATATGTTTTAATAGATGCATTGATAAACCTGAAGGACGGGCTTACTGTTCAGTAGTGCTTTGTTCATAAATGTAGAAACATCTGCTTTGGGGTTATAGGGAAACTTCTTTCTTTTAAATTTGTACAGGCTTGAAAAATAGTTGTGCTCTATAAATACCCCAGTATGAGTCATTTGCTTAACTAAACAGCTGCTTACTCATTAGCCAAATGCACTTCATTTTAAGGCATACACTTAAATGAATTTTCTCCCATGCCTCTCTCCCTCCCCCAAGAGCCAGAAAAGTGATGTGCAAATACTTTTCTGGAATACAAAAGAGATACAGATCTGCCTTTGACATGGGGAATCTAAACTCCATGATGTAGCGGAAAGTCATCCTAGCGCAAATTCATAAGCTGTCTGTATATGCTTTGCTTGTTCTTATAACAACACAGTCCTTCATTTTCTATTCCCATCTCTCCCCACACACCTCTGGAACATCCTCCCTCTTCCCATTCAAATCCAACATACCAATTCTCCCACTGGGGCACCCGGCAGGGCTTTGTTCTTTTTTTTCCTTCTGTCACCATCGCCCGTTTCTTATGCAGGTGGATAGTCTGCGTCAAGACTGCTGGTAGAAGCCATTTATTTTAATAAGTGTAAGCAAATGACAAGTATTCTTACAAATCCTTTTGTTAAGATGGAAACACAGATCAACTTCTACAATTAGTGGCATTCAGCTATCATTTTCTATCCTTCAACTTATTTTGAACGATAAATACAAAGCAACCACTCGCATCTTTTTAAAATTTTATTTTGATTTAACTTTTTTTTTTTTTTAAAGATGGGGTCTTGCCATGTTGCTCAGGCTGGTCTCGAACTTCTGGCCTCAAGCAATCTTCTAGCCTCAGTCTTCCAAATATGTGGGATTCCAAGTGTGTACTACCATGCTCGGCTTCATGCTTTTATTTTCTTTAAAAATGGTCAATATCACCATGAGTTCCTTCTTTTGGAAGCCAGTAAATGTCTAAATGTTTTGGAAGAGTCCAGAGGAGAACTTTGATTTCTAGAAAGACCAAATGAGAAGGAACAGATACAGTCTCCAGAGTTCCAATTATAGTGTAGCTATTCTCAGCAGGATTCCAATCCAACGTGGATTTTTTTCTAGCCTGCGGAGGACATCTTCAAACGCCCAGGGCTGACATTTAGCTGTTACCCATCTGGTATGATTGTACCTTGTTAAAATCACTTTTATACCAGTTGGTAATTACCTATTGTCCTGAGCTCCCCGGATACTGGACCCTTCAATGGTGACACCCTGCCTCCCACAAAAATGTCCTATGATTTAGCAACTGAAAAGTTAATGCTCGACACAGGACGAGGCTCTGACTACGCAGAGCCATTTTGATTGGACACTGGTTTAATAACTTGACTATCACCCTGCAAATAGCGCTCGTTTCCAGGTATGTTAGGTATTAATTATTTTCTGGAAAACAATCTGACTGTGCTAGCTTTGAGAATGAGAGCATTTACCTCCCTAGGTTTATTTACCTCCCTAGGGTTTATTTTCCTCATCTGTCAAATGGTAGAGTGCCTTGGCTTAGTGTTCAGACTGGGTTCCAAAGTTGCCTCAAGGGGAGATTGCTAATAGATAGAAATCTGGCCCCACTTCCTGCAGAGCAGCTCCTCTTCCAGGCCTACTCACTGAGGTCCCCATTTCCTCGATTGTTTGGAGAAAGGATTTTGAAAACTGAATTTTGCTACCAAAAAAAAGTTTGGAAAACAAAAAACCCACTGGCTTCAATGGGCACTAATCTTTCGTCCTATTTAAAAATTCTAAAATTCAATTATAACTGTGATTAACAAAAAGAATGGCATCTGTCTACCAAAAGCAAATAGCTACATTGGGTCTACTCGGTACCAGGCATCGTTCCAAGTGCTTTGCGTATTCGAACTCACTTCACCCACAGAACTATGCCTATATTATAATTATTTTTAGTTATTAAAGTCTAAAAAGTGTATGTTCAGAGATATTTATTTTCACTTTTATAATTTTCTTAGATACATTTGAGGTTATAATTTATTCAAAGCTAACATTCCTACAATGACTATTTAATGAAATGTAATCATGATATTGTCTTTCTTATATGCTCCAATTACAGATTTCTATGCATATTTTAAAGAGCGTTTTGTCTTTAACTTTTGGATTTCATCTTGAAATCATTAGACTAAGAGTATGTGCTATACTTTATAAATTATACATTAGACTATGTATGTACTTTCTCTGTGGCTTATACCAGTGGTGCCCAACCTTTTTGGCACCAGGGACTGGTTTCATGGAAGACAATTTTTCTATGGACCAGGGCGGGGGATGGTTTCGGGATGATTCAAGCCCATTACATTTATTGTGCACTTTATTTCTATTATTACATTGTAATATGTAGTGGAATAATTGTACAACTCACCATAAGGTAGAATCAATGGGAGCCCTGAGTTTGTTTTCCTGCAACTAGATGGTCCCATCTGGGGGTGATGGGAGACAGTGATATAAGTGTTGCTTATGTCCACTTCACTCTATAATCTCATTTTGGTTGCTGTCACTGCAATCTCAGGATATTCCGCCTTGACTTTAACCCAGAACCTATGGGGATTTGAAGTTCTCTCAAACATACATTTCAGGACACTAGATGCAGCTATACAATTGAAGTACCTCAACTCACTTGCCACTATAAAGCCTACCACCAGAGGCAGCTTAATTGTCACTTGCCGCTCACTGATAGGATTTTGATGTGCGTCTGTAAGCGATTGACTTATTATGGTCTCTGCACAGTTAAACCTCTCTGCTAATGTTAATCTGTATTTGCAGCCACTCCCCAGTGATTGCATCACTGCCTCAGCTCCACCTTGGATCATCAGGCATTAGATTCTCATAAGGAGCGGGCAACCTAGATCCCTTGCATGCACAGTTCACAATAGGGTTGGCGCTCCCATGATAATTTAATGCTGCTGCTGATCTGACAGGAAGTGGAGCTCAGGCAGTGATGCAAATGATGGGGAGCGGCTGCAAATAGAGATGAAGCTTCCACTCACCTGCGATGCAGCCCGGTTCCTAACAGGCCACGGACCCGTACTGCAGGATGTCTGAAAGATGCACTGTGTACTGTACCAGTACCAGTCTGTGGCCTGGGGGCTGGGGACCCCTAGCTTATAATGTTTGTTTCTTCACTTTCAACCAAACCTGGAAATCAGTTTCTAATGCCAGTCCGCGGCTGTGGCGCTGGGTAGCTGTAAATGTGCTCAGACATTTCCTGAGCTCCAGCTCCTGACTGCCGTGGCTTAACTGGGATAAACAGCTGAATGCAAATCTGAGCATGAATTCCTCGTCACTGTCCTTTTCCAGAACATGAGGTTATGGCAGGCATCACAGGCCCGGCTGCTCCCTCCTGCCTCCACTGCTGCACTTCCGAGGCAATGGGTTGCTCGGGACTTTTGCTTCTCCCTCCCAGGACCCGGTCCCTATGCTCCTGGAGGGAAGGGAGTTGCTGGCCATGGTTACCCAGTTCCCTGGAGCAGCCTAGCTTGCGTCCTTGCTGGTGGACGGCACTGTCTTTTCTTAGTGAGTCCAGCAGAGTTGGGAAATGGAAACTATATCATGTGAGAAAGTAAAGCTGCATGGGATGAGAAGGAGAAGGTTCTGAGGGTTCCTGTGTTTTAATAAAGTGGCAAAGCACAGGAGAGAGGGATTCCACTAATTCCTGTAGCCTTTACGGGCAGGAACAGAGCTGGTAAGTGGCAGGCTCAGGAGGCTGTGTGTCAATGAAGAGAAGGAAGACTTCCTGTCCACTGAGGTGTCCACACTGAGGCTGTATCCACACAGCCATTGTATGATAACTCGTCAGGGATGACAAATGAATCCAAACAGGATGTGTAGCTTGAACAGATGAGCTTTATTCAGCATTAACCATCCATCCAAGACTTCAACTAGTTTGTGTTAATGATCCCCCAAACAAATGTTAACTTGTCAGTCTTGATTTGAAGTTAAAAAACAAAGGACCAAACTAAAGAGCTTCTGCACAGCAAAAGAAACCACCATCAGAGTGAACAGGCAACCTACAGAATGGGAGAAAATTTTTTAACCTACTCATCTGACAAAGGGCTAATATCCAGAATCTACAATGAACTCAAACAAATTTACAAGAAAAAAACAAACAACCCCATCAAAAAGTGGGTGAAGGATATGAACAGACACTTCTCAAAAGAAGACATTTATGCAGCCAAAAGACACATGAAAAAATGCTCATCATCACTGGCCATCAGAGAAATGCAAATCAAAACCACAATGAGATACCATCTCACAACAGTTAGAATGGCGATCATTAAAAAGTCAGGAAACAACAGGTGCTGGAGAGGATGTGGAGAAATAGGAACACTTTTACACTGTTGGTGGGACTGTAAACTAGTTCAACCATTGTGGAAGTCGGTGTGGTGATTCCTCAGGGATCTAGAACTAGAAATACCATTTGACCCAGCCATCCCATTACTGGGTATATACCCAAAGGATTATAAATCATGCTGCTATAAAGACACATGCACGTGTATGTTTATTGCGGCACTATTCACAATAGCAAAGACTTGGAACCAACCCAAATGTCCAACAATGATAGACTGGATTAAGAAAATGTGGCACATATACACCATGGAATACTATGCAGCCATAAAAAATGATGAGTTCATGTCCTTTGCAGGGACATGGATGAAGCTGGAAACCATCATTCTCAGAAAACTATCACAAGGACAAAAAAACCAAACACCACATGTTCTCACTCATAGGTGGGAATCGAACAATGAGAACACATGGACACAGGAAGGGGAACATCACACTCTGGGGACTGTTGTGGGGTGGGGGAGGGGGGAGGGATAGCATTAGGAGATATACCTAATGCTAAATGACGAGTTAATGGGTGCAACACACCAACATGGCACATGTATACATATGTAACAAACCTGCACGTTGTGCACATGTACCCTAAAACTTAAAATATAATAATAATAATAATAATAATAATAATAATAATAAAAAGAAATTACTACTTGTTGAGTTTTGGTTGAGTATTAAAAGAAGAATAACCAGAAATATATGTGCTATTAAATACTCCTCCTTTCTCACATTATATATGTATGTAAAGCCAGATTTGCCTTCTACAGTTTGACCAAGACAACATAGTACATGCAACAGAGTGAATAAAGAGGCAGATATAGGAATTTAGCTGCCTTCTATTAAACCAGTTATTAGTTATAAAAATGTAAAATAAAACCACTCACTTTTTTTTGGCAAAATGGTTATTTTTTTTCTAAAATGTATGTTATTTATGTGAAGATTTAATGGAGTTATTAGTTTTCCTTTCCAACTTTTATTTTAGGTTCAAGGGGTACATGAGCAGGTTTGTTACATGAGTAAATTGTGTGTCACAGGGGTTTGGTGTATAGATAATTTTGTCACCCAGGTAATCAGCATAAAACTTTATAGGTAATTTTTCAAATTTTTTTAAAATTTGTTTTAATTTCTAATAAAGTAAATATTAATATAAAAAAACAAAAAACAAAAGACCTCATTTCCTGTATCTCTAAAGCACAAGCCCATTCTGAGATTTTATAGTTTTTTACTGATGTCTTGCTCAGACTTTTTCAGTAAATATTGAAATGATTAGAATTAAATAGAATTCTTATATATTTGTATTTACTCATCTCTCTGTATTTCCGGTGGGGGGATAGAGTTCAAGGAAAAGTTTAAGAGACATGGTTGGTTCATTTCAGGAGTCCAAACCTTATGCTAATGAGGAAGCTTTGTCAGGGGAATTTCAGATATTGGCCAGTGGCAGTGGTGGGAACCTTGGGGTTAGCATCCTTGAAATAACACCGCAGAGGTGGTGAGTGGCCAGTGTGCCTGGATGACCCAGATTTGAGTGGGGTCTCTTCTGGAGGCTGACTGCCCAAGCAGCCTGAAGAATCACAGAGATACTTTCTGGTTGGTATTGCCCTTCTCCCTTCTCCCCAGAGCTATGCCTGATTTGGGCTGAGACAGTGGAAAATACACAATGCATGTTTCAGACATTCCTGCTTTAATATGTTAATATCTCACCCACTCTCCAGACCAGGAATCTCATATCTTGTCCTACTCTTTTCCACACAAAAAGAAAACTGCATTACATATAGAATTTTTCAGTGTAGCTGTTGCTTATCCCATTGTAACTAACCACTTTGATTTATTTTTTTGTGTATATCTTGCCTTGACACGCTTTCTTTATCGAAGACCACGGAAACATGGATTCTTTGTGATATTTTGAAAAATGACAAATTGAAGAGATTTTTATCTCTGGAGACTCAGCTTTTACATCATAAAGTACTTCTCTCCCCTGATGGCTAACCCAATCACATAGTTCCACAATAAACAAGATGAATCTAGATTCATAAGACAGTATGTGCAGAAAAATGCTGTTACTCTTTGTGGCTTCTTTCCCTGTGCCTTGAAAATGTTCATTAAAAATCTCCTACTTAGTTTGCCTCATTATATTGGTTTACTCATATTGGTCCCCTATTTTAATGATTTAAAGCACGTTTGAAAAGATTTCTTGTTTGGAACATCCTTGGCCAGGCCACTACTTTGTAAAGTAGGGAAGTCTGCAGGCCCTAGTTGTTCTTTTGAACTTAGTTCATAAAATGATTTTTAAACACTGATCTATCAGCTTTTCTCTTCTCTTTATCAAAATTAATAATTCACATAAAAGCCACCTATTTAAATGGAGTCTCAGCTGGGTACGGTGGTTTACGCCTGTAATCCCAACACTTTGGGAGGCTGAGGCGGGTGGAATGCTTGAGTCCAGGAGTTCCAGACCAGCCTGAGCAACATGGTGAAATCTGTTTTCTACAAAAATTACAAAAATTAGCCAGGTGTGGTGGTGCACAACTGTGGTCTCAGCTAACTGGGAGGCTAAGGCGGGAGGATCACTTGAGCCTGAGAGGCAGAGGCTGCAGTGAGCCGTGATTATGCCACTGTACTCCAGCCTGGTGACAGAGCCAGACCCTGTCTCTAAATAAATAAATAAATAAATGGAGTTCCATTGTTAGCAACTTACACAACCTGGAAAAATCAACTGATCTATAAATATTGGCATGGATGAGTGTACAAATACTTTCAAAAAGAATTACAATTTCTCTGTAATAACTATCAAGGTTATTTGGCTAATAGGGGGTCCCTGGAAGACCTTTAAGACCTGTCTGTAAAAGAAAAGGAACGCTGGCAATTCACAAGACACCTCAGCAATGTAGCATCTGCTCCTGGGGCAGGTAACAAAATCCAGTTTTAAATTTTGCTCTTAACAGTTAAGGAGATAATCAAGTCAGCTTGGGATTGGGTTGTGCACAGGAAGGCTGCAAAAAGATTACAAAATAGCCTCCCCCTGGCAGAAATGTAAAAAAGCCATTCCATGATTTTTTTTTTTCAGTTCTGCCAACGATTTATCTTCAGAAGACAAGCAGATGAGGAGACAAAACCTACTGATGTGGGTACCCAAGCAGGAACCCCCCTCTTGCACCGGCGACTCACGTGGGAAGAAGGTAGGAAATCAACAGCATAGGGGAAAGAAAAGGAAAAGGAGTTTGGAAACAGGATAAGACAGGCTTCTTTTGAATAATGGAGAGGACTCTTAGAAAAAAGAAAAGAAACAGAATAAATTTTTATTCACTGATTCCATTTCAGCGCAGCAAATTCTCATTGATTTTAATCAATTGCTTTCTTACAGAGTTTTGTCCATATGTATGTGACAAAATCAGCGGTCATTTAATGACAGACTTAGAATGTGTGCTAAGAATGAAACCATTGAGATTTCCTTGTCTTTCCTCCTTTCAGTAAAAATCATGAAGGGGAGAAAGGGAGGGGGTGAGGGTGGGGCAAGGAGAGCAATATTTTATAAAAGTGACAACGCGTTTTGCATTTGAATTATTATTTATTTTCCCTGGTGGAGTTTCAAGCAGGTTATTGCAAGGAAAGGAAAAACTGGAAATTAACCAAACGTGGTCCAGACTGGGGATGACGAGTTTAGCAGGGGCTTTAATGGGACCTCCTAAGCGATTCAGGAGAGAATGAATCTCTCATAGTTTCCCTTCTCATGGGATCACTGACCAAGCTTCCCCAAATCAGGGTGCAGCAACAAAATCAGGGTGCAGCATCTTTTAAGTGGGCTTAAGACCCACTTAAAAGCTTATCATAGCGAGATGTTGAGAAGATAAAGTTTTAGTTTTTTATAGAGCAGAAAATATATATGAGATGAGGAATAAAAGGTTCTGTCTAAAAGCCTGACATGTGTAAGACTTTCCCTCCACTGTTGTTTTCCTTTTGGTTTGGTAAGAATGTGGTGAGTGAAGTAAAAAGATAAGGAGAGAAGAACCACAGAGACCCCCTTGAAGCGTAAAACTCTGTTTATTAAGAGTGAGAATGTTCAGTGGCCTGTGACCCTCCCTTTCCTAGGCCACCTTCCCCAGTGCTTGGCTTTTCCCTGCCTGGCACCGGGTGATCCAGGCAAGGCCCTGGCTGGGGTGCCGAGGGTGGGGGAGACAGCTCTGGGTCCTTCTGTGCCACTTCCTCCCTGTGCTGGTGTTTCAGCAGCAATCTGCCCCTCTGCGATGGCAGCCTGTCCACAGCTCTAGTGCCCATAGGCTTGGGGACCCCGTTCCTTCCCTTCATCTGACTCTTCAGGCCTAGAGTGGCGAGGGCTTCCCACTGTGCTTGTCTCTGGGTACCTCGGCCTCTCTGGCTGTATTTTCTTAACCCTGCTCCCTGCTCTATAAACAGACCCTTCTCTAAATTCACCTCAACTCTCTTAATGGGATTCTCTTTCATGGGATTCTGACTGACAGAGTGCGGCTAAAAATATCTCAAACCTGATAGAAGCTGAGAGGAGCTGAAATTTCGAGTTGCAGAAACCTGGATGCTTGCCACTATATAGAGGACAGCAAACCATTTATTATTTATACAATTTCAGGCAAATAGGCTCTAGAAATTCCAGGTACAAAAGATCTGAAGAGATGACTAAACACTAACTAGGATTAGTTACATTAATCACGGACTTTTAAAATGACCAGAACCACCTGCTGCTAAATTATAAAGTCCAAAAAGACTTCAAGAATTGTTCAAAACTAAATAATGTCAACTCTCTAGAATGATTTATTCAAATTTAAGTAGGCCAGACTCACAATTTGGAGCACAGCTCTTTAATACATATAGATTCTAATTTTCTAAAAGAGAAATAGATTTGTTACTTGACTATTAGAAAATTCATTGCATATTTAAAAAGCGAGAGAACTTAGCTGTCTGCCTGTTCTGAGTCTGAGGTGTAAATGTTTACCTCATCATACATTAAGTATCTATAGATTATGCTCAATACTTTTTGCAAAATGTAGCATAAAGTCACTACTCATGCCCTTAAAATAGGCAACAACAATGTAATTTTAGAAAATGTTAATAAGTTTTCCTAGCTTTTGATTTTTTTTTTTTTTAGCTTTGGCCTTATCCTTTTTTTAGGTAGTGGCTGGCATTATGGATTAATTACTTAATACACTTTTGTTGCCTTAGAATTCACTGAGCTGAAATGGAGTGAGAGCTAAGATGCTCTCAGAATATTCTTAAAATGACTGTGCTGCAAAGAAGCCCGGGTGAATAGAAGAAAATAGAAGGAATGGTGGATACAAGTGAAGGTTAAAATGAGGTAGGAACTAAATATTATACTGGCACTTGGGGTTAGTATTTATGAATTGTTACTCTCTGGCAATGCTCTACTCTTTTGTATCTTCTTCGGGACAGAAAATTCCGTAAGAAAGACCTTTCCAGGAAGAGCTTGTCCCTAAACTTATGGGCTCAGGGTTTGAACAAAGCGTCTCTTCCAAGACCTTGTGAATAATATGCATGTGGGCCACGTAACTTCACAAAGTAAAGTTAAACGAATGCATTCTTTTCTTGCTATTAGACCCCATTTATCGCACCAGCTGTTGGTGATTTCAGCGCACCTTTCCAAGCCTCTTGAGAGTTCTGCTCTAACCACACTGCCCCCTAGTGTTCTCTCGCTTTGGTGCAACGTGAGTAAAAAAAAAAAAACCACCAAGATTTACTTTCAATATATACACTGTATTCATCAGTGTTTTGCTATAGAGAATGTAAGATATCTTTCTGTAAATTATTTAGATATTTAATCTTATTTATTTATTTATCCCAATAAGATATTAAAGCATGCTAAGCTGGAATGATTTTTTTTCATAAATGGGTAAAAGCAAAAGTAAAAGTTTAGATACTATTAAATAATTCCTGATCTAATAAACGGAGACAAATTACCTAATATTTTTGAGCACCTATTATGTTAGACATGTAAGAAATACTGTATTACAAGTGAAGTCTAAGTAAGCCTAATTCAATACTTAACTTTTAAAGTTAGAAACATTTTAAATATATTTATTAATTTGATCTCGAATTTGGGGAAAACAGTAAAGATGGAAGAGAGAAAAGGGAGAATTTTTAAATTTTACATATCTAAGTGGCTTTGTATTATGTTTTAATTGAAAAATATTTTAAACAAGTCAATTCTGATAAGATGTAGAAATTCTACTTGCAGCTTTAGGACAAAGTGAATTAAAAACAAAGGCTTTCTACTTGAAATGTGGCCAGTGTGACTGAGAAATGGAGTTTCTAAATTTTCATTTCATTTTAATTAATTTCACTGATTTAAATTTTAAAACTGATTGATACTCAATTCAGTCACTGAAAACTTTTACGTATGCTTGTAACAACTTAGGTATCTGAATCTATTTTTTTCAAATGTAAATTTTAAGATATCTATTTAGATTAAATATTCCTAATAAAAATATAGCATTTTAATTGCATAGGCTATAAGTGAAAAATGTACAGCACATTTCAAATGTTTAGTACAAAGCCAAAAGAATGTAATATTTCTCATTAATAATTGTTATATTTAGTACATGTTGAAATTTATATTTAGATATGTCAAACAAAATATATTATTAAAATTAATTATATTGGTAAAAAAGGCTAATAGTATAGAAATCATAACTATGTATTCCTCTATCTGAATAAACTGAGAGAATCAAGTTTTCAGATTATTAAAGATTGAAAAATTGAAAATATATCTGTTTTCCATGGTGCAGTTCACATACCACTGGTGATAAATTACTTTAGCCAATGCAAATGTATAGGCTTTTTATTGTTATGCATTATTTGAGCAATAGTGAAAATGAAACTGAGATATCAAATCTATGATTTTGCAGATATTGATGTTTAGGACTACACTACACATTAATTACAGTGCTCATGTTTATAAATTTTTAGTAACTTTGACTCCACCATTAAATTGGATTAGAAATATAAGTTGCAGAGTTTTCTTTTTTTTTTTTTTCATATTTTAAAATAAGCTTTATTTAGATTTTTTTTTAATATTTTATATTTGCATCCATGCCTTCGAGAAACCTTTCCCACGGGAAAGGTTATTTTCGTCTAATGTTACCCATAACTCATTCGCTATTTGACGTAGTTCTCTTAAATAAATCATCCTTTAGTAACTCTTAGAATTATCTCCTAATTTACAAAAACTGAAATGAAAAGGAACTACTAAATCATTAGCAGGAGTGGTTGCAATCTTATTTTCTTGTAAGTAAAGGGAAAATGATAAAAATCAACCAGAAAAGAAATTCATGGGCAAGAAAAGTATTTTCTAAAATCTGTCTCCGTAGAGAAAGATGCCAGCTTGGGTCGCTCCCCCTCACCCCTAGGCTCGGTTAAACAGTTTGGTCAAAGGAGGACAGAAAAGTCCTTATGAGGGCCTCAAGTTGCAGAGTTTTCTAAAGCCTGAGTTTTACTGTTTCTATCCTTCTGGTGTCACTTAACATGTTCCTCTGTCCAGTGTATTTCCTGTAAGGTGTCATTTAACATGTTCCTCTGTCCAGTGTATTTCCTGTAAGTTGTAGTTAGAATTAAGAACAGCACCATACAATAGAAATATGAGCCACAAATATAATTTAAAATTTTAAAATACACATTTAAAAAAAGAAAACATTAAAATTAAAATTAATTTTAATAATATAATTTTATTTAACCCAATATGTCACAAATATTATGTATGTAGTCATACATACATATTAAATTTTAAAATTTAAGTCAATATTAAAGTCAATATTAAAAATTATTGAGATAGTTTACATCTTTTTTTCATATTAAGTTTTTGCTATCTGGTGTGTATTTTACGTGTACAGAACATCTCAATTTGGCCTATCCACATTTCAAATGCTCAGTAGCCACATGGGATTAGTACTGAATACAGTAGACCCAGGTACATCATCAGACTGAGGTTCAATTTTTGGCCAAAATACCCCACAGGTGGTGGTGTGTACCTCCATACAGAAGCATATGTCTGGTGGCTTTTTTGTGATGTTGGCAGTCATTGATTACCATTGTCTACACCCAATAATTCATTAAAGGTTGCAAAATGGCAATACTCAAATTTTAAAATTCCTTCTTCATTTATTAGATGGAGTACTTTTATCAAGAGAAACATCTCATCAACTGCTTGGTTACTTGGAATAATATGTATAGGGAAGTTAGGAAAAATGTTTGATCTCTTCCTTTTATTTGCCAGTTTTTAAAATAATGATTTTGGTTTCCTTGCATTTTCCAAGGATGATCAATAATATTTTATTTTAACAGTATTATTAGGAATTCATGAATGTTAATATTTGATGTGCCTCAGTTCATTGCAGAGTTAACTTAATTGCAGAGTTCTGATATCACCAAAGCCGTTTATGATATTCCAGGTCCGTCTTGTACACTTCCTTCCACAGACCTGTAATCAGCTATTTCTTCAGGGAGCCTGTGATTCCTTTTAGTGGAAAATGGTATGTAGAGAACATTATCTGTGTGTGAAGGGTTGAGCACGTTCCATCTTTTCAGAGAACAAAGCTAGAAAACATGTATTTTAATAAAATAATATTCATCATGAATTCATGATGTTTCCTATTCAAATTCAAGTAGAGGACTTTTTTCACAGTGTCCTTTTCCCTGTCAAATTTCAAATTTTATTGACATGAATATAATTATTCATTTGCTGTATTCATAATACACATGTGCAACAGTCTCGAATAAATAGAAGACTACCACTAGCAAAATGATTACAAAAATCAGCTTAAGATACTTTGCAGTTGTTTTTGTCATTATGATAACATTCCGCTAAAACAGGCAAATTATTGTGTTTTACGGTCACTTGGGAATAGTCCCTTTGGTGCTGTTCTGCCACCTACTGGACAGACAGGCTCAATAGGCTTATTTTACTTTTGATATTCAGGAATCACTTTATTTTAAATTGAATTTTGCTTTGTAATAATGCAAAGTTTTACATGACTCTAGAGTCAAATTTACAAAACAAGTCTAGTTTTTCTCCCTGTCTCCTCAATCTTATTTCCTTCCTCTACCTTTAAATATTTTATTTTTAAATGCTGTGATTTATATGTCCATTAGTATATATTTGTATATAATTTGTATACAAATTATACAAAATTGATATATATTTGTATTTTTTATCCCGTCTCCTTTATTAGATAATTGGTAGCATACTATACAGACTTTTCTCCACCTGAAAGAAACATACATATTATTATTAAAAGTTTATATGTATATAACCTGGAGTGTTGGGTTTTGCTTTGTTAGGTAATCTGGAAATATTTTTATAAATGTAAATTTAATCAGTAAATTTATTTTTAGGATCCAAATGCTTGGCATCACTTTTGTCATATTTGTTACATGTATTTCTGTCCATACAAGCATGCAAACATCGTCACATCTATATACCCGTGACTACCTCTATCTTTATTGCCTTACATTTCTACTCTTTTCCTATGTGGTCAATATCAAGGCTGCTCCATGAACTGTTTGCTACCAAGCTATGATGACTTGTGAATAGAAAGTAACAAAAACAACAACAACAACAAAACACATTTAGAAACATTTAAAGTAATTTGATATTGCCACTAAATTCAAGCATATGATTTTGTATATTTCAAGTGTCGCTTACAAATTATTGGGGGGAAAAGTGGCCCTTCACTACAGAGTCTGAGAAGCACTTGCCTACATTATTTGCTTGTGCGCATGTGTTCTCTCTCTCTCATTATCTTTTTGTTTTGTGTTTTCTTTCTGAGACAGGGTCTCGCTCTGTCATCTAGGCTAAAGTGCAGTGGCGCCATCATAGCTCCTTGCAACCTCAAACTTCTGGACTCAAGGGATTGTCCTGCCTCAGCCTCCTAAACAGCTGAGACTACAGGCACATGCCACTGCGCCTGGCTAATTTAAAAATGTTTTTGTAGGGAATAGGGTTCTCACTTTGTTGCCCAGGCTGGTCTTGAACTCCTGAGCTCAAGCAGTCCTCCCACCTCGGCCTCCCACAGGGCTGGGATTACAGGTGTGAACCACTGCACCCAGCCTCTTTTTGTATTTAGAAATGTTTGTGCTATTTTGTTCTGAGCCCTTTTTATTAACATCTTCATATTATCTATAATTTTATTAATATCTGTAAATAATACCTTTAGTCCCATTTTTACTTTTCTCATCCTACTATGAATAAAATTGAAATTAGCTAATAACCCCTTCTTCACTTTCTCCCCTGTTCCCTGGCATCTATTTTCAACGGATATGTTTTTATTCTCCATTGATATCCTTGAGGCAATCACAGAGCTTATTCTACTTTTTATATTCTCTTTCCAGTTTATGCCCCTCCTCATTTTTTGACAGTTAATTGTATATAGAGCAAATGGCCATCACATTTTGTACTCTCTCCCTCGTAAACTACAGGCATTATGAGTTATACAAAAAAATGTCTACTTAATGCTCACCGCCAGTTCTATTGTCGATGATTCTCTAGTCATATTGGTTTTCCGAGGCTTGGTCTCCATAAATTCCCCAGGAAAGGCTCATAGGAACATTACTCCCTGAGTTGTTGTGTGTTTATTAAGAATTGTGACCATGGTATTTAAAGATCAATGTTGCTGGTTATAAAATCTTTAGCTCACATCTGCTTTCCTTAATATTTCTGAAATATTTTATACCATTGTCTTCTGGCACAAAGCATTGCTGTCAAAAAGTCTGATGACAATCTGATTTTCCTTCTCTTATAAGGGATATTGACTTTTTAACTAGTGCCAAAAAAACCTTTTTTCTTTTTATTTAAAGGTCAATAGTTTTAGTAGACTGTTTATATGTAGTGCATTCTGGGCCAGTTTTACCAGGTACGTCCTTTCAAATGTTGGGCAAGTGTATTTTTATGTCAGAAAAGCAGTCTTTGAATTATAATTGATAATATTTGTTCTTTCATTACATTGATTTTCTTTTTTAGGAACTTCTATTATATGTTCATTTGTTCTCCTATTCCTATTTTCTATGCCATTTTCATATGTATGTTTTAAATCTTTTTATTTTAAAAATATTCATTCTTTTCTTTTCTATTTTTCTTAAGGAACTTTCTGCAGTGTTCATTCACTATTTTATTTCTTCTAGTGTAGTCTAAAATTTTGGAATAAGTTTTTTCTTCAACTCTTAATATTTTTCTATTTCTATAAACTCCTTTTGAAGTCTTTGTTTTTTCAAATTAGCTTCTTTTTGAGTTCTTAAAATTCTGGGTTATGCTGTTCTTTAAAAGCTGCTATCTTTTTTTTCAGCTTGAGTTAAAATATTAGGCTAAATTTTCTTCTGTTTTGTTTGCAAATCTTTCTGGCATGCTTTTATTGTCTGCGGAGACATTACATTCCTCAAATCATTTTTCTTTATGGTAGATTCGATGGCCATTTTTTTCTTTATTAATGTTTAAGTGAGATGAGTTTTCTTGTACTCTTAGGAGAGTGAACCAGGATAGCTTCCTAGCTCTAGAGATTTAGAGCTGCCTTTTCTGTTATTTTTGGATGTGTTTACAAGTATGTATCTGCTATCTGTTGGCTCTTTGCTCTTCCCTCCACTTGCATCTGCGTCTTCTTTCTTTTGCCTCCTTTGCTCCTATCATCTATTTCCTGCTCAATTTGGATTCTATTCCAGTAGTTTCTCCTCAATGTGGGGTTTTGCTGTGGAGGAGATGGCTATTAAGGGTCCCTTTAGGGTCCATGGGGCACAGGCTCCTCCAGCACAAGCTGGTTCTCTTGGGTTCACCCACAAGTTGGAGGCGGCAGGACTCTAGGGGTTTCAGTTGCCCTTCCCAGAGTGGCCCACCAAGCCTTACAGTGAATACTTGTGAACTGTTTTTGTTTCTCTGCCTCTTGGGGCCATCAGAAGTCCCTTTGTCCTCTTTTTATTTCTTCTGATGTGTTGAAGACACTGTACAGGTCTTAATCTCACCAGTAGTTTATTACAACCCACACATATTTGGTTTATAGGGATGTGTTTTCCCGCTGCTTTATTGGAGATGTTGTCTGGGAGGTCTTGCTTTTGCTATCTTAGTTGCTCTGTTTCCATGGGGTGATTTGGAGAGGTGGAAAAATTATGCCACCTTGCCACCACTTTCCTAATTACTTTAAGCAACCAAAATTTTAGCAACGAAACTTTTAAATTACTTTAAGCAACCAAACTTTTAGTCTATTTCTGTTGTACTTTATTAGTAAGCATCTACCTGCCTGTCTATGTTAACACGTTTTCTGATGCACTATACAGTTGACCTTTGAAGAACACAGGTTTGAACGGCACAGGTCCATTTACATGCAGATTTTCTTCTGCCTCTCCCCGGCTGCTGCCACCCCGAGACAGCAAGACCAGACCCATCTCTTCTCCCTCATCAGCCTACTCAACGTGAGGATATGGATAAAGACCTTTATGATGACCCACTCCACTTCCAGTTAATGAAATATATCTTCTCTTGCTTATGATTTTCTTAATAACACTTTTTTTCCTCTAGCTTACTTTATGGTAAGAATACAATATGTAATACATATTACATATAACATACAACATATGTATTCAATGACGATGTTATCAGTAAGGCTTCCAGTCAATAGTAGATTATTAGTAGTTTCGTTTCTGGAGAGTCAAAAATTAAACAGAATTGTGACCCTTTGGGGCTGGTTCCCCTAATCGCCACATTATTCCGGGGTCAACTATTGTTTAATCAGCATGGTCATATTGACGTCCATGCATGTTGTTAATACTTGAGCCCTCAACAGAGAATATGTGCACAGTTCAGGGATCTATTGATGTCTTTCTACACTGCCAGGTCTCTATCTCTCTCTCCCCTTCCCGGTCTGTGAAAAGTCTCTGCGTGTCTCTTTGTTGCCACTATCTTGAGTGTTCTGGATGCTGATACAAGGCCAGTTGAAGGTGGATTGTCCATCTGAAGTGCTCCTGTGTGATTACTAGGCTACAGGACAGTCACAAACATCTCTCCTTCCTTTCCTCCCCTAAGAAGCTTTGAGCCCTGATTCTTCACCAGGGTGGTAGAGGATAAGTCTTAGAGAACCATGACCCCTCGTGGGAACATATTAAAATGAGGGGGGAATATACTGGGAGGAAACAATAGTTTGATAAAAGCTTCCCAGTTGGTTCTAACAGGCCTCCTCCGGGTTGTAGTTGGATCCTCTGCTCTTGGTAGAGACAGGGAAGGTGCCATGGAATTGGCCATGGGTCCAGATCACCTGGACATCCTCAGGCACAGGACTGGGAAGTGACTGACTGAGATTTAAGGGATAGGAGAAAAGAGAGAAAAGAAGGCAGGAGCCCAAGGATGTAATTTCTTTTTGGACCCATCTTCTTTTTCAGGTGCTTAATATCATTGTTTTTTTTTTTTTTTTTGGAAGTTAACAGATTTATCTTGAAAGCATTTGTTGTTATTCCTGCTTAAAGTCTAGCTAAGAAATTCTTTCAACTCTAAACAGAAAACAAAGTATTTCATTTTACAGGTAGAGATAAAAGGTATTGAATGGGAAAGTTTGAAAGAGGTGGCATTTGGGGTGAAAGTGTCTCCATCAAAGAAAAACTGATGACATCAGATCTGTGGCTGTTTTAATAGAGGGAGAGAATACAGGAAGGCAGAGGGGCTGGGAAGGGAGATGTAAGAGATAGGGAGCAGCAAGTGGATGCTGGAAATGACCATAAACTGCTAATTTCATAAGTGTATTTATCTTCACTTGTGCACAGAAAAATAAAGGCGCTGTGTGCGTGTATTAATGCTCTATATGAATGCCAGGACTGGTGCAGCCTCAGGCTCTAAGGAAGGAAGATGGTCAGGTATTTGGTAAGATGATTTGAAGACAGAGAAGTGTCAAAGAACTGATGGTCTGACTTGAGTCCTGGTGTATGATGTAAGAGCTTAACAGACTATAATATTCAGGATAATTTCTGAGGAACCCACAGAAGCTACAGTGTCCAGGGCACGTTAGTAACTGAGGGTCATATAATTAAACAAATAATTGTTATAGATGGTTCATTTGTAAGTTAGTAGACATTTCTGCTATAAGCAAAAATGTTGTCGTTTTGACTTCAGAGAAATAGACAACTTTATATTTCTGAGGCACTTATGTTTTCTCTATTGTGGATGATGTATCTTCCATTACTAATGAAGGATCATAGGAATTGAGGTAATTGAAACACATTTCTCCTCTCTATGGTATTAATATTTTTCCCAGTGATTGTTTTTCTTTTCCTGTTTCCTGGATATGACAGAGCACATGATATAAGTACCTAATCACTCGGGGAACAGCTACCCCCGAGGCCCTCTGCCTTCCTCCTGCTCTCCGGGGAGTCCCTTCTTCCCCCTTCCCTTCCGAATTAACCTGTTCTTTACCGGGATGTTAACATCATTCAGCCGCTTTCCCCATTCAAGGTTAGTGTTCCATTTTTAGCCCTGAAATACACATGAATTAGATTACTAGACTATTCACTGATCAATAATGTGAAAAAAACAAAAAAGAAAAACTATGAGTCAGAAGAGGAAAAATAGTGACTCATCAGACAGAGGGCGTCTCTATTCTATTAATTTCAACTGCACAGTCTATAATAACCAGTGTGTGAGAGTTTCAGCCTTCATCCAAATAACGTATGTGAAACCACAAAGGAATTCAAGCTGCAGACAACAAGGCACATTTAAGAGGTTACAATGTTAGTGTTGAGCTTGGGGACATAGAATAGAGCATTGATTTCTGATAAATTATTGTGTGCATTGACATTTTCGGCACAGGCATTTCTTTCTATATTATGGTTCCATAAAAAAGTCAGTTTGGGTCCATTAATTGCCTCAGAGGGAAGGGTGTGTGTGTGTGTGTGTGTGTGTGTGTGTGTGTGCGCGCGTGTGTTAGGTGGAAAGGTGGAATGTGCTGGATTCGGGAGGCGTAGTGGGATGTTGGCCTTTTACTTTGAAATTTAGATGTACATGCCTAATAACGTTAGCCTTTTATATTTTAATTTAGGATATCTGGGCTCCATTCTTCCCTTACTGCTTCCCAACCATGACTTACTGTTCTTAGCGCCGTTGTCATTCAATCAGGAATTCTCTCGAGCAGACCCTCTAGTGGCATTCAGTGGATCCCAGAAGAGATTTAGCCTGTTGGGAGCATAATGCATGTTTTAGTCTCCTGGTCACATACAAATGAAATAGGAGGGGGTGACAAAATATAGGAATTTAGGAGCGCCCTATGACTTGACCTTCTTTTGCACATTAGACAGACTTCTCAGATGTTTGAATCTTCAAATTATTATGTCTAATTACTTAAACTGAAAAGGTCTAAGACTGAATTCACTTTTTTCCTCTAAACATCTTTCCTTCTGAATTTCTTTGTTGTGTTTTGGTGATACTCTATTCCCCAGCTGCCCAGTTTTCCTAATTTTTAAAATATATTTACCCAGTTCAATTATTTATTCAACAAGTATCTATTCTGTTGGCATGTTGTGTGAGTCACGTACTGGGTACTCTGGGATGGAGAGATAGGTTAGTGCCCACCCTCGGGAGTTCACAATTTAGCAGGTCCCTTTCTGCATCCTCTCCCTCCTGTCAAGTGCACCTGTGTCTTTAGTTTCTTCCTTCCCATCCCTATTGCAGCTGCTCTGATAGGAGCCTTCTCCATCACACCTGGCCCACAGCAATCAAGTGCTCCATAGTCTCAGGGAGCCTAAAAGCTACAGCTTCAAAATCCAGTTTCTCACTCTCTAACCTCTTCCAGTAGTTCTCAACCTTGGTTCTGCATCAAATGTATTGGTAATTTTTTTTTATCTGTCTGTTTTTGACACGGATGCCTAGGAACCCTTTTGTAGAGGGCTTGGTTCATATGTAATCTCTAAATGGTGATTTCCTTGGGCTTCCAGACAAGAGACAGTTGTTCACTCCTCTGTGTGTCTAGTTCTTTGTACTTCACTTTTACTGATTACATTGGTATTCCTGTGCCACTCAGTCCATTTCACTAGACCATGACAACACTGAGGCCAAGAAATGCTACTCAGCTTTCTGTAAGTATTAGTTCCTTTTACCCCATCTTTAATGCCTAATGATGGACAGTAAGTTCTTGCCACATCTTCATTTTATGAAGTATTCTTCTCTTGCCATTTTGATTACAGGGAAAATAGCAACTATGGGAGACTAGCAAAGCCCCTGCATCCTGTTTGTCTTCTAGGGCCAGAGCAGGGCTAAACTGTGTTTGAAAGAACAGAAAATGAGTTGTTCCAATTTTCTCTTAGAAAAAGTCCAAGAAGCACTTGAAATTCCAGCATTCTCTTCTCTCCATGGGAAGCACCATTTCATTTCTCATTTCTTCATTAATACTCTCTTTTCCTTGTCCCCAAGAAAACTACCACTCTGTTCTCACCAACGAGTATAAAGTTGTTTGTTTCTTGATAAGAACAGAGGTCACTCTAAGAGTGCTCCAGCTGTTGAATTTTTGCAGTCACAGTTGGAGGAGGGTTAATCATAGTTATCGCAAGCAGCCTAACTTATCAACCCTTTTGAGTTATGTGTCCCTGGGAAAATTAGTGCCTCTGTTCCCCACCCAACCCCTGGCTTTTTTTTTTTTTTTGAGACAGGGTATTGCTCTGTCGCCCAGGCTGGAGTGCAGTGGCACGATCACAGCTCACTGCATCCTTGACCCCCAGTGTTCAAGTGATCCTTCTACCTCACCCTCTCAAATAGCTGAGACTACAGGGACCTACCACCATACCTGGCTAATTTAAAAAATTTTTCTGTAGATACAAGTTCTCACTCTGTTCCCCAGGCTGATGCTGCACTCCTGGCCTCAAGTTATCCTCCTACCTCGGCCTACTAAAGTGCTGGGATTACAGGTGTGAGCCACTGCACCCAGACACTTCATGGAACAATGCAGTGTTCTATGAAGTGCAATGTTTAACTGAATAAGAAACATACAGTAATTGTATAGAAATAGGGCTGTAGTGAGGAGTGAATGGGATAACAAGGTTAAAACTATCAATGTAGCGCCTGGCCCATGCTAAGCACTCAATACAAGAATAACCCTGGTGACACATATTATCTTCATCATAGTCAGATATTTCGAAAAGACTCCCAGGGAATAATTATGGGCTTTGGAGCCCAGGGCAGAGGCAGGGCTTCTTGCTCCTGGGGCAGCTCCAGGAGGTGCTGACTGGAAGGGTTGAAAGGCCAAGGTCTGAAGAGTGGCTGAAGAGTGAGTGACCCTTAAGGGAGCATTTGAGTTCCAACCCCCACGTTTCCCCTCGTGCTGTTTTATTACTTTCTTAAAATCATTTCATTGCTGGCCGGGTGCAGTGGCTCACGCCTGTAATCCTAGCACTTGGGAGGCAGAGGCCGGCAGATTACCTGAGGTCAGGAGTTCAAGACCAGCCTGGCTAACATGGCAAAACCCCGTCTCTACTAAAAAATACAAAAATTAGCCGGGCGTGGTGGCTGGCACCTGTAATCCCAGCTACTCGGGAGGCTGAGGCAGGAGAATCACTTGAACCCAGGAGGCAGAGTTTGCAGTGAGCCGAGATTGCATCACTGCACTCCAGCCTGGGTGACAGAACAAGGCTCCATCTCAAACAAACAAACAAACAAACAAAAAACCATTTTACTGCTATGAGGCATCAGAATAAAACCCTAAAGTTTTCTCAAAAGGGAAAATGTGTGTGTGTGTATTGGCTTGCTATTCGGTCATACCATGGTGACTTATGTCAAGGATTTATAAATACTTATTGTGCAAACACTATGGATCCTAGTCAGCATTCACTCAGGAACTCAACCTGCCTGTATTTTTAGGTTATCTTGAGATTTCTTTCTATTATTATTTTGCATGTAAGAGTGGTTCCCCTTTTTGCAGCTTCTTTTTCTGTCAATGGCAAGCTAAAAACCCACATTTGGAAAATATGACTATTCATTTGCTTAATTATCACATAAACTATTTTTTAAAATTGGAATCAGTCACTAACAAATCCTGCTGGGCTGTTTCCTCTGTCTGGACTCCTCACCCACTGGGATTTTTCCACTGAACTTTATGACATACAGTAGCCCCCACCTTATCCATGGGGGATACATTCCAAGATCCTCAGTGGATGCCTGATGCCCCAAACAGAACCAAACCCTATATGTAAATAAATAAATATATATATATACACACACACACACACACACACACTCACACACACATATACACCAAGTAACAACAACAAAGTTATTATGTCCAGCTCTTCCGTAAAATAAACATCAACTTGTCATCTCTTTGTAAAACTGCACATCTAGTTATATTTTTTCAGGTATAGTTAAACAAAAAATACCTATTTTCGCAAGGTATTTGTAGGCCATATAGTTATTATCTTTGAATCCAAGCAGGAAGGCTTAGCAAAGGCTCTGTACAGAAAGCTGTCGTGTCTTGTATCAGGCTACAATTTTTTTTAAGTTAAATTTCCCAAAGACAGGCACAGCAGTTGGATATAAATGGCTTCTGAAGAAATCACATCTGTCTAAAAATGAAAATCATTTTTCATGCCTAGCAATTTTGAACTTTCCAATTGCTCTGTGAAAGTGTTTTATTCTCATACAATGAAAGGCAGAAAAACCAAAACCAGTGACGGGGAAAAAAATAACAATTCCTATACAACTACCATATGCTTTTGATTTAGGTAGTTCAGTGCTCAATATGTTGCTTTTTTGTATTCGTTTTTACTTTTCTGACTTTTAAACCAATGCACAAAATGGGAACTGGATTATTCAAAGGTAGAAGAAGAAGAAGAAATGCTGCTGCTGATGAAGCCTTGCTACAGGACGTGGGAAGGGAGTGACAGCCACCGAGTCTCTCTCTTTGTTTTTGAAACGGAGTCTCGCTCCGTCGCCCAGGCTGGAGTGCGGTGGCGCGATCTCGGCTCACTGCAAGCTCTGCCTCCCGGGTTCACGCCGTTCTCCTGCCTCAGCCTTTGGAGTAGCTGGAACTGCAAGGCGCCCGCCACCATGCCCGGCTAATTTTTTATATTTTTAGTAGAACGGGGTTTCACCATGTTAGCCAGGATGGTTTCGATCTCCTGACCTCGTGATCCACCTGCCTCGGCCTCCCGAAGTGCTGGGATTACAGGTGTGAGCCACTGCACCTGGCCGCCACCGAGTCTCTTTAGACTCCACTTGCGCTCCATGCTCCTCTTGACTTCTGACCCAATCTGCAAATGAGCGGATGCGGATCATCAGGTCGCTGCTTTCCCGTCTGGCATCACTAATCTTGTATGAATAGCATTAACTACAGAAAGCATTCATTGAGATCCATGTTTCCTACTGTATTGCAGCCGATACTGGGACAACCACCACAGCAGCAGCAAACATTGCCTTGCTGTTACACATTTGTTTATTCAATCATTTCCTCATTCACTCAACCAGCAATATTGCTGAATGTGCCTGGTACTCTCCTAGATACTGGAGATAGAGAGGAGCAAGAAGGTGGGGTGCTTTCCCTCAATGAACTTAAAGTCTCCTGGAGGACACAGATCTGTCATAACATGCCCATGGCAGGATAGGGTTCTCTTCCTCCTTTGTTGCTGTATTTCCTTCCTCTCCTCACTCTATTGGAAGTAGAAAATATTTGCATAATAACAAACGGAAGTTATGCCATGAATGGGATTCATGTTCCCATGGTAGGGATGGGTTTGTTTAGTAGTGATTTCAAGCTGAAGAATGACAGCATCCACCACCCTCCCAGGAATGGGAACCTTTAGGTGAATGAGTCTCCTCACCGGACCAAGGGAACAGTAGCAGGATGGAGCTGGATCATGTATGGACAGGGAGGTAGAGGAGAAGAGAAGAGCTCCAAAGGTTAGAAGGATTCTTAGACTCCCATATCTGGCTGAATTTCTAAAGACTAAAGATGTAAAGAGGGCAAGTCATGATCTGCACTACTTACAAGATCATGCAAATTCTATTCTAGAACTTGAGCATATCTGTGATCCACAAGGAGCACAATTGTCTTGTTTTCTTGTAACAGACTCTACCACAGGACATGATACAGGGTTACACACCATTTCTCTAAATATTCCATTGAGATAAAAGTTTGTAATCAGATGATTCTTAATCTGATGTTACTTTGATTGCTACACAGTTTAGTGTAGTGTTTGCTGAGAAGGCAACACAATAAAATAAAAGTAAAATCAGATTAAGAATCATCAGGATTGCTGGGTGCGGTGGCTCAGTGCTGTAATCCCAGCACTTTGGGAAGCCAAGGCAGGAGGATTGCTAGAGCGTATGAGTTCAAGACCAGTCTGAACAACATGGGAAGACTCTGTCTCTACAAAAAAATATTAAAAAACTAGCCGGGTGTGGTGGCACAAGCCTGTGGTCCCAGCTACTTGGGAGGCTGAGGTTGGGGGAATGCTTGAGCCTAAGAGGTCAAGGCTGCAGTGAGCCATGATCGCGTCACTGCGCTCCAGCCTGAGTGACAGTGAGACTCTGTCTAAAAATCAATAAACAAAATTTAAAAAGATAAAGAATCATGAGAATGAAGCATTTGAGGCAACAAAAAGCATAGGAATCATACAACTGTGTGGAATGTATATATTTTTTGCTTTCAACTTTATTTATCAAATTTTCAATGCTATTGGTCCTTTCAGGGTTGCTCGTTAGCTCCTCTATTCTCATAAGAATGGAGGTGGGGATGCTACTACTTCAAGATCCGCATCTTTTTCCTGTCCCTTATTCTCATTAATGAATTATCTTATTCATCAAATGTCTACTGAGCACCTATTTATCATAGGCCCTTGGCTAGTCATCGGAAACACAAGGATGAAAAAAAAAAAATCCCTCCGGCCAGGCACAGTGGCTCACACCTGTAATCCCAGCACTTTGGGAGGCCGAGGCGAGTAGATCACCTGAGGTCAGAAGTTTGAGACCAGCCCGACTAACATGGTGAAATCCCGTCTCTACTAAAAATACAAAAATTAGCCGGTCGTGGTAATGTGCCCCTGTAATCCCTGCTACTCGGGAGGCTGAGGCAGGAGAACCACTTGAACCCAGGAGATGGAGGTTGTAGTGAGCCGAGATGGCGTCATTGCACTCTAGCCTGGGAGACAGAGCAAGATTCCGCCTCAAAAAAAAAAAAAAAAAAAAAAAATCCTTACCTGCCATCAGACGCTCTCTGTCTAGTTGTAAAGAGGTCGTGAGCATGGTGACCCCGCTTTTATAAGTGCCACCGGAAGGGAGAGGGCGTGGGAGAGAAAAGGCTCAAGGGGGGTGCAGCCAGGCTTTTCTGAAGTGAGAGAAGCCTTCCCAGAAGACTTGATGTAGGTAAAAGGCTGTTTAGAAACTTTCTAGATTGTCAAGGGGATGTGCATATTTCAGACAGAGCAATAGTACCTACAGGGGCAGCAATAAATGAAATAACCAATAGTTTGGGATGGACAGAGTATAGAATGTGGCGGTGGAGAGGGTGCTGATAACAGTCCTCTGGGCTGGGCATGGTGGCTCATGTCTGTAATCCCAGCACTTTGGGAGGCTGAGGCAGGAGGATTGCTTGAGCTCAGTAGTTCAAGACCAGCCTGGGCAACATAGTGAAACCTTGTCTCTACCAAAAAATAAAAATAAAAAAATTAGCTGGATGTGGTGGTGCACACCTGTAGTCCCAGCTACTTGGGAGGCTGAGGTGAGAAGTTCCTTTGAGCCTAGGAGGTCAAGCCTGCAGTGAGCCAGGATCACACCACTGAACTCCAGCCTGGGTGAGTTCAGTGGTGTGAACATGACCCTGTCTCAAACGACAACAACAACAACAACACAAAACCAAATTAAAAAAAAATCTTCTAACTTCTCAGAGAAAATAACAGCCATGAGCATAAGCACCCAAAGTCATGATGCATCCCCAAATGTGATGAGACCTGTATCCACATTTATTTCTAATTGTGGCATCTCAACTCCCCACACCCAACAGAACAGTTGACTCTACAATGTCCTTGGGCATCCATCTCTCCCTTTCATCCCTCTAACACTGCTTGAATTCAAGCCCAATCCTTTTCCACCTGGTGATTACCAAAACCTCCTAACTGCTTCCAGTCTCAGTGCCATGCCCACCTCTCCTGGCCTCTTCAGTGTCCTCCCCCAGCCAAGGGAGTGAATGTTCTGAAATTCTCAGAATATTCTAGTTAGTGAATGTTCTAATACATCTGCTTGTTATACGCCTGTCTACGCATAGCACAGACTTTAGTGGATCCCCATGGCCCGAGGCAAAGTTCAGGCTCCTCAGAGCAGCACTGATGGTTCAGACTGACACCTTTGCCCACCTGCCATCCCCCCCTCTGCCACTTCCACACAAAGATTCCCCCAGCCACTGCAAAAACATCTGCCACTGTATAACTGCACCACAGCCTCACAACACGGAATGGCACTGTGGACAGTTTCAGCAGCCAGGCCTGGGCATGAGACATACTCCTTTTCAGGTTCCACTGGCTATCCCCAAGCTACAGAGGGGGCCTGGGAAATGCAGTCTGGCTGTGGCACAAGAGGAAGAGAAAGCTGGTATTGCTGAGCAGCAGGCTGTCTGCTGTGGGTCCTTTAAACTGGTCTATGTATTTGACATTTGTCTTTTTCTTTTTATTCTATAAATTTTCTTTGACTATCTTGTTAACAGATTGCTCCTGTTCTTTTTTTTTTTTTTTGAGACAGGGTCTTACTCTGTTACCCAGGCTGGACTGCAGTGGCGCAATCTTGGCTCATGGTGTCAAAGGATCCTCCTGCCTCAGCCACCTGAGTAGCTGGGACCACAGGCATGCGCCACCATGGCCAGCTAATTAAAAAGAATTTATTTTATAGAGACAGGGGGTCTCATTATGTTGCTCAGGCTGGTCTTGAACTCCTGAGCTCAAGCGATCCTCCTGCCTCGTCCTCCCAAAGTCCTGGGATTGCAGGTGTGAGCCACCGGTCCCGGCCCTATTTATATTCTTCTATTGTGATTGCAATATCCTTTCAATGTTCTGTGAAAACTAATTGAGTAATATTAAGTTGTAGTTTCTGAAAGTTTTCTTATTTAAAAAAATTCTTTCTGTTTCCATTGGGGTCATTTATTCTGAATGTTCGTTTTAGCCCTAGTGTGTCTTGTGCTGTTGGGGTACCTCAAATCATGATTGCAAATGCTTGCTTATTGTTTGCCGGGTACTATTATAAGCATTTACATACGCAATCATTTAATATTTAAAAAGCCTCTCTAAGGTAAGGACTATTACTAACCTCAATATAGAGATAAGGAAACTGAGGCACAGGGTTTCCCTCACACAGGTAAGGAAACTGATCTGTGCCCAGGTCCACACAGTTAGTAAGTGAAGGAGCTGGACCCAAATCCAGACAGTCTGACCCTACAGTCTTCCTTTCAAATGGGTAGTGCACTTTGGATATCTGTTTGTGGTTAAAAGTTTCAAGCACTAAATTAGTCAATGTAGGCAGTTGTCAGAGGCTTTCTCTGCTTTTGTGTAAAGAGGACAAATCACAATAATAATTTCTATATGCTCCATTCTCCTCAACTCTCTGACATTTCTTTTTCTTTTCAGTGCAGGTTTCTCATACTTCCGGAGAAATAGAAAGCACCAGATGACAGCCACCACACACTTTTGTCCCCATTGCAATAGGATGCTTCTAACAATCGTAAAATTATGAAACACTGAATTCCTTAAAAGTTGTCCATTTGTGGATTTATCTGATGGTAACTATTAAATATTTAAAAGTAACTTTAATGAATCTACTTATGATGATTGAGTAATCTATTCTCTGAATTCCACCAAAAAACCATTTTATGACCACAGTCATAACGAACATATTTCTATAGTCCTAAGCTGGCAAGATAAATAGAGAACAGTTCATAATATAAACAATATATTTATTTATTCCTAAACTAATAAGATGACTATCAATCTGTAAGAGACTATGAAAATCAATACCGTATACTTGGTATAGTTGGTGAGAATTTCAGGAGCATGTTTGTTCTTTTATTTGTGTTTTGGAAGATACTTAGCCCACTTTTTTTTTTTTTTTTTTGAGATGGAGTCTCACTCTTGTCGCCCAGGCTGGAGTGGAGTGGCATGATCTCGACTCACTGCAACCTCCACCTCCCAGGTTCAAGTGATACTCCTGCCTCAGCCTCCCGAGTAGCTGGGACTACAGGTGCGCACCACCACACCCAGCTAATTTCTGTATTTTTAGTAGAGACGGGGTTTCACCATGTTGGCCAGATGGTCTCGATCTCTTGACCTTGTGATCTGCCCGCCTCGGCCTACTTAGCCAACTTTTAAGGACAAGTCCAGCCATCCTTATCCTTCACAGCAAATAACAAACATAGTGATTTGTGGGGGTGAAGAGATGTTGGTCAAGGGGTATGAAAGTACAGTCAGATAAAAGGAATGTGTCCTAGATTTGATAGAATACTAGGGAAATTACAGTTAACAAAAATTTATTGTACACTTCAAAGTAGCTAGAAGCAAAGAACTGTAATGTCCCCAACACAAAGAAAAGATAAATGTTTGGGGTGATAATATCTCAATTACTCTGATTTGATCATTACACATTGTATGCAGGTATCAAAATATCACATATCCCCCCAAAATATGTACAACTGTTGTATATTAATAAAAATAAATACAAACAAAAAGACCCAAATAGTTATTAATTATAGTGTAAATATTAGACTAGAGCCATTCTGGACAAGCACCTGTTCAACACCATATCCTCATTTTCTGGCACCCAGTAGACACTGCGGAAGTATTTTTGATTGGTCCTGCAGAGGTTCTACCCCAACCTCACCAGGTGCAGGTGGATGCCAGGTGCCAGCCTGGGAGAGGCTCTAAGTTCTAAAGAGTGTGTCGGTGGATGGTGTGCTTTCATCTTTTAGTTCATATGGCCCTGCCTTTTATTAACAGCACAGAACACTGGGCCCAGACTCTTGCGAGAACATGCCTTTGAACTGTTTGCTGCTCACCTTTTAGTGAAAGCTCTTGACAGAAATATTAAAGAGAAAGTGTTTAAAGGATGTGTGGTCAATGCATTCCTGACGGTGACTCTTCTGTGGATTGAAAGCTCTGAAGTCCCACGCTGGAAAAACACTTAGAGAGACTTACAGAGATAATGGTGTGTATAACTTCAGAGGCCTGTGCTCTCTCTTGAAGTGCATATTGACGCCCTAGAGGGTTCTGTCCATGATGAAAAATAGGCTTCAGTTTTTGCCATCTCTAATCAATTGGTAGTGAAGACCAAGAGCACTGTTTTGAAATGGATCTGAGCCTAGTTTTGTCCAAGCAGAAAAGAGTTCTATGATGGATCCACACACCCTAAGTTGGGGTGAGGAAGCTGCTGGGCCACGGGCTATGATTTTGGTATCCTTACTCTGGAAATTAAGGTAGTCTACTAGCAAGCTGTGTGTGTTGACCACACACTTTCTAATGTATCCAGAACATTGCTTCCATTGAGTTGGACTTGGTCATTATATCCTGTTTGCTTTTAGGGAAAATTTAAAAAAGTTTCCCATGACACCTGCCTTCACTTTTTTTGTCAGAATGTCATTGAAAAACACTGGCTACGACATATCAGAAAAAATGTCCTTGTCAGACCTAAGTGTCAGGAAAATCTTTGCTTCACTGAAGAATTTTATTCTTTCAGGACAAAATATGAGTGACATAATATACAGTATTCCTCTTTGCTTCGGCTTTTAGGAATATCAGCTTAATGTCAACAATTGCATAGCACACTATAACAAAAATCATACAATGATACTAATTTTTATTTATATCTCTATCCATCAATCTATCCCACTGTTGAGCTAACAATTCTTACAAGCCACTCCAAATTCTTTGTGGAACAAATCAAGATATATAAAGGTAAACAAATAATATTGTATAGATGTTGATATTTTAATTCTCCCATGAAAAACAAAAGTTCTCCTTCCTTTGGCTTCAGAAAATTCATTAATTTTCCAACTTTAAGACTGAAGAGTAATGAACACATGCTATCAGCAGATTTAAGTATCTAACTACAGTTCAAGCCTTCCCTTTCATATTCCTTTCCAGTATGACTGAATAACTTCTTTTCCCTAGAGACAGATATTTAGCCTTCAATTTTATATAGGAGAAAGAACACAAAATTTTAAAATATAAAAGCAATATAAATCTACAGTGGTCTTCAGAGTTGTTCATTTTTAATATAAATAAATTACTAGTTCAAATAACTTCTCCAAAACAAGTTTCCCAGACCACCAAGGCAGCCGCTGGTGAGCGGCCTCACCTGTTATCATCAGTCTTTTCTCATCACACTTCCCTATTTAAGTGTGGAATTGTTCCCAGTTCAAAGATATATGGGAGAGAAGTGGCTGGATGGGTAGGATACACAGAAAACCTTGTGTACATTCTTTGGGAGAAGCTTCTAGAGAAGAATCTGAGCCACAACAGATTACCCTTGGGGAAGTTTGTGGCTATCATCATGAAGGAAGGCTTAACCATTACACAAATCTTTGGAATACTTTTCTTCTGAATTTCTTAGGCCCAGGAGGCTCTATTGCTCAAGTTCATTTTGAAGCACACTGGTTTCAAGACCTGCGTAAGTGTTCCTTGAATTAAAAAAAATCTTTCTCAAGCTCTAGGTATGCTGACAAGTTTGGTAGACCAGAAGTGTGATACTTCTACCTGCGAGGCTCCAGCGGAGTCAGCACTGCAAGGGAGAAGGCAGGGCTCCTGAGCTCAGTTCAGGGTCAGTGCCTTACTTCCTGTGTGATCTCTGCAAAGTGATTTAGTCAACCTCTCAGTCTCAGTTTTCTCATACATAAAGTAGGGATAAAAGTCATATCCAGCTTGCAGATTGACTGTGCAGATTAAATGCATGTCATGTAAAGCACGTGGAGTATACTAAAGGCTCAATAAATACTAGTTCCCTCCCTTCACCTTTCAGCCCCTCATCTCCCCAGCAATATTTTCAGATGAATAAGAGGTGAGAATTTTCAGTCTTATTTACACCAAAGATCACGTTTGGGTAGTCAAAATAAAAGTGACCATATAATCTAAGGAAATAAGTGAGTTATGTGTTCTTAGAACAGGACAGAATAATTAAAAGCAGGCCTGTGCAGAAAACCTGGAAATATGTTGCACATCATCTCTGCATCCTTCCCTCACTCCTCCTTCTCTCTCCCTCAGGGTAGTAGAGCAAAGAAAGTAGAACTCAGGGCAGGGCTTGTGTCTGTTTTGTTCACTCGTGTACACCAAGGGTGTAAAATCCTCATACAGATTTGATGCTCAATAAATATTTGATAAACTGAATACTCAGAAAGAAAGCAGAAATGGTTTGGGACTTCATATCCTGTTTTCCCTGGAGTTCAGCATAAATAAAATAATTATTTCTAACAAAAAAGTTAAAGAAAGTCTTTAATCTTCTACCACAGAAAAAGGTATTGGATTTTTACTCATTTTCCTCAAGCACATACCCAAAAAATGCTCCCAAACAAATAAACATCAGTAAACAATTTCTGGAAACCCAATGTAGCAATAGGTTACAAATAAAGCAAAGAGTGCCCCTGCTGAAACTGCTGTTTATCTTGCAAGGGCCCTCCAGGGTGGAGCTCTCGCCCTCTCCTGGCTCAGCCTTAAACTTCACTATAAGTAAGCAGAATACAGCGGAGACAAGAGGAAGTAGTTCATTTGCATAATACAAACAAAGACTCTCAGGTGAATGGTTTGCCAGTTATCAATGTTTGCTTTGCCGATTAGTGAAACAATCTACCAGTAAGTCTACCTAAAGCCTAATGTGCTATACTTTTTTTTTTTTTCCAGAAAGTTGGTCAATGGAGAAGGCATCAATTGGCAACATTCGGTTGGACCAGTTAATGATTCAGTTTGCTTTTCAAAAGATACTAGCAGACAGCATTAATCTTATCACTCTCTTTAAGTATAATCTGGACGCAGAAAATCACTCACATGCCTTAAGTTAGGTTGGTAACCAAAATATCCATTGTTTCTCTGGATACTAACAACGATTATATTAATAGAAATAGCAGGGACTGTGAAGATTGGCTATGACAAGTGATGCTGTGGTTTACTCTGACTTAGGTTTGCTTCCATGGAGGTCTGATTGTGAGATGGAGATCTGTGGGGAGTTCCACTGGGATGTGCTCTGGGCAAAACCACTATGACAGCAGTGAAGGAAGAAGGATCGGGTGGGAGGGGCACGCTGGAGTCCCGAGCTGGGATGCCCTTCAGAACTGGCCCAAACTGAAGCAGTGGGGATGAGTCTTTGTATCCCCCGCAGTGGCCAGACATTGGATGTGGGCTGCCCAGGGAGGAAGCATGACCTCGTGTGAGGCAGCTCCCTTTGGCCAAAGGCAATTTTCCAGAAGGGATACAGCTGAGAGCTGTCAGGTGCCACCAATTCCAGCAGCTGGCAGAACGAGTACCTTGGCTCTGAAGGAGTATCTGGGTCGCCAACTACAGCATCCGCTAAAACCGGCAAGTTTAAATAACAAAATATTTAGGAATGAGTACTTCCCATGTAACCTGCATATAAAGGACATTTAACAAATATTTGTCGAATGAATAAATGAGTGGTTATTAGGATGGAAGAATGATCAGTAGTGGATGTAAACTCCATCAGAAGGGATTTAAATAAGGCTGAAGACAAATACAGAATTATAATAATAAACCACTCAGAGCAGAAGAACTTTCAGCCTAGATATCTGTATTATGACTTCGTCATTAGATTTAATTATTCGAATTCTGAATTTAAGCTTTACAGCAAAAGTAGAGGGGAAAGATGGAAAAGGTACTCCGATTTGGGGGGTCAAGGTTCAATAAGTGAGGGTTCCCCACTCACTTGGAAAGGGCTATCATTCTATACATAAGAATTTGACAGAAAAACTCAAGGCTTTAAAAAGGAAATAATTAGTCTGTGTGAAGCAGCTGAAAGAAGTGAAAAACATCATTGACTGAATTTTTTCAAAATTAATGACTCTTCCTGCTTGGAGCTCTTTCAACTACAGTAATCAACATCTAAAATTCTTGCGAAGGTCATTTCTGAGCACAGTCTATTCTGCTCCATCTAATGATCCAATTCCTCTTCCTCTGAGTGTCTGGGCATGCTCATCTTGCAGCCAGCCGTCTAATCACAAAGACATTTTCCCGACATTATGCATTAGAAGATGCCCCTTACTTTATAAAGTTATATAAATTAGAATCTATTTTATCCAGGGGCTTATATGGTTAATTTCAAAGATGCTTTATCTTCTTTTCTCAGTGGTCTTCATACCAAAATAGATTCTGACACTTAACCTATAAACACTTCCGTCGCTTAAGATTTATCT
The DNA here is from genome assembly GCF_000001405.40 of Homo sapiens. Lineage (NCBI taxonomy): Eukaryota > Metazoa > Chordata > Mammalia > Primates > Hominidae > Homo > Homo sapiens. The sequence continues at coordinate 4,019,396 of NC_000018.10, forward strand.
GATTAAAAGCTTATAAATACACATTTTCATATACTTACAAGATATAATTTTTTATGCAAAAGAGTCTTCTTAAAATGAAAAGTCCTTTTCGTTTTCATTATGCAAATGTGTATTTTCCAGACTTGCCTTTATAACTCTTCAATGTCTTTGGGGAAGAATATTCTGTCCATATAAGGCAAATATAACTTATTGGCACTTCACAGATTTGTTTCTGTAGCTTAAGATAGTCAGGTTGTTTGGGGGAATTTTTTTGTTCTAATGATTTAAATATTTTATTCTAATTATTAGAATATATCATTTAACTAGATTATTAAGTAGATACTTCTTCTGTGTTGCAGGATCAATCTTTAACCAGGGTACCTGGCTATGCCTGTCCAAGGAATCTAGGAAACGAGACACATAGGCGCGCGCGTGTGCGCGCACACACACACACATACACACGCACACACCCCCTTCCCTCCCAAAACCTGAAATTTCACCAAGAGCAAATTCTATGACCTATAAAGGGCATATAATTTTATATATTTCAGGGAGACATAGTACATCCATCAATACATGTAAGATTTACATTGGTTTGATCTGGAAGGGTGGGACAACTCACGTTTTATGTAGATTTAAACATATTCTGATTGGCAACTGGTTGAGTTTTTATCTATACAAAGGAATGTCTGGGTTATGGTAGGGGTTGTGGAGACCTAGGTTTTATCGTGCAGATGAAGCCTCCAAGTAGCAGGCTTCAGAGAGAATAGACTGTAAATGTTTCTCACCAGACTTAAGGTCTGTGTTGATGTTAATGCTGGAGGGGTATTGTGAGGCATGTCCAACCCCCGACTTCCTGTCATGGCCTGAACCAGTCTTTCAGGTTAAATTTTAGAGCGCCTGGCTGAGGAGGAAGTACATTCAGATGGTTGTGAGGGGCCTTTGAATTTTATTTTTGGTTTATCGTCCCAAGGTTTAGCTACATGAATAATAATTCTATGCTTTTAAAATGTTAATTCATTCATTCTACAGACTTCTTGAGTAACCGTTATGTGCCAGGTCCTGGGCTGGGGAGGAGGACCTCATATAAATTAGGACTTGATGTAGTTTGGATATATGTCCCCACTAAATCTCATGTTGAAACATAATCCTTGGTGTTGGAGGTGGAGCCTGTGAAACTGCCTTAGCAAAAATTATAACTGAGGAAATTATGACAGTGAAAGAGACCTGACCTAACCAACTCCATCTTGCTTCTAACCTCTCAGCTGTCCTTGTTTATTCCTGGGTGTAGGCCAAACTAAGCTTGGGAAGGAATTTAGTTCATAGTTTAACTTTGAAACAAAGATGATAATAAATCCCCTTCTTAACGGGGGACCAGTCGGCCTTTGTAGGACTAAGAAACTAGTTACAAGATTAGAAATTACAGTTAGGAGCCATACGGCCTCTGGTTGCAAGAGTCTGAACCTCCCCAGATTGCTCCTGGGAATAACATTACTGTTGTAAACCCTAAGATCAGTGCTTGAGTTATTTTGCACAACCTGTGTTCTGTTCTGATGGACCAGCTGACACCACCCAGACTGGTAAACTGGTTCAACCAGCTCGGCAATCCCACCCATGAATAGTAGACCGCAAGAAAAACTCACTTCGGCGCCTTACGATTTCATCTCCAACCCAAGCAATCAGCACTCCCCACTTCCTGAGCCCCTACTTGCCAAATTATCCTTAAAAACTCCGATCCCCAAGTTTTGGGGGAGACTGATTTGAGTAATAATAAAACTCTAGTCTCCTGTACAGGCGGCTCTGCGTGAATTACTCTTTCTTTATTGCAATTCCCCTGTCTTGATAAATCGGCTCTGTCTAGGCAGCAGGCAAGGAGAATCCATGGAGCAGTTACACCTGGTGGGAGGTACTTGGGTCATCAGGGCAAGTCCTTCATAGCCTGGGGCTGTGCTCAACACAGTGAGTGATTTCTTGTGAGATCTGGTTGCTTAAAAGTGTGTGGTACCTCCCACTGTCTCTCTTTCTCTCTTGCTCCTGCTTTTGCCATGTGACATGCCTACTCTTGCTTCACCTTCTGCCATGAGTAAAGGCTCCCTGAGGTCTCCCCAGAAGCCAAGCAGATGCTGGTGCCATGCTTGTACAGCCTCCAGAACCTCAAGAGAATTAAACTCCTCTTCTTTGTAAAATTGCCTGGTCTCAGGTATTTCTTTTCTTTTCTTTTTCTTTCTTTTTTTCTTTTTTTAGACCGAGACTTGCTCTGTCGCCCAGGCTGGAGTGCAATGGCGCGATCTTGGCTCACTACAACCTCCGCCTCCTGGATTCAAGCAATTCTCCTGTCTTCAGCCTCCCAAGTAGCTGGGATTGCAGGTATGGGCCACCATGCCAGGCTAATTTTTGTATTTTTAGTAGAGATAGGGATTCCCCGTGTTGGTCAGGCTGGTCTCAAACTCCTGACCTAAGGTGATCTGCCTGTCTCAGCCTCCCAAAGTGCTGGGATTACAGGCGTGAGCCACTGTGCCCAGCCTCTCAGGTATTTCTTTATAGCAACACAAGAACAGACTAACACAGAACTCAAATGAATGAGTTCTGTCCTCAACTGCAGTAACTGTAAGGAGGTATTATCACATTTTCTGTCCCCTAGTGAGAAAGACTAATCCTTTAAAACTACAGTAAGTTCACATTGTATGAGACTCAAGCTGAGCTTTCATGAAGGCTCTCAAACAGAGTTGGTGTTTTTATAGTATTGTTCACATGTTCTTAATTTTGTTTTTTCCTCAACTTTTAAATGTTCAGAAAACTTTTTTAAACATAGACTTTAGATAAGAAAATTTAAGATGATTGTGAACTGCATGATATTTTATTATCGTCAATCCACAGAATGCTTCTATTTTGTTTCATTTACTTTGGTTTTACTTTGTTCTCTATTATCTTCTGTCTCTAATCTCACAGCCCCCTCCAACCATAGTCAGCTTTTATTATATATATATGAAATATATAATATTTATAATATATATGTTCATCCATTCTACCTTTTACACACACACACACACCACACACACACAGAGAAGATGTGAAAAATTTTTGCATTCACTGTGCTTAATTTACATAGATGATACTGTGGCATAAGTATCTTCTAACTTTTCTTATTCAACCCTGTTTTTAAAGATCTACTCACGATGCTACATATAAGTCTAAGTGATTGCTTTTTACATTCCATCATATGCCATGCTATTCATACATTGGTAAGTCTACTAACAGTAATAGCTCTGCCATGAACATGAACACACCTTATTCTTGAGCACCTGAGTGATTTGTGGAGGGTATATTTAGCAGTAGAATTGGTGGATTGTTGGGTGTATCCACACTAAATGTCAGCAAACTCAGTGAGATTATTTTCCCAAATAGCTCTGTTAGATTATATTCTCACCATCAAGGTATCAGGGATTCCATTTCTATATATCTTCACCAGCATTTGATGTTATGCAACTTTTTAGTTTTTGTCAATCTGATGATTATAGACTGACACTTTATCAATGATTTAATTAGTATTTTCCTTAGCAGTAGAATTGGTGGATTGTTGGGTGTATCCACACTAAATGTCAGCAAACTCAGTGAGATTATTTTCCCAAATAGCTCTGTTAGATTATATTCTCACCAGCAAGGTATCAGGGATTCCATTTCTATATATCTTCGCCAGCATTTGATGTTATGCAACTTTTTAGTTTTTGTCAATCTGATGATTATAGACTGACACTTTATCAATGATTTAATTAGTATTTTCCTAATTTTGAAAGAGTTTGGGCATCTTTTAATATTTACTACCCATTTAGGTTTCTCTTGCTGTGAATTGCCTATTCAGAGACATTGCTTATTTTTTTTCTTTAGGTTTTCTTTCTTTTTCTCCTTTCTTTTCTTTTTAAAAATGTACCATATGGACAGTCTTTTTAAAAGGCTTTTAACACTAGGAAAACTTTGGGCTTTCCTAAAAGCTATACAACTGTCATGGGTAAACTTTATTGCATTGACTTTGACTTTCAAGAAACCTACAGCCATATTTGCCATGTAATCACAGCTGTGTTTTCCCTTTCAGCAAGTGTATTCGCATTCTTGTACTTTCTTGGAACCTAATTTTTGCATTCAATGTTATTATTAACTTTATTTTTATGTCTCTTGTCATAACCTGACTCAAAAGATGTTTTGAAGGAGTCAGGCACAAGTGAATCAATAAGCTTATTTTTTTTCAAAATGTTCCAGTTTAATTTAAATTGGTCTTCTTGCTAGAACAAAATGTGTTCCCACTCACCTTAAAGTGACAATAGGCTTCTGAATTCCATGGCTGTAGGTGTCATCTAGTTCAACAACACGCTTTTCAAATAGGAGATGGAAGACCACTGAAGTCACCTGAAGCTGTTTAGGAGACACAGGCTGGAGCAAAACTGGAATGGCCTAGCATTGAATCTGGTTTCTCTTTTCTTTTTATTTATTAATGTAATAAAAAAAATTTTGGTTTCTATTCTGCTTAGTAGAAAAGGTTTATATATGGATCACATGTCTGTGTGTGTATCTCTGTGTGAAAGTGTCTGTTTTTTGTAAAGTTTATGTATTTTTCTTCCCCTCTCTCATTGGCATTTATCTCGATGTAATTGACTTGAGGTTTCTGGTCTTGGTAAATTTCCTATTATTTCAAAAGCTTTGAAAAATTATTAAATCTAATTTAGAAGTGTAAAATTCCAACTCAAACTTTGGAAGTCAAATTAAAACTCCTCTCTTTGGTAATCTCTGAGATAGTATATACAAATATCATCCCTCTTATTAATTGTTCAGCTCTTTTCTTAAATCATACATGAATGACTTGTCAAAGACAAAGTATTAGCATCAGAAAGATTCTCAGTATCAGGACTTGGAGGTCATGTTGCACTTCAGTCTGGAGCTTCTGAGAATGGAACCCTGATCTCCCATCCTCGTAGGATCCCCACTTTCCCGGTGAGGCCTAAACAGGAAGGGAGCACCACAGCTGGGAAGAACCCCATGTTCCTGATCTGGATCAAGGGAGTGCTACCCCCACAATGGTGATACTAATGCTTTTTCACGGAAACTGGCTTCCGAGTTCAACAAGACAGGCAAAGGGGACGTGGCAAATTCCCCTCTTAACACTTATGCTCGGAGTGACATGTCTGTTCGTGCTCACAAGCTGGCATTAAAGCAACTCACGTGGCCACATCTGTCTAGAAGGGGTCAGGGGAGTGCAATTCTTTTATGTACCCAGAAAGGGGGGAGAAATATTGGGTAAAGACTACTAATGACTACCACCTTCTGCAACCCTCACTTTTTCTGACTATGATGATAATGACACCCTTTGCCTTTACATAGTATAGCTGTGCCTAATCAAAGGGCACACTGGCCAGACTTAGAGGTGGGAGTGACTTCTAAGGAGCATGGACTTTACCTGGGAAGGTGATGGGCTTGCTGGGGAGCTGTGGTGTTCGAGAGCCAGATGGTTGACTCATGAAACAGTAATCCAGGAGTGAAACAGAAACCAAGTTCTTAGGCAGGCAGTGCTACCAAGTCATCAATATGAAGGGACCAGGCAGAGAGCAGGAGACTCGGACACTGGGGAAATCAGACAAAACAAGAACCCACCTACCTGCCCTCTGTCCTCCTGCCTCCCATAAGTACTTCTTGTGCACTTATAAAGTGGCAAGCACTATTTTAGGTTCTAGGGATTTAGCAGCGGAAAGACAAGTAGAGGAAATAAAAAAGAGTGTGTGAGGCCTTGAGTGTGCATAGGTGGAGTGACCCTGTCCAAGGTCATGTGTGTGCACTCTACACTGAGTATTTCATACCCACGGCTCATTTGAAACATACAAGAACTCAAAGAGGTGAGTACTGCTATTACAGGTTGAGTATCCCAAATCCAAAAATCTGAAATCCAAAATACTCCAATGAGCATTTTTTTTTTGAGTGTCACATCAGTACTCAAAAATTTTCAGATTTTGGATTTTCAGATTTGGGATGCTGATCTGGTAAGTGGAATGCAAATATTCCAAAACCCAAAAAAATCTGAAATCTGAAGCACTTATAGACCCAAGCATCTCAGATAAGGGACACTCAACCTGTATAACCATTTTTCCAATGAGGCAACAGTTCTTCAGGGTGGTAAAGTGATTGGCCCACGGTCATGCAATTGATCCAAGTCCTGGTTTTCTGACTCTAAAGGCCCTTTTCATTTTATTTTTGGACAATAACATTGTCATTTTTAACAGAACAAACATATTGTAAGTTTCCAGAGTTTAGATCTCTGCCTTCTAAGGTTACTGTTTTCCATCTGAGTTCTATTTTCTGCTGATAATTACTAAGTTTTGAAAATAATTCAAGCCATATATATACAATTTATAAATATCATATATACACATATATAAAATTGTTTTACATGACTGCTAAGGGATTCTTCAAACTGACATTTTTAAAAGCCAAGTGAATATATTGAAGGTATTTTTAAAAAACAGTTACTTTGATTTGAAACAATCTCTTGTTATGATAAAAGTAGTCTCATCTCTAAAATAGCCAAATATAGACAGCCATAAGATAATTAAATCAGAATCTGTTTTCTCTTCCCAGGAAGTGAATCTAAGTGTCAAGACAGTCCCCACTCTTTTCAGGCTTATAGTATTAACAGCATCACATCACAAAATGTTGTCAGGTTCTTGCGGCAGCAATAATGCTTTCATTTATAAAAGGTGACCACGGTTCTTAAGTTGGTTCCTCTTGACCTCTGTCATCTACACACACAAACATGCAAAGTCACTAGTTAGGTTAAGTTGAATTTAGTTTAAGAAGTGCTAGAAAAAGGCTTCTGAACTGTTGAAACCATGCCAGGGGTCAGTGGGTGGATTTTTCACTAAAAGGGTCATACAGATGTCTAGGTTTTTCAGTGTGAGATATCCATATTCTAAAATGCCATTCTGAGCGGGAAGCAAGAAAGGGTTTTACAAAGCCTACTTTAAAAGTATAATGAAGCCAAATTCTTCTGCTCCAGTTTAGAAGGGGTTTTGCACTTTTCAGGGTGGAATACTTAAAACTCAAAATTCACAGACCAAACAGGTACACAGGACACAGGTACTTAGGGGTTGGATGTTACCAAAGGGTGAAAAAAAAGAAGAGTCGAGAGAATAGGAATTTTCTTTCTATAGCACTATCTATGAGATGGAGCTCTGAGTATAAGCAATCATTTCTGGTTCTCCAGATTGGAAAAATCATCAGGAGATCACATCATAATCTGTGAAGTAGAAACTATCCTTTAGTGGTGCCACATTTTCTATTTCTGATTCTTTGGACACACAGGGACTTTCTGGGCTATGAAATAGTCTATTCAGTGAAACTAGTTATCATAAAAGACATGCAAAAACCTTTTCACAGTCTTTGTCCTGGAATATCTCACAAAATTAATTATAAATTGGCATGCGACTTTCTGATTTAGCCTGACAGGATTGTTCCTTTCCAAGGTTTAGGCACTAAGCTGCTGTTATTAAGATAGGAATTGTACAGGTGGTGGCTCAGCCCCAAGGGAGGCTCGGCCTGAATAACCTCACTATGCAGAAGTAGAGAGCACCTGGGGAGAAGAGACAGGCTCCTTACATCCTGGATTACCCTGACTCTACTGCAGCCACAGTGCTGTTCTTGAGTTTTATGTCAGGTGAATATTAACAATAGCAGTAGGATAGGGTACTAGATAGTCAGCATGCTTTTTAGGAAAAAGCACAGAAATTTTGGAGGTTTTTGGTATATCCTAACATTTGATTTGTGTGATGTCTCTGAGGCTCGCTTCCCCATTTAAAAATAGAAATAATGTGGTCTGGTGTGGTGGCTCATGCCTATAATCCCAGCACTTTGGGAGGCTGAGGTGGGAGGATCACTGGAGGCCAGGAGTTCGAGACTAGCCTGGCCAAAATGGCAAAACCCCACCTCTACTAAAAATACAAAAATTAGCTGGGCATGGTGGTGCATGCTTGTAATCCCAGCTACTCGAGAGGCTGAGGCAGGAGGATTGTTTGAATCCGGGAGGAGGAGGTTGCAGTGATCCAAGATTGCCACTGCACTCCAGCCTAGGTGACAGAGCAAGACTCCGTCTCAAAAAAAAAAAAAAAAAAAAAAAAAAAAAAAAAGAATAATGATATGCTCTAGTGAAATTAAATGAGACGGCACACTTACCTAGTGAGCCCAGAGTCTGGGGCATGGTCAGGATGCAAAAAATGTTAGTTCCCTCATACTCCTTCTCTTCTCTGTAGGAAGAAGTGATTTCCATCATTTATGTTAACACAGATTCCCTTGTTATATAAAACTGTAATTTATTTGAGATCAACTTAGAACTTTGTTGTTGCAAAAACAGAGAGATAGCAAAATGTAACATAAAAAACACCTCAGATTATGGTGACTCAGATAATTTGCTTTCCAGCTCAGCAGTGTTAGGGAGAGCTTGAGTAATGAGTGACCTTGAATTTGATTTACTCCACTTAAGCTGCTCCTTAAAACCATTCTTTGTGGTGCCTTCAAGATGGTTTTGCTTAAGTAGCATGTCTTCCTCAAATGGCCCTTGATAACCAATCAGTTGTGGTGTCACCTACCTCAACAGAAAAGAAAAAACATTTCAATCTGGAGAAAGATAAAGTGTGCTTCTTTGCTAGAAATGGCTGTAAAGTGCTACCAAGTAGAAAAATCTAGAAACAAACCCAAGATTGTCAAGAAGATTCTAAAACTTAGCTCTTCCTTTCCTAGATGAGGGGCTGTTATTGCAAAGACAATCTGAGGCCTTGGGGATTTTAACATAGGTTACCCAAAATATGTAAATATATAGGGAACTGTCTCTCTGTATTTACATAGCTATTCATTACTTTTATTTGTAACTCTATGCAAAGCATATTTATATAAAAAAATACAAAAACACATAATAGACCATAAAAGTGACATGTGGAAAGCAGCATTACCTTGCTCTGCTCTGAGGGGGCATCAGCCTCCTGACTTGCTTGTGCATTCAGGTGGCAGCAAATACGTTATTACCTGATCTCAGTTTTAAAAAAGCAGGCACAGGGCACATCACGCCAAATGTTGAAATGATCAAACTAAACAGAAACTTGCTTAATATGAACAGTGCTACTCACCCTGACTTGATTATACAATGTATACATGTGTTGAAACACCATACCTTATTCCATAAATATATATAAATATGTCAATACAAAAGAAAATAAAACTTAAAAGAAAAAATGAAATCTGTTATCCTTACATCTTTTTTACCTTTATCACATCCAGTCACGCCTCACTGATCAGTTTCAGGAGATGAGGCATCAGTGTAATTACATTTTCCAGACTACTGAAGTTTAACATTTAAGCACTGAACCCTTTTATTGTAAGCATTTGTGATGGGAAGTTTTCTCAAATGCATCACATTATTTCCCTGCTTTGTGAATTAAATGTGCTAAATGCCATCTAACCCTTTGTTTTTTTCCAAGCAAGTAGCATTTTTACTTAAATTTTTTTTCAAGTATGCAATACATTAACAATAGTCCCCATGTTGGACACTAGGGCTCTTGAAGTCATTCCTCCCATTCAACAAAAATTTTATATTATTTGATCATCATTTCTCTAAACCTCACCTTCTCCATAGTAACCACTCTTTTACTCTCTGCTTCTAAGAGTTTGACTTTTTTAGATTACACATGTAAGTGAGATCATGTAGTATTTGTCTTTCTATGCCTGGCTTATTTCACTTAGCATAATGTCCTGTGGGTTCATCCATGTTGCAAATGACAAGATTTTCTTCTTCTTAAGGCTGAATGGTATTCCCTATGTATATATACCATATTCTCTTTATTCATTCAACCACTGATGGATGCTTAGACTGATTCCAGATCTTGGCTATTATGAATAGTGCTGCAATAATCATGAAAATGCAGATATCACTTTGATATACTGATTTCATTTCCTTTGAATATATACCCAGTAGTGGGAGTGCTGGTAGTTCTATTTTTAATTTTTTGAGGACCTTCCATATTGCTTTCCATAATGGCTCTACTAATTTACCTTCCCACCAAGGGTTCCCTTTCCTCCACATCCATCTAACGGCCTCTTAATGACTCCATTTTTATTAAATAAATAGTTGAGTGGGCAAGAAACTCTGAAATGATTCCATTTCCCAGGCCTATCCTTGTATTTTATACCTGAATGCTAGAGATGCTAAGTGACTTGCTAATGCCCACACAGGTGGATATACCAGGAGCTCACCCTAATGCCTACGTTTCCTAATTCCTAATTTCAGTGTCTTCCTAGTAGACATAATTCCCAATAATATTGAATTCTTGGTCCTTGCTGTTGTTCTCACCAGGCAGGTTCTTCCCTTAAATTCAAGTGTGCCCTAATGTCTCTCCTACTTCAGGGTTTTCCTCATTTATCACCTTCTCAGTAAGGCCCTCCACGATGGCCCTATTTAACTTGGCAACCTCCTTCCACTCATGGCATTCCTTTTGGTTTTCTTTGATTTGTTCTTTTCTCTACAGCATTGATCACCTTCTCACATTCTATTTATTGCCTTTCTCCTCCCACTAGAATGTAAACTCCATTAAGAAATTATTATTATTTTTTGAGACGGGAGTCTCGCTCTGTCACCCAGGCTGGAGAGCAGTGGCGCGATCTCGGCTCACTGCAATGTCCACCTCCTGGATTCAAGCGATTCTCCTGCCTCAGCCTCCCAAATAGCTGATCTCACAGGCATGTGCAACCATGCCTGGTTAATTTTTGTATTTTTAGTAGAGATGGGGTTTCACCATGTTGGTCAGGCTGGTCTCAAATTCTTGACCTTGTGTTCCACCCGCCTTAGCCCAGAAAATATTTTTGTCTGTCTTATTCATGACTGTATTCCTAGGGCTAGAATACTGCCTGGCAAATAATAGGTGCTCAATAAATACTTGTTAAGAAAATCATATATGGCAGATGCACCTGGCAGCAGAAACTTAACTGAAGTATACCCTGAGAATGACCTTATGGGCTAAGAAGAATGTGTGTTCAGAGTTCCAAGCTAAGGAATCCAGGAATGGCCAACCCAGAGATTCATTCTTTTCCAGAGAGGAACATCTGAACCTCCAGCCCATCCCATGGAATCGAGGCCATACAGGGGATTGAGGCCTCTTGTTTTGGATTGAGTGAAGGTTGCCAAGTGGAGGTAGCTAGTTGGAAGGTGGTAAATGAAATTGCTATGTAAACTGTATGCTTTTGGCTGGGTGCAGTGGCTCATGCCTGTAATCCCAGCACTTTGGGAGGCTGAGGCGGGCAGACTGCTTGAGCCCAGGAGTTCGAGACCAGCCTGGGCAACATGGTGAAACCCATTGTCTACCAAAAATACAAAAAATTACCTGGGTATGGTGGCATGTGCCTGTAGTCCCAGCTACTCAGGAGGCTGAGGTGGGAGGATTGCTTGAGCCCGGGGAGGCGGAGGTTGCAATGAGCTGTGATTGCACCACTGCACTCCAGCCTGGGTGACAGAGTAAGACACAGTCTCAAAACAAAAACAAAAACAAAAAACTACTGCAAGCTTTTCACAAACGGTAGCTGTTCTATCCAGCCCATCGCCACTGGACCACCCTACATAAATCCCCTCATTAAACCCTATATCTCGTTCACTGGCTCTGGGTCTCTTCTTTGGCCTCTCAAACATGGCGCCATTCCTATTGAAGTCAGCAGGGGTCCAGCATGACAAATCATTGGTCTGAATGACAAAACTTGACAGAGTTTGATTTCTGAATAAGTCAGTTCAATAACAAAGAGATGTATAAGTTATTTTTTTTCTGCTGGTGGAGAAGATATACGAAATTATGTGTTGAGCAAAGTCTGGTTTGAAAAAAAAAGGAAGGTGGAGTTTTAGCTGGTTAATCAGTATCAAAAGTTGGCTTCCTATTAGATGATACAATAAAATATATATTGTATTTACAAACATATTTCTACCAAACTACTGAAAACATTGGTGACTATACCATCAACTAAATTTGTAACTAAAATAATGGCCCCCTCATGAAAATCCTCTGTAAGTGCACCCGGAAAGGGTACCATCAACGTTTCATTTTGTTCGCCCAAAAGCAGTCTCACTGGTTCAATAGGGAGCTGTTATGGCCCCTTTAGAGGCAGTTGATGGGAAATAAGCAACAGTGTTTGTCAAGGAACCATTTGTTAAAACCACAGGGGTGGCTGGGTAGTTTAAAGAGTAATCTTCAGTAAGGTGCATGAAAGAGCTTTCCAATAGTCAGTTTCAAAGGAGGATGAGTCTTTGAGGGATCTGTCTGATGATAATGAAAATATAATGAAGGTTAAAGTGTTCTTTGCAGTTTTTACCATAGGAAATGATTGGAAGGAAACTAACATTTTCAAGTAAGGAAATGATTCATAAATTACTGACAAGAAAATAGTGCTTCAATTAAAATGATGATGATAAAAATGACAGAGCAACTTTGAAAAATCATATGAAACAATATTAAATTCTTGACATATATGAAACCACATGTGGTGGCTATGGTCATATGACATATGGTCATATGTGAACATATGCACACAGATAAACAAGGTAGCATTATGAGTAACAAGCAAAATTATCCCTTTTCTCTAGTTTCCCGGTTTTGATACTTCACATTGCAAGGAATAAAATAATAATAAAAACATATTGGTCATGGGGCATGAGTGATATTAACAGTAGTTTACCTAAGGTAACTAAGGAAAACTTGATTTAAATGGAAGGTGATTGCTGACATTTTCATACTGACATTTGAAAAGAATTTCCAAAACTGTGCTTTCTGAATTTGCCTGATAATAGCTGCATCACCCACAGACCTAAGGGATGTGAGGTAAAACAAGCTTTGATGTCTTTTGGAGATTCATCATGCAACTACTAATTAAAGGGTCTGAAAATCTCTGTAGTCTACCTATTGATATTGTGAGAAAACCAGTGTTTTACAGTGCACCATTAGCAAACAGTGCATTAAGCACACAGATACCTTGGTTTTTCCCCAATAAAGTTTTGAACATCAAAAAAAAGAAAAATAAGAAAACAAGACATAACAAAGCTAAGTCCAGGTTTCTTTGTCCTTGAAAACTTTCTGAGGAAGACTGGCCTTATATCTAATTGTTGGGGTCAGGAGGTAAAGAGGAAACCTCTCTCCAAAGACAGAAACAGCTAAATCAAAGCCTGTCCCTAGAGAGTTTCTACAGCAGGGCCGGCTAAAATCCAGGGGTGGATGATCATGTCACATCGTTTGGACACAAGTCACTTGGAAGCCAAAGTTTTAAGGTGTATAGAATGGATTTAGGGGCTAGTAGGAAGGTTTCTGAGCCCATGTACTCCCATCATATCCTGTACTATCCACTATAGGAGTGTTTAAATTATCTTAAGGATTGTTCTCAATAGAGTGCAAACCTCTCTGTCTCTGTCTCTCCGTCTCTGTAAGCTTCTTGATGATAGCAAACATTATGGTCACCTTTGTATCCACAGTGGCTGGGTCTTAGTTGGTGTTGGATAAGTAAATACACATTGAATTAATGACAGAAAGCATGAATAAATGAATGAATATTATTGTAAGCTACAGAATATGAATATTGGATCAGAGGAACTTATTCTTTCCAAGTGCAGCTCTTAAATAAAATAGTCCTTAATCAATGATATATTTCCATTAGATTGGAAGGTACAAGAATAATAGTTCTCAACCTTTCCCTAGTTTCTGCCCTAATCATTAGTTATTTCATTTTTATTTTTATTCATTAATTTCATTCATTATTTTTAATTTCATATGATATGATGTGTAAAACATTGAAACAGTTCAGATAAGGCTAACGTGTCTCTTGACCATCACCCGCCAGTTCCTACTCAGAGCTGGAAAGCTTGGGGTCTGTTTGGCATACAAGATTGTCTTCAAGGTCCTTCTATTTTAGGAAATATAAATTACTTAAAATTTTGTCAGTGGCTGCAGAGGATTCCATAAAATGGTTGTACCATAAGTTATTTAGTTTTCTCCCATTGATAGACATTTATGTGTTACCAAGGCTTGCTATTATGGGAAATGTATCAGTGAACATCTTTGTATCCTAGGCCAGATACTCAGAAATAAAACTGTTGGATAATAAATTTAAAAATTCAAATATGGCCAAACTGTCATCCAAAAAATGGCTCACCACATTTACATTCCTGCCAGCAATGTAGAGCATATGCATTTTCTATATCTCTGCCAAAATATTTCTATTATCAAATTTAAATTATTTTTTTCCAAATAATTCGGGTGAAAAATGGTATCTTCCTTTATTTTGCACTTCCCTGATTACCACTGAAGTTTAGCAACTTTTTTTTTTTTTTTTTGAGACAGAGTCTCGCTCTGTCACCCAGGCTGGAGGGCAATGGTGCAATCTCGGCTCACTGCAACCTCTGCCTCCCGGGTTCAAATGATTCTCTGCCTCAGCCTCCCGAGTAGCCGGGACTACAGGTGCGTGCCACCATGCCTGGCTAATTTTTATATTTTTAGTAGAGACAAGGTTTCACTGTGTTAGCCAGGATGGTCTCCATCTCCGGACCTCGTGATCTGCCCGCCTCCGCCTCCCAAAGTGCTGGGATGAGGGGCATGAGCCACCGCGCCCGGCCCTTTTTTTTTTTTTTTTTTTCTGAGATGGAGTTTCGCTCTTGTTGCCCAGGCTGGAGTGCAGTGGCGTGATCTCGGCTCACTGCAACCTCTGCCTCCTGGGTTCAAGCGATTCTCCTGCCTCAGCCTCCCGAGTAGCTGGGATTACAAGCGCCCACCACCACGCCTGGCTAATTTTTGTATTTTTAGTAGAGATGGGGTTTCACCATGTTGGCCAGGCTGGTCTCAAACACCTGACTTCAAATGATCCACCCGCCTTGGCCTCCCAAAGGGCTGGGATTACGGACATAAGCCACTGCGCCCGGCTGCAAATTTTTATATACTATTTGTCACTGTATCCATTTTAGCCAAGATATTATTAATCACATTAAAATCACATTAAAAACATAAAAATCATTAAAAACCCACACAAGTCACAACTATAAATTAACTAGTCCTGTTGCCTTATTGTAAGCAAAACTGTACCTTTAAACTATTCACAAATATATAGTTGTCAATTTGGTGGCTCCTGAAAAGATCTCTAGCATTACAGATTTTATAACCTTCCTCAGTAGGAAGTTGGAATGCTTCCTACTTCCAACACCTTTATAGCAAAGTTGGTCACCTTTCTGGAAAAACAGGCCTCACTTCAAGAGAACGTCACTTATTTCACTTTGTAGGTGAACCCTGTCTCACTAACATTGCCTTCTTGTGTACAGACATGAGGTTTATACTTTTGTAGCCTTTGTGCCTAGCACTGTGGTGGGCCCATGAAAGAAACAAATATATTACAAGTGTAATGAATTTAGCAATTCAGTCATAGTAAACTTTCAAATGCCTGAAATTACAGACTCTAACTACTTTCCCCTGCACTAAATGCTAATTCTTACCACCATTTGAAAAAAAAAAAAAGTCTTCTTGTTCTGTCCTTGTGATAGTTTGCTGAGAATGATGGTTTCCAGCTTCATCCATGTCCCTGCAAAGAACGTGAACTCATCCTTTTTTATGGCTGCATAGTATTCCATGGTGTATATGTGCCGCATTTTCTTAATCCAGTCTATCATGGATGGACATTTGGGCTGGTTCCAAGTCTTTGCTATTGTGAATAGTGCCGCAATAAACATACACGTGCATGTGTCTTTATAGCAGCATGATTTATAATCCTTTGGGTATATACCCAGTAATGGGATGGCTGGGTCAAATGGTATTTCTAAGCTACTAAGGAGGCTGAGAACACAAGGGGGGACTGCTTGAGCCTGGGAGTTCAAGGCTGCAGTGAGCTATGATGGTGCCACTGCACTCCAGCCTTAGGGACAGAACAAGACCTTGTCTCAAAAAACAAAAACAACAACAAAAACAAAAACAAATAAAGTTTATAAGATAAGATACCTGAGTTAGGATTAAAGATACTGAAATATCATTAAATAAAATAAGTCATATATGATGTTTTGGGGATGTTTCACATTCCATGGCTACTGATGAGAAAAAAGGATTTTTAAAAATCTGCAGGGATGAGAAGACACAAAAATTGATTATTTACTCCACAGGAAAAAATATCTAAAGTGAGAGGAGATCGTATACCTTTACTTCTCTAGGTTCTGAGCTTTAGGAATGTTCCTGAAATAAATCCGTTGAGCTCAGAACAACAGGAAATTGCCACTTACGCACTTAAAAAGCTTTCGTGCTACCATGAAACCACCTACTCACTTGACACTAATCGGTTGCTAATGGTTTCTGGCTAGGATTTGATTTTCTTTGGCTTAATCACCAAGGGATCACCTCTTTCCAGATCAATCTCAGTCCACTGGCTAATCTGATTCTGTGATACAGCACTCAGTTCTGTTCTATCTTGAAAGTTCCTAAGTACATAATCAGTCTAATTTTGGTGACATTCGATTCAATATTTACGATTTATGTCTACTAAGAAGTAGACATAAATTCTTAGTCTACTAAGACTAAGTGTCCAAGAGGACACTTAGTACCGGGAAAACCTACAGGTATCACAGATATGTCATTTGGTAAAGGGCATGATTTAGCTATTTATTTTCAGGGATGGAAAGATAGAACAGATACCTTTAAAACTAGTAGTTCCATTTGCAAGTTCTATGACAGCTTTTAATGATGTTTATTAAGCTGATTACACACTACTGTACAAAAGAAGTCCTTGAAATGAGGTAATACTAGGAGAAACACAGCTGGCCATCAATTTAAGCATCCTTTAAAAGCAGATGTGTTAAAACTCAAAGTGGGTGTGAAGAGGACATGCAAATCAGTCTAAGGTACAAGGCACTGCATTTTGAAATGCAGTACTTAGGAAGAATCTTGGAGAGCATTTAATTAAAACTCTTACATTTAAAATGAAGAAACTGAGTCCTAACATTATTAAACATAGTTAGAAAAGATTTTTTAACCTGGAATTTGGCATAGTGGTCCCTTCCCCAAGTTTGACAGTTCATTTAACTTAAGTAGAATTTTTCTTGCTTCTGTATATCAGTATTTCTTTCTCAAGGATCCTTACAAAGTACTGGGATGTCACTTCACAGATTCTTTGCCAAGACACGTGATTACTTGCATCACTGAACATGCGTTCTAAATACTTTTTCAACAGGAATTTAAGATTGTCATATTGACATGAAGAATGCATTTAGCTTGTTTGCTCTTTTAACAGAAAGTATACATTTTAAGCCACAGCTGTGTACCATTCAATCATTATGATTTAAGAATTTTTCAGGGGGGGAAGGCCTGAAAGAAGGGGAGTTGTAAATTTCTCATGCTTAAGAATGATGAAGAAAAAAAAGTCAGAATAGAATTCAATAGCAAAATAAAGCCCAACAGGATAAGTATTCAATAAACAAAAATAGCATTATTTTCTCTTCAGTATATTCTATCCTTCAAACTCTGGCAACAGTTTCTTAATATGAGTGAATTGCCATGAAACTGCTTTTGCCTGACAAAATTCCTTTGAGTAGTGTGCAAATTGTAAAGCCTATTTCTCTCTGTTCATTAGTAAGAGAGTTCATATTGTATAGTGCCACAGACTCTTTGCTCATTGATTGTGAGAAGTGATAATTGGCTGGCACTGAAATACTAGAAGGCAAAGTTGTACTTCAGAAGATGAAGAGAGTTGAGAAACAGTAGCAACGTGTCAGTTAGGAAATATACTGTCAATGCATAAGAAGGATAAAGAACACCAGTTTAGGGTTGATTTGCAAAGTATATCATTCCGCTGCTGACTACAGAAAGTTAATAATTAATATTATTAATATGGATAGATGGATATGGAGTCTATACTAAGAAAAATGGCCAGTTTATGAGCAAAAGTGGAGAAGGTGATAGCCATTTTTTCAATTCATGCACATAACCAGTGAGTTTAACTTTCACTTACTTATATGTATGTATCATGTGAAGATTTCATCTTAAAACTTCTTAGACTTGGTTAAATCCACATTAATTGATACATATTATATTACTGTAACAAATCTGAACATGGATTTTTTATTCAGTTATAATTAAAGATGGGAGCCCTTCTCTTACTTTCCCTTTGTTCTGAGCTGCGCCATGCCTTTTCTCTTTTGGGGGCTCTTCAGCAAAGACAAGTGTCCCCAGATTGAAACTCTGGATAGAACTTTTTAGACTCAGGGAACATAGATTAAATTTACCTTTCAGCTGGGTGTGGTGGCTCATGCCTGTAATACTAGCACTTTGGAAGGCCAGAGTGGGTGGATCACCTGAGGTCAGGAGCTCAAGACCAGCCTGGCCAACATAGTGAAACCCCATCTCTACCAAAGATACAAAAATTGGCTGGGTATCTTGGTGCATGCCTGTTGTCCCAGCTACTCGGGAGGCTGAGGCTGGAGAATCACTTGAACCCAGGAAGCGGAAGTTGCAGTGAGCTGAGATCACGCCACTGCATTCCAGCCTGGGCAACAGAGTGAGACTCCGTCTCAAAAACAAAAATTACCTTTTAACTGCCATGTGATCAGAGGCAAAAACATGACTGCCATATCCATAAGTTTCTTTTGATAGTCCTTCTATAATCAATTTGCTCACTCTAATAACTCTAGATATGTAATCATGCAATACAGGCATGATTCTTCATGGCTCTAAAGAGTGATTTCTTAATCCTAGATGCTACAGTTCCAATGCAGAGAATCAGTCCTATATTAAGGCAAAAGACTTGATAACACGTTTCAACCAACATTAAGTAATGATTTAAACATGTATTAACTTCACTCATTCAGTTGATTCTGCCTATTGTTTCATGCCATTCTTTTTGCCAGAATTGGTAACCTTTAATAACCCACATTCATATGCATTCAGATAAACACACACTCTTGAAGGTAATATGTATGGGCTTCAGTCTGGGGGGGTTAGGGATGATGACCCATTTCATATTTCACAGCCAATAACAGAAGCCTATAGGAGAGCAGCCACAGAGAGGCAGGAATGAAAACCGCTTGCAGATAGTTCTGTGTTAATTTTTATCTCCCTCCATTTTTCAAATCTTCTATAAAGTAGGTTTATTTTTAACATCTTCTCATTCTCTTTAGTATGAGGTAAAATAGACAAAATGCAAGGGTGAAAAGAGAGAAGGAAGGCAGTTAAGGATCTAGCCGGTCCACAAATATTGAAGGAATAATCAAGACACAACATAAAAAATATTTTCAAAATATGTTCTGGAGTATTTTTCCTCTTGGTAATTCATTTTTCTTCCTCTTTTTGCCATCCTGCCTCTGAGGTTGGACAGGGATCTTTGCCCCAGGTAAAGAAAGAAAGATACAGTCCAGAGGTACAGGAGTTCTGCAGAGTGGCTGTATGCGTTTCCTCTGGCTGTGGTACTGCAAATTACCACAAACTTGGTGCCTTAAAACCTTACACATTTATTCTCTGACAGTTCTGATGCCTGAAGTCTGAAATCCATTCCACTAAGTCAAAATCAAGGCGCCACAAGGGTTGCATTCCATCCCCTTCCTTCCGGTCAAGCACACAAGCACACAGAGGAAAACGGCAGCACGAGGAAAAAGAGGGTTAACTTGATCAGTTACTCTAGGGTTTACGCTACTACCTTAGCCCTCAACCTCGAAAACAAGAAAGAAAAAAAAGTTCAGCTCAGCTTTTAGAAATATTTTTTTCATACAAATTGGAATGCAAATTAATTTTTCTAGAGAATAAGAGAATATTCAACACCAACGTCCTTGAGGGTGGAGACGATAGTTTACTTATTTATAGTTATTCCCTCTCTGACCCAGGCCCCACTATCCTCTGTACAGCCTGACACAGAACCTTCCCAACAGGAGACACCCAATGAATGTCTCTGAATGACTCTCTAGGGCTCAGCAGTACAGCTGCCATCCATCTCTGTCCTCCTTCAGAAGATGTCCAGGATGGATGCTGGGGTAGGGTAGGGTGGATGTTGCTGAAGAAAACCTCTTTTTCTCTTTCCTAAGAGAAAACTTGCTATTAATTATTCCATCAAATAAATGCCTAGAAAATTGCAAGAAAATGTGAAGCAAAATATAAAAAAATCAAACATCAATGGCAAAGCAGACAGAATAGAAAGGGAATATACATTGTGGCCAGAAAAATGAGAAGAATGTGGTCCTGCAAGGTATGTTTCATTACTGTATTTGTAAAGTAAGCATGGGTTAATCTTTTACCTTTTTAGAGTATGACTCTTCAAATATAAAATGGTGATGGTGATAACACTAACTTATTTGTTGAGATGGTTAAAGAATATACAAATAAAAGCAGTGATAAAACAATTAAGAACCAATATTTTTAACCCCCATGCTACTTAGCTTGTATTTACTAAATCAAATTTGATAGAATTAAGAGAACTATGTGTGAAAGTTCTTTTTACAACATTGCAAATGATAGCTTTAATTATTACTTGAGATAAATTACCTTTGAGTCAGCATCATACATTTCCATGTTGAGGACACAATAAAAATTTGGAAAAATGCCTTCCTTCGCTTTAATTCCTTTCTGCTAATATATAGAACAGCCTTCTATTCAAGGACTCCCAATTTGGGCAAAACAGTACCTATTCTTGTTTTCTAAAGATGTTTTAGAATAATATGCCTTGCAGAACAGCTGTAGCCTAATGGTTAAGAGTTTGGACTCTCTAGGGTCAAATTGTAACTCTACCACTCATCCGCTGTGTGATCCTGGGCAAATTCCTTAGCTTCTTTTTGCTTTAAGCTCCTCATCTATCAAATGGAGGTAAAAATATTACCTCACATGTAGTTGTGAGGATTAAATAAGTTAATATATGTAAACAGCTTACGCTAGTATACCAGTGAACACTCACTTAATGTTGGCTATTATAATTCTAGTCATTATAAAACAGCTATATTTTATTGTTGATGAAACTTATAATAGATAAATAGAAGTTTACTTAAATTTAATGGATGGCCCTTTCTTATACAATTACGAAACATTCATCCATAACAGGTCTAGGATGCAGAGAGATTTCTATCTTGGCTCAAGTAAAGAGAAAGAAAAAAGAAATATTTCATTTTCACAATGTGGTAGAAACTATGAAGTAAGTGATTAGTAGTTTCTTTGCTATCTCTTTTTTCCCTGTCACACAAATCTTGACATACCATTAAAAAATTTGAGTGAGGACTCATTTCAGCCAAGGTATCAGTTTGTTGATAAGTGGTGCTCATGGCAAATTATTTAGGAGATGAAGTTCTGGAAGACAATGTCTTGGAAGCTGACATGTGAACGTGAAAATCTGCTACAAGCATAGGACTAGAATCTCAAAGCAGGCTTGGGGTTTCAGCATTGTGTTCTTTTTAGGCAAGTTTCAACAAGGCAAAGGGCTGCTTAACTTCTCCATGTCAAGAAACAGCTTTATCATTGTGGCTGAAAGTACTCACACACGGTTGCTAGTGAGCAACCTGCCACAGGCCTGATCCAGAGAGACCCGGCATTAACATGATTCTCCCTAGGGAGGAAATCTAGCAATGCCTGAACAGACATGGAGTCCTCATTTCCACGCCCTTGGTACAGACTCAGAAGCAGCAGGGTGAAGCAATAGCAGCAGCTAGAACAGAGAGCAAACGCAGCACCCGAAGTGTTCCTCCAACTATTATGTTGGTGCCATTACTTTTAATGGCAAGAACCTCAATTACTTTTGCACTAATTTGATATCTAGAAATCTGGTTTTGCAATGCAATAGTGGGGAGATGTCAATGTAAAATATGTTCTATTTCCTTGTAGTTGGTTGATGCTTATTTATGTCATCATCATCATCATAGCATGTTACACTACATTTATCTGAGTGATTTTATAGGATTGTCACACTATTCATAAATGAGGAATATGGAGTAGAAAATATTCCCAGGCAGGCTACAGTTACAGAGGTCAGATTGTTACAAAGTTAAGAAACATTTGCAACATCAATATGTGACATGCTTACTGAATTCCCTGTCCTGGTGTCTTCTTTAGGTAATGTTTCATGTTTGAGCATCTTTCTTTTATAACTGACCTATTTCTAACTTAAAAGTATCTTCTGTATTTTACTGATACTCCCGAAAGAAACATGTTCATATTAGCATAATTATTACCACAAAACCAAAGCAAAGAATAAGGATGGAACTATCTTGTTCTTCCACTCATACAACTTTCCTTATCCCACTCTTTCAATATCCCACCCTTGCCCCTGGACCAGTAGCAAGAAAAAACTCATTAGTTCCACTGTGGAGTTGGATTCATGGGAAAGTCCATACAACCACATCTGTTTCCTACAAAAGATGGTGACCAATTGCTCTTCATCTCTGTTAGGGATTTAAACAATAAATTCTTAACATATTAAAGGGCATATAAGGTACAAAGAGATTAATAATAAAGGCACTGATATCTCATTTTGTGAATCTTTTTGAAAAGAAAATATGGGAAATCTAGGGTTGATCTACCGGGCTGTGGGCAGAGATATGGAATGGAATAAACAATAACTTGAGCTGATTTTTATAAAGAAGAATTTTCTCATTCCATTGTGTTATAGAGATGTTTTGATGACATCCACGTTTCTAAGAATTGTGTGTTCCTTTAAAGAAGAGCAACAGAAGAAATACATGATCCTGTAATTGATGTGCCACATTTCATTTTCTTAGAGAGTTACCATTCTTCCCATAATACTAGATTGGACAGTTTTGGGTTAATGGATTTTGCAGTGTACCATTACAATCATTCAGGTCACTTGGAAGGTTTGCAAAAATCACATGTTTCAAGTGTCCTGATTAATGGAAGTAATATTCTCTTTTTCATTCCCCATCAAATGTAACTTACTTCAAATTTATGGTTTAATAAAGCACGTCAGACTTTCCTAAATTCCTTTTCAATATATTACATGATATTTTCTGATACTTTATCAAGTTTGTATCTGCAAGACTAGAATTCACAGGCAGTTATTTTTCACCAAGATGAAGATAGCCTTCAGGACACCGCTTGTCCACACCTGTAATCCCAGCACTTTGGGAGGCCAAGGTCTGCCGATCACCTGATGTCAGGAGTTCGAGACAAGCCTGGCCAATATGGTGAAACCTTGTCTCTACTAAAAATACAAAAAATTAGCTGGTCAGGGGTGGCGTGCGCCTGTAGTCCTAGCTGTTCGGGAGGCTGAGGCAGGAGAATTGCTTGAACCTCGGAGGCGAAGGTTGCAATAAGCCGAGATCATGCCACCGCATTCCAGCCTGGCTGACAGAGCGAGACTTTGTCTCAAAATAAAATAAAATAAAATAGTAAAATAAAATGAAATAAAATTATGGTTCATAGCAACGATGTATATCACTTCTTTTAATTTTTAATAGTTTCCGTATTAAAACATCCGAGTTTCCCCAAAAGATCATCATTTTGGCTAAACCAAATACTTTAAAATATTAAAAGTTTATATATGATTAATAGTTAACAGCAGAACATAGGATAATTTTTCTCTTCTAAAAGAGATTCATTTATATGATTTGAATTTACTTGAAACAAAATATAACATTTTATGTTCCAACCACTAAAAAATGTTTTTGTATTTGTCCTCAGACGTAATTTAGGTTTTAAATTTTCTGTTGATCTCTTTTTTTAGAAGCAGAGGGAAGAGTAGACCTTCTCATATGATTTTCATTACTGTAGTAATATTTGCACATACTTAATTTCTATTGGAAATATTTGTTGTAAATATAATTTCTATACTCAGTATAGGCAAAACAATCAAATTTAATTAACAAAAAGCATTTGCACAGCCAGTCTGGCTGGACCTTATGCAAATGTAGAAAATGACAAGCTTGAAATTAATCACCAAATGTCTGAAATTAAAACAGAATTGTCAAGGCAGAAATGTATGAATCATAATAGTATCTAATTCCATGGTTTCTGGGCAGATGTCTTTCTGTATTCTGATGAAAACTAGCATTTATTTATATTAAAACCTCTTCAACAAACCATATGTTATATTTAGCTCAGCCAAAATTCCCAGGTGGAGAATATTTGTATGGAAGATTTCAAAAGGATGATCAATTTAGATGTAACCTACATCTTATTTATTTATTTATTTATTTTTGCCTTTTATATCTGAAGACTGCATTGAAAAGACAGATGCATCTTTTCTTTTATACTTCAACATCCCCAGTTTGATTTAATAAGTCAGGAAAGCAAGCACCTGAAGATTTTATGAATCACAGTTCCGATTTAGAATATCCACAGAAGTGATCTGTGTTTCCCTTTGTGTGTATCCTTCAAGGATACATTGGAGCAACGGGTATCCTTCAAGGATACATTGGAGCAACGGGACCAGCAAATCTCAGCAGAAACTTATTGAGAACAACTAAAAAGCTGATTCAGGCACTTGGTGTTGAGATGCTATCATTTTCTCAAGTGTTAGTAAGTAAGAACTATGTAGAGGGGAAATTGATAAAACTTTTGAACATCATCT
Organism: Homo sapiens; assembly: GCF_000001405.40. Classification (NCBI taxonomy): domain Eukaryota; kingdom Metazoa; phylum Chordata; class Mammalia; order Primates; family Hominidae; genus Homo; species Homo sapiens. The sequence goes on from NC_000018.10 coordinate 4,043,942, forward strand.
TAGCATTGTGTAACGAAGACAGACCAATGTCATAACTGTGCATTTAAAAAGTATTTAAAATTAGTACTAAATGCAAATTGGGTAATGTAAGACATTTCCTCTATTCTGTGTTTGCCTCTGGCAAACTAGAATTACTTCAAAAAATTTAAAAATCAGGGATATGAAATGTCTTCCAGGAGACAAGCACAAAATACAAAACACAAGTAATATTAATATTTCCTTTACAGTGTTTACAGAAGTCTGGGTTTCTCTTTCCTGGAAAGTTCAATCACTTTATCTAATGTCTGGGTTTTGGGATATTTATACTCCTGGCCACCTCACACCAAGTCATCTCCATCTAAATGCTGTTTATGGCTTCACGTAAAAGGAGTGTAACTTCCAACAGTAAAAAGCCACGGGGAACATCTCTACAGTCCTCCAATTTGAACACTCAAATCAGCACAGAAAACCAAGTAGGTATTTCTCCAAATTGCCCGGTGTTGAGAATCAACAGACACACTTGTTAAAAATACAAATCCCGGCCAGGCATGGTGGCTCACGCCTGTAATCCCAGCACTTTGGGAGGCCGAGGCAGGTGGACCATGAGGTCAGGAGTTTGAGACCAGCCTGGCCAAGATGGTGAAACCCTGTCTCTACTAAAAATACAAAAATTAGCCAGGCACGGTGGTGGGCGCCTGTAATCCCAGCTACTCTGGAGGCTGAGGCAGGAGAATTGCTTGAACCCAGGAGGCAGAGGTTGCAGTAAGCCGAGGTTGCACCACTGCATTCTAGCCTGGGCAACAGAGCAAGACTCCCTCACCAAAAACAAAACAAAAAACAAACAAACAAAACAAACAAACAAACAAACAAAAACCTAGGTTGACCTCAGGTAAAAGAAATAGTACTACAAAATCTCATGTCAATTGTAATCCCCAGTGTTGAAGGTGCGGCCTGGTGGGAGGCGACTGGATCATGTTTACAAATGTCTTGTTGAATTTTTTCATTCTTCAGGCTTGGGGAACACTGCATATCACCACCTCCTCTTCCCATAGAGGAAACAACCCAGCAAACACCAAGATAAACCAAAGAACAATGTCAATCAGAGATGAGTAACTAAAGACAAGTTATAATCATAATTAACCCAAATTTATTTTCCAGGTCAACATAATATTTTTATCCCTTCTAAGAGACGGTCTGTTCTAATGGGCAACAGTCCTCCACGCCGAGCCACTCTCATCTCCTACTAACTTAACTGCCCTGCACTGTCCCTCGACTTTCACCTTTCTTGCCTTAGGAGCCATCCATGAAACCCTCTTCTAATCATCTCACTTTCTCCAATAAAAAAAGTAGTTTCATATGTGCCGAAAATAAAAGGAAAAAGGAACTGATAACTCCTTGGTATCTTTTAGTAATTCTTGATCATTGGCTCCCAATTTCTAGAATTACCTAAGATTTGCATTTCTTGGAAATAGAGATCACAGCCTGTGTAACATAGAAAGACCCCATCTCTACAAAAAAAAAAAAAAAAAAAAAAAAAAAAAAAAAGCTTGCCCCTGTAGTCCCAGTTACTTGGGAGGGTGAGGCGGACGGATCGCTTGAGCCTGGGAGGTTGAGGCTGCAGTGAGCCATGATCGTGTCACTACTGCACTCCAGCCTGGGTAACAGAGCAAGACCCTGGTCTCAAACAAACAAACAAACAAAAAAACCCAACATATTTTTGCTATCATAATCATATTGCTGCTTTTCTCTCCTACCATTTAATTAATAGAGTAATATAATGTTAATTAGATTTTTTTTGTTGGTGATCACGCCAAGTATATTTTACCACTATTTGGCATTCTTCGTTTAAAAGGTTAATCTTTAAAACTTTTTTTTTTTTTTTTTTTAAAGTTAGCATCTTGCTCTGTCACCAGGCTGTAGTGCAGTGGTATGATCGTAGCTCACTATAACCTCAAGCAATCCTCCTACCTCAGCCTCCCAAAGTGCTGGGGTTATATGTGTGAGCCACCTTATCTGGCTCTTTTAAACTTCTTAAAAGAGATAAAAACCAGACACTACTTTAAAAAATTACTAAGAATAGTAAGGACCTCATAAGAGCCAAGTTTATCTTACAGCACTAAAATTATCAGATTCCATAAGAAGCTTCAGTTTACCTGCAGTCTGTATGTCCCCATCTGGCATTAACCTGCCAATTATACAAAGGGGCTAACCAGAACAGAACTGACCTGTAAGCTGATTAGTTTCCAATTCTGATGAACAAAATCGTGCAGTTTTTTGGCCAAAATTCACTTCTTATGGTTGGTTGTACACTTGTTCACTTATTTATTGGTAGAGCTTCTAAAGATTGCATAATAGATTGCAAAATATCTATTGCCCAAATCCCAATAATAGCAATATTTACCTAATTATAGACCACTAGTGAGTAGGATCATTTGGGGTGAGTATGGTGATAACTGATTTAATAGGCCTTCTGTTCCTGGCCTAAGAAAAGTGGGTGTCTTTCCATATCATCTTAGTTAGCATGCAATAAAGGTAGATTAAACAATTCTTAGGATACAAAAATGAAGTTCTCAACTATGCCCAGGGGCGCACAATCTGATAAGAAACCATAGATATCATCAAATAATTAAGTGTTAGAATATAGGTCTGTGAAACGTGCTGGACATATTAATTCTGAGTATTTGGGCATTATCTCCTTAGGTCTCTGGCTAAGCTCAGTGTCTGAAGTGTTCTCAATAGATGTTTTTTGAAAGAAAAATAAACAACTGATTAAACTTACATCACTAGTAATCAAAGGAGTGAATACATTGGGACAATTTATCCTCGGAGGTTGTGGGTTGATAGGAAATTCTGCCTTGCAGAGGCTAAGTTTGAAGTGTCTGTAGAACATATATAGCTGGAGATAGATACATGGGTCTGAAGTTCATGTCTAGAGGCAACAGTGCCTTTACCTTTGCTCTCTAAGCTGGCCTCAGGATAAAAGGTGCAAATCTGCAGGAGATGTGACAATTTTGGGATGTCAGATTGATAAGACCTGAGCGAGATGCTAATGACCCTTATTCTTTGCCTCCACATCCTGGAACTAGAGATTTTTGTTACAGAATTATAGGAAAGTATATTTTCCAGCCTACTCAAATAACTTACTTCAATGTTGAATTTCCAGAAGAAAATTAGAGTCAAATGTTGCTTAACCCTACTCTGAATGCAGAACCATGCAAAAAGAACATTTATGTTGTCTATGTAACTGTTTCTAAATTCCACTCCCGGAGCTTCCTGTCTTTACAAGAAATTCTCAGGCAATTTTCAGACAAATAAAATGGTTTGCTTTAACTATAATAACACATGCATAATTAACATATCAATCTGTATGTGGCAAATAGTGGAATAATGATTTGCTTATTATGCAAAACATATTTTTTGGAAGGATATTGTATAAATATTACTTGGGTAAATGTAATGAGACTTAGTTATAACCAAAAATTGTATTGCGCCATCTTGCTTGCATCATGATCAAGCTCTATGTAAAGTAGCCAATAGTAATAAATGGATACAAGAAACAGACCAGATAATTATGAAATAAAGAATATTTAGCTATGAAACATAATTTCAGAGGTTATACATAGTAAGATAAGTTGACAAACTAGAAACCAAATCCCATGTGACTTAGGTGTTGTAGCCAGGGGTGAATGCCTCAGTTGTTACTTTTAGTCCATTTGTATCAGATGTCTCAAGACACATATTATCTTTAGGAAGAAACCTTGGTCAATCACCTTTATCCAGATCAAGAATTGAGCTGTTATATGGTCCATGAATCTGCTTATCACCTGTAAAATGGCTTCTTCCATTAGATCATTGAGGTTTAATGAGAAAGTAAAAACTTATTTTTTAGTTTTTAGAGATGGGGTTGCTCTGTTGCCCTGGTTGGAGTACAGTGGTTTGGTCATAACTCACTGCAGTCTGGTCTTCCCAGGTTCCAGTGATCCTCCCACCTCAACCTCCCAAGTAGCTGGGGCCACAGGTGCATGCTACCATGCCCAGCGAAGTTTTTCTTTATTTTTTGTAGAGACGGGGTCTCACTACACTGCCAGGCTGGTCTCAAACTCCCGGGCTCAAGCAATCTTCCAGCCTTGGCCTCTCAAAGTGCTGGGATTGCAGGCATGATCCACAGCATCCAGTCCTAAAAACTTCTTTTTGAATTAGAAGGAGACTGTTGTTCATCTCGACTATCCCATGTTCATTTGAACAGATTATTAGAAAAACAAATTAAATGTAGAATTGTGAATTACATAATGCAAAGAGCATATAAAAACATTTTTTCAGCCATTTTTAAAAAATGTGTTTTTGAAGAAATGTAATTGCTCATATTTAAGATGAAGAATTAAAACACTAATCTAAGCCATCAGAGCTCATTCTTGACATTTGAAAGCAATGAAATTCAAATTTTGCCTTTTATCCTTATCTTGTACCATATTGATTCTAAATTACTTAGAGTTTTTCACAGCATGATCAAGAATGAAGCTTGCAGTTTGCCAAATCTTTTTTGGTCAGAAGTGGCATTTTCTTGACAAGGCCTGTCACTCACTCAGTGCCTACTCACTCATCCAGTGTAATAATTTAAACAAGACTTAAGGAGGGTTTTTGGTAATTTTTTTCTTTGACAAACAAATCCTACAATGTCGATAGACTGAGAGAATCTGAAAACTGTGACCTGACCAACTTGTGCCTGCACTAGATCAATCTTTCACCATACCTGGGGAGGGTATGGGGACAATTCTGACTATAAGTGCCAGCCATTATGAAAAGTCTGAATGTTAGTTGCCAAGGCAAAAGCAGTAGAAAAAGGCTGCTTTGGGATGAAAAAGAAAAGCTGACTTTTGTCACTATCTCTAAGACAACAATTTCTCAGTATAATACATTATCAACTGAGGACTACTTGTATGTATAGTTCTTTCAAATATTTCTATCTTTTGCAAGTCATTAGTTCACATGTAACCCTTATTCTCACTTCAGAATTAAAAATTTGAGGCTGGGCACAGTGGTGCACACCTGTAATCCTGGCACTTTGGGAGGCCGAGGGAGGCAGATCGCTTGAGGTCAGCAGTTCGAGACCAGGCAGGGCAACATGGTGAAACCCCATCTCTACTAAAAACACAAAAATTAGCTGGGTGTGGTGGCACATCTCTGTAGTTCCAGCTAGTCGGGAGGCTGTGGCAGGAGAATTGCTTGAACCCAAGAGGCAGAAGTTGCAGTGAGCCAAGATCACGCCACTGCACTCCAGCCTTGGCAGCACAGCAAGACTCTGTCTCAAAAAAAAAAAAAAAAAAATTATATGCCTGGTCGTAGAACTTCCCGCCACACAGATGTCAGCCATAGCCTGGGTTATATTTGGCTCTGTGACTGCATTCATGGGAGCTGCCCTCCTGCCAACTTAGCCCTGCCCCAGTAGCTGAGCCAGTCCTGTCTGAGGGGCTTCCCGTCTCCTCCTCCCATGCAGCCGAGGCACTCATGCTGGCCGTCACACTGGAGCCTCTGTGCTCCTTAACTGCTTGCCCAAGTCCAGCCTGCCACCATATCCCTGTTCTAAAAATTATACTCTGAACCTGACTTCCCTCTGGGCTCTAATTTATAAGTCTGGGATTTTGCCTCAGTTTCCTTAGGGAATTCCTTTTCTGGTAAACTGCTAAGCATTCCAGCTCCCTCCTGGGACTGGGCCATCTGCCTTAGTCCTTGCTCTTGTCAGTTCCTGTCTCCAGCATGCCACCCAAGGACAGACTCCTCAGATGTGGACTGCCTGGTGGACTGCTTACCCCATTGTAATCATGCGCTTAGACTAGGTTTTTACTTTACCCTTGACTATCATCATAATTGCCTCTGGGATTTTCCACCCTTCCATCTTTCCATCCATCCATCCATCCGCTCACCTACCCAAACACCTACCTACTCATTTATCCATCTGTCTATTCACGTATCTACCTATGTATCCATCCAACGGTCCATCCATCCATCCATCCATCCATCCATCCATCCATCCATCCATACTTTAATTCATTTATTCTTTCTCTCATTTATTAGGAACTTACTCTTTGCCAGCCTCTGTGCTTAGTGGTAGAGAAACAATGGTTTCTAAGACAGATATCATTCCTCCTCTAGCAAGGGAGACAGAAGTTAAAGAAACATTTACAACAAAGTGTGATAAGTCGCTGTCTCATGCATTGGCCTAAGTGGGTGGGTGCAATGCCAAGTTCCTATACTTCTGTCTTGCCCTGTTTCTCTAAGTGCACACAGCTTTACTCTGTGGAGGCAAAACAGACTAGTATTTTCAGTTCTCTTTTTGAGAACTTTAGGAGAAAAAAAATGCTATCATTCCAAGTCAGGAGAGCAAGCATTAACATTATACACATATTTACGTAATAATCCCCTAGACTTGTATGGGGTTTTGAAATATGCAAATACTTTTATTTACAGATATTATTTGTTCTTCAGAGCATACCTGTGAGGTATATGCAGGATAGGTATTATTTTCATCCTCACTTCATGGAACAAAAACTAAGGTTCATAAAAGTTAAAATAGTTTTACCAAAGCCTAGAGCTGAAACTAAAATTAAGCTTTATTATTGTCAATATAGGCTTCTATCCACGTTATTAATACTCAATGGAAACTTGCACAGTTTCCAAAATCTTAGGAACGTCAGTTCCAGTTATTGCCATCTATATTTTTAAACAGGTTAATGCTCACAGGATAGCCTTTTATGTCACTTGTTTTATAAAAAGACAAAAGATAACACACAGAACTCTAAAGTATTGATTTATATTCCATTAACTGTTTATTACTTTAATCTATGAATCCAAGTGGGGAGGTAGAAAGATGAAATCACTTGCCTCTTATCTTTGAAAGATGTGAGCTCATTATTAAACCCTGACAAAAACAGCAGGTAGCTCAGGAAACATTTTCCAAAGAACACTTAGAGATTTTGATTCATGACTGAAGTTCTACTGTGGCATTTTCCTCTCCATCACCCTTCATGGGGAAGCCTCATCCTATTATCATCTGTTGTCATATTTAACTAGGGTCATCAGAATGTGTTGTTATATGTCACTTGTTTCTTCTTCCTTTTTCTTTATATAGCACTATGACTTTTATTTTCCCAAACAGTTTGTGTGTTTGAAACTGCAGTTGTTTCTTTTGGGGGCAGCCTCCTTAAGTCCACCATGGTGGTTAGTTTTAAGATATTAATAAACAAGGCAAAATTCAAATGTGTATCACACTCCTGGATCTTAGTTACCCTATTTTTCTATTTACCTTGTGATATGGCTTGGCTCTGTGTCCCCACCTGTATTATCTGTTCTCCTGCTGCTAATAAAGACATACTCAAGACTGGGTAATTTAGAAAGGAAAGAGGCTTAATTGACTCATAGTTCAGCATGGCTGGGGAGGTCACAGGGAACTTACAATTGTGGCAGAAGGGGAAGCAAGCATGTCTTTCTTCACATGGCAGCAGCAAGAAGAAATGCAAAGTGAAGTGGGGGGAAAGCCCCTTATAAAACCATAAGATCTTGTGAGAACTCACTCACTATCACAAGAACAGCATGGAGGGTAACCACCCCCATGATTAAATTACTTCCCACTGGGTCCCTCCCACAATGTGGGGATTATGGAAACTACAATTCAAGATGAGATTTGGGTGGAGACACAGTAAAACCATATCATTCTGCCGCTGGCCCCTCCCAAATCTCATGTCCTCATATTTCAAACACAATGATGCCCTTCCAACAGTCCCTCAAGGTCTCAACTCATTCTAGCATAAACTCAAAAGTCCAAGTCCAAAGTCTCATCTAGACAATGCAAGTCCCTTCTGCCCATGAGACTGTAAAATCAAAAGCAAGTTAGTTACTTCCTAGATACAAGTGGGGTACAGACATTGGGTAAATACACCCATTCCAAATAAGAGAAATTGGCCAAAACAGAGGGGCTATAGGCACCATGCGAGTCTGAAATCCAATAGGTCAGTCATTAAACCTTAAAGTTCCAAAATGATCTTCTTTGACTCCATGTCTCACATCCAGGTCACGGTGATGAAAGAGTGGGCTCCCATGGCCTTGGGCAGCTCTGCCCCTGTGGCTTTGCAGGGTACAGCTCCCATCCTGGCTGCTTTCATGGGCTGGCATTGAGTGTCTGCAGCTCTTCCAGGCATACAATTCAAGCTGTTGGTGGATCCACCATTTGGGAGTCTGGAGGATGGTGGCCTTCTTCTCACAGCTCCACTAGGCAGTGTCCCACTGGTGACTCTGTGGGGACTCTAACCCCACATTTCCCTTCTACATTGCCCTAGCAAAGATTCTCCTGAGGGATCTGCCCCTGCAGTAAACTTCTGCTTGGATATCCAGGCATTTCCATATGTCCTTTGAAATCTAGGTGGAGATTCCCAAACTTCAAGTTTTGTCTTCTGCGCACCCACAGGACCAACACTATGTGGATGTTGCCAAGGCTGGGGGGCTTGCACCCTCTGAAACAATGTCTTGAGCTGTAACTTGGCCCCTTATAGCCATGGCTGGAGTGGCTGGGACACAGTCCCGAGGCTGGGCACAGCATGGGGGGCCCTGGACCCAGCCTGCAAAACCATTTTTCTCTCCTAGTCCTCCAGGCCTGTGACGGGAGGGACTGCTGTGAAGGTCTCTGACATGCCCTGGAGACATTTTCCCCATTGTTTGGTGATTAACATTTGACTCCTCATTACTTATGTGAATTTCTGCAGCTGGCTTGAATTTCTCCCTAGTAAATGGGTTTTTATTTTCTATTGCATCATCAGGCTGCAAATTTTCCAAACTTTTATGCTCTGCTTCTTCTTGAAGGCTTTGCCACTTAGAAGTTTCTTTCCCCAGATATCCCATATCATCTCTCTAAAATTCAAAGTTTCACTTATCTATAGGGTGGAGGCAAAAAGCCACCAGTCTCTTTGCTAAAGCATTGCTGGAATCACCACTGCTCCAGTTCCTCATCTCCATCTGAGACCACCTCAGTCTGGACTTCACTGTCCATATCGCTATCAGCATTTTGGTCAAAGCCATTCAATAAGTCTCTAGGGAGTTCCAAACTTTCCCACATTTTCCTGTCTTCTGAGTCCTCTAAACTGTTTCAACCTCTGCCTGTTACCCAGTTCCAAAGTCGCTTCCACATTTTCAAGTATCTTTACAGCAACGCCCTACTGTCTGCAGTACCAATTTACTATATTAATCTGTTCTCACACTGCTAATAAAGGCATACCTGAGACTGGTTAATTTATATTGGAAAAAGGTTTAATTGACTCACAGTTTAGCATGGCTGGTGAGGCCTCAGGAAACTTATAATCATGGTAGATGGGGAAGAAAACATGTCCTTCTTCACATAGCAGCAGCAAGGAGAAGTGCAGAGTGAAGGGGGCCAAAGTCCCTTATATAACCATCAGGTCTTGTGAGAACTCACTCACTATCACAAGAACAGATTGGAAGGTAACTGCCCCCATGATGCAATTACCTCCCACTGAGTCCCTCCCATGACATGTGAAGATTATGGGAACTGCAATTCAAGAGAAGATTTGGGTGGGGACACAGCCAAAGAGTATCACTATATGAAACTCATGTTGAATTAGAGTTCTCATGAGATCTGGTTGTTTGGAAGTACATAGCACCTCCCCCTTTGCTCTATCTTTCCTGCTTCGCTATGTGAAGAGGTGCCTGCTTCCCCTTCACCTTTCACCATGATTGAAAATTTCCTGAGATCTTCCCAGCCACGTTTCCTGTACAGCCTGCAGAACCGTGAGCCAATTAAACCTCTTATCTTTATAAATTACCCAGGTAGTTTATAAACTACTCAGGTAGTTCTTTATACCAATGTGAGAATGGACTAATACACCTTGTTTCTGGAATTATGGGTAAAATCCAGTATTTGGTATCATATAATTAAAAGTATTTAAAATATGAAATTTCTCATTTTTAAAATGTGGATTCTGTTCATGCAGATAAACCTTAACAGTTATTTTATAGTTTCTTGAATACTTGAAGCAAGGGTATTCCAGAAATCTAAAAACTGGTCTTATAACTCTTTAATTCTATTAAGCAGAGAGCAACCTGACAATCATGAGGGGTGAGGTCAAAGGGCAGTGTGACTGCCACCTGATACTTCTGTGCCATTTGCTGTCAGGTGACTTTGTCACTAGTTTTGTAGAATGGAGAACTTTCTCTCATGATTCTCACTCGCTCCCTGATCTTTTAGGTCTGAATATGTATTCTCTGAAGCTTTATTGGTGGTAGCATTATGAACTTGTCACCATGGGAGCCCCATGAGGGATAGATAGTATATCGGCAGGGAGGAAAAACACCCCCAAATCTCCTATGATGTGGGCTCTTTTAGAATTGATTTTTTTTCTCAATAATTTTAATGAAATCCTTCTCAGCATGGCAAAGTAAACCATTAGTCTGTTTTGAAAAGTGCATATTTCTTCCAAGTTGAAAAGAATCATTGTTCTGCATGGATAAGATCACAGTTCATTTAATAGCTCCATATAAATAGTTCTAGAAAATCCACAAGTATAAATCATAACTACACAACAGTACACATAGACAGACAACAGGGATGTGCCATTCCTTTAGGAAGAGCAGGACACGTTGGTGTAAGTATTAAGGTGAATTTAGTGAATGGAAAATTCCCTGTAACTTTATCAACTCTTTTCAATTGGAGTTTTTCTCAGAAATTATACTGAAGGTACAAGACCCAAACACACCAAGATGACAATGCTACAGGTGCTAATCTAAATTGAGATTGTTCATATTTGGTAACATTTAAAGGTGGTTAAGTTTTTAGCCACAATATCAAACCTTTCATAGCATTCTTTCTTTAATTACATATTACTCACTGAAAATAACATTTTCTTCAGTGTATACTTGAGCACTGGCTTTAGAAAATGCATGCTCCTAGAATGATTAAGAGAAAATTCCCTTTTTATATTTAGGAGGCAAGCACCAAAACTTTGAATCAAGTTGAGATCAAATTTTATGATTTAGATCATCTTTATTAAGTATTTAAACTGAGGTATTATTTTGCGTGCTTTGGGAGCAGAAAGTTGATGGTATGTTTTCCGTTCTCAAGGAGATTTTTAGTCAAGGAAAATATAGGTCCGCACATACTGTGATAAATAATTCCAAATACAAGTTTGGTTCCTGCTCATGTGACATGAGCAGTGAGGTTGGCACAGGGATCTGGTCACTGTGGTCACTGAGGGACACAGGCTGGCAAGGGTTTCATCTGGACATGCATTTCCAAGTTCACCACAGCGGTTGAGAGAGACTGGGGACTCTGTGGGCTCTCCTGATGTATCTTTTTCATTTGTTTAACTTTTAAATTTTAGGTTCAGGAGTACATGTGCTGGTTTGCCATATAGGTAAATTGCACACCGTGAGAGTTTGGTGTACAGATTATTTCATCATCCAGATGATAAGCACAGAACCTGATAGGTAGTTTTTTATCCTCACTGTCCTCCCATGCTCCACCCTCAAGTGGGCCCCGGTGTCGTCTGTTGTTCTCTTCTTTGCGTCCATGTGTACTCAATGTTTTAGCTCCCACTCTTAAGTGAGAACATGCAGTATTTGTTTTTTTTGTTGTTGTTCCTGCATTAGTTTGCTTATGGAAATGGCCTCCAGCTACATCCATCTTGAGACTTCTGCTTACATTTTATTGGCCAGTGCAAGTCCCAGGGTCACGACTAACTGTAAATAAGGCAGGGAAGTGTAATTCTGTGGTGTACCCTGGGAGCGACCTGGCACTGTTTGGTGAACTGTACTAATGCTGCCACAGAATGGTGAGATGTGTGTGGGCCACCCCCATGTCCCTGTGCCATCAGAGGTGTGAGTTAAGTGGGCTGCTATAAAAATTTAGGAAAAATATATTAGAAAATTCCAGATTGCTTAGAATTATACTGTCATAAGTAAGAAAGGTGAGATGTGCAGGTGGATGTGTCATCTTCACTCCACTGTTGCCACGGCTGATTCTCTCAATGTTAATAAAAGAAAACGACTCTCACAGAGGAGGTGTATACTTTTACAAAGGATGTATATATGCGGGGAAGGGGAAAAATAGAGGGTTGATCATCTTCCCTTTAAAGATAGATACATATTCATGTGGTATATAAATTCAGGGCTGTCATGAAGCAAACACTGATGATGAGGTGAGAGAGGCAGGTTATCTATGGGGAAGGGGGCAGGAGAAGGCCGTGGAGCCTTCAGACCAAAGCTCAGGTCTGATCCTGTCATGAAAGAAAGGGGGAAGGAATGAGGATCCTCGTACTGCAAGGTGTTTCTAAGAAAGGTTTGGGCAGGCTGATGGGTGGCCTGCAAGCCAAAGTCACTCCTAAGAGCGCTAGCACTGTTTGCTAGCTGTGCCTGTCTTCATACTTCTGATGTGCTTAGTCACTGGCCAGAAGCGGCCTGGGGAAAACACAAAACTTGACATAAATGTGGTAGATTCAGAATGGCCAGAAACTAGCCCTCAGACAGTTATGATCCCACAGCATGAGATCTGGGTGGTACATTTTTATGGCTACAACACATGGTTTTTAGATCCTGTCAATTCTGTATTAGCATTGGTCTTCCTTGGATAGTACAATTCCAAAGGAAGCTAACAAGTGGTGAACTAATAAGCAAACAACCTCAAAAGTCAAGGACTGTTACTTCATCACTGAAACCAAAGTAAGTCCTGTCCTCTCAGGCTGTGGTCTGAGGTCTTATATAGTCTGGAGAATTCCAAAGAGGTTAAGACCCTAGGAGCCACCTAGGAATTGAGACATACACTAAAAAATACCTGGGGGACTGATTTGGTTTCAGATATTCAGACTGACCCCAGGAAAGTACCTCTAATGAATCTACAGAGCCCTTTTATTTTCAAAGGATTTTCTAGATGAATCTAAGACCAATGCACTTTAGCATCTTTCTAATCCACAAGCACATCCGGATGATAACTAGACTCATTGTGGGATAAATTTGGTAGCAGACTGGAGAAGATAACTAGGAGCTTTCTTTTTTTCTCATTTGCATTTATTAGCAACTGACCATACATACACACACACACACACACACACACACACACACACACACACACACACACACACACACATTACAGCAGGTAGTTAGACAGACATGAGCAGGGCAGGAGAGGGGCTCCTGCCACCAGCAATGTCAGGTGACCATCAGGTGATGGTCTGATGGTTAGGCAGTTTTTAAACTGTCTCTGAAATAATAATTGATGGCAGCCAGCACCAGGGAAAGGCAGTCTCCCAATAGACAGAAAACTCCTGAAACTGGTGATCAGCAACTTCTCGATAAGATCTCAGGAGTTGAAGTACACCCAAGCATGCATTAAGAGGCAAAATGGCAGGCTTTAACTGGTATATGACCTTGTAGGAACACTTTATTGGTAAGGGAAAAACACCTCAAGTGAGCATGTGTACAACTCCAGTAAACACACTGTGTGTGCAGCCCCTCCCAAGTGCTGGAAGGCCACTGCGCATGTGGACAGCCCACCCTAACGGAAGAATCAGGGGAGAAGGATCGCAATCCCCCAGAAGCCTGCCAATGTATAAGACTCCAAGTCAAAGGTCAAACCATGCACGTGAATCTCTCAAGTTGCCTGCTTGGCCCTCTTCCAAGTGTACTTTACTTCCTTTCTTTCTTGCTGTAAAACTTTTTAATAAACTTTCATTCCTGCTCTAAAATTTGTCTTGGTCTCTCTCTTTCTCTCTCTGCTTTATGCTCCTTAGTCAAATTCTTTATTCGGAGGAGGCAAGAATCAAGTATGCTTCAGACCTGTATGGATTCGCCGCTGCTATCATACTTTGGCACTGTGACTTGGATATGTCACCCAGTGTTAAGACACCTCTATGACTTGCCTTCCTTAGCTGGATGTGTTCAACCCCTGTACATGATTTTCTCCTCCCCTTTCACTATTGTGCTTACTAACCAACTAGTAGGGATGATTCCTCTCAGCCATAGAGGCTCTGCTCCTCCTGGCTGATCTCTCGGTTCACTCTGATGGGTGGCTTGTGGAGGAAGGAAGAACCCTGGAGTCTGCACTAAGTAGACCTGAGGCACTTATGGCCCTCTGGGACAGGAGGCTTATGAGAGTAGTAGGGTTAAAGCCTGAGACCATGCAATGCCTGGGGTTTCCTCTGCTTTTTCAACTAAAATCAGCTCTTTCCCAAAAACCCACACAGCCTATTCTCCTGTTTTCTCTGTGTATATTTGAAATGGCCTTGCACACCTGCCAGACAGTCCACATTGGGAACAAATCTGTCTCTTCTCTGTTTTAATTTCACATGTAAAGACACACTCCCTGTTATTTGTGTGCCCGGGGCTCTTGTTGCATTTGTGTAGCAGCAAAGAAATAGACTCCCTTTCATATGTCTGTTGGCTCATTGCCAGGACAGACACTAATTGGAACCCTAACTCTGCCAGCTCCTTATGATTTACCATATACTTTTTGTTCCTGCTATGCCCCAGGGCCAAGTTTTTCAGTGGCTTTTGAAGCAGTTTTTCTGCCTGCACAGGGCCTTACTCTGTAGCCTTTTAAGGGCCCTGCCTACTTGCTTTTTTTGAATTAGCACCCCTTTGGGAGGAGGGAAAATTCTTTCTTTACCATTTATGAGCACTTACCCCAATCCTCAAGTCCTCCAGAAGTTCCTTCTTTATGTCAAGAGGGCAAATGAACATTCCTCTCTTGAATCCAACATATAAAGGCTTTCCATGAGTATTCCTCTTGTTTTCTCCCACTTCCTCCTGTAGCCTCCGTTTCTCTAATAATGTCCATGCCCTTTTCAATATGCCTTGAGACCTTCAAGGTCTTATTCAAAGGGAGAGGAGTCTAGATTCTTGCAGCAGCTAGCTGCAAAACAGGCCTCCTGTCTACTTAAAGAACATGGGAAATTGGGAATCTGAGAAAAGAGACAATCATTTTGTTGCTAAAATGCTCTGAGTGAGAGTCACCATAAGGTCATGGAGACAAGGACATAGGCTGGCCCAAGGCCAAAGGCTCAAGAGACCCACAGGACAGAGATGAAGGCTAGTCTGAGGCTAACAGATTACCATGAGAACAGAGATGCAGGCAGGGTTAGGGGTACACAGGTAAGGGCAGTGGTAAGACCAGTACATTTCAAAACCCCAAGGATGAATAGGGGGCCCTCTGTGTGCTCCATTGCCTCCTCTGTAATTGTGGCAAGATGGGACCAAGGGTCCATGGTAAGACTGGTTCATTCCAGAATCCTAAAGATGAATGGGGGCTGCCCTGTTCAGGATAGGGAAATAAGAGGGCTGCCCTTGTTCCTTTTCCTTTTTTTTCTCCCCTTTTCTTTCTTTGCACATGGGTAACTGTGTCTCCATACTCAGGACACTCCCCTTGGATGCATCCCCAAGAATTGGGAAAAGTTTGATTTCCCCAAACCTTAAAACAAAAAAAAACTAGCTTTCTTTTGTAACACTGTTTGGCCTAAAAATAAACTAGAAGGCATGAGCCGCCGCACCTGGCACTTTGGGAGGCCAAGACAGGTGGATCACCTGAGGTCAGGAGTTTGAGGCCAACCTAACCAACATGGAGAAACCCTGTCTCTACTAAAAATACAAAATTAGCTGGGTGTGGTGGTGCATGCCTGTAATCCCAGCTACTCGGGAGGCTGAGGCAGGAGAATCACTTGAACCTGGAAGGTGGAGGTTATGGTGAGCCAAGATCGTGCCATTGTACTCCAGCCTGGACAACAGGAGCAAAACTCCATCTCAAAAATAAATAAATAAATAAATAAATAAACAGACTGGAAGAAAATTACAAAAATCAGCCTTAGAACTCGTGCCCTTAGACAGGAAATCCTCAAATTAGCTTCTTCAGTCTTTTATAACTGAGATTAGAACAAGGAGGACAGGGCTAAGGAGAAAGAGAAATGCAAGATGCAGAGGCAGGCTCAACTACTGGCTGCTTTAGAAGTTGTCCGGCCCCCTCCAGGATGCCCTCAGAATACCCTCCCAGGTAATGGCCACTGGTGCTAGAAGCCAGGCCACTGGAAGGCAAACTGCCCCAATGGAATTAGTGGGAAAAAGCCCCGCACAACTTGCTCCCTCTGTTACAAGCTCTGCCACTGGAAACAGTACTTCCCTTAAGGCCAAAGGGTCTCCAGGACAGAATCCCAATCCTTGATGTCCTTAAGATGAAGGGTCTCTCTGCTCTAGCTGGCTTCCAAATCAGACATTGTCATTAATGGGATAAAGCCAAGGGCAACTCTGGAGTTGGGAAGTAAAATGATAAATTTCTCTCTTGAGTTCAAGGGCTGCCTACTCTGTGCTAGTCTCCTCTGAGCAACTCTCCTCCAAATCCTGTTGGGTAATGGGGCAAATGGCACCCCCTCCCTCTAAAAGAAAAGGTTAACACTGCTTTAGGGTAAAAATATACTTCCCAAGATGGGTACCTGCTTAATATTTACCAACCTCTGAATTCATCTTTCTCTCTGATAGCCCTATTTCTCCTGGAAAGATACCTAAATCTTCAACCTGCAACTTTAACCTCGACAGTCCTGCCTCGGAGGTTTAAAAATAGCCCACAATTATTCAGACAAGCTCTAGTGAAAATCAAACTGAGCAATATCTTGAGGAAGAATAGCTTCTACAGTATGTACATAACTTCCTCATTTTGCTCCCCCTTCACAGAACTTGCACAACAACTTGCAGTACAAACAACTTCCTCACAGAAGGAAAATGACTTATCTCATTCAAAAGTTATCAAGGTAAATAAGTATTTCTCGTAAGGAAGATTATAAATAAAAATATTTTCTATGATAAAGGATCTTGTATGGTAAATTCTTGTCCTAAAGCAAAATGACTGGTTATTTGAAAAAGAAAGATGTTTTGGAGAAGTCAGAAAGTCCAAGCATGTTGTATATGATCTATGTAAGTCATGAGAAAATTCATGAAAGGAAATTTATGAAAGAAATGTGGTAAAATTTAAAGGTTATTAGGCCTACTAAATGCATCATGAAGTGCTACTACGACTCTTAACTGTACAACTTGCCTTCTTTAAACCTCGGTAAGGCCTGGGGACATATAAAGCTAGCCATGCCCTCTAGCTATGCTGGACAGAGTCAGACCTTATCTTCACTTCTATCTGGTGTCCTAGTCTTCACACCTAATACATAATTAGAATTGCCTACTTACCAAGTTTTCACCAAAAGTAAAAGTTGCCAAGAGTTAACAGTGTAACATGTACTTGAGACTACTGGAAAAATAATTTTACATGCAGGGCATGTAAGGAAATTAGAATGTGCTTTTTGTAAAAGATTATAAGAATACATGGGAATGTGAATTTTTTTGCCTAGTTTAGAGGGTTAAAGGATTGTTTTAAGTTAGATAGGATAAAGCTGAAGGTTTGAGGAAGTTGTGGAAGGTTTGTGAAAGATTAATCTTATAAAAATCTGTGTGTGAACATATTAGCTAAATTTAAAGGGGTATTATTCAGTTTACCCATAAATTGAACATTGGAATAAAAGTACAACATTTTTTTTGAGATCACTGTTCTGCTCTTTAACAGAAAATTGTAAAAGATTATAAAAGGTTTATAAAAATCTTATCTTATGGTCAAACTGACTAAGATTAGATACATTTGTCTATAAGGTTTTACTAAGAATTGGGTTTAACATCCATGGTGCTTTCATGCAAAGGTACAATTTGGATTTCTTTGGATGGTATTTGTATAAGTGTGTTACTGGTATGTATTCCAAAATTATGCAAAACTTCTATAATTCTGATATGACTTAGTATATGTTATCAGTAATAATTATAATTGTTACAGTAAATTATGTGTGCCACAGAGGTAACAAATTTTCTATCAGCTGTGTCTTTGACTGTGGCTTCCCTAGGACTTTTTGTCATCCACAGACAGTTTTTGTCTTGTTTTAATCCTCTTGAAAAGATGGTTTTATAATCACCTATAGGACTGTAACAGGTGCTCTTAAATGCAGGATGCTGATAACTTTAGAGATTGTGACATTAAAATGGAGAGGAAAGAACTTCTATCACTCTTTTGGAAAACTAATGTGTTCATAAATATCAAGCAAAACAAGAATTAAGTAGCCAAAGTAATCCTTGTGTGACTTTTTGTTTAAAATATTGCTGATCCTTTGTTTTTCAGAAAGTGTATTCTTCTAAACAAAATTTGGAGCATATTTCTTTCTACCTGAGTACTCCAAAATTTGGAAACTATTTGTGAGTATTCTTAACTTACGGCAATATAGTGATTTGCCTAAGCGCAGTAAGAATCTGTTTTCTTTCACAACAGGACACAATTGGAGAAACTGGTTATTTTACCAGGGCTTTAACTGGAATGGCATGCTTTCCTTTAAGCAATCAAATTTGACTTATCAAGCCAATAAAAGCCCCTTGGGAAAACTGGCCTCATACCTCATCTACACAGTCCGTGTACAGGGTACCTGATTTGTGGTAAGTAAAGAATGTCACTTTCTGACAGGCCCAGGAGCTCCAAGTTATCTTGGGACCTTGAGGAGAGAAGCTTACCCAACTCATACATGTATTTGATGGCACAAACCTATGGCTGGGCTTAAGGCTTTAAAAGTTATTATCTGAGATTTCTTATGGAATGAAGTTCCATCAAAGCCAATTTAAAAAGAAACTTATATGGCAAATAATTATTTTTGCCGTGCTTCATGCAAATAATCAGGCCAAGTGTAATAAGACTAAAGTTTATTTTGCAAACAAATCAGTCTCATTATGATTTGTTTTTAATAAAAATGAGAATGGGAGAGAAAAATTATGTTTCAAGAACTATAGTATACCTGTTATTAGATTCTAGTCCCATCAATTGTTTTAACTTTCTTTTTTTTCCCTGCAATTTAGACTGACCCTGTTTCTTACTGTGAACCAACCAGTGATCACTGGCTACAGCTTAGAAGAAACAAGAGGGATGGGCCATCAAGCTCCATATAATCCTTAGTGAGGGATACCATTCTCTCAATATTAAAGATTTCATTGCTTCTAACATATACACACACAAAAATACATTATATATATTCCTTTGAAAACATCATCCAGGTGTATTAATGCTTTTTTTATGTTTAGACAAATAAATTGGCTAAAAACATTAATGGAAAATTTGGGACTCAGAGCCTATACTTTATAAAAAAGCTTGGTATCCAAAAGGAGAGTTTTTCTTGGTAACAGATACAGAGTAGAACTTCTCTAATGAGAGGCGATAAATGGCTAGCATATATAATACAGTAAAGTCACTGAAGCAATGTTACACATATTCTCCTATCAATATATTCAATATTGGAGTTTACTACAATCTATGAAGGGTTTTGTTTCCATTGCTATCCAGGAATAACTACATTTTGAGCTCAAAAGTCTGCAGATAAGCTTGGCTAAGGCAATGAAGCTAGCAGGAAAGTCTCTTATTTATCTGACTATATAAGATACAGAAGAGAGGATCTTTTATTCTGAAGGAAATTAAAATATTTTACCCCAAAATATATTTTTTGACATATTTTGAAACAGCTATTGGTTGGCCACCCTGACAGAAGTGGCCTTACAAGGCTGTCTTAAGTGGGGCAAATTTGCATTTTTAGAGAATCTCCATTAATGCAGTCATACCCCCTCTACCTTCCATGCCTTTCCTCAGATCTAGGAGAGATAAAGAGTTTTATACCTATAAAAATCTGAAAAGAAACATTTACTATCTATTCTCACTAAGGGAGCCTTCATCTACATAACAAGGCCACCTTGCTACCCAAGCTTCTTCCTTCCTTTCTCTCTTAACCTGTTGCCACTAAAGCTGATTTACCTGTTTCTGGCCAGGCTCTGAGGCTGCATTCTTTACATGGTCTCAGGGTGGTTTCTGTAACTCATTAGGTAGTTGGGTCTTCATTCTGAAGGCTCCCATGTATGCATATTAAATAAATTTGTAGCCCATTTTTCTATTAATCAATCCACCTCATGTCAGCAATTTTTAGTGAATCTTTAAGGGGCTGAGAGCCTATGGCCCCCACAATTCATTCTCAAATCCAAGTGTTTCCTAATGTAGTTTCACCCACCTGGCATGTCCTCCTGGATCTAAAACTTACTCAGTCTTTTAGCATCTGGCATCATCAGTCAAAAGCTTTGTTGTCATTGATCTGATATTCTAGAGAAATCATCTGTACCATATAATCTACTACTTAGGTTTTGTCTTTTTTTTTCCACTAATGAATTCTCATTTAAATTAGAAGGACAGTATCTCATATATCTTTTACACCCTCCAATCAGTTCTTATCACAAAACTATATATATATGTAGATCAAAAATAAAATTCTAAGCCCCTCAACCAACTGAAGGGACCCCTCTTCTCAGCCAAGGACATTCCAAAGTTAATTTGAAAAACTAGTTCAGTGAAAGAGATAGAGACACATGAAAAACCATTCAAAAGATCAATGAATCCACGAGATTTTTCTTGAAAAAATTAATACAATAGACTGCTAGCGAGACCAACAAAGAAAAAAAGAGAGATGATTCAAATGAACACAATCAGAAATGATAAGGGGGACATCACCACTGACCCCACAGAAATAGAAACAGCCATCAGAGACTATTATGAACACCTTTATGCACATAACTTAGAAAATCTAGAAGAAATGGATAAATTCATGGACACAGACACCCTCCCTAGACTGAACCAGGAAGAAACCGAATCCCTGAACAGACTCATAATCAGTTCTGACTGAAGTAGTAATAAATAGCCTACCAATAAAAAAAAGCCCAGGACTGGATGGATTCACAGATGAATTCTAACAGATGTACAAAGAAGAGCCAGTATATTCCTACTAAAACTGTTCCAAAAAATTAATAAGGAGGGATCCTCCCTGAAGTAGGCATCACCCTGATACCAAAACCTGGCAAAGATACAACAAAAAAAGAAAACTTCAGGAAAATATCCTTGAAGAACATTGATGCAAAAATCCTCAACAAAATACTGAAAAATCAAATCTAGAAGCACATCAAAAAGGTTATCCACCACAATCAAGTAGGCTTCATCCCCATGATGCAAGGCTGGCTTAACATATGCAAATCAATAAATGTGGTTCATCATATAAACAGAACTAAAGACAAAAACCACATGATTATCTCAATAGATGCAGAAACGTCTTTTGATAAAATTCAACATCCATTCATGTTAAAAAAAATCTCAATAAACTAGGTACTGAAGGAATACCTCAACATAATAAGCAACATATATAATAAACTCATAGTTAACATTATACTGAATGGGCAAAATCTAGAAGCATTTCCCTTGAAAACCGGCACAAGACAAGGATGCCCTCTCTCATCACTCCTATTCAACGTAGTGTTCTGGCCAGGGAAATCAGGCAAGAGAGAGAAATAAAGGGCATTTAAATAGTAAGAGAAGAAGTCAAACTATCCCTGCTTGCAGATGACATGATCCTATTTCTAGAAAACCCCATAGTCTCAGCCCAAAAGCCTCTTAAGCTGCTAAACAACTTCAGCAAAATTTCAGGATACAAAATTAATGTGCAAAAATCACTAGCATTTCTATACACCAACAACAGCCAAGCTGAGAGCCAAATCAGGAATGAATTCCCATTCACAGTAGCCACAAAAAAATAAAATACTTGGGAATACAGCTAACTAGGGAGGTGAAAGATTTATATAAGCAAAACTACAAAGCACTGCTCAAATAAATCAGAGATGACACAAACAAATGAAAAAACATTCCATGCTCATGGATAGGAAAAATCAATGTCATTAAAATGGTCATACTCTCCAAAGCAATTTATAAATTCAATGCTATCCCCATTAAACTACCACTGACATTCTTTGCAGAACTAGAAAAAAAAATTAAATTCACATGGAACAAAAAAAGGGCTTGAACAGCCAGCCAATCCTAAGCAAAAAGAACAAAGCTGAAGGCATCAAGCTCCCCAACTTCAAACTATACTACAAAGCTACAGTAATCAAAACAGCATGGTGCTAGTACAAAACAGACACATAGACCAAGGGAACAGCATAGAGAAGTCAGAAATATGACCACACACCTACAAGTATCTGATCTTCTACAAACCTGATAAAAACAGGCAATGGGGAAAGGATACTCTTAAATGGTGTTGGGATAACTGGCTAGCCATATGCAGAAGACTAAAACTGAACCTCTTCCTTACACTATACACAAAAATCAACTCAAGATGGATTAAGGATTTAAATGTAAAATCCAAGATCATAAAAACCCTGGAAGACAACCTAGGCAATACCATTCAGGACATAGGCACAGTCAAAGATTTCATGATGAAGATGCCAAAAGCAATTGCAACAAAAGCAAAAGTAGACAAATATGTTCTAATTAAACTAGAGAGCTTCTGTACAGCAAAAAAATAAAAATGAAAAAATAAAACTATCAACAGAGTAAACAGACAACCTACAAAATAGGGAAAAGTTTCGCAATCTATGCATCTGACAAGGTCTAATATCCAGCATCTACAAAGAACTTAAACAAATTTACAAGAAAAAAACAACCCCATTAAAAAGTGGGCAAAAGACATGATTAGACACTTTTCAAAAGAAGACATATATGGAGCCAACAAGCATATGAAAAATACCTCAACATTACTGATTATTAGAGAAATGTGAATCAAATCAGAACCGTGAGATACCATCTCACACCAGTCAGGATGGTTATTATTAAAAAGTCAAAAAATAACAGATGCTGGCAAGATTGTGGAGAAAAAGGAAGACTTTTACACTGTTGGGGGGGTGTAAATTAATGTAGCCATTGTGGAGGACAGTGTGGTAATTCCTCAATGACCTAAGGACAGAAATGCCATTCAACCAAGCAATTCCATTACTGGGTATATACTTAAAGGAATATAAATCATTCTACCAGAAAAACACATGCATGTGAATGTTCATTGCAGCACTATTCACAATAGCAAAGACATGCAATCAATCTAAATGCTCATCAATGATAGACTGGATAAAGAAAATGTGGTACATATACACCATGGAATACTATGCAGCCATACAAAAGAATGAGATCATGTCCTTTGCAGGGACGTGGACGGAGCAGGGTGCCATTATCCTTAGCAAATTAACATAGGAAGAGAAAACCAAATACCACATGCTCTCACTTATAAGTGGGAGCTAAATGATGAGAACACATGGACACATAGTGGGGAACAACAGACACTGGGCCTTACCTGAAGGTGGAGGTTGGGAGGAGGAAGAGGATCAAGAAAAACAACTAATGTGTACGGGGCTTAATACCTGAGTGATGAAATAATCCATACAACAGACACCCATGACACAAATTTACCTGTGTAACAAATGGGCACTTGTACCCCTGAACTTAAATAAAAGTAAAAAAGAAAGAAAGGAAGGGAGGAAAGGAGGGAGGGAGGAAGGAAGGAAGGAAGGAAGGAAAAGTAGTTAAAGCCACAATGGGAAGTGGGAGTTAGGGGTTGGACATACCTCATTATATACTTCTCCCTTTGGAATTCAGGCACAGTTGACCAGCGTTAACATTAAAACAGACATCTTGAGACTGCCAAAGCAGACTCTTTGTAGCAATAAGATACTAACATAACCCAGGAGAGAATTAACTGAGAGTTTGGCATTTTTTTTTTTTAAGTCTGATAAGAAACTTTTATGACCTATTCTCTCTGAAACCTGCTACCTGGAGGCTTCACCTGCATAACACAACCCCTTATCTTAACCCAGACACTCTCTTCTATTGATTCCAGGTCTTTAGATAATATTAATAACTTAACCCCTTCAAGCAATTGCCAATTAGAAAATCTTTGAATCCACTTATGACCTAGAACCTCCTCCCTTCACTTCTAGTTGTCCCCCCTTTCCTGACCGAATCAATGTACACCTTACATGTATTGACTTATGTCTTACTACAACATATAAAACCAAACTGTAGACCAACCACCTTGGTTGTATGGTCTTAGGACCTCTTGAGACTGTGCCTTGGGCCCTGGTCACTCATATTTGGCCAGAATCAACCTCAAATATTTTACAGAGTTTGACTGTTTCCATTGACACACATAGTGTACATAATATGTATTACACTTATATATATAAAATGATCAAAGCACACCCTCCTTCTCATTTAGACATATTCCTTTTCTCTGTTTTGTTTCTCCTTTGCATTTATTACCATATGGCATACTATATACACACTAATCTTCTCTCTTTTTATTCAATCATTGCCTCCTCAATGCAATATGGGCTTGATGAGGGGAGGATTAGTTCTTTACTACTGTATCTCTAGGCTTGTAATAGTGACTTACTCAGTAGTTGCTCAATAAATATTGAATGAATGAATAAATAATACACTTTGTGTTTTGGCATAAATTTTAAACTATATTATAATGTTACATATGTTTATGTACGTAGGCATATTTATGCATATTATATATAATGATATATACTATATATTAATGTCATATATTTTTCCATATATTTACATTTGGAAACCATAACTTTAGTCTTCTGATTTTGTGATATTTAATATACCAACAATATCATGAACTGATTTAGATGTTTAGATTATTTTTGGATATTAATAAACATGATGCATAACTATGCATTTTTAACGCATAAAATATGCTTTATAGTATACATTATTGTATAAAAATGTTTTTACATTTGTAGTGACTATGTAATACCTAATAAATAATAGAAATGAAGAGAAATCATTATTTTTGGAATCATAGGGACCTGAAGAGAAGCAGCTAGGTTAGCCGGTTCTTGCTCTGTACTGCCATCTGCTGTGTGTTGGTAAAACTACAGTGAACATGTCAAATGTGTAAAAGCCAGGAACTGGGGAGCACCTTAGAAAACATCCAATCCGATGTCCACGCGTACAGGTGAGGAAACAGAGACAACAGAAATTAAGTGACTTGCAGGCTTGTTGTCTCTCTGATTATTAGTAGAGCTTAATGTGGAAGAAGTGCTGCTTAGTGGCAAGGCTAGGAGTTCTGGAGTCAGATAGGCTTACTTTAGTATTTTGCTACATGGCCTTCATTGAGTTACTTAGCCTTCTCAGTTTCAATGTCCTTTTGGGGTTAGAGCTATTTACATTTTATGATTGCTCTGAGAGTATATAGATAGATATTACCTGGCATGCAGCACAATCATGACTGTGCTTAAGAAATGGTAATTATTTTTATCCTACTAAAGTGTAAGTTCTTCCACAGCAAAGGCATTTTTTCCTTGAAATTCTCAGTGATATAAAGTATTCAAAGCACTTGGTTCATAGTCAGTACTTAATAAGTATTTCTTGATTAAGTGAATGAGAGTAAGGATGAGAATTGGGGTCCCTCACATATCATTGTAAATTACATTGAAAATCATGCCTTGGGGATTGATGATTCTTTGTTGTAAAGTGCAAGTCATACTGACTGATACGGTTTGGATGTGTCGTCACAAAATCTCATGTCAAATTGTAATCCCCGATGTTGAAGGTGGGGCCTGGTGGGAGGTGATTAGATCATGGAGGCAGGTTTCTAATGAATGGTTTGGCACCATCCCCCTTGGTATTGTCCTCGAGACAGTGGATGACTTTTCGTGAAATCTGCGTTTTAAAAGTGTGTGGCACCTCCCCCATGCTCTCGCTTGCTCTTGCTCTGGCCATGTGACATGCCCACTGCCTCTTCACCTTCTGCCATGATTGTAAGTTTCCTGAGGCTTCCCCAGAAGCTGAGCAGATGCCAGCATCACGCTTCCCATACCGTTTGCAGAACGTGAGCCAATTAAACCTCTTTTTAAAATAAATTACCCAGTCTCAGGTATTTCTTCACAGCAATGTGACAACGGACTAATACACTGGCCAATTTATCTCTTCATTTGTTTCTCATGAGGTGCCCTAATCTGTGACTATGTTAGCATGTTTAATGCAAATCAAAATTTCTAGTTCTCACATTTTAGAATAGTTATCTTCACTACTTTTAATTCAAACTGAGACAACAGACAAAGGCTTAATCCATATTTTCTTTTTCTTTCTTTCTTTTTTTTTTTTGAGACAGGGTCTTGCTCTGTCGTCTAGGCTGGAGTGCAGTGGTATGATCTCATCTCACTGAAACCTCCACCTCCTGGGTTCAAGCAATTCTCTTGCCTTGGCCTCCTGCGTAGCAGGGATTACAGGTACCTGCCATTACGCCTGGCTAATTTTTGTATTTTTAGTAGAGATAGGGTTTCATCATGTTGGCTACGTTGGTCCTGAACTCTTGACCTCAGGTCATCTGCCCACCTCAGCCTCCCAAAGTGCTGGGATTACAAGCATGAGTCACCGCATCTGGCCTAATTCTGCATTTTCTACCCAACTTTTTTCACAACAGCTAAATACTAGAGTTTTTTGGTACCTCCACAGAAATCTTTTTTTTATGATTAATCAACCTCTGGATTCAGAGTCCAGAGTGCTCACTATTACACCACGGAAACTCACACTGATTAATCAACATCTGAAAAGAGAATATCGGTTTTGGAAAATTCAAGTAAAAAGAAGTTATATAAAAGTTACTTATAAAAGTATATTTTTTTTGCATAAGGTTTTCCCATATATGATAACTATAAAACAGTTCTTCATTTTCCAAGATCTATGCTAAGAGAAACAGCAGTCAGAAAAGCAACTCTCTTTATTTTATTAATTAATTATGTATTAATATAAGATAAAATAGAATTCATGGCAAGGAGCCTTAAACAGGGCTAAAAGAAGCATTTCCATATGGATAAAAAGGTTGGATCCACAAAGATATAATAATCATAAACGTAAACAAGAAAGAGCTCTTTAATTATATGAAGTAAAAACAATACGTATAAGAAGTTAAAAGTCGTGTTGAGAGAATTTAATACATGCCTCTCAGAAATCTATCATATTCTATTAAAAAATAAAAAAGTGAGTATTAATTCATTATTTCTCAGATTTTAGTGGACATAAGAATCATCAGAAACTGGCCCCATCTCAAAAGCTGGTGCTGTCTTAAGGCAACCTTTATTTTCATCTCTACTCAACTGAGATTTGCTTCTTTGGAGCCCCTAGTAACTTATGAGAAATGTGATTTTTCAATCAGAGATAATCTAAGCAAATGTAGGAGACAGAGTAAATAATTATTTTTGTCTATTCAAGATATTTACATGTTCACTATTATATATAATTCTATAACTATGAAATAAATATTTGACTTATTTCCTTAGAATTGATTTTTAGAAATGGGAAAATATAAATTTAAAAGCTAAAACTTTATATAAAGATATACATGTGTGTGTGTGTGTGTATTCAAATATTTAACTAAAATATTTATTGAAAAACCCAAATTATTGAGAAATCTGTGGTCTGGATTGGAATCTTTCTTTGGGAAAATTAAATATTAATATAACCAACTTTTCATAGGAAATAATAATATGCACATCAAAATGATAAATGTAATTATCTTAAGTTCTGCTCGGTGATCGATTTGCTATTCAAAATGCTTTATAATTTCCTTTAATGATTTCAAGCACAACTAACCAAATCTCCGACTTCCCAGGGCAGTGCCCTCTCCCACAGTTCCCAAGAAACATTTGTCAGCGTCGTCTCAGGAAAACTACACAGCCATCACCGCATTCTAAGGTAGAATTACCTCTAATAATAGTCCCATTATATTAGTGCTTACTCTTTCACAATGTACGATAATGACACTATTCTGAAATCCCTTACTGCAAGAAAAGTTTGTCTCTGACATTGTAATAGGTCCAAAAGGATGGGTCTGGTTGTCTGAATTGTCTCGAAGGAGAGGTGGAAGAGACAATGAGAGCCTTCTTACTTGCAGCCTGTCATTATGATTTTCTAACTCTGTTCAAATACCCATTCATCATTACAGAGAGAATTTCAACTTTGTTAATTCAAAGTTCCCATTGTTCCTAAGTATATTGCAGCCCCCTCAGAGCTGTACTTCAAGAGAGGAGTTTCAGTTAGACTTATGGTCACTTTCCCCACTGAAAAGTACTTTTAAAATACAGAATATAATGAATGTGCTCATATATGTGTGTCTAAATTTTAATTATCTCTTGGTTCCTGTGGCTGCCTTGTAGAGGCTGAGGACATATGCTGTGTGTGTCTGTGTTGGAGGCCGCAGTACTGCTAATGGTGAATATTAAACAGGTAGCATCGGTTCTGTGTAGATGTTAAGCAGTATAAAGCAAAAACTTGGAGTCTATGTTTTTCTGAAGACTTTCTCTTAGAAGAATTACTTTAAGGAGCCCAGATAATTTAGGGGCACAAAAAAAGACCTTCGCTGCATTTTTAGTTGAAATCTGACTTCACTGGTAATGATGAAACTTTTTTTTTTTTCATAGATTGAGATTGGCTTCTCTTAGATGTGATGTGTCCTAAATAGTCAATGTATCAGTCCTATTAGAAATCAGTCTTTCATCTTCATTTTCATCAGCATCATCATTTTCATTATCATCATCATCATCATGATCAACATCATCATCATTTTCAACATCATTATCTTTTTTTTTTTTTTGAGACGGAGTCATCTCTGTTGCCCAGGCTGGAGTGCAGTGGTGCAATCTTGGCTCACTGCAACCTCCACCTCCGGGTTTCAAGTGATTCTTCTGCCTCAGCCTCCAGAGTAGCTGGAATTATGGCTGCATGCCACTGCACGCAGCTAATTTTTGTATTTTTAGTAGAGCCAGGGTTTTGCCATGTTGGCCACGCTGGTCTTGAACTCCTGACCTCAAGTGATCCACCCACCTCGGCCTCCCAAAGTGCTGGGATTACAGGTGTGAGCCACCAAGCCAGACCTTCATTATCTTTTGTAACCACTTTTAATGTTATGAGTTATAGATAAGTATTAACTCAACTATCTCAACAGCCTCATGAAGAAGGTATTATTATTACACCTTGATTTGACAGATAAAGAGACAAAGGCAAGATAATTTAAGTAAGTTGCATAGGGTCCCGGAGTTAGTAATGTTGGAGTAAGAACGTGGACTTCAGAGTAAGTCTACTTGGATTTAGAATCTGGACTCCCCATTACAAACAGTGTGACTGCATGCAAGCTCATCTTCCCTGACTCTTAGTTTCCTCAACTGAAACAGTGGCACATAATCATGGACACACACCAAGGAGATTAAGATGGGATGGGAAAGAGGAGAAGTATAAACTGTGGAAAGAAAAGAGCTTAGAAAAACGGGATGACATCAGCCTGCTTACTAGGCTTCCTCCCTTACATCTGTGCTGTTACCTGTAGAAGTCTGAGTAACCAGGCTCTTAACTCATAACCAATTTTTTGAAAAAGAGCAGGGCTTCGTAAATCCCAGTTTCTCATGCAAAATAGACTCTAAGGTAAAAATCTACGCAAGCCCTAGCACACACAGCTGTTTATCTAAGAGGAAAATGGAATTAGGAGTTCACACTTTAGTAAGAAGAGAACTAAGATATTAAAATGCTCTATCAACAGCACGTTCTTCCAGAGAGTACATGAATTCATTTTAATCTTCTGGCTTTACATTTTCAAATCAGGGAAGTCACCTTCAGGCAGTGCTATCGGAGGATAATGAAGGGGGAAAAAAGAGGTAGAAGCATATCTAAGAGTTCTGATAAAAGTGGTTTAATGCATAAATCAAAGTGACCTTATTTTAATGTTAGGCAGAAATAAATAAGCAGAGGTTCTTTACCTACAAAAAACTAAGTGGATAGAAACTTGATTAATTTCCAATGAATGTTTTTTAAAAAATAAATTAGCTGCTCAATAAGAAATAGAAAAAAATTTGACACTGATAGGAGAAGATATTTAGATATCATCACCCTATTTTGGAGATCCTTAGTCAAATGAGTCAATGAAAGTCAGATTATTCATAGTAAAGCTTTGTTTAGCTAACTATTTAAACTCTGATAATTTAAATACCACAAACAACCAATTAAGACTTTTTAAAATAGATAAAATGAAAATAAAAGGAATGAAACAAGGTCAATATTTTCAACAAAAAGCATGAAGTGAAGATGAAGACATTGGAGAACATTCTTCATAGCCTATATATGAGCAGATAACCTTATTCATAGGGATAGATGGTTTTGAAGAAAATAAGTGAAATTCATCTTTCTCCACAATACTTTATAAAGCTTGACATACTCAAGACATATGCATACAGTAGATGAAAATGTTTTATGTAGAATAAAGACCAATAAACTAGGAGGCGATATAAATGGATTCTAGACTTAGTTCTACTAACTACCTAAACTTGGGTAAGTATATTCATGTCTTTGTGCATCAGTAAATTTTTTTGGCATAGATTATTGGATGGATATATTATTTCTTAGGTTCTACCTCTCATACTCTAGCTAGACACACTATTTTGATTATACATCATCTAAGGGCTTGAAGGAGTGCAGCAAGGTTCTCTCACTTAAATTTTCATAAAAATGAAAATTTTTAGAAGGAAATGAGGGAGGGAGAATCTATTATTGCAGAAATAATTGTTTTATATTTCTAGATTTTCTGTAATTTCAGCATGACCCCTAGAAACTCATTTTAATGTTAATCTTAAATTTGGAAGGCAAATCAATTGCCAAAAGCTTAACAATGTTAATATAAAGAATTTAAAAATCGTTCAGCCACTTATGTCATCATGCCAACTGCCTTTTCTACCCAGGTCCAATGAGTTTTTGTTGCTGTTTTTGTTGTTGTTAACATTTTATTTATGGTGTCAAATCATAGCTCATCTACGATCATACAGTTTAACCAATACCGTAAACTCCTAAATGAACAAACACAACATGCAGTTTTCTGAAGACCTCAGATAAAGACCGATTGTAATCTCAAACTTGTTCTTTCTTGTCCCAAAAATGTAAATGTAAGTTTTCACTGGAGAATGAATACATCTCATACTGGAATACAGTCAGCACTCAGAAAGTGTTTACTGAAGAAATGGATGAATCACCATGCCTAACACACACAGGACAAATCAGAATATTAAAACTTCCAGATTCTAGTAAAGAAACTTTGTTTCTTGCTTGCAACACTTTCCTTTTTCCATTAATCTAAACTTTTGAAGGTCAAAGCTTTTGTCTCATTAGTTTTCTTGACAGTAAAATGACTTATGCCTTTTCTACTTTAGAACCACTGAAATTCACCAATAGGATTTTCCTCTTGTTTACTTCATGGGGGCAGCCACTTGACATTAAAATGCTTTTTTAGCATCATTACATTTTTTAAGAAATCAGTGGCAACAGTTTCTCCAGATATGCATTCTTATTTCAATGCTATCTTGTGCTGGTGAGTAACAGCAAGAAATCTTCAAACACTTTAATACGATAGCTAGTTCTATTCTTCTGAGTTGTGACTGGGTCAACCTTTCTCTACAGTGTAAAAAGAAATAGGGAGAAAGCAAATATAACACTTTCTCTTTCTTTTCTTAGACCCAACAAAATTTTAAAAAATCATGCAACCAAC
Source organism: Homo sapiens (assembly GCF_000001405.40). NCBI lineage: Eukaryota > Metazoa > Chordata > Mammalia > Primates > Hominidae > Homo > Homo sapiens. Next base: position 4,075,420 of record NC_000018.10, read on the forward strand.
TGGAAGAGAAATAAATGGTATATCCAATAACTAGAGAATATTTTAGCTACTGTACCCCATTTGAAAGCACCCATATTTCCCTACAGCTACATTTACATAGGAAAAATGTGGTTGGGTCCCAATTAGTTTGATTATTTAAGTCACAGGTGCACTGTGCCTAAAATATGGATGGTCAACATTTAGTGACAAGACCTCATTGAACAAAACTTAGAGACAGCTGGTTTTGTCTGGCATTATTAGGCTAGAAAACAACAACAGGCAGAGAATGCTATTTAATTATCTAGAGCGTAAGTATTAATAATAACAATAAGTGAGACAACAATACATTCAACTTTGGTATTTCTTTCCAACAAGGCAAGCACTGTTTCTCGTTATAGAGTTGTTCTTTGTTCACTTGTATTTAAATACGACATGAGTTTATTGCTTTACAAGAGAAATGCTGATTATTTAAAGAAGAATCTAAAGTTGTTGTTGTTGTTTTATCAGAATCTGTTGTCTGAAATTGAATCATGGAGCTTATTGTCAGTCCTGGATCCGCTATAGCTCTAGGGCTCTTTTGCAGTTAACTCTTGGTCGCTCTCCCTCTCCCTCTCCCTTTCTCGCTCTCTGTCTGCCAATGCCTATTGCATTTCCTCAAAAATAAGTATACAACTCATTGAAGTGAGGCCACACAGTTTGGAAATGCAGAAGAGAGAGCTGAAACTTCATTTATTGGTTCTCAGCTCAGTTTAGTTTCCTCCCAATGTGCTGTTTTTCTTTTCTCCTTAAAAACACACCATATATTTTATTTAAAAAAATTATATGCCATGGAAAGAGCTTATTGTAGCAAGTACATTTGATTAAATCTGGCATAAACTTGCTAGAACTGAGTTAAACACAGGTAGAATAAAAGCTTCTTCTACCAAGGCATTCAAAACCTAATCCACACCTTTTAAGTACAGGAACTATATTTTTATGTATGGAATTGACTAAAATTAGATATTGATAAGCAAAGTAGAGAAAAATAAATGAAAATCCCTAATGCAAAAGAATTACATTTTGGAAAATAAAGGGTTTGCATCCTATATTTGGAGGCAAACTAGCATTTAGGATCATTACTAAAGCCTAGGGTCTAGTGCTTTGATTTAAATACTTTAATCTCATCATTATATAAACTGTTTTCCCATTTTTCTCACAACACTCTGTTTTCTTTCTTTATAGTATTATTATTATTATTTTTCTTGAGGCAGCATCTTGCTCTGTTGCCCAGACTGGAGTGCAGTGGCGTGATCTCGGCTCACTGCAACCTCCACCTCCAGGGTTCAAGCGATTCCCCTGCCTCAACCTCCCGAGTAGCTGGGATTACAGGTGCATACCACCACACCTGGCTAATTTTTATATTTTTAGTAGAGACAGAGTTTCACCATGTTGGCCAGGCTGGTTTTGAACTCCTGACCTCAAGTGATCCACCTGCCTCGGCCTCCCAAAGTTGCTGGGATTACAGGCGTAAACCACGGTGCCTGGCCTCTTTATAGTATTTATCACCATTTGTTATTATATGTTAAGTACTTGTTGGCTCAATGTTTGTTACTTCGCAAGGCTGAGCTCTACTAGAGCAGGGACCTGTTCTGCTCAGAGAAGGGTTCCAGTGTGCATCAGTCGAGTTAATTTATAAATGAATGACCTTCACTCTATGCTACCCAAAGGGTCATGGTTAAACAATCAGATCTTGTCCTTTCAGTATTTTATCATCTAAATGCATAGTTAATATAAATACATTAAGGAAAGGAGATTCAACAAACAAGTAAAATACCCAGTGATTTTTTTGGTGACACCAATTTAAAAGGTGTTAACTCTAAGTAGAGAAGAGCCATACTTGAAATCAATTTTCACTTTCATGTTTAACTTCCTAAATCTTGAAGTGATACTAGGAGAAACAGCCATTTAGGAGTTGCTATTGTTTGGATATGGTTTGTTTGTCCCCACCAAACCTCCTACTGAAATTTGGTCCCCAGTGTCAGAGGTGGTGCTCAGTGGAAGGTGTCTGGGCCATGGGGGTGGAACCACATGAATAGATTAATGCCCTCCTTGTGGCGGAGGGCAGGGGTGGGGAGCTGTGAGTGACTTCTCACTCTATTAGTTCCTATAAGAGTTGATTGTTAAAAGATCCTCCTGCCCGCCTGACCCACCCTGCTTCCTCTCTTGCTGTGTGATCTCTGCATATTACTGGCTTCTCTCCCCCTCTGCCACAAGCAGAAGCAGCCTGTGGCCATCACCAGATGCAGATGCCCAATCTTGAACTTTCCCAGATATTAGAATTATGGGTAAAATAAACTGTTTTAAAAATAAATTACCTAGCCTCAGGGATTCCTTTATAGCAACACCAGATGGATTAAGACAGGAGTATACAGGCCCCAAATCCCTATGTAAATTTAAACAAACTATTAGGAAATCTTTGCATGTCATTTAAGCATTCTGTGAAGGAAGGCACTCGGTACTCAAGAGCTCTGAACCATAGAAAGTGCCAGTTTGCTTCATAGGAATTTAAACAGGCTGTGTAAATAGGCAGAATGCTGAAGCCTCTGGTGGAATATGGCCTAGACAATGGGGACCAGTCTGACTGCTGTGGAAAATGTCATGGGGTTTACAAGGTTAAGAGTTTTTTTCTATTCATTGTAAACGACAGATACTCCATGGGTAAAGGGGACCTCTTCTCAGGGAAATAAGTTACTAAAGCTTTAGAGTTTTAGCAGAGTTACAATGGGATCGAATCTTTACTATCTTCATACATATCCTTCTAGAAAGATTATTCTGTACAACTGATAACAGTAACACTAAAATATTGAGAGACTTAAGCACCTACAATCAATAACTGAGACAGGCAGGACCACATTGGAACAGCCAATGTGACTCAGAAAACCCTTGACACATTTTCAAGCTTTTGGAAGTTACACACATTTATATTTAAATAGAAATCACCGAATAGATGGCCAAGTGTAAGACAAATGACCATAAAGCACACAGAGAATCTCCGGCGAGGGACCTAGGAATGGACGTTTTTAATAGCTCTCCATGGTTACTCTTGAAATGAGTGCTAACAAAGTGCAGAGCAGCTGAAAGAATCAATGTGAAATTAGGCACTAGACACTTCACACATCAGACAAAATTAAATCCTCAAAACCTCCATTGTTTAGATAAAAAATGAACAAAGAGGTTCCATAAACTCATATATCAGTGTGAGTGCTACAGTTTTACAAAACACTGGTCATCTATCTAACTTACTCTGAAGTAACTTTACACGATCTGGAAACCTGGTATTCAATCATGTTTCTTGGGTGGGAGAATGCAGGTTTCAAGGGAGGAAGACGGGAGGTATGAATGGATATATCAATGAGTCCATGTTTCCTTGAAACTTGAGGATTCTTAAGTGAAACATGGTTTGCCAATCTCAGGCTTATAGCCCTGTGATAATGATAAAAAGACCACAGATTCAGTCCCCATTATGGACTAGTTAGCATTTTTTTTTCTATTTTATGGCCACAGTTTACATTCCCAAACTTTGACTGTTTTACAAATAGATACTCTTGTTCATAACCCTTAGATGAAGAAGTGTGGTTTGATGAAGAAAAAACCATTATCATTGGCAGAAGACACCTGAAGTCCAGCCCACGCTGGTGGTGGGTGATCAGAGCACGGACTTCCCACATAAATTTAAGGATAGCCCAGCATAGATGGGGCAGGCCTAAGCTGCTGGCCTCATTAGGCATATGCTGTCCACTCAGCATCCATTGGCTTGTGGAGAGCTGGGGACAAGGAGAGACAGAAAAGCAATGTGAGCAATTCACCATTGCAAAGTGCCCATCAGCCAATGAGTAGATAAAGAAAATGTCACACACACACACACACACACACACACACACACACACACACACACACACCATGGAATACTAGTCAGCATACAAAGAATAAAATAATATCTTTTTCAGCAATTTGGATGGAGTTGGAGGCTATTATTCTAAGCAAAGTAACTCAGGAATGGAAAACCAAATACCCTGTATTCTCACTTATAAGTAGGAGCTAAGCTATGGGTACACAAAGGCATAGCGAGTGGCATAATGGGCACTGGAGACTCAGAAGTGGGGAGGGTGGGAGAAGGTAAGAGATAAAAAACTACCTGTTGGGTACAGCGTACACTGCTTGGGTGACAGGTGCACCACAATCTCAGACTTCACCTCTATGCAGTTCATTCATGTGACCAAAAACCATGTGTACACCAAAAGCTATTGAAATTAAATATATATATATATATATATATAAAAGAAAATCAGTGTGTGTATGTGGAGGGTAAGTTCTTCCCATAGATACAACCCCAGTGACCACTTCAGGTTTGCTTTTCTCCAGATTCAGGATCTGGTGCTTGAGTTAAGGGGGAAAAATCCTGCTTACATCCTAGGAGTAGCAATAGACTTGCCTTGTCAAGGAGAGAGAAAAGAAGCAGAAAGCAAGCTCTTCCTTATACATTCGGGGTCTTACTAAATCACTCATCTTTCATCTATTCCCACATGATTAGATAGATGTTATATGGGTGTGGCTGTCTAACTTTAACATGGATAAGAATCACTAGCTTGTTAACAGTGAAATTTCTGGGTTTCATCCCAGAGTCTGACATCTAGCTTGATGACGTCTAGTGAAAGAGCTATGTTCCTATTTACCAAGAATATGAAGTGAGGGAAGGAACAACAGATTCAGAGTTCTTTATGCCTAAAAATAGACATATTGCAGTGCTTTCCTTTATAAAATTTGCTTCTGGGGAACCATGATTTAATGTTAAATTTTATTTCACTGTGCTACACTATGGGTCTTAATGAAATTTTATCAGTGATAACTAATAAATCATTTCTTAATGATAACGCTATCATTTTATTAATGATAAAGTTAAATATAAATTAAAGAAATGAGCAGGACCTTTTAGAATGTTTGTTTTTCTTATTTTCTGTTGGAGAAAATAAAAATATTTCACCCCAAAATATAGTTCTTTGACATATTTCAAAATGGCTATTCAGGAAGGGCTGGAAACATGATAATAGCTGCAAAGCTCTCTGTTGGGCAGAGATCTGCATCTGTAGAGAATCTGCATTGATGCAGCCAGGCTTTCTCTGAGGCCTTGTTTGGATCTAGGAAAAGATTAACAGAGTCTGATACCTTTAAAGGTCTAAAAGAAACATTTACCATCTCTTCTTTCTGCGGGCTGCTCCCTGGGAAGTTTCATCTATAGAACAAGACCCCCTTTGCTAGCCAGGCCTCCTCTTCTCTCCCTCCCATAACCTGTCTTGCCGCGATAACCCGATTTACTACTATAGGCTGTTTTTGCTCATCCTGTGAGCCACCATTCTTTCTGTAACCTCAAGGTGATATATAAGCTTCTGAGCCCCATGAGGGGAATTCATCACCCTGTTGTTCTCCCCGATGCATGTTAATAGATTTGAATGCCCTTTTTTTTTTTTTTTGAGATGAAGTTTTGCTCTTGTAGCCCAGGCTGGAGTGCAATGGCGCAATCTTGGCTCACTGCAACCTCCGCCTCCCTGGTTCAAGTGATTCTCCTGCCTCAGCCTCCCGAGTAGCTGGGATTACAGGCATGCACCACCACGCCCAGATAATTTTTGTATTTTTAGAAGAGATGGGGTTTCCCGTGTTGGCCAGGCTGGTCTCGAACTCCTGACCTCAGGTGATCCACCCGCCTCAGCCTCCCAAAGTGTTGGGATTAGAAGTGTGAGCCACTGTGCCCAGCTGAATGCCTTTTCTTTTAAAAAATTAATCTGCCTTGGAGAATTGCTTGAACCCAGGCGGCGGAGGTTGTGGTGAGCCGAGATTGTGCCATTGCACTCCAGCCTGGGCAAAAGGAGTGAAACTCCGTCTCAGGAAAAAAAAAAAAAAGTAATCTGCCTTTGTCAGTTGACCTTCCAACAAACCTTCAGAGGGGCCAAGTGAAAAAGAGGAATTTTCTTATACTTCTTACTCTGTTTGTATAAGACTCCTATAGTGTGCCTCCTGTTGGGGCTCAGAAACTGATACCCCAAAATATGGTGCTTTGACATGCTGAACTGAAGAAGTCACAAGGTCTCTCTGACCCATCCCTCACCCACCTTTCAATCCTCTCTCTCTCGCAAAGTAAGGGATGAAGTTGTCTCATCTGCTTATAGTCCAGACCTGCCAAAGAAGCCAACAATTACCTTGATCCCTTCCCTGAGTTTTCATTAACTTAACTCATATTGGAGGAAGAAAGACTGAAGTCTGTCAATGCACCAGGACAAACTTGTCATCAACCATTGCCTTCTGTTTTGGTCCCATTTGGTATTTTAAAGAGAATCATTTAGCAGCTGTTGTCTGCTCTGTGGGCCCAACAGACTTTGTCCCAGGCCATTGTATATTCTTCAAGTCCAGTCATTTTTCCCTAAAAATCATTTACTATGCTCCTAAAATCATTCACACTTTCCCATTTCCCTTTTCCTTAAGAAGAAGGGTATAGAGGCCTGGCTCAGTGGCTCACACCTGTAATCCCAGCACTATGGGAGGCTGAGGTGGGCGGATCACCTGAGGTCAGATGTTTGAGACCAGCCTGGCCAACATGGTGAAATACTGTCTCTATTAAAAATACAAAAAGGCTGGGTGCAGTGGCTCACACCTGTACTCCTAGCACCTTGGGAGGCTAAGGCGAGTGGATTGCCTGAGCTCAGGAGTTCAAGACCAGCCTGGGCAAAATGGTGAAATCCTGCCTCTACTAAAATACAAAAAAATTAGCTGGGCGTGGCAGTGTATGCCTGTAATCCCAGTTACTTGGGAGGCTGAGGCAGGAGAATTCCTTGAACCTGGGAGGGGGAGGTTGCAGTGAGCCGAGATTGCACCATTGCACTCCAGCCTGGGCGACAGAACAAGACTCCATCTCAAAAAAAAAAAAAAAAAAAATTTGCCAGACATGGTGGCGCACACCTGTAATCCCAGCTACTCGGGAGGCTGAGGCCCAAGAATCACTTGAACCTGGGAGGCAGAGGTTGCAGTGAGTTGAGATTGTGCCACTGCACTCCAGTCTGGGTGACAGAGTGAGACTTTGTCTCAAAAAAAAAAAAAAAAAAAAAAAAGAAGGGTGTATAACCATCAGTACCCCATTCCATGGTGGGGGTAATCATTCAGCGATCCACCCACCATGCATGCTAGTAAATTTGCATATCTTTTCTCCTATTAACCTGCCTTTTTGAGCTGATTTTTCAGTAACCCTTAGGATGAAGGGGAAGTTTTCCTTTGGCCCCTACACTCCATTTTTGCAGATAGGGAAACTGAGGGACTGACAGGTTAAGTAAGTTGTGAAATTCAGGCAACTGGTGTCAGAACAAGAAAGATTCCAGTTGAGGTCTGTCTGGCTTCTTTGCTAAGGCTGGCTTCATTGACGTGCCGCTGCTCAGTCACATGGGGCCCCATGTGTTTGCTGTAATGCACATGGACCCCAAGCTTGGTTTAATGCTCTGCTGTAGCTACCCTGAAATCCTTAACAATTTTTGAGTAAGGGTCCCCGCCTTTTCATTTTGCACGGGGCCTTGCTAGTTATGTAGCTCCCTTCACTGCCATGGCCGTTTCAGGCTATGATCCCCCAAAGGTTTCAAACTCAAAAGTCAGAAATTCTGATCATTTCTGCTAATGAAGAGATAAATATACATGTGATTCCTACTATTGGTAGGGGGTAGAGTAGAAAGTTGTTCAAAGAAGGAACACCCCAATTATTCCACATAAGTGTTTGTAAGGATTAATGCACTAACAGGGATTTGATCTTATAAATTCTGCTGTTTTGGTTTTTGACCAAATGACTTTAATTTTGTTTTGTTTTGTAATATTTTGTTTTAATTTCTGCTGGTTACATTAGGGACAAAGCACTTCTACTTCATTCTCATCTTCCTCTTTCTATAAAAACAGTGTGTCTTTTTCTTTATTATAAAAGTAATGAATGTTTCCTGCAGAAAATATGAAAAAAATTACATGTAATTAACCAAGTAGAGAAAACATTTTGGTACATATCATTTTAAAGTACATTTATATATGCGTCAGTATATATTTTTATTTCTACTGATATCTATCAACTCTCTAATTGGAATCATAGTGAAGCCATTCTTACATGGTTACCAAGAATTTGGACAGAAATATAATGAAGCATTAATCATGCTGTACTTTGATCCATTTCCTTGTTGCTGAAAGTTACTTCGTGAAACTAGAAAAGTTCCCTTTTCCTCCGTGCAGGGCATGTGATGGGGTGTGGCTTGCTTCTTTCGTGCCCTAGAGTTAAAATTCCTAGGGGGAGCATGCAGATGAGCAGGTCATGGGGAGCGTGGGCTCTGACCCCATGGTAGCATCTAGGGTTGAGTGTTGACAGCTCCCGAGGCCCCAGTAGGCAAGTGTTACAGGGTGCTCTTTCAGCTTGGCCGTCAGCAGGTGGCTTATGTTAATTAGCTCAATGAGACCCTCTGCCTTATCTCTAGGACAGAGGGCTTTCTGTTTCCCGGGGTTCTTGCCTTAGTGTACTGGAAAAATCGGATCACACGGGGGCTTGGAGAATGAGTGCAAGGTTTTATTGAGTGGTGGAAGTAGCTCCAGAAGATGGATGGGAGCCAGAAGCGGGATGGAGTGGGAACAATCTCCCAAAACCCTTAAAAATCCTAGCCCCCAAACTCCTCAAAAAGATGGACTTGAGGTTTCCTCCCATCTCCTGTTTGAGCAGCCCTGTGATTAAACTTCCTTCTCTGCTGCAACCTGGTGTCTTAGCATAATGACTTGCAGCACGCAGTGGTTATAGTAGCATTCACGATTTGAATTTGAATCCTGTAGGTTTTTCTCTTTTAATTTAACTATACTAAGGATTTTCCTTATAGGAAAAATGATTGTTTACCATAACTCATTTAACAATCTTTCCATTGTTAAAAATTTAGATTTGTTTTCGACAGGGCTCAGAACAAGGGCCAGATAATAGCCTCTTGGCATACTTAATATTTTAAGCTGAAAGAATTTGAGAAAAGCACAGAAGCAGGAAAGTCTCTCTGACCTTCTCCTACCCCTTTCTCTTTCTCTCCTATGACCCTCGTGTGAAAGGTGTCCACCCTATACCCACAGGACAGGAGCATCGTTATCTCTAAGACTCAGGGACACAGAAGAATCTGCACAAACAGGCCTTGCTCAGTTCCCTCCAGTTTATTGCCATGAGATCATTCTCCCTTTGTCTAATCTTACTTCTCCACGATTATCTACTTATTTACCAAACTTAGCATAAAAATACATGGGGTTACTTATTTCTTTGGGCTTTCATTTCCTGATAAAGACTCCCATGTCATGCAACACTTATTAAATATATTAGCATGCTTTTCTCCTATCAATCTGTCTTTGTCAGTTTGATTTTTAGACCCAGCCAAGGGACCCTAGGAAGAGTGAAGGAAAGCCTTTCCTCCCCTACATTTTATTCTGTTTAAGTTTTGTTGTTTATGATTGACTCTAAATCAAAGAGAGCATGCTGCAAGGAGCAGGCATCGTCCAGGATGGTTAATGGGGAAGACATCACACACTCAAAACTGCAGACTGCAAGTCTATGAACCAGGGAGGTTTTCTGTACTTCTGTGGCATGAAAATAGAATGGATTATTCTATATTATTTTATATATACCAAAAGAAAATGACCGAGGCAGGACAGGCAGTCTTGGTGCAACTGAATGGTAGAATTAAGTGGGTAAATAAAAAAGGTAAGGGGAAATACTATTTGCAGAATCTAATTGTCAGCCTTTTTAAAAAATCAGGAAGCTAATTATTTACTGCACAGACAAGTCACCAAGGCAGAAAAAAAATGTGGGTGGTCTTGGGGTTTGATTATTTCTACCAAGCAGTGATTATATGCATTAGCATCTGATTCACTTACATGCTAATATCTTCACTGAGGAATCTGCTTCCTTTTCAGCAAAACCTGCTTAAGTTTTCAGCAAAACCTGCTTAAGTCAGAAGTTTGTTACCTAGGAAGCCTTTATTCCCTTCTTACCACAGGAGAAACTTTCTTTACATTTTGGGCAAGACTAAGTTTAGATCTAGTCTACATCCAGAGTTGTCACACAGTATTTTTAGAAATAGACTGGACTGACCCAGGGAAAGGAAATACTTTGAGAGCAAAACCTTCTAACTGCCAATATCTGTTTTACAAACTTTACAAGTCTGTGTTCCTTTGATGCAGCTTCCAAATCACAGGACTTCTTGTTGACAACTCACCCTGCTTGAGTTCCGTCTTTGTCCCAGAAGGAAACAAAATGTATTTTTCCCCTTTAAACACAGAGGAATTTCTTTAGATAACCTCAGAACACAATTATCCGGTCCAGTCAAACAATCTGAAGTTATAGTTCTGCTGCTGTCTCTGACCTAACTCCCTCTTCTTCCAATGTTTCACAGCTCTTTCTATTTTCATTTCCTTTTGATTTTTCAATTATCTCTATTTTGCTTACTGTGGGAACTTCTTTTGAAAGTGATTATTGACTTTGCTCTCAACTTGGTTTGACTTAATAAATTGGTAACATAAATAAGACCTAAACTGGGCAGAAACAGAAAAAGAGGTTGTTCGTGTCAAATAACTACCTTTCATGTATTTGAAAGGTGAAGATTATAGAATGTCCAACTCTGCTTCTTTCTGGTGTGGGGACAATCTGAGCTGTGATAAAGTTTTGACATGGGAACAGAGCAGGATAAGCATGTGGTAGGACGGGAGTGGGGTGATGAAGGACTTTGGGAAGCTGCTGGATCAAATTTGAGAAAAAGAAGGTTCAAAAGGCATCCCAAAAGAGCACTAAAGCTGGTTTAGATTTAGTCATTCAATTGCTCCCCTCGTCTTCATTACCTCTGTGTAAAGACCTAATAACAAAGTATGAAAAAAACTGTGCTCTAAACCGGAAGGTGCTAAATAAAAACGGCATTATTACTAATTACTTTAGCTAACTAAGTTGACTGAAAACTTATTCAATTCACATCAGCATATAATGCTATAAATTTTCCTACAAGCACTGCTTTAGCTGTGTCTCCCACAAGTTTCGATATGTTGTGTTCTCATTTTAATTCCACTGAAAATGATTTTTAAATTCCCATTGTGACTTTTTAATGGGTTACTCAGCACTGTGTTATTTAATTTTAAGATATTAGGAAATTTTTCTGTTTTTGTTTTTTTAATCCGATTTAATTCCATCGTGGTCTGAGACTATACCTTGTATGTTTCTAATTCTTTTAAATTTGTTGAAGTTTGTTTTATAGCCTACAATATGATCTCTCTTGGTGAATGCTCCATATGCACTTAAAAAGAATGTATATTCTTTTTAAGTCAGGTCAAGTTTGTTGATTGTGTTGTTAAGTTCTATATCCTTATTGATTTTCTTTCTACTAGTTCTATTACTTACTGAGAGAGAAGTGTTAAAATTTCCATTATAATTGTGGATTTGTTTATATCTCCTTTTAGTTCTATTAGTTTTTGCTTTATGTGTTTTGAAGATGTGTTGTTAGGTGCATACACATCATTATTTAATACTCTTCTGCATCTTCATTAATATTTTAGTTCTGAAGTCTACCTTGTCTGAGATATATATATATACACAAACACATATATATATACACACACTTATATATACATATATGTATATATGTATATATGTGCTATATATATATACACACACACATTCTGAGACATATATATATCTCAGAAGAAGGTTGTTTCTGCCAAATTCATTTATTTGAAAGGTGGAGATTATCGAATGCTCCAGTGGTTATATATATGTTGGGAACAGGCCCCCAAATCTGTCCATAAACTGGCCCCAAAACTGGCCATAAACAAAATCTCTGCAGCACTGTGACATGCTTATGATGGCCTTGATGCCCACAACAGGTTTACCAGAATGAGGGCAAGGAACACCTGGCCCACCCAGGGCGGAAAACTGCTTAAGGTGTTCTTAAACCACAAACAATAGCATGAGCGATCTGTGCCTTAAGGACATGCTCCTACTGCAGATAACTAGCCAGACCCATCCCTTTATTTCAGCCCATCCCTTTATTTCCTGTAAGGAATACTTTTAGTAAATCTTATGACTGGCTTGCTGTCAATAAATATGTGGGTAAATCTCTGTTCAAGGCTCTCAGCTCTGAAGGCTGTGAGACCCCTGATTTCCCACTCCACAACTCTATATTTCTGCATGTGTGTCTTTAATTCCTCTAGTGCCACTGGGTTAGGGTCTCCATGACAGAGCTGGTCTTGGCATATATATTTCTTTTAATTAACATTTACATGGTGTATTTTTTTACATTTATATGCTATATATATTTAAATGACATATATACATATTTTCATCCTTTTACTCTTAACCTAGTTCTTTATTTTAAAATGGGTTTCATGTGAACTGTGTAGTTGGGCTTTGCTTTGTTTGAGTTGACATGATCTGTCTTGATTTGTTATGTTGAGACCATTGACATCTGTGTCACTGCTATGTTTAGACTAAAATCTAACATCTGGCTAGCTGTCTTCTATTTGTTCTGTTTGTTAATCTTTCCCCTTTCCCTCTTTTTCTGTTTTTTTAATTAAATAATTTTTATCATTCTATTTTTCCTCAACTATTGATCTCTTGTTTATGTTTCTTAAACATTTATTTTTTTCCTATAGAAAACATTTCCTATTTTAATTTTAAATTAAATTAAATTTTAAATATGGATTTTTTCCTATTGCATTTATGATATACTTTCATCATTATTTGTAGTTTATCCTTGAATAATTTTATTCTGCTTTATATATAAGGTAGGAGTCTCACACCAATATACTTCCAGTGTTTCTCTCTGATCTTTTGTGCTGCTGTTGTCAAAAATTTTACCTTTACATATGCTATAAACCAGCAACACAATGCTACTACTTTTCCTTTAGACAGTCAACTATCTCATAGCATGACTAAACATTAAGAAAGGAGTCTTTTTATTTACCCTCACATAATTTTCCTTTGTGTGTGTGTGTGTGTGTGTGTGTCTGTATACATTTACAAACATACATATCTTCAACTTTCCCATTTCTTTTTGAGGATCCAAGTTTCTGTTATAGATTGTTTCTGCCTAATGAGTGCCTTTAACCATTCTTGTAGCACTGTCTGCTGGCAGTAAATTCTCTTACCTTTCATTTGTTTGAAAAAGTTATTATTTGCTGTGGTTTTGGGAGGTTTTTAACCTGAATTCTGAGTTGATTTTTTTCCTCCAGCCGTCTGAAGATGTCAAACCATATGATTATCTCAATAGACACGGAAAAGGCCTTTAATAAAATTCAACATTCCTTCATGTTAAAAAAACTCTCAATAAACTAGGTATGGAAGGGACATATCTCAAAATAACAAGAGCCATTTATGACAAACCCACAGCCAATATCATACTGAATGGGCAAAAGCTGGAAGCATTCCCCTTGAAAACTGGCACAAGACAAGGATGCCCTCTCTCACCACTCCTATTCAACATAGTGTTGGAAGTTTTGGCCAGCGCAAGCAGGCAAGAGAAAGCAATAAAGCGTATTTAAATAGGAAGAGAAGAAGTCAAACTGCCTCTGTTTGCAGATAACATGATCCTATATCTAGAAAACCCCATCATCTCAGCCCTAAAGCTCCTTAAGCTGATAAGCAACTTCAGCAAAGTCTCAGGATACAAAATCAATGTGCAAAAATCTCAAGCATTCCTATACACCAACAATAGACAAACAGAGAGCCAAATCATGAATGAACTCACATTCGCAAATGCTACAAAGAGAATAAAATACCTAGGAATACAACTTACAAGGGATGTGAAGGATCTCTTCGAGGACAACTACAAATCACTCCTCAAGGAAATAAAAGAGGACAGAAACAAATGGAAAAACATTCCATGCTCATGGATAGGAAGAATAAATATTGTGAAAATGGCCATACTGCCCAAAGTAATTTACAGATTCAATGCTATTCCCTTAAACTACCATTGACATTCTTCGTAGAATTACAAAAAACTACTTTAAAATTCATATGGAACCAAAAAAGGGCCCATATAGCCAAGACAATCCTAAGCAAAAAAAACAAAGCTGAAGCCATCCCACCATCTGATTTCAAACTCTGCTACAAGGCTACAGTAACCAAACAGCATGGTACTGGTATCAAAACTGACACATAGACCAATGGAACAGAAATAATACCACACATTTACAAACGTCTGATCTTCAACAAACCTGACAAAAACAAGCAATGGAGAAAGGATTCTTTATTTAATAAATGGTGCTGGGAAAACTGGCTAGCCATATGTAGAAAATTGAAACCGGACCTCTTCCTGGCCGGGCACGGTGGCTCACGCCTGTAGTCCCAGCACTTTGGGAGGCCGAGGCGGGCGGATCACGAGGTCAGGAGATCGAGACCATCCTGGCTAACACGGTGAAACCCCGTCTCTACTAAAAACACAAAAAATTAGCCAGGTGCGGTGGCGGGCTCCTGTGGTCTCAGCTACTCAGGAGACTGAGGCAGGAGAATGGCGTGAACCCGGGAGGCGGAGTTTGCAGTGAGCCAAGATCGCGCCGCTGCACTCCAGCCTGGGTGATAGAGGGGGACTCCGTCTAAAAAAAAAGAAAGAAACTGGACCCCTTCCTTACATCTTAAACAAAAATTAACTCAAGATAGATTAAAGACTTAAATGTAAATCCCAAACTATAAAAACCTTGGAAGAAAATGTAGGCAATACTATTCAGGACATAGGCACGGGCAAGTATTTCATGACAAAAACATCAAAAGCAATTGCAACAAAAGCAAAAATTGACAAATGGGACCTAATTAAACTAAAGAGCTTTGGCACAACAAAAGAAACTATCATCAGAGTGAACAGACAACCTATGGAATGGGAGAAAATTTTTGCAATCTATTCATCTGACAAAGGTCTAATATCCAGAATCTACAAGGAACTTAAACACATTTACAAGAAAAAAACCACCCCATCAAAAAGCGGGCAAAGGACATGTACAGACACTTCTTCAAAGAAGACATTTACGTAGCTAACAAACATATGAAAAGAAGCTCAACATCCCTGTTCATTAGAGAAATGCAAATTAAAACCGCAATGAGATACCATCTCATGCCAGTTAGAATGGCAATTATTAAAAAGTCAAGAAACAATAGACGCTGGCAAAGCTGTGAAGAAATAGGAACGCTTTTACACCACTGGTGGGAATGTAAATTACTTTAATCACTGTGGAAAAGTGTGGCGATTTCTCAAAGATCTAGAACCAGAAATACCATCTGACCCAGCAATCCCATCACTGGGTATATACCCAAAGGAATATGAATCATTCTATCATAAAGACACATGCACATGTATGTTCATGGCAGCGCTATTCACAATAGCAAAGACATGGAATCAATCCAAATGTCCATCAACGATAGACCGGATAAAGAAAATGTGGTACATATACACCATGGAATACTATGCAGCCATAAAAAAGAATGAGACCACATCCTTTGCAGGGACATGGATGGAGCTGGGAGTCCTTATCCTCAGCAAACTAACACAAGAACAGAAAAGCAAACACTGCGTGTTCTCATTCAAAAGTGGGAGCTGAACAATGAGAACACATGGACACAGGGAGGGGAACAACATATACTGGGGCCTATTGTTGGGGTGGGGGTAGGGAGAGCATCAGGACAAATAGCTAATGCATGCAGGGCTTAATACCTAGGTGATGGGTTGATAGGTTCAATAACCTACAGTGGCTCATGTTTGCCTATGTAACAAACCTGCATGTTCTGCACATGTATCCCAGAAATAAAATGAAATGAAATAAAATAAAATAAAATTCTCATCTTTATTCTTCTGAATCTAAGATGTCTGATCTTTGGACTTCAGCTATTTGAATATGGTGTGTAGGTGTGTGGATTTCTTTTTCTATTTATATTCTTTGAGGTTTTATGAGTGTATTGGATTCTTGCTTTGATTCTTTCATTATATTTGGAAAATTCTCAACAATTCCATCTTAAAATACTTCTACCTTATTTTCTCTTTATATTCTGTCTCACATTTCAATTATACATATATTCAATCATTTGATATTGTTTAACAGCTCTTCAATACTCTGTTCTGTCTTCATCTCCTTTTTTACTCTTTTCTTTCAGGTGGGTAATATCTATTGACCTATTAAGTTCATTGATTCTTTCCACGACTGTGCTGACTCTACTGATAAGCCCATCAAGGACACTGTTCATGTTTGTTGCTGTTTCTTTTTCATAGCATTTCCAATTGATTTTTTGTTACAGTCAACATCTCTCTGTGAAATTCCGTATCTGTTCAGGACTGTTACTCAGCTTTTCCAATGGATCCTTTAACATATTAAACATGGTCATTTTAACTTCTCTGCTTGATAGTTCCAATATCTAGGTCATATTTGAGTCTAGTTGATAATTTTGCCTCTTGATCATGTTTTTTTTTTTCCACATGCTTTTTTGTACATCTCATAATTTTTTAATGAATCACAAATATCAAGGATAGGACAGTATGGGCTAAGATAAATAGTATCTATGTCTGGAAACGGCACACTTCTTTTAGTAGGCCTACAGTGCTGGAGTTGGTCAATCTAGTTAGAAGTTGAGCTGGGTTTGGGTTTTGTTATTGCTATGGTTAACCTCAGTATATTACTAGCTTCAAATTCCTCTAGTGCTACCTTGTGTGTAGGTGGGGGCTATGGTATCAAAGGGCGTGTCTCAATGTCCCTGCTCCACCCTCAGCTTTCTGCTTTCTTTGAGTGTCTGCAACACACAGGGAGCTCTTCCTTGCTCTCCCCACTCAGAAGTAGAGTGCCATTGCTTGTTACCTGGTGCTTATAAGGCCGACGGGAGTGGAGCAGCGAAGAGGTTTTCCATTGTCCTGGCCCCCCAATAGTCTTAGGGAGGCCCTGTGTGTCTGGATCTTAGGAGTGGGGCTTGCTCTGTGATCCTGCCCCTCCTCCCAGTGTCAACCAAATTCTGCCTTGCATCTGGTAGATCTCCCATGAGAGATGGTTTCTCGTCCATCCCCTTGTGGTAGGAGACATCTAATGGTATTGGTGTAGGATCTCGGACTTAGGACTCTTTTGTACCCCTCACCCAGGTATGGAGATTGTTTTTTTTCCTTGTATTCTTTCCTTAACCAAAATGGGTCATACTTGTGCCTAGGGGCAGCACGATTTGCTGCTCCTTCTCTATCGGCTTAAGGCTTTTGTTCCATAACAGGGGCAGGCCAGATGGTGCTTAATATTTTTCCTGAAGTGGCCCATCCTCCAGGCTCACACCACCTAGAGAGGCTCTGTCCTGTCTCCAGCTCTGTCCTTGATCCTTCTCGTGGGCACCCAGTAAAGGTCTGTGGAAAAGAGCCTGTGACTGGGTAGGAGTTCCCTTTGTGCCTGCAGCTTCTGGGGTTCTGCACCCACACACTAGCCTACACTTGGCCTTTAGCAATTTGTTAAAAGGTTTAGCTGATTTCTTCTTTTAACTGTATGGAGCCTGATGCCTCTTCCTCCAGTGCTCACAACCCACATCGTCCTGGAGGAGCTTGTCTTTCTTAGGATTTCAGGCTACTTGTTTACGTGTGACCTCAGCTCTTTGATGGGTTTAAGAACATTTATGACATGGTAGTTTATCTTGCTTTTCCTTAGCCTTGGTGGAAGTGGCAATTTGTTCAATTATATGTATTGTATGTGTATGTATGTATGTATGTGCATGCAATGTGGTTGATGTTTCCTTTCAAAAACACAGCTTAGAAAAGTGAAGGCTACATTACAACTATTGAATAAGAATATTTTAAGGAAGAAAACAGGGATAATTAAAAAAAGGAAAAACCCAATGTGACTCTATCTAGGCTTTGAGCTTTTTCCCAGTAACGGGAAGAAGGAAATAGGAATTTCTTAATGTTCTTTATCTGAACTAGGTTCTGTGGGGAACCAGAGGGACCAAATGCTGATTTAACATTGGAAACCAGATGAGAATATGGGAAGCCTACTAGTCTCTTAAAAATATTTAAGAAGTGGATTTTGCGTTTTGTCTGAAAGGAAGAATTCCTCATTTGGACAAGAAGGTTATTTCATAAGTGCATATGAAAACAAAAGTTAAATCCAATCTCTGAACCTAAACATTAATCAAAAAAAAAAAGGTCTTTGATATACTTCTCCAACTTTGTACAATAAGGAGGTATAAGTTGGAAAACTCTATAGTAGCAGAGTTTGTTTTGTTTTTGTGTGTCTGTTACTCACTGAATAGTTAGGGGCATGGTAGCTGTTCTCTTCCTCTACAAGCAATCACCTTGTCTGCTTTTTATTATAAAATTTGATGGCTTTTTTCCTGTTTTTATCTCTCTTGGTCTCATTGCACCCCTGCTTCCTGTGGCTTCTGTGAAGCTATACTCTTCTGGTTCTAATTCTGATGAGCCTCTCTTCTCTCCCTCACGCTTTTGACATGCTAATGTTCCCAGACTTTTCAACCTCATATCCTGACCTCTTGCTTTTAAACTTCAATTTAATTTAAGACGCTCCACTTATTTAAATTTTTTAAGAGCACAAAGTGAACTTTTATAATTTTCTTCATGTGGTTCTGACATCATTGTTGTTAGGATTCTTCCTTAGTATTTTATGATTTTTACATCCTTTATGAATCAACCCAGCCTCCAATTATGTCATCTACTGTAATGACTGGAATTAAAAAAAATACTGATATGTATTATGTGGGACTTCTAAAATTGACATTAATTCAAAGAGATTTTTCTTAATTTTTCTTTGTTCCTTAGTTTTATCTCTTAGCTGTTTACATATTAATCTTATCTCTTTCCTTTTATTGTCATGGTCAGAACTTTTGGAAGCAATAAAAATAGTGAAGATGGTAATTTTTGTCACATTTCTGATTTTATTGAAAATGCCTTTATGGTACACGGTTATGTATAACATTGATTGTTAATTTAAAATTAATTTTCTGTATCTTTATCTTGCATTTCAGTTGTTATCTCTATATAGTCTGTGTTCTAATGAACTTTTCTTGTTTGTGTCCTATATCATGTATATTGTTTTCTGTAGAATTGATTCTTTTCTTATTGCCTTAAATAAATTCAGTTTTTATATTTATATTTTGATTTTTATATATTTTATCTTCCTTCCTTCCTTCCTTTCTCTTTCTTTTTTTTTTTTTTTTGTCTTGTTTTGTCACCCAGGCTAGAGTGCAGTGGTGTGATCTCAGCTCACTGCAACCTCTGCCTCCTGGGTTCAAGGGATTCTCCTGCCTCAACCTCCCAAGTAGCTGGGACTACAGGCATGCGCCACCATGCCTGGCTAGTTTTTGCATTTTTAGTAGAGATGCGGTTTCATCATGTTGGCCAGGCTGGTCTTGAACTCCTGACCTCAGGTGATCCACCCACCTTGGCCTCCCAAAGTGCTGGGATTACAGGCATGAGCCACTGCACCTGGTTGCCTATTTTTTCTTGATATCTGCAATTTTGTTTAGACTTACCTTTCCTATCTTTTTAGTAGGATTACATTTTAAATAATAAAACAAGGGTGCACTCCTCCATGCCCTTCTTCCCGTTCATTCAGTCAGCAGTATCACCTTCAACCTAATATAAAAAGCAAGATTCAGAATCTTGCTTGGATGACCAAGTAAAGAGGACCTGAGATATCTTCCTGAGAGCATTTGAAATTTCCTTTTGCCTCAAGAGGGGACCAGCTCTAAAACTCAGAAAAGACAAAAGTCTTAAAACCAAGACAAGATATGGCAAGAGTGGGACTTTTGAAAGAGATTTTTTTTCCGGTTTCATAAATTTGTGCCATTAACAAAGTTTTGGAAAGAGAATAAACAGAGACACTGGCCACCTTCCCCAATCAGGTACACATTTTTTCACTTGGCTGAGAGGGAGATTTATAGAGGGGAAAAGCTTAGGCTTGGATGCTTTTAGACATAGATGTATCCCCATGAGACGTCTGGGTGAACAAAAGAACCCCTAAAGAGTTCTAGTGATCTGGAAACAGGACAAATTGTACTTCCTTTTCCAGGGGTGCTTTCTAACCTTGTAGAGAATTCTTTTCTTGCTAACAGGTTATATAAAGAATATAGGAGACAAGATAGTAAGAGATGATCAAGTAAAGAAGACCTAAGACATCTTCCCGAGAACATAAGAAATTTCTTGTGCCCCAAGTCAGGGCCAGAAAGACAGATAGGGCTGGTGGCCCTGGAGGGGCTGCATCATGATGGTGACAGGGTGTGTCTGTGGAATTTGACATCAACCTTCAACTGGAAACGACATAATATAACACACTAGATGCCAATTGGGATACACATTGATGAATAAAGACAAGAAGGAAAGGGAAACAACTTCAGATTTGACTTCTCTCCAATGCCATGAAGCTACATCAGATTTCTCCACCCCGAGAACATAAGTGCCTCCTTAGAAAGAAGGAGGGGTAGGCGGAATCTTCGAAGTGATTTAATTTAAACCTGAATCGATCAGCAGAAACAAATTCTAAAGAGCCTGTGTTTACCTGAAACTGCCTGAGATGATGATGATTATTTTTTACCTTTAGGCAGAATGTGGAATCTATGTTTTTGGGGATTTGTTTTTGAGACAAAGTCTCGCTTTGTCGGCCAGGCTGGAATGCAGTGTGGTGATCTCAGCTCACTGCAGTCTCCGCCTTCTGGGTTCAAGTGATTCTCCTGCTTCAGCCTCCCAAGTAGCTGGGATTGCAGGTGTGTGCCACTACGCTTGGCTATTTTTTGTATTTTTTAAGATATGGGGTTTCACCATATTGGCCAGGCAGGTCTCGAACTCCTGGCTTCAAGTGATCCTCCCACCTCGGCCTCCCAAAGTGCTGGGATTACAGGCGTGAGCCACTGCGCCTGGCCAGAATGTGGAATCTAGAAAAGAATCAAAGCAGGTTATAGAAAAGTAAAGAAGCTATTTCTCTCACATAGGCTTTGTCATGGCCTGTGAAAATGTAAACCCACCATATTTTATCAGAAAAACCTGTATATATTTCTCATCTGCTATATGTCCTTTTCACAGATATGCTTTTTCCTTTGCTTAAGGTACTTTTTGCCATTCTTTTTTTTTTTTCCCCTGGAATCTTTTCATAGGTTTCATTTATCTCATCCCTGAATGAAGAGTGAGTCAACTGACCTATATTTCCTTTGGACCCTCCCAGTTCTTTAGGATGCTGCCAGATTTGTCCTCTTAGATCTCAAGGGAGAATGGAGCCGAATAGGTTCAGAGTCCTCAGACAACCTTCTCGTGACGTGACTCACAGCTATGTTTAAAATCTGTGTCTGCTGGACTGAAGCAGAAGCTTTTTTATAGGCTGCCTGGGTTAACGTCCTGGCTTGTCCATTTACTAGCTGTGAAGGCTGAGCAAGTTACTTAACCCTCCTGTATTTCAGTTTACCTAACTATAAAACTGAGCTAACAATGGTACCTGGCAAAGTTGTAAAGATTACATGAATTAAGTTAATGAAAGTACTTAGATTAGTGTCTGGCACAAAGTAAACATTGTGTAAGTGTTGGTCGGTATATTTTTGTCATCATTATTCTTACAGGGGTCTCCTCTCTCTTTCAAATCCAGCTTATCTTCTGTTTTGTTTCCAGATTAATCTTTCTGCAGCACAGACCCACATATATTATTCAATTGAACAAACACTTTCAAAGGCTC
The DNA here is from genome assembly GCF_000001405.40 of Homo sapiens. Taxonomy (NCBI): domain Eukaryota; kingdom Metazoa; phylum Chordata; class Mammalia; order Primates; family Hominidae; genus Homo; species Homo sapiens. The sequence continues at coordinate 4,097,125 of NC_000018.10, forward strand.
CAATTGTTTACCACATTAAGGACCACCTTCTTGCCTTGGGATTCAAATAATTCTGGTACAGGGATCAGGACTTCGTCCCAACCTCTCACTAGTCTACTGCATTATGCTCAGTCCGTGGTGGGGATCTGATTGTTTCCTTGAACTTGCTCTGTTCTTTTCTGCCTCAGAGCTGTCCTTACTGCCCCTGGCACTTTCCATCTTCCCCATTTACATCTGTCTCAGCAGATTTAAATTCTACCTTCTCCAGGATGCCAATCATAATTTCCCCATCAAATGTAATCTCTTGGTCTTTGCAAGCCCCACTGTACTTTGTCAAAAGTGCTCACCACGTGGTACTGAGAACTATAGCTTCCTGCAATGTGGATGTAGTCATCCTCCATTTTTCCTTCCCTTCTGCCTCCAGACACCTCACAGGTAGGAGTTTAGGCTGATTTATCCGTGTATTCCCTAAAATTCCAGCCACATGCTTTTCATGCAATGGCAGTGCAACAGATAGTTATATTCTGAACGGAACCAATACAGATAAATCCCAGTTAAGAACTCTAGCACACAAAACAATTTTCTTGGTTCTACTTTTGCTGCATCATACAGCAGAGCTTCTTAACTTGCTAAAAACAAAAGTTTTAAATGTTTCGACAAAAATATTCAGATAGATATACTTTCCCACAGGATGTCAGAAACCATTGAATGTCAACAAATATAGTGGGATATTTTTCTACGAAGGAGGAAGTTGATACTAATCATTCAGCATAATTTTAATCTCTCATATAATTGATGGCTGCAGATTCTTTTCCTTTTTCTTTTTTTGAGACAGGATCTCACTCTGTCACTCAAGCTGGAGTGAAGTGGCACAATCTTGGCCTACTGCAGCCTTGATCTCTGGGACTCAATCGATCCTCCCACCTCAGCCTTCTGAGTAGCTGGGGCTACAGGCCCACGCCACTATGCCTGGCTAATCTCTTTTGTATTTGTAGAGACGGGATTTTGCCATGTTGCCTAGGCTGGTCTCCACCTCTTGGGCTCAAGTGATCCTCCTGTCTCGGCCTCCCAAACTGCTGGGATTACAGGCAGGAGCTACCGTGCCCAGCTGGTTGCAGATTTCATACCAGCAGTCAAATTAAAGTACATAAAAATACAAGAAGATATTGTCTATTAAAATCTACAGAGAACATGAGTATTTAAGTTACAAAATATGGGGAAAAGGTTAAATGTCTTCACAGAATAAATCAATCAACAAATATTTATTATAAGTCACTGAGTGATATAAAAAAAGTAAAATAAGGCTTTTATACCCCAGGAGATAATGCAGTGGGTAAGATAGGAGAGGAGGCTGTTTCACCAGTCCAGGGCTGCAGTGATTAGGATTGGAGAACAGCTGTGGTGAAGAGTTAGGTAAAAGGAAAGGAGAAGCAAAGCTGACTTAAAGAAAGAACAAATGGGAAATGGAGATTAAATAGGGGCAACGGAGAAAGACTAGTTTAAGATATTGCAACATTTTAAGCTATTGAGAAAACCGCCAATAGAAATATGGAAAAAAGGAGGAAATTATTGGGGATGGCAGTGGAAGAAAGAATAAGGACAAAATAAAATGCAATTTTAAGTGCACTGAGATTGTAGAAAGGTAAAATGTTCAGGTATAAATATCCAGAGGGCAGCAGATATTTGCATGGTACTTTACACTTTAAAAAGCCCTTTTATATTTATTATTTTGTTTGAGATCTTTAGACATATGGGCAAGTCAGATAGTTTAAGTAAGTTGTGTAAAATCCTAAGTCCAGAAGTCTGAACATGAACCTAAGGTTTGGACTCCTAGTACCCTTACAAGCACTGGGTTTGTTATCAGACCAGCTTTGGATTTACTTGCTTAAGTTGTTAGCTCTGTAACTTTACATAAGTTACTTCAATTCCTCTAAGCTGCATTTCCCATCCATACCTTGACCTCCCAGGCTCAACTGATTCTTCCACCTCAAAACTATCTTCTAGTTTTGTTGTAAGAATTAGATGACATAAAGCACTTAAGTAATTGGCATATTCTAAAGTCTTAACAAATTTTACCCATTATATTATTTCTACACCTCAGCTGCTTCCCAGAGAGCCTGGAACTTGAAAATAGATCTGTCTGTCTGTCTGTCTGTCTGTCTGTCTGTCTATCTATCTATCTATCTGTCTATCATCTATCTATCTATCTATCTATCTATCTATCTATCTATCTATCTATCTATCTGTCTGTCTGTCTATCTTTTTACAGGCATACCTTGGAGATAGTGCGGGTTTGGTTCTGGACCACAGCAATAAAGAAAGTCACATGATTTTTTTCAGTTTCCCAATGCGTGTAAGAGTTATGTGTACACTGCACTGTAGTTTATTGAATGTGAAACAGCATATTGTCTTAAAAATAATATGTGAACCTTAATTAAAAATACTTTATTGCTAAAAATGCTAATGATCATCTGAGCCTTCAGGGAGTTGTAATCTTTTTGCGGTGAAGGGTTTTACCTCAATGTTGGTGGCTGCTGATGATCAGGGTGGTGGTTGCTGAAGGTTGGTGTGGTTGTGGCAATTTCTTTTCTTTTTTTACTTTTTTTTTTTTTTTTTTAGAGTTGAGGTCTTGCACTGTCACTCAGCCTGGAGTGCAGTGGTGCAATCATGGCTCACTGCAGCCTTGAATTCCTGGGCTGAAGCTATCCTTCTGCCTCAGCCTCCCTAGTAGCTGGGACTACAGGTGTGTGCTGCCACATGCAAGTAAATTTCTTTCTCTTTTTTGTGTTTAGAGATGAAATCTTGGGTCTGGGTATGTTGTCTATGCTGGTCTTAAACTCCTGGCCTCAAGTGATCCTCCCACCTTGGCCTCCCAAAGTGCTGGGACTACAGGTGTATGCCACCATGCCTGGCTAATTTATTTCACTTTTTGTAAAGATGGAGTCTTGCCATGCTGCCCAGGCTGGTGAATATTCTTAATAGCATCTAGAATAATTAATTATTTCCAGAAGGTTTCTTAATGGACCTTGACAAAATCCATCAGAGGAATCACTATCTATGGCAGCTATAGCCTTACAAAATGTATTTCTTAAATAATAAGACTTGGAAGTCAAAATTAGTCCTTGATCTATTGGGCTACAGCATGGATATTGTGTTAACAGGCATGAAAACAATATTGATCTCCCTGTATAGCTCCATCAGAGCTCTTGGGTGAACAGGGACATTGTCAATGAACAGTAATATTTGAAAAAACATCTTTTTTCTTCTGAGCAGTAGGTCTCAACAGTGGGCTTGAAATATTCAGTAAGCCATGTTGTAATCAGATATGCTTCCATCCAAGCTTGTTGTTCCATTTATTGAGCACAGGAAAAGCAGATTTAGCCTACCTCTTAAAGGCCTTAAGATATTCAGAATAGTAAATGCGCATTGGCTTCAACTTAAAGTCACCAGCTGCATTAGCCCCTAACAAGAGAGTCAGCCTGTCCTTTGAAGCTTTGAAACCAGGCATTGACTTCTCCCCTTTAGCTCTGAAAGGCCTAGATGGCATTTTCTTCCTATACAATGCTGTTTCACCTACATTTCAAATCTGTGGTTTACTGTAGCCACCTTCACTAGTGACTTTAGCTAAATCTTCTGGATAACTTGTTGCAGCTTCTCCATCACCACTTGCTGCTTCACTTTCACTTTTATGTTAGAAAGACAGCTTCTTTCCTTAAACCTGATGAACCAGCCTCTGCTAGCTTCAAACTTTTCTTCTGCATCTTTCTCATCTCTTTCAGCCTTTATAGAATTGAAGAGAGTCAGGGCCTTGCTTTGGTTTAGGCTTTGGCTTAAGGGAATGTTGTGGCTGGTTTGATCTTCTACCCAGACCACTCGAACTTTTTCTATATTATCAGTAACGCCATTGCACTTTCTTAATGCTTGTGCATTTACTGGGGCAGCACTTTTAATTTCCTTCAAGAATTCTTCCTTTGCATTCACAACTTGGCTAACTTTTTGGTGCAAGAGGCCTAGCTTTTGGCCTACCTCAGCTTTTTACGTGGCTTCCTCACTAAGCTTAATCATTTCTAGCTTTTGGTTTAAAGTGAGAGACGTGCAACTCTTCCTTTCACTTGCACGCTTAGAGGCCACTGTGGGATTACTAATTGGTTTAATTTCAGTATTGCTGTGTCTCCGGAAATATGAAGGCATGAGAAGAGGCATGAGAATAGCTGGTGAATGGAGGAGTCCGAACACACACACTTATTGATTAAGTTTGCTGCCTTATATGGGTGCAGTTCATGACATCTCAAAACAATTATAATAGTAGCATCAAAGATCACTGATCAAAGATCACTACAATAGATAACATACTCATGAAAAAGTTGAAAATATAATTGTGAGAATTAGCAAAATGTGATACAGAGACACAAAGTAGGCACATGCTATTAGAAAAATAGCACTGATAGACTCGCATAACGCAGGGTTGCCACAAACCTTCAATTTGCAACAAAACACAATTTCTGCCAAGCATAAAAAAGTGACGTGCAATAAAATGAGGTATACCTGTGTACTGCAGTCTTGCTGCCAACTCTGACTTTATTCTATTTCTCCCTTGCCACTATATGTAACCATTGAAATTAATTTATTTTTTAACCTTCCAGTGTTTCCTAATGCCAATATATGTATATATTTAATAATTATACACACATATATAATATACATGAATATAGATCTGTAACTGCCTATATATGTATAAATCCATATGCATTTGTACATATATAAGCAGTTACAGATCTATATTCATATATATTACATATGTGTGTATAATGCATATATGTATGCATTTATACATATACAAGCAGTTATAGATATATAAAACATTAAAGCAGTCTTTTGTGTATTAAAATTTCAGGTGCATTGGTATATATTAAAGCATTAAAGCAGTCTTCTGTGTATTAAAGGGAGCCATATATATATGCTTTAAAAGGACTGCTTTAACATATACCAATGTATAAGAAATTTTGAAAATAATCTGATGAAGGAGTAAACTTTTTACCCAAAATAGATGTTCAACTTTTCTTTCTTTCCCCAACTGTTCTAAAGGACTCCAGTAGGGGACCTCTGTCATTCTGGTGATTAAGTATCTATTGTGTCACTTTCTGGAAACAGTACTACGCATTTTCTTTTGAGAAACGATTTTTGTCTTGGCATTGGCCTTATGGTTTGTGTAAATGGAATTCATACTCAGGATTCGAGGTGGGTTTATAAACTTTAGTCATTTTATTACAAGAGCCATATTGGGTTTAGGCATATGCTTTAAGCCAACTAGACTGAACTCTGGGAAATTGTTTGAAATGCTGAGACAGAAATGATCTCTTTTGTGCTGGATGTAAAGGAAAAAGCCCTTGAGCACCTATGAGAAGACTCAGCTATAGAATAAAAGCAACATCCTACAAAATGGAGCAGACAAAAGGCAGACACAGGATCACTGGTGATGTTTCAAGGCCCCTGGAGTAAGCCCTACTTACTCCATGAAAATGAAGTCGCTTCCTTCATCTCCCTTCAGATTTTTCATAATCTGAGTTAACAAGTTCTCTTTAATTTTGGAGCTAATATGAATTAGGTTTTCTGTTACTTATAGCTGAAATGATCACACTGACATAGTTTTTTTATTATGTATAAATATCTACACATACTTGAATGTATTTTGGTATTTATTTCTATTCTCATAAGCAGTATGTTTATTCCTGTGCCAACATTAGTGTTTTAATTTCTTTAACTTTATTCTTTGTGTTAGAGAAACTTTATTACTCAGTCCCATGTTTCCTAGTGGGGAATTCCCACTTCTCTCTCCCATACTAACTCTCTCCTTCCCTTGGGAAGAAAAGTGATTTATGTGATTGAGAACATGGAGTTCTTGCCCTGTCTCTCTGGGACCTGCAGGGCCTGCAAGTGTGTACTCCTTTTCTGCTTCTTCTGGGGCTAACAGTATGTTTTGATACTTGGCGGAGAAAGTGTTTCCATATTCTGTAGTTTTTTTCCCTTTCTTCTTCCTCAGATTTCTTGGCTCTTCTTTCATGTTTCCTCTTTTAGATACATTTTTAGGTCAGCATTTTAGAACTGATGGAAACACTTTCTGGCCCTTTGATCAGAACTGTATTAATTTCATATCATAACTGTAGAGGAACTGGTATCTTGTTCAGGAGCTTGGTGTATTTTTCTGTGTACTCAGGGCTTCTATGTATAATATATCACAAAAGTTTAATAGTTGTCTTCAATAGGTTTTATATTTTTCTTTGTATATTTATTTCCAGCTGTTTGATGATATTGGTTACTATGGTAAAGAGCACTAAAAAAATCTAATTGGTAGGGTAGTGTACAAGAAAAACCATTTGTGTTTGCTTATTAATTTTTATTCTGGCCAACTTGATTAAATCTTTTATTAGTCCTACATAGATAATAATATCTTAAATAATAGAAGTTTTCTCCTGTCACCCCACTACACGTTTTGAATTAACTGTAGTGACTAGGAATTATAGTATTGAATAATACCTGAGATAACAGGTAAACATATCTTGTTCCTAACTTTTATTGATAAGCACTTAATGTCTTACCATTGATTATGATGCTTGCTATTCACAGCAAGATAGAAGTTTTGTCTATTGTTTGCTATTTCTTTGAAAATCAAGTAGGTTTTGTATTAAATATTTTTTCAGAATCAAATAATACATTTTTTCTTTCATTTGTTAACATAGATAAAAAAATTGATATGCTAAATTGAACTAGCTACACATAGTTCATATAAATGGCACTTTGTCCACATTTTTAATGCTTTAGAGTCATTCTTATAATTTTAATTCCTAATAGTTTATTTAGGAGTTTTACATCCACATTTACAAGTGAGACTGACTTCCAGTTTTCCTTGTCTGTGTGTATTCTTTAATCTAATTTGGTATCAGAGTTTTGTTAGCCTTTTCTAATTCCAGTCTAATTTCTATTTCTAGTTAAGATAATTGCAGTCTTTTTCTACTACCTGGATGTAGTTTCAGAATATAAAAATTATTTGTTTCTTAAAGATTCAGTAGAAATCACCTAACATTTTCTGAATTTCATGCTTATTTTAGAGATAGATTTTTGACCACCTTATCTTCTTCTGTGATTATTATTGTCTTGAAATATTCTATTATTTTAGCGAATTTTGGTAATGTATATATTTTTGAAAGCTAATAGTTGTGTCTACAATTTTCAGATGTGTACAAAATATTCTCATGCTTTCTTGAATCCCTGAGTATATCAGGGATTATATAACTGTAGCTATATCCCATACATTTATCTGTAATTATGTCCCTTTTCTCACTGCTAACATCACTTATTTGTAGCATTTCTTTTTTCCCCTTTGATCAACCTTGCCAAGGATTTGTCAATTTTCCTGGTTAGTTTAAGAAATCAGGTTTTGATTTATTGCTCCAACTCTAGTATTGTTTATTTTTTCATTTTGATCGTTTCTGGCTTATGCTTTTCTATCTTTGAAAGTCTTCAAATATAATGCTTTTCTGATCACGTTCTTCTTGAGACACGTTCTGTTTTTTGAATGCAGATTACGTATAGTATACATCTCTTCTCTGTCTCTGTCTCTCTCTTTCTCATTCCAGAATACATACTAGAAAATAAGAATATAATAAGAAGGGGTTGGTCCTGGTGACTCAACCAATGTTCTTCTCTTCTCGAGTTCAAATAGTACAGCATAAGGCACAAGTCTTTATAGTTCTGTCAATTATTTAAAAGTCAAAATTCTATTAAGTTTGTCTGATCTTCCTGTATTCCTTCATGTTAACTTTGAGCAAATGCAACCATCAAACAGACAATGGAAATGCCTAGTGCCTGAACCACATTTACTCATTCAGTGTACAAGGATTGAAACACGCACACACACACACATGCACACATGCTGGGGCTAGGCACTGTGCTGGCTGCCAGGACACAGAGATGAGTCAAACAAGGTCCACTGCATAAAAGAAGCCCTGAGAGGAGTGGAGAGAAGCACTCACACGGTGCATAATCCACTGAGACCAGGCTTTAGTGAGATGTGTACCGAGTGTTCTCAAAGCAAGACGAGCAGTCAGGGATGGATGCTCAGGAAGTGGCATGAATTGAGTCCACGGGGCACTGAAGTATGCCAGCCTGTGTTCAAGGCCACGCTTAGTGTGCTTTCCTCTATGCAAGTTAGCAGCAAAGTCCTCCGTGCACACATGCCCAGGAATTTTAAATGCCATTTCTTTGGGGAAAGGAAAACCAATGTAACTTAATAATATCAAAGTGAAATAAAAGTCTTTTATTTCAGAGGTGGAAAGACCATTGTAAATTAAACTGTAAATTTAGTCTAAATCTCACTTCACATTACTTCTGATATTTTTAGCAACACTACTTAAATTCATATTATACTCACTTATCGTTGAGTTTGTGAATAACATGTATTTACTTCAACTTATAAATTTTGATATAACCTTTGAACTTTTGGGTTAACCCAAAGAAACATGTAAATGGCAGAAATGTATTGCTATTTAAAGTAATTTAAATGCGATCTATTTCTACAAATGTTTGTTGCTTTTTTATCTCTGATATCCAAAAATCAGGAGAAAAGGAGGCCTTAAAAGTTGTAATTAGGCCGGGCGCGGTGGCTCACGCCTGTAATCCCAGCACTTTGGGAGGCCGAGGTGGGCGGATCATGAGGTCAGGAGATCGAGACCATCCTGGCTAACACGGTGAAACCCCGTCTCTACTAAAAATACAAAAAAAATTAGCCGGGCGTGGTGGCGGGCACCTGTAGTCCCAGCTACTCGGGAGGCCGAGGCAGGAGAATGGCGTGAACCCGGGAGGCGGAGCTTGCAGTGAACCGAGATCGCGCCACTGCACTCCAGCCTGGGCGACAGAGCGAGGGTCCGTCTCAAAAAAAAAAAAAAAAAAAAAAAAAAAAGTTGCAATTAAACTAAAAACTGCTTAATTTTTAAAAAAGGTTTTTGTTTTGTTTTGTTTTAAGAAGTAGCAGTTGGTAACTGTCTCTAGCTCAGAGACAATACATGGCCAGGAAAAGATTGCTCATCTCAACTCAGAGGATAAGGGCCACAAAACAGCACGTTCAGTGCCAAGAAACCTACGATGTGGCTGTAGCTCACACAGAAGCCCGGGTTCTAGTCCTGAGACCTCCAAGGGAAACTTCTGCCCTTGGAAATTCACCCCTTTTCCAATCATTACGCTAGTATTTCATTGGCAGAAAGGCAGGCTGCACAATCAGCTGTCATGCCCCCAGCCCTGCATGCATCACCTTTCCACATTCCGTGGGTGTAGGACGAGGCTAGGGCGAGGAGTGGGTAGAAGAAATTGTATTTGCCTTTGGTAATTTTAAGTTTGACCACTGCATTGCGTTTAGCTGTTTTAACTGTGCAGGTCAGAAAATGTGCCCAGGTTTGCTAAAATAAATGCATAAATGCAACTCACGAAGTGCCAGTAGTACTTCCTTCAGCCGGCAGAGGGCAGAACAGAGGAACAGAACTTCACAAAGCAAGGCGCTGCCTGTCTTCTCAGACCAAAACACAAACCAGAAGCTGTGTTTTCCTTTGTTTCTTCAGAAAAGTTGTACGTAGAAGAATAGCATTTTTGAAGGAGGACTTTCACCAAAGCTTTTAATATCAGAATAATATATCCACTTTAGTATTTGATGTGTCCAGTGTCAAGACATCCAGATTCACCCAAACTGTGGCAGGGATGAGGCAGGAGAGACCCGAATACAGAGCTGTCCAGTGTGCCAATTTCAGTCAATTCTTAGATCAATCCGGAGTGTATAATTCTCAGAAAGGAAAAGATTTGTGGATTTTGTTATAGTTGTTTCATGCCAATGAACGTTCTCGTCACATTCTGATCGTTTAAAATAAAATGCACTAGATTTACTTTAACACTTTGGTCTCTGAAAGAGAAAGAAAGCCACGCGGCTTAATAAAAGCAACCCAATGCAAGTATTTGTTTTAAAACTGCCTAGCTAAAACACAGCGCCGCTGGATTACAATTGCCTCTTTGCTGAAGCAAAACACACATGGTGCTTAGATTCTACTTCAGCCTGAACTCCTTTTGAAAGGAAAGGGAGAAAGCTGTAGTGGAATGTGATTCACAATTCAGCCTTTCTATAAGGCCTGACACTCCCATGAGGCTTAAATGGAATCACACAGTGAATTTTCCACCGGCGAAATTTACTAGGGAAAGCCGTCTGGAAGCTGTCTTTTAGTAGAAGCACAGGAAGCCCGTGCGATCGATGAAGAATACCGACCCTCCTCTAGCTACGTCTGGCTCCCCTTTCCCTATCCTGCTTCCCAATGTACTTGTTCCCCATGACCCAGAATGGATTACAATGCCTTCTGCCTCACCATTATGAAAAAAGGGATTTCAGGGTTTCTTTCTGGGGGGATGAAATTGAAAGGTTTTAATATTTAGGCTGTAGTGATGGTTGCGTAGCACTGCTAATAAATATACCAAAAACCGTTGAACTACACATTTTAAATTGGTGAACTGAGTGATGTGTAAATTATTTCTTAACAAAGCTGTTAAAAATAAATTGATTTATCTCTCTACGATAGAAATGAATGTAATGTAATGAATAGTAATATTGAAACTCGCTTGCTTTTTAGCTAAAATGAGAGTCAAAGCAACATTATTTGATTGCCAGATTCTATTTCCTTTTAAGTTTTTTATTCTTCCATTTGGTGTTTGTGTGTCTGATTTTCTTTCTAGATTTTTCTTTTAGTGTTTCAGGTCCGAAGAAAAATCTTGGTTTTTGTTTATTTACTCTAAGAATTGAAAAATCTATAGATGGGGTGCAGAAAATGCTACCTCAAAATATAGCCCCTAGGCATACTGAGTAACTTGAGAAAACAGTGGAAGCAGGGACATCTCTGACTTTCTCCTATTCCCTCTCTCCTGAAGCAGATCATAGAAACTGACATTCTTCTGTCCCCTGACTCCCCTGAAGTGGGCCATAGAAGCTAGAATTCCCTTCATACCTTCTTCCCTGAAGTAGGTCATAAAACACAGGAAGACCACTCTCTGACCATCTACCTCTCTCCTCCCATAATAACCCTCATACCCTGAAGAAAGGAATGTCACACAGAGAGGACATGAAGAATCCAAACAGACAGGCCTTGTTCAGTTCCCCCAGCTTATCACCATTAGATCACACCCATTGGTCCTCCAATCACACTACTGTGTGACTGTCAATACAAATACAGTTTTTCCTGGGGCTTTGGGTCTCCTTTCTGAAGGCTCCTACGTCAGGTAAAATTTATATTAAATAAGTCTGTATGTTTTGCTCTTGTTCATCTCTCTTTTGTTATAGGGGTCTCAGCCATGAACCTGTAATTGGATGAGGAAAAGGTATTATCATTTCTCCCATACCCTGTATTACACAATAAAAAAAAAACCAGTAACATCTTGTATTTGTCCTATTTGAAAATTTTATTTATTAGCATTAGCTAATAAATTATTTGTATATATGCAAAACAAGATTGGAAATGACTTCCTGTTATATGAAAATGATTTCATCATGTGATATAACAGCTAAATATTTTAAAGCAACTTTAGGCAGCATTTAATAAAGGTGCTAACAGTGAGGAAGGAAGTATCTTCTACTTGGTACAGGTCAGACACATCTGGGGTTTGGTGTTAGCTTTAAACAACAGTGTAGCCTGGAATATTTCCAGTAGAAGGAGAAAGGGCTCAGGCACACTTAGGAGAAACCTATTTCTACCTCCAAATAATGGAAGGGCTGTCACATGAAAGAATGAACTTCTTTGACACAGCTCTTACAGTATAAAATTGTATTTGTTTTACAAATAGTACAACAGGTATAAGTTCTAAGGAGACACGAAAGAACTCCGTAATGTTTGGAGCTGTCTAAATGGGAGTGAGTTACTTCATTAAACAGTGAGCTCCTATTTGAGAAGTGTGGCTCATGACCTGGAAATGATTATATTGTGGGAAGGATGTGCTAATTCCAGGTCCAGCTTGTAACTGATATCTGGTGCCATCCGCAACTGGCACTCGGGGTGTCCTTTGGGGAAGTGGTTGTGTGTGGACTAACTAAGCTATATCACTTGATGATCAGATCATTTTGCCAAAGCACACCTATGCCAGCTTTTAAAAGGCTCATGTAATTATATTAGGCCCACTAAAATAATCAACTTTTTGCCATTTAACATAACATAATTAAGGGAGTGATATCTCCTCATCTTCAGAGGTTCCACCCACACTCAAAAGGAGGGAATTGTACATCAGCGTGGGGCATTAGGCCACTCTTAGAATTCTGCACTTCACAGGGTGACTGGAATTAAAACATTCCATGGTTACTGTAGTGTTCAGAGAAGGCTAAAGTGTCCATTGGCTTTGGAGCTCCTGCTTCACTACTTGGAGACCTGTATTTTTTTTCAGCTCTTGATGCTGGAAGGAAGGTTCTTTCCAACTTGATGAAACAATCACCAAATATACACCAGTGGGGGCTTTCCTGAGCCCCTGCTCCTGAACCAGGTCCTCTCCTTCCTCATTCACTCCTAGAATCTCTAGGACTCCAGCCTATACCAAGTTCAAAACTTGTCCAGATCTAACTTTAATGAATGTAATCACCATTAATCCTAACTCAAACTATTTCCCCCATATTTTTTTTTATTTTAAATCATTCTTCTTTACGTCTTTCTTGCTTAATTTCTCCTAAGAAGCAAGATTTGGGTTCGATTTTCCTTTTCTAGGTGTTTTTTTGTTTGTTTGTTTATTTGTTTTTTGTGGGGACAGGACTCAAGTCTTGAAATGTGAAATATATATATTCATATTATCTATATTGTGTGTATACATACATATATGTTTCACATGTGTAGAAGATTTCTCTCGTCTCCAAAAAAAAAGGATACACAGATACACAGTCATGCATTGCTTAACGATGGGGATACCTTCTGAGAAATGTGTTGCTATCCAAATCTGTCATTGTGTGAATATTACAGAATTTATTTACACAGACCTGGATGACCTAGCCTACTAAACACCTAGACTATACGGTATAGCATATTGCTCCCAGGCTGCAAAGCTGTGCAGCATGTGACTGTACTAGATGCTGTAGGCAAATGTAACAATGGTAAGTATTTGTGTTATTTAAACATATTGAAACAAAGAAAAAGTACAGTAAAATACATTGTTATAGTCTTATGGGACCACTATCCTATATGTATACCATTGTTGACTGAGCATCATTATGTGGTGCGTGACTGTCTATATCCTTGGTAATATGGATTACTCTTAAGCCATTAATCCCCCCAGTGTGTACTCATGGAATGGTAACTGACTATAGAATTAAGCTTAACAAATCATAATTAGGAAAACAAATCATCCATAAAAAATACTGTGCACAGGCAGTTTCCAAGTTATGAATATATCAGGTCCCCATAGTTTACTTTTCAGTCAATTGTTTAGAGCCTAGTCCTAGAGATACTATATTTTGGGGAAAATGCTGGTTAGGTTTCTGGGTTCCCTGTGGGTTTGATCAGCCCATAATGAAAATGAATTATAGTAGTAATAGTAAAAGAGATCAGGATTCTGGGAACAAAAGAAAATTTTACTCCTTATTTTTTATTGAGTAGGGCTATCTGGGAGAATATTTGGAAATAGTTTGCTTTTTATATTTTTCACTCTTTGCACATTTTGTTAATTTACTTTTATTCCTCTACTATTGCTCAGAAAGTCCCCTGAGATTCCTGGGATTTTCTGACTGCCCATCTTGCCTCACTGGCCAACAGCACCATGCTCCCTGTCCCAGGCGGGCTCTTCTTCCAAAAGTCCTATCGACTTACAAATCCTTTTTCCTCCCAAATGCAAATGAAGCTCTCTTCATTTCATGAAGCTGATCTCATCTAAAGGTTATGATATTAGCCGTGGTTTTTTTCTAGGTGCTCTGTATCAAGTGGAGGAAGCTGCCTTCCATTCCCAGTTTGTCGGTTTTTATCGTGAAGGGCTGTAGAATTTCGTCATATACTTTTTCTGTGTCTATTAAGATGATCTTCTGAGTTTTTTTCTGTTGTATTGATATGATGTATTACATTATTTGAGTTTTGAATGCTGAACCAACCTCACATTTCTGAAATAAATCCCATTAGGTCAAGGTGAATAATCCTTTTTCTATGTTGCTTGATTCAGTTTGCTAGTGTTTTGTTGAAGATTTTCATGTCTATATTCATAAGGGATATTAGTCTGCAGAGTTTTGTTGTTTTTTTCCTTGAGATGTCTTTGCCTGGTTTTGATATTAGCAAAACGCTGGCATCATAGAATAAGTTAGGAAGTGTTTTCTCTCCTCTCCTATTATTAAGAAGACTTTACAAAGGATTGGTATTCATTCTTCATAATAAAATTTCTGGAATAACTTATCAGTGAAGTCATCTGAACTATGGATTTTCTTTATGGAAAATGTAAAAATTACTAATTCAATTTTTTAAGTTGCAGTTTTTAAATTAGTGATTCAGTCTCTTATAGGTCGATTTAGATTTTCTCTTTGTCTGATAATTCGTGTTTTTCTAGGAATTTGTCCATTTCATCTAAGTTATCTAATTTGTGGGCACACATTATTATATAATGTTTCTTTATAATCCTTTTTATTTTTGTAAGATGGGTAGTGCTGTTCACTTTTTCATTCCTGATTTTGGTAATGTGAATCTCATCTTTCTTCTTTCGGTCAGTCTAACTAAAGGGATGCCAGCTTTGTTGATGTTTTCAAATAATAAATTTTTTGTTTTATTGATTTTTCTCTTTTGTTTTTGTTTTTTATTTATTCTGTAATAAAATAACATAATAATAATAATTATTATTTATATTTGCTTTAACTTTAGTTTTTTTCCTAGCATCTTAAGATGGAAGATGGTTATTTATTTGAGATCTTTCTTCTTTTTTAATGTAGGCACTTACAGCTACAAACTTCCCTGTGATCACTGCTTTAGCTACAATCCATACATTTTGGTACGTTGTACTTTAATTTTCATTTCTTTCTAATTTCCCTTGTGACTTCTGTCTTTGACTCATTAGTTATTTAGGATGCGTTGGGTAATTTCCACATACTTGAGAATTTCCCCATTTTTTTCTGTTGTTGATTTCTAATTTAATTCTGTTGTGGTAAGAAAAAATAATTTTTTATTATTTTAATTTCTTTGAATTTATTGAGGCTTGTCTATGGACTCCTATATGGTCTACCTTGGAAAATGTTTCATGTGTACTTCAGAAGAATATTCTGTTGCTGTTGGGTGGAGGATTCTATAGATGTCTGTTAGATCTTGTTAGTTTATACTGTTCGAGTTTTTGATTTCCTTGTTTATCTACTGTCTAGTAATTCTATTCATTATGGAAAGTAGGGTGCTGAAACATTTATTATTGTTGAATTATCCATTTCTCCCTTCAGTTCTGTCAATTGCTGTTGTTGTATTTTGGGGTTGCATTGTTAGGTGCAGTATAGCATATATTTTCAACTTTTATCTTAGATTTAGGGTATACATGTGCAGGTTTGTTACCTGGGAATATTGTGTGATGCTGAGGTTTGGGGTACAATTTATCCCATCACTAAGCATGGTACCCAATAGTTACTTTTTCAGCTCTTGCCCCTCACCTCTCTCCCCTCTCCAGTAGTCACCAGTGTCCATTTTTGCTATCTTTATATCCATGTGTATCCAATATTTAGCTCCCAGTTAAAATTGAGAACATGTAGTATTTCATTTTCTGTTCCCGTGTTAATTTGCTTAGGGTATTGGCCTTTAGCTGAATCCATGTTGCTGCAAAGGACATGATTTTATTCTTTTTTTTATAGCTATGTAGTATTCTGTGGTATGTATGTACCACATTTCCTTTATCCAATCCATTGCTGATGGGCAACTAGGTTGAGTCCATGTCTTCGCTATTGTAAATAGTGTTGTGATGAACATATGAACACGTGTCTTTTTAGTAGAACAATTTATTTTCCACTGGATATATATTCAGTTACGGGATTGCTGGGTTGAATGGTAGTTCCGTTTTAAATTATTTGAGAAATCTCCAAACTGCTTTCCACAGTGACTGAAATAATTTACATTTCCACCAACAGTGTCTAAGCATTCTCTTTTCTTTTCAGTCTCACCAGCATCTGCTGTTTTTGGACTTTTTAGTAATAATCATTCTGAATGGTGTGAGATGGTATCTCATTGTGGTTTTGATTTTCATTCCCTGATGATTAGTGATGTTGAACTTTTTTCGAAAGTTTGTTGACCGTTTGTGAATCTTCTTTTGAGAAGTGTCTGTTCATGTCTTTTGACATGAACATTTTTAATGGGGTTATTATTATTATTTTCTGGCTTGTTCAGTTGTTTAAATTCCTTTTAGATTCTGGGTATTAGACCTTTGTCATATGCATAGTTTGCAAATATTTTCTCCCATTCTGTAGGTTATCTGTTTACTCTACTGATAGTTTGTATGGCTGTACAGAAACTCTTTAATTAGTTCCCTCTTACCAATTTTGGTTTTAGTTGCATCTGCTTTTGAGAACTTAGTCGTAAATTCTTTCTCAAGGCAGAAGTCCAGGATGGTGTTTCCTAGCTTTTATTCTAGAATAAAAGTCTGAAATCTTATATTTAAATCTATAATCCATCTGGAATTAATTTTCGTATATGGTGAAACATAGGGGTCTAGTTTCATCCTTTTGCAAATGGCTAGCCAGCTATTCCAGCACCATTTATTGAATAGTGAGTCCTTTTCCCACTGCTTATTTTTATTGACTTTGTCAAAGATCAGATGTCTGTAGCTCTGTGGCTCTATTACTAGGTTTTCTATTCTGTTCCATTGGTCTATGTGTCTGTTTTTTTGCCAGTACCATGCTGTTTTAATTATTGTAGCCTTATAGTATAGTTTGAAGTTGAGTAATGTGATGCCTCTGGCTTTTTTTTTTTTTTTTTTTTGGTTTGCTTAGAATTGCTTTGGATAATTTTTTTTTTGGTTCCATATGAATTTTAGAATGGTTTTTTGTCTAATTCTGTGAAAATGATATTAGTTTGATAGGAATAGTGTTGAATCTACAGATTGTTTTAATGATATTGATACTTCCAATACATGAGCATGGAATGTTTTTCCATTTGCTTGTGACATCTGTGATTTCTTTCAGCAGTATTTTGTAGCTCTCCTTGTAGAGATCTTTCACCTCCTTGGTTAGCTGTATTCCTAGATATTTTACTTTATTATTATTTTTTGTGACAATTGTAAATGGGATTGCTTTCTTGATTTGGCTCTCTGCTTGAATGCTACTGGTGTATAGAAATGCTACTGATTTTGGTACATTGATTTTGTATCCTGAAACTTCACTGAAGTTGTTTAACAGTTTCAGGAGGTTTTTGATGAAGTCTTTAGAGTTTTGTAGGTATAGGATCTTATCGTCAGTGAAGAGAGATAGTTTGACTTCTTCTTTTCCTATTTAGATGTCTTTTATTTCTTTTTTCGTGTCTGGTTGCTCTGGGTATGACTTCTGCATATATGTTTATAATTGTTATATTCTCCTTGTGGATTAACCCTGTTATCTTTATGAAATATTTCCCATTATCTCTAGCAATATTTTTGTTTCTTAGTTTATGTATGTCGTCTCATATTTATATGGCCACTCTAGCTCTTTTAAGGTTTCTGTTTGCATGGTATATCTTTTTCTATCATTTTACTTTCAACCTACTTGTATATTTGAATGTAAAATGTGTCCTGTAGAGAGTATATAGTTGGGCTTTGTTATTTTTCCAGTCTGATAGTCTCTGCCTTTTGATTGGATTGTACATATTTAATATTTTATTGTAATACTTAGATTTAATCTGTCATTGTTTTTATTTGTTTTGTCATTGTTTTCTGTATGTCTCATGTTTGTTTCATTCCTTTCTTCTTTACTGCCTTGTTTAGTGTTAAGCAAATATTTTCTAGTGTGATATTTATTTAACTTATCTTAATGATCTTTAAATAATATATGCATTATTCTCTTAGTGATGTCTCTAGTGCTTACCATGCATGTCTTATCAAAATCGACTTCAGATTTATATAAAATTCATTCCAACAAAATAAAGAAATTTTACTCATATATGTGTCTATTCCTTTCCCCTCTTTTGGGTACTATTAATGTTGTGTATATTGAGCTAAATATGTTACAAACCAAAAAATACATTGTTATAATTTTACATAATCTTATGTTTTTTTTTTTTTAACAAAACTGAGAAAAGAAAGAAGAGGAAGTACGTATTTATATAGTTTGCTGTATTAACCTTATTATATACTGTTTACAATTCATTTCTTTCTGTGGATTTGAACTACCATCTAGTGTCATTTTCTTCCTTTCTTTCTTTCTTTCTTTTTTTTTGAGACGGAGTCTTGCTCTGTTGCCCAGGCTGGAGTGCAGTGGCGAGATCTCGGCTCACCGCAAGCTCTGCCTCCGGGGTTCACGCCATCCTCCTGCCTCAGCCTCCGGAGTAGCTGGGACTACAGGCGCCTGCCACAACGCCTGGCTAATTTTTTTGTATTTTTAGTACAGACGGGGTTTCACCGTGTTAGCCAGGATGGTCTCAATTTCCTGACCTCCCAAAGTGCTGGGATTACAGGCGTAAGCCACCGCGCCCAGCCCATCTGGTGTCATTTTCTTACTGTGATATAGTTTTGCTCCTACCAACCTTCTCTGCACTGTTTTTGTCAAAAATATTAAATTTCTATATATTATAAACTCACTAATATAATGATACACATATTTTTGTGCAATTTGTCCTTTAAATCAGTTTAGAGAAGAAAGGGGAATGAATATTCAATTACACTGTCTTTCTTACTGACCTACATCATTACCTTTATTAGCACTCTTTCTTTTCTCGTGCAGATTCAAATTATTCTCTGGTGTGGTTTGCTTTTAGTCTTAAAAACTCTCTTTAGTATTTCTTGTAAGGGGGTTAACAAACAGCATTTGTGTATCTCAGAATGTTTTTATTTTGCCTTCATTTTTCAAAGATAATTTTGGTAGATTCTTGTTGACCTTTTTTACTTTTTAGCACTTCAAATATGTCATACCATTGCCTCCAATATTTCTAATAAGAAGACAATTGTTAATCTTTTTGAGATTCCCTTGCAAGTGGTGAGTCATTTCTTTCTTGCTGTTTTCTCCTTCTACATTTTGACTATAATGTGTCCGAGCGTGAATTTCTTTGTATTTCTCCTACTTGGAGTTTATTGAGCTTCTTGACTCTGTAGAAAAATGCTTTTCATCATATTTAGGAATTTTTCAGACATTGTTTCCTTGAATATTTTTTTCTGCTCCTTTCTCTTTCTCTTCTCCTTCTGGCACTTCTATTATGCATAAACTGGTACACTGAATGGTGTTCCACTCTATTCTTTCAGGCACTGTTTATTTTTCCTCATTCTTTTTTTTCTCTTTTGGATTACATAATCTCTACTGATCTTCTTCAAGGTCAGTTTCTTTCTTCTACCAGCTCAGACTGTCTCTCGAGACCCTTTAGTCATTGTTTTATTTATATTTTTGTACTTTTCAAATTCAGAATTTTCATTTGGTACCTTTAAAAATAATTTCTCTTTTACTGGCATTTTCTATTTGATTAGATATTGTTATCATACATTTTCTTTAATTCTTTAGACATGATCTCATTCAGTTCTCTGAACTTATTTAAAATGTGTGATGTCATTGTCTGCTAAGTCAATTATTTAGGCTCCTTCAAAAGCAGTTTCTATTCCCTGCCTTTCTTCTGTCTGTGTATCTACTATGAGCTGAATATGTTATGGGATGAAGTGTTTCTCCCCAAAATTCACAGATTGAAGTCCTAACCTCCAATATCTCAGAATGTGACTGTATTTGGAGACAGGGCCTTTCAAAGAGGTAATTAGGTAAAATGAGGTCATATGAGTGGGCCCTAATGGAATACCACTGGTGTCCTTCCAAAAAGAGGAGATTAGATACACACACAAAGGGAAGATCACGTGAAGACAGCATGTGAAGACCACGTGGAGGGAGGTGGCCATCTACAAGTTAAGGAGAGAGGGCTCAAAAGAAACCAACACTGCTTACATCTTGATCTTAGACTTCTAGCATCCAGAATTTTGAGAAAATAAATTTCTATTGTTTAAGCCACATAGTCTGTAGTACTTTGTTATGGTGTCCCTAGCAAATTAATACAGGGTCACATTTTCCTATTTCTTTGCATGTCTTGTAATTGTTTCATTGAAAACTGGAACTTTTGCATAATACATTGTAGCAACACTGCTTATTGATTGCCCCTCCTCCACCC
The DNA here is from genome assembly GCF_000001405.40 of Homo sapiens. Lineage (NCBI taxonomy): Eukaryota > Metazoa > Chordata > Mammalia > Primates > Hominidae > Homo > Homo sapiens. Next base: position 4,117,425 of record NC_000018.10, read on the forward strand.
CAGGGGGTTGATGTTGTTGTCTTGGCCAATTTATTTACGCTTTGATGACTTAAACTCTATTTCCCACACAGTGTGCAGCCTCGTGTTTATATCTTTGAGCCTGGCTATGTAGAGATTTCTCCGGGTCAGCATAAAATCACTGGTCATAGATTGTGCTTAAGACCGCTTAGCCAGTTCTACTTTTACTCTTTACCTTGGATGTGTTTGTGGCTTGGAGGCTGCTATTGCAATTTAAATAATTATGTGTTTGCCTTCACATTTTGTGACGGACTACTAGCTTGGATTTTTCTTCTCCCATCACTCTGGAGAAGGCACAGTCTTGGGTGTGTACAGGGACTTTCAGGCTGCCAGGGATCAGCATGGTTTTTCTTCTTAAGCCTGCTTTCCTAGGAGTTGCCTCTGGGTCAGTTCAGCCAGCTGTGGTGAAGTTTGTGCTTAAGCCTCTAGTGCCAGTGAGGCTTCTGCCCTTTGTGGATTATTCCGTATGTGGTTTAGTGGTGTTTTCAAATCTGCCCACATCTAGCTCTGATTGCTTCTGACTATTGCTAGGTACAGCCTTGCACTGCACACAGCCTTCATGACCGCCAGGGTTATGTGGCATCCCAGGAGGGTTCTTCTTGGTGGTCTTTCCATTGTACCCTGTTACACTTCTGATTGCTCTGCCATTTTGCATGTGGTAGCTTGCACCATGGAGCTATGAGTGCCTTCTGAATTGCTCTCCAACAAGATGCTCATTGCTTTTGACAATGTCCTTAAGCATGGAATTCTCCACGCTCCATTCCAAATAAAGCCAGCCCCTGCAGGCCGAGCTGTGGAGTTCTTCGTCCCTGAGATCTGCCTCTTTGGCCTGCCTCTTCCTGAGCAGCACTTCTGTTCCACTGCACAAGAGCTGGGGGTAGAACCCACTCTTGTCCCAGAGTGACATCCTGCTCCGCCAGCAGGTACGGAGTGTGTGTGGCCTGTACCTTCCTGGCTTGCCTTTCCTTGTATGGAGCCTCAGCCTTAGAAGTGAGCTGGGATGAAGGTGATCAGGGCCTCACTATTCTCTCCTAGCTATGCCTGGGGAAAAGCTTCAGTCCTACGAATAGAAGTTAGGTGGAGGAAAGGAATCCTGGGCCTCTTAGTCACCCCCGCCTACAATGGAATTTCTGTAAAATGGGGCTGGAAGATGAGAAACTCTGTCAGCCCATTCCTCCCATGGTGAAACTGTAGCCCCAGGCTGGGGAGCTGGGGAGCTGGGGTGGTGGTGGGAAGAGTCTCATTTTCTTGGTTGCATCTCCCTGGATTAGAGCTCCTCAATCAGTTTCCCTAAGCTTGGGGTGGAAGGTAAGGGTCATGACTGAAATGCCACAGACCCCTGTCTTAATGAGATTTAGCTGATTTTCTCATTTTCTTGAATGAATATTACCCTATTTACTTTAGGATAATTCTCTTTAAAAAACTATGTTTTTAAAAAATGCTTTCCTCCTGATAAATGGATGTTTACTGGGGAGAGATTCTGAGGGACTCTTCACTCTTCTCTGGAGTCATCTTTCCCTTTGCGTTATAAATAATTCAAATAACACAAATAACGACTCCTACCTTTGGGTATACATTTTTTCACAACGAAAATTTTCTCTTCTATTACTTCTCTATATGTTTTATATACTAATACCCTTATCTCAGTATTTTATTTTATTTTTTTTGAGATGGGGTCTCACTTTGTGGTCCAGGCTAGAGTGCAGTGGCATGATCACAGTACACTATAGCCTCGAACTTCTGGGCTCAAGTGATCCTCCCGCCTCAGCCTCCCCTGCAGCTGGGACTATAGGCATGTGCCACCATGTCTGGTTAATTTTCCTTTTCTTTTTGTAGAGATGGGTTCTCACTATGTCTCACGGGCTCTTCTTGAACTCCTGGGCTCAGGCAATCCTCCCTCCTCAGCCTTCCAAAGTGCTGGGATTACAGGTGTGAGCCACTGCACTCAGCCTATCTCAGTATTTTAAATAACAGAGCCACCAATAATTAGTGCACTGCAGGACAGAGCAAAGAGCTAATCCTCACTCAGATCGATCTGCATTTGAACAGCACTCTATTGTTTCACAATGCTATTGAAATGATAATAGCACTTTGTCCTCATTGGGAAGTGACTGGAATGTGTTTAGCAATACGGAATACGGTGAGGATGACAGCCGAAGGCACACAGGTTGTTCTGGCAGAGCTAGGACTAGAATCAGGGCTCCAGACTTCCAACTCTTCCAAGCTAAAAAGAGTGAATTAGACAAAAGCACTCTTTAAAAAAAAATCTGCTTATTTTATGTCTGGAGTAGGAGCTTATCTACCCACAAAGATGTGGATCACTATTAATCTGGAAATTTTCTGTTTCTATATTTTAATTTAGTAACAATGCGATGAAACTTGTGCTTTTGATAAGATTTCCTATGAAATGAGACATCATTTGGATACATAAATATTCTCACTGGCAAAATTACTTGACATAGGCACCTATTTATTTGATACAATGACTGAATTTTAAGTATCTCTTTGAGGTTTAAAAAAAGCCATTGAAAGTGAAAAAGAGAAACAACCTTTTAACAGCAGAGGGGGCTGGCTGAATTAATAAAAGGGACTGCTGAATTACAATTTATCATTTAACTGAAGGATTCTTTTCAATACAATCACTACTTTGAAAATGAATATTTATTATGACTGAAAATTAGTGAAGATTAATTATAATGCTATTTATTAGGAGACCTTTAAAAACCATCCCTTGTTTGAAAAACACTTATAAAGCTCCTAGTTGTTCAGACATTTATGTTAGCAACTGTTAAAAAAAGCAGTGAGCTGCTACTAAATATATCAGAGTGCCCAATTAAATTTCTACAGGTCATCAGATGGCGTCACTGACTGGTGGAAAGGCTGAAGTTAAATCCTTCATCCTAAAGGAAACAATCAGACAACATGAGTTCTGTATCTAATCCGCAGCATGACAGAAAGCCAATAGGAAAAAGTGAATTGCACATCACTCGTGGCTTTTCATAACCATTGTCCACAGTTTGATCTTGATGTGAACCACTGAGACATAGCTTGTAATCATAAAATCTGCAATGTCAGTGAAGCAATGATAGACAGGTAAGAACGAGATTGGTGCTCAAAGCAGCTAGGGAGGTCTATAGGTTTCGCCTGACAAGAGAACAGATCAAAATATGGCAGAGTAATTGCCCACCATTTCCACTGTTTCTTTTTCTTCTAAATTAAAAGTACTCAGTCATGCAAACAAACCGATTGTAATGTCTGCCTTTCCTTCTTTCCTTCCTTCCCTTCCTTCCCTTCTCCCTCCCTCCGTCCTGCCATCCTCCTCCCTTTCTCTTTCTCTCTCTCCCTCTCCCTCCCTCCTTCTCTCCTCTTTCTTTTTCTTTCTTTTATTAATTCACCAAATATTTACCGAATGCCTACAGTAGGCTAGGCACTTCGTTACTAGGCTAGATACTGGGCTAGGCTAGCTACAGGGATATAGCAGAGAACAAGGTAGACACAGACCCTGTTCTCAGTACCCACATTCTCATGGTGGTGGTTGGAGGAGGTGGGCACAGACAGTGAATGCATAAACAAATGCAAGATGAGTTCTGGTTATGGTGGCTGTTAGGCAAGACGGACACTGGTTCACGTGACAGAACTTGTCTAGAGTGGGGGTGCAAGTTGGGGTGTGTGAGGTGGGATAGAGATTGGGCCATGCCAGTTAGGCCATTAGGAAAGACCTGTTTTAAGACCTGAGAGTGAGAAGGAACTGACTGTGAGAAGAACATTCCAGACAGAGGAAACAGCAAGAGCAGAATCCCTGAGACAGGAAAGGGTGTGCAGGAACTCAAGGATAGATTGATGTAGAGGAGGTAATGCTGTGGAAGTCAGGATGGGCAAGAGGATGAAGGGACAAAGCATCTTTGGTTGGCCAGACTTTATGTAGGCTTCTGAACCTTCTCCTAGGCCCATCCAGGCACTTCCTTGTAAAATCTACTTTTAGCAAAGAACCCTGCTAAGTCACTTTGGCAAGAACCCCTCACCCCCCGTCCTCAACATCTGATCACTCTCGATTCTGATCAGGTTCCTCATCCTCCACCATCCCCCAGGTGATGTCTGGTTATCCTGGCCTGCCTTCATCAAGAATCCTGTTAGGTCAATTTAGCCAGAATCCCCCTTACTCCTGATGTTTCTTCCTAGCAATTTCCCATCCACTGACCCCTACCCTGCCCCTTGACTGCTAATTCCCACTTGCTCATGCCATACTCAGAGTTGTGCCCAATCTCTCTCCCCTACTGCAAGACCCTGTTGCAGTGGTCCCTGTACCCATCGTGATAGTCCTGAATAAAATTTTCCTTATCATGCTTTAACAAGTACCATTGAATAATTTTTTCTTTAACAGTAGGAATATAATGATGACCAACATTTACTGAGAGTTTGCTGTGTGTCAGCTCCTCTAAGAAACTAACATGTATTATCTCATTTAATACCCATGACAAACTTAGAAAGTAGGTATTAGTATTATCTTCTTTTTAAAGGTGAGGAAACTAAATCCTAAGTCAGGCAAAACTGGGAGTTGAACCAAGGTTGTCTGACTCCAGCATCTGTGAGTTTAAATACTATGCTTTAGTATTAGAGGGAATGCAATCATGTGGAAGTGAGCAGGCTAGACAAGGGCTCTATCATGATCCAAAAATATGTATGGCAAACCCTATGCCTGTGATGGTGTAGTAGCAGCTCCATAGAGAAAGTTGCATAGACACAACCTTTGCTTTCAGTGTATTTATAACCAGGAAAAGACAAATGTTATAGCAGGAGGGGTTATAGGAGGGGAAAAATATTAAACCAAAAAGCAAATGCATGGTTACAGTTCAGTCATCACATGCAGGCGAAAACTTAAATGATAGTTCACTTTAGTCCTTAGCTAAGTAGTTGTGTCCATTTCAGACTGAAATCTTATTCTGTAATTCCCAAGAAAGGCCTTTTCCGCCACGATTACTGTGTTTTCGCTTTCTTATTTTGAGGGGGTGATGCGGGAGAAATACATGAAGCTATTGTTCCAGAACAGGTTAGTCATGAGGTCTAACCTCAAGCTGGCAAGTCCCTGTGGAACTGTAGTGAAAATGTTTTTACGTTTTTTGCACTGTTAGGACTTTCTAAACTAATTGTACTAAATTCTAGGACCTGAGCTAAAAGGCAAGCCTGCCAGTTAAATGATGATTGATTAGATGGTAAGAGACCATCCAGAGAGATCTACCTCCCTGGAGGTAAGTATTTGTATTTTCATTTCAAGGGGAGAATGAGACCTGAGACCATGGAGACATCCTAAGGTTGTAAAGCTGGAGAGGCGAGACTTTGTCTACTCCTTGGAGAGATTTATTTGCATTCCAAAGGCTAAGAATAGGAACTCAGGATCCTTGCCAAAGAGCAAAGGTTCTCCCTTCTCTTTCAGGAGGGAAGGGGAGATGGCTGTCCCTCTCCTATATAACTACCCAGGTTCATCTTTGGGGGATTTCTTGCCTACAGTGGACCCTATTTGCTTCTCACTCCATTGCCCCAAGGGTAAGAACTGGGGCTAAAGGGATCTGGAGTGGAAATTATTGTATAAGTAGTGATAATTAATCTGTTCTGCTTCAGAAACCTTGTGTTTGCATTCAGGGTAGTATTAGTAAATATAGAATTGGAAACTTAGTATCCTTCCAGCTCTTTCTCCCTCATGGGCATCAACGGACAAGATGGGAGGAGGGAAGCACCAGCCTATGTAGGTGGGTGGTGGGAAGGAGGGGTGGAGTCAGGGGAGTTTTAGTGACCAGGGAGCCTGGACTCTGGGCCAGTTCACTTCCTGCATTCCAGGTGCAGGAAAGGAGAAAGGGGGATCAGTTTGACTGCTAAGTTAAATGTAGGCCGAGGAAACTGTTTCCAGTAGGTAGAACTGGGACAATATACACTCTCAGGGCCATAGGAGACCCTCCATAATTACATGCATAAGGATGCACAGAGGAGAGGGAGGGAGGAAGAAAGGAAGGGCCCAATAAAGTCTACTCGTGGAAATATACTCGGACTGTGGGACAGAAACAATGTTCAGGAACATAAAAAGTGACCATCTTAAGTAATGCTTACCTAATATGACTAAATGACCCTACATGCCCAGCTGGGCAGAACAATTAGAAATGCTGATCTACTCTTCAATCAAGAGGGAAGTCACTGGAGCTGCTGAACGAACAGAGCATAACCCATGAGTTGTGGAAACTGCAATGGAACGGCGCCAGCAATTGCCCTGCGAATACAAAAAGCGGAGGGCCCTCCTCTCCCTTCCTCAGGGTCTTAATCTACACTCAACTTCTCAGGGACTTTGGGCAAAACAGAATACTGTTTATAAGGCGGGTTTCTGGTAACAATGTGTGGGTTGGTTTTGCCCCTGGAGGGGTTAAAATGCACTATTCTGGCATATTCACCATTTAAGTCAATGCCACATGAACATCAGCAGGTGTGAAAAGATCACTCTGAGATTCTTGGTGTTTCTTAAAAGCAGAAGGTGAAATTCCCATGTTAAAGATGCGCTCCTAGAGGAAGCAATATTCTTATCATCAAGGATGGAAAGTCAATCGCAAGAGAATTCTGAACAGATATTGCTGAACTAACTCCTGTCCACTAAGGCTCCCCACATAATTTGGTTGTTTTCTTCACAACTGACTGCTCTTTGTCCAATCTGACATATGAGTATCTGACATTGCTTCTTGGGGTCTTCATTTCTTCCTGAGAGCTCCTGTGCCAAGAAAAACTTGTAATATGCTTTCTCCTATGAATCTATGTTATGTCAATTTCACTCTCAAACTCAGCCAGGACCCTAGAAGGATGGAGGTGGAATTTCTCCACCCCTACACCTCCAAAATGAATATTACCAGAATTTAATATTATTGGGAAAAAATGTTCGAATAATCCTCATGCCTCTAAAAGTCATTATATCTCTCACCAACTGTAAATAGCTTAGAATGTTGAATTTTGGAGTAGATGAAGAAAGAAAGATCTCAGCAGTTTGGGCTCAGAATCTAGACACATAATGACAGGCCAGGGCCTCTGGCTCGTAAGATACGGAACAGCTTTGGCCTCAAGCAGAGCTTGGGTCTCCACTGACACTATCAGCTCAATTTGAAACAATGGCCTTGTTTTCAGAAATCCTTCACCATAAAATATTTTGCTATTTCATTAGTCACCATTAAAAGTGTTAAAAATGATTCATTCAATACTTTGTATTTTCTATTAAGGAGGAATAAAAGTATTGACTCATTCAATACTTTTTATTTTCCTATTAAGGAGGAAGGTTTACATGCTTGGTGTTTTCTCTCCAGGGTTCAGAGTTCATGAGAATCACATTCTCTTGATATGGGCTATTTCCTAGCCTGAAACAGAGAAAGGCCATGCATACATCCCAGGATTTTAGCCATTGTTACCAGCAGTAGAAACTTTGACAGGCCTTCCTGGAGACCATCCACCACTAGCCAGAGTTCATGGGCAAGACTAGGTACCCCGGAATCAGGGCCTCGAGCATGGCAAGCAAGCATGGGGTCCAGGTTGGTGGGCAAATGTCATAGCCTCAGTATGACAATGGCCAGCAAAGGCCAGTGATAGAGTTGGATGAAGCTTAGGTATCAGTATATAGGAGCAAGGCAAGGGGTCACTTATTGTAGACTTAGTGCATAGAAACATTTAAAAAGCACAGTACCAGGCATTATGCCAGGCACTGGGAGGCACACAGATGAGTGAAGAGGGGTGCTTATGGGTGATGGATATGTAAATGGACAATTACAATACACAGCAGTGCATATGTTTGAAATGTGCACAGGTCATCATGAGGGCACAGTGAAAGGGCCTCCAGCCCAGCCTAGCAGTAGGAAGTGGGGGGGCTACAGGAGGAGGCCAGAGAAGGCTCCCTGGAGAATGGATGCCTGAGCTGAGTCATAACAGATGCAGAGCAATTCACCAGACAAAGGAGAGAAGCATTCCCATCATTAGGGACAACAGGCTGGCCTCACATTGTGTTGCTGTGGATTGCAGACTCAAGCAATATTGGCAAAAAGCCCCAGACTCAGTGTCTATCTGTGTAGACATAGGGCTGGAATAGTGGAGACTCAAGAGGCAGGTCTGCATGAGACATGGTCAGGGCCAGGGAAGTGTGGTAACCCCAGGAAGGCTGAGCTGTGCACTTAAAACAAACAAACAAAAACAAACAAACGAAAAACAAAAACAAATCCAGGAAGGTGTGTATTAGGACAAAGGGCACAAACTCTAATCACAGGGGAAAGTAACGGACGTTGAAGAAACTAGATTGAAGTTGACAAAGCAGTGAAACTAGATACACCTGGACCTGTTTCTTGGCCAGAGATTTACTGTTTTTATGTCTTGGTCTCAGGCCAAAAATTTGTCCTAAAATTAGAGCAGGGCACTGGGTTCACAGGTGGCTGCTACGAACATTTCCAGGGCCAGAGTGACTGGAGCCACAGGAACAGGGAATCACAGAGAAACAAAAAACTAAGGGCACAAGCCGCAGTGGGTGAGACTTGATGAGCAAGGCAGTTTTCTGACCTAGTTCAGGCTTCCCCTTTACTTTCCTGTGTGGCAGGAATCAATCCCAGCACAGCTGGACTCAGGCTCATAGATGGAAGCTTGCAATTTGAAGCACCTGGCCAAGGCAGCCTGCACCGAGCAGGGACACAGCTGTAGCTTTTTGTAAGTGAGTCCTCTCATGGGTAGGGGTAGGGGGATCACATTAAAAAATAAATAAAAGCTACTGCAAAGATGGATATAGCAGACCTCTCTATATTATTAAACACTTTGTCTCAGAGCTGATTTTATATTGCCCTTAAGTGCAGAGATAGCAATAGTCAACTCAGCAGTGCACCAACTCATTCGCTCAAAATTACAAAGGGACAACTTCTAAGATCACATCTCTCAGGAAAATACAAAGCTTGTTTGCCATCTAGCCCGAATTAACCTGTTCAATATCATGCACAAATGCACAGTTTAAAATACTTGCCCAGCACATTTTTAAACATCTCTATACCTATTTGCTTTATATCGTTGTATAAATGGAGTATGCATACATGTGTGTATGTGTCACATATACACACATACAGGGTAAATATATGTTTATATGCAGGTAGATATATTAGCCCTGCATTTATAGTTCTAAAGAAATGAGAATGCTTTTTTTCTTGGAAGAACCCTTTAGAAATTTATAGGTGCTTAGCATCATAAAATGGCTTTTCCCCTGACCTGCCACAAGTCTGTGGTGCAACCTCACAGCAGCAATCTCATTACTCTAACAGTGGTTACATATGGTGCTTCAAGATTTTTATTTTTAAATCACAGAAACCCAAAAACGTAGATATCAAAGACACTTTTCAAAGGCAACTTCTAAAAAGGATAAAACCTCTTCAGACAGCTGTCCCAGATTAATGAAACCTTTCTCCCTCAAGGGAAATGAGAACATCCTACAGGAAATAGCAAAAGGTGGCATGACAGTATCTCCAGAAGATGAATTTCCTTCACTTCATTTATAGCACTAACCCTTCAGTTCTGCCTTAAGATCAGATTTGCATAATCATATTTTGTATCCCTGATCATTTGGCTTATGACACTGTAATATCAGTTGAAAATTTCCAAGAATAACTATATCATTTCAGAAGAGGAACTGGAAGCAGCCACCAGAGTTGAACCTGTAAGCAAGGTGGCAGTTCTGAACATCAGCAGGAGCTACTATGCATGATTTGAGATTATTCAAAAGCCAGCATGCACCTTCACACCCTTCTCAAAGTAGGGTGTGGTACCGGCTGGCTGAGAAAATAGATTAGCAGTCAATAATACACTTTTAAAAGAATAACTATTTTTCCAAAGGGGAAAAAACATGATTTAGTCTCTTTTTTCCACCCTATCAGGGTATTGACTACTTGCATTTTTTGGTAATCATTAGTCATTTTACTGCAAAAATGAAGAGGTACAAAAATACAATGTAGGAAAGAGAGAAGAGAAAAGAAAAGGAAGATTTCAAATTCAGAAGAATACATCTGGAAGCATTTATTTAGTTGATCCATTGATGAAAGAAAAAAGTCAATTGATTTCACAAGGCAAAATTGGGGCTACTTTACTAGTGTATTTCCCAGCAGTTGACTTGATAATGATTTTTCAAAATAAAATATATTATCTGAAAAACATAACTCAGCATAATTGTAAGAATCATACATTTGCTACAAAATAGAAAAACATACTAAAATACTATTTTATTGCTAATTTGTCATCTAATGTAATGGTGAATTAAGACCTCAGAAAATAAGGCCTGAAACACAGGAAATTTAAAAATATTTGTCCCAGGTATGCCACAAACTGTGTGAAGCTTTCATATGTAATTTCTTGGCTTATTCAATTAAATTATCCAATCACTGTGAAAAGAAACACATGTAAAACATTCATTTTACATGGTTCAACACTATGCAACAGGTTCATGTGTCAAAAGAAATCACTGACTACAATAGTCCACAGTAAGACTGAGCTTTTTCAAAAAGCATTTTGAGTTTGACATAAATCTTGTTTTTTATGGGATATTTCTTCCTTTGTTAGTTACACAATATTTCCCCTCAATAACAGCACTAAGTTCAGTAACAGCATTCTATGTCACTAGAGAAAATCATGGTTGGTCCTTCATATCTGTGGGTTCAACATCCGTGGATACAATCAACTACCAATTAAAAACATTCAGGAAAAAAATTGCATCTGTACTGACCAGATACAGACTTTTTTTTCTTGTTATTATTCTCTAAACAATACAGTATAACAATTACTTACATAAGATTTACATTGTACTATGTACTATAAGTAATCTAGAGATGATTTAAAGTATACCGGGGGGATGTGAGTAGGCTATATGCAAATACTACATCATTTTATACAAGAGACTTGAGCATCTGTGGATTTTGGGATCCAAGGCCATGCTTGTTGCCAATTCCCCTCTGATACCAAGGAATGACTGCATGTATCTCCTGCAACTGCTGATTCCACACGTGAAAATGTGATTATATTACTTGACATTTATGTGTCACTTTTTGTTTTCTAAATGCTTTACAATTTCCTATGGGATTCAAATGAGCAGAAAAGAAAGCCCCCAGTACACAGGAAGGCATGAACCATGGAAACATCTCCAACTGCTAAGTTCCTACAGAGAGACACGGGTCCTTACAAAGTAATACTGGCCTGAAGAAGCAGGACCAAGGAGCATGCTATCAGCGAGGATCCAAGTTAATACCCCAGACCTCCAAGGCTGGACCACATTTACCAATGGAGAGAAAAATACATGCCCAAGATGAGAGTGAACGACAGAAGCCAACACAAGATCTCCTGACTTTCCATATGACATTTTGCATCACTGAAGATTACGCTACTCTGAAGACCTTGACTGAACAACTAACTGCTGGTAAACACCGGCATTTTTTTTTTAACTTGTAGTTTTCCTGAAATGCCTGGAAATTTTCCTTCTAAAGGTTGTGCTCAGTATTCGAGAATAAGTTAAGGCTAAGTTCATAACAATAACAAAGGCTATAGAGTGAACAGAAGTTTTTTTGGTTTGGTAAGGAAGGGAGGGGCAAGGGGCATTTGCAGTCAAAGGCCATCTATAAGTACAATTGTATTATTTACACCTAATTATTAAAATCATAATAGAGGGGCTACCGAAATGTGACAGCTAAATTAGTGCTCACTGCATGAAGCACAAGAAAATAAAAGAATCCTTTTGATAAATTCCACAGAGAGAAAAACTAACGTAATGATATTTGGCAATGAAGACGGGTAGCACCTTTAAAGATTAAGAGAAACCCATAAGGAGCTTCCAATTTCCAATCTAAATTCAAGTATTACACACACATATAATAGTTTGGGCAAGCATATGGCTGTCCGGACTACACTATGGTAATGCAGTATCTCAGCATTGTCTTTTCATTAAAAATTGTATTGGGCCACATCAGGCAGCTCCTCTATCTTTCCTTCATCATGAAGGAGAGGGTGGGAAATCGTGGTGCGTCATAGAATGAAACTTGTCAGAAGCACTGGTTCATCATCCTCACAGGCCAATCTGCTTTCTTGTAGATATGTGCTTTTCTAAGACTACAAGGAACACTGCGACTTTTCCTGAGGCTTTGGGTTACTGGAAGATGAGGAAGGATAAATGTGAAGTTGTGGACTGTTTTAAATTCCACCTGACCATTCTGCTTTCCTGAGCAACCTACCCACGCCAATTTAGTACTGGCTTTCTTCAGAGCATTAGGACAATGGGATTCTGTCTACAGCTGTGCCATGAACGGACTCTGATTCCTTAGGCAAAGAATCTCTTCTTGCTAAAATAGTTAATTTGAAGGAATAACAGGAATATATAAAATAATGTCTCAAAGTGTTTTGGTCACCTGGTAAAGAACTAGATTTCACATGAATGCAACATAATCAGTACTATCCTTAGCTATTGATGACATATCTAAATGGGACATTCTGGGCATTGTCCGGAGCATGCTGAACAGAAGCATTATATTTTCTTAGAAAAACTTAATGGTGCCCTCATTTGACCAGCTTTTCACCATGTCCAAACCTTCCAGAACATTGTGATTTAAATGATCATAGTCTGTTCAATTTCACTGCAAGAACATCATTACATGTTTTATTATAAGAACATTAAATATTTTCCTTCCGTGTTGGTTTTTCAAGCTGTTCTTGTTCTAGAGTAAAAGTTTCATGTACTCTAACAAAACCTTTTCAGTTATACAGACAGGTAACTATCTCCTATTTCCCAAATTTTCAGAATGAGTAAATTCCAGAGGCACTGATGATACCAATATACTCATATTACCTCAAGTGAAGAAAGAAAGGAACACACGAACACAGATAGTACCTGGAATAGTGATTATTTAATAGTAAGTGATGGATTAGTAAGTGAATGTGTAAGTGACATCAGCAAAATTGAGTGAAGATCCCAGTGACATCTAGATGTGATTAGAAACTCTTACCATTTCAACACTTGTAAGTTCAGGACATTCATTTATTTTATATTTATTTATTGAATCACTTGTCATTTATGTGCCACTTTCTGTTTTCTAAATGCTTTACAATATTAGAATCTAGGAAGACAGTGGTGAGGAAGACAGATTCAGTCCTTGTTCTTGTGAAGTTTACATTCCAGTAGAAGGGGCAGGACCACACCCTCCCATCGCACACACATACACACAGAACATGAACACGGACCACAAGAGAGCGGCACATTGCGACTAATGTCAGGGTCATCACAGAGAAAGAGCCGAGGGAGCCGTTACAGGTAAGGGAAGGCTGTTCTGAGAAGGTGACATTTTGGCAAAGATCTTTTAATGGAGGACAGAGGAGGCAGGAAAACAACCAGAGAATGCCTAGCAAGAAGTTGGCCTGTTGCAAAAACTGTGAGAAAATCATCCACTCTGATTGGCGAGGATGTGGCCAGCAGGGGGAATTGCAGGAAAATATGACAAGGATTTACCCAAGAAGGGACTATTTGCATATAATTGTATTAAAAAAACCAGAGCCATAAACACATGTAATATTGATAAACAATGTCTTTTATGATCACAAACAGCATTACAGTGTCTTTTTTTTCAGAAATATATTATGCAACTATTTATATCCCAAGATAACTGCAGACATTCAGACATTCACAGAAAGAAACAAAGACCGTTATTGTCTCCAGTTTATGAGCTTCAGGAAAAAAACGTGGGCGTGTGTGTGTGTGTGCGTGCAAGCACGTGTAAGAGAGAGAGCAAGAACAGTTAATTACTAAACATTAGAAGAAAGTCAAACCATGTGTGGGCTCATGTCATTCAGGCCATCACAATCATTTTATTCCACATGACAAATGGAATAAGAAATAGTGATATTTAAAAGTAAAACATGCGAAGAACTGTAATACTTTAAAGCACAGGTTAGAAAGCTTTTTCTCAAAGGGCCAGAGAGTAAATGGCTCTAAGGGCCATACTTCCTCTGTTGCCAGTACCCTACTTGGCTTTTCTAGAACAAAAGCAGCCACAGACAATACATAAGAGAACAGGTGTGGCTGTGTCTCAGTAAAGCTTTATTTACAGTAACAGGAGATGGGCCAGATTTGATCCACGAGATGAGGTCCGCTGACTCCTGCTTTAGAGGACTAGAGGACAATGCTCAATAATATCTAGAAGAATCACTCCAAAATATCAAGCCAATTTCTCAAACGTGGGCAAGAGAAAGAGCCAGGAAAGGGTGACAAGAAACTGCTGGATTGGATTAGCTAGAGGTTATCGTATTTTACTAGCCATAGGCACAAATTTAAGTGATAGCGTAAAGAAATCTATAACTGTTTCTATTGACTGTGCAAATGTTAAAAGAACATTGTCAAAGATCTTATTTTTAAAATGTTGTATGAATGCTTCTGGCATGAGGTACGCAGCTGGCACAGATGATTCCAAAGTTCCCATCCAACTCTAAAATTCTAAGTTTCCAAAATTTAAATTATAATACAATTACTAGTATCTGGCAGAATTTCAAAAGCGGTTGAAATGGTGTTTTATGACTTTTTTTTTTCCTGGCTTAACATTTTTGTAAATTCTAGAATGCTAATTCTTGAAGCTTGGCAGCTAAAACAATAATTGACTATTTCCTAGTCACTTTGCAATTGGTTTCTTTTAATTGAGGATGAATTGGTACAGCATGTAAAATCTGAAAACTAAAAATGGATGCTTTAGACAATTCATTCTTTTCACTGAAATGATTCAACCATACTAAGCCATATATCTACTTTTATATATCATTTAGTGAAGACCCTGACTAAGCACTCACATTGTATAATCACTAAGTACACATTCATTGACCATCTATTACAGGGTAAATTCATGATTGGCCTATATTAGGGCATAAAACGCTTATTAATTGAGTGAATGAACATAAACTCTAAACTATGGTGTCTATGGGTTCAAATTATAGCTCTGCCACTTTCTAGCTGTGTGACCCTAGGGGAAATTACTTAACCTTTCTGTGTCTTTCTTGGTCATTGGTAAAATGGGGAGAAAATAATACCTATATTATAAGGTATTGTGAGAATAAAAGTTGACAACCCTATTTCCACCTGCACTTTCATTCTGCCAGGTACAATAGTTGTCTAACATATAAGCATCATATCATCCTACAAAAGAAATGGTCTTCCAAGAGAGCCTGGTGTCCTGCTGATTTCTGGCAAAAGAGTTCCCACTTAAAATTCTACTCTAAAGTATCGTATTCAAAATGAAAAGAGGAAAACAACAGAAAATGAAAATCTGTTAAAGGAATCAAGTAATTTCATTTGCTGCGTGCCATACATGTTGCTGGGTATTACGAAAGCTTCAAAAGCATAATTCCTGTTATCCAGGAGCTTTAATAAAATAAAACATACTAACAGGTAAAGGTAATTAAATGTACTTGTTACACATTTATTGAGCATTTGCAAGTTACCAGCATTGGTAATGCAAGGATACTTCAGATACAATCTAGAGAGGCAAGTCACATCAACTCTGTGAGACTTACTTTCTTCATCTTTGAAATGGGGGTAGAACTGTTTCAGCAAGATTTTGTGAGAATCACTGCACAACGGGCTGCAACATGACAGGCTTGCAACACCCTAAGCGCTTTGAGTAGAGGCTGCATGAGTGTGGAGGAGAGACTCAGCCTCCCCCAGGAAGGTGACAATAGAGAAGTGCCTTGAAGGAGGTTTGGGAGACAGAGAAATCCAGTAAGAACATGCCATGAGGAGAGCACAGCACATGCTAAGTCAAGGGCTTCCAACAGGGCTCATGAGTGCCAACGATTCACTGCCCCAACACCAGAGGTACAAGGGTTGCCTCAGATTCAAGTCCATCTAATCCATTCACCATTTGCCTATCAGAACTATTTAGTAAAATAAAATCTGATCATGTGCCTGTTTCTCCAGTCCCTGCTTAAAAGCCTTGAATAAATGTTGGTCCATTGGGTGAAATTAATGGGATCTTTTACAACCCTGATCCTAATTTACCCAGCTTTATCTCCTGGAGTCTGGTCACCATCGTCTCTTTTATACATGGCCACAGGAAGTATTATGCCACAGTGGCTAAGGGCTCTGGTTTTGGAGTTAGACACACTTTTCTACTTAGTTGCTTGGGTGAGTTATTCAGACTCTCTAGAGATCAATTTGCTCATTTGCAAAGTGTAAAATGGGTTATAGGAATTAAATGAAATAGCACACTTAGCATAGTGTCTGGTACGGAAGGATTCAACAAATACTATTAAAAACATGTCAGAAACAGTATTTTGGGCTTGCTTGCAAAATGGAATTTTGGAGTGAAGTTCGTGGGTGAGGCACTAACAGTGAGGTCCTGCGTGAGGATGGTGGCTGGTCGAGAGGATGTTAGGAAGGCAGGGATTTAAAAGGACTTGGGGAAAAACAACCAAGACCTAGTGAGAGGCTGGACAAGTAGAGGAGAAAGAATAAATCGAGGATGACCCAAAGATTTTGACATTGAGATAATAGTGGTCCTAAAAAAAAAAGGAGAAGTCAGGTAGGTGAGATGGGATGATTGAATTTATAATTTCATGATGCATAATTATACAAATTTATAAAATAGATGCCATATTCAAAAGATAGAAATTTCTAGATTTAAAATTATGACATTACCATGTTAACGAAATTTCCTAGTCTGAATCCTGTTAACATTATTAATACTTTTAGCCTTCATGCCAAGAAACACCCGTGTTCTCCTGTCTCTCTTTGCATCCTCCCCAGCTAATTCCTTCTTCTCCTGCCCCCTAAAGAACAGCCTTCCCTGGATTTCAAGCCACAATCCTTCTCTTTTTCTATTAACTGCCTCCCTGGGGCGGGAGGTTGGGGGGACTTGGTTAATCTTACTCTTAAGATTCTATTGGACTTTAGGTCTCCAGTTTACCTGCACCTTCCCCTATATTCAAACTAGGCAGAATTTTCCATACCTAGAAATAAATTTGAGTGAAAAATAATGATAATACAAATGTCAGTAACAAAGCAGGAATTTCAAAGTCGAGGCAGAGATAATTCATTCAAGCTTTTAATACCAATGCATATGTTATTTACCAGTAATTTTTCTTAAATAAAAATGGATCAAAATGTGAGAAACCCTCCTTGTGTCCCTCAGGAAATGTTTTCTCATGTGTAACATTTAGAGCTTGTTGATTCCCAAAGGAGATTAAAATGCCCAGTTAAACCCCACAATAAATATTAGGTTGAAACATTTGAATTTCTTATTACCGAAGACCCAGGAAGCCTTTTATTAGGAAAGCTGCCTTGCCAGGACATGATTTTTTTTCCCCAGGGGACATAATTAAAGAGGGCGATACTGCTGAGAGCATGTGCACCAACACGCTGTATTTGTCAACACACACAATGCCTTCCTAGAGAGGAAAAGCAGCCCAGCTGTTCTACAGTGGATCTTCCAAGAATGTATTCAGGCTCAACACCAAAACCGCCACCAAGAAAATGCAAAAAGCCCCACAGAATTTTACATAGGAATTTGAATAGTGTGGCCGGAAACTGAAACACAGTAGAAACTACCAGCAGAGTACGTAGTGTTTGATCTCCAAACTCTCTCTGACTATAACCATATGACAAATTGGGCATTAAAATATTACGGTTAATGTGGTACTTCATTCAAGAAATGTATTCAAGTTTATCACAGGTAAGGGGTGAAGGAGATTTCATAGATGACTCCCAGGTTCCTAACTTATGCAACTGGGTGGGTGGGTAGAGGTGCCATAGACTGAGACAGCAAACAGTAGAAGAGGGGGGAGCAGATGAAAGGGGGTGTTTTTGTGTTGTTTTGGAAATAAAGGGTTTGATGTGACCAGGAAGTACTAGTAGATGCCCTCCTATTTAATACATAGGCCCTAAACATGGTCAATAAGTCAGGTCTGAGTTATGAATGGGAATTAATTTAAGGCAGTAATTCAGACTATGTAATTCTTGCTTTGCCTTTGCTATTTAAACATTTAGTAACTGCTTAAATCTTCTAACTTTTGGCTTGAATTATTTTCTTCTAAGTTTAGCTTGATAGTGTTATTCATTTTATCTAACTATATTTTTGCACCCATTAACTATCTCTCATCCTCCACTCCCCACTACACTTCCCAGCCACTGGTAACCATTGTTCTACTCTCTATCTCCATTAGTTCAGTTGTCTTAATCTATAGTTCCCACAAATAAGTGAGAATATGTGAAGTTTGTGTTTCTGTGCTTGGCTTATTTCACTTAACACAATGACCTCCAGTTCTATCCATGTTGTTGTAAATGAGAGAATCTGATTCTTTTTTTTTTTTTTTTTACGGCTGAATAGTATTCCATAATGTATACCTACCACATTTTCTTTTATTATTATTCTTCTTATTATTTTTTATTATTATACTTTAAGTTCTAGGGTACATGTGCACAACATGCAGGTTTGTTACATATGTATACCTGTGCCATGTTGGTGTGCTGCACCCATTAACTGGTCATTTACATTAGGTATATCTCCTAATGCTATCCCTCCCCCTCCCCCCACCTCATGACAGGCCCGATGTGTGATGTTCCCCATCCTGTGTCGAAGTGTTCTCATTGTTCAATGTCCACCTATGAGTGAGAACATGCGACATACCACATTTTCTTTATCCGTTTGTCTGTTGATGGACAATTAGGTAGATTCCAAATCTTGGTTATTGTGAGTAGTGCTGCAAAAAACTTGAGAGTGCAGACAACTCTTCAATATACTGATTTATTTTCTTTTGGATATATACCTAGCAGTGAGATTGTGGGATTGTATGATAGCTCTATTTTCAGTTTTTTGAAGAACCTCCAAACTGTTCTCCACAGTGGTTGTACGAATGTACATTCCCTCCAGCACTGGTTTCCCTTTTCCCCACATCCTCACCAGCATTTGTTATTATCTGTCTTTTGGATAAAAGCAGTTTTAACTAGGGTAAGATGGTATCTCATTATAGCTTTGATTTGCATTTCTCTAATGATCAATGATGGTGAGCACCTTCTCATATATCTGTTTGGTATTTGTATGTCTTGTTTTAAGAAGTGTCTATTCAGATATTTTGCATATTTTTAAATTGCATTATTAGATATTTTCCTATAGATTTGCTTGAGCTCCTTATATATTCTTGTTATTAATTCCTTGTCCAATGGATAGTTGCAAACATTTTCTCCCATTCTGTGGGTTGTCTCTTCACTTTGTTGATTGTCTCCTTTGCTGTACAGCAGCTTTTTAACTTGATATGTCCTATTTTTTCATTTTTGCTTTGGTTACCTGTATTTGTGGCATATTACACAAGAAATATTTGCTCAGCCCAATATTCTAGAGAGTTTCCCCAAGCTTTTCGCAGTAGCTTTATAGTTTGAGGTCTTATATTTCAGTTTTTATTCAATTTTGATGTGGTTTTTTTATTATACTTTAAGTTTTAGGGTACATGTGCACAACGTGCAGGTTAGTTACATATGTATACATGTGCCATGTTGGTGTGCTGCACCCATTAACTCGTCATTTAACATTAGGTATATCTCCTAATGCTATCCCTCCCCCCTTCCCCCACTCCACAACAGGCCCCAGTGTGTGATGTTCCCCTTCCTGTGTCCATGTGTTCTCATTGTTGAATTCCCACCTATGAGTGAGAACATGCGGTGTTTGGTTTTTCGTCCTTGCGATAGTTTGCTGAGAATGATGGTTTCCAGTTTCATCCATGTACCTACAAAGGACATGAACTCATCATTTTTTATGGCTGCATAGTATTCCATGGTGTATATGTGCCACATTTTCTTAATCCAGTCTTTGTATATGCCAAGAGGTAGGGGTCTTGTTTTATTCTTCTGCATATGGATATCCAGTTTTCCCAGCACCATTTATTGAAGAGACTGTTCTATCTCCAATATATGTTCTTGGTACCTTTGTTTTAAGGTATGAATTCACTGTTGATAAGTGGATTTGTTTTGTGGGTTCCCCATTCTGTTCCATTGGTCTATGTGTCTGTTTTTATGCCAGTAAAATGCTGTTTTGGTTACTGTAGCTTTGTTGTAAAATTTGAAGTCAGGTAATGTGATTCCTCCAGCTTTGTTCTTTTTGCTCAAGACAGCTTTGGTATTCTGGGTCTTTTGTGATTTCATATAAATTTTAGGATTGTTTCTTCTATTTCTGTGAAGAATATCTTTGGTATTTTGATAAGGATTGCACTGAGTCCGTAGATTGCTTTGGATAGTATGGACATTTTAATAATGTTGATTCTTCCATCCTATGAACATGGAATATTCTTGCATTGTTTTGTATTCTCCTAAATTCTTTCATCAGTGTTTTATAGGTTTCATCATAGAGATCTAAAAATTCATTGGTTATTTCCTAGGTGTTTACTGTCACTTGCAACAGGGATTACTTTTCTGATTTCTTTTTCAGATTGTTTGCTGTTGGCATATAGAAATGCTACGGATTTTTTATGTTGATTTTGTACCCTGCAACGTTACTGAATTTATCAGTTGTAATAGTTTTTTGGAGGAGTCTTTAGGCTTTCCCACATATAAGATCATATGATCTGCAAACATAGATAATTTGACTTCTTTCTTTCCAATTTGGATGTCCTTTATTTCCTTCTCTTGTCTGACTGCTTTAGCTAGGACTTCCAGTAATATGTTGAATAACGGTGGTGAAAAGTGGGCATCCTATTCTTGCTTCAGATCTTAAAGGAAAGGCTTTTCCTTTTTCCTCATTCAGTATAATACTAGGTGTGGGTCTGTCGTACACACCTTTTATTGTGTTGAGGTATGTTCCTTCTACACCCACTTTTTTGAAGGTTTTTCTTTTTTAATCGCAAAGTGATGTTAGATTTTATCAAAAGCTTTTTCAGCATCAGTTGAAATGATCATAAGGTTTTTGTCCTTAATTCTCTTTATATTAAGACACTATTTGGGCAAATATTTCTATTGATATGTTGACTGATTCATCTGCATATGTTGAAGCATCCCTGGAATAAATCTCACTCAGTCATGATAAATGATCTTTTTCATGTTTTTGAGTTTGGATTGCTAGCATTTCAGTGAGGATTTTTGTATTAGTATTTATAAGGGATATTGACCAGTAGTTTCCTTTTCTTTGATGTGTCCTTGTCTGGTTTTGGTATCAGAGTAATACTGGCCTTGTAGAATGAATTTAGACATATTTGTTCTTCCTCTATTTTTCAGCAGAGTTTCAGTAAGATTGGTATTAGTTCTTCTTTGTATGTTTGTTAAAATTCATCAGTGAAACCACTGGGTCTTGGGCTTTTCATTTCTAGGAGAATTTTTATTACAGCTTTGATCTCATTAGTTGTTATTGGTCTGGTTCAGGTTTTGAAATTCTTCATGGTTCAATATTAGTAGGTTGTATGTGTCTAGAAATGTATCCATGTCTTCTAGGTTTTCCAATTTATTGACATACAGTTGCTCATAGTAGTCTCTAACGATCCTTTAAATTTCTGCTGTATTGGTTGTAATGTATTTTTCCATCTCTGATTCTATTTATTTGGGTCTTCTCTCTTTTATTCTTAGTCTAGCTAAATGTTTATTGATTTTGTTTATATTTTTATAAAAGCAACTTTCCTTTCATTGGTATTTTGTATTGTTTTGTTTCAATTTATTTCTGCTTTGATCTTTATTATTTCTTTTCTTATACTAATCTTGGGTTTGGTTTGCTCTCACTTTTCTAGTTTTTTAAGCTGCATCATTAGGTTATTTGTAGTTTTTTCTACTTTTTAATGTAGGCATTTATAGCTATAAACTTTCCTTTTAGCGCTGCTTTCGCTGTATCACATAGGCTTTCATACGTTGTGTTTCCATTATCATTTGTTTCACGACATATTTAAATTTTCTTCTCAATTTCTTCATGACCCACTGGTCATTCGGGGGCATATATTGGAATTTACATGTCTTTGCATAGTTTCCAAAGTTCCTCGTTATTGATTTCTAGTTTTACGCAACTGTGGTGAGAGGATACTTGATATAATTTCAATTTTCTTGATGTTTTAAGACTTGCTTTGTGGCTTAACAAATGGTCTATCCTTGATAATGATCCATGTGCTGAGGAGGAGAATGTTTATTCTGCCAGCCATTGGATGAAATGTTCTATAAATATCTATTAGGTCCAATTAGTCTACACAACAGATTAAGTCCAATGTTTCTTTGTAGATTTTCTGTCTGAATGATCTGTCCAATGCTGAAAGTGGGGTGCTGAAATCTCCAGTTATTATTTTATTGGATTCCATCTCTCTCTTTAATAATATTTACTTTATACATGGGTGCTCCAGTGTTGGGTGTAAGTGTATTTATAATCATTACATCCTCTTGCTGAATTGAACCCTTTATGATTAAATAATAACCTTCTTTATTTCTTTTTAGAGCTTTTTGTCTTGAAAGCTATTTTGATATAACTATAGCTACTCCTGTACTTTTTTAGATTCCATTTGCATGGAATATCTTTTCCCATCCCTTTATTTTAGTCTATGTGTGTCTTTAGAGGTGAAATATTTTCTTAGTAGGCAACAGATAATGGGTCTTGTCTTTTATCCATTCAGCCACTCTGTCTTTTGACTGGCAAGTTAAATCCATTTACTTTCAATGTTATTATTGATAAGTAAGGACTTACTCTTGCCATTTTGTTACCTGTGTTCTGGGTGTTTTGTGATCATTTCTTGCTTCTTTCTTTTTTTCCTGTCTTCCTTTCAGTGAAGGTGAATTTCTCTGGTGTTATTTTTTATTTTTTAATTTCTTGCTTTTTATTTTGTGTATTTGTTGTATGCTTTTTGTTTTGAGGTTACCATGAGGCTTGCAAATATCTTGTAACCCATTATTTTAAACTGATGACAACTTAACACTGATTGTATAAACAAAGAATCTTACAAATAAGCAAAGAGAAAATGAATAAAAACTCTACACTTTAACTTTGTCCCCCCACTTTTAAATTTTCTTGTTTCTATTTATATCTTATTCTACTGTCTATATCTTGAAAAGTTGTTGTAGTGGTTATTTTTTGATTGGTTCATCTCTTAGTCTTTCTAGTCAAGATACGAATAGTTTATACACCACAATTTACAACACCACAGTGTTGTAATATTCTGTGTTTTTCTGTGTACTTACTTTTACTGGTGAGTTTTGCACCTTCAGGTGATTTATTGTTGCTCATCAAAGTCCTTTTCTTTTGGATTAAAGTACTCCCTTTAGCATTTCTTGTAAGACAGGTCTGGTGATAAAATCCTTTGTCTTCTGTTGTTCTCGAAAAGTATTTCTCCTTCATATTTGAAGGATATTTTTGCTGGACATATTATTCTAGAATAAAAATATTTTTCCTTCAGCACTTTAAATATGTCATGCCACTCTCTCCTGGCCTATAAGGTTTCCACTGAGAAGTCTGCTGCCAGATATATTGGAGATCCATTGCATGTTATTTGTTTTTTTCTCTTGGGGCTTTTAGGATCCTTTCATTATCCTTGACCTTTGGAAGTTTGACTACTAAAGGTCTTGAGGTAGTCTTCTTTGGATTAAATCTGCTTGGTGTTCTATATGCTTCTTGTACTCGAATATTTATACCTTTCTCTATGTTTGGGAAGTTCTCTGTTATTATCCCTTTGAATAAACTTTCGACCTTGATTTCTATATCTGTCTTCTCTTTAAGGCTGATAACTCTTAGATTTTCTTTTTTGAGGCTATTTTCTAGATCTTGTAGGTATACTTCATTCTTTTTTATTCAGTTTTTCCCAAGATTTCAAATGAATAATTTATTAGGTGAAAATAAGGTTACAGAGACTAAGTAGGCACACCAAAGATGGCTAATAAGGACATGTAGAAGTTCTGAAAATGATCTGAGATAACCTTTGAAAATGAATTTGTTTATAGCCCAAACCTACTACTTTAGAAAACCCTGGAAAACAGAAGAATACACAAGCATGCATTCCACTTTTACATGACATCATTCCATGTCATGTAGCCTCTGGAAAACTCCACTAGGTGCTCATTAAGTATGAAAGTTTTGGCAAATGAAGTCTTAAAGTCTTAATATTATAAAAACAGTTTTGACCTTCTGGACTCCCTGAAAAATCTTGGAGATCTCCATGAAACCATACTTTGAGTACTGGTATCACCACACTTTTAGGTGTTTAAACATCACCTGCATTCATTTTTCTTTTGTCCTTTCTGACTGTCTATTTTCAAATAGCCTGTCCTCAATCTCACTAATTCTTTCTTCTGCTTGATCAATTCTGCTGGTAAGAGACTCTGATGCATTCTTCAGTATGTCAATTGCACTTTTCAACTCCAGAATTTCTGTTTGATTCTCTTTTAATGATTTCAGTCTCTTTGTTAAATGTATCTGATGGTATTCTAAATTCCTTCTCTGTTTTATCTTGAAATTTGTTGAGTTTCCTCAAAACAGCTATTTTGAATTCTCTGTTTGAAAGGTCACATATCTCTGTATCTCTAGGATTGGTCCCTGGTGACTTATTTAGTTCATTCAGTGCTGTCATGTATTCCTGGATGGTCTTGATGTTTGTGGTTGTTCCTTGGTGTCTGAGCATTGAAGAATTAAGTACTTATTGTAGTCTTCACAGTCCTTTTTTAAAATAATTCTTGTCAAGTTGCATCTTTTTATTGCATAGTCAAATGTTGTCCTTGGACATTCTTACCATTTAAACAAATACTCAAAAATTGTAAGTCATAATAAACTCTATTATACTATTGTAATCTGTTTTCTAAGGAAATTATTCTATCATCCAAAAATAACATTTATGCTTCTTTCAGAGAGTAGTTAAAATGTTATTTTATTAAAAATGCCAATATTAGTAATAATGGCCCATGAAGAAATAACTCTTCTATTGTGAAGGCCTGGGTAGTCCAATTAACAACATTACCACCCAACACAATATATCTACATATCTATATCTGTCTGTATCTCATAAGGCTTGAGACAGCCTCATCTGTAAGATTCTCATCTTGATAGTGATAGGTCTCTGAGACATGAAAAATAAACACGTATTCCACAAATAGATTTTAGTATCTTACAGATGTCTGAAAAATTCAAGTTATCAAATAGCAATAGAAGTTTCTAGCTTCTAAATTATTTCTGACATAAAAAGTATAGAACGGCAAAATAGTTAAGATTTATCTCAGAACACACTAACTTGAGAAGATTTATAGAATATTAAAATAGAAAAATAGCCAACAGGATTAAAAGGCTTGTTTGTACCTGTCCTTTGGAATGCTCTCCAGGTATTGGTATTCATAAATTTGAGTATTATGATCTAAGTTTTTCTGTCACTATGGGCATATCTGTATTAGGCGGTACCCCAAGCCCAGCAATGCTGTGAGGTGATTCTGCTCTTGCAGAATCACAGAGGTGCTGCCTTGGTGGTCTCGGAGAAGATCGGGAAAAATTTTCTAGATTGCCAGGCAAAGACTCTTGTTCTCCTCTCTTACTTTCTCCCAAACAAACAGAGTCTTTCTCTGTGCTGAGCTGCCTGGAGCTGGGAGAGAGGTGACACAAGCTCACCTGTGGCCGCCACCACCACTGGGACTGTGCTGGGTCAGACCTGAAGCCAGCATGGTACTGGGTCTCACCCAAGGCCCGCACTAACCACTGCCTGGCTACCACGTATATTTGCTCAAGGCCCTAGGGCTCTACAATCAGGAGGCAGCAAAGCCAGCTAGGCTCATATCCTACCCTTCAGGATGGCAAGTTCCCCTTTGTCCTGGGGAGGTCTAGGGACACAATCCAGGAGCCAGGGCCTGGAGTCAGATACTTTAGAAATCAACCTGATGCCCTATTGTACTGCAGCTGAGCTGGTACTCACAAGTCAAAGTCCTTCCCACTGTTCCCTCCCTTTTCCACAAGCAGAAGAACCTCTCTCCATGGCCACCACTGCCCAAGGCCCGTGATGAGTACTGCCAGGGTACTGCTGGTGGTCACTCAAGGTCCAAGGGCTCTTGAGTTAGCTTGTGGTGAGTGCTGCCAGGCCTGGGACTCACTCTTCAGGGCAGCAGGTTCCCCTCTGGCCCAGGGAAGGTCCAGAAATGCCAGTCAAGAGACAAGGCCTGGTACTGGGTACCCCAAGCCTGCTTGGTGCTCTACTCCACTGTGAGCAAGCTAGTACCTATGGTGCAAGACAAAGTCCACTTTACTTTCCCCTCTCATTTTCACAAGCAGAAATGGTCTCTACCCCTAGTCACCCAAACTGGGGATGTATTGGGTCACATGTGCATCCAGCATGGCTCTGAGTCACAACCAAGGCCCATGGCAAGTGCTGCCTGGCTGTGACGGTTGAATATTCAGGGCTCAAAGGCTCTTTACTCATCAAGTGATGAATCCTGCCAGGACTGGGTCCTTCCCTTCAAGGCAGTGGGTTCCTTTCTGGCCCAAGTTTTCTCTAGACATGTCATGCAGTAGCTAGATCCTCAGGACTCTATCTGGTGTCCTAGCCTACTGTGGTTGTGCTGGTATCTAAGATGCAAGACAAAGTCCTCTTTACTCTTCCTTCTCCTCTCCTCAAGCAGAGGGAAGAAGTCTCTCTTAGGGTGTGAGCTGTGTTGCCTGGTACTGGGGGAGGGGTGGCATAAGCACTTTCTTAGCTGTGTCAGCTGGTGTCCGACTAGATCGTGAGCACGCCAACCCCACTGGCTCCGAGTCCAGCACAGCACCAGGACTTGCCCCAGAATTGCAGTCCTTGTGGCCTAGACTAGCATTTAAGTTTATTTAGAACCCCAGAGCACTTTAGCCCACAGTGGTGAGGCTTGCCAGAATTAGAGTTCTGACTGCTGGGACAGACAATTCCCCTCTGGCTAGGACTAGTCTAAGTGCTGCCTTCATGAGTGCTGGCTAAGTTCTGTCCCACATTGCTTTCCACTGTGAGAGGGCAGCACTGAGTTCCTATACAAAAAGTCCCACAATCACTGTGTTCTCCCTCCCCCCAGGCACACCGATTTCCTCTCTGAGCCACAGGGCCCCTGCTGGGAGACAGGGAAGGGGTGCTGTAGGCAATTCAACACTGTTTTTCAGTGCCTCTTTTAGTGATATGAAGTTAACACCAGGTACTGTGACCACTCACCTGATTTTTAGTTCTTATAAAGGTGATTTTTTTTTGTGCAGATAGTCGCTTAATGTGGTGATCCTGCAGAGAGGATGATAGTGGAGGCATCTATCCAGCTATCTTGCTCCACCTCCCTTACTATGCAATTTTGCTAATGTCTATTTTTTAACACGGTATCATTGTTTCTCTAAACATAGCCTTTAAATAAATAAGACAGGTAAAAATTTTAGGTGAAAATGTCTAGCATATGATAAGAATATGCAAAAGGAAAATAAATCCAGTCAATGTGCCTTTTCTTCCAAGTTGCACCTTTTTACTGCATAGTCAAATGTTGTCCTTGAACATTCTTACAGTATAAACAAATACTCAAATATGTGATTTGTAATAAACTCTATTATACTCTTATTTTACGAAGAAAGTATTTCATCATCTAAAAATAACATTTACGTTTCTTTCAGAGAGTACTTAATCGGTCATTTTATTAAAAATGCCAATGTCAGTAATAATTGCCTATAACTTTTCTATTGTGAAGGTCTTGGTTGCCCAATTAACAATATCACCACCCCCACAATATGTCTATATATTTAAATATCTATACCTATATCTCATAAGGTTTGAGACAGCCTCATCAGTATGATTATCATCCTGATAGTGATAGAACTCTGAGACATGACAAATAAACACAGTATTCTACAATCAGGTTTTCTATCTTACAGATGTCTGAAAAAATCAAGGTATCAAATAGCAATAGCAGTTTTTAGTTTCTAAATTATTTCTGACATAAAAACTATAGAATAGTGAAATAGTAAGATTTATCTCAGAACACATTAACTTGAGAGGATTTATAGAATATTAAAATAGAAAAATAGCCAACAGGATTAAATCCTGGGCTAAGATTGATGAAATATTCCAGCAAAACTTTATTGATCTACTCCTGTTAAGTAGGCAGCTTTGAATTTCTGCTGACAAGTGCTGGGGTAACCAATATCAAAATGACAACTGAAACTAAAAAACACATAAAACAGAACAGAAAAGTATTCAATATCTGCATGAATCTCTTAGTAAACGAATCTTCTATTGACCAAAAATTTGATTTCTTTTGCCTCTGGGTATAAAGCTGCATCTGGCAAATTGGCTATGAAAATAATTTTTTGGAGAACGAGAAGAAAAAAATGAATAATTTTAGTCATTCTGAAATCAGTTAAAAATTGAGACCATATGAACATTTATTCAGGTTAAACTTTTGCCTTGAAGAATCTTTATTTTAGTTTCTCCCCAAGCTAGATTACAAGGCAGAAAACAAAACGTAATTTGCAAACTTCATGCTTGACACTGAGGAATCACTCTTGATGAAAAAGGCCTGACTTGACACATGAAACCATCAGCAATGTATAGAACCAGAGCTATCCCGTGTAGATAAAAAAAAATGCTGAATTTTTCCACTAGCCTTTCAGTCTCAGATGACTAAATTATGGATACATTTTCTAAAGTGTGTTCATCTTTTAAAGTCCTAAATAAAAGTTTCTTACTCTTGTAGAATTATATTGGAAAAGAAGAGTATACAGTAACCTCCATTAACCTCCAAAACCGTGGTGGGATTCTGGTCAGCTTCTAGCTATGTATGTTCAGCTCCTACCAGATGCCGGATTTATTTTATACACTACCTCTGGTCTTTAAAGTGACCTTTCAGGTAATAACACGGCCCCCATTTTACAGATGAAGATACTAAAGTACATAGAGTGGTTCAGTCCATTCGCCACGTTCACACAGTTAATAAATGAAAGAGCCGAGTTTTGAATTCAAGTCTTTCTGAATCCCAAATCCTGCCTTTTCAACTCTATTTTCAAATATGTGCCCTTAGTGGACTGATTGACTCACTCATAATTTTGTGTCGGATTTTAGGTAGGATTTCATATGATCTGTACCTTGAAATTGCAAGATAAGGCACTAGAATGGATTCCAGGGGTTATTTGTCCTAAACCCTTCTTTTTATAATGGAGGTAACTGAAGCCTAGGGACTAGCCAAGAACATACAGCAAGGTAATAACAAAGTTGGGGCTAGGACATTTATGTTTTAATTAATATTTAAGCTTTACTATTAGGCAAACCACAACATAAAATGAAAATTTTAATTTTCTGTTACAAAAGTGAATTATGAGATACATTAAAAAAACGAATTTTCAAGCATTCATATTATCATCTGTTGTTGTTATTTATGCTAATATATGATTACAGGCTTTTTCATGAGTGCGTTCTGAGGTTGACTGCACTACAGAATACATAACAAAAAAATAAGTGGAAACTTGGTTTAAAAACATACAAAATAAATTCCACACTGAGCTCTAAAAGTAGGCATTGAGCCCAATTTCTGGAATAAATCAAAGAGTAGGCAGAAAACAGACAGAAGGAACAGTTATTTTAGCAAGAAAAGTAGGAAAAATTTACCAAGCCAATCATGGGATGATGCATGCAGATAAAAGATGTAGAGAGAAAATGTGCAACACTGACACATGAACACATTTGAATGCAAGAAAGCAAAAAAACCAGAAAGCATAATTGTCCTAAATGTGAATAAACATTCAAATTATGCTGCAGCTGCAAAATTTAAACTCAAGGAAAAGACATTTGCAAAGGAATTTATTAAATAGATGTGATTTGCTGGTTTCACACAACCAGCGGCTCTTTCACAAACTAAAATGTACAATTTATCTTGATATAAATGACATTTCCCCGGTTGTACTCAATCAAGTAGCAAAAAGTCTTTCGTGAGAGACCCTGTTTATTAAAGAGCACAATACCCGGATATTGATACCCAGATGCTTGGGCTTTAACTATGTAGTGTTATTTCATCTAATAAAAGGTCTTATATATTGAGTATGGGCTTATATAATAAGGTTTCTGTGTGAAGGAAAACCACCTTTCTCTATAGCACAAGCCAGAGTAGTTTTTTTGTAAGAAGTTAAGTTTCATGTTGAAACCAGTTCTTGGTTGCTAAACCTGTTCATCCATTCTTCCATCCATCCATCCATCCATCCATCCATCCATCCATCCATCCATCCATCCATCCATCCTTTATCCATCCAACAGATATTTATGGGTTTCCAAAGTCTGTGACACAGTAAAGGATATAAAAATGCATCAAAAATCTTACTGTTGGGAATTTTATGATATTAAGATGGTAACTGACCAGAAGACTCAGAGCTTGTTATTAAACTAACACACCTACTCACAATGGTGATGTTGGCAAGGAAGACCTTTCATTGTGATCAGTCTTTGACTCAAACTGTAACGCAGAAATTGTAGTGCCAGCCTGGATCATTTAGTTTACAGAGTGGTTCTCCAAGTTAAGGTCTCATGGAACAGATCAGCATCATCTGGGAACATGTTAGAAATGTGCATTCTTGGGCCTCACTCCAGAACAGGGGTGTCCGAGGGAGAGAATACAGTTATGTGTTCTTAGTTTCTGTTTCTGGTTGGGCACGGAAAAAGCCCCATCCTTGTCTCTCTTTTCCATTTATCACTAGAGACAGAAACTAAAAGCCATGGCTTCAGGCTGCTAAAAGCCTAAAAGGAAACAAAACAAAACAGAGCAACAACAACAACAAAATAAAGCGGGCTAGATAAGCTTGCTCTAGACCAATCTGTGTTTGAAAACCACAAAGCCTTAAAATCACTTGGAAGGCTTGAAAAAAATCACAGCCCTTACATTTCTACACAATGGGCTAGGCCACTGGTAAGTGAGGTCAAAGAATAAAAATAGTAAGTCTAACAACTTAGAGTGGCATGCTTTAAATGTCTGCTTAAGAAATTTAGATAATGATGAATTGGTAAATCAGAGAACATTTTCTGAGCAAAAAGCAGACATGATCAGAATTGTGATTCTGGAAGACTTTGGAGCCAAAGGAGACCAGGGAGCAGTAAACTAATGAGGGGCAATTACACTGTTCAGGTGAGAAGACACAGTAATTTTTCTTTGGTTATTCAGGAGGATGTCCAGCCTCAAATGAACTGGGGCCCTTCACTCAGTTTGCATGTCGTGGATCCTCTTCATCCCTAGTTTGATTCTGTCTGCTCTTTTTGGTATTTCTGCCTAGCATCTGCTACGACTTTCCTGGTTTCCCTGCACTACCATTCTCTGCTGCCCTTTCTCCTGTCCCCTCCACTTTAATTTCCTTCACGAGGAAATCTGCATGCAAATGCACATCACTTTAAATGTTTGTTGTTGTCTGTTTTATTTTTAATAGCTGCTCCTTAGAGAGTTTATCAATTATATTCTTCCTCTGAGCATATGATCTTCTAGGTCACAACACAACCACAGGCTTTATCCAACTTTATTTTCAATCTGTTTAATGTCCTCATGTCAAAACAAAACAAAGAAGCCCTGATTCACCTTAATGTACTAAATCTGTTTTGCCAGCTGACCATTCATCTAACATTATGCCCAGATAATATATATATAATTTCAGTCTTGCATTTCACACAAACAGGGTTGTTTCCAAATAGGAAAGACAAAAATTAAATTTTTGTGTATACACGGACACCTTCTTGTAAATGAAACAATATAAAGCGAGTAACAAATACAGCTATAATTAAATGTTGTTATATTAATTCTGACTATTCCAACATGTTGGTCATACTTTGGATCTCATATAATGTCTCAAATATACATGGGGACTCAGATGCATTTCTCACTTAGCTGACACTATGCCATCTACTGAAGACGGACAATTTATTCATGAAGAAGTTAGTGTCGAAACAGAATTCACTCGGATTCCATGATATTTAGGTATAATTATTTAATGTCTTTAAAACACAAAACTTTTTTTTTTCTTGGAGATACTTCATTTAGGAGAAAAATGCTGATTTAGAATAAAGTAAAAGGAGCTGCAACAGATGCGGCTGGCTCCCTGCATTATGTCCCGGGGTTCACTTTGGATGTCAACCACAGCTGCAGGGGAGTCTCCTTGCCTTTGCAGGGATCCCTAACCCCCAGGTCATAGACCAGTACTGGTTCCTGGTAGGAACTGGGCTGCACAGCAGGAAGTGAGCAGTGGGCCAGCGTGCATTACGGCCTGAGCTCTGCCTCTTGTGAGATCAGTGGCGGCATTAAATTCTCATAGGAGCATGATCCCTGTTGTGAACTGTCCACGTGAGGAATCTAGGTATGTGCTCCTTATGAGAATCTCATTCCTGATGATTTGAGGTGGAACAGTTTTATCCCGAAACCATCTCCCCACCTCCCCACCCTGTCCGTGGAAAAATTGTCTTCCACGAAACCGGTCCCTGGACCACTGCCTTACAGTGTACACCTCAAGTGACAACTAAGTGTCTTTCTGCTTTCTACCCATGCATGGCTGGCACAGCCCAGCATTGTGAGGGAATTCATGCTCCTTGGGGAAATCCAAAACCAAGGAGAAAAAGTCAGTCAGTAAACCTCCTGCTGCACATCTTTCTAACGGAAATTTGGGCATCTGTACCCCTCCTGGGAGGAACCAAGTTCCCATTGCCTGCAGTGGTAGACTTGCTAACCCACCCATAATTTGGCCTGCGCTTCTTCCCTGATTCACTCTTCCTGCTTCCAACTCTTGATCTTTGGATCAGCTCCCTAATAAATTGCCATACCCAAGTCACTGTCTCAAGCAAGTAACGCAGACAAAGACAATAGCTTATTATTCAGCAATATGAATCTCCTTCTGATCTGACACCACTTCTGTAGTATATTTGATTTATATGTGGTAAGACCCTTCTTTTTTTCTCCCTCCAAAAACTACATAATGAAAGGAGTGGAGATGATAGCAAGGACTCAAGGGTTTTCATTGCCTTTCTTTTGTTTTCTTTTCTTTTTTTTTGAGATGGAGTCTCTCTCTGTCACCCTGGCTGGAGTGCAGTGGTGCAATCTCGGCTCACTGCAACCTGTGCCTTCCAGGTTCAAGCGATTCTCCTGCCTTAGTCTCCCCAGTAGCTGGGATTACAGGCACCTGCCACTGCCTCAGTCTCCCCAGTAGCTGGGATTACAGGCACCTGCCACCACACCCAGCTAATTTTTGTATTTTTAGTGGAGATGGGGTTTCACCATATTGGCCAGGCTGGTCTCAAACTCCTGACCTCAGGTGATCTGCCCACCTCGGTCTCCCAAAGTGCTGGAATTACAGGCGTGAGCCACCACGCCCTGCCTTTCATTGCCTTTCTTAGCACACTTACATCATGTTGAACATGTCTGTGTGGATAAATGCAAATTTGTTCAATATGCTAAGAAAAGCTAACACTATGCCATTTACTTCCATAATTTCATACCTAACCTACCTTATGTACAATATTTGGGTCCACAGATTTATAAAAATGGCATGTGCCCAATATGCCGTTCCAGATTAACAACAACAATGAAGATTAAATATATAAAATACATCTGGCCTAGATTCTGTACAGGTAGCTAGGAAGTTAAAAAACACAGGCTTTAAATTCAACAGACTGTTAATATGTCTGGAAAGTGTATGCCAGGAATATTTTTGTTCAAATATACCATGCTATTAAAAAATGTTTCATATAGGATAGCTGAAGAGGAAGCTGTTATTTAAGAAACTGCTTCCTATACAAGTAAGGGGGAAAGGGGGCAGTTTTACCTTTGATTATCAATTGTCCATTTTCCTTGCTTCCGAGTCAGGAAAAGATCCAAATTGCAGGCTTTTTTTTAACCTGATGTCACTCTGGGTATCTGATGTTCAACTGCTCTGAAACATAACAATGCAATAATTAGATGTAATAACTAGCCTGAAACAAAAAGACACTTAAAAATGATCTCATAAGAACTATTCTGACACACATTATATTCAATGCTGTTAAGAAGAGAGTTTCATAGAAAATCTACATGGCCGTGTTCTTGCATGATGTCACACTTTGTATTTTTATGCTTTTCAGAAAATAAAATCAATCACCCAGAAAAAAAACAATGTTGCTGTAATAAATAGGCTTGATATTCTACAATATACATTTCCTATCATTTATTTTCTTTAAAAAGCAATAAAATGCAAGCATCAATGATCCAATTCTGTAAGACATAATATACATATGCGATTGTATTCACTTCCTGAGCGTTATTTGTTTTCTCAACAGTACAACTAAGCCAGTGTGACTTTAAAAAGGGCTAAAATGTATCATTTTTTTCCAGAGTGGTTCTTTTCATTCTGGAAAAAAGCCACAGGAGGATGCCATTCATGGCATAATATTCCCAAGTGTGCTACTAGAGACTTGCTGGTGCCTAAGTCAAGCCACTATCCTTAATTAGGACAAATACCTAATGCATGCGGGTCTTAAAACCTAGATGATGGGTTGATGGGTGCAGCAAACCACCATGGCACATGTATACCTATGTAACAAACCTGCAAGTTCTGTACATGTATCCCAGAACTTAAAGTAAAATAATAATAATATTAAAAAAATAGTTTCTTAGGAAAGTGACAAAATGGAACATATAACTGGACCCACACTTATGAAGGAGGTAACTATTCCAGATCATATCACATGCTATATGGCTGAGCTATGAGTTTCCTTTCTGAAAAGTGACATAGAAAAGGACCTGGGTCACACAGAAAACTGATCTGATGTCGAAAAGTGTAAATACCTGTAAAGGTCTGTTTCTATTTTTTTGTAAGCAATGTATTCTTTTGGATCTAGGTAGCATATTAAAATATTGTCAGAAGGGAATGAGAAAAATAATAAATCTAAGTAATAAGCAGAAATGTAGTGATATTCAGAATTGAGAATATAATTTGTATTTTTTTAACCTCCTAATTATAAGAATTATAGTGCTTAAATGAGTGTGGAATTCATTTTACAGAAGAGGAAGTAGATGTCAGAGGAGGTGATATGGCTCGATCAATTTTATGCAGTGAATAGGCACAGAGGCAGAGGCAGAATTACGTCCCAGATGCTCTGTCTGGAAGTTCAGTCTCTTTAGAAACTCACATCTTGTTTCCAAAAAGAACACTGGACTTTCAAAAAGTTCAGGGCTAGTACAATTCTCTGCAGAATTTGTTAGAGCAATATTTTGAGACTGGCAAAGCTGACAGGTATGAAAGTGTTGTGGGTGGTAAAAGGCAAGAACAACAGAAACACAACAGCCTCAGGCATGATAATAATACACAGGAGGAACACTTGACTTTCACACATACCTCTTTATCCATGACATAGAAGACAAAAATGAGACGCCATCATCAAAAGCTTTTAGTCATACTTTAAAGATTATGAGCCCTGATTTATATACTAGTATCCTGCTAAGTATTTTCAATATTCCATTAAACCAGACAAGCTCTGAGTGGACTTTCTTCCCCACATATATGAGGACTAAGTAACTCAGGAGATAATGAAAAATTGTTAATTTCTAAAAATATATAGAACTGATCATTTATCCGTTCATGACTATTTATTGAGAATTTATTGTCTGCTAGATAGTACTCTTAATTTTCTTTGGAAACAAAGTGGAAAGATTATGTAATTTCTGAAAAAGACACCCAAAACACAAGAAGAAATTCATTTTATTATAATTGGTTTTATAAGTTAGATAATTGTTAGGTAAACAAATATATTAATCACTAGGAGAGGTCTTAAATGTCATCTAGTGTAATGGTTGCCAAATGCAGTTGATCATCAGAGTCATCTGGAAATTTGCATTAAAATACAATTATAGAATTTCATGCAAGATCGTTTAAATCAGAATATTCATGGGTAAGGCAGGGGAATCTGCATTTTGAAAATGATCCCAGCTAATTCTCCTGATGAAGCAGGTTGGGAAACCTACCAATTCTGTCTGATTTACTCATTATATAGAGAAGGGCATTGAAACCAGAGAATTGACTTGCCCAGGGCATTTGCTTCTTGGTGACAGCACTGAGATTAAAATGCAGAACTCCTGATTCTCCATTTTCTTTTCTTTTCCTTACCCCAAGTGTCCCTCTTTTTAACTTTTTTCTTCCTGTTCTTTTTTTTAACCACCACATAATCAAGATTTAGCATCTATATCTGAGAAAGAACAAGAGTAAAAGAACAAGTACACTATAATTATTTGAGTATCAGAAGATTCAGGTACGTTTTCTCATTAGCAACAATTTACACAGATGAAAGGTGAAAAACAGGAATTTGGACTTCAGCTGTTTGATTCAATCATGTGCTTCCTACTCTTCCACTGTCTTTTTCTAGAATCAGCTACTTGGGAGTTGCCTGCTGAGTCCCTTTCTTTGGGGTCTGCCCAGCACTCTCCATCCTGCAGTTGTCAAAGGGGTCCTCGTTCCTGGACATCCCTGATTGGACCAGGAGAGGTGTTTTTCCCAAACCAGGCCCATAACTGGGACTGTGAGACTATAGCTTTGTCCAGGTTAAAGAGTGATGGGTAAACCATGGAGAAGGAAGAATGGAAGAGACACACATGGAAGGTGGAACAAGAACTCTCTCAACTCATCTGCCTCCTGCTCCCTCTTTTTCATTCTTTTCTGTGGCTTTCATGGGCTCATGTATCCGTAAGAGATAAAGAGACGGAATCTTGCTCTGTCATCCAGGCTGGAGTGCAGTGGTGCGATCATAGCTCACTGCAGCCTCAAACTCCTGGGCTCAAGTGTTCCTCCTGCCTCAGCCTCCAGAGTAGCTGGGACTAGATGTGCACCACCACACCCGGCTATTTTTTTTTTTTTTTTTAATTTCTCGTAGAGATAGAGTCTCTCCATGTTGCTCAGGCTGGTCTCAAACTCTGGCCTCAAGTGATCCTCCTGCCTTGGCCTCCGCCTTTTTTTTTAAATAAAAAAAATTAAATTACTAATTTTTAAATTAATTTTTTTGGCTTAAGCTAACTCAAGTTAGTTTGTTTCTGTAACTCTGCAGCCAGAGTCAAGATGAATACACCTCATATCATTCATTTTATGTGTGTTACTCTATAAGCCAGTCACTTTAGTTACGGTATTCCAAGAGGCTTATTTAAAAACTATTGGCTGAGAGTGCGGAGAAGGAAGAATACACACTACAAAGGTATTGCATTTTATGGAACACCTATATTTTCATCAAATACATGTTTTGAAGTGTGATAAAGTGGAGAAGGTCCCGATCAGGAAGTCCTCTTTTCATCTCAGATCTGACTCTTACAAAGTTTCTGACTTGTGAAAGTTACCTAGCCTCTCTCAGTTTTAATGTCCTTATTTGTAAAATACCTCCTGGCTAACTTTAGCCAGGTTAGTATGAGGAACAAGGGAAAGCACTCATTCATTCTCTCATTCATTCATTCGCCCCACCGTTCTGCAAAGATTTAGCGAGCATCTATCATATGCCAAGCACTATCTAGGGGATGAGAATACATTAGTGAACATTTCATTTTAGTGAAGACAAATAAACAGAAAGTAAATAATAAATGTAAAACAGTAAATTATAGAGCAGTTCAGAAGGTGAAACATGCTATAGATGTGAGAAAAACAGACCAAGGTAAGAGGTATCAGAAGTGCATAGGTAGGGAGGTGTAGGGAGGAGAAGGGATTCCACCAAGAAAGTGAGATTTGATCAAAAACTTGAGAGATGTGAGGGAGTGAGTCCCATGCCAGAGAAGGGTGTTCCAGGCAGAGGGACTGCAGGGTTATAGTGCTAAGGTGGGAGTGTTCCTGGTTGGTCTTGGGATTGCAATAAAGTCATGGGATGGAGTGAAGTGAGGGAGGAGATTAGTAAGTATGTGCACAATTTACTTCTACAAATCTGCTGCCCATTGTGAACCATGTGGGAACTGATGAAAATAAGTCGCAACAATTTGCTTTATTTGGGCACTCTACGGTTCACACCATGCTTATATGTGGATTTGCCCACCCTGCTACTTGGAACACATTTTCCTCCCTGGGTCTTTTAAGGCACTGTGAGGAATAGTAGTAGGTACAGATAATACAAGGTAGTTCAACTAGGATTGCTAACCTCATAGACTTTTCTCCCACAGTTGCTGTTTAGTATATTTTCTGAATGTAAAGATGTGTATATTTTTCCTTCCAAAGTAGTGAATAAGGAATTCATTAAGAGCAAACTACACTACTGAAAAGTGGGTATATGTATATTAAAAGATATATGTCCAGCAATTCAGTACTTAGACAAGCTTATGAGCAAAGATGAGCTGTTATGAATTTGTAACATTAAACATGGTGGGCTGGTGGGGTGCTGTGGGGAAGTGGAAGAAGGAGTGGATCAAGGATGGCTCATGGCTTTTCAGCTTTTACTCTGAGAGTGAAAAGGGGGCCATGGCAGGAGTTTGAGCTTACAGTCGACATGGCTTATGTTTCAAAACCTCATCCTGGCTGCTGGTTTGGAACAGTACATAGGAGAGGTCAGGATGCAGGTAGCTGGAAAGCTTGTGAACCACCTGGAGACAGGCAACATTTGCTCCGACTCGGGTGGGGCTGAGGAGCAGTCAGATCCATGCTGAACTTGTTCTGAAGCAAGAGTTGACAGGACCTTTTGATGGATTGGGTGATTAGGGTGAGAAAATAAAGAGACAACAATGACCCCAAGATTTCTGGCCTAAGCAACTGGAAGAGTGACCTCGACGTCGCTGGAGATGAGAAAGGCTGAGTCTAGAGCAGGCTTTTTAGGGAAAGCTGATACGTTCAGTCTGGCCATATTGATTGAATTATCAGTGCCAACTGGACTTGCCACATAGGTGGCTGGATATACAACACCGGAATGTGGGAGAGAAGTCTGGGCTGGAGTTTGTGTTAGAAGCTTTCTGGTATAGCATAGGTGATTGGTAGTATTCCTATTTCCACCACCACAGATGATTATATAAGGATTAAATAAAATAATATATGTAATGCACAGTACCTGGTATGTAACAGGAATGCAACATATTTTAATTCCCTTCTGTTTCCTGCCGTTATTTAAAAATGTATCTTTTTCTACTGACTATATTATAAGATTATGTTATCTTTCTGTGAAAAACCAATCAATTTCTGCAAGACACCATATCATACTTTACATTTTGGCAGTCCTTTTTAAAACAAAGGGAAATAATCTCCTGATAAAATGTTGATAATCATACTCAGTAAGTCATAAAAGAGAATTTCCAGGAAGCAAGGTAAATTTTTGTTTGGATAGGAGATGAAAGGTCTAAAGAGAAAGTGAAAACTGAACAGATATGAATCTATAGACCTAAAAAAACCCTAAACTTATCTCAGATCTCCCTGGATTATTTTGGACACAGATCTTGCTTTTTTTACTTTATCTTCTAGCACTTAAGAATTTTTTTTTGAGCAATGATTAATAGTCCTATAAGATGAAGAAGATGCAGAAATATGAGAAAGATGATCATGGCCATAGGGCCGAGTGCACAGCTGAGGAGGAACATTTCTGAAAGGCATGGATGGCTGAGAAACTCTGGAAGCTCTAGGGTGAAATCTTTAAAGTCTACAGTTGTATCTTTAAAATGAGTTTCTTGATTTATAAATGCCTCTTTCACAGAACAAATTTTAAACTAGAAACCATCTATGTTTAAATCCTGTTTTAGACGTGAAGTTTATGAAAACTAGACGGGGACATGTCTTGTCTGAGATCATGGACCACCAAGATCAGAGGTGGGACCGGGCCGTCAGCTCACTTAACTCTGGGTGCTTGTCTTTGCACTCAAATAGTTTCCTTAAGTTGTTTTACCCAACTCCCTGTTTTATGTAACAAGCATCATTTGTTTTAAATCTCACATTTTATCTTAAATTTTACCTTATAGTCCATAAACTATTATGTAGGTTTGAAAACAATGGTAAACTATCTATGTGCTTCACTCCAGTGGATCGTAGAAATAAATTCCAGAATGAGGTCTGCATTTATTCTGTGACTTTCCACGTGTCTGAGACAGCATTAGTTCACATAATAAAAGAAGGAAGACTAGTCAGTTTCCACTTTCTTTGCAAATCACTTTGCTAATTGGTTCCTCATTTGTGTATAAGAGATTTCAAGGCAGGCTGGATTCATGGGTGTGTGACTCATGCAGCTTCAGAGGGAAGACCCCATGCTCAGAAAAGCCCTGTGCTTTGTTCAGTGATTTTAGTAGTTGAACCAGTGTTTTGTGGGCAAAGTCCAATAGGACAGTGAGCATCAAGGGAGCAGGGGCTGTCTGCACACTGTGCACATGCTCAGCCATTCTGCGCTGCCTCATTCATACGTGATGTTCATAATGGTGAATTCTGGGGGATGCACAATTCATGGGAGTCTGGTGAGTTTCAACATGAGAGCACGAGTAAGTGTGCTATGTCTGTGAGTAAGTGGGGAAGCTGGCAGCCCCAAGACGCCATGCTCGCCACTGGAACCAGAACTTCCTTCAACCTTAGCAAGAAGGCAAAGGGTTTTAAGAAACACAGATGACCACGGGAGCCTATTGCATCCTTTCTTCCTTGAATAATTCCCTGTATCAGCCAACTGTTTATGCTGAAAATGAAGACATACAAAGAGAGAGAAAGAAAGAGCAAACCACAGGTCTTTTTCTTGCAATCCTTCCTTACTCATGAGTAAGTCAAAGGGAGAGAGTGTATCCAGAAATGAAATATAAAGTTATTTAAATCTTGTATATCATTTCCACTGTTTGGGTAAGGATGACATACATATGTACGATCTATGAAATACCTAATTTTTGCTGATTGTGCATGCAAAGCAACTATTCTTATAGTTGCATTGCACAATACAAAGTGAATGGTAAAATTTGTGCTAAGTTTATATTTTTGTTTTTTATTTACTTGGAATAACATGAAATATCAAATAAAAACTAGTAGAAAAAGTCAAGAGGGGAATGGCAGAAGGAAGGACAGTTTTATACATTATCACCTTTAATGGCCCTTTGTTCCTGCTTTCCGAATAAGGGACCTGCATTTTCACTTTGCCCTGGGCCCTGCAAATTATGTAGCCATTAACATTCACCCTGATGTTATGAACTGGCACACAACTAGCATTATTAACTTACAGCTTAAGTATCATATAGAGAACTTTGGAAATAGAACACCTTCTTTTGAAAATCCTAGTACAACTGCAAACTGAATTAATCTGCTCTCTGTTCTCCTCAACGTCTTCTCTCATTTTCCGACTGACTTCTTGGACACTTGACCAAAGTTCCTAATTCAAATTAATCCTTCTCAGAAGTCCCCCAGCTCTTAATTTAATTTGATTTCTAATTTAATTCAATTTTAATATTCCATTTGAAATGCCACTGCCCTCAAGGTCAAATACTCAGCTGGGGAAGAGAGAAAAGTCAGTGATAAAAGAAATTTAGTCTAAGGTGTGAATGATGAAAATAATTGATACTTTAGAGGGATATTAAGGTAAGCATATGTCCAAACTCATCAGATTGCATATATTGAGTATGTACAGCTTTTTGCAATCAGTCATACCTCAATAAAGCTGTTTTAAAAAAAGAACCACTTGTTAGGCCTAAATGACCTTAATTAGTAAGAAACAATATTTTAAAGGAAGAAAACTTCATATTACTTTCTGCTAAGAAGGCCCTTCTACCCTAATCCATTTGAAAGAATGAGCAGTTGCCTATTTCTGAACAATTGCACATTATTTCTTTAAAGATGACATAATGTGCACATAGTACCTTGCTGCCCAGCTGGTTTCCTGTCTTCAACTCTCCTCTCCCATCCATTCTCCAAGTAGCTGCCAGAGAGTCCTTCTAAAATACTATACAGTGTGAAACTGATCGGCTTAAACTCAATTGCTTGCAGGGTCTGATACAATCTCCTTGGTTAGGAAGTCAGTGCCCTTCATGATCTGGCCCTGAAACTCTGCTTTCCTTCTCCAATACTGTAAACTCCAACAGAACCAAACTGCTTTCTTGAACTCAACCTCCGGCTTTTGAATCATTGTCCATGGACCAAGCC
The DNA here is from genome assembly GCF_000001405.40 of Homo sapiens. Taxonomy (NCBI): domain Eukaryota; kingdom Metazoa; phylum Chordata; class Mammalia; order Primates; family Hominidae; genus Homo; species Homo sapiens. Next base: position 4,159,430 of record NC_000018.10, read on the forward strand.
TTTGAATCTTTGCTGGTCTCTTCTTTGCCCGGCAAACTCCTACTCATCCTTCATGACCCCACCAAAAATTAAGCTTCTTCTCTGTAGCCCTTTCTTCACTCTTTTCCTATTTATCTGTTTTTCTCAGTAAAATGAAAGCTCCCCACGGAATGAACCTGTGTTGTTCATCTGATATCTTTGGCACCTAAACTCAAGTTTGGTACATTGTAGGTACTATACAAATGTGGGTTGAATGTAAAAAAAAATGAAGTAATGTGTACTCAAACATAACCAGGTATTTTCCAGTTAATTGAAAAGGGCCTTACAATCACGAAATACATAGGCTTATTTCATTTCTTTAAAGTTCACCAAAAAGAAAAGCACTTTAAAATAGGTAGTGCTAGTTGGAAACTTAGTCTCCATTCTCTTGTTTGTACTTTTTTTTGGTCTGCGTTCTTCTCTCTTATCCTTATATCTCAGTCCGCCTGTGGAAGCTTGGCAGCTTCAGGAATTTGGCTAAAGGACTCTGCTGAAATGTTAAGGTACTGCCTCCCACACCAACTCACTTCTTCGCAAATAAGATGATTTTGGGATCCTCCATGAACAGAAAGTGCGTAATGACTCATTGTGATATCACAACTGTTGTCTTGTTACAAAAAGATTTACAATTTATTTACAACTAAGATATTGCACTATTTGGTAATATCTTATAATCTGTGTGCAGAAGAATAAAAATCCTTTTCCCTAAGGTAGAATTCTTGGCTAAAAGGAGGTTTATCAAACAAGCATTGGGATAAACTGGAGATTTTGATATTTGTTGTCAATCACTTATGTGGGAACTCTCCATGTCTTACATTTGCAAGGCATTTTTTTCTTAAAATCTCTGAGAGTAAAATTCACTAGACTATTATAATCTGTTTGTCCCTACTGAACTCCCATTACTTTCTCTCCATCCACTGGGCTGACTGCCTTTCACATCTCTTTCAGTTTTTCCCCCTCTGTATAAGCTTAACTTCTGTTATAAGAAAAGCTACAATTTATTGAGTACATTCTATATGCCAGACTCTTTTGTAAAGCATATTATTAATGCATCGATTATTTCATTTAAAATTCACAATAAGCCTAATGAGGTAGGTTCAATGATTATTACCATTTTGTTCAATGATTATTATCCCTCAGAAGACTGAGATGCAGAGATATTAAGAAACTCATCTTAACATTAGAGATGTTAAGAAATCAAAATATTACACCTGTAAGTGGATGTATCACTATACAGACCTAGGCAGTCTGGTCTCAATTTCACCTCTCAGTGTTTGCCTCAAGTCAAATGTGCAGATTTATTTTTTATGAATTAATTTCCCCCTTCTTATTTAATTCCTTAATATAAGCCTGTCTGTAAGGCTTTCAAAGTTTCCCATGTTCCGGGAACTTTAAATACATTACTTCATTTAGATATTATTATCATTATCCCATTCTACAGATACCAAAATTGAGGCACTAAGAGATTACGTTACTTAGCCAATGAGATCTCACAGAAAATTCTGGAACCAAGATTTAAATCTAGTTCTTTTTGTCATTATGCTACATTGTACTCTTCTGTGTCAGATTTTGTTTTCCTTATGCTTTTTTTTTTTTTTAATGGCTGAACAATACATTCCACAGTTTATTTTTTTCTTCAACTTTTAAGTTCCGGGGTACATGTGCAGGATGTGCAGGTTTGTTACATAGATAAACATGTGCCATGGTGCTTTGCTGCACAGATCAACCCACTACCTAGGTAGTAAGCCCAGTATCCATTAGCTATTCTTCCTGATGCTCTCCCTCCCGCCACCTTTCCCCAGGACAGACACCAGTGTGTGTTGTTTCCCCGACCAACCCCACGTGTCCATGTGTTCTCATTGTTCAACTCCCACTTATGAATGAAAACATGTGGTGTTTGGTTTTATGTTCCTGCATTAGTTTGCTGAGGATAATGCCTTCCAGCTCTATCCATGTCCCTGTAAAGGACATGATCTCATTTCTTTTCATGGCTGCATAGTATTCCATGGTATATATGTACCACATTTTCTTTATCCAGTCTACCATTGATGAGTATTTGGGTTGATTCCATGTCTTTGCTATTGTGAATAGTGCTGCAATGAACATAAGTTTTCCCTGTTCTTATAAATAAATTTTCTATGCCAAAGTATAGAAGAGCCTTATTTTTTAAAAAATCAGGTTGGTGACTAGTTCATTTGTTAGAGCCAAATTTTTAGCTGCCAAAGAGACCAAAATCTTACTTCCGAGCCTGTGTATGCCAGTTGGCAATGCTGGTTCCACTGCCACAAAATGTAACTCTGTTCCCAGACAGCCACTTGGAAAATGCATGCTGCTAATCATGAAGCAGAGAATTACGTACCTTTAAAGGTTGATGGAAGTTTATCATGCCTCAGATCTAATATAATCATTTCATATATAAGAAAAGCACAGAGAGATTAAGTGGCACACCTAAGATGACACAGTAAATTCATAGCAAGCTTGGGACAGTCATTGAGATTTTCTGACACTAAATCTGAGGTCTTCATCCCATACAACAAAAGCAGTCTCTGCAGCCATTTTGTCATTGTGTCTTAAAAAAATGTATTCATACATTCAACAAATACTGAGTGGTTACCTGTGCCAGACAATGTTCTAGATGCTGGAGATAGAGTAGTAAACAAAAAAGAAAGATTCCTGCACCCCTGGAGCTTTACATCCTGGCATTGTAATGGCAGAATGGAACAAACTGTTATGGAAATAAGGATGATCCAAAGCGATAATGTCTCATAGGCAGAAGAGCTTATTAGTAGAGTTACAGTTTTGTGCATATACTCAAAAGCCTACTAGTTACATTGAAAGGATTATTGGTATCAATAAATAGGAATGGTGTGGGTTATGTGGTACCAATGGAGAGATGATAAGATAGGGTCTCTCTGCTCTCAAGGAGCTTAAGGATGAAGTATGTCATGTAGATTAAAGGAAATGTTTTACTTTCCAATTAAAATTTTTAAAGAAAATTTTGTCACATTAAAAATTATCTTTTACCTTAACAGATAAAAATCATTGTGTGCACCTACTAATCCAAGTCAATTATAACTACAAGGAAGTAAATAATCTGAAATCCAAAAATTCCACCTAAATTTTCTGAGATTAATCCATTTGAAGTCTTTGAAAAGGTTCTATACCTGATTTTATATGACCATGTCCAGTGTCAGAGAAATAACTACAATAAAGTATTAAATTTGCCTCTAAGTCAACATATATCTTCTTCTTGCCAATAATTATTGTAATAAAGTGGCAAAATTGAGCTCCTGGTCACAAGGTGTGGTGACATGTGCTATTAGTCTGAATAGAAACAGCCACCCTAAAGCTATTCAATAATGGAAAACAGAAAGCTGTGCAATTTAAAGTGCTCTACTAAGCCTGTTCCTTAATTACAATATTTTGCAATGTCAACGCACACCATTATCTGAAATAATCAGAGTTTTTTTTTAAAAAAAAACATAATATCATTCTGTTTTGAGCTAGTCGCAAAGTACTCTTTGTTGTCTTCCATGATGTTAAATGCTTGAGTCTGACTCGCCCACTGCTAAGAGTGTTGAGTAGGTATAGCTGATATTCTGTCCCCATTGTAGGCCAGCACTAAGACATCTTTACTAATGTCCAGCAATAGAAAGACATCTAAACCCAAGATATAGTTTAATGTTACAAATTCATAACCACTCATCTTTGCTCATAAGCTTGTCTATGGGCTGAATTGCTGGACATATATCTTCTAATATACATATACCCACTCTTCAGTAGTGTACTTTTGTCTTTAATGAATTCCTTATTCACTACTTTGGAAGGGCAATTATACACAACTTTACATTCAGAAAATATACTAAATGGTAACTGTGGGAGAAAAGTCTATGAGCTTAGCAATCGTAGTTGAACAACGTTGTATATCTGTACGCACTACTATTCTTTACAGTGCCTTAGACGGCCCAGTGAGGAAAAGGTGTTCCAGGTAGCAGAGTGAGCTAATCCACACGAAAGTGTGATATGAACTGTAGAGTGCCCAAATAATGCAGTTTATTGTAACTTATTTTCATTAGTTCCCACATGGTTCACAATGGGCACAGATCTGTAGAAGTAAATTGTGCACATACTTCCCACTGCCAATGTCATCACAATAAAATGTCTGCTAAAATAGAGGGCAGTAATTCTGTTGATATAATAATTAGCTAAGACAGTCCATTCCCGAAGCAAAAACAGTGAACAGAAATGCTGGGAGCCTCTTTTTATTTCCTTTGCTTCCATCATGGATTGAAAGTTTGTAGGGCCATCTCTGGAAAATGCCGTGAGAGAGTTACATTTTCTTCCATACTTTTCTGTGTCCCTTTTCTGCACCTCTCTTTTCCATTTTGATGTTTTCTTTTTCAGATATTATTATTCAAATTTCCCTTCATTAAAATTATAATTCTCCACAAGAAGTGGTCCAGCCCAAGAAGTCTCCTTGTCCCTGTAGATCTAAGATGCTCCTCCCTCACTGAGAGACATCCAGGGGCTTGGCCAGTGAAAATTCACTCAGCTCACTCATGTAGTACTAGCACGGGTGAGTGGAAACTCTGGCAGCACCAGATGAATCCAGCAGACCAAAATAGCAATGGAAAGCACTGAAAACTAAACTGCCATTGGAACCATGGTCCATAGAAGTAGGCCAGAACCTGCACGCTAAACATAACAGTGTGAGTCCTCACTAAAATCAAAGATTTAAACAAGACCCAGAGTCCCTAATTTAACGGATAAAAGGCCCAAGATACCATTAAAAAAAGAAAAATCACCTGTCATACAAAAATCAAGGAAACAACAACTTGAATGAGAAAGGACAATCAACTGACACCAATATTGAGATGAACCAGATGGTTAAATTATCTGATGGGTTTAAAACAGCTATCATAAGACTGTTTAAACGATCAGACACTGCCGGGGCTGGGTGTGGTGGCTCACGCCTGTAATCCCAGCACTTTGGGAGGCGAAGATGGGTGATCACCTGAGGTCAGGAGTTTGAGACCAGCCTGGCCAACATGGTGAAACCCCGTCCCTACTAAAAATACAAAAATTAGCTGGCTGTGGTCATGGGCGCCTGTAATCCCAGCTACTTGGGAGGCTGAGGCAGGAGAATTGCTTGAACCTGGGAGGCGAAGGTTGCAGTGAGCCAAGATCGCACCACTGCTCCCCAGCCTGGGCAGCAGAGAAAGACTCTGTCTCAAAAAAACAAAACAAAACAAAACAAAGCAACAACAACAACAACCAAAAAACAAATGCAAGTGCTCTTGGAACAAATGAAAAAATAGAGAATTTCAGCAAAGAAACAGAAATTATAAAAAAGGACCAAATGGAAAGTCTAGAACTAAAAAATAGAAAAACATAATTATTTTTAAAAAAAGAACCTTGGTAGATGGACTCAAAAGCAGAGTGAAGATAACAGAACACAGAATCGATGAACCTAAGGATAGATGAATTGAATTCACACAATCTCATCAACAGAGGGAAAATACAATATTAACAAAATGAACAGAGTCTTCAGGGGCCTTTAGGAAGATTACAAAAATCCAAATTCATATCCTTAAAAAGAATGGAGAGAGGGTGGGGCTGAAAGAATATTCAAGGAAATAATGATTGAACACTTCCCAAATTTGGTGAAATACACATATTCACAGAGTCAAGAAAACTCCAAACAAGATAAACCCCAAAAAGTGTAGACTAATTAAAATTAAACTGAAAAGAAAGGCAGAGAAAATATTTTGAAAGGAGTCAGAGAAAAATAATGCCTGTCTCTAGGGAGGCAGCAATTTGAATAACAGCAGATTTTGCATATGAAACCATGAAGGCCAGAAGAAAGTGGCAAAACGGTTTTCAAGTGATAAAACAAAAATGTTGTCAACAGCAAATTCTACATTCAGCAAAACTGTCTTCAGGAAAGAAGAGAAAATAAAGGCATTCTTATGTAAAGGAAAATTAGAAAAGTCTGTCACTACCCAACCTAACTTTAAAACTTGGCTAAAGGAAGTTCTTCAAACAGAAAGAAAATAATAAAAGAATCTAGAAGCAAAAGAAAAACAGGAACAAGTAAAAGAGCAGAAATATGGGTATATTGTGAGTTTCATAAAATATATTTGATGACTGAAAAAAATATTAAAATGCAATCTGATACTTAAGACAATCATATCTAAAAGTGGGGAAGGTAAAGACACCTGAATGGAAGTGGGGCTCCCACACTTTACTTAAAAAGGTAAAATGCTGGTACCAGTAGACTGTGAAAAGTCACATATGTATATTGAAATATCCAGAGCAACCACTACAAAAACCATACAAGGAGATCCACTCAAAACCATTATAGAGAAAATATTTGCAAACATATGTCTGGTAAGGGACTAATATCCAAAATACAGAGAGAACATCAAGCTAGGTACAGTGACTCATGCTTGTAATCTTAACACTTTGGGAGGCTAAGGTGAGAGGATGGCTTGAGGACAGAAGTTCAAGACCAGCCCTGAACAATGTAGTGAGACCCTGTCTATATAAAAAATCAAAAAAATTAGCCAGGCATGGTGGCATGTGCCTGCAGTACTAGCCACTCAGGAGCCTGAGGTAGAAAGATCACTTGAGTTCAGGAATTTGAGGTTGCAGTGAGCTATGATCATGCCACTGCACTTCAGTCTGGGTAACAGAGTGAGATCCTGTATCTAAAACAAACAAATAAACAATAACCACAAAATCCAATTAAATAATGAACAAAGGACTTGAATAGACACTACTCCAAAGAATATATACAAATGACCAATAGCACATGAAAAGATGCTCAATATCACTAAACACTAGGGAAATGAAAATCAAAACCACAATGAGTTACTACTTCATACCCATTAGGTTGGCTGTTATAAAATATATATATATAAGATTATGAGTGTTGACAAGGATGTGAAGAAATTGGAACCTTTGTGCATTGCTGGTGGGAATGTAAAATAGTGCAGCTGCTATGGAGGCTGAGGCAGGAGAATTGCTTGAACATGGGAGACGAAGGTCGTTCCTCAACAAATTAAACAGAATTATCACATGATCTGGCAATTCCTCTTCTGGGTATATACCCAAGAATCGAAAGCATAGGCTTAAACAGATATTTGTATACTACTGTTCACAGCAGCATTAATTCACCGTAGCCAAAAGGTAGAAACACCATCCACGTGTTCATGAACAGATAAATGAATGAACAATGTGGTATATTCGTATGAAGAAATATTATCCAGCCTTATGAAATTCTGACACATGCTGCAACATTGATGAACTAAGTGAAATAAACCAAACACACAAAAAGATAAATATTGTATGTTTCCATTTACACAAGGTTCCTAAAATAGGCAAATTCAGAGAGACAAAAAGTAGAATAGTCATTAGCATGGGCTTGGAGAAGGAGGAAATGTTCTTGCTTGTTGGATACAGAGTTTCAGTTTGGAATGATGAAAAATATCTGAAGATAGATAATGTTTGCATAATAATGTGAATGTACTTCATACCAGTGAATTGTACACTTAATGATGGTTAAAATGATAAACCTTACATTATGTATATTTTACCATAATAAATAGACACTACAAATTAATCAAGACAGACTCCAAAAAATGTTCAAATAACAGGAAAGCAAGTAAAGAGAAAGAGAAAAAAGAACCAGAGGAAATAAACAAAACAAGTAATTAAATGGCCAACTTATATGCCGACATTTCAATAATTATCTTAAATATAAATTATCTAAATACACCAATTAAAAGATAATTATTGATAGAGTAAATAAAAACATGGCCCTACTATATGCTGTTTGGAGGAGATTTATTTCAAATTCAATAGAAAAAATATATCATGCAAACACTAATTAAAAAATAGGTGTGGCTATGTTAATGTCAGATAAAGTAGACATCAGAACAAGAGAAATTACTAGAGAAAGAGAGGGACATATCACAATATAGGATTAGCTAGAAAGATATAACCCCTGAATCTTAAATATGTATGTACCAAATGAAACTTGAAAGAAATTTCACCTAAGAGGGTACATGCCACTATCCTATATGTGAAGCAGAAACTGATAAAACTGCAAGGTGAAGTAGCTCTATAATCATAGTTGGGGACTTCAACAACCTTCTCTTAGAAACCAGTAAAACTGCTAGCCAGGATATTAGCAAGTATATAGAAGAGCTGAACAACACAGTGAAATAACAGATTCTAACTGACATATGCAGAACTATATCCAACAATAGCAGAGTACATAAGTGATTTCAGCGATGTTGCTGGATACAAGACCAATAGACAAAGATCAATCATATTTCTACATACTAACAGTGAACATGTGGAAACAAATTGAAAGCACAGTATAATTTCAAATGCTGCAAAGAAAATGAAGTACCTAGGTACACAAAAATATATGTACAGAATCTGTATGTTGAACATTATAAAATTCTGATGAAGAAATAAAAGAAGATTGAAATAAATGGAAAGACATATTGCATTCATGGATTGGAAGACTCAACATACTAAAGATATCACTTCTACCCAAACTGATCTATAGGCTTAATGCAATTCCTATCAAAATCTTGTCAAGGTCCTATGTAGACATGGAGAAGCTTTTAAAAAAATGTATATGGAAATAAACAGGCGCTGGAATAGCTAAAATAATCTTGACAATGAAGTATAGAAATGGAGAACTCAATCTACTTATATTCAGGCTTGATAAGTAGCTGTAGTAATCAAGACAGTACGGTATTGGTGGAGAAACAGACATTCAATTCTATGAAACAGAACAGGAAACCCAGAAATAGGTCCTCAAAAATATGTTCAACTGGTTTTTGACAATGGCACAAAAGCAATTCAATGGAACAAGGGAATTTTTCAGCAAATATTGCTGAAGCAATTAACCATCTATAAGCAAAAAAGATGAACCTCAAACTAAACATCATGCCTCATACAAAATTTAACTCACAATTACATTCTAAGTACATTAAAAATGTTGTACAGTCACCACCACTATCTATATTCACAGCTTTTTCACCTTCCCAAACTAAAACTTTATACCCATTAAACCATAACTCCACATTCCCCCCTTCTCCCTAGTCCTTGGTAACCACTATTCTACTTTTCGTTTCTATTAATTTGTCTACTCTAGGGACCTCATAAAAGTGGAAACACAATATTTGTCCTCCTCTGACTAGTTTATTTCACTCAGAACAATGTCTTCAAGGTTCATCCATATTTAAACATGTATCAGAATTTCATTCCTTTTAAGTAAATGATTAATTTATTTATTTTAAAGATGGGGGTCTTACTATGTTGGCCAGGCTGAACTCGAACCTCTGGGCTCCAGTGATCCTACCACCTCAGCCTTCCAAGTAGCTGGAACTACTGGTGTACACCACTATGTCTGGCTCTCATTTCTTTTAAAGGCAGGATAATATTCCTTTGTATGGATATATTTTGTTTATCCATTCATCCTCTTATAGACACATGGGTTGTTTCCACCTTTTGGCTATTGTGAATTAATATTGCTATGAGCATTAGTATACAAATATCTCTTTGAGTCTCTGCTTTTAGTTCTTTTGAGTATGTTTCTAGAGTGCAATTGCTGGATCATGCAGTAATTCTATGTGTAATTTTTTTTGAGGAAAAACCATATTGTTTTCCAATGAGGCTACACTATTTAAATTACCACTTGCAATGCACAAGACTTTGAATTTTCCAAATCCTTGTTAGTATTTGTTATATTCTGTTTTATATGTATAAACTAATGGGTGTGAAGTGGTATCTCACTATACCACTTATGGCCAAACTAATGGATGTGAAGTGGTACCTCACTGTAATTTTCTTAATGTATATTTCCCTAATGAGGATAATAATTTTTGAAAAAGTTAAGTGTGAAAAGAACACAACTTGTACTACCCTTTATGATCAGAAAAGTAAATTATTTTGAATCTTATGTAATAAATGTCCATGTATTAGTTATACTATTCAAGGGAGATAACCTAACAAAATACATATGGCAAATTAAAAGTATCTGTTGGTTAAGTTGCTATCATTAACACATACTTTTTGTTAGAAATCTGCTTAAAAACATCCCAGCTCCCTCAATGCTCCGATCTCAACCATCATAGGAAAGTTTCATGTTTCCCAGTAGAATCAACTAGAGCTCAGCTTGCTGAAGTCCCAGGAGTATTTTCATTTCAAAGTGTTATTAGTCAAAATAAATACATCTTTAACGTTCTACTTGTATAAATTATGCCACACGTGCATGGGCAGAGCACCGAGTCTAGTTCCAATCTGTGTTTCTCTTCTTCATAGTTGTGCCATTGTAAAGTAGTGACTTAACCCTTTATAAGACTCAGTTGTCTCAGGTAAAGAAAGCATGAGCTTAGGAATCAGAGCCTGAGTCAAATCCTTGCTCCATCATTCATAGCTAAACTTCCAGAGTCTCAGGGCCCTTATTGTAAAATGTGAAAATAATCCACTCACTCTACATTACACTCAGCTCTGTCAGAATTAAATGAGGCAATGCAGTGAGGGATGGGCGGGGACAGACTGTTAGGGACTATTTAAGAGACACATGATGATGGAAGGTTGTTTCCACGATGATGGAAGGTTGTTTCCACCTTCCATCATCAAGTGATGATGGTTTAGAGGAAGCCAGTAGCAGAGCAGATAGGTAGGAAGAGTAAGATTCTAAATATGTTTTCAATGCCAAGTCAACAGGATTTGCTTTTTTATTGAACGTTGGGCATGAAAGAGGAGTAGAGGAAGAATTCAAGATTTTTAGCTTTAGAATGGGATTAATGGAGTTCCATTTACTTTGATGAAGACTGAGGTTGAAAACTTTCCAGTGGTAGGTAAGCTCAAGTGTTAGGTCGGACATGTTAAGTTTTAAAATGTCTATTAGACATCCTAATAAGGATGATAAGTAGGGAGGCCTGATTTATATTATGGAAAAATCCCTGAAGACAGGTGAGAATGGGGAGTGAGGTCAGGTGAAAGCCACTGATATAATTTAAGCAAGAATACAGTAGGGCCTGAAAAAAATAAGAGATTTAACGGAGTTTAGCAGAAACTGAGGATAAACTGGATATGAGATATAAGAGATAGGGAAGACTCATGAATGACCCCAGGACATCTGACTTGGGACACTACATAAGAGTTACCACGGTGTGGGAGAAGCAGCAAATCTGAGTGGGGAAAAAGGAGTGAAGCTATCTATTAATAGCTTAATCTAATCTAATCTAATCTTTATATAATAATAACCTTACTTATTTAAATAAGAATAAAATTACTTATTGTCTTCCACAACAAAGGATAATTCCAGTTATTTTTCATAACTGAAAAAGAGTATTAGTGTTCATTTAGATTTTACCTTTATTTGTTTGTTTGCTTTTGATGGGGGTTATATACAACTGGGAGAGGAGGACCAGCTTGAGAACCACATATGCATGTGTCTGTTCTTGCACCTCAGTGAACTCTGTTTTTTAACATATCAGAATTTTAAGGCTTAAATTTGCATGAGTATATGCGCTCATATATGTGTGTAAATATCATAAATAGGATATTATTCATATTTTTAAATCCTCCAGTAATCATTTTCTATATAGAATGAAAAAACTTTTAACCAACAATACAACGTCTGCATTTATTTGTCCATATATATCACTAGTCTGAAAAGTACGATATAAATAATTTCTTAAAATCAATGTTAAATGGTGGTTTCTGCAAGCCAAATGCATAAGGCCTCTTTAATTGTTAAAGATAGAAAGTATTTTGCCAGGCGCGGTGGCTCACACCTGTAATCCCAGCACTTTGGGAGGCCACGGCAGGCAGATCACGAGGTCAGGAGATTGAGACCATCTTGACTAACATGGTGAAACCCCGTCTCTACTAAAAATACAAAAAATTAGCCCATCTCTACTAAAAATACAAAAAATCAGCCAGGCGAGGTGGCAGGCGCCTGTAGTCCCAGCTACTCGGGAGGCTGAGGCAGGAGAATGGCGTGAACTCGGAAGGCGAAGCTTGCAGTGAGCCGAGATCGCACCACTGCACTCCAGCCTGGAAGACAGAGCGAGACTCCATCTCAAAAAAAAAAAAAGAAAAAAAAGAAAGTATCTTTAGGAGGCGAATTATTGAGATGAAAAGCCCACTCAGCAGTTGAGAATACATGATTTCAGGAAATGATTCAAAGTTATTTTCTAAAATAAATTTTATTATAGAAATGTCAAATTCACTCATAAACCTAGCTTTCAGTGTTCTCTAATATCGAAGAGCACAAATGTCATAGAAAAAATAATTACAAAATATGGTTATTATGTACTTCTAAGTAGTAAAATCTTGATTCCCCAGTATTAAGCCAACTTACATCCTTTTCACAAGTTCACTTCTGAGTGTATATTGGAAAAAAATTACAAACTGCGTCTTGTCCTGTTTAAATAGACTAGTGACTAAGCAACCAGGGCACAGAGCCTCCTGGATCTTTTTTTTCCAAAGATTTTTCCTTCTAGCACTTGAGATAAAGAAGATCAGATGGAAGACAATCATTATGATAATGAGTTTTTTCCTTCCTTTTCAAAGAGTTTCAGATTTGGGTTTTGTAATTCTCTGAAATACTCAATAACATCATCATATTTCAGAGGCAAAGACAGCTGATTAGAAAGTTGATCCAATGGTAGAGAACCTTTGCCTCAGATACATATGTCTTAATGTTCCTGTAAAAGTACAGCAGAAAACTGCATTTTTGGAGAATGAACCATAAATAGAAGTTATTGTGTTAATTTTGACAGCTGTCACTGAAGTTGACAGGATGTGGCCACCTCCAATTTGAAATAATTTTTCTGTTCAAGATAACTACATAAATGCCAATGTTCGTCCCTTTTAATTTCTCTGAGTCTCATGACTTAAGAGTCACATGTCTTGTACACAGGCAACTTTCTAAATATATCACCATTTAGTCTTGCATGCGCGTGAATACATGCATGATTCCTATACATACCACTTGAATTCTGAGTAAGTTTTCTCTTCTAAGGAGAGAAATGGTGGGATTCCTTTATATCTAATTCCAGTTATTTCAAAGCTGATCAACATTATTGAGCCTACCCATCAAATTAAAATAAAATAGAATGATTCAACATAGAAAAATGTCAACTGGTGAACATAAGGGTGCTGAAATAACCAATCACAGTTTGGCAAACACCCAAGCCATCCCCCATAGCAACAGAGCTGATGGCATAGCAACCGCAGCTGCTTCAACCCAGAAAAATTAGAAGAAATATTCTTGGGAAAAAAGCATAATCCATGTTAAAGTCAGACATGACATTTTTTCTGCAACAAAAGAAACTGTAAGCATGAATGTATTAAACGATACAATTCCTTAGCAGCTGTAAATGCTCTAGTGCAGGCTGAAAGCCACTTTGATTACAATACTCAAGGCCAAGTGCTTTGAAGCTAAAACTTCCTAGGTTGTTCTCATCCAAACTGTTACGTTTCTTGCAATGTTAGAGAACAATCTTTTCTTCAACCATTTATTTTGCTATGATAGAAGGTTTTCCACAATTTTTTAAAAGGATCATTTGAGAGAAAGATTTACTGGTTAGAAATCCACATAATCAGTACTTGAGAAATATTAAAATCTAAAAGGAAATATATTGATTAAAGTGGTGATGATGTCATCCTGAGGGATCCAGGAAGCATGAGGATGAAACATTAGCTGAAGAACCAAGAGCCTAATAATATTTGGATGTACCCTCATAGTAGTTTGACCTGCAGGGAATTCAAGGTTTTCTGCAGAGCCCCAATCTCAGGCTTTAGCTAGATATATAGACTTTCTTTACTATTCCATGCTGGTTTCTCTAGAAGCCCATACAATTACAATCAGTCAAGGTAGACTTCTGAACTTGTTGCTGAAGGCTGAAAGGTGGGGTCAAATTCTTTATGATCGGTAGAGACGATGTAACCATACAATGCCTCTCTCCTCAGGGATATTAGACATTTGCTTTATTAAGTGTAGAAAGTGGGATGATGTTCAACTGATTTCAGACATTGGTTATTTTAATCAACTCATTTCTCATGGTTTCTATTTGAAAATTAAAAAAAAAATCCTAGGCTCTACTTATTAAAATTCAAGGTTTTGGACTTCACATGGGAAGCATGACACTGCAGCCTAGCCCAGTCGTAGACTGCAAAGTCTCAGTAAAAAGGAGGAAGAGAAATGCACATATGAATCCAGCCAGACTCTGAGCCAGGGAAACCTTCCGTGATTTGGTGAAAAATAAGACAGTGAAGTAAACAGACCTGATGGAAGCTCAATATATGTAATGGCTGCTGAGAGCTTGTCCCCTGACAAAGGGGCAATTTCAAATATATGGTCCTTTTCCTCCTTTGACCCATTATTGCACCCGGTTGGATCCACTCATGGTTTCTACCTGGCTCTCGGGACATCTCCAGTTCCTTTATCCTCAGAGGAATGACCTGTATCACTATTTACATAAGTTCCACCTTCTGCACCCCTACCTGGCCTCCCTTTCCCTCACCTCCCACGCTAAAAATTAAACATCAGTGATTCTCCTTGACCTAGGATTCACTCAACCTCCACCCTCTTTCTCCAGTTTTCTGGAATGCTAATTGGACATTTTATTCAGTGCTTCAGGGCATTAGTCCTAGGTGCCTGGGAATATTCCCCAAACACAGCACTCCCAATTACCTGAATTCTAACCACACCGAATCCCAACCCAGAGGCCCAAGAAGGAGCTTCCCATCTGTGGTAGAATTCCAGTCCTTAAGTCAGGGGATAACACCTGCCCTGAGCTGCCTGTGGACATACTGATTAACTTCATTGTTTTTATTTTATTTTATTTTTTATTATTATTTTTTCGAGACGGAGTCTTGCTCTGTCACCCAGGCTGGAATGCAGTGGCACGATCTCGGCTCACTGCAACCTCCGCCCCCCGGGTTCAAGCAATTCTCCTGCCTCAGTCTCCCAAGTAGCTGGGATTACAGGCGCCCACCACCACGCCCGGCTAATTTTTGTATTTTTAGTAGAGTTGGGGTTTCACCATCTTGGTCAGGCTGATCTTGAACTCCTGATCTCATGATCCACCCTCCTCGGCCTCCCAAAGTGCTGGGATTACAGGCATGAGCCACCGCACCCAACCTTATTTTACTTTATTTTATTTTACTTTAAGTTCTGGGATACAAGTGCAGAACATGCTGGTTTGTTACATAGGTATACACGTGCCATGATGGTTTGCTGCATCTATTGACCTGTCATCTAAGTTTCCTCACCTGCCACCCCCCAACTGGCCCTGGTGTGTGTGTTGTTGCCCTCCCTGTGTCCATGTGTTCTCATTGTTCAACTCTCACTTATGAGTAAGAACATGCAGTGTTTGGTTTTCTGTTTTGTGTTGGTTTGCTGAGGATGATGGCTTCCAGCTTCATCCATGTCCCTGTGAAGGACATGATCTCATTTTTTTATGGCTCTGTAGTTTTCCACAGTGTATATGTACCACCTTTTCTTTATCCAGTCTATCACAATGGTTGAACTAATTTACTTTCTCACCAACAGTGTAAAAGCATTCCTATTCCTCCACAGCCTCACCAGCATCTATTATTTCTTGACTTTTTAATAGCTGCCATTCTGACTGGTGTGAGATGGTATCTCATTGAGGTTTTGATTTGCATTTCTCTAATGACCAGTGATGATGAGCTTTTTTTCATACATTTCTTGCACACAATGTCTTCTTTTGAGAAGTGTCTGTTCATATCCTTTGCCCCCTTTTTGATGGGGTTGTTTTTTTTCTTGGAAATTTGTTTAGATTCCCTGTAAATTCTGGATATTCGACCTTTGTCAGATGGGTAGATTGCAAAAATTTTCTCCCATTCTGTAGGTTGTCTGTTGACTCTGATGATAATTTCTTTTGCTGTGCAGAAGCTCTTCAGTTTAATTAGATCCCATTTGTCAATTTTGACATTTGTTGCAATTCCTTTCGGCATTTATGTCATGAAATCTTTGCCCATGCCTATGTCCTGAATGGTATTGCCTAGGTTTTTTTCTAGGGTTTTTATGGTTTTTGCTATTACATTTAAGTCTTTAATCCATCTTGAGTTAATTTTTGTATAACGTGTAAGGAAGGGGTCCAGTTTCAGTTTTATGCATATGACTTGCCAGTTTTCCCAGCACCATTTATTGAATAGGAGATCCTTTCCCCATTGCTTGTTTTTGTCAGGTTTGTCAAAGACCGGATGTTTATAGATGTGTGGTGTTATTTCTGAGGCCTCTGTTCTGTTCCATTGGTCTATATCTTTTTTGATACTATGCTTAAAACAGTACCGTGCTGTTTTGGTTACTGTAACCTTGTAGTATAATTTGAAGTCGGGTAGTGTGATGCCTCTAGCTTTGTTCTTTTTGCTTAGGATTGTCTTGGCTGTATGGGGTGTTCTTTGATTCCATATGAAATTTAAAGTAGTTTTCTCTAATTCTGCGAAGAAAGTCAGTGGTAGGTTGATTGTAATAGTATTTAATCTATAAATTACTTTGGGCAGTATGGCCATTTTCATGATATTGATTCTTCTTATCCATGAGAATGGAATGTTTTTCCACTTGTTGGTGTCCTCTCTTATTTCCTTGAGCAGTTGTTTATAGTTCTCCTTGGAGAGGTCCTTCACATCCCTTGCTAGCTTGGTATTTTATTCTCTTTATAGTGATTCACACTGATTAATTTCATCAGTCCCTTCATATAGGTCAGAAGTTTACCCTTTTCTCACTACATGTTGTAAATGGACAGTGACTAATCATCATTTCCAAGTGAATGACTTCCAAATCTCTGTGTCTAGTGTTCCAGCCCTTCATTTCCAGATATTTATTGTATATCCTCTTCACTAGTCATACAGCACCTCCACACATCTAAAACCAAGTTTATTTCTATTTCAAACCAGCAGCCATTCGTGTGGTGTATATTTTTAATGGACCAACCATTCATATTATGTGAGTTCAAAGCCCCAGAGCTAACTCCTACTTCTTAAGCTACCCTATCTGCTCCATCTAGGAGGAGCCTTCTTCATTTCCACTGGTCTTACCCTTATTCAGATCTTTCTTATAATCTCCTGCAACACTACAGAAGTCTCCTTTCCCCTCCTTCCCAGCTCTGCCCTGTTTGTAGCCTACAGGTTGCTGATATTAATACTATTACTAATGCATAGCACTGGTCAAGCTCTTGGTCATTTATGTCAACTTGGTGAAGTCTAGAAACTACTTTTCCTGGAACCCTCTGCTTCTCTATTGTTCTGAGATAAGTTGGCCAAGACAGGACTTTGTGTGAGAATTGGAAGAAGGAATGGAGCGGATGCCATTGTTCATGGAAGTTTATCATGGTAAATGATGGTGATAAAAGATGCAGAGGTGCCCGTCAGGATCCAGCTTGTTCTTGCTCTCATGCACTGTGTGCCCAGCATATTTTCCTACCTGTTGGCCCCAACATCAGCCCCAGGCTCACAGCTGGATCTTGGATGCAGACCCTCAGAGACAGGTGCTGCCCCAGGTCAGCAGCTTCACCAGGATTGGCAGTTCCATCCATCTTTCTGAACTTGTCACTGAAGGCATAGAGGTGGGTCGAGCTCCTCTTTAACAGACACATGCCAGTGGCAGATTGTGCGAGGCTCCCTGGGTTCCTTGCAGGCTACACCCTAATGTGGTCTAGCTAGTGACTGTTTGATTCTTCAGTATATGCCCCTTGCAAATCTTCCCTTTCTCACTTTGTCCCACAATTGTGCAGAGTGGATGGAATTCTCATATTAAATACTTGATTTACGCAATACTTAGAGTGGCTGTTTTCATGATTAAAACTTGACTAATACATATGCCTTGACTTTCTTTGAACACACACACACACACACACACACACACACACACACACACACACACTTCCTTGGCTTGCTGCTGCTTCCAAGTTTGGTTTCAACTCTTTAGTTAGAGACTCTGGTTCTTTTTTTGTTTTAACTTTTATTTTAGGTTCAGGGATGCATTTGCAGGTTTGTTATATAGGTAAGTTGCATGTCATAAGTGTTTGGTGTACAGATAATTTCATCACCTAGGTAATAAGCATAGCACCAATAGATAGTTTTTCCATCCTTACCTTCCTCCCTCCATCCACCCTCATGTAGGCCCTGGTGTCTGCTGCTCCCTTCTTTGTGTCTATGTATACTCCATGTGTTGCTCCCACTTATAAGTGAGAACATGCAGTATTTGTTTTTTTGTTACTGTGTTAGTTTGTTTAGGATAAGGGCCTCTAGCTTCATCCACTTTGCTGCAAAGGACATTATCTTGTTCTTTTCTATGGCTGTGTAGCATTCCGTCATGAATATGTACCACATTTTCTTCATCCAGTCCTACCATTGATGAGCATTTAGGTTGATTCCATGTCTTTGCTATTGTGAATAGTGCTGCAATAAACATACAGGTGCATGTGTCTTTATGGAGACTAATTATTTTACCTTTAACTTTCCAGACATACATCCCTACCACTTCCATTCAAACCCTCATCCAATCCTATTCCATTCAAATCCTATTCTTTCTATTCAAATCCACACCATCCACGTGACTTCCACTCAAATCTTTATTGAATTCCATTCAAGTATTATCTACTTCTGAGATTCAGACTATCCCACTATAGGGTCTTACTCTCTCTTCCTTATCTCTACCTGTAGAAATCCTACGGGTCCTGGAATAAACACACACACACACACACACACACACACACACACACACACACACACACACACATTAGAGATAGGGGTCTCCATATGTTGCCCAAGCTGAACTCAAACTTCTCAGCCTAAGGGATCCTCCTGCCTCGGCCTCCCTAGATGGAACTATAAGCACACACCACTATATATTTTTTTTTATCTCTGCTTACTTGATTCTAAAACATGTTTTAGAACACATCATAGTTTGTTTTATAATTTTTTGCATACTTTTCTTAGTTTCCAGTATGAATAATCTTAAGGTCAGACACTAAACCTTATTTATCTTTGTGTATCTCATAGTGACTAGTATGGTGCTTCAGAAATAGAATAAGGTGCTCTTTAAATGTCTGTTTAGTATATGGTTCAGTAAATATTTTTTCATACCCATTTCTTTGCATATTAACCAATGACACTCACTAGAGTTTAGAATGATATTATTTTATACTGACTGTAAAGGACATGCTTTTTATAGTCATATTTTATATTATGAAAACATTCCAAGAGCTTTTTCCAAGAATCTTAAAATATACAGAGCTTGATAAATCTCATGTAACTTAAATAATAAATAGTAAGTATATATTAAGGTCAATGTACTTTCATATTACATTTTAGAGTATGAACATATTGTTATAAAGAGTATGCAATATAGAAATGTCTAAACTAATATCTACTGAAAATGATTACATATATGATGCTAGATTATCTTGAAATAGAACATTATTCATAACATTTTTATTTATAATAAACCCACCCATTGCAAGGAAAATTATGTGTTTAGTGTAAAAATCACAGTATGCTAGGAACATGATTCCTATCCTAAAACAATAAAACATTTACATGTTGAGAGCAATTTGTGTAAAGGTAGCTCCTTCGCAGGACAACAAAGCAGAGATTAAAATGCAACTCTGCCCTTTAAGCTTAAGACAAAGAAATACGGTTTTTATTTATTGGATAAGTCTGTACCTCTTTTTTTTGTAACCTTCAAACTGATGAGGATTATGAAACATCAAAATGTCACCACGTGATAAGTGAAAGTCACCATTGTTCATAGGAATCATCTGAGGGTGCCCTGCATTCTGCTAAATGACACCGGCAACTGTAACAGCTGTCAAAAGTAAAGGCCCTAATGATGCTCATAGGCAGAAATGCTCCCTATTCAATAAAATAGAGCTAGTTTCTGCTTACATTTAAGTTCCTAACTTAAGACCATTTCCTTTCAACATTAAAATAGTCATGATGCCTTTTGTTATTATTGTTCTTATTGATTCAGTGCCTATTGAGTACCACGCACTGTGATAAGTGTCTTACATTAATTATAAGACATACTATCATCATTCTATGAGATGAGGAAACTGAGACACAGAGTAACTTATTCAAGGTCACACAGCTGGTTATGAGAAGTATGTTATCCTAGACTCTCACATTTAGGCCCAAATTGTAGCCTCTTAAAGCCTCACACATATCCTATGTGCTTTAGTGTCTCAATAAGTTTATTTGTAATAAAATGAAAAGAAAGCTCTTTCTTCTATTTTAAGTACATGAATCCTAGAATCAAAACTTCTGGCAACTTGAAATCTTCTCCCAGTAACCTCACTCAACACTTATCGAGCCATTAAATCTCGGCTGCGTCCCTTGGGGAAGGCACTTTACCTCTCTGATCTTCAGTGTCTGTATTTTTCAAATTGGGCATAATGGCATGAACTTTATCAGTTGTTTTGGGGTGAGTGAAAGTCATTTATATTGCCCTGGATACATGGTAGTCCTTATAAATAAGTCTTCTATTCTGAGCTAAGGAATTTGGACTTTACTGACAGGCAATGGAAATCCTCAAATAACACAGCAACATGGATCTCCCTCGTGATCTCCCTCTCTTCACAATCATGCGTGCATCAAAGATGAATTTTCTTTGAACACAACTTACACTTTTCATAATACGACTCTCTCCCTTTGTAGTTGAAAGGGCTTATCAGGTTTCCTACTTCACACAGAATGAAACAGAGGTGTTCTTGTTTGGATTGTTCCCCAGCACTCCTGACACTAGTGTTTGGCTTCAGTTACACTCATCCAGCAGAGTCCCACAAAGGAGGGTGACTAACTCATCTGGGTTTGTCTGGGACTTTACTACTTTTACTCAGTCCCAAACAAAATGGGAGAGGTGGCCAGTCACCCCAAAGACATTACACTTTCCCAAAATTCCACACATTTGACATTGCCCTTTGTGTTGCTCTATCAGGAACTGCACATCTTGCAAGGCTTAATTTAGAGCCAATACCATCATCACCTGGGGTAACTGGAGCAGGTGGCACCGATGGGAGAATTATTATTGAGTTTAATAAACTGGGATCTGATGTTGAAGGTTTTTAAAAAGTAGTTTGAAATAAATATTAAATACAAAAAGTTTCAATACTAGTACAAAGAATATGCATACAACTTTCACCCAGGCTCACCTAGTATTAACATTTCACCACTTTGCTCTATCATTTGTGTTCCGTTTCTCACACACATATAATATTCTTTAGATGGGGAAGGTTTACAAAATTTTATCATATGCTCAGAGGTAGGGAAAATCACTTCTAACCAGGAGGAAGTAATGGAGAAACTGGCTTTCAGTAAAGATTTGCTGGGAAGTCAAATGTTCAGAGCTCTGCTTGTGGAAGATGACAACTACAAGGGTGTCCAGTGAAGTCTAGAAAGAAGGCCAGGCTGGAGACAGAGGGATCAGTCAGGAAGCTGCTCAGAGGTCCAGGCACCAAGGACTTCTACTAATGGACAGAGATACTGATGGGTTTGAGCAAAAATAAAATAATATTCTTTTAGTGCCCAAGTTAGATAAGAGTGTCTCACATTTTCTTGACTATTTGACCTAACTTAGTAAGGTGATTTACGTCTAGGATTTTTCACATCTCTTTTATAAAATAGAGTCCTTTGATCACATCCATCTTCTCATCTTGGTTGTTTATAAATGAAATGTTAAAATGAAAGATTATGGGAAGAATTAGACTCCTGTTATTTCATGTGATGAACTCATTTCTTGGCAGAGTTACACTGGATGAGTTAAGATGTAACTGAAAATATGCTTCCCTCCTGAAACTTGGAATCTTGCTTTTAATTATCATTGAAATGTCACCAGAGATACATTTAAACAGTTTTTGATAAGACATGGACTAACAAACCGAATCCAACTGCTACAGGGACATTTTTTAATTTCACAGGTGGTTGAAATATATACTGCGGCAGTATAAAGGAGAAAATGCAGCAGGAGCTACCCGTGATAGGAGTCAATACCTCTGTGAACAAGGAGAAGCACTACTATCTTGGTTGAAAACACTCTTATTCGTAACAAAACCGAAAGCTCCTGTGTCTGATCTTTTAATAGACTTTCAAGGACACATTTTCAAGTAAGTACCACTATATCTGGACGACAATCAACCTTTAATTTCTTTCCTTTATTGTTCCTTTAAGTGTCTTTGGATTTCTTCTTTTTTTTTTAAAGTGTCTGGTATTTTGACATTCTCACTTCTCACATGGGCTGTATTTATGTATGGTACTCATCAACAAACACATCTACAGCTTTCGGTAGATAATGTTTTGTTTGCTCCAAAAAAAGAAATTAGGGGAGCCCTTACTGAGAAAGTAATAGCAGTACTACTAATAAATATGGGAGCTGTTTTCTTCCATTAGAAGAAACACCAGTAGCAACATATGTATTCCAATCTGTAGCACTAAGTGCACTCAATTAAAGAGAAGATGATAGCGATTTGCAGATCCCCCTGCTCCAGCCTATTTTTCAGTTGGCATGGTGGGGACTGGCTAGGGAGACCATACCCATCTTTCCAAAGCAGGAGTCGGGAAAGACTTGCTGGTAGCTTGAAGCTAGCCGTGGAAAAAGTGCATGCACTGCAGAAACTGGCAAATATTACCAACCTTTTTTCTGACAGCAGGTATGGGAAACCAGAATACGCTACACCCAAATGTGCCTCTTTGGCAGAAGTCTGATTGGGCTGAAGGAATTAAGAACAAGCAGAAGCAGGAAGGCTCTTTGCCCTCTCTCTATTTGCCTAAAATTGGGATGTAAATTTACAAAGACAAAAGCTATTTCACCTCCCCTCTCTGAAAGAACAAAGGTTAACCACTGAAGAGAGTTTTTCACCCTTACGGGCCGGAAGATGGCACCAGAGGAAACTACGTTAGCAAGCTTTGCAAACCAGCCTTTCTCTGCCAGTTATTTTCCTTCCCCCACCTTGTGGCCCCTAGAGATACAAAGTCTTTTTATTTTTTATTTTTTTTGTCTTGTCACTTCTCTAAGCATTGACTGTTCTTTGTAGAAGATCCCACATAAGTTGGAATTCAAGCCACCTCTTTGAAAATTACTCATTCCCTAGGTATCTTCCATGCGTGTATTAAATAAACATATTAATAAACTTCTGTTTGTTTTTCTCTTTTTAAAGTGTCTTTTGCTATGGGGTCCATTCCAACTTAAAACTTATCAGGGTTGAGATAATAATTATTCTTCTTCCCCTACACTGGTTATTAAATGTTGCCACCACACTAGCACCTACAAAGGATAGTTGGGTTTTAGAAATGCTGGACCATGGACAGGTAGAATCAAGTGAAATAATAATGTGCTGCCCTTAATGAAGCTGTTGTCTGTCAATAGTTGATAACACCGAATTCACTTCATAAGGGTAGAGAGGAAGAAAACAATGTTTGCAGGAGATTGTGAACAAGGAAGGAACACATTTCAGATAAGGGTAATCATAGCTGGGCTCCTTAAAATGGCAATTATAAACATGTCCCTATTATTTCAAAGGTAGGCCAATGACTGATGGTTACAGAAACATGAGCTACCAAAACAGACCATCAGAAACCAAAAGAAAAAATATGTGAACAAAACAGCTTTTTAGGAAGAAAATACATTAAATCAAATTCTTGGCATTTTGAATATGCAAGAAAATTAAATATACAAGTCATACTGAAAACTGTCAGTCCTTTTTGTGCATAGCTTGATGACTACCAGGCAAACCATTTTCCCTAATTGAGATTTAAGAAAAATAGACGAGTTTAACTCTAGTGCAAAATAAAATGACTTAACTGACAATGTGAGAGGCTAACTGAAGAAATAAGAAATATTTAGAAAGAAGAGAGATATACCAGGATTTCATAGATTACATGAGAAGAAGCAGACTAAAGGGAACATTTCATTGTATATTATTTCTCTCTATATATGTCTATCAAAAGTAGGCATTTCAAAAAATCAAAAAATTATTTGAAGGTACAAGCCACTTTATTGACAAAATTACCTTTTGCACTATAATTTAACTTTCTTAAACTTTTGACCTTGTTTCTTGACCTTTGTACATTTTCCTTTTCTTTTTTAAATTATGTGGCTCCTTTGAGTCATCCATTTCCTCTTTCCTCTGGAAAGGGAAGAGTCATGGATTCCAACCTTTCTGCTAGAAGCTACGAAGAATTAATTGCCATGTAGGTTTCCTTGGAAGACGTCAGATAATCTTTACCTGGGTTTCATGCACAATCATTTCTTTAACAAGACTGAGCATTAGTCATACCTATAAATTAATTCTCCCTCTTGGTCTAAAACTAACATCTGAAAATACTGTACTTTTCCTTCACATCAAATATGGCCTAAGTAGCCTTTTCATTTTATTTTTCCAGAAAGCTTTCCCAGTAAAAAGACAGACCCGAGGGTATTTTCTCATCTTGTTGCAGAGAGTGATGGTACAGAATGTGCATAATGCCCACGCAGGAAAGTTAATAATATTCTACAAGCAGTCTATTTTTAGATTAATAGAGCCAGTTTACGCAAAGCAAATCTGTACTGCAGAAAGAAGAGCGTTAAATATTTGAAAAAATTCTGGATAAACTTTAAGAAAAAAGGAAACATTTTCTTTTCCTACATTGGGTCTAACATAATTAAATGAATTCAAAGGCTTAGCCACTTTTGCAAAGGCTTAATTGCTTGTATTGATCGTGACCTAAATTTGCTTCTGCACAGTTTATAGAGCTACATTTGGCACTGGAACCAAAACCCCTTGGGACGAAAAGCCATAGCCATCCTGACATTACCAAATGGTAGAATAATTATTTACATTTATTAACATGGAGATAAAGATCATTTTGTTGGTTGACCAGATAACTAGGTCTTTCCTGGCTAATGCTGCATTAAAATACATAGTCTCAACAGTCAAGAATTCTCCTAGTGGGCTTTGGTAGACCATAATTTTAGTTAACTCAGAGAAGAAAAATCCCTCAGTGTAAACACTGGGTCATTATTTTAAATCTATTCAATAAATCGGTATCGTACATAACCCTCACAGACATGCCGATTTCGTTCAATGGTATTTCTAATCACCGATAAGCCTATATAGAGAGTAAACACACTACCCAGGATCCTACTACTTGGATAAAAAGCCAACATCACCCTGCCTTTCCTTCTTTTAAGATAAAAGGGAAATCAATGAGTTTTTATTTTTATTTTTTAGGAGTGCAATCTACTTATTTTGCCATACTAAACTAAAGTTCTGGGATCCCCTGATACTTGTGCAAGTTACCGCATACACATCTCTGATGGATGAAGGAATGTTTCTTCCATTCTAAGCACCCTGCAAAAGCCATTTATATTCTGAGGCCTGAACTATATGCACCTAGTGTCCTGCACTGTCACTCAGAGATTCTTTCTCTTCTTCCAACTACTCCCTGACTCCTTTGATGTTCTATGAACACTTTAATACGTTAGAGATCACTTAATGCAGTTGATTTTAATGATCTGCACACATCCCTGTCTTCCCACTAGACTGGATACTTTCCTAGTTATCTTTTCCTCATTCATCTTTTTATTCCCAGGGCCCTCGACAGTGTCTGTTAAATACTATTTACCTTAATATTTAGTAAATTTGCAAAAGGTGTGAGTGAATGCTCCTTTTTTCTAATATTTTATTTTTAAAATTAGCTTTAATATTAAATACAATAAGACAAGAATAAAATTTGGTTTCTATTTTAAACAAGATTTTCATGAAGTATTTGAGGTTTTTTTTTTTTAACTTTTATTTCAGGTTCAGGGGTCCACGTGCAGGTTTCTTACGTAGGTAAACTTGCGTCATGGGGGTTTGTTGTACAGATTATTTCACCACCCAGGTACCCAATAGTTATTGTTTCTGATCCTCTCTCTCCTCCAACCCTCGACTCCCAAGTAGGCCCCAGTGTCTTTCATTCGCCTCTGTATTTATCCATGTGTTTTCATCGTTTAGCTCCCACTTATAAGTGAGAACATGAGGTATTTCATTTTCTGATCCTGTGTTAGTTTGCTAATGGCCTTTGGCTCCATCCATGTTCCTGTAAAGGACTTGATTTCTTTCTTTTTTATAGCTGCATAGTATTCCATGGTGTACATGTACCACATTTTGGACATTTGATGGACATTTAGGTTGATTTCATTTAGGTTGAATGCCATTGAGGGACATTTAGGTTGATTTCATGTCTTTGCAATTGTGAATAGTGCTGCAATGAACGTTTGCATGCGTGGGTCTTTATGGTAGAACGATTTGTATTCCATTGGGTATACACTAGCAATGGGATTGCTGGAACAAATGGTAGTTCTGTTTTTAGCTCTTTAAGGAATCATCACACTGCTTTTCACAATGATTGAACTAGTTTACACTCCCAGCAACAGTGTATTAGCATTCCCTTTTCTCTGCAACCTCGCCAGCATTTGTTTTTTGACTTTTTAATAATAGCCATTCTGACCAGTGTGAGATAGTATCTCTTTATGGTTTTGATTTGCATTTCTTTAATGATCAGTGATATTGAGTTTTTTTCATCTGCTTATTGGCCTCATGTATGTCCTCTTTTGAAAAGTGTCTGTTCCTGTCACTTGCCCACTTTTTAATGGTGGTGTTTTTTCTTGTAAATTTGTTTAAGTTCCGTATAGATGCTGGATTTTAGACCTTTTTCGGATGCATAGTTTCCAAATATTTTCTCCCATTCTGTAGGTTGTCTGTTTACTCTTTTGACAGTTTCTTTTGCAGTGCAGAAGCTGTTAAGTTTAATTAGATCTCATTTGTCAACTTCTGCTTTTGTTGAGATTGCTTTTAGCATCTTTGTCATCAATCTCTGCTAGTTCCTATATCCAGAATGGTATTGCTAGGTTGTCTTCCATGGTTTTTATAGTTTTGGCTTTTACATTTAAGTCTTTAACCTGTCTTTCATTGATTTTTGTACATGGTGTGAGGAAGGGGTCAATATTCAATCTTCTGCATATGGCTAACCAGTTATCCCAACGCCATTTGTTAAATAAGTAATCTTTTCCCCATTGTTTGTTTTTATCATCTTTGTCAAAGATCAGATGGTTATAGATGTGTGGTCTTATTTCTGGGCTGTCTATTCTATTCCATTGGTCTATGTGTCTTTTTTTGTACCAGTACCATACTGTTTTGGTTACTGTAGCCCTGTGTACCATTTGAAGTCAGGTAATGTGATGCGTCCAGCTTTGTTCTTTTTGCTTAGGATTGCCTTGGCTACTCAGGGTCTTTTTTGGTCAACATGGATTTTAAAATAGTTTCTGTGAAGAATGTCATTGGTAGTTTAATAGGAATAGTATTGAATCTGTAAATTGCTTTGGTCAGTATGGCCATTTTAATGATATTGATTCTTCCTATCCACAAGCATGGGATGTTTTTCCATTTGTTTGTGTCTTCTGATTTCTTTCACCAGTGTCTTGTATTTCTCATTGTATCACTCACACCTCGCTGATTAGCTAGGTATTGTCTTTCTTTGGTGGCAATTGTAAATGAGATTGTGTTCCTGATTTGGCTCTTGGCTTGACTGTTGTTGGTATATAAAATGTTAGTGATTTTTGTACGTTGATTTTGCATCCTGAAATTTTGCTGAAATTGTTTATCAGCTTAAAGAGCTTTTGGGTCAAAAGTATGAAGTTTTCTACATATAGAACCATTTCATCGGCAAACAGAGATAGTTTGGCTTCTTCTCTTCCTATCTGGATGCCCTTTATTTCTCTTGTCTGATTGTTCTGGCCAGGACTTCCAATACTATGTTGAATAGGAGTGGTGAGACAGAGCATCCTTGTCTTGTGCCAGTTTTCAAGAAGAATGTTTCCAGCTTTTGCCCAGTGAACGCTCCTTTAAACGTTCCAAGATATTGATCCCCCAAAATTTGTATTTAAAGTGTTAATTTTCTCTTTGAAGTGTCTTAATATTTTATACATAGATTTTAAGTACTGAAATATTAAGAACTAAAACATTTTCTACAGAAACTTGCCTTTTCAATTCTTAGTACATTAATATTGTGTGTATAAATGCAAATTTATAAATTCAGTTAGATGAAAAGCAGAGTATGATTAGTATCATCCATTTTCTGTATTGTTGCTGTGAGATCTGGGCTATTTCTATGCAAAGTTATCTTATTGAAAATTTGACTAAAGAAAGTAATGTGGGTTGTTAAATAATATTTTAAATTAAATTGTCAGCTGGGCGTGGTGGCTCATGCCTGTAATCTCAGCAATTTGGGAGGCTGAGGTAGGTGGATCGCCTGAGGTCAGGAGTTTGAGATCAGCCTGGTCAAATGGTGAAACTCTGTCTCTATTAAAAATACAAAAATTAGCCAGGTGTGGTGGTGTGCACCTGTAATCCCAGCTATTTGGAAGTCTGAGGCACGAGAATTACTTGAACCCTGGGAGGCAGAGGTTGCAATGAGCAGAGATCGTGCCACTGCACTCCAGCCTAGGAGACAGAGTGAGACCCTGTCTCAAAACAAAAACAAAAACAAAACAAACCCATTAAATTGTCAATTTAATTTTATTGTTTTAAGAAAAAATTCTATAACAAATTTAAATCAAAAGGACATTGGCATCTGATTATCTTTCCCTCCTTGTTTTTGGTGATAAAATTTCAAAAATTTATGTTACCAATTTTTGTATTTCCGTGCTCTAATTGGTTTCATCTTAAAACTCTGTCATTACTTTTCTTTTATCTCTATTTATTTGATAATTCAGTCGTTCTAGAATCCACTCATTTATTCAATTTCAAATATTTACTGAAAATATGTTAGGCAATATTATTTTTTAAAATTTATTTTAAGTTCCGGGATACATGTGCAGAATGTGCAGGTTTGTTATATAGGTATACGTTGTGCCATGGTGGCTTGCTGCACCTATCAACCCGTCATCTTAAGCCTTGCATGCATTAGGTATTTGTCCTAATCCTCTCCCTCCCCTTGCCCCTCACACCCCGACAAGGCCCAGTGTGTGTTGTTTCCCTCTCTGTGTCTATGTGTTCTCATTGTTCAACTTCCACTTATGAGTGAGAACATGTAGTGTTTGGTTTTCTGTTCCTGTGTTAGCTTGCTGAGGGTGATGGTTTCCAGCTTCATCCATGTCCCCGCAAAGGACACGAACTCATTCTTTCTTAAGGCTGCATAGTATTCCATGGTGTAGGTGCGCCACATTTCCTTTATCCAGCCAGTCATTGACGGGCATTTGGATTGGTTCCAAGTCTTTGCCATTGTAGATAGTGCTGCAATAAACATACGTGTGCATGTGTCTTTATAGTAGAATGGTTTACTCATTCATATAAGCTATTTCATATTCTCTTTGCAACATGCAAAGCGTCACATAAAGTCATTGACAGATTAAATTAAATCAAATAAATTTACCCAGAAGACCTTTTACTCACTGGATTTCTTTACTGGAGATATTTTTGAATGATGTTGTCATCAATGTTTTATTATTTTGTATTTAATCATATTCAAAGTTCATCTGTCTCACTGTAAAAACTCTTAAAAATGATAATTACTTTTTTATGTTCTTTTCTGATTTGTACGATAATGAATGCTGTAAACATCTAAGAATACCATCAGAAATAAGAATTTCAATTTTGATGAACATCATCTCCATAAAATGAATGCTTTATAACTAGGGCCTGCTTG
This sequence comes from Homo sapiens, assembly GCF_000001405.40. Taxonomy (NCBI): domain Eukaryota; kingdom Metazoa; phylum Chordata; class Mammalia; order Primates; family Hominidae; genus Homo; species Homo sapiens. The sequence continues at coordinate 4,189,175 of NC_000018.10, forward strand.
TTACCAATGAGTATGTATTATACATATAAAGATAATGGAATAATATTTTTTCTTGGTAATTTCCAATTGTTGTTGATGTGATTTTTATTTTTATTTCATTAGGTCCTTCCCAGATGTTGCAACTTTTTATTTTCTTTCTGTTTTGATTACTGGAGACTATTATATAAGAACAGTTGTAGCTTAAAAGTATAAGTCTTAATAAAACTATATCATATTTGGGTTTAGAAATTTTAACTTGCACAACCAACAGGTCATCTAAGAAGTGAGCATTGAAACTACAAAGCTCTGATGAGAAAAATCAAAGAAGGTCTAAATAAACTGAAGACATATTAAGAGGGACTCAACATTCTTAAGATGCCAGTTTCCCCAGCTCAATCAACAGATTCAATGCAATCCCAATCAAAATCCTAGAAAATTACTATACAGATATAAACAACCAATTCCTAAGTTTATATGGAAAGACAAAAGAACCAGAACGGTCAACAAAATATTAAAGAAGAAGGAAGTCAGAGGACTGACACTATCCGACTAAAAACGTACTGTGAAACTACAATGATTAAGACAGTACAGTATTCATGAATGAATACACAATACATCAATAGAACAGAATAGAGAGCCCAGAAACTTACCCACACAAATACAATCAACTGATTTTTGACAAGGAAGCAAAGGCAATTCAATGGAGAAAAGATAGACTGGACCTCCACATGGAAAAAATGAATCTAGACACAGACCTTAGAAGCAACAGGCGCTCCCATACATTGTTGATGGGAATATAAAATGGTACAGTCACTTTAGAAGACAGCCTAGCAGTTTTATGCAAACCTTATCAAAGGCTTGTGATAACATACAGCAATCATACTCCTAGGTATTTACTCAAGTGAGTTACAAGCTTATGTCCACACAAAAACCTGCACACGAAAGCTACAAGCAACCAAGATATCCTTTAATAGATGAAGGAATAAACAAACTGTGATATATTCATGCAAGGAGATATTATTCAGTAATGTGAAAAAAAGAGCTATCAAGCTACTAAAAGACATGGAGGAAGTTGAAATACATATTATGAAGTGGAAGAAGGAAGTCTTAATAAGCTACATGGTATATAATTTCAACTATATGATGTTCTGGAAAAGGCAAAACTATAGATACAATGAATTGATCAGTGGTTGCCAGGGGTTCAGAAGGTTCAGGGGAAAGGATAAATGGTTGAAGTACAAGAAAACTTTAGAGCATTGAAACTTTGAAACTATTCTGTATGATAATACGATGGTAGATGCATGACATTATACACTCGTCAAAATCCACAGGGTATAGAACACAAAGAGAACTCTAATGTAACTATGAACTTTAGTGAATATTTATGTATTAATATTAGCTCATCAATTGTAACAAACGTACCTTACTAATGCAAGATACTAATAATGGGAGAAATTGTGTGCAGAAAGGAAGGGATTATATGGGAACTTTGTACTTTCTATACAACTTTTCTGTAAATCTAAAACTTCTCTAAAAACAAAGTCTATTTTTAAAAGTATATAGTTTTGCTTGCTTAACCCGTTATGATTTTCCAATGAGTTCTTGTGTCTAGGTTTGGAGCTATGAATAAATGGCAGTCAGTTTTCTGTCCACATAAGTTCCAAGGACTATAATATAGTTTTTTTCTCTTTAAAATACAAGTAAAGTTTTAAATATTTTTCCAGAAATACAACTCAGTTACTCTTCAAGTTTGAAAAGTTATTTTCATTTTGAAATATTTCCAAGTATAATAATCTTATGTGAAATACATTAAATAAGAAACTCATGGCTTAAAGGAGTCTTTTCATTAATCCCTTAATTTAGAAAGAGAAAGTATCTAGAAAGACTTCACTTCACATAAACCCTCTTACCAAAAGTTGCAAAAATTTTTTTCATTCATGGACGTATACCTGAAATTGATTTTTTTCCTTTAAACAATCATTTTGCTACATCTAGCACATCAAGATATGTTTGCCATAACGACAGATGAAAATGACATTTTTCTCTTCAGGTTTACATTGATTTTGTTTCTACACATTTCACAACTGCATCATGAATTTTTTGATTACTCTATAAGTATAAGCATATTTCTAAATGTTCCTTTAACCTAGTAATTCATACCAAAGACTTCTTTATATACATTTTCCTTTACATAGAGCCTAAATACTAAATGATGAAAACCACAGATATGCTATTAATTAGAAGTCTGCCAGTCCTCTATAGTACTTCCATAAGATTTAATTATAACTCAAAAATATATCTACTCTTTCCATTCGCAATACATTATCCAAGCTGTGACTATCTCTTTCATGGGCAACTGTAATTCCCTCCTAACTGTTCTGTTTTCATTTTTTCTCCTTTCTAGTCCATTCTCTCCAGAGTGGCCATAGTGATCTCACCTAAGCACAATCTGATCCATCACATTTGTGTCAAAATCCTCCGAAGGCTCTAAGCATACAGTTTACTCTTTTCTCCCCTCCTCTGTGGCTAATTGTCCCCCATTCTTCAGGATTCAGCTTCAATGTAACTCCTTAGGGAGGCACATTCTAAGCCTCTGTAGTGTAGGTCAGGACACCTCTTGCAGTCTCAGGATGCGGTGCATCCTCTAGAGCACTTGTCCAACTGCAATGACTCAGTGATTTGTGTAATTACACATTTGCTGTTCATTTCTTCTAATGGAATGAGAGTTCCATGGGTGCACACAATGTATATCTGTCCTCCAAACCTACCACAGGGCCCACCACATATATGCCCAATAATTATTTCTTAAATAACTAAACTAACACCAAGAGAACCCTGAAGCAACACTAGGACTCATAGTAAAGATATGACAAAGGGGAAGGTGTATTCAAATTTAGATAATATAATTAACATAATGAAGAAATGACTTCATCAATATAGTTGGTGTGGCACATCCTTTTTCTCCTGATCATAAAAAACGCCCTTATTTATAACATTTCTCAAGGGTAAGGGAGGAGAGTCCTATTTCTCATGATACCTCTCCTTTTATCCTCAGAAAAGCATTTAAATAAAAAACACAAAACCATTGTCTGAATTTCTGTTCTGCTTTAAAGTGCCTGATGAGCCAGTTGAGTAAAAGAAAGTAGAATGGCTTATGATAGAACAATGATGGCTTGTCAATGCACACCTTTCAAAGAAAGAATGAGACTATCATAAGCATGTCATTTGATAACGACTGCAACTCATCCTTCCTCCCCAAGCAGCCAGCACTTAGAAATAGTAATACAATAAATTTAATTTAACCCTAAAAGCAAAGCTATTATTGGAACGTACTTATCCTGTAACCCCAACTAACTTGAAGTTCCCCTCTACCCTGCTCCGAAAGGTATGCCGCCAAACACAATTTTATCAGCCTTTGTAAATGTAACCTCTTTTGATCTTTCCTATTTCTATGACAGTATAACAATATTATGTGCCCCTGAGAGGGATTAACATTAAAGTCAAGAAGAAGCAGCCAAGTGAAGATCTAGAGGAAGCAAATTCCAGGCAAATAAAAGAATAAATGTTCCCTAAGGTAGGGCAATGGAACCAAATGAGGCCAATGTGGATCTGCAGACTAGAGGTGAGGTTAGAGCTGTAAGGAGATGCCAAATCATGAGCTTTGTAGGCTCGGGGGGAATTTAGGATATGTTCTGGATACAGGGTTGACAGAAGTTGTTCACGTTGGAAGAGAGGCAAAGACAGGAATTACCTTCTCATTGAAGAAAGGTACTGATAATCCAAATTCCAGAAAAAGACATCTTAATCCACTTAATCTTGAAGGGTATTGCAAAACTACATAATATAGTAGATTTTCATACCTTTCTTTATGGACATTCACTTTAAGTTTCTAATGTTTGTCATTTGCGCAGGCTACTGCCTGCATTGATGAGTCAGCCACTGAATAGAACTAGAATTCAGTGTTATCAAGTGCATTGGTATAGTCCATGAGATTTGTTAAGGACTCAAATGCTAGGACAATAAGTCTTCTCAGGAGCATGCTGCAGAGAAGAGACTCAGCTGGACGTGGGCCTGGCCTGGATTTCAGTACTGATACACGGCCAGCTCTGGCTAGAATTCATATTTGATCTCATTTTTTATATGTTTACCTTATATATTCCAAATTTTGCATAGATTATTGAAACTAGGTCAAAAGTAAAATCATCAGTTAATAATTTATGACACTTCTGCAATTTGTCCCATCCAAATAGAACGGCCTAGAGAAACTCTGTGGCTGTATGAAAGTTGAGCCAACATCACAACTCTGTGAAACTGCCCAAAAACAACAGCTTTGGGGGAAAAAAACAGTCAAATGCTAGGCTGCCACCAATTTCCATCCTGGAATCTACAAAAAGACTCATTTAACAATATAAAATGAAACAATTTTGTAGTTTTTGGTTAGAAAAGACTTGATTACAGAAACAAGCATATCTTGTAGAATTTTATAAATGGATACATTTTTTATGGTATTTGGAGAAAAATATGACTTCTGTTAGTGTTTTATAAATATTGGCTAAAAATGAAATAATGAACTTGAGAAGGGAAATCCAGAGAAAGCTAAAAGCTAGAGTTTTGCATATTCTCTTCTATACTGGCACTTTGCTTTTTCTGTTTTGAATATATTTTCAATGCCCCAGTGAACTTGGTAACACTGCCAACAATAAAAAAAATTGTAAAGGACTTAGATCTTTAATATAACGTGAAAATCTGGAAATTAAACAGAATAACAGAGATGAAGAAATTAATTTTCAGATTTTTTAAAAAGATTTTTGCTGGCCCCTATTTTTCTATTATAATTTCAAAATTTTTTTTCAAATTGGTGGCTACATGTGCAGGTTTGTTACTCATCCTGTAACCCCAACTGTTATATGTATATTGCCTGATGCTGAGGTTTGGGGTACAATTAATCCTCTCACCCAGGTACTGAGCATAGTAGCCAACAGTTGGTTTTTCAACTTTGCCCCATTCCCTTCCGCACCAGTAGACCACAGGGACTACTGTCGTCACCTTTATGCCCATGAGTACCCAATGTTTAGCTTCCACTTATAACTGAAAGCACGCAGTATTTGGGTTTCTGTTCCTGCGTTAATTTCTTTAGGATAATGTTGGCCTCATTTTCCTAAGATTAAAGCTGAAATTTTGAAATATCTCTTGGTATTGGTGAAAAATACTGAGATAAAAAGATTAAGATACACATTTATTGTCCAATCATTAAATCATTAGCTTTATTACAGATAAAATATTATATCGAATTGGATTAGTAAATTTAAGGCCAAACCAATTTTGAAATTGTTCAGAACTTACATCAATAAAGGCTTCCCATTAACAATTTTATATGTATAACTCTACATATGTGTGAGAGTGTACGTATTTTTTTCAAAACATAGCCTAGTGTTTTTATTTAATATTTCCTAGACTTATAAATTATTTTCAGCTAACATCTATTTAGCCATGAAAATACAATAACTACATAGTTATTTTGAATTATAATTCTGGCTTATTTAACACAATTCAAAGTTATATACCAGTTTTGAAATTTTAAGATACCTTCTATCATTTAATAGAGTCTATAGGTGTATTTCACTTTTTAAAATAAATATTTTTGAGTAACAAATCATAACTGTATACATTTATGGGACACAAAGTCACGGTTTTGATATATGTATACAACGTGGAATGATTAAATCAAGCCATTTAACACAGACCTCACCTCCCTCACCTATCATTTGTGTGTGCGTGGTGAGATGTTTGAAATTTATTCTTTTACTTTGAAATATACAATACATTATTGTTGACTATGGTCACCCTGATGTGAAATAGATCTAAAAACTTTTTCCTCCTGTCTACCTGAAACTTTGTAACTTACAAATATCATTTGAAGAAAAAAAACCCAAATACCAAAATATTTGAAATTGCCATCACTAATGATTACTGTTTTAAATATTTGGAGTGTAGTTTAGAATACTACAGTTTTATCTACATGAACTCTAGAAAATTTTGTCTCTGTGCACTTGAAGCCATCCAGATTAAGCCATTCCCATTCAAGATTCATGAGACACAGTACAATATATGAGACTTTGAACTTTTTTTTTTAACTTCGTGAGCAACTATGCTTGGATAAACAAGCCATTTGAGGAAACAATACGCATCTTTCACAACTACTAAGCCTACGAATAGGCATAAGTGGAGTAAGCTCCAGCTGCAGTAGGGACTTTGTTGTCTGGTTCTAGTCAGCCCCAATTGTCTTGCTCTAAAAATGATAAAAGATGCGAAATTTGCATGCTACTCAAAAGGACTGGTTTTAAAATTGCCATTCAACTATCGGGTGTTATTGTTTTTCACAGATGACTACTTTTTATCTATTTATTTTTTTTTTGAGATGGAGTTTCGCTCTTGTTGCCCAGGCTGGAGTGCAATGGCACGATCTCAGCTCACAGCAACCTCTGCCTCCCGGGTTCAAGAGAATCTCCTGCCTCAGCCTCCTGAGTAGCTGGGATTACAGACATGCACCACCACACCTGGCTAATTTTTTGTATTTTTAGTAGAGACAGTGTTTGTCCATGTTGGTCAGGCTGGTCTCGAAATCCCAATGTCAGGTGACTCACCCACCTTGGCCTCCCAAAGTGCTGGGATTACAGGCATGAGCCATCGCGCCCGGCCTGACTACTTTTTTGAGGAAGACCCTATTCTGCACAACAGAGGACATGTTTGAAGAGGGAGTTTACAGATAAACCTTAGGAATAAGAAAAACAGGGCACAGATAATCCAGTCTGCTGTGTCTTTGTTATTGTAATCATCAGTTGGTTAGCTGGTTCTCATGCCTGTGGGTGCTAAGAAGGGTGAGATCAAAGAAAATCCACATGGGACTGGTGCTCCTTCATCCAGTGCTTCATTCAATACTTATCAATCATGCACCAAACACTGCTGAGCATCAAAAGTCCATCTAGGCACTGGGTTGTCATTGTGAAAGGGACAGGCAGGGTGTCTACTCTTACGGACATTACAGTAAAGGAGACATAGGAGAGCTCACTAAAGTATAAATTGCTACACACTGAAAACAGGCCATGGAGAAACGGTAGGTAAGAGAACATAAGGGTGGAAACTGACCTTGCCTGAGTACAGGCAATGCTTCCATGAACACTATGTTTAGGAAATGAAATGAAAGTTCTCTGCTTCCAACTTCAAAAAACAAAAGCAAAAATGCTGATTGCCATGTGGGTGTTATTTGCAAAGTTTCACACAGTATTCATGTATTATTCATTTATAAAAACACTGCTTACTACATGAGCAGTGCCTACTCAACACTTTTGGCAGTGTGAATGCGACAGACGTCCACTTCCAACACGCTTACTGATTAGCTGGACAGAAAGATTTATTACTCTGTACACAGCAGGATGTGCTGAGAACTGATAGAGGAGCAAAGAAAGCCAGAAACAGCACAAGAGACATGTGAGGACACTCCCAGTGACAAAGCTACTTTGTGCGGTGCATAGATTCTGTTGCCATTCTTTCTTTTAAGTAACCTTATTTCTGGCTTTGTTATGTGTATACATTTATTTCATTTTTCTCACTTCTATCTCATTTAATTACAGAGTGTTGTATATGTACACATTTTTGTGACACATCTTAAAACTTTTCACAAAGAGAAGCACAATTAAATAAATATTAAAAGAAAATTAGAAAAATAAAAATAAAAGAGGCTGGGTGGAGTGGCTCACGCCTATAATCCCAGCACTTTGGGAGGCCGAGGTGGGTGGATCACCAGAGGTCAGGAGTTTGAGACCAGCCTGGCCAATGTGGTGAAACCCCACCTCTATTTAAAATACAAAAATCAGTTCAGTGTGGTGGTGGGCGCCTGTAATTCCAGCTACTTGGGAGGCTGAGGCAGGAGAATTGCTTGAACCTGGGAGGCAGAGGTTGCAGTGAGCTGAGATCGTGCCATTGCACTCCAGCCTGGGGACAGGAGCGAAACTCTGTCTCAAATTTAAAAAAAAGTAAAAAAAAAAAAAAAAAAAAGAAAAAAAAAGAAAGAGGCAGCAACCCTTCCAGAGAAAGGCTTCCCAAATGAGAACTATTCAAATATAGAAAAAAGTACAGAGATAGGAAATATAAAGAATCTGATCGAGAAGAAGGCATGTTGGTAAACTGGAGTACAATGCCCTGGGGTGGGTAGTATATAGGGCATAAATTTAGCAAAAATTGGTTGATTTCAAAATACAGAGCATCTAGAATGGTAGACAAAAGAGTTTAGATGTGAGTGTCTGGCAGTGTTAGGGGAGTGACGATCAAGTCTGTATTGGAGGAAGATAACAATGGTGGCATTGTGAAGTGGCAGAGCATGACCAGATTGATAGGATTTGACAAGGGGGACAAGAGAGAAGACAAATTTAAAGAAGTTCCAAATGCTTCTAGCCTGGACTACTGAGAAGACAGTAATGTTTTAATGGGATACAAAAGAGAGTAGGGACAGGTATGGAGCGGGATGATGGGTGCCACTCCAGACAAGCTGCCCACAGAATATCTAGGCTGGAATTTCCAAAAGAGGTTAGGATGCAAACCTTTAGGAATCATTTATCTGCAGGTGTCAGCTAAAACCCCGTGAATGTTAGAGATGAAGTAGGGAGAAATTATTGAATGAGAAGAGTGGGCATCCAGCACTTATTTCCCAGGGCCCTCATAGTTGCCACAATACCATACATGGGAAGCTGAAAAGTTTTGTGGAAAAAGATGTTTAAACCTATTCTTGTGGCCAGGCGCGGTGGCTCACGCCTGTAATCCCAGCACTTTGGGAGGCTGAGGCGGGCGGATCACGAGATCAGGAGATCAAGACCATCCTGGCTAACCCAGTGAAACCCCGTCTCTACTAAAAAAATACAAAAAATCAGCCGGGGCGTGGTGGTGGGCGCCTGTACTCCCAGCTACTCTGGAGGCTGAGGCAGAATGGCGTGAATCCAGAAGGTGGAGTTTGCAGTGAGCCGAGATCGTGCCACTGCACTCCAGCCTGGGCGACAGAGTGAGACTCTGTCTCAAAAAATAAATAAATAAATAAATGAAATAAATAATAACAATAATAAAAACACCTATCATTGGATTTCTAAGAGATGGTCATGGCCTATTTGAGATTTATCTCCCATCTGTGGAAGAAGCCAGAACCCAAGAGGATCTCAAATAAGGGTTTTGTCAATGAAAGCAATGAGCTCTGTCCCCAAAGGCCATGATAACTTGTGTTTCTTTTTCTTCATTTAGGTACTGTAATGGGTCCACGAAACAATTAATAGATATTATTGAGAACATATTTGAATAATGCACATTTAACGCATCAGACAGTTGTCACCCTTTCTAATCCTTTAAAAATAGTTTAGGATGGTCATCGATAATATTATGGAAACTTTTTAATCTCGAAAATGAAACCCATATATTTGATAGGATGAATGAGTTGGCAAGAATGTCAGTAAATTGCAGTTTTCAAAATTTTATCTTTAACATCATTTAATCTGCCAGAAATTTAACAAGAATAAGGATAAGAGATTGGCCTCAAGGTACAATTCATCTTTCTCCTCATATTCCTTGTAGGTGCATATCAAATGATGTATTACATTCTGCAGTTTTTGGAGAATATATTTAAAATTAATTAAGGTAGAGTCACTATAATCCTTTTAACAATGTCATTCTTATTAACTTGCATTGCAGTGGGAGGCAAATGCCACAACCTCTGTGGCTCAAAAGAAAAGCAGGCATCGTAGTGAGAGGTGTGCATTGTAGTGGGTGGAGGGCCAGCAAGAGGCTGCTCTGCTGCAAGTGCTCATCAGTCAAAATGGAGCTGCAGCTGGAACCTTGTGTGGTTTTACAAGAAGGAGCCCTACCCCTCACCTACTCTACTTTTTATTGGCAATGAATAATGAGAGGAGCATTTGCAAGTGTGAAATTGGAAAAGAGCGGAACATCAGCCTGAGGCTGTGTGCAAGCTGCTCGGGGAGCCAGCAGAGAAGCACTGCTGATCCTGCCTGGACCTTCTGTCCTGGAGGAGGGTGGGCCTCCCACTCATGCTGGTTGTAAACATCTCTGTCTTCTTGCTTGCCTTCAGACATCTTCTCCAGCGTGGCGTAAAGAAAGAGTGATTGCAAGCATATTATATCAACGTTTTCATTAATTTTAGTATGCCTTTAAAAACATTTCAACACTATGAAGAATACTTATAATCAACAACATGTCATCGTTTAATTGGAAACATTTTTGTATTCTGACTCATTGGTACATAGTGTGTATTTTACCATGGATGTCAGATTTGGTGAATTAAGATAACTGTGAATAATCCTGGTCATGCCAATGAGAGGTTGTCATCCATGTTAATATCTTCTGGCATATGTGAACTGGGGAAACTGTTCTCCCATTTACCCACTGCCTTAATATAACAGCCACATCTACAGGGAGACTCTGACTTCTGGATCCGCCTTTAGAAATTAAGCATTTTTGGAAAACTATGTGATGGGGAAATTACTTTAATGGGTTAGCTTTAGGACCATGGAAGAGATAAGAAGAATGCAAGGTGTTTTGCTTAATTCTTAGAGGCAGTTTTCCTTCCTGAAAATGTTGGCATTCTTGATGTTATAAAAAGAATGTAAGGGTCTCCTTATGGTTGAAAACAATTCCCCCAAGAGCTTTACAGAAAATTGAGCAGCATAGTGATAGTTTGGCTCCCCAGATAAATAACTGTGTCCTTCAAAATGTCCTACATTTCAATGTATTTTTCACTGTCAAAATTATGAAATCATGGTCTCATCATCCAAATAGAACTCTTAGTATTATGGATGTATTTCCTTCCAGTCTGTTTCATAGCCATATTTTACATTGTTATTGTATGTATACACAGTTTTTTATCTTGTGTCTAGTCTGCTACAATTGGATTCCAAGTATTTTCTGAGTAGTATTCAGTATTCGTATGTTTGTATAATATTTCCTCCTCAATATTTCTAATGTAATTTGGAGATATTTGTAAAGATGTTTTTGAAATTTTTATTAGGATTTTAACAAATCTGTCAAATTATACAGAATTAAAATATCTATACTATGTACCACTCTTTCAGAAATATGCCCTCATAATTTCAGTTATTCACATAGATTCTTTGTAAGTCTTACTAAAATGATTACCAGATTTTTATATACTTTTGCCACCATAAATAAAATTATTTTCTATTTTATTTTCTAAAAGAATGTTCACAAAATTACAATTGCTTATTTATAATATTCTACCTTGTCAAGTTACCAACATCTTATTAATTACAATTTAGTTGATCCCTTTTGATTTATAAGATATGTAACATCACTCACAAAGAAGGACATATTTTGCTGTTCCTAATATTTATACCTAATATTTAGAGGAATAAATATTAAATATTTAATACTTTAAAATATTAAAAAAAATATTGTGAAAATATTAAAATTTTTTACTACAATGGCCAGAACTTTCAAAACAATGTTAAATAATTAGGGTGATACTAAGCACCATTATCATACATTTATTTTAAGACAAATGCCACCAATACTTCACAGTTGAATTATAATTGACTAAATTTAGTATATGCTAAAACTAGGGCAATTCTTGTCCTTAATTTCTACATGTAAATATTTGGTCACAATCCTTATAGTGATGTTACATCTTGTAAACTACATTTCCGTTTATCTGACATAAAGGATTTATTTCAGAGGTGGGAAATATAGGGATCTTGTAGGCCTTCGACAAATTATCAGAGTAACTTCAGTTTTATTTCCACAACTTCACAACATTGTAATGAGAATCTGCTCTGCTCAACTCCTCCACTAGACTTTAGGTAAAATTTGATTAGATTCTAGATATTAGTCCCTTGTCAGATGTATGCTTTGCAAATACCTTCTTCCATTCTATAGGTTGTCTTTCTGTTGACGACTTTTTTTTGTTGTTCAGAAGCTTTTTAGTTTAGTTCAGTCCCGTTTATTTATTCTTGCTTTTGAGGCATTTGCTTTTGGGATTTACTCACAAATTCTTTGCCTAGGCCAATGTCCAGAAGAGTTTTTCCTCCAGAAGTTTTTATGATTTTAGGTCTTTAATCCATCTTCAGTTAGTTTTGTATATGTTGAGAAATAGGGATGCAGTTTTATTCTTCCACATGTGGCTATCCAATTTTTCCAGCACCGTTTATTGAATAGGGGGTCCTTTCCCCAATGTATGATTTTTTCAGCTTTGTTGAAGATCAGTTGGTTGTAGGTATTTGGCTTTATTTCTGGGTTCTCTATTCTGTTCCATTGGTCTGTGTGTCTATTTTTGTACCTGCACCACACTGTTTTGGTAACTATATCCTTGTAATATAATTTGAAGTTGGGTAATGGGATACCTCCAACTTTGTTCTTTTTGCTTAGGATTGCTTTGGCTACTTGGGCTTTCAAACAAATCACCAAGAAAAAAAACAAAGAATACCATTAAAAACTATGGAAAAGATGTGAACAGACATTTCTCAAAAGAAGATTATACAAATGGCCAAAAAACATATGAAAACATGCTCAACATCACTAACCATCAGGAAAATCCAAATTAAAGTCACAATGAGATACCACTTTACCCCAGTCAAAATGGCCATTATTAAAAAGTCAAAAACCAATAGATGTTGGCATGGATGCAATGAAAAGCGAACAGTTATATACTATTAGGGGAATGTAAATTAGTACAACCTCTAAGGAAAACAGTATAAAAGATTTCTCAAAAAACGGAAAGTAGATCTACCATTTGATCCAGCAACTCCACTACTGAGTATCTACTCAAAGGAAAATAAGTCATTATGTCAGAGACCCCTGAGCTTTTATGTTTATTGCAGCATAATTCATAATTGCAAAAATATGAAATCAACCGAAGTGCCCATTAAGTGATTAGTAGATATAGAAACTGTGGTGTGTGCGTGTGTGTGTGTATACATACGCACACACACACACACCATAGGATACTATTCAGCCATAAAAAGAATAAAAGAATGTTTTTTGCAGGAACTTGGATAAAACTGGAGTCCATTTTCCTAAGTGAAGTAACTCAGGAATGGAAAAACAAATACTGTATGTTCTCACTTATAGGTGTGAGCTAAACTATGGGTACAAAGAGGAATACATAGTGGTATAATGGACACTGGAGCCTCAGAATGAGGAAGGGAGATTCCAAAATTACCTGTTGGGTACAATGTACACTACTTGCATAATGGGTAAATGGCCAGACTTCACCACTATTCAATTCATTCAAGTAACCCAAAACCCCTTGTACCCCTAAAACTATTGAAATAAAAATGTTTTGATTAGAAAGATAGACTATATCCAATAGAAAGATCAAAGCTAGTTGAAATCAACAGTGATAAAACCAACACATTATGGCAAGCCAGGAATATTTCTAAACATTTAAAAGAAAAAAATCAAGTATGGATTTTGTACTTGATATTAATGAAAAGTAAAAGATGCAACATTACACTAATGTCAGCAACTATTCACTCTCAGTTTTTTCAATCTACATGGATTCAGGAATGTTTAACAAAATTCATGGTATTTTATAATTTTACTCTTTTTCTGGCAGAAGGAAGACAGGAGTGGTTTTACAATAAGATTTTACCACTTCTGACTAGAAAGTTTTATCCTATATTATTCCAAAATAAACATTCTACACTAAATAAATATCTTTTGACAGTAAAATGATAATTTAAATCATGTTACATTCTAGGAAGTACAGATAAACACAGGCAGATTTTCTCTCTGAATTAGTCCTTAAATCACCTGATTAAAATATGATACTCTTGGCCAGGTGCCATGGCTCATGCCTGTAATCCTAGCACTTTGGGAGGCAGAGGTGGGCAGATATCTAAGGTCAGGAGTTCGAGACCAGCCTGGCCATCATGATGAAACCTGTCTCTACTAAAAATACAAAAAATTAGCTGGGCGTGGTGGCGGGTGCCTGTAGTCCCAGCTACTTGAGAGGCTGAGGCAGGAGACTTGCTTGAACCCGGGAGGCGGAGGTTGCAGTGAGATGAGATCGCGCCACTGCACTCCAGCCTGGGCAACAGAGAGATTAAAAAAAAAAAAAAAAAGATACTCTTATAAAAGTGTGTTATTTTAAAGCATAAATATAGTATAAAATACTCTCTAGTTGCAAGAATGCATCCTTGAAATATTCATTAAATATTTTCTAAGGGCCCACATTTGTCATGAGGAAATATTTTAAGAACGGGTAGAATCGAGTTCCATTTTTCAAATCTTTAATATAGAAGCAGATATCAATTAATCTTTTAAAAACACAATTTTGTTTGCCATGAGCTTTTATTTGGGCTTCTACTTTGACACATGTTTTAGCTTTAAGGTATCTTAAAACGTAGGGGCATTTAAGCTTTTAGATCTCATAAAACTTCCTGAGAACATGCTCTGACTCAGTCAGGCCCAGAAAACAACCACTCTTTCTTCCTTTTCTCCCTCCCTGAAACATTTCCTGAGGGCCTCTCTGGTTCATGGTAACATGCTAGGCTCAGGGGAACACAATGATGACTAATACAACATGGTACTTGGCTTTGGAAGTTCATAGGTCAGTGGAAATGCAGAAATATACACATCTAATTACAGCACAACTCAGTAAGTTCAGTAATAAATGTATATGAACACAGGGTGCTTTGAGGCACAGAAGAGCAGCTTCCTACTCAGCCCGAGGAGGTCAGAAAGAACTCAGAAGAGGAGGCACTGAATTAATGCTTCAGCTGTTTTTCAAAATGCTTTCCTGGTAGCATCTCCGCAAACACAAGAAGCTTAGGATTTACCATGCTTCTAGATTTGACTGTCAAATAACACATGGTCCATAATTTTAAATCTGGTTGACTACAAAACTCTTCATTGTGAAAATAGGAAGTAACAGAAACCCAGTCATTATGCATTCATCTTCTATAATATTTAACTCGGCTTAATCGCCATAATTCTTTCAACTGTCTGTACATAATAGTGTCAATAAAACTAGAAGAGTTTGAATAGGTACTAAGGAGCAAACTCTTTTAAGATAATCTTCTTTTTAAAAAATGGTACTAACAGCAGCCTCAAAAACACAGCAGATTGCTTCGCTTTCCATAAAATCAGGACAAGAAGGTTGTTATTCTTTTCATTCTCCAGTAAGCTCAAAAGGTGGGAATCTTGCCAAGACAACTCAATGGGCAGGAAGTCATTTTCTCAGGAAATTTCAAAAATATCATTAATTCACTTTGATCTTTTACAATGATTATAAAACATTCATAAGGATGGCTGTATCTAGCAGTTTTAACTGACAGGACTGTTGTGGTTTTTTTTTTGTTTTTGTTTTTTTTTCTGACCGCAGTGCATCACATTAAAAACACCCTCCCTCCTCACCATCAATTTCACAGTGGAAAATCCAGGCAAAGTGTTTTATTCTTGCTTAACCTTGAAAGATATATGGTGTGCTCAATTGAAAAATCTATTACTTAATTAGTTTTAAGAGGTTTGACATCAAACAGGAATACATTTGAAATGTAGATGAAGTAAGAGGTAAAAAAAATTCAGTTTAGAATTGTAAAGGGACATGTTGGATGTTCCATGAAGGTCAAAGTCAATTCCTTTCCTTAAGTTCCCTCAAAAGACTTATATGCACGGAAGTATTCAGTGGTGGTAACTGAGGTGAGCCTTTTCCCAATTTTTTTTTTTTTTTGTGGTTTGTTTTCTTTCATAATCCATTTGAACTTTGGCTTGACTCTTCTTCCCCCCAACATATTAACTATCCATCATACATAATAATTTTGAAATCTGCTTTCTAACTGATTGCTTAAGGGGAAAATTAAGATTAAAGATAACAGACAAGAAAACAAATAATTACCAGGGAGTACTTTCAGTGCTTCAGTGCAGAATATACAAGTTGCTGTGGGAACCCTGAAAAGCATGTTGACAGATGCCTGAGGAGGTAATAGGAAGCTTTTCAGAAGTCACATGTGAACATGGCCTTTCAGGATTTGTAGATGTTCTCGGGAGGTTAAGAGGAGAAAGAGTAGTATCAGAAAAAACCACATACAAACCAGCACACATACACAGTAGGTGAGAACAAGTGGTCCTTTAGGAGATCTGAAGGGGTGCCATGGTGGTGTGTGTCTACGGCATATGGCACTAAGTGGATGGGATAGGAGGGGGCGATGAGAAGCTATGGTTGGTCTGTGAAGGATCTTGCAGGTTATGCCAATGATTGTAGATTGTATCCTTTGGACCTGCACTATCTGATATGATAGCCACTATCTACCTGTGGCCATTTACATTTCTTTCTTTCCTTTCTCTTTTTGAGACAGGGTCTCATTCTGTCACGCAGGCCAGCATGCAGTGGTGTGATCACAGTTCACAGTAAAGTCAAATTCCTGGGCTTCAGTGATCCTCTGGCCTTAGCCTCCCAAACTGCTGGGATTATAGGCATGAGCCACCATGCCCAGCCTTAAATGTCAATGAAAAATAAATACACCAATTCAGTTCCTCAGAGGCACTAGCCACATTTCAAGTGCTCAATAGCCACATGTGACTCATGGCTATCATAATGGATAACACAGAGAATGTTTCCATTTCACCCCAAATACTAATAGACAGTGCTGCTTAAATAAGGAGAAGCCACATACAATCGCTAATTGTAAAGTAAGAGATTGACTTGATGAAAACTGTGCTTGATGAAAGAAGTAACTCATGTAGTGTGAAGGATGGGCGTGGGGGTAGAGGGCCGGTGAGAAGGAAACTGTTTAGCGATTCACCTGAAACTTTAACTATGGGGAGGTGGAGAGAGTTGCCTATTTCAGAAGATTTCCAGGGATAGAACTGAGAGGGCTTTGCTAAGTATCTGGTATAGATGCCTGGGTGGATGGTAACACTTTGACGGGAAGACACTAGAGGAAATTATAGTGGACTGGAGAAAGGAGATTAGTTTATTTTTTGACCTGTTGGGTTGGAGGTGCCTGGGACTTAGGGACTTAAAGAGGAGCTTTAAGTGAATAGGTCTCAAAAGTAATTTCCAGTCCTTTTCCTTTACAATCCACTTCCTTTCTCAACTGCCCCAAACAAGCATTGTGAGTTTCTCATGATTCCGGAAGTTTTTAAGCTAGGTTAAACAAGAAAGGAGAGTTGAGGTTGAAGTTTGCAAAAATGACTGAGTCTGGGTTTAAGGCTTTTTCACTCCATTTTGCTACCAAACCTGCAAACAAGCAGTGCAAAGGAACTATGCCAGCTGAGGGCACCGGGAAGTGGCTGCTCTTCCCTGATGTCACCCTAGTTCCAAGATCTGAGGGTCAGTGATGCCCATGGGAGGGAAAACTCCTCAGGCCAGGATAAAGAAACCGTGTCTTCCAGTCTTTACACTAGTTTGGAGAGGGCCCACATCAGCATGCATGGCTCTGCCTACTGTCAGATAAGGGAATTCCTTGCATACGACAGTTAAAAGCCATAGTGTTCTATTTCCTCCTTCTTTATGCCCCTTCACCTCTCTTTCACTTTTGACTAAGTCTTCCACATCACAAAGAAAATAGAGGTACCCTCCACTTCTAAATTCTGTTACCTTCATTCATCTCCATCAATTTCCTGCTTGTTTCACAGAAAGCCATCCCCATTCATTCCCTGGTTTGCAAAAATGAAGTCACAAAAGGCATGCAATACAACAGATTAATGATGGAGGAAGACATGAAGCTGAGAGAATTTCTTTAGGATGGGGAGCAATTGAATATGTTTAAATATTAATGTAAAAGAGATAGTAAAGACCAAGACATTGAAGTTACAGAAGAGAAAGGATTGTTGGTAAGTCTCATAAGAAGCTGGAGGCGATGGGATCCAATTGCAGATGGTGGGTAAGCACTGAGGTGGAGGAAAGACCACTCTTCCATCATCATAGAAGAAAAGGAGGTGTATTAGTCTGTTCTCACGCTGCTAATAAAGACATACCTGAGACTGGGTAATTTATAAAGGAAAGAGGTTTAATTGACTCACAGGTCAGCATGGCTGTGGAGGCCTCAGGGAACTTACAACAATGGCGAAAGGTGAAGCAAACACATCCCTCACATGGTGGCAGGGAGAAGAAGAATGACAGCCAAGCAGAGGGGGAAGCCCCTTATAAAACCATTAGCTCTTGTGAGTACTTACTACCACAAGAACAGGATGAGGGAAAATGTCCCCATGATTCAATTATCTCCACCTGGTCTCTCCCATGACACCTGGGGATTACCGGAACTACAATTCAAGATGCGATTTGGGTGGGGACACAGAAAAACCATATTAAGAGGCAAGAATGCAGACCGCAAAGAAGATAACATCTAATTTGAATCCCAAAGGCTTCAACGGAATTTACCATCTGAGGTAGTCACAAGCCCACCTGCGGTGTGGCTCAGCTTGGCCCCCTATTCATGTAGCTTCACAGGTATCTTGACTTCTGGGAGGGTTTGGGAGCAGCTTCTGCAGCCTTGGGAGAGGCCAAACACAGATCTGCCTCTGGATCCACCCGCTTCTCCACATGAGCTGCTTTTAGTCCAGCTAACCACCAAAGAGCCAAACTGCTATCCACCACTGCCTGTTTGGGGACCCAAATCCCAGATTTGTATTTCTGTCCAGGAATGTGTTTATCTTGGTTTGAATTCTAGGTCTGTCTTTTAAGCTTTCTTTTTTCCCCTATTAAAAAATCATTTATGTGTGTGGAGCAGAATAAATGCCTCATATTGTATTATCTACTAGAAATCATCCGCATTTTTTTGAAATAATGAACCTGTTACTTCTTCTAAATGATACCAGGTGTCCATTTTAGTTCAAATACTTACAATGTTACCTCACCCTAAGAATCCTCATCTGTATAATATTTTTCACTTTCAGTGAAAGTACAGCTGCACGGAGAAAATTTCTACACAATTAAGTTTAAAAATGAAAATTGCTCTATTCTTGATACAACAATCAGAGAGGAAATAAAACATAAAATCTCTGCCATTAAGATCTCCTGTACAGGCTGCCTCCACCTTAGGAGCAGGTTGTGTTTTGGAAGTTCACTTGTAAATTTTGTGTTTGGAACATCTAAAATAATTTCCATAGAAAAAATATTATAAATTGTAATTGTTTCCAGACCAGCTCATAAAAGCAAATTTGATACACAATATACTTGAAATACCATAAATTTGCATGAAATAATAGGAAACAGCAAATGTAATTATGATCTGTTTTTCTTTTACACACATTAAAACACTCTTTGAACCAATGCAAAGCCCAATGACTTGACTAATTTAATGCTGGAGTCTGAGCCATAGGTGGAGTTGGGAACTCATTTTGATCTATTTCCATTATGCCAGTAACATATGTTGTTGAAATTTAGAGTGAATGGAACAATGAGAGTGGGAAGATGCTGACTGTAGTTTGGGAGTTTCGCAATAGGGAAAGATGGCTAAATGGGTCTTGAGCCAAGAAATAAATTTTTATTTTCACCAGCTTTTGACTCAAAGTATTTAAGATGCTCCCTCTCTCACCAACACCAAGAGGGTGACAGAGAGAAAAAGAGAGAGAGAAAGAGAAAGAACAGAGGGAGAGGGAGAAAGAGAGAGGGAGAGAGGAAAAGGGAGAAGGAGAGGTTGGGGGGGTGGAGAGAGAGAGAATGAATGAGAGCTGTGGGAACAAGCCAACTATTTAACTACCTAGACATGCACTCAAATGGAAGACAAAATGGCAGCTATAATAGGCAGAGAACTCATTACCTGCAGAAAGCAGAGAGAGCTCCCACGTGACCACAACCACTGTCAGTGGCAATTAAATTTTCAAGTAGTGGGAAAAGAAGTAAATAACGGTAACTGTCCTCAGGTGAGGCCGGGTGGAAAGCTGCTCCCTTCATTAAAAAGAAGGGAGGGAGGGTGACTCCTTAAGAGTCAACTGATGGTGCTGAGGGTGAGGCTCATGTGGGAATAATGTAGCTTCTACATCTACCAGCAACAGAAGGCAGGGGACCTGAGACTCCTTTCACTGTGGTGCTGGAGAAGCAAGGATTGGGGTTATGGCGGTGGTGATTCTCCACCAGGCAGCCTGAGAGCTGCCAGGAAGACTGAACTGGAGCCATGCAAAGAGGCCAAAAGAGACAAACTGAAGTTACTCTTTCCAGAAGACAAAAGGGCCATAAAGAGAAACACCATTTTCACTTAATGGACAGTAGCAAGTTATATATGTACGAGTCAAAGCCTGCTCTTTCAATCCTGAATATCTGATAAGCAGATTTACCTTGATTAGTGTTTCAAAATACTCATTTTAATAAGTCTTTCAACTTATTGTTTGAGTCATTGAAACGGATACAGCTATCACGCATTTGAGGTATATACTCTCCTGTTTTAATTTAGTAAAATTAAAGGAGATCATAGGCCTCATATTTAAATATATTTAATTTGTTTATATCAAATGTAAATCCTTTTGAGGGGAACAAGAACATGTATAAACAAATATACTATAAAGCAGGATACTACATTACTTAATACGTGTTTGAATTTTAACTATCATTTATAAAGGTTAATTCATCATACAAAATTTTGGGGGGTACAAATTGGTGCCAAGATCTATGTTAGGTGGAGTGAATATAATAGTGTATAAGAAAGACACAGTTCTTGCCCTCTTGGAAGATAAGGCATAGCAGAAATAATAGAAAAGCCAAAGCAAGGACACAAAATATTCAATATCTGTATTTCCTGGCCTGCCGCCTACTCCTTCGTTCATTGCAATCTGACTTCCACTCTACTCCAATAATACTTCTCTTCCTGAGCCATTATATGGTTTTTCATGGGACTTGAACATGCCCTAATTCAGCTTAAATTATCTTTAGCAGTTCTGTTTGGGTTTAAAATTCACATCCTTAGAAACTTCCCCTAACCACACAGAATGGGTGAATTACACCTTCCATTTGTTCCCATGGAATGCTCCACGTCCTCTCTCATGAATTGTAATTTTAAAAAGTCAATTCATTGTCTGAGTCCTTCCCTGGCCTGTTAGCTCCCTGAAGGGTGGCACCAGTTATATTCACTATCAAATTCACTCCCCTATCAAGAGTATGGTCATTAAAAGGTGTTGTGTAGTATCTGATGAATAAATGAATGAATACATGAATGGAAGAGGCATTATATAATAATCAGAAATATTAAGTTCTAAACAGAGAGTGATGGGAGATGAAGGTGGAAATGTACTCAGCTCATAGAGAGTCTTGGATATCTTTTTGTTGATTGGGACACTACTGATCGGAAAAGTAGACTCAAGAGTTATCATTAATGCCTCATTTATGCTGAGCTAGGAAAAGGAAAAGACGATTCCAGTGGAACAGACTTTTTCACATGATTCTTACTGCCTTGATTGATTCAATATTTACTATATACATGATGTCTCTGGGGAAAATGAGCAAGAGGAATGGAAAACTCTGCAGATGAAAGAGGACGATGGCCTCTCGGAGAATAGAAATGGCAGGGATGGAGTGAACATAAAGTTTATCTGCAGCAGTGGCTTCCAGATAGAGAACAGCTATATAAAAACCAAAATTTAGAAGATTCCTGATTCCAATCCCAGAAGACTGTATTATGTCTGGATGGAGACTAAAGATCTATTACAACTCTTCAGACAATACTGATGTGTAAAGAGAACGTCTCATCTAGTTTAACCCTTTCGTTTACATGTAAGGAAGCTGAAGCCCAGGAGAGGTTCAGTGACATTGTGCAGGTCGGTGAGCTAGGACTAAAATTCCTGTCTCCTGACCTTGAGGTCAGGGTTCACAGCATTAGCTCTAAAGAGGCAAAATAATTACCCATAAGTTTGAAGAATAAAATTCAAAGAGAACAATGTAGCTTTATCTACTTATACTACCTTTTTGAAGTTAAAGGTAGAAACTAGTTTTCTCAACCTGAGTTCTGAAGCTCGAGAATGAGATGGGTCCACACTGCACAATGTAGCCACCTGGTTTACCGCATTAAGATCACAGCAAACCTACAGAACTAACAGATTTCCAGGCCTGTGATGACAATGAATCTGCAGATGGCTGGGGGGTTTTATGTTGAGGGTTGAGTTACTAATGGCATGAATCACGAGCAGCTTGTAGAGAATGATAAACACCTGTTCTTCATAACGCCTAAGTACAGAAGAAAAATGATGGACCAACATGATAGTGTTACTGACTTGGGCTGAATATGTATGAACTCTTTTCATTAGTAAATGTTAGAAAGGGTTATCAAGGGAGATTGTTTAATTACCATTTTTGGTAGGTCCTTAGTTTGAATCTGGAAGGCATTAGACCTAATCTTTCCAAATGACAGAGAGTGATACCAATTGATGTTGTATTAGAGCCCAGTGAGACCTCTGCCTTTAAATGTTTCCTCAGTGGAATATCCTAGGGACTCTCCAATAAGACGAGTACATATGAGCACAGATCCTAATGAAAGGGTTTGATGGTGAGTCATGATTCCCTGCATTTCACCCAGAAAGATCAGCAATCACTCAATTAGCTTCCACAGAGAAACAATGGTCAGCATTTTCCTTAGTCTCTCGAGACAAGGATAAAGCAGTACACCCCTATGTAAAATGAATGAATCACTACAGGCAAGTGACAGGTGCTATTCTTGTGATGTCAACAAAAGTCACTGTAGTAATGAAGATTTTCTGAATTAGATTTTAGCTTCATTCTTCACCCCTTCTCCTTTTTTTGACCATTCTTTTGCAGCTTGTTTGCCAAATTCAGGAGAGAATGCAAGCAGCTTTTCATATGTTCAGCAGTCCCAAGAAACTTTTTAAAAATACAAACATGTCTGTGTTTTGTATGCGTTTTTGAAAATGTATGCATTTACCACACTTCATACATACAGTTTCTTTTTGCAGAAACAGGTATTCCCAATAGAAATACATTTTTCCTGCAGTTTTAGAATCTACACAGGTCAAATTGTACATTACTTAACTCTGTGACAGGAAGGAAGGCAGGCAGGTTGTTGCCCAATGCATAGCACTGACAGGCAGGGCAAAGGACACTGAACTCCAAATGTCATCAAACTCAATGACTTTGAGATGAGTCCTGCTGGACTATAGGTACTGCCAGAGCTATCTAGTCCTTAAAACATACCATATATGTCGCTTATTCCCAAACTGACAGATTCTGCTAGTAATCTGGAAATGCAGGAAAAGGAAATAAGGTGATTTAATTTTTAAAAGGGCGCACTGGCTCACACCTGTAATCTCAGCAATTTGGGAGGCTGAGGTGGGTGGATCACTTGAGGTCAAGAGTTTGAGAGCAGCCTGGCCAACATGGTGAAACCATGTCTCTACTAAAGTTAAAAAAAAAAAAAAAATCCAGGTGTGGTGGTGCGTGCCTGTAATCCCAGCTACTTGGGAGGCTGAGGCAGGAGACTGCACTGCTGCACTCCAGCCTGGGTGACAGAGGGAGACTCCATCTCAAAAAAAAAAAAAAAAGGATAATAATGATACCTCATCATAGGTCCTTTATGAAAATTAAATAGCTTAATTGGTATACTTTTCATAATATCCCTCATAATACAAATATTCTGGTTAATTGGGAATCAATATACGTCACATAGATTATAAATTTTTACACAGTATAAAAATATCCCATCACATAAATCATATTTATTATAATTTACCAATTTTAATCATTCAAAAAATGTTTCAGGAAGGCCTGATAAATTGGTATTATTATATGAACAATTAAATTTGTCATAAATAAGAGATTCTGTCATCTAAAGATGTACCAACAATCTACAGATAATAAAGTGGCAAATAAATTATATTTACATCATTTCATAAGGTACTTTCTCACATATTAAAGCATAATTATAGTACTTATTACTTTCATTTGTTTGCTTATTAATTGAGCAAACAGGTTTTGGGGATTAAGTACAAAGCATGAAATTAGACTTTGAAGGTATAAAGATTAATGAGATACAGTCTCTGCCGTTCCTTGAAGCAGATGCCAAAGCAAATTGGGGCAAAAACATGAGAGTTGGTACCAAGGGATTTCATCTTTACTCTGAGGGCGAAGAGAACCATTGAAGGGTTTGGAGGAGCAAAGTGATATGATCAGCTTCACATGGAGATTCTCTTGGGAAATGATTTGAGGGAACCAGTTGGAGGAGCATGGCAGAAACTGAGGCAAGAAATGATGCCAAGTTGACCCCTGAAGTAACATCGAGTCAGGAGGAAGAATGGAAAGGAGTAGATGCATTGGAGTGACAGCAAGAGTATAAAACCCACTAGCTTGAGAGTTAATTAGGAGAAGATTATTTCCAAACTTTAACTGGGGTCTCTGGGCAGATATGGTGCCACTCAGAGATGTAGAACTCTGGAAGAATAGCAGGTTTAACCTTGGGACACAATGAGATCAAACTTGGACATTTTATATCAGAAATGTCAATGGGAAATTTTAGTAGAAATGGTACCCATTGAAGATCAGGGGAGATATTTCAGTGGAGGCTATAGAGATATATGCATTAACAGTGTCAAATAGCTGCAGAAGACAATGGGGACCTCCCCCATATCTCAAGGAAAGTTTTCTGAGAGTAATAAGACAAATACAAGAACAAGTCTTGGGCTTCCAAGATTTAAGTAGTGACAAGCCTGACAAGAAGAATGGAGAATACTCAGATGAGTAGGAGGAAAATTAACATAGTAAGTGGTGTTAAAGTCCAGGAGCCAGCGGTAAAGAAAGAGGACCTGGCTGAGGGCAGCAGGTGATTCAGAGTCCATGTAGGAAGTCTTCTTGATTTGGCACCAAAGAGTCTCCTGAGACTGTGGCCCGAGAAATTTCAGTGGACACCAGAGTGCCCTAGATTGAGGAGTCATCGCTACAGAAGATAAGGTGGAGACATGAGGTGAGGACAATGCTTCCAAGATGCCGAAACTCATCAAGACGGATAAAGGTCAAAAGAGGACTTTGGACTTTATTTGTTTGAAGATAGACATGTCTAAACCTTACAAGAAAGAGACAGAAGAGAAGGGAGTATCAAAGACAAAAAGAAAGTGAGGGAAACTGAGGAACAGGAAGGTGGCAGGAGGAGATGGGAACCGGAGTCGTGGATTACAGACTGATCAGGGCATACAGATACAGGTTAAGGAAACAGATTTTTTTTTTTTGGTGGGGGGAAAAGGATTCAGTATAAAACCCTGCGTTTAACTCTGATTTTATTCATAGGGTGGCCCATTTTTCCTATTCATTCAGCAAGACTCAGTGAAGGTTTCTCTCATCCTGGAATTGTGCTAGGCACACAGAGGATACAGTGGTAAATCAAACAAGGTCCCTGCCCACAAGAAACCCACCCTGTTGGAGCTGGGGTGGAGGCAGAGGGTACACACGTAAATTTCTAATCCAAGGCAATCTGTGGAAATCTTAGCATTGATTTACAGTTTGCAGTGGAAAGCCCTGTATATCTTTCTATCTCTCAGACATGAAAACCAATATTAAAATAGTTCACCCTCCTTAACATAATTGCAAACAGCAATCTTTTAAATGTTGACCACTATATAGATACATTAGTTATAAATGTAGCCAGGGGACTAGAATTAATTAACCTTAGCAGTGAATTCCATTTGAACTTAGTCTAATCAGGGCAATTTTCTATTCTGGAGAACAAAATTAATTATCTGGTTCATTTAGGAAGAGAATCCCACCAAAAGAAAACAAACACCAGAATTTTTTCCTTAATTATTAGGATATTAATACAATTCTTGATCCAGTGTCTTCCCTCTGATAAGAAAATGTACAATAAAAAGAACGACATTTTAGGCCAATAAATAGATAAGGAAAGAGATAAAGAGTTCAGGTTAACTTATCGGGAAAGCTGAGATTTATTTTACTGTAGTATCAAATTTGTTCTCTTTATTCTCACTTTATTGTATTTTGCTCCAGTTTCCCTTTTCATAATATGCAAGATAATTTTGTATTATCAATATCTTATATACCATAGAGCCAAGAAAGTGATAAGGTAAAATATTTTGAAATGATGCCATCTGCATAAATTATTTTTATTGCATTAATTTAAATTAAAAATTATCTAGATATACATCAACTCAGAGGTATCACCACGAAGTATCTTAAAATAAAATTATGAATGACAAAATGCTATTTTATGCAGCACTTATGTTGCTACCAATTATCTTTGTCAATATTTAAAGACAGGCCTTACACAAATTCCAAGATTTTCATGAGAAATAGTGAAGATATTAACAAATAACTAAGGGGACGAGCAGAGTCTCATTCTTTGAACGGCGTATCTCATATGATCCAGGTTTCTGTCAGCCTTGATGCTGTGTTTTCACCGAATAGATCTAACAAATGAACCTTAAAAGTAAATACTCTTGGAAGGACAGTAACCATTCCCTGATACTGCAGTCAGTATTTCTGGTTCTATGTGGCCAGTAAGAGGGAAATTTTTTTCCCCTTTCATTAAAACAGATGGGTTCATTTGCTGTCCAAAAGCGAATCAGCATTAATTTGGGGCATCCTTACTATGCCAAGGATATTGGCAGATTTTTAAAACTCAAGTAATGGCTTGGTGTGTTTTTAAAACAAGCAGAAATGCAATTTTCATAGCAAAGGTAAAACATCACATCTCTGGCAGTGCATCTCCTCCTGATGTTGGTGGTCCATTTCTCCTGCCAAAAGTGGGAGCAGGAACACATTTGGGTAGGAAGATGCAGACTGAAAATTCACTGAAAGAAGGTTAAGGATTATACTAGGGACATAGACAAAAAGGGAATACACCTGAAGCAATTTTAGAACACAAAAATGTATTGCATCCTTTAAATTCACTGTCTCCTAAATGTATTAGTCCATTCTCACGCTGCTAATAAAGACATACCCGAGACTGGGTAATTTATAAAGGAAAGAGGTTTAATTGACTAACAGTTCAGCATGGCTGGGAGGCCTCAGGAAACTTACAATCATGGCACAAGGGGAAGCAAACACGTCCTTCTCATGGCAGCAACAAGGAGAAGTGCAGAGTGAAGCTGGAGAAAAGCCCCTTAGAAGACCATCAGATCTTGTGAGATCTCAGTCACTATCATGAGAACAGCATGAGTGTAACCGCTCTCGTGATTAAATTACCCCCCCCCCACCAGGTCCCTCCCATGACACATGGGGATTATGGGAACTACAATTCAATGAGACTTGGCTGGTGACAGAGCCAAACCATATCACCTACCAACTAATTTTAAATGTTACACTCTTTAATTTTCTACCTGTTTATTTTCATTCATGTTCATAGTCAAATTTTTTAAACACCATTTTGAATGTTTAGAAAAATCATGGACATGCCATACACGACCACATGTACAGACACATTCACATCACTTTGCTAAGCATGAGTAAATATATCCTAGCTTAATGCAACAATGATTGAATCGTAGAGTTACCTTGTACTATCTTTGTAGGATTCCATTATTAAGACAAGCACAGAAGGCTTAGAATAGACAACTTCTATCTTACTCCCTCATAGTTAGGATTAAAGAGATTATGACTGAACTTTTAAATTGGTAGACCTTATTTTTAGAGCAGTTTTGGGTTTACAGAAAAACTGAATGAAAAGTATGGCAAGTTCTCATAAAACCTAACATCACTCAGTTTCCTCTATTAGTAGCATCTTGCATGAGTGGGGTACATTTATTGCAATTGATGAGCCAATATTAATATATTATTATTAACCGAAGTCCATAATTTACATGAGGATTCACCGTTTGTGTTGTACAGTTCAAGGAATTTTGACAAACAATAATGTTATGTATCCATTGTTACAGTATCATATTGAATAGTTTCACTGCCCTAAATATCTCCTGTGTTCCATATATCCGTCCGTCTCTCCCTCTTTCTGAACTCCTGGGAACCACTGATCTTTTTTCTGCCTGTATTTTCACCTATACCAGAATGTGATATACTTGAGAAGATGCAGTATACAGCCTTTTCTGGCTGCCTCCTTTCACTTAGCCGTATGTATGTAAGGGTCCCTGCACATCTTTTTGAGGTTTGGCTGCTCATTTCTTTTTAGCATTGAATAATACTTCACTCTATTTTTGTACCACAGTTTGTTTAAATGTTCACCTAGGATATCTTGGTTGTTTCTAAGGTTTGACAAATATGAATAATGCTGATATAAATATTCATGTTCAGGTTACAGTGTGGAAATTAGTTTTTAACTGAATTGGATAAATACCAAGGAATATGATTGCTAGTACATGTGGTTATATTTTGTAAGTGACACTGTTTTCCAAAGTGGCTGTACCATTTCACATTTCCACCAGCAATGAATGAAAGTTCCTGTTTCTCTGCATCCTTGCCAGCATTTGGTACTGCAGTTCTTTAATGACAGATGATGTTCCGTGTATTTTCATATGCTTACTTACCGTCTACACACACAGACACACACGCACATAATATATATATATATGTTTGGTGCTATGACTCAGATTGTATATTGTTTTTGGTGAGATGTCTGTTCAGACCTTTTTCCCATTTCCTTGGTTAGTTGTTTTCTTATTGTTGAGTTTTAAGATTTCTTTGTGTACTTTGGATACAAATGCTTTACCAAACACATATTCTGCAAATATTTTCTCCCTGTCTGTGGCTTGTCTTTCTATTATCTTTATTGTGTCTTTTGGAAAACAGTATGGAGATCCCTCAATAAAACCACAGATGTATAAAAAGGTTTTTTCTGAAAGTAGTTTTTAATTTTAATAAAATCCAAGTTATCAATTTTTTTCTTTCATGAATTGTACTTTTGGTATTATATCTAAACACATTGCTAAAACTAAAGTCATGTACGTTTTTCCCTCTTATGTTATCTTCTAGAAGTTTTACAGTTATGCAATTTACATGTCTGTCTACGATTTATTTTTATTTAATTTCTGTGAAAGGTGTAAGATCTGTTAGAATTTTTTTTTTTTTTTTGCATGTGGACCATTTGTTGAAAAGTCTGTCCTTTCTTCACTGAACTGCCTTTGCTTCTTTGTCAAGGATCAGTTGGCAACATTTGCATGAGTCTATTTCTGGGCTCTCTATTCTGCTGTATTGATCTATTTTTCTGTCTTTTCACCAATACTATGCTGTGTTAATTATTGTAGCTTTGTAGTTGTTCCTTTTTAAACCTTTTAAGTTGACAAATAGTAATTGTATATGTTTGTAGGGGTGATATATTGTGATATTTTGATATATATTTACAATGTAGAATGATTAAATTGAGCTAATTAGAAAATTCATCACCTCATATAACTTATCTTTTTTTGTGATGAAAACATTTAAACCTAATCTTTTAGCAATTTTGCAATATATAATACATTATTATTGATTATGGTCACTATTCTGTGCAATAGATCACTAAAGCTTATTCCTCCGATCTAAATTAAATTTTATACCTTTTGACCAACATCTCCTTTTCCTCATTCATGTCCCACCCCAGCTTCTGATAGTCATCATTCTACTCTATACGTCTATGAATTCAACTTTTTAAGATTCCACATATAAGTAAAACTCAGTATTTGTCTTTCTGTGTCTGGCTTATTTCACTTAGCATAATATCCTCCAGGTTAAGGCTATGTGTCTGTTGTGTGTATATACTTAAGTGATAAAGAAAATGTGTATACATACATACACACACACACACACACACACACACAATTTTCTTTATCCATTAACCCACTGATTGACACTTAGGTTGATTCACATCCTAGCTATTGTGAATAATGCTGCAATAGGCATGATAGTGCAGATATCTCTTTGATATATTTATTTCATTTCTTTTAGATATATACCAAGTGGAATTGCTGGGTCTTATGCTAGTTCTATCTTTGTTTTTTTTTTTTTTTTTTTTTTTTAAGGAGTCTCCAAATTGTTTTCCATAATGGCTATAATAATTTAAATTCCCATCAACAGTTCCTTTTTCTCCACACCCTTGTCAACATGTTATCTTTTGTCTTTTTGTTAATAGCCATTCTTACAGGTATAAGATGATATCTCATTGGGGTTTTAATTTGCGTTTCTCTAATGATTAGGATAATAAACATTTTTTCATATATCTGTTGGCCATTTGTATGTCTTCTTTTGAGAAGTGTCTATTTAGGTCCATTGCCCATTTTTTTTGGACTGGGTTATTTGTTTTCTTGCCATTGAGTTGTTTGAGTTCCTTAAATATTTTGAATATTAGCCCCTTATCAGATATATGGTTGGCACATATTTTCTCCCAGTCCATGCAATGTTTCTTCACACTACTGTTTCCTTTGCTCTGCAGAAGCTCTTTAGTTTGATGTAATCCTATTTGTTTATTTTTTATTTTGTTGCCTGTGCTTTTGGGGTCATATCTAAAAAATCACTGCCCAGACCAATGTTACGGAGATTTCCATTATGTGTTCTTCTAGTTGCTTTATAGTTTCATGTCTTTAGTCTATTTAATCTTTAATCCATTTTTAAGTTGATTTTTGTGTATGGTATTAACTAAGCATCTAATTATAATCTTCTGTTTGTGGATATTCAGTTGTCTCAATATTATTCATTGAAGAGGCTGTCCCTTCTCTATTGTGAGTTTTTGGTACCTTTGTCAAAAATGAATTGACTATAAATGGCTGGGTTTATTTCTGGTGTTTCTATCCTGTTTTATTGTTCACTGTGTCTGTTTTTATGCCAGGACTATGCTGTTTTGATTAATACATCTTTGTAATAGATTCTGAAGTCAGGTAGTGTGATTCCTCCAGCTTTGTTCTTTTTGCTCAAGATTGTTTTGGCTATTCTAGGTCTTTTGTGGTTCCATATAAATTTTAGGACTGTTTTTTCTGTTTCTATGAAAGATGACATTGGAATTTTGATAGGGATTGCACTGAATCTGTACATCACATTGGGTAGTGTGGGCATTTTAACACTAATTCTTCTAATCTGTGAACACAGAATACCTTTCCATTTATTTGTGTTCTCTACAGTTTTTTCATCAATGCTCTATAGTTTTCAGTGTATTTCACCTCCTTGGGTAAATTTACCCCTAAGTATTTTGTATGCTGTTTTGAATGGGATCGATTTCTTTACATCTGTGAACAAAGACAGTACATAAAATCTAAATCTCTCTTTCCTTCTTTTTCCAGTTTAGATTCTATGGCTCATAATTTCATTAAGACTCTTGCCAAGAACTTAGTATCCTTTGTTCTCATTTCTTCACTTCCATCTGGCAAAATCCCAACTGTGCATGAGTGCAACTCAACTGGGTTATTTTGCCTCCATTTGTGCAAGCACAGGTGGGGAAATCAGAAGAGGGTGGATGGCGACACTGTAAATTTGTCATCAACAACATCAAATGGCCCTCAGGACGGATAAGCAATTTGACTATATTTTTATTTTCCACTCTCTCTAGTTTCTCCCATAGTGATTTTTTCAAAACGTTTCCATTTGCCTCAAGCTTGGACAAATTCCTTAATGTTCTCCATTGACATGGTAAATTTCTTATGATCTACTTCACACAAGAAGAAGCCATCATATATATGGAAATTCCATCTAGTATTCCCTAACAAACCTACAAATCTATCTAGATGAACTCTTACTCTTTTTAAAAATGTTTATTTGATGAGCAGGGAAGAAATTCTTTCTATCTAGGTCCAGGGCCTCTTCTTACACAGCAATGCAATATATAATGATATTTTAGGTCAACAGTGGACCACATATGTGACAGTGGTCTTATAAGATTATAATATCATATTTTCACTGTGCTTTTTCTATGTTTAGATATGTTTAGATACACAAATATTTACCACTATGTTATAATTACCTACAGTATTCAGTACAGTCATATGCTATACAGGTTTGTAGCCTATGAGCAATAGGCTATATCATGTAGTACATAGTAGTCTCTACCATCTAGGTTTTTGTTGATGTTTGCACAACAATGAACTTGCTTGGCAATACATTTCTCAGAACGTATTCTGGTTACTGTGCAATGCAAGACTGTAACTTGAATCCTATGTTTTCGGGAACCTCAAAATAGCAACCATCCGCTCTTATTCCCACATATTCAATAATTTTCTTACAATTGAATCCCTTGCCTGTTATAATTAAACATTATCAATTATCTCCATTAAAAAAATTCTCTCAACTTATATGGCTTCTTGTTTCCCATTTTCCTCATTTACAATAAAAATAATCAAAAGAGCTCTCTGTACATATGACAGATTATATATTTAATTAAAATATTCCCTCTCTATTGCTGCCTCACTGACATCAGGTTTGGTTATGTGACTTTCTCTCATCAATAAAATATATATGAAAGTTATGTGTGCTGCTTCCAAGAAGCAGCTTTTAGAGTAATTGCATGCACCTACTCCTTTCTCTTTTTCTTCCATCATAAGACCAACGATGCCTCAGAATAACACCTGCTGCTTCACCCTGGTCCTGGAAGATGCAGGACATCAGCAGACGTGAAGTTGACTGACAGTACACGGTAGTTTGAGCACAAAATCAACCCTTGCAATAGTGTGCCTGCTGAAATTTTAAAGGTATTTTTTACTGCCTCATACTTTACTCTATGTTGACTTGTACATGACTTTTTGCCTCCATTTTCTCCCTCCCCATTACTACTCAACCTGCTTAAAATCTGACTTCAGGGTTATCTCTTCGCATTTACATGTCAATAAGTTAAATGGCGATTTTTCAGTGTGACTTTAGCTGATCTCTCTAAGCAGCATTTCAAATAGTTGATCACTACCTTCTTTTTGAAACAGTCTTTTCAGAAGAATCTCTTGCATCTTTGAACACGAATATTCCTGATTTTTTCCCAAAACCTTGTTGTTGCCCCTCAGTCCTTCTCATTCCCCATTTCCTTGAGTATTAAATATATTAGTTTCTCAATTTTCTCTCCTAAAACATCATCTCTTTTCATTCTATATTCTCTTCTTAGACAGCTTCATCAGATGATTTTATTTTCTTTCTTTACTTAAATAATGTTCAAACATATGCTTTCAGTCCAAACTTCTCTGAATTTCTGACACATATATCCAATTGCCTACTTTATGTCTCTGCTTACATGCCTTAAAGTGATATTCAATATGCCCCAAACATAATGCTTAACCATTTGCCCTAAACCATGCTTGTTTCTGGTGTTTATTTTGTTTTCTCTCATTTCCTTCTCTCATAAACTCCATGAGGCAGAGCCCGTGCCCATTTTTGAATCTTGGAGTACCTGATATACAAGGCACCAAAATTCCCAGCATGATAAATCAAACAATTAACAATTCTGTACATCAGGGTAAAACTGCAGATAAAGATATGCTCATTTGCAGTTTGCTTTTCAGGTGATTCACTATAGTTAGACAACTAATTCTTCAGCAACAACAATGGAAGTCAGGAGTTAGTGGAGTAATATAAAAACTAAAAGAAAATACTATCAACTTAGAATAGTATATTGAGTAAAAATATCTTCCAAGAACAAGGCAGAATTAAGGACTTTTTAATATAAATTAAAAAAAATGAAGAGTTTGTTTTGCCAGTGGTGTTTCCCTATAGGGAATTCCAAAAGATATGTTTTAGACAGAAAAAAAAAAATGATACAAGATGGAAGGCTGAGATGCAAGAATAATGATAGACAAGAAAGTGGCAAAAATGTGGGTAAACTGATACAGGCACTCACTGAATAAAACCATAATAATGTCTAATTTGGGGGAGTTAAAATGTAGAAAGAAAATAAGAGGACATAGTTAAAATATTGGAATGACCATAAACAGAAAAGAAATAAAAGAAATGATAAACACATATTAAAGATTTTTGCTGGGTATGGTGGTACAAATATGTAGTCTCAGCTACTCTGGAGGCTGAGGTACGAGAAGCACTTATGTCCAGGAGATTAAGACCATCGTACTAGCAACATAGCAAGACCCCTGTCTCTCTAAGAAAATAAAATAAAATAAAATACTGTTATTATTTTCTTTTTAAACGGTGTGTGAAGC
Source organism: Homo sapiens (assembly GCF_000001405.40). NCBI lineage: Eukaryota > Metazoa > Chordata > Mammalia > Primates > Hominidae > Homo > Homo sapiens. The sequence continues at coordinate 4,223,153 of NC_000018.10, forward strand.
ATTTAGTACATTTTTATACTTTATACCCTACAGATGTTTTATAAATATTGCTGACCTTTAAATTAATATTTAATAAACATATAAAAATACATTTTCTTATCTCCAGCTGAGTTTGAAACATGTTTATGCAGGAATAAAATGTATAATTTATTAGAGAGTGAGACTGGCCTAGTTCACTGTTTCTTATATTTTCCAAATGGAAGAAGTATTCCAAGAACAGATCCATGTTTGAAACCTTGTATTTCAGTGTGTTAGTCTACAATTATGTACCAAAATAGTTGCAGCCTTTTATATAGCACTTTGAGGTATCAGTGGGTACTCACAACATTTGAATAAGATGTGCAAAGATCACAGTATCATCGCATTTGTTTACAGGAAATAATCTAGTTTACATAGTTAGAAAAGTGTGGTTAGTGAGGTCATGCAGAATTTCATCATTTATTTTAATAAATCTCAAGATTATGTAACAACAATAGATATTAAAATGGTCACCAGATATGTAAAGGCATTACTATAATTCTGAATGCTACTCTAAATGTTTATATTTCCTTGTCAGAAATGCAAAATTTTCTTGAAAGTGTATTAGTGGTGTCAGACTCACTTTTTTCAGAATCCACTACTATAACATAAAATATCACCCTTCCCAGTCTATACAGAGAACAGAGAAGTAGTCCAAAGAGCATCCTTATGGCACATATCATTGCCATAGGAAGGTGAATGTCTACATTAAAGAGCTAAATCATTATAACTTAATTCTTAGCTGTAACCTCATGACATTTTTATATAACCAGTCAGATAATAGCTTCAATCATTTAGATACAACTTGGAAAATTCTAGTTAGAGAAATGAGAATGAGCATAGAACACTGAGCAGAGTCCTGAGACACTCATTCCAGGCCCTAACTCCTGGTTGACATTTCTAGACAAAACCTGGGCCAGAAGGGAACCTGTTGCCTTGAGTGGAAGAACTCAGTCCTGGCAGGATTCATCACGGGCTGACTAAAGAGCTTTTGGCCTCTGAATAATCAGCAGCAGTAGCCAGGTAGCACACACTGTGGGCAACCACACTCTCTGGGCATTGGGTGAGACTCTGAGATGTGCTGACTTCAGGTGTGACCAACTGTTTCACAGCTGTCATGGCTATGAGGAGAGACCCCTTCTTCTTGAGAAAAGCAGAAACAAGAGTAAAGAAAACAGACTAGGTATCAGTTTGGCCATAAGGAGGTAGAGTACCAAGGGGGATCTTGGGGTCCGTGATACCAGGCTAAGCTCTTGGACAGCATTTCTAGACCTGCCCTGGGCCATATGGGAACCCACATCCCTGAAGGGTGAGTTTCAGGCCTGACCACATTTGCCATAAGCTGACTGAAGAGCCCTTGGGCCTTGAGTGAACACTGGCAGTAGCCTGGCAATACAACCTGCAGGCCTGTGGTGGTGGCAGACACGGAGGAAGACGCCTCTGCTTGTGGAAAGGGGAGAGAAGAGTGGGAAGAACTGTCTTGTGTTTGGGTGCCAGCTCAGCCACAGTGGAATAGAGCACCAGGTAGGTTCCAAAGGTATCTGTCTCCAGGTCTTGGCTCTGGGCCCATATCTCTGGACCCACCTGGGGCCAGGGGGACTCACTACACTGAAGAGAAGGATACAAGCCTGGCTGGTGTTGCCACCTGCAGATTGTAGAGCCCTAAGGCCTTGAGAAAACATAGGAGGTAGCAAGAAAGTATTTACAGTAGGCTTTTGGGGGACCCAGTGCTGTGCTGGCTTCAGGTCTTAGTGCATTCACAGTGGTGATGCCCACAGGAAGGCTTATGTCACTGCTCCCCCAGCTTCAGGTACACACACTCACACCCCCCCACACACACATGCATGCACACACAGATACTCTGTTTCTTTGGGAGAAAGTAAGGGAATAAAACAAGAGGCTCTGCCTGGTAATCCAGAAAATTCTTTTGTATCTCATGCAATACTACCAAGAACCATGAAGGTAGCATTTAAACCAGCTCTAGCCAGAGGGGAATCATCCATTTCAGCGGTCAGATCTTCAAGCCTCTATGAGGCTGGAAGAGTCACAGCATTACAAGGATGGGGGTGCCACTTAATGCAGTTATGGTTGCAGTGACCTAAAACTTAGATCACAATACCCACATCCCATAGATACCTGGAAAATCCTCCCAAGACGGACAGGTACAAACAAGCCCAGACTGTGAAAACTACCATAAATACCTAACTCTTCTATGCCCAGACACTGATGAACATCTACAAGCATCAAGACGATCCAGGAAAACATGACCTCACCAAATGAACTAAATATGGCACCAGGGACCAATCCTGGAAAGACAGAGATATAGGACCTTTCAGATAGAGAATTTAAAATAGCTTTTTTGAGGAAACTCAATGAAATTCAAGGAAACGCAGAGAAGGAATTCAAGATCCTATCAGATAAATTTAACAAAAATACTTAAATTATTAAAAGAAATCAAGCAGAAAAAAGTTGAAAATGCAAATGACATACTGAAGAATGTATCAGTCTCTTACCAGTAGAGCTGATCAAGCAGAAGAAAGAATTAGTGAGCTTGAAAACAGAGTATTTGTATATACACAGAGGAGATAAAAGCAAAATTAATAAAAAAGAATGAAGCATACCTACAAGTTCTAAAAAATAGCCCCCAAAGGGTAAATATAAGAGTTATTGGCCTTAAAAAGGACAGAGAGAGAGAGATAGAGGTAGAAGGTTCAAAGGGATAATAACACAGAACTTCCCCAACCTAAAGAAAGGTAGCAATATTCAAGTACAAAAGGGTTATAGAACATCAAGCAGATTAACCTAAAGACTACAAAATATTTAATAATAAAACTCCCAAATGTCAAGATTAAAGAAAGAGTCCTAAAAGCAGCAAGAGAAAGGAACCAAATAACATACAATGAAACTCCGATGCACCTGGCAGCAGACTTTTCAGTGGAAACCTTATAGGCCAGGAGAGAGTGGCCTTATATATATACTGTGCTGAAGGAGAAAAAAACCATTGATCTTAGAATAGGATATCCAGCAAAAATATTCTTTGAACATGAAGGAGAAATAAAGACATTTCAAGACCAACAGAAAAGCTGAAATATTTCATCAACACCAGACCTGTCCTATAAGAAAAGCTAAAGAGAGTTCTTCAGTCTAAAAGAAAAGGACTTTAATGACCAATATCTGAAGGTATAAAAATCAATGGTAACGGTAAATGCACAGGAAAACAAAATATAATAACATTGTAACTGTGGTGGGTAAACTTTTCATATCTTGAGTAGAAAGATTAAAAGATAATCTGATTAAAAATAATAACTACAAAAACTTTTCAAGGCATAGGTGGTATAATAAGATATAAATAGAAATAACAAAAAGTTAAAAAGTGTGGGGACAAAGTTAAAGTATAGAGTTTTTATTAGTTTTCTCTTTGCTTGTTAATTTGTTTATATAATCAGTGTTAAGACATTATCTGTTTAAACTAGTGTATTATAAGATATTATTTGCAAGACTCATGGTAAACTCAAAAAAAAAAAAAAACAGTGTATACACAAAAAAATAGAAAGCAATAAATGAAAACAGACCACAAGAGAAAATGACCTTCACTAAAAGGAAGCCAGGAAGGAAGAAAAGAAGGAAAAGAAGACCACAAAACAACCAGAAAACAAGTAACAAAATCACAAGAATAAGTCCTTACTTGTCAGTAATACCATTGAATGTAAATGGACTAAACTCTCCCATCAAAAGACATAGAGTGACTGAATAGATAAAATTTTTTAAAAAAAGACTTGTTGCCTACAAGAAGGGCACTTCACCTATAAAGAAATATATACACTGAAAATAAAAGGGATGGAAAAAGATAATCCATGCAAATGGAAACCAAAAAAGAGCACGGTAGCTATACTTACATCATAATAGATTTCAGAACAAAAACTATAAAAAAGAGAAAAATAAGGTCATTATATAATGATAACGGGGTCAATTCAATAAGAGGATATAACAATTGTAAATATATATGCACCCAACATTAGAACACCCTGATATTTAAAGCAAATGTTAGACTTAAAGAGAGAGGTAGACCCCTATACATTAATAGAAGAAGACTTTAGCACCCCACTTTCAGCCTTGGACAGATGACCCAGACAGAAAAATCAACAAAACATTGGACTTAATCTGCACCTAGACCAAATGGACCTAATAGATATTTACAGAACATTTCATCCAACGGCTGCAGAATACACATTCTTCTCCACAGCACATGAATCATTCTCTAAAACAAACCATATGTTTGGCCAGAAAACTAGTCTTAAGACATTAAAAAAATTGAAATATATCGAACATCTTCTCAGACCACAATGTAATAAAACTAGAAATCAATAATGAGAAATTTTTAAAACTATGCAAACACATGGAAATTAAATAATATGCCCCCAAATGATTAGTAAGTGGGTGAAAAAATTAAGAGTGCAATTAAAAAATTTCTTGAAACAAATGATAATGGAAACACAATATACAAAACCTATGGGATACAGCAAAAGCAGTACTAAGAGGACATTTTGTAACTATAAGCGCCTCCACCAAAAATGTAGAAAAACTTCAAATAAAAAAAAAAACTAATGGTGCATCTTAAAGAATCAGACAAGCAAGAGCAAACCAAACCCAAAATTATTAAAGAAAAAGTAATAATAAAGGTTAGAGCAAAAATTAATGAAAATGAAATGAAGAAAACAATACAAAAGATGACTAAAATGAAAAGTTTGTTTTTAAAAAGATAAACAAAATTGAGAAAACTCTTGCCAGACTAACAAAATACAGAGAGAGAAGACCCAAATAAATAAAATTAGAAATGGAAAAGGAGACTTTCAACCCAATACCACTGAAATTCAAATGATCATTAGAGGCTACTATGAGTAACTGTCAGGCAATAAATTAGAAAAACTAGAAGAAATGAAAAAAAAAATGCCTAGTGAGATGAAGCCTACCAAGATTGAGCCACGAAAAAATCCAAAACCTGAATGGACAAATAAGAAGTAACCAGATCAAAGCTACCATAAACAGTATCCTAGCAAAGATAAGCCTGGGACCTGATGGCTTCACTGCTGAATGTTACCAAACATTTAAACATCCTACTCAAACTGTTCTAAAAAACAGAGGAGGAGGGAATACTTCCAACCTCATTCTATGAGATCAGTATTGTCCTGATACCAAAACAAGACGAAGACACATCAAGAAAAAGAAAACTACAGGCCAATATCCCTGATGAACATGGATCAGAAATCCTCAACAAAATACTAGCAAACTGAATCCAACAACACATTAAAAACATCATCCATCACGGCCAAGTGAGATTTATCCCAGGAATACAGAGATGGTTCAACATATGCAAATCCATCAACACATCATATCAACAGAATGAAGGATAACAACCATGTGATCATTTCAACTGATGCTGAAAAATCATTTGATAAAACTTAACATTGTTTCATGATAAAAACCCTAAAAAAACTGGGTATAGAAGGAAAACACCAGATAAAAGTCAATAAAAGTCAATATATGCAGATCCACAGCTAATGTCATATGGAATGGAGAAAAACTGAAAGCCTAGCCTCTAAGATCTGGTAAGCAACAAGCATGTACACTTTCAGCACTTTTATTCAACATAATACTGGAATTCCTAGCTAGGGCAGTCAACAAAAAAAATTTTAAAAAAAGGGCATCCAAACTGGAAAAGAAGATGTCAAATTATCCTTGTTTGCAAATTATGTAATCTTATATTTGGAAAAACCTAAGGACTCCACAAAAATTATTTGATAAACAAATTCAATAAAGTTGAAGGATACAAAATCAACATAAAGCATCAGTAGCATTTATATATGCCAACAGCAATCAACCTGAAATAGAAATCAAGAAAATAATTCCACTGATAATTGCTACACATAAAATTAAATACCTAGAAATTAACTTAACCAAAGAAGCGAAAGATCTATAATGAAAACTATGAAACATTGATGAAAGAAATTAGAGGACACAAAAATGGAAAGACATTCTATGTTTATAGATTGGAAGAATAAATACTCAAAATGTCCATACTACTTACAACAATCTACAGATGGAATACAATCTCTATCAAAATACTCATGAAATTCTTCACAGAAATAGAGAAACAATCTTAAAATTTATATGGAACCAAAAAAGACCCAGAATAGCCAAAGCTATCCTGAGCAAAAGGAACAAAACTGGAAGACTAGCATTATCTGACTTCAAATTATACTGCAGAGCTATAGTAACCAAAACAGCATGACACTGGCATAAAAACAGACACATAGACCAATGGAACAAAATAGAGGACCTAGAAACAAATTCATACATCGACAGTGAACTCATTATCAACAAAGATTCCAGGAACATATTGGAGAAATGACAGTCTCTTCAATAAATGGTGCTAGGAGAACTGGACATCCATATGAAGGAGAATGAGTCTAGACCCTTGTCTCTTGCCATATTAAGAAAAGCAAAATGGACTAAATACTTAAATCTAAGTCATCATATTATGAAACTACTACAAGAAAACATGGGGAAGCTCAATTTGAGTTAATATACCAAAAGCACAGGCAACCAAAGCCAAAGTGGACAGATGGGATTACATCAATTTAAAAGTTCCTGCACAGCAAAGGGAACAATCAACAAAGTGAAGACATAAACCCACAGAAAATGTTTGCAAACTGCCCATCTGAGAAGAGATTAATGACCAGAATATATAAGGAGCTCAAACAACTCCATAGGAAGAAAGTCTAATAATGCAACTAAAAATGGGCAAAATATCTGAATAGACATTTCTCAAAAGAAGACATACAAATAACAAACGTATATGAAAAGGTGGTCACCATCATTGATCATCTATGAAATGCAAATTAAAACTACAATGCTATAGCACCCCAGTTAAAATGGCTTTTATCTAAAAGACAGACAATAACAAATGCAGATGAGGATGTGGAGAAAAGGGAACCCTCATACACTGTTGGTAGCAATGTAAATTAGTACAACCACAATGGAAAACAGTTTGCCAGTTTCTCCAAATCTAAAAATAGAGCTATTATATGACCCAGCAATCTCACTGCTAGATATATTATGCAAAGAAAGTGAATTCGTATTATCGAAGAGATATCTGCACTCTGCACTCCCGTGTTTACTGCAGCACTGTTCACAATAGACAAATTTTGGAAACAACCTCAGTGTCCATCAACAGATGAATGAAGAAAATGTGGTATATAAATACAATGGAGTACTGTTAGCCATAAAAAATGAGATCTTGTCATTTGCAACAACATAGATGGAACTGGAGGTCATTATGTTAAGTAAAATATCCTGGCACAAAAAGACAAACTTCACATGTTCTCACTTATTTGTAGGAGCTAAAATTAAAACACTTGAGCTCATGGAGATAGAAAATAGAATGATGGTTGTCAGATGCTGGGAAGTGGAAGGTGGGGAGGAAATGGGGATGGTTAATGGGTACATAAATAGAAAGAATGACTAAGATCTAGTATGTGACCGCAAAACAGGGTGACTACAGTCAATAATAATTGTACATTTTAAGATAACTTAAAAAGTATGATTGGATGGTTTGTAACACAAAGGATAAATGCTTGAGGTGATGGATACCCCACTTACCCTGATGTGATTATTACTCATTGCATGCCTCTATCAAAATATGTCATGTATGCCATAAATAGATACACCTACTACATACTCCAAAATTAAAAATAAATAATTTGAAATAAAACAAACAAACAAAAAACCTAAAAAGCAGCGCTGTGGTAGCTGTCCGTGGTACTTGTCCACAGTCCTGAATAGGAATCCACTTTGGTTTGTTTCAATACTTGCTCAAATTTATACAAATTAATTTCAAGATTACCTACCAGGTAGTTTTTTTCCTTCTTATTTATTGTCAGAAATATTATCTCTTGAGAAGAAATAAATGTCATATTCAGGAATATTATAATTATTCAACTTATATAAATATTTACATGAAATCTCAAACACGCATAAATTTTTCCTTATATTTAAGCATATTTAAAATATGACCTGGAAAGACAAAATGCTTGCTGCCAATAAAGCATTTTCTTATGGTGTTTGCTCTCCATTAGCCCCCTTTCCAAAATCAATTTTCATACTTCTCTGCCCTGCTCTGGAAGCCTGGGTGGCTGATCTCTAGGACAGCCTGCCAAGCTAGCTGGGTTTTGATTGGATTTTGCCTGTGGGAAGTAATGGCAGTAAAGCAAGAGATTATCAGATAGGCTGAGAGAGAAACTGGGGTATTTCCTCCCTGCACCTTCACTGCTTTGGCAAAATTACTGTGAAGCAATTAGATTTTTAAAGACTACCACTCCCACTGTGTGATCTCTCTGTTAGAGCTCTAGCCCTCCCTGGGGCTTGCTTCTTCCTTTGTTTTCAGTTCTATTTTTTTTTTAATAACTCATTCCTACCATTTCTATTCTCTGGATCCTCCCATATCCTCTATTTCTTTCCTTAGTAAACAAATTCTTTATTTTAAAAACTTTCTTCATTTAAATCATCTGAGTAAATCCTCTTTCCTTCCAGGACAATGAATGATTCAGAAGGTGTTTAAATCAAAGCTAATGTATCTAATTGAGAGGAAAGAATATTCATAGAGAAGAAATGAACATTAAATGTCTACAAGATGCACACATTAGTAGGGAATATGCTATTGACACTAAGAATGAAATTCTGTGGCTATTGGTCGATGTGCAATCCCTAATAGGTTAAGCCCATTGTGTATTAATAATAAGTATTAATACATAGTTGTTCAGTTCATGTAGAACTGAATAAATTGAATAATAACTATTTCATAATTATTTGGAGTTTACTAAGAGGTGAGCTTGAAGTTTAAAGGTAAGGTATTATTAAATCACGGATTCATTTTGTCACATTTACACCTATTAATTTTACAAAGAGAAAACAATGAGCATAAAACCTACAAACTATCCCAAGAATTCCCGCCATCCAACAAAGAAACAGATGTTGGTGGTCAGAAAATGTAATGTTCATTATAGCAAAAAATTATGTGATCTCTTATTCTATTGAGGGGTCCTTAAATTTTTTTTTAAAATCACATTTGACAGAAGCTTAACTTGAATTTAAATGTGGCTAAAGGTATTCTTCTTTACATAGGAGAGAAATTAGTCAGAAGTCAGTGCACACTGGAGAGAAATTGTGAGAAATTATAAATGGTTAGACTTGTTTTCTCGATAATGAACTTTTTGCAACTAAACAGCACCTTGAAATAGTCTAATGGCTGATGTAATGAATGTGTCATTTTATGAATGAAGGTCTTAAAATTATAAAAGTGCAAGAGAATTTATAAGACAATGTTGTTGTAATGTAAAAGCCATTTTTTTGCAGAAAGAAGTGCAAGAGCCTAAAATTTACTATCAACTTTAAAATCAGACATTAAGAACAAGGAAACAAAGCTCCAGCATAACAAATGTAAGAAATTTTACACTATCTGGTTTGTGGACCTCTGGAATGTAACTCAATCCATGGTCAAGGAAAAATGCACTAGCTCCTCTCATATGGGACTTAGGGCAGCAGAAGGGACCTCACCGCATGAAAGCTAGCTTTCCCTGGAGCAAGCAACTCAAGAGACCAAGGTGAAACCGCCAGCACCTTTTGTGACCTAGCCTTAGAAACCACAGACCCTCACTTCTGCAGAAATCTTGTACACAGGTCAGCTCTCAAAGGAAACCACACAAGTGTGGGAACACAGAAGTCAAGATTATAGGGACCACCTTGAAGCTTAGCTACTGAGTAATGAGGAGAATCATGACTGCTCATGAATTTGTTAGTTTTAAAATGTTTTATTTTAAAATTATTTTAGATTTATAAAAGGTTGAAAAATTGGCACAGTCTCCCATACCTTTCATCCATCTTCCCCTCATGTTAACATTCTACATGATCAAATCACAATGATCAAAAACTAGGAAATGCTGGTACGGAGTTATGACCTAAACTATAGATTTTACTTATTTCCCCAGTATTCCCACTTATGTTCTATCCCTGGCCCCGATCTAAGCCAGAAAACAGATTGAAGTTTGTTATTGTGTCTCCTTAGTCTCTTCTAATCTGTGGCAATTCCTTAGTATTTCCTTGTCTTTCATGACCTTAAAAATTGTACATTTTAAAGCTTACTGGTCAGATGTTTTGCATAAGGTCTTTCAGTTTGAGATTGTCTGATATTTTTCTCACTAATAGGCTGGAGTTATGGATTTAGGGGGAGATTACCTCAGAGGTGAGGTGCCTTCTCATCACATAATATCACAGGGTACATTATATCAACATGATTTATCACTGTTATTGTTAACCTCGGCCTGGTTACGATGTTGTATGCTGGCTCTCTCTACTGTAAAGTTACTGTTTCTCCTTTTCCATGCTTTATTTGTTAGAAGGAAGTCATTAAGTTTGGCCAACACTCAAAGGGAAGGGAATTAAGCTTCACCTCCTGGAGGGAGTATTATCAAGGAATATGCGCATATGTTAAAACCCCCTCAGAGATCAATTAGTTTTTAATTGGAGATAAAAGATACTTTTTGATGGAGATAGAAAGCTGTATAGGAAACAGATAACATCACAGGGGATCTGAGAAAGTATTTCAACTTTATTTTGATTATTCACAGTCCATTACCATTTCTTTATTCCTATACTTATTTTAATACAAATAAACATAATACAAATGTATTCTATTTTCCTCCTGTCATGCTATACTACATCATACGTTTTTAAAATATTTTGAGAAGCATGATTTCAATATTTAAATATCTTAATTTTCACTTCTGACTCAGTTTGAGCAAAATTCCAGTCATCTATAAAAAATGACACCAAAGAACTGTCCTCCAAACACAAGCCATGTAAAGTTTCTTTTTTGCTATTTTTTTTTTTTTTTTAGTTTCTTGGATGGAAGGTCAAATAGACATTAACTATAATGGTCCCTAATGATTACTAATAATGGTACCAAGAACATCTTGACAAAGTACTGGAGAGGTTCCCAGATAGCATATTTTTAAGACAGAAAATTATGTTAGTTGCACTAAAACTCAATTTTAATTAGCCATGACACTTACATACACTTTAAAGCTGATGAAGTGCTCTTCAGACTAACAAGTCTTAATAAGCTCTGTTTAAATTTAATTTCTATTTCCATTTGACAGTAACCAAGCAAAACTTGTGATTCACTATGATGATAACACAGCAGGGTTCAAGTGCTGTACATTTTCAATATGTTCTTAGTTATGCACCCAGCCAATTTAATTTCAAATGTATAAACTCTTCTACCCTTCCTTCTGAGAACAATAATTTACTTTGAAAGATTTCTTTGGATTTTTAACTTTTATAGAAAGAATATATTAAATGGAAAATATTTTATATAATACAGGCCTTTTGTTCTTCAAATTATAAAAACAATAACACTTCTTTGAATCATATTTTAGCAAATATATACCACTAGAAGAATGACAGGTGAACAAATTTAGTGCCACTCAGATAACTGTAGTAATTATATACTATGTCAACTCTCTACAAGTCTCAGCATCAACTCTCACTACACCCATTTCAACTCACGGCAATTTGGATAGATGCTGACGTTCTTTTTTTCCTGTTTTACTTATTCACGAAAACAAATCTAAAAGAATAGTTTAAAAGAAGTAAAAGAAAGGCATGTCATAAAAAAAGGATGTGCACGTGAACCCTGAACTTTGTGTTTAAATCTTCCTTCCTTCCTCCCCTCCCTTGTTCTCCCCTTCTCTTTCTTGATATGGGAAGAAAAAGAAAATTTCAGAGATGACTTTACTTCATTTGTGAAGCTTCCTGACTTCTGCCCAGTCAGGGTTGTTCCCTTTTCTGAGCTTACCCACAATATTTTTGTCTCTCTTCGAACACCCTACTCAAACCTGTTTTCCAGCTTATTGGAAGCACATATTCTTCTGTCCCTTGGTGAAGCACTCCTTCAAATTAGAAGAATGACACATTCATTTTGTACCCTCACGGGCCCACCACATAGTGGACACCCATTAACCACTTATTAAGTTGAATTTTAGAAAAATTGTTTGATTTTAAAAATTCAAAAAGTGCATATATTCAATGGAGAAAACTGGGGAAGCACTGAGCTTGCTGCACTCCCTCCCCTCAAATGTGAGGGGTAACTGGGGGCCAGAGGAGACATCGTGAGAGTAACATCATATGAACCACTTGGGAATTGCTCATGTTGGCCTGTAAAATAGCAGTTACTCTGCAAATCAAGCTATAATCCATGAAATTATCTAAGCTTTGTTTGAACCTGCTGTTTTTTTAATTCCTAGCACCATTTGGAATAATGTGTTACATAAAAATTTCTTTGTTCATTTGTTTTTGCCAGCACTGCTTAAATGAACACTTTCTCTTATTTGATTGAAAATACAACCCATTTTCAGTGTTTTGAGAAATAAAAGATAAACCCAAGTTATGTCTGTCAACATGGTTTACAGTTTTATAAATTTCAATTTCAATGTCTTTTTTTTTTTTTTTTTTTTTTTTGAGACGGAGTCTCACTCTGTTGCCCATGCTGGAGTGCAGTGGCATGATCTTGGCTCACTGCAACCTCCGCCTCCCGGGTTCAAGCAATTCTCCTGCCTCAGCCTCCCTAGTAGCTGGGATTGCAGGCATGCGCCACCATGCCTGGCTAATTTTTGTATTTTTAGTAGAGACGGGGTTTGGCCAAGTTGGCCAGGCTGGTCTCTAATGCCTGACCTCAGGTGATCCGCCTGCCTTAGCCTTCCAAAGTGCTGGGATTACAGGCATGAGCCACCATGCCTGGCCTCAATGTTTTTTCTCTATCTTCATGTAGCAGGAACTTTAGGACCAGATTGCCTGGGTTCAAATCTTGCCTCAGCCACTTAGTTTTCTGACTTGGGCAAGCCATTTAAAGCCTCTGATCCTTGTTAACTTTATCTGTAAAATGAGGATAAAATAATATTACCTGCCTCATAGGATTTTGTGAGGTTTCAATCAGTAAGTACATGAAAATGAACTCCCACATGGATTACATACAGTAAGGACTAAAGCAGTGTTGGACATAATTGTAATGATTATCAGTAGAAGTGCCATAATTCCTTTAGTCATTTAACATTCCTTTCGCTGGGTCTTCATCAAGTCCATTATGTCTCTTGGAAGGATAGTGTGCAAACTGCACCTAGTAAATGTGCCACTGAAGCACGGTGTGGTAGAAGGAGATTGCAATCATTTTCCTTGTGCTTTTACACCTCTTCCTCACAACGCTTAGGAATTTGTTCACTTATGTGCCACTGCCTTATACTGAACCAATATCTTCAAACATCAGTCAAAAGTGACACCCTAATTTACAAGCTGCACTTTATAGCTTAGACTCTTTAAGTTTTATAAATATTTTTTTCCCTCCCTTAAATGAGTTATCTTAATGCTTTAATGCAATGTTGTTTATTCCCCATGTTGAGCTACTTTCACTGATATTTATCTTAAGCGAGGTGGCTTCTACTAGATAAAATAAAATAATAACTGCGCAATTGTCTTTTCTAGCTGATTTACAAACATGTAAGGCCATGTCTCTACCAGTCGCCAGAATATTGAATAACCAATTGTTTGCATATAGGTCTTCTATTCTTATTCCTTCATTTTAATTTAGCAAACATTTATTGAGCAGTTAAAGAGATGTGCTTCGTGGCACAATTTAGCATGGGAAAAACATATAAACAGTTCTCCTACCCTTGAAAACTAAATAAATGAGTCACGTCTCCCCTGCTCCTTCTGGTTCAGGCATATTCACCCTGACATAGAACATTAGGGGTTTAGTCAAGACTGTGCTTTCTCCACTCTTCTCAGAGTTCACTGTCTGAAGCTATCGAGTAGCTCAGTGTTAGGACAGAGGGAAGTCGGGAAATGACTGTGTGTGCCTTTCTGTTACTAATCCTGAACTCGCCAATTAATTACCACGCTATCTGAAGCTTCGGTCCTTGCCTATTTGTGATCTGAAGGACAGGATACACCTGTAGATCCTGCACTGGAAACTCTAAATTTATACTTGTTGTTGTTTGCTAGTAATATTCATTCCCTTTCTCAGCAGTATACCTAGTTCTTTTTGGGGAATTTCCCTTCCTCCAGTGGGCGCAGTCTTGGTATGATGATAAGTCCTAGAAGCTAACGGAGACCCTGAAGCCTCCTTTTGTTAGGATTTTCAACTGAGTGGAGAAATGAAAGACAGAAAAAACGGTCAGGGTTAATGCCTTGATTCTGGGGAAGGACGGGGGTTGAGTGGTTCAGCCACACTGTTCCTGCCACCCACAGCTCTGGAAAGTCCAGGTTCCTGCCTTTTCTGAGACTGACTCTGCGGCCCTCTCTTCAAATTTGTTAGTTTCCTCAAGATCCTTCTAATACATTCTTGCTTGCTTATGTTATCCAGAGTTAGTTTCTTTTTTCAGCAAGAGGCCCTAAAAGACTCCATTTATAAAGAAAAAAAAAAAGGAAGCAATTTTTGCCTGAGTTATGAGTAGATTAAATTCAATATGTACAAATGGCTCCAGTGACAGCGGGAATTATTGAACTTAAACTAAGTTATGTTAACATGAATCACTTTGTAATTATTTCATATCACTGATCATGACTACTGCCAAATGAGTTATGAGTTGTAAAGCTATAATAAAAATATTATGATGCAATATTATCATACATGCCAAGTGAAACATTCCGTTAAATCTCTTACCTGAAGAAAAATCTGTAGATGCCATATGCCATTTAAAGTATTTCAGGTATAGCATCCTGGTTGAGCATCCCAAATTCAAAAATCTGAAATCCATAATGCTCCAGTAAGCATTTCTTTTAAGCATCCTGTTGGTGCCCAAAATGTTTTGGATTTTGGAGCATTTTAGATGTCAGATTTTTGGATTTGGGATGCTCAATTTGTATTTCTATTTGTACAAGGTAGGCTTCCTCTCTGTTTCATCAATTATAAAAGATAATGCTATTTTCTTCAAAATATTGTGAGTTAAATGAGATGGTATCTGTAAACGTTCTTAGAAGAACTTCTGTGAATTATGACCCCAATCTAAATAGACATTCCAAACTATTTTCTACTGAAAACCCAAGGTCAGGTTTATATCCCTGATACATAGAATAAAAAAGCCTGATATCTGAAGTTACTTAGATCATCAGAAAGCATAAAGCTAGCTTTTTAATTTAAGTCAATTTGACAACTTCTTGACAACATTTTGATGAATTGTGTTCTCCTTTAATTAAATAGAAGCAGAAAAGACGTCTCAGTGTTGAAATTTTTTAACTATGTAAATACACCGTAGAAGTTTTGAGAAATAATACCTCTTTTTCACTCTCGATTTTTGGTATCCTTCCTTCAAAAAACTTACTCAGTAACTACTTGCTGAGAAGTTTTATTCAGTAAATATGAACATGATGATACAAGATAATGAGGGATTATATATGTATAGCAGCACTATTAATTCTAATCAAAATATGTAACTACCCTTTCAGGTTACTGAAAGCAAATGAGCTGGCAATAGGAGCTGCTTTCATATTATTAGAAATGGGTGCCCTTTAGGCAAAGATCTCTCCAAGAGTAATCTGTGGACCACCTGCATCCAAATTACTTGGAATTACTTTTCAATAAGGTGAATTTGAAAAATGCCCCTCTCCACCCCAAATTATTGAATTATAATGTCTGAAGAAGTAGAATACAGGAAAAATCATCAATAAAAACTTTTCACATAATTTGCATGAACATCAAAATTTGAGAACTATAACTCAGATCATCTGTGGTAGACTTTATCACTGAGTAGGCAATAGTCAAAGTGGGCCACTATGTGATGCTGGGAGTGTTGTGCAGTGCACAACTTCAGAGAGTGCTGTTGGTATCACAGTCTATACCGTACAGCAGCTCTGATTGCAAGATTTAATTCATATCTTATGGTTGCCAAGGAGAAGTTACCAAAATAGCAACTGAGAGAATCTATCACATTTGCACTTTTCAAATCTTCAGCTTTACAATGTCATCAAGCATGAGATGTGTGAAGGACTGTGTTTTGATCTATCTCCTAAATCCTAAAGGGATAATTGACATCATTTAAAAAAAATTAGTTTTTTTCATCATTTATTTGATGAATTCTAGGTTTTTTAAACAAAGGAACTGAAGAAAGAAGAAAATCTTTTGTTTAGAAGTTTTGGGTCATTAAAGTATTGAATAAGCAATTTTACCTGCTGAGAATGATCAGCTTTTAGTCTGCAGTTTTTTAGTTATGTACTCAGAAGGTCCCTAAATAAAAAGAAAACTATAAAAATTGATTTCTTCTTTTTTTCGTATGGAAGTGGTACCAAATACTGCTTTAAAAAATAGTCTCACATTATAAAAATTAGCCCACATTCATGTGATATTCAGGGTAAGTGGCTCTGGAGCCACAACTAAATTGTAGCATCTCAACACCCGTTTCCTCAAATGAGATGCTAAACAAAGTGTCTTCGATTTAAAATCAAACTATACAGGCCTCCTTAGTTGCCTGTGTGTTGATGGATATTTTCAGAAACAGAATCTAAAATAATATTTATTTGGAAGGTTTACAAAGAGAGATTACTACTTTTCTCAGTGCAGATTGTCCAAGTTGGTCCAACTTCAAGAGTATTTTTCAATCTGGATATGAGTCTGCAAATCCACATTGAATCCATTAGGACCTACTTAATATAATTTCCTCCCCATATCTTTTATCCTCCTTTTCCATGCCCTGTTTGTTTATTTAAACCTCTTTTTTCATCTTCTTAGTCTTTCAAGCATGTCAAGTTAGTCCTCCAAAGAGACATTTCCTTTGTCTTGTAATTTACTTGTTGTGTTAGGAATTGTCAATTAACCAAATAGTCCTTTACTGAAATGCAAACTGGTTTTCAGATTCAAATAGTTGTTTTTAATAGGCCAGGAAATCCCAGTGAATAATTACTGTTTACATAGTTTCCACAGTGTTTATATGCATTTTTTAAATTTAAAAAAATGTGAAGAATTTTCTTACTTGTAGTTTTCCTTATAGCCTTGATAATGCATCTTATTACATCTATATTTATGCATTAAAATCTAGTAGGTATAATTTATCAGTAAGAATGACCACTATAATGCCTTAACTTTATTTACCAAATACACTGCTAGAGGAAAATACAATCAAAATAAAGATATTAGAAAGAAAATGAGAAAAAAGAAGATGACATAGATTCCTAAGAAAGTAAGTCTTTTAATAGGTTTCTGGAACATCAATATCAGACTAATTATAATCTCTTGAAATCAGATTTTCTGGTGAAAGTAGAACTTATGTAAGACCAGAATGAAAATGTCAAAAAAGAGATTAAACTCTGCATCAGTTTTCTTTTCCTATACATAGATAACTATGAAAATGAAACAAATAGAATAAAAATCATAAGTGTCCTAACATAATTCACATAATCAGAGCCTTTTGGATAATTCCAGTTATGATCCATAGAAATAATTTCTTCTTTTCTGATGTGAACTGAGTTGTGAGAGCACTGAAATTTGGAAAGTATTTTGTTACAAATTGGCAAAAGTTTCAAATCTCTTCCAATGCATGCTGTTGAAAAGATCAACAAATGATGGGCTTCTCAAAAGTTCCATGTGGTTACTATGCAATCATACGAACTTACACAATTTCATTTTGGCTAAATGATGATGGAAAACAAATATAGCACAAGATGTGCCCGCTCTTTCATGTCAGCATTCATAGGCCTATCATTCACTGTTACTTTACTCCCCAGTTTAATCGACGTACTGAGAACTAAAGGAGAAAAATGTTATCTTTTTCATTTCTTTTTTGGTTAACTTGAGCAATTCATTTTTGGTTTATTAAAAGCCAAAACAATAAGTTACCCAGGGCTTGAGTCACATCTTTTATCACTGCACAAAACTTGCCTGTGACTGGTTATGTCTGTTAGAATTTATGTGGATGAGACACGGCAATGTGTGATTGAACAAGTCCTCCTGGGGATTCCAATGCCCTGTGGTTCTTAAAACACTGATTGCTGAGGTCACTCCTAGAGTTCTTGATTCGGTAAGTCTGGAGTTAGGCCCCTCAGTTCGCATTTCTGACAAGTTCCCAGGTGATGCTGATGCTATTATCTGAGAAACACACTTCGCTTACAGCATTGATAAATGAACCAGTCTGTGAATTTTCATAGACTGCCTTTCATTTCCTGTCAGTTATGATAATGAAATCTCACTGTAAGTCCATAAAGTAACATCAAAGCTGTGTCAGCTATGAACACAACTCTTAGAAAAAAAATGGTCGCATATGAAATGCAAACATACGATAGAAATTACAGAGCACTTATTACAAAGAGATAAATCTTAGTTACATGGATGAAGGAGGAAAAGGAAATAATATACCATCATTCTGAAACAAATAGAAATGCAAAATCCAACAGCACTGGCTGGAGGATATGGGATGCCACCAATAAAAAGTATTTTAAGTATTTCTTTTACTTTTCTAAAAATTGTTTTTGTGGACTGCCATTAGATTCCTACACATTGGTGTTGTCCTGAATATTTTGGAAAGAAACTTAGGCAATACTTCCATTGACTATTGACAGGCCAATGATACTGTTCTAAGATTTTTTTCCTTATCATTAGTTTTCTAAACATTTTTAAATTTATTTTTAATTGATAATAAAAATTGTATATATTTATCATGTACCACATGTTGTTTTGAAATATACATACATTGTGGAAAGGGTAAATCAAGCTATCCCTTATAGTCATTTATCTGGGATGGTCATCTGCCATTATATAGAAAAATGATACATTATTTTGCTTCCATCATGAAAACCATCAGGCGCCAGACATATCTGCTTCTCAAAAGCAGTTCCCCTTCATCCTCAAAGCCCTCGACCTAGTAATGTATGATTCTGATTTTTTGTAGAATGTGTCTTTTCATTACAATAAAATACACTCCATTTCTTTGTTTTGGGAAGATTATAGCTTTCTCCCCAGGCTTTTTAGGGGACAAAGACTATTCTCCATATGACGAACCTATCAAGATTCATCTTGAAATATTTTATGCATTCTTTTTTTAATCCACTGGAATTAATTTTGTTCTTGGATCACCTTTTCAAGGACACAATCAGCTCTCGCAGCTGACTGCTCCAGTGGGTGCTAGAAAGTCCGCCCAGAATTCTGGCACATGGATCTGAAATGAAGGAGAACACAAGCAGCCAGGCATTAAGGAGGATTTGGGGTAAATCTGCTCTTGGAAATGCAAACTTAGGAAAAACTTTCCACTTCAAAAAAAGAGTCAGAACTTTCTTTGGGAAGTGGCAGAACAAAGGGACCTTGCATGCTCATTCAAAAATTCTTTTCAGAAACATTTGCACACCTGGGAGGAAGAAAGCGGGAAGGGCAGGCAGTGGCACTAGGAACCCGATACCTGGTGGGCCTGTGATCGCATGGGTAATACCCACCTGAGGGCTAGATCACACATGTAGCATACCTGTGAGGGCTAGATCATGCATGTAATACCCATGATGAGGGCTAGATTACAAATGCAGTACACATAAAGGTGAGATCATGCATGTAGTACCCATGTGAGGGCTAGATCACACACATAGTAACTCACAATGAGGGCAATTACACATGTAATACCCATGATGAGGGCTAGGTCACACATGTAGTACCCACGATGAGGGCTAGGTCACCCAAAGAGTACTCACTATGAGGGCTAGAGATGCACTGACACAAAGTGGCCATGGAGCAGTCCTCAGTGGCCCTCATCACACTGGTTTGGTGAGAAAGTGTCAGAAAGAAAGGGGAGAGTGCTCAGTTGACTCACCTGCCCTCTCACCGCTCTTAGATGGTGTGTTGTGAGGCTTGTGCCTTGTGCTGTAGTGTTTAGTAGAATCATTCTTGGACACCTAAAACACCAGTTTCTTGGAACACATTATTTAAAATCTTTCTAATTTCTAATTTCCCCATCTGTAAAATCAATGCAATAATAGTTCCTTAATAGTTCTTTTCGGTTAAAAAGTGCCTCTGCGGAGTACAGTGCCTGGAATATAACAAGTACTCCTTACGTAACCGAAACAAAACTCATAAGTCTGATTGCTATAATCTCTAAGGCATTTGGAGGTGGACTGACCACGGATGGGCACAGTCTGAGGACAGCCTTGTCCTCAGTTTTGCTTTTGTGGACTTCCTGCCAGATCCTCCCAAGGCTCTGCATTTCTGGGGCTTTATGAGAAGAGAACTCATCCCCTTGGCAAGAAGTATTCTTCATCAATGATCTCATCATATAACAAGTTATTTTGAGGCCACTTTATAGTACATGTGTTAGAGATTTCAGTAACTAACTCATGATGACACAGACAAATTTGAATACAAAACAAAACAATGTCACAGCAACGTGATCTTCCGTGATATCCTCATGTCCCATGATGTTTCTTTCTAAGAGCACTTACTTCAGTGATAAATATTATCATTTTGGGATATCTCCTTGGCATCAGAAATGTTTACTAATTTTGAAATAAGGAAAGTGGGATGTTTCAGTCAGGTGTGTAGTTCTGATTTTTGGAAAAAAATGAAACCCGCTTATCTTTTTTTTACCCTACACTGTGGCTGAAAGGTATACAATGTCAAAATGGCATTTAAAAATTAAGGTAGCTATATTTTGGAACATTTTATCCCTACCTTTGAAAATTCAAATTGTTCAGACCTTCAGAAAAATTAATAGTAATGCCACGAACACCTGGGTGCCCATGGTGTAACTTCATCGATTATTATTTTGCTTTCTTGCTCTTTTTTTTTCTGTACCATCTGAAGTTGTAGACATTGTGCATATCTTAAGAACTCATATATCCCACATAATCACAAGTCCATCAAAAATATCTCTTATCTAATACATAGTCCATTCTATCAAGATAATAATTTGAAATATATTTTCCTGGATAAGAGTGTCAGTAGGAAATCTGGACTAACAACGGTCACCTTCCCCCTTCAAGTCCTACGTAGGAGGGGAAGATGCTTAAGACAACCACACACAGATCAGATTACTGTGAATTTGTTAAGAATTTAACAAATGACTTTAGCTTTCCATTTACCAAAAATTACATTTAATATTTAATAACATCTTTTAATTTCTAGACTTTTTGAGATGTTTCTAGATTTCTGATAGTACCATAATATATTAAATTCACTCTTGAAAATTAAAAAAACTACCTAATTTACACAATTCACCTATTTACTCTTATAGAAATTCATGCGGTATATCTTTTGGAGTAAATACTGCGTTAGTTGCAACAGAGTAATGAGAACTATGAGTTGCCAAATCAGTGATGGGGGAAATGGCAATGAAAATAAAATAAATACTGCTGGTCATTCTTCGTTGATTCTATATCAAAGGTTGTTCCCCTCCCGAGCCCAAATATTTAAGAGACAATGGATCAGTTACATGATCTGTGTGTCATTTTCTTCAGCCATAAAATAGGTAGGATTATGTCACCATCAACATCACAAGGATATTAAAAGGCTAATGGATATAGGATGGAATTGCTTTTAGTTCATAGGTGCCGGGGCATAACACAAATCCAAACTGTATGCATCTCAGTGATATCCGCTATCATCCAGTGTAACGAAATGGTTCTTAGCCAAGTACTTAGAATAGCCTATCATATTAGAACTTTTCTCACAATGCAGCAAGTGTCTATTAGTACATTTTCTGAAGAGTTTGTAAGATTCTATAAACAGTTCTCCCTTATTCTTGTTATAAATATAGCAAGATTAAATCACAGGAAATTGCCATTTTATAGGTTAAAAGTGATCTTATATTAGCAATTTCACATTGTTCAACTTAGCAATTGTGATAGCTGTGGTCTGCTACGTTGTTAGCTGCTACTGGTATAACTCAGAACATTGCTCCAATATTCAAAGTGTATAAGCTTGTACATTTGCTTAGGAAAGTGCTCGGTACTTGACATTCAATTCATGAGGGGTATTATCAGTATAATAGTATTCTGTAAAATCCGAATATTTTCATATTAATTGCTACTGATGTTTCAATATTTTGTGCACAACTTTTCTTTCATCAGCATTATGAAAACATATATTGTGATAAGTTACAATTGTGACATAAAATCTGCAAAAGACATATGTACTTTTTTGGGAGCTTATGTTACAAAGAGATTTTCCTGCACATTTCTTTAGTGAAGTAAGGGATTTCAGAAAAAAGACAAAGCTTGCTGTTTTAGCAGCTCTATTGCTCTGTTTTTTAAATGAAACAAAACAAACATTCCAATCCCTCAAAAGTATTAATCTTAGCAAAGCTATTATTTTTTATAAGCAATAGCCCTAGACTTTCAAATGAGCAGCAAGTTCCAGACTACAGCAGCACAGAGATAACACAGAGTCCCAGAGCAATTCGTTGACCTTACAGCAGGAAATAATGATGTATCATCAGAATCCGCTTGGGTGGTATCGCTTTGCCAAGAAGCATTAGGCTTCTTTTTCAAGTAAGATTTGATTTTTCTGCTATTTCTAGAGAGGCTGGGAGCATTTATATCAATGAAATGCAAAGATACTCTTTTATTCACCTAATATGATCACACCTACAAGCTGAAAACAAAGCCAAGGGCTTGGGGACAGGGCCCCGACTCATCTTGGGGACAGGGCCCCGACTCATCTGTTTTGCCTGTGCAAGTCTCCAAGTCATCCTCATGGAATGGGAGAAGCTTTTCATAATAAATCCCTTAAATATATATTCAAACGTTACCACTGAAAACCTGCAAGTGTTTCAGTACCACTTGCTGATGGGAAACAAACCTTCCCTATACGTCTTCATCTTATTATCACTGAAGAGTGTGTGTGTTTATTCCTATTAAAGTATGTGTGTGTATCTTGGGGCTATTTGGGGGCTGCATGTATGATATCCCCCAGTAGGAGCAGCATGACAGAATTATAAAATGTGGTAAAATGTAATTAGGTTTTATGAAGTTCTTAACATAGATGCTGAGGAAATTTTCTAACTGATATTTTTCACTTCCTGATTTGATAAAAAAAAGGAAAAAAAATAGCCATGGCAGATGATATTTCAGGAAGGCCAAACAAATTTTATTTAGAATTTCTAGGACAAAGCATTTATGTATAACAGTTCTGGGTGAAAATGGATGATTTTCCAGTAACATAAAAGTGCACACTAACTGTATTGTTAGCATCAATCTGGGATATGGTCACACCTTTGAAACTCTAACTTCTGGGGTGCAGAGAACTCAGCAGGGAACAGAATTGGTCACAACCTCTCATTGCAGTGAGGAGTCAGTTATCCTCCCAAGGGCCAGTGCTGGCCTGGGGACGCACAGTGTCAAACCCCAGGGTGAAAGGTCAGGGGTGCTTTCTGTGTCTCCCCACACACCCACCCTCTATCCCCAGCATCTCTTTCTTGTTTATCAGGACTTCCGTCTCGAGGGTAATTGCTTAGAACAGAAAACAAGGTTCTGTTAATTCACCACTGGACAAAGGAAGAATGGCAAAAAACGTTGAAGAAAAGCAAGAAGGGTTGTCCAAGAAGCACTCAAGTCAGTTAGTTGTTGGTTTCTTTTCAATTTGTTGTGACATTTGTTAGCTCATTTTACCTTTATTTCTTCCTTCAGAAAAAGAAAAGAAAAAGCGAGAGAGAATGGGAATAAGATACCAATTCTTTCATCATCATATCTTGTTTCAAGATTGTAAAGCCCCATGAGAGATAAGCTCTCTTATTTTATTCAATGATAATGGCTTAGAATTCTGCTAGTGTCTAAAATGCTTCGGTTATGTTTGGAATTTCACCTGAATTGGAGGAGTAGTAGTAGTTGTAATAGGACAAGGAGGAGAAGGAAGGGAAGGAGGAGGAGAAGGATGAGGAAGAGAAAGAGGAAAATGGCAGTAACAATAGTATTACTATATTACTAGCAGTAATAGTAATATTTATTATAAATCATTACTGAGTGCATCCATGTGTTTCACACTGATGTAAGTATTTTTCACGTATTAAGTCATTTAATCTTTAGAACCACCAGCTATATTAGACATTATACTCTTATTCCCATTTTTCAGATGAGGAAGTTGAAGCATACAAGGTTAAGATACTTGGCTGAGTTCACCTGGCTAGTAAGGAAGAGAACCAGAATTCGAACCCATGCGGCCTTGGCTTCAGCTTCCGTGGTTTTCATAGCTACAATATACTGCCTTATTTCTATGCCTCTTCCCTGTGAAAAGTGTCCTTAAAAATGTTATCCCAGGCCGGGTGCAGTGGCTCACACCTGTAATCCCAGCACTTTCGGAGGCCGAGCCGAGCGGATCACCTGAGGTCAGGAGTTTGAGACCAGTCTGCCCAACATGGCAAAACCCCGTCTCTACTAAAAATACAAAAAATTAGCCAGGCGTGGTGGCAGGCGCCTGTAATCCCAGCTACTCCAGAGGCTGAGGCAGGAGAATCACTTAAACCTGGGAGATGGAGGTTGCAGTGAGCCCATATCGCACCACTGCACTCCAGCCCGGGTGACAGAGCAAGACTCCATCTTAAAAAAAAAGTTATCCCATATATTTTTCACAGCAAGGTTTGGGATGTAACGATATTGCAGTCAAGAGGATTAAATGTCTTTTGGAAGGTCACTAAATCATGGCCCTTGGGATTTAACCTAGGTTTTCACTCTTATTTCTATTTGATCTTCAAATTCCCACTATCTGAGAACTCAGGATATACTGGGATCTAAAATTCAATATGCCAGTGACAAAGCAAAACCATTTTAATTTTGGGAGTATTAATATGGCATTTGGTGCGAGAGATGAAAAAAATATCGTGATTTTGGTCAAAGTCACCCCCAAATGGTAGCGTTAGACTTGGCACTTGAGTTCCCTGGGCCTTCACTCGGGTCTTCACTGCAAACCCTTGCTGCCTCTCCAAAAGCCTATCTTGGGGTTCCTGTGCAACTGCATTAATTAGCTTAGTGGGAAAATAATGAGGAAACAAGCATGAATGCTGACTTTAAAGCTCAAAGGAAATAATTAACAATAACCTTCACGGCGAAATGAAGAACAGAGCAGGAGCCCGAACCATACTTTCAGTTCCTTCAGGATATTGACTCGTTGGAGTCTGTAACATTTTTGAAGACTTTACTGCATGAGGATTTCTCTTATCCTGATGTACAGCTTTCTTTTCTTCTTTATTATTTTCCAGCAAATCAGGCTCACAAATGGCTCTCTACTTTAACTAACTGCCTAACTGCCTGTTTTAACATTTTCTTATAGAGACTGCCGAATCTGTTCAATTACTCAAGGGGGGAAAGGGGAGACATTTAGACACGTGGACTTACCATGACTGTAGACAAAGCGAGCTAGAAATATCGATGGAGAGCTGCCCTGAACTCCAGACTCATCTGCCGCCTAGTCATCTCCACCTGGATGTCTATTACCATTCTCAAGCTTAAAAACGACCTTCCAATCTCTCCCTCTCAGACTATTCTCAGCACAGCAGCAGAGCAATCCTGTTAAAAAGTCAGTCGAATCACGTTACTCCTTTCTTAAAAACCTACCGAATGGCTTCCTTTGTTCCTCAGAGTAAGGCCTAAGTCATCATTGAGTCCCTGCCTGACCTTCATACCCCGCCGGCCACATCCTTGTCCATCACTCCCACTGCTTCAGGGCACTGGTTCACATGCAGTGCCTTGAATTGGTCAGGCACCCTCCGGCCTCCCGCCCATGTATGTGCTGCCTTTGCCTGGAATGCTCAGATACCCACATAGGGCACTTGTGCATCTATTTATGTCTCTATGCAAATATGCCTTGCTCAGCGAGGCTGTACCCTTCACTCCCCTATTGAAAATCCCGAGGCACTCCCCTCCCTTTCCCTGCTCTATTTCTCTCCATTGTACTCCTCACCATATCTTATGCCTTATATGTTGTAATCACTTATTTTGTTCATTGCTGTATACTCCCTCCAGATGTGAACTACATGAGGACAAATTTCAGCCTCTTTTGCTCATGCTTCATTTCCAATGCAGAGAACACTGCCGGGCACAAAGTAAAATGCTCAGTGTAGAGCTCCTGAATTAATACATGAATGAAGGATGTATGGAATTTTGTTTTTTAAAATAAAGAGACTAGATGTGAAAAAGAGCAAGAGTGCACCTGGCTACACGAGAGTACTAAGGATCCCAGCAAGTTAATGGCCTGACATGGTTGAATGTTCTGGCAAAAAAAAAAAAAAAAAAAAAGTGAATATTGGCTATGCATATTAGATATGCTTACCCAAATGAGTCAGGCAACACTTTTACTCTATAGAAGTACAGTAACCGTTCAGTAATGATGGATTTCTGCATTTGTTTCTCAAGTTTATTTATTTTTTTCTTTTGAGACAGGGTCTCACTCAATTGCCTAGGCTGGTGTGCAGTGGTGCAATCATAGCTCACTGTAGCCTCTATCTCCACGGTTCAAGCAATCGTCTCACCTCAGCCTTCCCAGCAGCTGGGACTATAGGCATGTGTTACCATTACTGGCTAATTATTTTGCTTTCTGTAGAGACGGGGGTCTCACTATGCTCCCCAGGCTGGTCTCAAACTCCTGGGCTTAAGTGATCCTCACGTCTCAGCCTGCCAAAGTGCTGGGATTATGGGCGTGAGCCACCAAGCGTGACCATGTAAGTTTCAATTTCTCCATATCCATATATTTATAAACTCTTCTCTCTCTGTCCTATTCCACTGTCCACAGTTATGTCTGATAGCCTTTAAGCTCATATCCTTCAGCCATGCATCTTTGGGTAGGTAACTACCTCTGTTCCTCTTTATAGAGCAAAGGGTTTAGATCCCACTAAGCAAATCGCACTTCGGAGTTCAGCAGATGCTGGAAGTTTGTTGGAGGCAGGGCAGGGCAGGGCTTATAGATGTTTGGGGAGACTGCTTTTTTCTCTTCTGCTCCAAGATACTTTCTCTTCCTTGGGCTCACAACAGCAATTTCAAAAAAGAAATGATCTCTCAGGTGAAACAGAAGGCCTTATTAACCAAGAGGGCAAAATATTTAGGTGAGAGAAGTTATCACTACATTACCCTTGGTATTTATAATTTGAGGTGAGCTCACTTCTGCTATTAGGTACAACACTCACAGCTGTCACCTCCTTGAGTAGTTAACAGGAACGAAAAATAATGTCATCAGCTGCTGTGTCACACTGTTCCTCTGTACCTGAGAAAGTCCTGATGCCAACAATTTTGAAGATCACTATTAAAGATTATTTTGCTACCATTTTATACCTCGTGTTTCATTAAGTTCCTGAGGAGCTAATTTTTATTTCCAGCTCAGGAACATTTGTTTTTGTAATGTGGTTCATATTTAGTGGCATTGTACCTTCTCATGCCTGTCACCTCATACTTTAGCAAGATTTTTGCTAAAAAGAACCAAAGCATCTTGATTTCAAACATGGAGAAAAGCTGAGTCTTGGTACCTGTTCTATGCATTAACTTTCCACTATGGAGTGAAAATATGTCCCTTCCATTTAATAGACTCTAGTGTGTGGAAGTGAACTTATAAAACAAGATTTCAAAAATGTCATTCAATTGCTTCAATGACTTATTCAAAAGCAGACCTACATGAAGCTGAAAAAAGAAAATAAAACCCTAAAGTATGAATTTAGGAAGAATATAACCATGTAACTTAAGTCAGCTACTATATTCAATTAAAAAAAAACCCCACAAAAAACAGCCACAAAAATAAAGAAACAAAACTCATTTCTGGTTGAAAGAGATCACAAAAACACAAGAAGAATTTACACAAGTGAAATCTATAATGCCCCAGGAAACAGCGTTAAACTGGAGTATTAGAGAATTGAAAACCCTAGAAACACAGAAGTGACAGAGTCTTTAAAGAAAGGGTCTTTAAATCCTCCTGGCCTTCAGAAAAATACTCTCACATGCATTTGAGAGAGGGAGAGATAGATAGACAGAGAGAAAGACAGATGGGTGTTATCTTTCTCCTTAAAATCCTCTTAGACATAAATCTTATAAATTGCTTTTCTCTTAAGAAAGTTTTCCAGACTTGAGATTATATAACTTTTAAAGCTGGAAGGTCTGTCAGAGCTCATTTAGTCCAAGAACTTGACTTTACAGATGGAAGCACCAGGGTCAGAGGAGGTCAGTGAGTTGCGGGCAGGCAAGGTTGGACCACAGGAGTCCTAACTTCTCACCCTGATGCCTGTCTCTAGTAACCAATGTCAGAGACAACCCACGTACAACAATCTCCTTGGAGAGTTATGCAGTTTGCTCAGAGTAAAAAAATTCAATGTCTCATTTGACAGATGAATAAGCAGATGCCCATGACAGTTTATCTCATATAAAATCCAGTGAAAATAGAGTATGTGTATCACAAACTTTTTTCTTTGTAAAATAGGATTACAATCCCTGGTACAAATACAATTGTATGTAACAGCCACTATTAAAAAACAGTGGAAGCTGAGTTTGTCTAAAGAAGCAGGGGGTGGTTCCTGACTCCCACTCTATAGTGAGCCTCAAGAGGGAATCATGAACGCACAACTGTGCTACCCCTGCAGGAGGAAGAATATTGGTATCATTTTCAGCTTACATGTCTCTAAGACGACCTGAACTTCTTTATCTATTTCTAAGCCATTCATCATTTATATGGCTCTCCTTCCCAAGCCCTAACATTTATTTTTGGCAGTGTTGTTGGGATGGGGAGGTAACACCCAGGGATTGAGCATTTGCTCTGTTCCAGGCACCAGTCTGGCTCTCCGTGAGCTCTGGAAAGGAGTCAACAGAGTTCTGGACTAAACAGCTTAATAAGTGCCCAGGCACCTGCCACCAAAAAGAGTGTGGCCCCAAGTGGAGTTGGAATGAGTCATCTCAAGCCTTGAATGACCTTCAGGGAGTTGGCCCGGTGGCTTGGGTCACAGGAGAGGCAACACCTTCATGGAGGGAGGCTTCGGTCTGCAAATCAGGAGAGTTTTATTCTACTGTGACTAGGAAGGAAGGTATTCTATGGAATTTTGGGCTAGTCTCATTTCTCTTTTGCCTCATTTTTGTAATTCTGAGGTTGTGAGAGTGTGAATGATATCTATTCACTTAGATTACTGTAAATAGTAGCCTGATACATGAGCAATTTGGGGGAAGGGATATTTTTCAGAAATTAACAACAACCTCTTTAAGTATTGATGGGGGAACTGAGAAAAGTATTTGAAGTTGAGGTAGGCAACAGCTTCACTGCATAAATTGGAAAGAAAGTTTGTGCATACTTACATTGAGAGAGTCAGAAAAGAAAAAAGCAGTGTTTCTATGCAGTATTATGCTTTAGACTCCTTTGCTTTGCACAAAACAGCAGTCATGACTCTCTTACAGCAAATGGCTTACAAAACAGTTGAACTTTCCCTTTAAACTAGTAGCTAAAGAAACGAAAGCCAAATATTCAAAACAAAACAAAACTGTTAGGTTTCCCTTCAATTTCGACCGTAATAATTTTTGCAGAATTCAAATGCAGCCATTGAAGATAAAACATTTGCTGATTATGAGACAAGAGAACATTGCCCCAGATGTCAGATTATTTATCGCCACAGAGCTGAACATCAGAAACCAATTCACACATCACAATGGCTGTAGCGCCAATCATGAGCTACCTTTTCTCTTAAACAAAGTCATATTCTTCTTACTTTCATGAATTTTTGAAGCTGAATGCTTTCAAGGCACTTGGAGATTGATCTTCCAATTTAAAGTACCATATCAGCTAAAGATTTTTATCTACAGGCCCAGGGCCAGTAGCTGGCATTTGGAATCCCTGGGAGAAGACAAACACAGGCAATTGCTGCAGTATGCGGTGTTACGTAGCTGTATATCAGCATACTCACCAACTCTCTCTGCTTCTGGGGAAGTAGCAAAGAATCATTCACTCCCTCAGTAAAGTCACATAAAGGAAAGAATCCTAAGAAACACACTAATGCATTACGCAGTAGGATTTTATGGCCAATCAACTCCATTCATCCAGCCCTAACTAACCCCTTGCAGGATGCTGTGTTAGATACAATGAAGAATTACAAAAGAATAAGCAGTGGGGTTATGATTTACCCAAAAGATAAGTTTCAGTGAGAAAAGGAAAATAATATTCTGAAATATTTGAACATAGTAAACACAACAGAGATATTTCTTAGAACTATCTTATTTTATTTATTTTATATATGTTTTGAGGCAGAGTCTCACTCTGTCACCCAGGCTGGAGTGCAGTGGCACAATCTCTGCTCACTGCAACCTTCACTTCCTAGGTTCAAATGATTTTCATGCCTCAGCCTCCCAAGTAGCTGGGATTACAGATGCACACCACCATGACAGCTAATTTTTATATCTTTAGTAGAGCCAGGGTTTCACCATGTTGCCCAGGCTGTTCTTGAACTCCTGGCCTCAAGTGATTCACCTGCCTCATCCTCCCAAAGTGCTGGGATTATAGGCGTGAGTCACTGTGCCTGGCAGAACTATTATTATCAAGACACTACCCTTTTATCCATGGCGATCACAATTAAGGCTCTAGATACAAATAGTTTTGGAACAGAAAAACATAAATACTTACCCAATCCCTGGTAGATTTTGCAAGAGACGAGACTCAATTCCACTGGAATTCAACTAAATTCCAGTGATTCCCTGATTTATATTTGTACTTTGTATGTTGTTTCTACTCGCTTCAGTTCTCAGGTTTGGCAGCCTGAGACTGCCACCTTCATGTCAGTCCCTTACTTTCCCCATTCCTTTCTGAAATTTTCATGCTTCAGTGAAGTGTTTCCACCCCTTCCACATAACCCATGATGCACAATAACTTTGAAGATCAGCACGTTTTTATTCTCCCACATTGTACTATGTCAGGCAGGGATTGTCAATAGGAGTAAGAACAAGACTCATCCACGGCACAAGTTTCACAGAAGGTACCTTCCTCTTACGAATTTGGAATCCTGATTTCTCGAAGTGATTGTCCCCTCCAAGTGCCATGATATACAGGTATCCTATTTTGTATAGAGAGCTGCTTCTGTTGATGATCCTAATTTTTAACAATTAAATGGAAACTGAAACTTGGGAACTGAAAGGTTGATTAGAGATGGACCAACCGGTCCAATCTGACTTAAAGGTAAGGACAGTTATGCCCAAAGAAAGTAAGTATCATGCTGATGGTTATTCGGCTTGTAAGCAGAAGCTTTATCACTCAAAATGTTAATTCTGAGATAGCCGGTTGTTCTTAATTGAGTCAGGTCGAATATCTAGGTCTTATTAAACTCAATCAGGACTTCTCCAAAACATCACTTTTATCTCCAGGTATATTTGTCCTGCATTTGGGAGCACTACCCAAAATCTAAAATAATGCTCAGAACCATATCATCTCATATTATCCAGAGGACAGACATTGAGACCAAATTCTAAGGTCAGGAAGCAAGAAATATGCATGTTTTTGTGTTCTGGTTTATGAAAATTGGAAAGAGACTAAAGTGAACACATTTCCTTCCCATATGACTCTACTTCCTAATTCTCAGAGAAACACACAATGAATCAAGAAAAGCTTTGGAGTTCCCTTTGATTCTTTGACAGCTGTAGAAACACGAATGAATAAGACAGGACCTGAAGTAGCTTCCTTGCAGAGGAAATACTGACATACAAAAACATGAATCAAGACAGTCTGTAGTAAGGTGCTAAACTGTATGCAACAGAATGGAGTTCAATGGAACGTAATCTAGGAAGACACGCTGAGCCTTGAAGAGGCCAAGGGAGAAAGCATAAAGGAATGCACAGAATTAGCATGATGGACTAGTGAGGAAACCAGCCTGGGCAAAGCAGAGCCGAGTGCTGGGGCACAGCAGGAAATAAGGCAGGAATTAGTTTTACGTACGCCCGATTAAAACCTCTGCACAGAGATTTAGACTTGATGCATTATGGAAAAGAGCGCACAGTCAAGTTCATCTATCCTTTAGATTGCCTTCTGCCATGACTTACTGAACTACTTGAGAAGCAGAGGTGGAAACAAGGAAGCTGCCAAATGAATATGAAAACTCATTTTCATTAGTCCTAAGTGGCAGATTTCTGAGCTCTTAATTCTTGTGTTTATTCAACAGAATATTGCTGTCCATCTTTTCCCCAAGTAAACTGTATTTTTCTTCTCTCCTTTTGTTTCGACTTTCTTTTAAACTGACTCTCTCTCTATGTTACTCTCTCTCTTTGCAACTCTATGTATATACAGCCAAAAGAGAGATATACATATATATATATATTTATATACAGATGAAAAAAAAAATATATATATATACAATTTTCTTTCCAACTGTAGTCATTAGTGACCACTATTTTCCCTATTCAGTAAAGTGCCAATTTTAAGCATGGGGAAAAGAGCACCACCAATGAAACCCCGCATCTTTCTGCACAGTTCCATCTATCCTGAAATCTGGGCTATTGCTTAGAAATCATCTCCACATATGTCAGGTCTAACACTGAAGCCAGGAGTTGTTACTACCTAAACCTCTAAGTGAAATGATAAAAACTATACTTTTCCCCAAATAAACTAAATATAAATTTAATGTTTTTTAACTTTTGAAAGAGAAAACATATAAAAAAGCTATTTTTAACATAAAATATTAGAGATATTTTATCTAGAAAATTTCAACAAATCCTAAGGAAATTCAATATCAATCATTATTTGGTTTCTTTAGTGAGAGAATGAAAGGTCCGATTTTACCACCCTAACCAAGTTTCTTTTAATACTTATGTGTAAGAACAAGGACTGAAGGGAAGCACAGAGGGCTCTGACAACTCAAGGCAGCTAATAAGGATGTAGATGCTAATTCAAGCTGAACCACTGACTCTCCACATTACTATAAGCAAATCATTCTGATGCCCTGCTCTTCTGGCCAGTCCTGGGGCCACAGTGAATCAAAAGCAATACTATATAATAGAAATCATACTTCTTCTGAGATCAGCTTGGGCAACAAAATGAGATGCCATCTCTACAACAAACACACACACAAACAAACAAAACATTAGCTGGGCATGGTGGCTCACGCCTGTGTTCCCAGCTACTCAAGAGGCTTAGGTGGAAGTATTGCTTGAGCCCAGGAGGTCGAGGTTACAGTGAACTATGACTGCATTACTGCATTCCAGCCTGGGTGACACAGTGAGATCCCCTCTATAATAAATAAATAAATACATAAAATAAAACAAAAATCATACCTCCGTATATAAGTTCTCCTACTTAAACAGAATTTCTTTTACTCCACTGTGTTTTGTAAAATTTACTCAGACTTACTCAACTTAGATTCCTTAGGGGGAAATATGTGGGTATGTGTGCATGTGTATATATTAAAATGTACTCAACTCAAGGTCCTTCTGGGGAAAATCATACATACGTGCTGAAGTTTTCATTTTCTTGTTACATGAGTTTTTTTTAATAATATAATCTTTGATAAAATATTTCAGATTATACTAATATGCTAGCTTTTACTCTCTCCTGAGAGAACTTTCAGTAGTGAAACTGTATAAATCACTGGGAATGCATTTTCCTTGAAAAGCATAATGTGCTATAAAGACGGTTTCACTCTTTTTGCTTTTTAATGCCAGGCTTCCTCGATAGCCTGAGGGTACAGGAAATGTGACATTACCAAGAAGAAGGGCGAAGACAGCTGGAAAGGAGGAGAAGGACCATAACTGCTGGGTTCTTCCCCAGCACAGAGCACGTGTGAACAGCACTGTCAACACTCACACAGTGTGACTCTGGCATAGATTCTGGCTGAGACGAACAGCAGAGTGACACACTGCCCAGGATGTGAATGTTAGCACGTGTACTCACAGTAGAAAGGAAGAAGAAGCCTACAGAAAGCAGAGTAAGGGAGATAGTTATGGTTAGTTATGTTTACACTGATAATTGTGTAAACCACTAATAATTCCTTGAAAGTGTAGGCTACAGAATTGCCAGGGTAAGCAGAAAGCTATTGTGATCTATAATAAGGAAGTGAGAGAAATATTGAGTGAAATGTCCAAATGGCATGTGGGATGCCTAAAGCATCAACATGGTAAAATTTAGAGGCTGGAGGAGGGCACTTAGTGAAGTCTTATAGTTCAGAAGGGAAAATAGAGTCTGATGTCAACTGGTTACCCGGTTAAATCTACAATTTGGAATTTATAATATACAGTGAATGTATATGTTACTCCACTTGGCAGTATCTGGCTAAATAGGGTTAAATAAGGAAATTGTTAAAATATTTAGATTGTAACAAAAACTTATTTTAAAAACTTATTCATCACAGAAAGTTATACATTATATCATTTACATCCCTCAATGATCTCCTAGAATTTTTATAAACTCTGGTTGAAGACCTAAAGCTCTTTTAACAAATTCATTTTTTTCTTTTTCTTTTCCTTTCTTTTTTTTTTTTGAGATGGAGTGTCGCTCTGTCGCCCAGGCTGGAGTGCAGTGGCACGATCTTGGCTCACTGCAACCTCCACCTCCCAGGTTCAAGCAATTCTCCTGCCTCAGCCTCCCGAGTAGCTGAGACTATAGATGCATGCCACTATGCCTGGCTAATTTCTGTATTTTTAGTAGAGACCAGGTTTCACTATGTTGGCCAGGCTGGTCTCAAACTCCTGACCTCAAGTGATCCATCTGCCTCGGCTTCCCAAAGTGCTGGGATTACAGGCGTGAGCTACTCCGCCCGGCCCAGTTCATTTTCTAGCAATCGTTATGGATTACAACAAGAGTTATACATATGTGTGTGTGTGTGTGTGTGTGTGTGTGTGTGTGTGTGCGCGCGCGCGCGTATAACCTATGTTGAATTCTGTCAGCAAAAAGTAACTTTATTTATTTAGCTTGGATAAGCATGGGACTCACCCAGGCTGGAGTGCAGTGGCACGATCACAGCTCCTGGACTCAAGTGATCCTCCTGCCTCAGCTTCCCTACTAGCTAAGACTACAGTCGTGCGCCACTACGCCTGGCTAATTTTTAAATTTTTTGGTAGAGACAAGGATGAGGTCTCGTTGTGTTGCTCAGGCTGGTCTCGAATTCCTAGGATCAACTGTTTGTCCTGCCTGGGCCTCCCAAAGTGCTGAGATAACAGGCTTGAGCCACCACACCCAGCCCAGGATGCCTGTTTTCAACATAGCCGTCAACACCACCTCTTGATGAATGCCCATTCCTAAAGTTTCCATTTTTGAAGGACAAAATGTTTTGATCGGGAGTCACGTTTTGTTTTATATCCCATTTCCCTTACAGCCAGTAAGACTTATCAAGCATCACTTTTACATACGTGCTTATGTGAAAAATACAAAAAAAAAGCATGATATAATTGTGAACATTTTCCTACACAAAGAAAAATATAAACACCAAAGTGGGAAAAGTGAAAAAATATATAATATTAAAATATTACACATGGCAACTAAATTATGTTGTGAGTTGGATAAAATTAATAACATTTAATTGATTTCATTTCAATAGTTTCTTAACTGATCATCGTTCATTACGGCAATACTGCTCCTTATTGTAGTGCATTTACTCAAATAGAAATGATCAGCAAAATAAAGGAGATGAAAGTACTAAGTTTCTGAAACTTTGCCTTTTCCTACTCTTTGGTCATGAACAAAAGCCCTGCATGATCTTAAATCTTGTGGAACAATAGGAACCAAGCAGAGACTCCTTCCAACCCTTCATCTTCCTACACTCCTAATGCAAATCTCATAGAATGTGGACCTTATAGATCAGTTAGGAATACTGCCAAGCAAATTCTGCAATGCTTTTACATTATTTTATATTTTATTAGTCCCCAAAGCACCTAGATATATTTGAATATATTCGTTGTACATACGTGCAGGACATCCGTGATTTTTGTTTTAACCGTGCCTGGTACATAAATGGATTGAAGCACTCCTAGCAATCATTCACCCTCCAGATAGTACGTAGTTAACAGGTGGGGAACCACTGCGATAGGTGGTTAGGTCAGATCTAGAGACAGCGGAGGTGAAAATGGAGGGAAGAGAAGAAAGGGAATCTGAGAAAGCCCCGGTGTCAGTAAGAGGAGCCTAGGGTGTGTGGGATGGAATGTGGAACAAACTGAAAGATGTAATACTTCACTGTTTTCATTTGAAATAACTCCTCAAAAAGTCATTTAGAAGACAGTGAATTAGACTTGTGCCTAACTCATACACAGATTGGATACTCTGAGGTAGAGAAGGCACAGATAAATTATTCATTAATTCACACAGTCAACTTTCCTCCTGGCAAATGGTAGACAGAAGATTGTGATCTGAAATTTTTACTGAGATTACATATTCAGCAGTTGTAGTGGCGAGGCTTAGTTTCTGGGTCTGCATCACTCTGAATGAAGGGCAATGTGATCTCTAGAGATAAACCAGATTGCTAAGAAATCTAAATAACCCCTTGAGCTTCACTGGCTTGAGTGGTTGACCAATGCCATTACATAGTGTAACACTCAATATTCAGCAGCAAGGTTAATGTGTTTTGATAGATAATTTAAATTATAGAAATAATATAAAGAACAAAAATAAAATAGTTAGCTAATTTCAAGGGGTCTATTGTGCCCTTAGAGAGAGGATGAGTTGATTAACGAAGTAGACATTTCCAAACGCAAAACATCTAATGTCCATCAGAATAATCTCTCTGTGTTAGGTCTACTGCTATCTTTTATTATTCTATTTTATGCATTAAATTCTCTACTACTTTCTAAAGATTCTAGTCTATAATATGGACCAGACCTCCTTTGAAGATGAAAACAATTTTATATAATTAAAAGGTCACAACCATGAAAATCAAGTATATTATGTATAAACTCAGGGTCATATAAGTTGAAAACAAGAAGCACCTATTTTATGGTTAAATATTTAATAATGTCTCCACCTCTGCCTAACATGAGAACAAAACAAATTAACATTATCTTCTTTAGGAGAATGTGGTTCAGTTTATGTAAATTGTTAAATGGTAAACTGAGGCACAATGACATGTTAAAGGCAACTCGAAACCGGAAATGGGCTGGGGACTCTGCTGAGGGAACACAAAGGCAAAGCTTTTTAATAGGATGAACACAGAGGCAAAGCAAATATTTGAGGGGTTACAGTTATACAGTTACCTTACCATGCTGCTGGAAAGTCCCAACCTGCGGAAGTATAAGTTGGTGACTTCTCATTGATCAGCCTTAAGTTTCATTTTTCTTTAATATAAGCATTTACAAGAAAAAGCTCAAGTTAAGTTTCACTTATGTTTGCAAATCAAGCAAAGTTAAGGTGACTTATGAGGCCTGTCTTAGTCTTCTCACAGATTCTTCAAGTCTCCATTTTAATTTATTATAACGAAAGATATATTAAATATAAATGAATATCTCATATGGCTAAATTGCTTTTATTATTTAATACCCATATTTCTCGATAAATATCAGATATATATTTTATATGGGATAGGATGAAACATATCCATGATGCTTTGTCCCAAGATCCAAAGACATGCCTATCAAATAGGTAAATAGCAAAAAGGCAAATTGGTGATTATACTAGAGACAATATCTGCATTCTAATGATCTCATCAGGAACTAATAATAAGACATGGTGAACTGGATAATACAAACAAATACACATAGGTTAAACAAAATGGAAAAACATCCAGAAACGATTGGAAAATCTTGGCTACAAAGTAGGACATCTCACAAAACATCTAGCATTTTAATTGGCTATAGATGCAAATCAACAGCATAACACAGCTTACCAAAAAGTGAACACGAACAAGTTGTGTTAATGAAATGAGAGTGTGTAAAGGACAAACACGAATCTTTTCATGCCCTGATTCTGTCAGGAAACCTCTAGAATATTCGGTTCAATGTCTGAATCCTCATTTCAAGTGGTACATTGGTATCTAAAAGGCAGAGTATGTCCATGATGGGATTTGCACTGAAAATATGTCACAGAGGAGAGAGAGAAAGAAAGGGAATAGCTGCTGTGCCTGAAAAGAAGCTGAACTAATGAAAACAGGGTAGCCGTCCAAGTCGGACTCTATGCCTGCCTTGATCCCCAGCTCTCACAAACATGAAGTGATCACACGCAGCACTCACAGCCTCCAGTGACCTGGCTTCCCCCATCCTCTAGCCCTGCTCCTCTGCTCCCACTTTTACTCTATCTTCTAGCATTATGGAGCCCCTTAGATTTTCCTCATATGCTGCTGTGTCTCCATGCTATTTTGCTACTATTCTTCCCCTTGAAGTGCCCTTTTACCTCTGCTTTTCTTCTTCATGGGATAAATCATCCTCATGTTTAAGACTCAGCTCAAACTTATCTACTCTAGAAAACATTTTGTGACCCCCCTTCGTCCCTATTCCACCTCTCTGTCCCATCCAATGCCCCTCCTCTGGAATCCTGTAGCATCTTATACATATATATTTTTAGCATATAGTGAATTAAAATGATCTGTGTATGACTGTCTTCCGTAGCTGGTGAACTGCTAAGCAGAGATTCTATCTGATAGTGGCTGTGAAAAGACATCTGATGAAATGGGCTCGATGTTCCTCATGCTAAAAGGTAAATGAACTTCCTTAATCACAAATGTATATACTAAGTGCCTACTGAGTGCCAAGCAGTAAAGCTCAGTGAGCTAGACAATACCAGAAGGAAAGAAAAAGTGAACAGGAACTCATTTAAAAATGAAACAACTTTCTAATAACCATATTTGTCTAAAGATGGAAAAGAATACCTGGTAATAAAGTATGTTAACCATCATTGATAGTGCAAGGAGTACTATATAAAAATGATTTCATGATTGGGAGGCTATATTAGATCGTTAGGTACTTTCTAAGATTTCTTCCAATCCTAACATTCTATAGTCTCAACTACTTATTCCCCATTTCAAAGGTGAAGGAGATCCATTTTCATCTTTAAATGACACATCCATAGCCATGTAGTTCTACATGTAATTAAAACCAAAGCTATTCAAAGAAAGCTTTTGCTGCAGAGAAGCAGGATACAGCCAGACACAAACTGCAAAAATGTGAGCTAGTACTTAGCACTTCTTCTATCTAATTCCCTTAATTAAGAAAGTAAAAGGAATTCCCGGGCAGTCCCTGTGTAGGTGTGTGTGTGTGCACAGTGTGTGTGCATGCAGGGATGCTGTGCATATCTGTCTAAGTGGGTTATATTATCAGAAATAACTGAGGAGAAGACACTGAACCCTTACAGTGTGCCCTTGCACCGTCAGGAATCAGTGGCCACACTGCGGGACAAATAAAACAAATGAATGCATTTTGTACTACATGACACTAAATTAAATGATTGTTAGCATTTAATTACTTGCAAGGAAATAGGAATAAAACTGGTCATTGTTCAAATGACTCCTGATCCTGTGTCTAGACATGAAAAGCAATAGATTTTAAAATCCTCAGGGACACAGCAACATCCAGGTGCTACGTGGGCAACACAGCAGAGTGCCAGTGGGCACACTCTCTGTACCCAGACTCCCTGGGTTTGAACCACCCTCAGTAATCCCTAGTTATGTGTCCCTGGCAAATTTACTCAATTTCAGCATGCCTCTGTTTCCATATCTGTAAAATGGATGTAATATTACTTATGTCATAGAATTGAGAGAGGAGGATTAAATGAGATCACCCCTGTAAAGCACTAAGAACAGAGGTGTAACATGGTAAGTATTCACAATATTGCCTTCTATTATTATTATTATTATTTTATTATTTTTTTTTTGAGACGAAGTCTCACTCTGTCACTAGGCTAGAGTGCAGTGGTGTGATTTCGGCTCAGTGTAATCTCTGCCTCCCGTGTTCAAGCGATTCTCCTGCCTCAAGCCTCCGGAGTAGCTGGGACTACAGGCACGTGCCACCACGTCCAGCTAATTTTTGTATTTTTAGTAGAGATGGGGTTTCTTCATGTTGGCCAGGATGGTCTCAATCTCTTGACCTCGTGATCTGCCCATCTCGGCCTCTCAAAGTGTTGGGATTACAGGTGTGAGGCACCGTACCGGGCCTGCCTTCTATTATTATACCAGGACGCATTTTCATACTGAGTGGTTCTGCAACTATCAATACAAAGTAAAATAATATTACTGACTAGAAAACTAACAGAGTAGGTATCTTTCCGTATTGCTTTTAATTACCAAAAATGCCCATATATGAGATTTAAAAAATTCTTCCATTCATTTAAATGAATTCTTATTAAAATTTGTTTGAAGTGATATTTTAAAATAATTTTTAAGTAAATATTAAATAAAATGCATAATTTAAGAAATACAAAAAGACTTTATGAATAGTCCTAAAATCTGATCTACTACCAAATATGGCCAAAGAGGATAAAGAAAATTCTAGATGAAAAATACTTCCATTAAATGTTTAAGTTGAATAAAGGCAAGGCCTATGTCCTCCTCCTCACTTTATCTTGGTAATTGGTGCCCAGAACTTCAATATTTAAAAGAAAAATAAATGGATAAATGTGCAATTAATCAATTCTGGTTCATTTCAGCATATCCTATGGAAGGGCAGTTGCCATCAAATTCAATAGGTGCTCTTTGTACATCATCTTTGTATTTTTTTAATGTGTTTTTTCTTTTAGATAGATTTCAGTTACTTCAGAACATTAAACTACATGAATGAGAAGATATGATTTATAAACATTTTCTCTCAAAATGAATGACTCCCTACTCATTAAAAATAATTTGGTTAATATTGGCTCAACTATTATGATAACGAAAGCAAATAGTCTTTCTGAAGTCAACATTTCTTTAAGCATCACATATGAAGATATTTTCCCACAACTTCTCATAAATATAAATAAGTCATATGTGCTTTGTTAAATTACGTTCTGTAGGACCAGGGTTGGTGAGGCAAAATCAATTATAAAATGGAAAATTCATAAAGTCCATCCAGGAGCTTCCTGTATTTTTAGGAAAAGGATGTTGAGATTTCTTGGAGCCACAGAAATCCTTGTATATTGAACTAAAAATAGAGAGGGAAAGAGAAGATGTGGAAAGTGCATCCATTTGCTCTAAACATTCCAAGGCAATCATTTGCTTTTCTCATCTCCATCCTCTTCCTCTAAGCCAGCAGATGTATGTGCTAGCTTGGCTCCCACACTGAACTCACATTTTGAGATCCACATCCGGTCAGAGGAACAAAGTTCAATGTCATTGTTCTCTGGTAAGTATTGTGTAAGATTTTCTCTTAATCCTTGATGATCTGTCAGTAGCTAGATTCCTGCCCTTGCATCAATAACTACTTCATAAGACTCATTCTTCACCTTCACTGACCTTCAACTCTACACTCTACCTCTGCCTCACCCTTGGTTCCCACTCTGCACTTCCTCCCAGGCAGTCTGCCACCTGGCTTCTCTAACTCCTGCCTTGAGCCAAATCCCGACAGGACTTGTTACTTTCACTTGCTCTTTTTTCCTCCCATTTTAGCAGCCAAGGATGGGAATTACACAGCGAAATGCAGGCTAATCAGCTAAATCTAGATTAAATATGCTAGTCCTTGGGGACCTTGAGCTGAATTAATGGAAACCGAGGTTTTTAATGTTCCAGACTAATTTTGGAAGCTCACTTCCAGCAGAGGCAAACTTGAGGCTGTCCAAAGGGAGCAGATGGCAAGGCTTTCTCCAGGTGCACCAACCTTTGAAACAGCCCTCGGCAAAACCATGAGGAAGGTAGGAAGATTGGAATCTTTGAATCTTACCTTTGAATTTCCTTTTGTGCTTTTCACTTGCTTTCCAGTGCTCCCCTGCCTAGCCAAAACATACCCACCTAGAACTTCTCAGGCTCCCCTTCCTTTCTCTGTGCATCAGACAAAATTCTTTCTCTCAAATAATGACAGATTTCCGGTAAATCTTAATCATATTAATGTAATTTTTCCTTCCTTCCTTCCTTCCTTCCTTCCTTTCCTCCCTCCCTCCCATCCTCTCTTCCTCCCTTCTTTCTCTCTTTCTTTCTTTTTGACGGAGTCTCCCTCTGTCACCCAGGCTGGAGTGCAGTGGCACGATCTCGGCTCACTGCAAGCTTCACCTCCCAGGTTCACGCCATTCTCCTGCCTCAGCCTCTGGAATAGCTGGGACTGCAGGCGACCACCACCACACCTGGCTAATTTTTTTGTATTTTTAGTAGAGACCGGGTTTCACTGTGTTAGCCATGATGGTCTCAACCTCCTGACCTTGTGATCCTCCTGCCTCGGCCCCCCAAAGTGCTGGGATTACAGGTGTGAGCCACTGCACCCAGCCCCTTCCTTCCTTCCTTCCTTTCCTTTCCTTTTTCTTTGTTTCTTCTTTTTCTTTCTTTCCTTCCTTCCTTCCCTCCCCTTCCTTCCTTCCTTCCTTTCCTTTCCTTTTTCTTTGTTTCTTCTTTTGCTTTCTTTCCTTCCTTCCTTCCCTCCCTCCCCTTCCCTCCCTCCCCTTCCCTCCCTCCCTCCCTCCCTCCCTTCCTTCCTTCCTTCCTTCCTTCCTTCCTTCCTTCCCTCCTCTCTTCAGTGTCTCACTGTTGCTCAGGCTGCACTGCAATGGTGCACTCATGTCTCACTGCAGCCTTGACCTCCCCGGCTCAACTGATCTTCCTGCCTCCGCCTTCTCAGTAGCTGGGACCACAGGTGTGTGCCATCATACCTGGCTACTTTTTTTGTTTTTTGGAGAGATAGGGTTTCCCTATGCTGCCCAGGCTGGTCTTGAACTCCTTGGCTCAAGCGATCCTCCCTCCTCAGACTCCAGAAGTGCTAGGATTACAGGCATCACCCACCATGCCCAACTATTAATATAATTAACACTGAATAGTTCAGTATGAGGAACTCTCTTAAGATATTTTGCTCTTATAGTGTGTTTATTAATCTCAGTGATATAATGGAATTTGAAATTTGTAGGATACACAAAAGATCATTTTGACCATGGAGTTACTTTTCATTTAGCTGATTTTTCAAAATAAATTATATTGAATAAAACTACCCATTAGCCAACCAACCTCCATCACTTCTTCTTGCAGGCCCTTTATAAGTAGCTCTACACTCCATCCAACTATACAGCCCTCAAGCTGGGAAAGAATGTAAATTTGAGTTTGCCACAGATAAAGCATGAATAGATTCCACTAATCACTTGCTTGGATGATAAAAATACAATGCCACAGACTAGAGAGCACAGAAAATCACTATAATGGCAATTTGGGCATAAATGCTTATCCTAAGAACTGGAGAACTCCTAGTGGGCTAAATCATTTTTGAAGGCCTCGCTAGATCAACGGGGAGCACAGAGCATAGGTATCTTCAGAGCTGACTGGGGAGGACCTTTGCTTCTTTATTTGTCTGTTCACTTTTTTCTTTATTTCCCTGATTAGCAGGCAACAAGAGGAGATCAAGAAAGTAAAAATAATTATTTCAATTGCTCTTTCATACTTCCAGCAAATTTCTATCTAAAGACAGCAGACAGCACAAGTTTCTCCAGGTGCACCAGTTGCTGGAAAGTCAAAACTAAAAGCTCAATGATATTTGGGTAAATTTCAGATGATTACATACATCCATGTCTTATGACAACAATGATCAAAAATCAACTGC
This sequence comes from Homo sapiens, assembly GCF_000001405.40. Lineage (NCBI taxonomy): Eukaryota > Metazoa > Chordata > Mammalia > Primates > Hominidae > Homo > Homo sapiens. The sequence continues at coordinate 4,266,782 of NC_000018.10, forward strand.
ATTCTGGGCAAACAAGCTGTCTGTGATTTTTTTAAAATGATTTTTGAAATCAGCATATGGGCTATATGTATAATTTTTAGTAACTCATTAGATAACATTTACAAGCAAATAAAAGACTCCAAGTGTAATCTTTATATAAATTTGGCATTTTGATCAAGTCTGATATCCATACACTCATCTCAGGTGCTGAGTTTACTAATGTGCTCACCCACCCACTGATAGCTGCCTTAGTTGAACAACTCTTACCTTACTCTTTTGCAACTATTTGCCTTTTCTTTTTCTTCTGCCTGACTTTTTATTAGGTTTGTGTATTGGTTTGGGACATTTTATGACAATAGCTTATCACAAACACAATATCCTGATGAGACTGAAGACCAATATTTGTTTCTATCACTGTAATGAGTGTGTGTGTGTGTGTATCTATCTACCTATCTAATGAGCCTAATATTACAGTCAACTGCTGTCTTAATACTGTGATTAATGCTATGTCTTACCTGCCCACCTGTGCACCTAATCTTTACAACTTCTAATTTGTGGCAGAGATAAATGGACTATCAATGGGAAACTACAAAGATTACTTGCTATTGCTCCTTCCCTTGCAGAAACATTTTGTTGCCCTACAAATTACTTTGGTTAAACTCTACAGTTACATTGTCTGGTTATAAAATGCTTAATGGGAAGTTTCTCCCCACCTCCATTTGTTTTAACAAACACAAGAATTAGAAGATATGTGAGTAATCATAAAATCTCATCTTGCACCCAAAGGAAATATTCCTGTCAGATGGTATATTACTTATCTACAGCTGCATACAAAATTACTCCAAAACTTAGCAATTTAAAACAACACACATTTATTATCTCACCCAATTTGAGGTTTGGGATTGTGGGAGCAGTTTAGTTGGGTGGTTCTGGCTCAGGATCGCACATGAGGCTGCAGTGAAGCTGTCAGCTGGGGCTGCAGTCATCTGACAACTAGGCTGTGGCACAAGGATCCACTTCTACAAGCTGTTGACAAGAGGCTTCACTTCCTCACTGCGTAGGTCTCTCCACAGGGCCACTCACAACATGGCAGCCGGCTTCCCTGAGTGAGTGATCCATGGGAGTGAGAGAGATTGACCAAAATATACGATGCAGTGCCTTTTACAACCAAATCTTGGAAGGGACATACTATCACTTCTGCCATATTCTATTGGTCACATATCATTACTGAAATTCCGGACAAGATCACACAAAGGTGTGAATACCAACCAGGAGAGGGTGGTGAGCAGAGGCCATCTTGGAGGCTGGCTGTCATAGATGTTTGTTCAGTTTCTGACAGGATGGTTACTACCTCAGGTGGCAGCCTATTCCATCTCTGCACAATTAAAACTGTTAGACCAGCTCTTCTCAGACAGGCCAAAATTTAACTTCATTAGAGATGAGGGGAAAGAAACAAGTACAATTCCCTTGATGTTGATGGCTTATATATTCTTGTAGTTATTGGAATATGAACATTTCAAATTGACTGCTATTTTTGGAAATTTCAAAAAGGAATAAACAGTATTTTTTAATAATTTTATTCTACAGTGTAGTTAAATAGAAAGTATGCCGGGGAAGAAAAAAATAGTGAATAAAAGAGAAAGGGAGATTATGAATATAGACAGACTGGAGTGAATACCTATTTGATGCTGAAATAGGTATTAGGATAATATTTATCCCACAACTCTTGCCACACCGGCTGTAATTTATCTCTCCTCTCTTCTCTCCTTATAGTACCAGATTAATTTTCTATTTTCTAGTTTTAACAGCAGGGTTTGTGGGTTACAGCCATTCTAATATCTTGTAACTACAATTTCATTTATGTAATTTGCAGCAAAATATGGCAGAATTGTTAGGTTTCTATAAGAATTATTTTACATATTAAATATAGAAACTATTATTTTGGGAAGAAATAATTATTGAACTTGAAATACTCCATAAATACATATTCTTACTTCAAAGATAATAGATTTCATGTCTGCTTCTTGCTTGAAAACATATAAAAACCAATGGACTAAAATCAATGTATTTAATAACTTTTACATCGGTCCAGTACCAATTTTAAGAAATTACACAATACAGAGATCAGTAAAGAATAAGATCCACCATATAAATAATAATAATTTTGAAGAGTTCTTTTATTCAGTATTGTGTTATATATAATGTTTTTCTTGCTTAGCTATTAGCAGTTTTTTGGACATAATTTGAACAAAGCCAAAATGTAAATGTCAGATTGATGGATTATTAAAAATTGGCAAATCAGAGTAGTCCCAGTTAATATTAACTCTTATAATATCAAGAAATCCCTTTTAAAGGATTAAATAAATCCATTGCTACTTACTGAATTTCTCCCATATTGCAGTAAGATATAGTAAATGTATCCAACAAACGCCAGCCTGATCTTTCCATATATCTACTTAATTTTCATGTAATATTGACTACAATGTTGACTCCCTGAAAGTATAAATAATTTCTCTTTGGAAAACTATCACAATACCATTCATATTCTAATATTCATATTATTTTATATATACATATATATATATATATATATATTTTTTTTTTTCTTTTTGAGACGGAGTCTTGCTCTGTCGCCCAGGCTGGAGTGCAGTGGCGCGATCTCAGCTCACTGCAAGCTCTGCCTGCCGGGCTCACGCCATTCTCCTGCCTCAGCCTCCCGAGTAGCTGGGACTACAGGAGCCCACCACCATGCGCGGCTAATTTTTGTGTATTTTTAGTAGAGACGGGGTTTCACCGTGTTAGCCAGGATGGTCTCGATCTCCTGACCTTGTGATCCACCCGCCTTGGCCTCCCAAAGTGCTGGCATTACAGGCGTGAGCCACCGCGCCCGGCCATATTCTATTATTATTTTATTTTCACCGAGAAATAAAAGCCATTTGAAAGGGCCATTGACATAGTCTATAATTAATGTTACAGCTATAAAGTTAAAATGGCCAATGATAAGTCTAGTTATTAAACATCACAGACATTCTACCAATGCATACATTTATCTAGAAAATGCTAGGGCTGACTATGAGTACTAGGGGGAGAATTTCTTGAGTTCTGACTAATTTTGTCCTGAACTTATGTCTGTTTTAAATTCTGTTTGTAAAGTCTTCTTTCTAGGTTCCCTTTACAAAGGCCTTTTCTACTGCAGCTTGTTTCACTTTAGCATGCTAATGATTGAAATAGAAATTTATGCTATTCACAATAGGATCCTTCACATGTTACAGTAGCATAGTTTAAATGTTCAGAAGCTCTGTGTTAAAATTTAGTTTTTGACAAAATGGCTCAAGTTCCTCTTATTAAAGAACCGGATCTCTCTCATTCTCTGAGAAAGTCCCTTTGTAGATGAGATGCACTACTGCACTGTGTCATCACTAATACAGGGTGGTTTCATTCGCACTTGGCACCTCTCAGGTAGGTTGTTTTGCAATGGCTTTATTTCATTTTCCCCTCTTATTACCCTGCAGCTTATTTAACAGAAAGTGCAAAGCCAAGCCTCACTTTGTTCTTCCTCTGGGGACAACCTACTCTTAGGCAGCAACATTTCTCCTTCCAGCTCACTGTGTCAATGTCTCTCCCACTAGCTCAAATGGCATCATTTGGGAGGCGTATAAAACATTTGGTGTAGGACAGATGATTTGTTACTTTAAAACTTGAGTAAGTAACTTTTCACGAGAATAATTAATTTAGTGATAACATAATATTTTTCCAAAATATTTCACATTGATGGTTTCATCACACAAAACTAATAATTTTTAATGTTTGGAATATATTTTTCTGAAGAGGAGGCTTTATTGAAAATAAAGAACACTTACAAGAAAATAAAGAACACTTACACTGTCCCATCCCTCTCCTTCCCTCCAAATATACCTTCCAAAGCCTCTGACAAGCATTCTATGGCTATTACTAGTAGGTTCAATTTTAATTTAGTAATCAGGTGATTTTATAAGCTTACTTTCCAAAAGTAAAGTTCCAAGAACAACCTTTTATAGAACTGCAGTCATGCATTTAGTGTGGGCATTTCTGAGATGCTGTTTGCAGATGTTGACTTATACCTTAAGTCGTTTTCATGGTGAATGAGATTCCTTAATCACTATGTCCTTTTATTGTTTGATCCTATCACTAGAACATTTTATGAAGTAACAATTTTCATCAGAAAATTTTTCTTTCCCTTGTGGATTATTTTCCAAAGCTTAGAAACATAATTTTAAAGGCAGGTTTCCATCCTGACTCATATTCCAGAAGACACAGAAGCCAGCTGATTCACAATCCCCTCTATAAAGGGGGAGTATTCTTGACTTAGAAAGTGGTTGACAGCTTTCTCCAAGCTGGTTTCACACTAGAATCATTTGGGGAAGTTTTACAAAGAACTCAAGCTCAGATCCAATCCCGAGAGGTCCTGATTTAATTGGTCTGTGGTGAGTAGGCCCCAGGACCAATATTTTTGAAGCTCCCTCCCGAAGTACTTCTAATGATTGTTAATCATTAACCTCCAACCTCTAGTTGGAACATTTACAAATACTTTACCATGTTGTTCTTGCTTTTCATGATACTACCTAATTTCACATATATGAAGTGAGAGCAAGTAAGGCAATCTTAGAGAAACATATCATTTGCCTGGTATCCTTTGGGAATGATTATTATGAATGAAAGAATACTGCAAATAAGAAAAATTTGGCCTACCAATGGTGAATATTAAATATTTAACCAAATTTGTTGGGAATTTTTCTAATAAATATTATGTAAGTCTATACCTTGAAGAAAATATACTAAACATTATTTAATCTTTTCTTGATGGTTCAATATTATCATTGTAGACACCTGTAGTTGTATTAGCTTGTCTTTGTAATATTTCTACTCCTCCACTTAATGGTATCAGAGTTGTGAAAGTTTTTGGAGGTGGTGATTCTTATCATGCCTCAGTCTCAATTATTACTTCTTAGTGATTTTAACCCACCTATTTCCCTTTGCTTTTGACCTTTCTGCTTCAAATATAATGATGTAAATATTGATTATGCTGAAATGACTTAATATATTTTGAGAAGACCTTAAAGCTTGAGGGAACAGGTAATCATGCTCATTAAATCAAGTACCCTTTTTGATGCACACAATTCATGTTTAGTAGGCTCTGTGGTGAGAACACAGGAATGGCTCTTCTGCAAGAGAAAGCACTTGAAGACTGAGACCAAGTTTCCTCCTTGCAATTCTTTATCCATTTTTTTCTTTCATGACTGTATTCAGATATTTTAATATTTTAGGCTTATGATCTGTGCAGTGTATTCCAACTTTATGAAGTTAGGCTAATATTAAGGTAGAAGAGTATGAATAGTATTAAATGGTGTATTGCGTAAGAAATATATATTTATCTCACTTCTTAGAACTGCGTAATTCTTTGTCTACTTCTGTCATTAAAATTGCTTCTGAAGAACTGTCATCTACAAACTTATATAAGATTTCCTCATCTGCAGCTTTTTTGAAGAATGCATCAAAAAGTTACAGTATAAGGTGTGATGTGAATTCAGTTTATTTTACCTTTTTTTGTTCTTTGGGTTAAAGCCAGGAGAGATTTTTAAGTATGAAATATATATGTAATATTAGATGAATATATTATCTCACTAAATAGTATCCCTGAGCTAAAACTCCCTGTCAACCATGCAGAGCAACATAGCAGCCATGTGATGGCATTTCAGTTACAAAATACTGGAAAATGTTAAACTTGTCAAATAATAATCCGACTTAGTCCCTTAGCCCCCAGGCTGAGTAATTCCAGGCTATTTTCTCTGCCATCAGCAGGCCACCATGAGATCAGACTGTTTTGCAGCACCATATGAAGTAAAAAGCCAGAGACACAGATTCAACATATATAAAAGGATTTCCTATTGCCCTAACTCTTCTACGGGAAAGCGTTTTATAGTGGCCTACATTGTATGCCCTCAAAATATATGTTCAAGTGCTAACCCTTGAAACCTGTGAATGTGACCTTGTTTGGAAATGGGTTCTTTGCAGACATAATTAGTTATAACGAGATCACACTGGTTCAGGGTGGCCCCTACATCCAACGACAGGTATCCTTACAAGAAGAGGAGAGGTCACACAGAGAAAACCTTGTGAAGGCAGAGGTGGAGACTGCAGCTACAAGCCAAGGCATGAACAGTAAGGATTGCTGGGAGCCATGAGAAGCTAGGATGCATCAAGGAGGGATTCTCATCAAGGGCCTTCAGAGAGAGGAAGGTCCTGCCAGCACCTTGACTTTGAACTTCTAGCCTCTAGAACTGTAAGAGGATAAATTTCTGTTGCTTTACCACCTCTCCACACCCTATTTGTGGTAATTTGTTACTGCAGCCTCCAGGAAACTAATACAGCATTGAAACAAAAACTTTCCATTATAGCAAATTTGAGTGTGGAGAAGGAAAGCAATCATTTGTTAACCTCTCACCATGTTGAGAAATAGCCTGATCTCTTAAACCCTCCATGCACCCTGCCTCTCCCGCTCTTGCTTCCCCAGCATACATGGGTCTCCTCTTGGTACTTGCTCTCCTTTTCCTGGTCTTGGCTGAACCAAGAAATCCCTCACATACTTTACCCAGCACCACCAGGTATTACTGATGATGTTCCATGGCACAGCATTACAACCATTCTGTGAATGTTGTTTTTACAGAATGAAAGCAACACTGTCACCTAGGCTGGAGTGCAGTGGTGAGATCATAGTTCAGTGTAACTTCAAACTCCCGGGCTCAAGCAATCCTCTCACCTCAGCCTCCTGAGTGGCTATGACTACAGGTGGACGCCAAAATGCCTGGCTAATTTTTTGTGGAAATGGGGTCTCACCCTGTTACCCAGGCTGGTTTTAAATTCCTGGGCTCAAGCAGTTCTCCCAATTCAGCCTCCCAGATAGCTGGGATTACAGGCGTGAGCCACTGTGCCCCTCCTTAAGTTAATTTTTACATATGGTGAGAAATGGGAGTCCAACGTCATCCACTTTGTTGGTGTGTAATTGTTCATAGTATTTTCTTACAATGCTTTTTTAATTTTTGTAAAATCACTGGTAACATTCCTACTTTTACTTCTGATTTTAGTAATTTGTCTTCTCTCTTTTTTTTCTTGATCATCAGTCTAGCTAAAGGCTTGTCAATTTTTTTTATCTTTCTGAACAACCAGCTTTTAGTTTCATTGATTTTTACTATAATTTTTGTTGTTTTAAATTTCACTAATTTCTGCTCAAATCTTTATTATTTGTTTTCTTCTCTCTCATTTAGGTTTAGTTTGCTTTTTTTTTTTCCTCCGTCTTAAGGTGGAAGGTTAGGTTATTTATTTAACTCTTCTTTTTTCACAAAAGCCCTTACGGTTATAACTTTCCCTCTAAGTAACACTTTATCTGCATTCCATAAGTCTTACTATGCTTCCTTCATTTTCAGTCATCTCAAAGTGTTTTTGGATTTCTTTTTTAATTTCTTCTTTGACCCGCTGGTTATTTAAGAGTGTGTCATATAATTTCCACATATTTGTGAGTTTCCCCAATTTTTTCCTGCTATTGATTTCTAATTTCATTCCATTTTGGTCAGAAAATGTACTTTGTATTATTTCTTTTCTTTTAAAGTTGTTGAGGTTTGCTTTATGGACTAGTATATGGTCCATTCTGGAAAACAGTCCTCTTCCCTCTCACTTTGGACAGTCGAGAATTTACTCAATATCTTTAATTCTAACTTAAAATAGAAATAATATATAGCCAATTCTTCACTGGAATCTGACTCACATTAGAGAGCTTTGATATTATAATCAGGCTATGTTTACTCAAATGTCAATACAGGTAGATAGGCACTACACATCCATGCAGGCCTCCTTCATTTAAATCATTGCAGAAACTTGCACTTGTAATTTAATAGCATCATAATTCTGACAGCTATAATTGAGAAAACCACAACAATTGAGTATTTGAAAACCCCGCTTTTAGTAGATAAGAAGTAGAAATGATGTTTATTTTGTCATAAATGAACACACTAAACCATTTAAATAACTGCATAAGTAATATTTGACTGGACTTATTATAGAGTAGTGAGAGACAAAACCAGTCCTGACCATGAATGTTCTAAGAAAAAATAGACTCCACTGATCATTAATGGGAACAAATTGGTAAGATGCTACTAAATAATATTTTTGAAATTTAAGAAATAATCTTTCAAAGAATTTATCAAAATGGGACTGACTTCTAATTTGGGAAATTGGTGAATTAATATGGGAATATATAATAATCATACATCTATCTGCTAGCAAATTGTAATCAGCATTATAAACTGTACTTACTAGTAATGAGAGAGTATCAAAATGCATTTAAAAATCATATACTTTTCATTATTTCCATTAAGGTGTCTGGTCCCCATGATGTCTCTAATGACTTTGACCAGTACCGTCCCATTTGCTCACTCCACTCCAGCCACACTGGCTACTTGCTATTCTAGGAGCTCTCCCATCTTTTCACTGAGTGCTCTCTCTCACAGGAATGCTCTTCCCTTAGAGATCCTCGTGGTGAATTCCCTCATTTCCTTCAAGTCTGCTCAAATGTTACTTCTCAAACAGGTATGCATGTATTTAAAATCCTATTTGAAATTCAACCTGCCTCCATGTTTCTCCCACTGTTGGCAATCTTGATCCTCTTACTCTAATATAAGTTTTTCTATGTTGAATAACATTTATCATTTTCTAACACCCTCCATAATTTACTTGTTTATTATGTATATGTTTTGGTCCTTCTCCCCATGCTAGAATGTAAATCCTAACAAAGCAAGGATTTTAGCTGTTTTTTTTTTTCTCTCGCTAGAATATCATAAATGCCCAAAACTGAGCATGGCTCATTCTTGCAAGAAATACTTATTGGGCACTTACTAAATGCTAACTATTGTGCTAGTCATACTATTAGACGATGTGTTAAAATTTATGTGTTCACTGCTCTCATGGAGTTTATTTCTGAGTGGCAGAGATGGAGGCTAATTAATAATCATATACAATAAAATATAAAGTTGAGATACATATTTATTCTGAAGAAATAAAGTCTTATGAAAATATAACAAAGAAAATATATCCAGAAGTGAGTTCATTGATTAGAAAAGCCTTTGCTCAAATATCAGAAAGTTATTCTTGAACTGAGATATGAACTACAAGCAGGAGTTTACAAGGGAAAGAGAACATGCAAATATTCTGTGGCTAGGAGGAGCAGAAAAAAGAGAGAGGACTATATGGGGTAGCAGGAGGGTATGAGGGTTCAGCCGGAAAAGACCTTATGGGCTGAATGATAGTTTTGTCTATTGTCCAAGAAAAATGGGAAACCACTGATGTGTCTCTTTTTTGGCGGGGGGTGGGAGGGGGCTTGATTTTTTTTTTTTTTTTAATGCAGGGCAGGAGACAGGGGGAGGCATAAGAAATAGGATCATAATTATGTTTTGATGAGCTGACTTTGACTTTGGCTATAGTGTGGAGAATTGTAATGAGCTCTGATTATTCAGGATCTTTTTAGAATTTCTGTTTATAGATGGAGGTTAAAATAAGTTAAACAAGGCTGGGCACGTTGGCTTATCCCTGTAACCCCAGCACTTTGGGAGGCTGAGGCAGGCGGATCACTCGAGGTCAGGAGCTCAAGACCAGCCTGGCCAACGTGGTGAAACCCTGTCTCTACTAAAAATACGAAAATTAGCCGGGTGTGGTGGCATGCACCTGTAATCCCAGCTACTTGGGAGGCTGAGGTGGGAGACTCACTTTAACCCAGGAGGTAGAAGTTGCAGTGAGCTAAGATCTCGCCACTGCACTCCAGCCTGGATGACAGAGCAAGACACCAGCTTGAAAAAAAAAAAATAAACAAATATATTTTCTCATAGGAGTATTTCATGGTAAAAGTAAAATGTCTTACAGTATAATTCTACCAATAGGTAATTTTCAAAGTCTATTTTTTATGCATAAGGTCAGAGAAACTCAAGAAATTAATATCTGGTACTCTAAATTTTGTGTGATTCTTAAGTGAAGTTTAAATAAGAAATACAGATTTCTGTGTCTGACTAGAGTTGTATCAGTAAGTATAAATAGAAACAGTAATGCATATGTAAGATTTTAAAAAAGTGTATCTTAAATTATTTGTTAAATATGCATACATATTGGTTCCAGCCTCATTACACATTTCATTTGCTTGCTAGACTTTAATGAATATATTTTCTAACCCATAAATAAATTTGTGTAGTAACTTAGCTCATGCTGATTTTTAAAAAGAAGAAAAAGTTTAAATAAAATCTCATCACCAAAACAGTGGGAGGCTTTTTTCCCTGCTAGTATAATGGCATTTGATGATTTTCCTGTGTATACACGTGATATAGACGACTGTGAGAAATAGGCGTGTTCCAACTGAGGACTGTGTGCAAAGGATGCCCTTGTGATCTAATAATGCTGCAAATTTCTGTCAGAAATAGCCTTGATGAATACATGGAATTGCATAATGTTACTTAACCTAAAACTTGCTTAAAGAATTCTTGAATTTTTATTTAAAATCCAGTTTCACAAATGGAGAATGTGTGTGTGTGTGTAAGCTTATTTGCACTGTTTCACTGTAATACGCATTCTGATAATTTAAGGATGTCATGGTTACTTTGAACCCAAGGCTTGTTAGCATTCTGAAAGTAAGAATAGTTTCTGTGGGTTTTCTGTGGGGTAAGATATATGTCATAGGTTCCGTGAAGGATGTCTGTGAGATTAGGAACCATAGAATGTTGTGGGTTTATTTATTTATTTTTTATTTTAAAAGGAAACTTTAAAGTTCCCTTTAATATTCCTTTGTATAAAACCCATTATGAAATTGCACTTGTTCTAATTCTCTTTTTTCGGTTATTTAGTGCAAATTATTTTTGGTGGATTGTTATCCCACATTACTGCAGCCGAGACAGTTTCCAGAGATACTACTGTGATAGAACTCAGCAGGGGTAGCACAAACCTATCTCCCACTGTCACTTTATGTATTTTGGCTGTCTGAATTTTTGTTTGTCCACATATCGGTAATATTGCATTAAATTTTATTCTTCATGGAATTTCAGCCCTTGGAAATACAATGTCTGCTCCACTCTAAAAGCCTTTTCTCCCACCTTGTTATCCTAAAAACCTACTGTTGAGCAGTCCTTTACTTAGGAACCTGAAAAGTGGGAAAGAGATTGCATTTTTTTTTTTCTTAGACCATTGGACGTGTTCAAATTGATTTAGAAGAGAAAAGCTACTTACCTTTGGCTCTTTTTTATTATTTTTATTGTTGTTGTTTTGTATTTGGTAACAATACTTTTGTTACAAATCTATAGTTTTTTAAATACAGCATGTTATGTGAGTTAAATATGTATACAAAAAGGCTATGGGGCTGATTTTTGCATTTATATAGTACTTCTTTTCTCAGAGTGATAAACTAAATGAGTATTATGGTCTTTTATTTTTAAAGGAAGTTTGCTTACATCTGCCTTTTATTTTATTTTACTTATTTGTATAATTTAAGAGGTACAAGTGCAATGTTGTTACATGGATACATTGAGCAATGGTACAGTCTGGGCTTCTAGAGAACCATCACTTAACTAGTGTACATTGTACCCACTAAATAATTTCTCAGCCCTCAGCCCTCCCACTCTCCTACTCTTCCCAGTCTCCAGTGATTATTAGTTCACACTCTATGTCCATGTGTACACATTAGCTCCCACTTTTAAGTGAGATCAGGCAGTATCTGACTTTCTGTTTCTGAGTTGTTTCACTTAAGATAATGATCTCCAGTTTCATCCATGTTGCTGCAAAGAACATGATTTCATTGTTTTTTATGGTTGGATAGTATTCCATGGTGTGTGTGTATGTGTATGTGTGTGTGTGGGTGTGTATATAACATTTTCATATATATATGTGCATGTGTGTGTGTATATACATATATATGAAAATGTTATACACACACACACACATATTTTATCTAATCATCTGTTGATGGACACTTAGACTGATACCGTATCTTTGCTACTGTGAACACTGCAGCAATAAACATAGGAATATAGGTATCTTTGTGATATAATGATTTCCTTTGGGTAGATACCCATTAGTGGGATTGCTGGATCTATTTTTAAGCAAACAAGAAAAAACCTTAAAATACCTCTTCCTCTACAAAGCAAATAAAAAATATTCCTGACCTTGGAGGCAGTTGTGAACACTAGTGGAATGTGTCTATTTTCTGGCTGAGAGAAGCAAAAATCATGCTGGAAGCAGCCTTCTGCAAAGGCAATGGTTACATGGGCAATAGTTACATGCAGAACAAGCGCTGGACTGGAAGTGGCAGACCTGGGGTTCAATTCTTACTATTTCTTAGTAGCTGTATAACTCTAGGTCACTTTAACTTTCTGTGTTTCTTCTAACATGAAACAGGGATAATAACACTTCACTTCACTTAGCAACATACAGGAAAGTGCATTCTAAAATAGAAATCCTTAAACATCCAAATAATTTTTTTTACCATTAGATTAAGAAGAAGCACTGATATCTATTAATTTTTATTTGGCTAATATCTCTTGCCTTGGGCATTTTAGATACACCAAGTAATATGTTTTTGCAGTGATTTCAAAGGATTGTGAGTATTTAGGTTAAAGTAAAGTAATAAAGCTCCTGCTTCTTTGAGAAAAACCACATGGGCTTTAAAAAATAAACCGTTGACTGAATCTTGGTGCTGGTGGGGAAGTGCCTGATGTGTAAGATTCAAAGCTGTAGGTAAAACAAGTGATCTGTTTTCCCTCTAGCTCAACAAACACCTGCGTGCCTATATGTCCAATTACAACAGTGATTTAAATGTGTCTAACGTATTGAATATTAGTAAGATAACTCTAAATAATTTGCTATTTTTCTTAACTAAAGTAAACATTTATTGTAAAGCATATAAACTCTTTTATATCAAATTTACTAACAGAAATCATTTCTTCAATTATTTGAAGAATGATAAAACTTAAGCATATCATCTCAATGTTTTAGTTTTCATTAATTATATATGTTGCATTAACCATGCCAACTAATTTTATTGATGTTATTTCATCTTACTATCCTAAACACTGAAGTATACTCATGGCTGTTTTTGAACCAAAAATCTGATTTATTCGTTAAACAGTCATTAAATCATAGTGTACCCAATTTATTTTCAATTTATAATGAATAAAAACAAGCTGTCATCTTAAGCTATTTTCTTGCAGTATTACTAACATTTTTCTGACATTTACTTTTTTTCATTGATTTTGTTAAATATGACATACTGGCTGTTGGTTGCTATTTAGCTTCAACATGAACTTCACATTTCTGACATTCGATAAAATCTTAATATCTGTATAAGTTGATTAAAAAAATGTAAGCATGTATAGTCCTGCCAACCCTTTAAAGGGCCAATTAATCATGATATAATTTTAATAAATCTACCCACCCTGGCAATTATTAATTTATTCATATATTTAACAAATATTTATTGGAAACAATCTTGCCAGGAACTGTTCTTAGTGTCTGGGATACATGGATGAACATAACAAATAAAATAATCCCTGTCTTCATGGTCTTACTTAAAACAAATGAAGAAACTGAAGCACAGAGTGAATAAATTACTGACCAAAAGCCCACAACTAGTATAGTGCTGAGTATTTACTCCCTGACTTCATATCACAATATATCCAGTTAATGGTAGAGAGGTGCTTAAAATGCATGTCTGTCAACTCCCAGACTAGGGATATTCCCACAGTTCCACACTGTCCCTCTTTCTCTTCCTACCACACCACCTCACACTTGTTTGTAATGATTTCTGAACAGTAATTTAACAATTGCTGCAATTAGACTTTTCTACAGTCTGATAAAAACAATATGATTTTTACCATTTGCAGTGATGATTTCCCTTTTGGTTCCTTTCTAGGGAGGAGGCTCCATGATCTTACCTTCCCAATTATGAAGTAAGCAACGATGACCTCTTAAACTCGTGAATCTAACAGTGGTTGGGCATAGATAATTGCTGTGAAATACTTGATGACTGATTAGCTTTGATAAAGAATTCTGAGATAATTTTTATGCTGTTGTTACTAATCCCACCCTCAGCATTCTTTCAAAAATGAGATTATTTGTCTTTTTCTTCATGGCCTTGGTGGAAATATAAATTTCTTTTTAACCCTAAAATTGTCTTGGACTTATAACTTGAGATATCCTATGAGAAACAGATTAATTATGCCTGCTAATTTTGGAACAAACTATCAGCCTAATAATGTCTTTCTAGTTCCATCTTCCATCATTTGAAATTCCAGTAAAGTAATACTTGTTGAGTACTAACATTTATATGTATTTTACGTCAATGATCTGAACGTAGCTGCTTTTGGGATATGTTTGAGAAAAGTTGGAGAAATGTTACAGCCTAAAGTTGTATTTTGTTTGTTGTTTGTTTTCAAGTTTCTTAAAATGTGGGGCCGGGCGCAGTGGCTCATGCCTGTAATCCTAACACTTTGGGAGACTGAGGTGGTTGGATCACCTGAGGAAAGGAGTTCGCAATCAGCCTGGCCAACATGATGAAACTCCGTCTGTACTAAAAAAATACAAAAACTTAGCTGGGCATGGTGGTGGGAGTCTGTAATCTCAGCTACTCGGGAGGCTGAGGCAGGAGAATTGCCTAAACCCAGGAGGCAGAGGTTGCAGTGAACGGAGATTGCGCTACTGCACTGCAACCTGGGAAACGAGAGCGAAACTCCATCTCAAAAAAATGTGGTCCATCTAGAAAATTTGCACTGATATTGGTTATGTCTGCAATAATTCGCTTTCATTTCTTTGCAGCAGTTGTTTTCTATTGTTTCCCACAACACCAAGTGAAGAGAATATAGCCACTTTTCTGTAGGGTCAAAAAATATTCAGGCTTTCCCTCAAAAATACAAAGTTAAGCTCATTTCTTAATTTCCTTCAGGGGTTGTATAAACAGTCACTTATAGACACACACATGCACAGAGACACATACACATATAAAATGCATAAGATGTACACATATTATAAATATTTATACCTATATACTTCCTATGTTTATAATTCTGTGTATCAAAGAAGAGACTTTCTGTGTGAAACATCTATAATGTAAGAAGGGTAGTCTATAATGAATTCTAAATGCATTCCACTTTGTTACAAGTACTTATAACTTTAAGAAATATTTTAAAATGTTTAATAATCAATGTGATCAATATTCCCAATTGTTATCAATGTCTATGATAATGTTTTCATTAAAAGAGTCAAAATGGGCTGGGTGAAGGGGCTCACGCCTGTAATCCCAGCACTTTGGGAGGCCGAGGCGGGCGGATCACGAGGTCAGGAGATCGAGATCATCCTGGCTAACACGGTGAAACTCCGTCTCTACTAAAAATACAAAAAATTAGCCAGGCATGGTGGTGGGCGCCTGTAGTCTCAGCTACTCGGGAGACTGAGGCAGGAGAATGGCATGAACCTGGGAGGCGGAGCTTGCAGTGAGCCGAGATCGTGCCACTGCATTCCAACCTGGGCAACAAAGCGAGACTCTGTCTCAAAAAAAAAAAAAAAAAGAGTAAAAATGATAGAATTTTCTGCTGTTAAAACAAAATGATTTGTGAACAAAGCTGGTACAGATAAGGTGCTGGATAATAACACATATTATAATACATAAGTCCCTTATAGAAACAAAATAGTAAGTATGTACAAAGCCATAAATTAATCTTAAATAAACATCAATTTCCATTCCAATGCAAGTAATACATCTGATGTATGTTTAGCACTGACAACATTTCAGTAAATAATGAAATGCTTTAGATCTGAAAAGAAGAGTTTGCCATAGAAGCATTAACAAATTTTTATATCTGTTGACAAAACCTTGCTAAATTTATGCACATAAAAAAATAGAAGTAACCTTTTCTGTGATCACATAACTGGGGGCTGGCATTGCGAGAGAAGAGCCTGCTTTACCAGTTACGACACAGCAGCATGCCTCTGACTTAAAGTTCAGTTTTTAAAAATATGGATATGATCATAGCAAATAATTCCAGGAAATATGTCATAAATTAGCAGACACTGTAATAAACTGTCTGGACTGTTTTGTCTCAGTCATGTCATTTTATCCTATTTAGTTTCAAAAATAGTAATCAGTCTGTTCAAAGTGTCAACTTTAGCCACTCAGGATGGGGAAAACTTGTTTTGACATTATGCCGTATGAAAAATGACAAAATGAATGGGACAGGCTATAAGAAGTAGATTGCAGGCTCAATATTAGTCTACTGTGTGCATGTCTGTCAAAAGAAGCTAATAAAACATAAGGCTGAAGAACTGAAGTAATGAATGCAACAAAGAATGTAATAATCCCATTGTTCTCTATGCAAATCGGACCCTATCTGATATGTAATGCTGATTTCTGAGAGTCACTTTTAAAAAGAAACATTGATGAGTTAAAGTGCTTTCAGAATAAATACTCCCGAAAGTTTGTACTAGGAATGATAAAGAAATGGAAGACATTTCTTAAGTAACATGGGAGAGTTAGAGAAATATTTGTCTTTGAATATTTTAGGCAATATTATGTAGCAAAAGGATTAGATTTATTTTGATTTCCTGAACTAGTTAGTACAAACACAAACATATACTAGTTACCACCAATGGGTAAAGGGCCCTGTAAGATATACATATATATATAAATAAAAACAATAACTGACAGGGATTGCCAACTCTAGTGAAAATAATTTCTTTACTTTTCACTCCACACACCCTTTTCTTCAAGAAACCTTGTGTACAACTTATAAAGGGAGAGTGCGAAAAGTTTCCTCATCAATAGAGTTTATAAAGAAAGTTTTAAAGGGATCAAATAGTTTGGGATAAAGACCTTTTCTTGAGAATACTAAACATGCTAATGAAGATAAAATTCATAGACAGATTTTGCCAAGAAGTTATCCATGTACTTGCACAAAAGTTTTATTCAATATAGTTAACAAGTAATTAGAAAAGCACTCTTTTTTATAAAACTATGTAAAACTGTAACTTCAAACAACATACAGCTATATCCAAACTGGCGAATGAATATGCTTTTGTCTCATCCAAGAAATCCAAGGCTCAGTCCTGACAGTCAAACAGGGTTAAATAAAAGACAAGGGCTTGCAGGCAGGAACAAACAGATGATTCTTTCCCCAAAGGAAACACACGTAAGAGCATTAAATATCAAGTGTGCCTGCCCGGCATGGTGTGTGTCTGTAGTTCCTGGTACTG
This sequence comes from Homo sapiens, assembly GCF_000001405.40. Lineage (NCBI taxonomy): Eukaryota > Metazoa > Chordata > Mammalia > Primates > Hominidae > Homo > Homo sapiens. The sequence goes on from NC_000018.10 coordinate 4,284,062, forward strand.
AGGAGGTGGAGGGGGGAGGATGGCTTAACCCCAGGAGTCTGAGGCTCAAGCAATGCACTATGATTATAGGTGCACTATGATCCACCTGTGAGTAGCCACTGCACTCCAGCCTGGGCAACACTGCTAAACTCTGCCTCTACTGAAAAAAAAAAAAAAAATCAAGTGTGGCCCTCCAAGCAGGGAGAAGCCTTTCAGCAGCAGAGGTATAATGTCGGCTCTTCCTTGAGGTAAACAGGCCCAGAAAGTACAAGCCGAACACAGGCAGGGTGGGAAGGTGGAATGGGAAGACACAGAAGAAACAAAATACAATAGAGGGAAGGGAAACCAGTTAATGCATCAAACGCTTTATCCCATCAAAGGCCTATGAACAAGGAGCTCTTGAGTTCGAGTACCAAGGCTAAAATGGAGTGTCAAAGAGCCTGTGAGGAGACAGTTGTGGTTTCTAGTTTTAGAAGGTGTGTCACGGGCACCACTGTGGCCTTTGATGTATGGTAGTAGCAGAATTATTACAGGTGATGCTGAAGCTGGTACTCCTAAGTTTCACATACTTAGTCACTAGGAACTGATGTCCCACACACAGGATCAGCTAGTTTGCTCGGCTTTCACTATGTTACAACTAAGGAGGTGGGGTCAGACCCATGGCCTTCTGGAGTGCCGCCTTCACAGGTCTCAGGTGACAAGCTATAGGAAGTGGACTGCAGGCTCAATTGGTCTATTGTATGCATGGCTATCAAAAGAAGCTAATAAAATATTAGGCTGAAGAACTGAGGTAATGAAGGCACCAAGGAGAGTAATAGTCCCATTGTACTCTATGCAAATTGGACCCTATCTGATGTACAATGCTGATTTCTGAGAGTCACTTTTCAAAAGAAATATTGATGAGTTAAAGTGCTTTCGCAATAAAGCAAATGCTCCTGAAAGCTTGCACTAGGAAAGATAAAGGGAGGATGTTATTTACTTTTTGTAAAACTATTTTTTTTTACAAAAATAATGATAAAGTAATAATTTCTACTTTTTGTAAAGCCATTATTTTTGCCAGAGTTGGCAATCCCTATATATCCTGTTCATCATTTGGATATCAGGGACCCAGGCCTATAGGTGGAAGATCTGGTTGCTAAAAAGTAGAATGAAGGGAAATCTTATTAATGCTTTTTATGCAAGTACACCCAGAGAAAAGTTCACTACAATTATTACAAAACTGAAGCTAAAAGGGGAATGGAAAACTCTCATGCCCAGAGATATCTTTCTATCTAGAATCCCAAAATGAGACTCAAGGAGAAATGAACTAGTTAAAAACAAGTATCTAAAGTAAGAAGAGGGGCAGAAAATGGAGCTGAAAAGAAAACAGGATGTTGTCAGAGTGCAAGGAAAAGAAAATTTACCTGAGGAGAATGTTCAAGAACATATAGGGCAGATCAGACAGATTTTTAAGGGAAAAGAAATTATGGATCTTGATAAAAGAAAAACTTCAGCCAAATTCAATTTAAAGAAGTTTAATTGAGCAATGAACGACTCATGAATCAGACAGTCCCCAGAATCACAGCAGATTCACAGACTCCAGGGCAGCCACATAGTGGAAGAAGATTATAGACAAAGGGAAATGACATACAGAAATCGGCAGTGAGGTACAGAAATAGCTGGATTGGTTACAGGTTGACGTTTGCCTTATTTGAACACAGTTTGAACACTTAGCAGTCCATGAGTGGTTGAAACATGGCTACTGGGATTGGTCAAGACTGAGCTATTGCTACAGGTGCAAACTCCTAAGTCAGGTTTTCAATCTTGTCTTGTCTACCTGTTAACCCAGGTTACAGTTCATCCACAAGGACTCAAATATAGAAGTACAGAGTTTTTCTCAGGCCATATTTAGTTTGCTTTAATAACCTCCTGATGACTTTTAAAGTAGCCTGGTCCCGGACTGATAGTAAAATTACCCCACTCAGAGAGAGAGAGGAATGTGGACAAAATTTATTTGAAAAACAAAGTGTCACTCCGGCAAACTCAGAACACAACAGCTTATGTCTCTTCCTCAGGGACACTGTCAAAGGACTGACTCTGGGCAAAAGTGTTCACAGATACAATGTTGGGATCCAGAAGCCAAAAAGGAAGGATGAAGAAATGACTGTGAGCAAAACAGTATTATATGGTAGAGGAGAGATGGGCCAAATTAAGCAGCAGGTAATAAAATCAATCAAACAAACATGAAACCAACCAAGCAAATCCAGCTGAGCCTATTTGAAAGGAAACAACACCAGAGGCAGACCCCTCACTACAAGGAAAACTATTCCAAACAGGACCGTTCTCTGAGCCTAGAATGTTCAAGATTTGGGGTCCCTCAGGGCACAAGCAGTGAAAAGCATCAACACATGACTCATTTCAAGCACGGAGGATGACGCTAATGCTGAGGGTCTGGGAGGAAGCCACCCCCAGGACACAGGACTTTTAGGACTCCAGAATTTCAGAGCAGAAGGAGTACAGCAGCCGTTTAGCACAGGATTAAAAGCGTCAGAGGGTCTTGCTGGGGATGGGGAAATACAGAGAGAAGAGCAGAGTTTGGGAATGACCCTTCAGTCACTCATTTCAGAAATATTTAGTGAGAGTCAGGCAGTGTTCATGATGGAACTAGTTAGTACTGATTGCCAAGGAACAAGAGAGGCAGAAACCTCTGCCTTATCAGGACTCACATTCTCAGGAAGGTTACAGAAAATAAGCAAGACAAATGAGGGAAATAATTTTGTTAGGGAGGATCTTAAAAGAAAAAAGATAAATAGACAAGAATATGAAGTATTGGGGTTGAGGGCTGAAATACAGTGGCCAGGGAAAGAGAGGACTTTTTAACGATAATTGGGGGAGTGAACCACATGGATATTTGGGAATCTATCCCCTTCAGACTCAAGAGCAGGACAAATTTGAGGCCATGAAGAGGTGCCTGTTAAAAGAGCGGGTACCTCTGCACCTCTGCTATTGCTTTAAGAAAAGCATGTCATGGGTGGCTCATTAGTCCATGGAGAATGAAAAGCATATATAGTAGATCTGATCACAGCTGGTAGTTTGGAACCAAGCCAAGCCGAGACCAGTCTGGTATAGCCAGAGCTTAGTCAACATATAAACGTAAGTCTGAGAATAAATGATTTGTTATCAAAAGCACAATGAGATACCATCTCACATCAGTTAAAAAGTCAGGAAACAACAGATGCTGGAGAGGATGTGGAGAAATAGGAACGCTTTTGTGTGGTGATTCCTCAAGGATCTAGAACCAGAAATACCATTTGACCCAGCAATCCCATTACTGAGTATATACCCAAAAGATTATAAATCATTCTACTATAAAGACACATTCACACATATGTTTATTGCAGCACTATTTACAATAGCAAAGACTTGGAACCAACCCAAATGCCCATCAATGGATAAAATGTGGCACACATACACCATGGAATACTATGCAGCCATAAAAAAGAATGAGTTCATGTCCTTTGCAGGGACGTGGATGAAGCTGGAAACCATCATTCTCGGCAAAGTAAAACAGGAACAGAAAACGAAACACCACATGTTCTCACTCATAAGTGGGAGTTGAACAATGAGAACAGGGAGGGGAAGATCACATACCAGGGCCTGTCATGGGGTGGAGGGCAAGGGGAGGGATAGCATTAGGACAAATACCTAATGCATGTGGGGCTTAAAACCTAGGTGATGGGTTGATGGATGCAGCAAACCACCATGGCACATGTATACCTATGTAACAAACCTGTACATTCTGCACATGTATCCCAGAACTTAAAGTATAATAATAAGAAAAATTTTAAAAAATAAAATAATAAATAATTTTAAAAAGAAAAAAAAAGAGCGGGTACCCTGCTAACAAAGGCAGAGGAGACTGCCTCAGTATACATGTCACCTTGGGGTACTGAGAAGAGAGTGAACATTTTACAGGCTTGTGTTAAGAATTAAGGCAAAGACAGAAACTGAGTCAGGTCAGGAGAATAAAGGTGGCAGCTTGACAAATTTTTTATTATTATACTTTAAGTTTTAGGGTACATGTGCACATTGTGCAGGTTAGTTACATATGTATACATGTGCCATGCTGGTGCACTGCACCCACTAACTCGTCATCTAGCATTAGGTATATCTCCCAATGCTATCTTTTGCAATAAGGCAGATGAGGTTTCATTTCCACTCCACAAGAAAGTAGCACTAGGCATTGGGGATTTTCTCTAAGGATATGGGAGGCATAGTGTCACAATTAATGTTTTAATGGAAAAATTCTCCCAAAGGAGTTTCAATTAACAAGTCACAGACTCCAGAAACTTGGAAAGGACTGACGAGTACCATGCAAAAGCCAGAAGCAAGAGAATTTTAGCTTTTCCTTTATGGCTGTTATATGTTCGTTTCTTCAAAGAACTCAAAAGCTCTACCTGGTTCCATGATTGTTATCTGAAGGGCAGCTCCAGTTAAAAATATGTATTAATTCAAATGTACATCAGTTTTCCTGGATGACTGCTCTAGGCCCTGAGGATTTGCTTGTGTTTTTGCAATTTCATGGGTGGGTCTGGCTGTGCCATGTTTTCATGTGTTGCACAGCTCTCGCAGGGGGAAAAAAGGAGAAAGAGGGAGACACTTGAATGTTTTAGGAGTTAGAATCATTTCAACGTGGGGCACACTAGAAGACAGCTTAAAATCAATCCGCTTGCTGCTCGGCTCATCATCTGCCTCCGACTAAGTGGAAAAATAAATTGGGAGGGCAGAATTTTAGTCTTTGGTGTAATTGGGATTTGATTCGCATAACAGGTTTTCATTTTTAACTTTAATTTCTTTGGGGGAGATAAAATGATGCTAGAGGGAGGTCTGTCTTCTAATCTGGGGAGTTGGATGTAGAGGCTGGGTATTTTGGCCTCTGTTCTGTCATGTGGCGCCCATTGTAAAACGTCTCCTGTCTTACTCTATTGTGTGAAGTGTCTGGACAAATATGAAAATGAAAACGGAATAACAGATAAATCTTCAGCCCAGGGCAGGAGTGTTGTTGGAGATGACTGAAATACTGCCCTGTTCTGACCTATTTCAGAGCCTTCTGAGGGCAAGCTGCTCACTCTCCTAGGAACAAAGAAGGACTGGCTGAATGAAGATGGGGCCAGATTTTTCTTATGTGCCATTGTTCTTTCTTGTGTGTTTGTCTAGGGTGGAAGGGAGGGTTATGGCAGCATTCTGCGAAGGGTGAATCATTCTCTACCTACGTTTGCAGCAGTAACCAGGAAGATGCATGGAAAAGTAAGTGACAGAATGGAAAAGCTTGTGTGGCCAGAGATGAGCATGTGTTGGGCAGTTTTCTATTTTCTGAAGAATGACAGGAGTTATTTGAAATCAGAAAAATAAAACATGATGAAAGTGCTGCTGAAAATATGGTCAAAATCACAGATTGTTCCATGAATTCTGACTGTGTCAACTCTTCCAACATCCATGTGAATACCCAAAGTAGCCAAATTTGATTCCGTAACTGTTAAAATGTTCTTCATGGAGATTTTCAATGGAGGTGGTAGGAGGGTAGTAGGAGTGGAGGTATTTCCTTCAACAGATTTTAAAAGAAAGAAAACTTTTTTTCATGAAAAATTAAACAAAAACTTAATTAGAAAGCAAAATGAGGAAATGAGTAAACCTAATTTTAATGTTTAAATTTTAAATTTTTAAGGTGGCAATGCATCTGTCCTAGAATTATGGGTTTAAATCCCTCTTAGTCATTCCTGAACTTAGAAACAATTGTACTTATTTTGAAACCTAGCTTTTGCATAATTATAAGAGCTCTGTACAGTAAATGGTATAAATCATTTATGCACCCAATTACAACATTCATGTATTAAGAGAATTTTTCTGTCTCCTTTCAATTTTTATCTTTGAGACTCTTCATCTTTTGAAAAGCATATTCTGGTTTTCTTAGTTTGTTCTTATGTAACATTCTATGTAAAAAAGGAAATAATGGCAGAAGTTATTTTATAGAAGTGCTACTACATCTGGTAAATTTTGTATATTTCATTTCCCCTGCAAGCTTTTCAAACACAGTAGCTTGAACTGCTGTTAGAAATTTACTGTCTCTGTGCTTGTCACCAGGAAGATGAATGTGACCATTTCACATCTTGCAAAAAATACTTTTTATTTGTTAGCATTTATATACTAGGTATTATGCATACGGTTTCAAAATCAATAGAAAAAGAATACGCATCAGGAGAAATACTTAGATTATCAAAAACAACTCAAGTGAGAATGCATTCTGCAGGTGCAATTTAAAGAATATGGGTGTAAAACAGAGAATGGAACATTCTATAAAACTAATGTTAGTTGAGATAATCTGTAAAATCTAACTATCAGCCCTTCTTTCTCGGTTACCAGGAGACAATAGCTGTGTACACATATGTGGCGATGAAAGGTAACGTGGACTCCACATGGCAAGGCAGGCAACTGCTCTTAAGTGCACAGATAGAAGGTTCACGGTCACTGTCGGGGAGAAGTTCAGTCTGTCTCGAGTCATCTTTTAGAATTCATCAAAGACGGACAGTCTAGAACTATTTTCAGTTTCCCAATGGTGAAGATTTAAATTGTTGATTAAAGTCCAATAACAGTAAAACAAGAAAAGGCCATATGCTTGAGCTGTCAATGATTACTCAGATTTTTTGGGGTTACAGTTTAAAGTATTTTGATTTAATATCAAGTTATGAGTATTGAAAAGGGAGGGAAAATGAAAATTTTCTAAAAAACGTGAAAAGAAAAACCAAACCCACATGTGGTCTATCTTTTTCACGCTTTCAATCTGTAATGAACTTCTGGCCACCTTGATGTGAAGTGCCCTGTACGGAGTGCTCAGCGTGTTTTGATAGTTCTTATTTGTGTGAATAAGAAAATGAGCATTTGATAACACAAACTGAAATGCAGTTGAATATTATTAATCTTTTTAAAAAACAAAAGCATAGTAAGGGGAGGAATAGGAAGACCTTAGAATCTAGGTTTCATTTTCATACAAATATTTCCTGTTAGCTCAAAATGGTAGATGTTGAAAATAGAAGGAATCTAATTGGAATATTTATATTATGGGTGATGGTATTTATGATGACATCTGGGCTTCCTGGTCTTGGCGCAGTTCAGGCAGATAATATAAATGGAAACTGTAATACAGACTGAGTAGATGTCAAGACTCATTAGAAAATGAGTGGAAGGACTTTGTACAAATAAGTACAGGGCTACTGGCATTTCTTTGGTTTTGTCCAGAGAGGGGTAACCCTGCGTCATCATGGCTCTTCCTGCTTGGTTTTATGGTGTTATGTATATAGGTGTGGCCTTTATCACAAAACACTATTAAATATTCATTAAGCATATTGTTTATAGAACTTTCCACAACAAGACAGTCCAGTGAAAGCTATCTTTCAAAATTCCAATTGTTACCAGGTATGTCATGTATACATATATGGCAGTTTCTTAAATAATAAATTTTGGATTATTTTATACATACATACATACATACACACATTTGGATTATTTTATACATACACACATATATTTTTAATATCATCAGTAGGTCTCATTTATGACAATAAAGTAGGTACAGTTGTAGCTACCATGAGAAATAAGATGCTATATAATACTTTATGTCTCACTATTAATTTATATTGTGTTTATTGTTAAAATTTCAGCTGGCAAAGGAAGCCTATGGTCTACTAAGGTGCCAATCCTATACACACTTATAAATTTAATGAATATTGATAATCATAAATGTGAGAAATAGTACGAAGCATCGATCTTGAAGGAAGAGCACTAGAAAAGAAAAAATGTTTGAATTGCATAAAAACAAAGTTAGAAAGGGAAACGGTTTTGTCAAATCTGCCTATAGACTAGAAGTTGCAAATTTGGGTTCTACATTAGAATTCTCTGGGGTACTGTTGACATTTGTTAGATTCTCACATACACACCGTGAATCAGTAGATGCCCAATAACTATTTTAACTAGAAATCCAGCAATCTACAGAAATCACTGCTAGATGACTTTCATTTAAAACATTACAAATAGATATTTCCAATCTGTATTCTGCCATTAATGAACTCAATTGTTCAAAATTGAATAGCATAAGCAATATGGAATTGCCCTAATTAGGCAGCATTAGCAACCATAAAAATGGTCCAGAGTAATAAAAAATGAATCTGTTTACAAAAAAATTCCACTTTATCATTGTTTAATTTTTAAAATAAGCAAAATATAGCTATTTTTGGAAAACAGAGATAAAAACAAAAAGCAGATAGAATCAGCCATAATCAAAATGTCCCATGGTTGCCACAGCTACCAAGTTTTTTTTTCATTTGAAAATATGTATATTTTAAAGTCAGATCACCAGATTGTATTTTAGCAAATTTTTTATGTAGTAAAATATGAGCATTTCCTATGTTGTTGGATAATCTCTTACAACATCACATTTTAAAATTTATCTTTGCTCATATTATAATATACTTTACTAATTTTTATTATTTCAGAAATTAGAAGAAAATTATCTATTACAAAGATTGCTCTTTAATTATGTCTTTGAAATAAATAATTTCTACATCTTTAAAGCAATATATTTCCAGGAATGTGGCTTGAAGGTTAAATACATACACATACAAACTAAAAATTCTTGCAACTAAATATTAGGCCAGATAGAATTTCAAGGGTAGTCTTTTCTCTCCCCTGGGAAATAGAAATCAGACAGGAGAAACAAGTTAGAAAGTTGGTAAGAAATGTGTGACATGGGACCAAACAACTTATCAAAGAAGCTGAATACAAAATCAGTATGTGATTGATACCTAGCAGATCCCTGTCCCAATCTTCCTAGGAACTGCCAACAACATGAGTGAGCAGAGAAGATCCATTATAGTTCTCTTGAGGATTTCTTTATAGGTGATAACTTTGAAAGGTTGACATTTACTTACCTATTTAGCTAAGGCTGTGATTACAATACGCACAGTGTTCCAAAGAACACAAGGAAACGGAGATGAAATCAGTGGAAGTTCAAGGAGCTGTTTAAGGACAAAGGTGATTATGATTCTATGTCTGGAAATGACCACAGAAATGTCTACCTTCTCTCATAGAGCAAGAAGATCGAAGCAAATGAACAAAGGTGGGATCCGGTTCCAATAATGAAGAATGTGATGACTACATGTATACCATTCTGGAACAGAGAAAAGACTGCCTGCAGCAATATCTCTAAAAACTACCTGTGGCAGACTCAGTGGATGGTCAAGTTTGGCTCTGAAACAAGTCTCCTCATTTGTCAGAGAAAGGACAGAGAAGATCCAGTTTATGTGATTAATTCAATGATATTAGTAGAGATCATAGATACAATGATCAAAATAAGAACATTGCTTTTTGCAAAATCAGATTAAACTGCACTCCAAAACAATACTGAATCATGTAAAAGCAGAACTTCCTCTCAGAGATTTCTGTATGCAAAGACAAAACAATTAGGTCACAGGATACCATGTTCTTGAGACTGTATGTCCTTACTAAGTTTCATTTTCATTCAGATATGTACAAGACCATTTGGTATTTGTAAAGAGGTTATGTTTATCTGTGTTTTCCTGAATATAGAATGAATATCTTTATGACAAAAAACTTTAGCTCAGAAGAATCTTTATCGCATTTAAAATAATTAACAACTATAGTGCATAATGTATAATTCAAGGGTTTTCTGTAGCCCATTTCCCATCTACCCTGTCCCTGTCCCCATACTCCTTCCTCACCTCCACCCAACCTCCACCAGAGATAATTAAGCTTTTAAGAATGAGATTGATCACTTAAAAGTAATATATTTTTACTTTATTTCTTTAATCCATGTTTAGACTTTCCTACCTGCCAAAACTTTGTATCTTTTAAACTTGGTATTCTACTTCTTTCTCCCATCTCAAACTATACGTAAATCAGTGTGTTAGAAATTCCAGTGAGTTTAATTGAACAGAAAGTTGGGGTATCTTGTATCCCCTCCTTTTTTTTCTTTTGGGACATAACCTTTGTTTCCCACTTGTGATTCCAGAATCTATCTTGGTATGATTCAACACCTTTTATCAGCTGCTTCTAAACAACTTTCACCACCATATTGCCTCCTCATTCTTCCGAAAATACACTATTTTCTAGTCAGGCCAAACTATACATTCTTTCCAGAGCTGACCACACTTGTTATGTTATATTCCCAGCTAAATGCCTTCTGTAACATTTACTACTTATCCTTCTGGATACAACCCCAATGTCACCACCTCCTTGAGAGCACCCCTGATTCCACAGGGTTGAGAGTCAGGGTGGCCTGGGAAGACCACACATGTCCTCTGCCATCATTCAGAGGTGGGTATAAGTGAAATGGGAGAGTTCCCTGGTCCCCCTCACAGGATGTGTGACAGGGGTATGGCTCTCTTCTTGGCTGCTATGAGCTCAAAGCCCTTACAAGAGGTGGAGCATGCAGATGAGCAGGTGCAGGAACCAGAGCGAGAGCTTTTGGGGTCCCGCCCCACAGCAGTGTCTAGGGGTGAGTTTCTGTGATTCCCAAAACCCAAGTGGGCACATGTTACAGTGTGCTCTTCTAGTGTTGCTGTCCAAGTGTTAACTAGCTTAGTGGACCCTCTGCCTTTTTGCAAGGGCAGAGGGCCAATGTGACAGCTTTCTGTATTCTGAGCTCTTATCCAGCATCCAGGAAGAATCAGGTGACACAGGGACTTGAAGGATGAATGTGGGGGTTTTATTGAGTGGTGGAGGTGGAACTCAGCAGGATAGATGGGAAACTGGACAGGGGATGGAGTGGGAAGATCATCTTCCCCTGGAGCTTGGCCATCCACTGGCTGATTCTCTGACCATCCCCAGCTGAACTCCTCCTAACAGTCCTTCTCTTCTTTCCTCTGCTGCATTGTTCTGCCATCCAGTTTGCTAATCTCCTTGTTTCCTGTCTCCTCATCTGCTCCTGGAGCCTGGGGTTCGGAGTTTATACGGGTACAGGACAGGGTGTGTGTCAGGTCAAAAGGCAGCTTTTTGGGCATGAAAACAGGAATGCCCGTCCTGTATCCAGGCTAGAGGGTGGGGCTTTTGCTGGGGAACTGCCCTCTTCTACCCAGTATTTCCCTGTCTCCTTTCTGCATCATAAAGATGTGTGGTACCCAGTTGGTGCAGACGCGAAATTCATCTGTTTCTTTATGTTTTCTCCCTTTGCTCTAAAAGGGTCCATATTTGCCTGCATTCTAGTGCTCACCACACCACATTGGGGTATTTGGTTATGTGTCTGGTTTCTTCAGTAGCCTAATGGTGTTCCCTGTGCAAGATTCTTAGATGGGCCTCAATAAAATGGTTGAGTTGCACTGAATTGTGTTTCTAAAGTAGATATCATGTCTTATTTCCACCAGGGCACAATGTCTAGCACTTAGAAGCTTAAAAAAAGATTGTTGAGATACTAAATGAATAGATTAACCAAAAGTTTAATTTTTCTAGCAGTGTTCATGGGTGGGAACAAAGCAGTAAAACAAACACATACAAAAATAAATGGAGGTCAAGGACCTATAATACTAAATGAGCTAGCACCATTTCATCTGGCTGTGCTACTTCCTAGCTATGCAACCTGAGACAAATCACATATACTCTCTGATCTTCTATTTCATTATCTGTGAAGTGGACACAAAAATAATACCTACCTCTTAGCACTGTTTATAAAACCAAATAAAAGTAAGTAAAGTGCTTAGCAGAGTGTGTAAAACACAAATTTGTGCTCGGTAAGTGTTAGTTATTATCATCTTATTGTTTCCTGAAAGGCCTCCAGCTATGCTTGTTAAGAAAGGCTTTTATTAAGTGTATTTAAAGATACTAATGATTAAAGTAATGAGAGTCAACACAGTCAATATTTATTGAGTGCTTACTTTGAGCCAGTCATCTATTCTCACTGGATTACACCATTGCAACATCAAGGAAACAGTTTTAAAAAAGTATAACCAGCACAAGGTTAGTAAGGAGAAAGCATGAAAACTGTGCTTCTCATTTCATCATCTGGGATCTTAGCAAATATACAACATTCAAGCAACCTTCTATGAATCTAGCCACACATTATGGCCCCACCACCCTGCGTCTTAATTTTGTTAGAACTTGCCTTATTATAATTAAGCACGCAGCCTTCCTTTACCTTCTAGTAAACAGTACATTTTCTGAAGACCGAGACTGTGTAACTCACCTTTATAACTCTCACAGCCTAAAGCTGATGTACACACAGGTGCACACACACAGAAACACATACACACACACAAATAAAGAGGAGAAGTGACAAAGTAGATCCACATTGTTGGAAAAGACACAGCAGGTTAAAGGAGGGCCACTCTCAGAAACATTTTAGCAATGAACAGAAAAACTAGACCACTCAAATGAACCACGTGCTTGCATTCACAGTGTTATACCTGTATAATTTGTTGAATTTCTAAAATCTGTAATTCAGTTAGTTCATCCTCCTTCAACCTTGAGTCATTTTATAGTTTAATTCCAGTTTTCCTTCTCTCCTAAATCCTGTTGTGAAAACCACTTTCAGATTGGCTGTCTTGATTAATAGCTCTGTAACGTCTACATTCTCTGGTGGACAAAACATTTTTTGTTCCAAAGTAATTCTTTACCTCTAGATGCTGGCAATTTCAGCATCAAAAGAATAAATAACCAACTGAAACTATATTCCTGAGGCCAGGCTATTGCCATCAGAACCCATATTTTCCTGTCTTCTCCCATTACCTGTGCACTGAAAGACAGAGCGGGTGGCATCTGACCAAGCAGCTCTCCTATGCCTGGAAAAGTAGCCACTTTCTGAGCAGGCAATGGATGGATTTAAACTTCCAACATCTTTCATCACCAAATAGCACTTCCCCAGAAGTGATGCATCATCTGGAGTTATTTTTCGGGTAATGGCACTTGAACCTGACCGGTACTTCACCTAAATTAAGAGTGGAACAGGTCTGTAAAGAGGACCTATGACTGTTATGCATCCCATAATAACTATAATTTTTGAACACCCTTTTTATAGTAGATGCTATAGAAAATGGTGGATAAATTTTGTTTTTATCTTCAACAACAGTATAAGGAAGATATGCCAATTTTATAAATGAGGCACCTGGGGCTCAGAGAGATTTAGGTAAGGATTAGCATCAAGGTAAGATGCCAAGAAGGGGCAGAGAAGGGAGTCCCATAAAGGTGAATCTGAAGACATCCTCTCTTCCCACCACACCGAGCCATGACCTGTAGAAAACCATCAATGTCTGGTGGTGCCTAAGACGCTCCATGCCATGGGAAAAATTTATTGAAATATAATATCCACATGGAAAAATCAACAAAACTTTATGCCTAAAACTTATTCATGAAGAGACAATGGTAAAGATACTTAATTAGAAATATAAAATAGCTGACATTGTAACATATCCTCTATACTTATTGTTGGGAAACAATTGTCCCTGGTTATTTTATTATCCTTGGTTATTTTCACATTTCAGTATGATCCTGAGCCTCTGAGCAAAGGGTACTGCAAGGATGTTTGCTTAACAGACAGCCTCGGAAGTCGGAGAGTAATGTCTCCATTAAGATAGACAGCACGGGAGAGATCTGGAGACAAGGCTCTCTCCTTTCTATTCTCCGGATGAGATTGGCTTACATTCTGGTATAACAGATAATTAATTTCTCCTCTCTCTCTCTCAATCTCTCTCTCTCTCTTTCTCTATCTATCACTGTTGCTCTTACTCAGGCAAGGCAGAGGTGCGAGTAGCCCATGAAAGTTTAGTCTCTCCTAATTTGGGGGTTCCTCTCCCATGATGCAAACCTAATGCAAACGCAGGTAAACTTTTGACTCTTAACAGCATCGCCATGAAAGGACTGGGAACTAGAGCCACAAGCCAGAGGGAAGACAGTTCTCTGGCTGCTGCTTTTCTGTGAGTCATAAGGCTCTGTGTCTCTGCCCCGGACTCTGGTGTCTTCTGTCAGTATATGCATAAAACTGTGCAAGGCTAACCTGTTAGCTTGCAAGTAGAGTTCAGTTATATGCGGGCGATTGGCTCCATGACCCTCACCTATACCAAAATCCGTGCATACCCAAGTCCCGCAGTCCGCCTTAAGGAACCTGAATATACTAAAAGTCAGCCCTTTCTAGATGCGAGGTTTGCATCCCCCGCGAATACTGCATTTTCAATCTGTGTTTGCTTGAAAGAAAATTTGCGTATACACAAATCTGTGCAGGTCAAACCCATGTTGTTCAAGGGTCAACTGTAATCTGAGACCCTCCTCAGTTTCTAAATTAACATCAGAAGTTCTCAAAGTGTGTTCCCACATCAGCCCTGGGGAATAGTTAAAGAAGCATATACACCATGGAATACTATGCAGCCATAAAAAATGATGAGTTCATGTCCTTTGTAGGGACATGGATGAAATTGGAAATCATCATTCTCAGTAAACTATCGCAAGAACAAAAAACCAAACACTGCATATTGTCACTCACAGGTGGGAACTGAACGATGAGATCACATGGACACAGGAAGGGGAATATCACACTCTGGGGACTGTTGTGGGGTGGGGGGAAAGGGGAGGGAAAGCATCGGGAGATATACCTAATGCTAGATGACGAGTTAGTGGGTGCAGCGCACCAGCATGGCACATGTATACATATGTAACTAACCTGCACAATGTGCACATGTACCCTAAAATTTAAATAAATAAAAAAAAAAAAGCAGCAGCAAATTCTTGGCCTGGCGCAGTGGCTCACGCCTGTAATCCCAGCACTTTGGGAGGCCGAGGTGGGTGGATCACGAGGTCAAGAGATCGAAACTATCCGGGCCAACATGGTGAAACCCCGTCTCTACTAAAAATACAAAAAATTAGCCAAGCGTGGTGGCAGGCGCCTGTAGTCCCAGCTACTCAGGAGGCTGAGGCAGGAGAATGGTGTGAACCCGGGAGGCACAGCTTGCGGTGAGCCCAGATCACGCCACTGCAGTCTAGCCTGGGCGACAGAGCGAGACTCTGTCTCAAGACAAAAAAAAAAAAAAAAAAAAAAAAATAGAAGCAAATTCTTGGGCCCCAGCCCAGATCCACTGAATCCGAAGTTCTGGGGTGGAGCTCAGCAATTTATGCTTTAATAAGCCATTCATGTAATTCCAGTGCACACCAAGATTTACAAACCACAAAACATACTCTGTTCATATGTTTCTAGTAACAGTAGCTCCATTTGACAGTGCCCTGCTAACACAAATTCATTTTGAAAGAACACTCAACAGATCTATCTCTAAAAGAATTAAGATTTCTTTGAAGAAATCACTTTCATGTGTTTGATTTTTTTAATTCAAATATTTAATAGTAGTACAAACTCTGCACTCACAACCATAATTTAGTGTAAATTAGAAGAGTTTCCTCAATTTCAAATACTATATTACTTGGCTGAGCCAAAAATAATCATCTGTACAGAGCATCTATGAAAATAAACAGCCCATTTTGTCACACTGTCACTAAGTAGAAATGTCTTGCTTTTTCAAATTGTGCTTACTTGTCATAAAAATTACTCAGCAAATATAAAAGAGAGTGAAAAAATTAAAAGTTATTAATACATGTTCTGTATTCCTCCCTGCAAGATTTTGTTTAAAAAACACACACAAAAAAAACAAACAAAATACCAGAAGGTTACCTTAGGACAATATCAAGTATCAGGTCTTAATGGCTGTAAAATATTCCCATAAACTATAATTTATTTAGGCAATTCATCATCTACAGTATGATGTATAAAAGTGATGTTTTTAACTATTTATCACAATAAAAAGTTACACGGCACTCTAAGGAATCCCTAGAATCAAATCAATTGGAAAATCATTAAAACTAATAAGAAATCTGTAAATTCATACTTTCAAATAATCGATAGCTTTGCTATGTACCAGCAAAACCTATTTAGAATATCCAAAAAAAAGCAATCTCATCTGTACTAACAAATTTTATTTCTCATTTGTGCGATAAAGCTTTGCCCATATCTTTATTTGCAAATAGTGTGTCCTTTTTATACAAAAGCATATAGAGAAATACTTGATTCAATTTAACAGTGTTGTCTTTTAGCAAAGGAATTTAATCCACAATGATAATCCATGACAATAACAATATTTAAACTTATTATTTACCTTATTTAATGCCATATGATTGGGTTTTAATACATATTTTGTCTTATTTTGATAAAATGATCGTGTTTAAATGTTTTCCTGCCACTTATAAATTATGCACACAAAACATATTCTACTATGGTTTATCTGTAGATCGTAAAATGTTTGAATCTCTAGTAATATCACATGCAAGACAAAATGTTGAGCAAATTTTACTGATCGCTTTGCCCTAAAACCTATTCCCACCCTATGTACAGATACACCTACAAACTCATTCTCCAAACACAATTACACGCCTCTTTTGATTTTACAATTAAAAAAACTCTTGCAATACTCTAGAAATTTTTTTATATTTGTTTTAAGCCTTACAGCCACACTAACAGCAATAATAGTTTAGACTTGATTCTGAGCTCTACTGGTATTACTGATCACCCCTCTTTCTGCTTTTAAAGTGTCTTCCCTTTCTGAGTCTGTCTAGATGGCACAGTGTCTTTTTCACGATTTTATGTGTACATGGTTATACACTTTGAGTTCTCATATGTTAAAACATTTTTCTGTCATTGCCTCCGGAATGATAGGTTTATTACTGACTTGTAAGGATTTGTTATATACTCTTGCACACCAAGGGCTTTCTGCCATTCTCTTTTAAGAAAGCTTTCTCCCCTATTTCCAATGTTAGGGTTGTTTTGTCATTGAATTCTTAGATCAAAGGTTATCTCTCCTTTGCAAACAACCCAATCCAAAAGTATTCACTTGACTTCTGATCATTTTATCCTCTTTAATTTTTTAATTAAAATATTTATTATAAATTGACAAATTATAGTTGTAGATGTTTATGGGATACAAAGTTATATTATGGTATATGAATACAATGTGGAATAATTAAATCAGACCAATTAACATATCTATCAACTCAAATTCTTATCATTTTTCATGGTAAGAACATTTGAAATTCACTTCCTTAGTGATTTTGAAATGTACAATACATTATTTTTAATTATATTCACGATGCTATGCAATAAATCTCAAAAGAAAAACAACAACTCATATTCCTCCTATCTAACTGAGGCTTTGTGCCCTTTGACCACCATTTCCCCATTACTCCACCTCTCAGCCTCTGGTAACCATCATTCCACTCTCTACTTCTGTAAGTTAGATTGTTTCAGATTCTACACAAAGTGAGAATGTGTAGTATTTGTCTTCCTGTTTCTGATTTATTTCATTTAACTTAATATTCTCCAGTTCTATTCATGTTGTCACAAACAATTAAATTTCTTTCTTTTTAAAAGTGCATAGTACTCCATTGCATGTGTTTGTATATATATATCACAATTTCATCATCCATTCATCGGTTGGTGGACACACAGGTTGATTCCATAACTTGGCTGTTGTGAACAATGCTGCAGTGAACACGGATATGCAGATATGCAGATATGCCTTTGACACGCTGATTTCAAATCTTCAGGGTAAATACCAAAAAGTGGGATTGCTGGATCATATAATAATTCTATTTTTAAATTTTCTGAGGAACCTACATCTAGTTTGGTTAGACTAATTTACTTATCCCACTAACAGTGTACAAGGGTTCCCTTTTCTCCACATCCTTGCCAATGACCTTTTGTTTTTTTGATAATACCCATTTTAACAGGTGTGAGGTAACAATCATTGTGGTTTTGATTTCATTTCTCTAATGATTAATGAAATTGAATTTTTTTTCATATATCTGTTGGTCATTTGCATGACTTCTTTTGAGAAATGTCTATTCAGGTCCCTTGCCTACTTTTTAATCAGGTCATTTGTTTTCTTGCTATTGAATTGTTTGAGTTTCTTATATATATTGGATATTAACCACTTATCAGATGTGTGGCTTACAAATATAGTCTCCCAATCTCTAGGATATCTCCTCAGTCTGTACATTGTTTCATTTGTTGTGCAGAAGCTGTTTAGTTTGATGCAGTCCCATTTCTCTACTTTTTTGCTTTTGTTGCCTGCATTTTTGGAGTCAGATAAAAGAAAAATCACAGTTCAGACCAAGGTTGTGTAGTTTTTCCCCCGTATTTTCTTCTAGTAGTTTTACAGTCTGGGGTCTTATGATTAATCCTTTAATCCATTTCGAGTTGATTTTTGTATATGCTGTGAGATAAGGGTCCAATTTCATTGTTCTGCATGTGGATATACAGTTTTCCTGACATCATTTATTGAAGAGACTATTCTTTTCCCATTGTATGTTGTTGGCACCTTTGTTGAAAATCAATGTACATACGTGAGCTTTTTTCTGGGCCTCTATTCTGTTCCATTGGTCAATGTGTGTATTTTTAAATTTTTTTTATTTTTTATAAAGTACATTTTTTTGACATGTACAACACAAAGTTTTTAATGTATTGACAATGTGTCTATTTTTATGCCAGAACCATGCTTTTAAATTAGTATTTGTAGTATAATTTTGAATTAGGTAGTGTGATACATCCAGCTTTGTTCTTTTGGCTTAGAATTGCCTTGGCTTATTTGGGAATTTTTGTGGTTCCATATGAGTTTTAGAAACTTTTCTAATTTCTATGAAAAATGACATTGAAATTTTAATAGAGACTGCACTGAATCTATAGGTCACATTGGGTAGCATGAACATTTTAACAATATTAATTCTTCCAATACATGAACACAGTCTATCTCTCCATTTATTTATGTCTTCTTCAATTTCTTTCCTTAATATTTTAGAGTTTCCAGTGTTTATTTCTTTTATTTTTTTGGTTAACTTTATTCCTAAGTATTTTAATTTTTGTAGCTATTGTAGATGGGATTCTCTGTGTAATTTTATTTGTGGCACTTTCCTTCTACTAGTTTATTTCCTTCCACTAATACTTAAGCTGGAACTTTCCCTGTTGACTGCTGGGTTCCCAGTTCCCAGAATAGTGACTGGCACATAGAGGCCACTAAAACAATTGTTGATTAAATGAATGAGTGAATGCATGAACGAAATCAATTAGTCTGATATCGATAGCTTCATTGAGCTCTGGAAAAGAATGTGTGGCTTCTGTTAATTTCTTTCTATCTGAGCCAAAAGAAGAGAAAGGTATTATTCTATTTTTTTTTTCATTAGCAAAGTTGGGAGACCAGGTTAATGTGGAGAAAGAAAAAAAATGTAGGCAGAACATCACAGCTGCATATAGGCACCTCTGTTCATGAGGGCAGCTGATCTCTCTTGTGTGCTGTAGCAACCACAGCTGAGAGTGGAACCTGGCAAGAAGCAACCCCCACAAACCTCCCTCTGGTAGTCAGGCTGGCCTCTCTCAGAGCAGTGAGGGCCCTAGGATGCTAGTCCCCAAGAACAGCAGTGCCATGTGAGAAGCTACAGCACCATCAAATTTTGATTGTATTGACAATTCAAATTTTTTTCTCCAAACTGGCCAATGTTAATTTAGAAGAAGTGGCATAGCAAGGCTGGGACTCCTCCCTAACTCATCATCTCAATCCTTGCAGGGAATGAACCCTGGTGTGGCACCCACTTCATTTCCTTCCATAATCTGAATGAACTTCAATTATGCAAAGAGTAATGTTCCCTGATTTCTGTGCCTACTAGAGAAATGGTTCTTAATATTTTAGTTGAGTGTATCTGAAGTGTATTAGAAGAAGGAGAAATGCAAATGGCCTTAGAATACCTTGTTGGTCCTGAAAATCCTAGTTCCTTTTTAATTCTATTCTTGGCTGGTTGTTAGAACTGGTTTTGAAAAGTGCTCAAGAGAAGATGACTTAGGATAACATTGACAAAAAAGGAAAACCCATGTGTTATTCCT
Source organism: Homo sapiens (assembly GCF_000001405.40). Lineage (NCBI taxonomy): Eukaryota > Metazoa > Chordata > Mammalia > Primates > Hominidae > Homo > Homo sapiens. The sequence continues at coordinate 4,303,983 of NC_000018.10, forward strand.
AAGCAAAATTATAAATATTTTAACTATTTCCCAATTGAGGACATATGCTTTCCCCTATCAGACATACTTGTGGATGCATGGTAGCAGTTGTTGATCTTGGCATGTACATTTTTTAGTCTGAATTCATAAAACTGTGCAGAAATGAAAAGTTGGTTATGAGAAGGTCATGAGAAATTAGTGTTTAGTGGGTACAGATTTTAAGTGGAGGAAGATAAAAAGTTCTGGAGATTGATGGTGGTAATGGTTGTAGAACAATGTGAATGTACTTAATACTATAGAATTGTACACTTTAAGATTGTTAAATAGTAAATTTTATGTTATGTATACTAAACCAAAATAAAATAAATGGTGATCCCAGTGCTTACCTTGGGTGGGGAACCCTCAATAATTAGAAACAATTATTCAAAAAATTTTCAAACACCTATTTGTGCTTTTTCATATTAATGTTTGCAGTTGTTAGTATTATACACATAATTCAATTCCACTTGAAAAACAATTGCTAGCTGATTCTGTGAACACATTTTGGAAAGATATAATTAGTTAATGATGCCTTGTCACTACTGCAGATTTTACACATTGTTAATATTGCAGAAGCTTCTTTAAGAAAATGTATTCTAAAGTTACTATCTTAGTATCTAAAATAATACTAACTAAAATATAGTCATTGGCCAGGCGTGGTGGCTCACGCCTGTAATCCCAACACTTTGGGAGGCTGAGGAGGGTGGATCACCTGAGGTCAGGAGTTCGAGACCAGCCTGGCCAACATGGTGAAACCTCATCTGTACTAAAAATACAAAATTTAGCTGGGCGCGGTGGCGGGCACCTATAATCCCAGCTACTTGGGAGGCTGAGGCAGGAGAATCGCTTGAACCCAGGAGGCGGAGGTTGCAGTGAGCTGAGATTGCACCACTGCACTCCAGCCTGGGTGACAAGAGCAAAACTGTGTCTCAAAAAAAAAAAAAAGTTGTCATTGTGAACTTTGCTAACATTATTCATTAAAAGTCATTCCTAACATTGTATGTTACTCTCCTTGCCCACTCCTTTTAGTCTTGAGACTAATAAATATTAATTCATTCATGGAATAAATTAAAACAATATTTTTGTTCCTATCATGTGCCAGGACCTGTGGTGAGGACGCACAAAAAGGAACAGACCCTGAGTTCAAAACTCCTATCTGGGTGTGCTTATGCGGTGAAGGAAGAGTAGGGATGTGAAAGGAAAGGGAGACAAAGCATGATGACAATGAGAATGAACAATAACATGAAAAACCAGCCGGGCGTGGTGGCTCACGCCTGTAATCTCAGCACTTTGGGAGGCGGAGGCGGGTGGATCACCTGAGGTTGGGAGTTTAAGACCAGCTTGACCAACGTGGTGAAACCCTGTCTCTACTAAAAATACAAAATTAGCTGGGTGTGGTGGCACGCGCCTGTAGTCCCAGACACTCGGGAGGCTGAGGCAGGAGAATTGCTTGAACCTGGGAGGTGGAGGCTGCAGTGAGCCGAGATCGTGGCACTGCACTCCAGCCTGGGAAACAACAGCAAAACTCCGTCTCAAAAAAAAAAAAAAAAAGGAAAAAGAAAAAGAAAAACCACAGGTCATTTAGTCCACGAAGACACGACCTTTACATGCATGCTGTCTCAGATGATCCTTCCAACAATTTTCTAAGTAAAGTACTATTGTTATTTCACCTTTACAAATGATAAAGTCATGCTCAGAAAGTCTATTCAATACCATTCTCAATATCAGAAAATTAGTAATTTGAGGTACCTGTCTCTGGTCATTTTACTTCAAAGCCTATGTTTTAAATCACATTATGATATTACCTATCCCTTCTAATGTTAAAACAAAACAAGCAAATCTACACAAGGTGAGAAAAGATAGTGTGGAACCTGGGAAAACAGTACAACAAAATTTGGCATGATTATTATTTTTTTTTTGTCAGAGGAATTTTAGGTTTTAGTTTTGGGGAAGTTATCGAGTAGAATGCTATCAGTCTCATTAATGAAACAACTCCCAAAACATTACACACACACACACAGACACACACAAATACACACACACACACACACACACACACACACACGGGGGAGAGGGGGGCGGAGAGAGAGAGAGAGAGAGAGGGAGAGAAATTAAATAACAGCAGATAGGTGATATCTGGAAAACTGGTGGATAACGAATGACTGCTTAACCAGATCCCAGGAAGGCAATTGCCTGAGCTCTGAATGAAGAAAGCTTACTGGTAAGTTGATTCACATGTCAGATCTTCTACATTGCTAGGAAAGTTGGCTACAAAGGGGACACAAGTAGAGGGACTGACAGAAAGCTTATATTAGAAGAAGGAAGACCCATGCTTTACTTTGTCAAACTATCATACTGCCGTCCCTCCAAAAAGTTTAATATGATCATATCAGAAGGATATGAGAATAAAAAAAGAGAAAGTAAGAGTGTGTGTGTGTGTGTGTGTGTGTGTGTGTGTGTGTGAGAGAGAGAGAGACAGACAGAGAAGAAAATAAAGAAGAAAGGAGGGAAAGGGGAAGGAGTGGGAGAGGGGGTTGGAGGAGGAGAGGAAAACAGAAGCCCTGGTTATGGTTTAAACTATTTCCTTGTATAGCTTTCCAAAAATTAAATCTAATTTTAGAAGGTATTATAACTTACTATTACATTTTATAATAAGTTTCCCAAATGATACGGAAGTTTTAGACTACTACTTTTAGGGATTCAGTTAACTGACATTCTCTTCTAAAGCCTCTTTGAGGGATGTGGTGCCTGTTTCAAATGACATTTGCTACCTTAAAACCTAGGACTCGAGTTATCTATCCAAAGGCAAGTTGAGTAATTTTCACAAGAATTTATTAAGTCTATTAATCTTGTTTATTCCAGTGAAGCAGATCATTTATGTTCTTAGGTTATAGGTAAATGGTATAAAATTCTTCAGAGAATCAATGAGCTTTTGTTTTGTTTGTCCTTCTCAATAGCACGTTAATTTTAACTTTAAAAGGCATACAATTTGATTTCATAATTGAATCACAAGAAACACAAATAAAAACTATCAAAAGTTTGGTGCTAATAAATAAATCACCCAAATTCATACCTGGGAAATTTCAGATTTTACACAGTGAGGCTTTCTTTGAGCACCAAAATCCCTTTAGAATGTGTTAATGTGCTATAGGAGAGGGCACTGTGTGTATCCAGGTTGTCCTGGAAGAAATGCATTCCTAAAGACCAACTTAATCCAATAGAATTGAAAGTCTTAGCATTGAATAGTGAAGAGATGCATATTTAAGACATTCCAGAAGGTTCTTTTCCCTTCTGCTTGGATACTCATTGCTAGGTGACAGACTCCTTCTCCTCTTTCACGTCACCTCAACCAAAAACTCTGTTCTACCAGAGCCTCTCAAATGCCATCTCTGGTTTCCACCTTTGAAATGCATTGATTTATTCATTTGGTAAATATTTTTTCACACACAAAGTTACACAGCCACCATCTGTCCAAATCGTGCTAAATGCCACACAATATTCTAGGTGCTTTACATAAATTATTTCATGTATATGCAACAATACTCCAGTGTAATATGATCTCTTTCAACAGAGGAAGAAACTAAGGCTTAGAGAAACAGTGCACCAGCCACAGAAATAGAACACGGCAGAGCCAGGCGGCAGGGCCTGCAGTCTCTGCACTCTGCCCCGCCAGCACTCTGTCCCTCAGGTAGCAAACTTGAGGGTTTACTTTTTTTTTTTTTTTTTTTTTTTTGAGGCAGAGTCTTTTTCTGTCACCCAGGCTGGAGTGCAGTGGCATGATCTCAGCTCACTGCAACCTCCATCTCCTGGGTTCAAGCTATTTTCCTGCCTCAGCCTCTCGAGTTGCTGGAATTACAGGCATGCGCCACCACGCCTGGCCAATTTTTGTATTTTTAGTAGAGATGGGGTTTCGCTACATTGGCCAGGCTGGTCTCAAACTCCTGACCTCAGGTGATTCCCCTGCCTCACCTCCCAAAGTGCTGGGATTACGGGCATGAGCCACCGTGCCCGGCCGAGGGTTTGCTTTATACCTGTCCCTGTACTACACTTCACACCTGTCATCCCATCTGAATGTTACCACAAACTGATGAGCAAGGCACTACTGTTGTTCACTTATGCACAAGAGGAAACTGAGGCTTATAGGGACTAAGTCACTTGAGGAAGACTGCTTGTCTGATAATTGGTGACTGGGTGACCCAAAGACTCTCTCCTGCCCTACAGCGCAAGTTTCTACTCACTGCCCTCTGCCTTTGCTCTACCAAATATCTGCAACCATGCAGAGGTACTCTATAACTGTACTGATTTCTACCAGGACTTAATAAACATAAACTTATTTTGAGCTACATAAAAATATCTAATAAATATGATAAATATGCTAGAATCATGAAACAGTGATCAAAACTACTGTATCTAATGGCTGCTCTTTAAAATAATCTGTGTATTACAAGCTGTAATAGCTCCAGTGACATTTTCAACTTCATGGAAGATAAATTTAACTAGAAAACTCCAATTATGGAAAGAATTATTTTTGTACCATACGTATAACTTTAAACATCCAATTTCATTCAGATATAGGAAAATCATAAAACCTTTCCATCAGATTAACAATAAAAACACAAGGACTACCCCCAAACTTACCTGACAAAGAATTAAATTAAAAGGTTTAAATTGGTACAAATAGTAGTAGGTCTATGATTGAGACTCAAGTAGGAAAGGGGAAGAAAAACCGGAACAACTTCAATTTCTATGTGAAGAGCTGGCGGCAAATCTAATTAACAACACAAAGCCTCAGGCGAAGAAGCTGCTATTCTACCCTTTGCCAAATAAAATGAACTTCATCTTTTAAAAGCTCCAGCCAAGCTAAAATAAGTTACTAAATGGTAAGACGTGTGAAATCCAAGCCCTTTAAAGATACAGAGGCCAGAACAACAAATGTAATTGCTTCATTCCTTAACAAGCGGATTGAAAAGTAAACACCTTGTGGTCATTATAACAACTAAGTCATATAAATATATTTGATGCAGTATAAAATAAAATAACGCCTATAGAAATATTCCATACACTGTAGGCCTCTACAGTTATCGGGTAAGATGTAGGTAGGTAGGTAAGACATGACAACACACATGGCTTTGCTTTCAACTAAGGGCTTGGTTACCTGTACAGTTTCTGGTGATAGCATCCATTGAGAATACACACTTTGTTCAGCATTGTGCTTTGGGGTTCAAGGATAAATTTACAGTATCATACATGTACTTCAGGCCTTCAAACCGCTTGGGGAAATGGAAAGAGCGCACATAGCAATAGCACTAAATATATGGCGGAAGATAAGCCAGTGCTGAATTTTGTGGGTCAGGTGAGAAAAGTTTTAAAATGCTGAGGGAGGTTTCAAAAGCAAGAGAGTGCAAGAGAATTTGCAGAGTTTGCAGATTTGATGGGATTTAGAACAGTAGAAGGAGGGGGCATGGATGAGGAGGTCAGCTCTGGAAGGCTGAGTCAGGATGAACTAAGCACTAAGAAGAGCCTCTATCTTCCCCGAAACTTTAATCACAGAACTGAAATACAAAGAGAAATAAAAAATCGTTTAGCCCATTTTTTTTCTTCCTTAGTCCAATGCCCACTGTCAGTGGAGAAGGAAAGATGCTGTAATTACAAAAGCCAAGGAAGCAACATGATGTCTTAGAGAAAAAGTGACAGCTTCGGATTTCTAGGAATGAGGTCAAATTCTCACTCCAGAAGTTTCCTCCCCTAGTGACCTAGGACAACTTATTTAGCATTTCTAAACCTCAGTTTTCTTATGTATCAAATGGGGGCATTAATAGTCAAAGAGTAAAAAAGGCTCCACAGGCTTTTTGAAAATGAAATTCAGATGAGATAATGTTTAGCTTCTTTCTCTTACACCATCTCTTCTCCACCTCTAGAGAAGGGCCTGAGTATCCGCTCTGCTTCAGTGTGAGTGGCTTCTTGGACACTGGTGATATTATGAAATAATTTTTCCCACTCCAGGCTAGACTTGAGGACTAAATATTGTGTGATCTAGCCATATTTTTGTATCTAATTCAATTGCAGGAGAAATGGGAAAGCTTCAATTAACACATTTTGTTAGAAGACCTAGGCTCTGACCTCACCTAGGAGATACTTCTGTGAAGGACTTATACCAGGATTTGGTTGGGTTAGAATCGTTCCTGTGGGAAATGAGACTCCTCATTCAGAAGATACTTTCCAGTTTCTTGGGTGTGAGTTTTTTTTTAATTGCATTAGATTACACATTTTCTCCTTTTTTTGTTGTTTTTACTGTTAACATTAGTCAGCTTGCATATGTGCATATGCTCAACGCATGCGTGTGTTGTTTTGAAACACAAAACAACTGGTGCTTTGAAAAAGTTAAACATCTACAATAAAATTCCAATTGCCATCTTCCCCAGGAAGTTTCCCACTTCATTCTTTAAGGTAAGTTCAATTTCCACTTCTTCAAGAAGGCTGCAATCATCCACTGCTTTCCTGATTTACTCCTCTCCTCCCGTTAGGTTAGGTACTCCTTTTATGTGATTTCCTACAACCTTGAACACATCTTTAGCACTGTGCTTTATCATAGTGTACAGGTTTACATACATTTTCTGACTCCAGGCTGCGAGTTCTTTGGGAACAAGAACCCTCTTATTCCTCATTGTATCCTGTGTTTAGTTGTCTGGCATATAACGATGCACTCAGTAGGTAAGAGCACAAGATACTTATCTAGAAGCAACAGAAATGTCACCCTGTCCCTTCCCATTTAAATAGTAAACATTATTCTGTATGCCAAAAGGTTCATTCATTCTTGCTTTGGTGCTTCTTCACATCATTCTCATATATAAGACACAGCCTCCCTAGCCCAGTTCTTTACATCATCTTAGCAATTCTCTGATTGTTTAGAAGGCCTTACAGAACACCGTAGGTGCCTTACAGAACACCTTAGTAATTCTCTCTGCTGGGTTTGATTCTTTCAAATTCTTAGCCCACTAAATGCACTTTTACTCTATGCTTGCATGTAAAGGATGCTGACTTATTTTTCCTTTCAAAGCCTAGGTCTAAAGAGAAAACAACTAAAAAAATTCTGCAGCATTATACAAAGTAAGCCCAGGTATTAGTCAAAGTCCAATTCCAACACCTTAGGCCTACTTGATAAGATGTGTTCTCCCTTAGGGCACAATTCATCTGTAATCACTGCTACTGGATACTGACTTGAGCAGAACTATAAACATTTTATTGCAGATAGCTTGACTTTGACAAAGGCAAAATCTTTTTACCCTCTAATTCATAAGATCTCCTCATTTACTCATCAGCCTTACTTTTTAAGAGTGCCCACTGGGATAATTACAGTGGTTGTTTCACTCATGTCGGCTTTATTTAGATAATAAGCTCAAAGGCCAGGGATGCCTTAGCAGTTTCTATCTTTAGCACTGAATACAATATATGAGAATAACATTTGTGAAATGTTAATACCAGGTTTTTAATATCTTTTAGTAACAAATCCTTTTGAATTGTCTAGGGGCTACACTGGAGTCAAGTTTCATTTATTTTCTTCTTGAGATTTTTATATTGATTCCAATGCTAGAAATTATAGGCCATTAGTGGATCATTGAGCATTTCCTCTTCTTGAACATTTTCAGTAGTGTACTACTGATACTTAATTCTAAATTTAATCTAGATATGTGCTCCTCTAGATCCAATGCCAACTAAATATATATATGTATTTTGAGACAGAATCTCGCTCTGTCGCCCAGGCTGGAGTGCAGTGGCGCAATCTCGGCTCACTGCAACCTCCACCTCCCGGGTTCAAGCAATTCTCCTGTCTCAGCCTCCTGAGTAGCTGGGATTACAGGTGCCCGCCACCACGCCCGGCTAATTTTTGTAGTTTTAGTAGAGACAAGGTTTCACCCTGTTGGCCAGGCTGGTCTCGAACTCCTGACCTCAAGTGATCCGCCAGCCTTGGCCTCCCAAAGTGCTGGGATTACAGATGTGAGCCACCATGCCTGGCTAATTTTTGTATTTGTAGTAGAGACAGGATTTCACCATGTTGGAAAGGCTGATTTCAAACTCCTGGCCTCAAGTGATCTGCCCACCTTGGCCTTCCAAAGTGCTGGGACTACAGGCATGAGCCACTGTGCCTGGCCCAGTGCCAATAATTTCATCAAAAATTTTCTAAGCGATAATTCAGTAATAAGAGTTTGCCACGTACTGTTCTCAGTGATTATATACACACAAAAATTGACAGGTATTTTAAAACTTATTCAGTGTCTCACAACCAAGAAGCAATGCCTACGATTTATACACAGGTTTAGAATTTGAACATGGTCTTACCACTACATCCTACACCAAGATTATACAATACTAACTAAGGTGATACAGATGGTCCCCAATTTATGATGGTTCCACTTAAAAAATTTTTCAATTTTATGATGAGTTTATCAGGGCAGAACCCCACCATAAGTGGAAGAGCATCTGAACTAACAATAATTCAACTTATAATTTTTGACTTTAAGTTTGTCAGGGTGTGAAATGTCTTTTTGACTGATATTTTTGACTTACAGTGGTTTACTGGGATGTGATCCCACCGCAAGATGAGGGGCATCTGTACTTCAATTTGGAAACACTGACTTGAATCATAAAATTTCTGACTAAAACTATTAAACATAATTGTAGCATTTTATCATTACATTTATCTGTCAGTTTTATTTTACCATATTTTATTTCTAATATTATATTTACTGAATAATTCTATGATATAATCGTTTCTGTGCCAAAGTACAGAAATAACAGATTTTTGTTATTCCTAAGTTTTACTAGAATTTAAGTGACTTTAAAATATAATCATAGCCTTAGAAAATTTGTTTAGGGAAAATGAAAGTCATTTATTAACTCTCTATGGTAATATTTTAGTGTTAGTTGTGCAAACATGCGTGCCAGGACATGCACACACAAACTCATTTAAGCTTTGCTTTTCCATATTGTGTCCTCATTTTACTTACTTCTTAGCCTTATTAAGAGTAGCAGAAAGTGACCTACATTTTCCTCTCCTAAAAAATTATGCTTGTCATGTTTTCTGCAAGTCATATTCAGTCTTCCAACAAATGTTTACTGCTTGCAATGTTTATGGTGCTTGGCATATTATCAGTAAACAAACAGAAAAATGTCACTGCACGAAGCTTGTATCAGAAGACAGACCATAAATAATAGAAGCACTAAATAAGGAATTTTATAGTAGGTGAGAAGGTGATATGTGCTATGGAATAAAGAAAAAGTAGATGTGGGTTGGGTGGATAGAGAGACCTGGGTAATGGGAGTGGAGACAGTTGTATCCTTAAATAGGGTGGTCCTGGTTGGTACCGTTGAGAAATGGCTACCTGTTTGAGGAGAAGAGAAGAAAGAGATGCAGTTAGCCATGCAGCTACATGAGGGGAGTGCAACCTGGTCAGTCAAGAATATTTTTATTACTTAAAACTGCCTTTAAATGCTTATTCTTGTGAATAGGGAGACCAAAATGTGTGTTAGACGAAACTCTGACAGTTCATTGAGGGTGAAAATGAGCTGTAAAGGGCTAGATTGACAATGAACAAATGCAGGACACTCATCGTTTCTGCCCTGCAAATAGGCTCTGGCTTAGCAGCATTTCTGAGATAAAAAATGAAAATTCCCCTGGACATCCTCTGAACAAAAAGAGAACCTTCTGAAATGATGGTATTTACTATTGTAATACATTGAAAAAGAATAGATAACAAGTTGAACTTCACTACAGATTAGGACCTAAAAAATGGCTAGTTAGCATGCTGCAGAAGCAATGAATAAATAAATTGTTAACAAAGAAGTGACTAGAACTGACCCAGATCAGTGCTCAACAAGACTTGGATAGATAAAGCCGAGACTCTTAGCTAAAGTGCAGCCCAGGGGAAATGTCTGCAGGTCATATGGAGAACTATCCTTCTTTGCCATGGGGACAAGGATAAGCACGGGAGTTTCAGAAGCAAAAATCAGAGACCTTTGACTGCAAATATTGAAGCCCCACAAGAGTGGAGAGAGGAGAGGCATCTTTGTGAGCTAAAGAAAGACCCCCTTCCTCATGCAGATGTAAATGGGACAAAGCCGAGGGACTTGCATCTAGGAAAAAAACAATTTGGAAGCCCATTTTCCAAATGATTGACCTTTATCTATATTCTGAGCAACTTGGCAGCACATTGATTCAGAACTGGGTAAGCAGATTCTGAAGTCTAGGAACTTTGACTGGAGGACACCAGCTGCTACTTCTTAATGCCCCATGATCTGAGAAAGGAAGTCTGTAAGTAAAAACCAAGCAATAACTGCTCTGAAGACCCAATAAGATTTTATGAACCTCTGTAATTTCTCTAATCACAAATTTGTAATTTTTGTTATTTGTATTTATTCCTTGACTCAAATATTACTTCCTCAAAGAAGCCTTCTCAAATCCCCTACTATGTAAACTTGCCTGGCTTTGCAATGTCAGAGGGTTTCTACAACGGTAATTAAAATAAAATGACAATTATATAATGGAATATCATATAATTAATTCTATAAAGTGATTTACAGCATGTATCTCTCTAAAATATGTTTTATAAAAACGGTAAGAACCAGGCTTGTTGGCCTTACTGTTGTTTCCCCAACACCTAGGCCAGTGCCTAAAGGAGTCACACAATAAACATTCCCCTAAATAATCAGTGAAGACATCCAGAAAACAAGACCTTCAGAGGGATTATGACATAAAATGTACTCAGCTATTTTCATAGGATGGTACGTTAGGGCGTGGTGAAGAATAAAAGAAAAGTCTAATTGGTAGACAGGCAGGTGACAAGAAGAGATAAGTGAAATACCCAGAGCCTACAGATACAGAGAATATGTGCTGACTTCAATAATGTAAAGCACTGTTATTGCTCCCAGGTTTACCGAGGGACAATATGAGAAACATTTATCTAAAGAATATCTGTTTTTCCCCAAAATTAAATTTTGGGACTTATGAAATTTATTACTTAGACTATTTAAAACATTACCTATAACATAGGTATTAACTTATAATTTAAGGGAAGGCTTGTGAGCATAGACCCTGGAGTCAAACTGCTAGGGTGGCCTCCCAGTTCTGTCCCTCACTGGGTGAGTAAGATGCTTAACCTCAATTTCCTCATCTGCCAAACTGGGATAGCAACTGCAAAGTGAGCCCTAGGGTTGAAAGAAGGTGTTTATACAATATATTTAAAGTGCTTATAACAGTGCCTAGCCTATGGCAGGTAGGATGTAAATTGATTATTATTGTTATTACTATCTATACACTTTTGACTGATAATATGGACTATACAGGCTGCATGTTATTATCTAGATATTTTGGAAAGAATTAAATGCTTGCTTGCCACAGCAAACATCCCTGGGTACCTGGCAATTCCCTTTCTCCTGCTAATTAGCTTTTGATTTATATTTTAACCACTCTCAAATTATATTGACTTATATAACTTTCAAAACTCTAAATTACCTCAATTGCTTTCTAGAAGTAGACAAGTAAAAAGTTACAATCTTTTAAGTATTATACATTGAATGCAATTTATTATGCTTATAATTACCAAATTCATTACAATTATCCCTTCTAAATTAGTCTGAAGGTCAATTAATTTTGAAATACAGTGTTTTGCAAACTTAAACTAATGAAAGCTAATTCAGCCCAGGTATCAGATATTTTAAAGACTGGTAAAATTACACAAACTTTTGAAATATACTTCCTAAATATTCAGATTATTTGCCTCTAACATTTGCATGATACATCATAGTAATTTTTTTGACTCTGAAGCAGAAATGAGTGAAAAAGCACAATATTCAGCACATAGTAAGTGCTCAAAAAATACTGATTGAATGAATGGCTGAACTGATGGTTTTCCCATGAGATGGCCTAAGGAGTTCATAGGACGGTTGGGTTTTATCACTATTAAAAATTTATCAAAAACTGTACCACAGGTTCTTGCTATAAACACAAAGAAAAACATAAGGTATAAACACAAACAGAACTAAGAATGAATTTTTTTGTACAATCTGGTTTCATTGCTATCTATGCCTTCTTTAACTACTAGTTGAAAATATGATGGACTAAAAGGGAAACCAGAAGCCTATTTCTTAAGCCCAACTGGATCCATCATAAAATTCTTCCCTAAACCTCTCTCATTAACTTTGAGCTGCTAATGCCTATTGATCCGTGTGTTACATGGCATCGTGTAGGCTGAAAGTAATAATGACAGTAACCGCCTATTAACTGTTTAAACTCTATATTGCATACGAAAACACCACAAGTTCTGGTTGCCATGCACAGCCGTACACTATAGAAAACAAGTGGCTCTACCTCTTACTCTCCATCCTGTAGAAAGTGCTGTCACATGTTTGATGGGGAAGATGGGAATCAGGCAGGGTCGGGTGGCACAGTTGTAGTTAGCAAGCCTGCTTCAATGAAACTGCCACTCTGACACAGTCTTACTCAGAGATATCCCAGAAAACCACGGTCCTCTCCTATGGCTCCACGTGTGCCCTGGAGAGACATGTAAGAGTAGAGGGCACCCCAAGCACAGAAGACAACAATGATGGAGGCCTCTGAGAACAGTGTTGGCCTCTGTACAGTTTCCTGCCACTCTACATTCTCTCTGCATGGTTGCAGCCATATCCTGACTATGTGCAGGGAGGATTTAAGGCCGTCGAACTGAACACTTGACACTTTGTTCTCACACTGTACTGTGCCCCGATGTGATTAAATTAGCAGGATCAATCTCTTCCTGAGTCCGGTTACTGACTGTATGCCACAATTTGGCCACTAGATTTATAATTTTTTCCCATGTCCATATCCCTGCTGAGCTCTCCAGCTTATTTAGGATAGGGACATCAATTTGCGGTTGCCCCCGACCTTGCAGGAATTTAGGGGTTTCGTTGGCTTTTTCTACCAGCAGTCCCTCCTCTGCTTCTGTCCTCCTTCCCTCATGACCTACACCCAGGTCTACTGGTGAGGTCCCTGCTGGAGATACCCTAGACATGAGATACCACCAGCAGAGATGTCACTGGCCTATTTTGAAATCAGGTCAGGTTTTAATATTTCCACGCAAAATGTGAAAATGTAGGGGGGAAAGGAGAGCGCTGGATGCCTTCCTATTTCACATCCATGTTCACAGTCCTACTGATGACCTTAGATTCCTCACTGTATGGTTTTACCACCTGTTGGGACACCTATTCATGTAGGGCCGTCACATCCTTGTTACTGACACATTCACCGGCTTATTTAATTCTTCATCTATTACCATCTTTTTCAAATGATATGTTCTGCTCACTGAGCTGGACTTGTAACATGTTTGCTACGCTAGTACCACCTGACAGGTCATGACATAGAAAAAAATCAGATCCATGATAATTTTAAGGTATCATGACATAGAATTACCTTTGAAATTCTATTCCATGTAGTTTCTTGTACACTGTCACAATAAAGGAGTGTACTTCTTGCTCTATTTTCTGTTTCTGAAGTTAGCAGTGAAAGGATTGAAGGAAACATATGTTTTCCAGGGCTGTACAGTCACTCTTTCATGAATAACTGTTTCACTGAATTCAGATATTAAAAAGTTTGCATACTCCCTATTCACCCAGAAACTTGTTTCTATTTAAGTATCTCTTTTGTTTTCCTCTCGAATCTCAAGTGCAGATACAGGATGGGGAAGAAAGGCATAGAGCTGAAGCATAATTGGAACTTGATCCCCAGGATGATCAAACACAAACCTTAACAGCTATTGCCATTGGGCAGTTATAGAACAACAAGTAAAATATATAAAAAGAGCTAAAAGCTTTCCTTTTCTTTCTCTCTCTTTTTGAGACAGAATCTCACTCTGTCGGCCAGAATGTGAGTGCAGTGGTGTGATCTCGGCTCACTGCAACCTCCGCCTCGTGGGTTCAAACGATTCTCCGGCCTCAGCCTCCTGAGTAGCTGGGATTACAGGCGCGTACCATCACGCCCAGATAATTTTTGTATTTTAAGAAGAGACAGGGTTTCACCATGTTGGCCAGGCCTTCTCAGCCTCTCAAAGTGCTGGGACTACAGGCATGAGCCACCATGCCTGGCCATAAAAGCTTTCCTTTTAAAAGAAATATTTCCCAGCTATGAGAAAGTGATATTAAAAAAGAAAGACATACCATAATACCCAAATATGGCAAATGGCTCAAATACTTCCCAGAAAACTTTTTATTTCCAGCATCACTAAAACATTCCTCTGTGGCTTCACCATTCATAGCTTGAAAGAAAATTCAGTGCATTTCTATTGCTTGACACGGCAAAATTTACAAATACGTATAGAGAATAAGAATTATTAAGATGTGAGCTGTTAAACCATGAAGCTGCCCTGCTTGAAAAACGGTAGGAAATCTGAAAGTTGTAACATGATATAAAAATCAAAGACCAATTCAAGTGCAGGCTGAATCTAGAACAATGCATTAAGCCTTTGCTTACAATGTGGACCTGCTTGGAATTCCTTCTAATGCATGAAAGAACAGATCGGGGCAAGAATTGGTAGGATATACACACAAAGGCTTTTCTGGAGTCGATGCAGGAGTTCCATCTTGAGAAAAAGAAATCAGGGATAGCAAGGTCTCCTTTATTTATTTTTCAGAAAATGTCATTTTCTATTTGCAACTTCATTAAGAATGTGCATCATATGTCACCATATTTCAATAAAAAAACTCAGTGTACTCATCTGTTTAAATAAGGGCATTACACTGAAAATAATCTTTTAGATCCAGGTACTGAAGTTGTCATATGTTTATCATTATTAATATCAAAAACATTTTACAGGGCTTCTGGTTAAGACAATGTAGATGTTTTCATTTAAAGACACAAAATTTCAGTTGGATAGGAGGAATATGTTCAAAAGATCTATTGTACAACAAGGTGACTATGGTTCATAACAATGTATTATATACCTAAATGTTGCTATGAGAATGGATTCTAAAATGTTTTCATAACACAAAAAATTATAACAGTGTGAGGTAACGGATATTTTAATTAGTTTGATTTAGCCATTCCACAATGTATACATATATCAAAGCATCATGTTTCACACCATAAATAAATACAATTGTTATCTGTGAGGTAAAAAATAAATTAGTTTAAAAAGATATATCTATGGCTTTTTTAAAACAAAATTCCTAGCATATACTTGTTTTACTAAGAGCTACCTCTGTGGTAACAGTTTAAAAATTTATAAATGTATCACCTCTGGAACAAAAGAACAGTAACACTATCTTATGTAGCCCTTCATGCTTTGATTTTTAGCGATTATATTGTCCTAAATTATTTTCTTCTGTATATCCTAATTTAAACATTTAGTGGATGTCTAATTATGCTAAACAACATGAGGGCTGAACAAAGGAGTACTCAGTCTAGTTTGGGGACCAAACAAATACAACTAGTATATGAGACAAGCTCCATTAGGGTCATATTAATAATCAGAAGGGGGATCCTGGGAGGAGAAATTAACTTTAATTCTTGAAGATGACTATTGTAGAATGATATAGAAAGGTGGAGACATTTTAAGTGGGTCCAGAAGATTTTCATAAAAATTGACAAGAACAGAGGCAGAGAAGTCGGTTGTTGAAAAGGCTCAAATCTACTTACTGTGCCCAGGATTCAGCATTTCAAGGGACAGTACTAAAGTGAGAATGAAAAACTAGTAAGAGATGAGACTGATTGGCATTTTGTGTCATTAAATCCCCATCTGGCTTAGGCAATAGTCACTGAAAGTTTCTAAACAGGAAAATCACATTTGAATTTTGGGAATAGGACTCAGCAATATTTAGAGGAAATTCCAGCCTCCCTCATTCCTTCATATACACATTTGCCTCTTCTCTCCTCAATTCTGAGGCCTCTCCAACCACTCATTCTGGGGTCTCAGCCCTCCCACTCTGGGAGGGAACCCCATCCATCACTTGTCTCCCCTCCATTCTCCCTCCAACCTTGTCTTTGCTATTATAACCTTCTTGTGAGAATTTAATAATCCAATGTTAATTAAATTTCAGAAGAATGCCATTCAGAAAGGTAATGAGAGCAGAGTAGAAGGTCCTAGGGGCATTTCCCCCTAAACATCATGCTTTGAAAGGAGGCAATTATGAGAAAGACAGAGTGAGATACTGTTTAACTGCTCATTCTCTGTTTCTTCCTCCCACGATTTTCACAGCTGCTTGCGTCATTTTAGCTGGTGGGCTAAGGGAAGTGACCATAACAACTCCAAATATGGAAAAAGATGCCCATTTGATGAGTTCCCTTTTTGTTTCTAGATGCACTCAAGCTGAACAGGTAAATTGGAGTTACTTTTTAAAGTTATTTGAATTAAATATATTTATTTTTTATTAGAGCTCTATAAATGATATATTCTGTCATTGTCTCATGAGTTATAATCTCTTGTTCTCTTTAACACAGCCCCACAGTACACTGTGACTCTCTTCTTAGCCAAAGCAGTAGCAAAACTGAGTGGGAGGCAAATACAGAAAGCCAACAGGCAAGATGTGAAACACGGAACTGTATAATCAATGTGCCTGAGTCCCCTCATTCACTCTCCTGTAAACACAATCAAAAGCTCTGATTTTAATTCACTCTTGCCCTCATGCATAAGGAATTAAAGTTGCCCTTTCCAAGCTTTAAAACATCTGTGGTGGAAACCCTAATTACAATTTTACACACACACACACACACACACACACACACACACACACACACACACAATACCAATGCAAAAAGAAAACCCGTAAGATTAAAAAAGAATACTTCACAATTCTGAGACGTTTAATGAAAATGAAAAATTACCAAAGGCCAATAGTGCCCTAGTATTTATTGTGTATTGTGGAATTTAATAAAGCCTTTCTGGGCACTGATATTAAAATAACCTTCATAACACTTTTAATTCCAGAATTTCAGGATGGAAAAATAGACATTTTTGAGTAAATATCTCTAAGTGCAAATGAAAAATATTTATTAACTTCGTCATCATTTATAAAAGAAAAATATTTTGAAAGTGCTGTTATTAATCCCCTTTTTCTCATCTCTTAGTTTGAGGACTCTGCAGTCTCCTGCAGATAACAAAAACATCATTTTCCATATGCAGACTGAGATGAGAGACTCCTGGATATTGTCAGCACCTAATGTTCACTGTAAATTTATAAATATGTAAGATTAATGCTAACATAAAATGAGTTAGTGGAAATGATTTACACAGAATCAATCTGACTTAGCCATAAAACATTAATTACAAGTATTATGATACAGCATCATTATTATTTCACCTGTTACTAGATTTTATGATCATAGTAAAAGTACTCAATCATTGACAAAGAATGTAACTACAGAAAATCACTCAACAGCTTCAAGTCTGAGCATGAGGGTAGTTTGTCATTTATTCTCTACTACAGTGAAAAACACCAGAGTGGCTTCACATAGTACTGGAAAGTTTATCTCTAGCAACTTCCAACTTAAAAGTAGTCCCCACCCCACAGATCCTATTCACATTAAAATCCAACTATACAGACAGCAATGATTTCCAGAATTCAAGTATCCATGCAGATACTGAAAACAGGCTTTGAACACTCCTAGAAAATTCAGAGCAGACCATCTGAAACAAATACTAAACCAATTCGGTTAAATAATACAAAATAATAAGACTTTAGAAATGGCTACAAGAACTTACTATATTTTATCAGTTAAGACATTTCTTGTTTCTAGGTATTATGTAACAAAATGAGGCAGGAGAAGTAAATTAAGCGTACACCTTGAAACAATTTTTATAAATATTTTCTTTTTGCATGAGGCCAGATGTTGTCTCAAGCAAAAAGAACAAAGCTGGTGGCATCCTACTACCTGACTTCAAAATATATTACAGGCTGGGTGAGGGTGGTTCACGCCTGTAAACTCAGCAGTTTGGGAGGCCTAGGGGGGTGGATCACATGAGGTCTCAGGAGTTCGAGACCAGCCTGGTCAACGTGGTGAAACCCTGTCTCTACTAAAAATACAAAATTTATCCAGGTGTGGTGGGGGGAACCAGTAATCCCAGCTACATGGGAGGCTGAGGCATGAGAATGGCTTGAACCCGGGAGGCTGAGGTTGCAGTGAACCAAGACTATGCCATTGCACTCCAGCCTCGGCAACAGAGCAAGGCTCCATCTCAGAAAAAAAGAAAAAAAAAGAAAGAAAGAAAAAGGGAAAAGCATTACAAAACTATAATAATAAAAACAGCATAGTACTGGCATAAGAAGAGAACCATCAACAAAGGGAGTGGAATAGGAGAGGTCAGAAATAAACTCACACATTTACAGTTAATTGCTTTCCAACAAAGGTGCCAAGAATACATAATGAAAAAAGGTCAGTCTTTTCACTTAATGATGTTGGGAACCCAAGTAGATATCCACATGCAGAAGAATAAAACTGGATTCTTTATCACAAACCATATATAAAAATAAACTAAAATGGATTAAATACTTAAACGTAAGACCTGAAATTGTAGAACTGCTAGAAGAAAACATAGGGGGAAAGCTCCACAACAGTAATCTGGGCAATTATTTTTGGATATCACTCTCTGAAAGTACAAGCAACAAAAATAAAAATAGACAAATAGGATTGTATCAAAGTAAAAAGCTACTGCATAGAGGCCAGACGTGGTGGCTCACGCGTGTAATCCCAGCACTTTGGGAGGCCGAGGCAGGTGGATCACGAGGTCAGGAAATCGAGACCATCCTGGCTAACATGGTGAAACTCCGTCTCTACGAAAAAATACAAAAATTAGCCAGGCGTTTTGGCGGGCGCCTGTAGTCCCAGTTACTCAGGAGGCTGAGACAGGAGACTGGCATGAACCCGGGAGGCGGAGATTGCAGTAAGCTGAGTTTGTGCCACTGCACTCCAGCCTGGGCACAGAAAAAAAAAAAAAAAAAAAAAAAAAGGAAAAAGCTACTGCATGGAGAAGGAAACGAGAGACTGCAGAAACAACTCAGATTGGGAGAAAATATTTGCAAACCACACATCTGATGAAAGGTTTATATCCAGAATACATAAGGAACTTAATAGCAAGAAAACAAATAATCTGATTAAAAAGCGAGCAAAGGATTTGAAGGGACAATTATCAAAAGAAAACATTCCTATAGTAAATAGATATGTGAAGAAATGCTCATCATAACTCTCATCAGGAAGAGGCTAATAAAACTACAGTGAGATATCACCTTATACTTGTAAAAATGGGTCTTATCTAAAAGACAAAAGATAAATTTGAGAAATAACATGAAGAAAAGGAAACCCTTGTACACCATTAGAATAAAAATTAGCACAGCTATTACAGAAACCAGTATGGAGGTTTCTTAAAAGATAAAAATAGAATTAACACATAATCCAACATTCCTACTTCTGGCTATATATATAAAGGAATTGAAATCAGTGTGCTGAAGAGGCATTTGTATCCCCATGTTCTTTGCAGCATTGTTCACAACAGCTAAGGTAGGGAATCAGGAATCAACTTTATTGTCCATGAACAAATAAACTAATAGAGAAAATGTGGTTCATGGCACATACTCTGAAATCAACCATACAATCTGATATAAAACAGGACTCAGCAAATTAAAAAAACAAAACAAAACAAATCATACCAACCACACTTTCGGACCATGGCAAAATAAAAATAAAAACCAATACTTAAAAAATCACTCAAACCATAAAATTACATGGAAATTAAACAAGCTGCTCCTGAATGACTTTTGGGTTAACAATGAAATTAAGGCAGGAATCAAGAAAATTTTTGAATCTAATGAGGAGGAAGATACAACATACCAGAATCTCTGGGACACAGCTAAGGCAGTGTTAACAACGAAGTTTATAGCATCTAACGTTCACCTCAAAAAGTAGACAGATTTGAAACTAACCACCTAACATAACAACTGGAAGAACTAGAGAAGCAAGAGCAAACCAACCCCAAAGGAAGCAGAAGACAAGAAATACAAAATCAGAGTGAAACTGAAGGAAATTATGATTGAAAAACCATACAAAAGATCAATGAATTCATGAGTTGGTTCTTTGAAAAAAATTAGTAAGATAGACCACTAACTACACATATAAAGAAAAAAAAGATAAGATCCAAGTAAACACAATTAGAAATGACAAAAAAGATGTTACCACTGACCGCACAGAAATACAACCAACAATCAGAGACTACTATAAACAGCTTTATGCACAGCAACTAGAAAATTTAGAAGAAATCAATAAATTCTTGGACACATACAATCTCGTATGACTGAACCATGAAAAAATTGAATCCTTGAATAGACCAATAATGAACTCTGAAATTGAATCAGTCATAAAAAGCCTACCAACCAAAAAAAAGCCCAAGGCCAGATGGATTCACAGCCAAATTCTGTCAGATGTATAAACAGGAGCTGGTGCCATTCCCATTAAAACTATTCCAAAAAATTGAGGAGCAGGGACTCCTCCCCAACTCATCCTATCAGGCCAATATCATCCAGATACCAAAACCTGGCAGAGACACAACAACAACAAAAACACTTCAGGCAATAACCTTGATGAACATAGGTGCAAAAATCCTCAACAAAATACTACCAAATCAAATCCAGCAGCACATCAAAAAGCTAATTCCCCTGTAATCAAGTAGGCTTTACCCCTGGGAAGCAAGGTTGGTTCAACATACACAAATCAATGAATGTGATTAATCACATAAACAACTAAAAACAAAAACCACATGATTACCTTAATTGATGCAGAAAAGCCTTTTGATAAAATTCAACATCCTTTCATATTAAAACCATCAATAAACTAGGCACTGAAGGAATATATTTCAAAATATTAAGGGCCATCTATAACAAACCCACAGACAATATCATACTGAATGGGCAAAAGCTGGAAGCTTTCTCTTTGAATATTGGCACAAGGCAAGGATCCCCTTTCTTACTACTCCTATTCAACATGGTATTGGAAGTCCCGACAAGCACAGTCAGGCAAGAGAAAGAAAAGAAATCCAAATAGGAAGAGAGAAAGTCAAACTATCCCTGTTTGCAGATAACATGATTCTATATCTAGAAAAACCCATAGTCTTGGCCCAAAAGCTCCTTGATCTGATATACAACTTTAGCAAAGTTTCAGGAAACTAAATCAATCTATAAAAATCACTCGCATTCCTATACACCAACAGCCAAGCTGAGAGCCAAATCAGGAACACAATCCCATTTATAATTGTCACAAAATGAATAAAATACCTAGTACTACACCTAACCATGGAGGTGAAAGATCTATACAATGATAATTATAAAATACTGCTGAAAGAAATCAGAGATGATACAAACAAATGAAAAAACATCCCATGCTAATGGATAGGAAGAATCAATATCATCAAAATGGCCATATGGCCAAAAACAATTTGCAGATTCAATGCTATTCCTATCAAACTACCAATGACATTCTTCACACAACTAAAAAAAAACTATTTAAAAATTCATATGAAACAAACAAACAAAAAGCCCAAATAGCCAAGGCAATCCTAAGCAAAATAAACAAAGCTGGAGGTATCATATTACCCAACTTCAAACTATACTATAGGGCTAGAGTAACCAAAACAGCATGGTACTCGTACAAAAATAGACACATAGACCAATGGAATAGAATGGGGAGCACAGAAAGAATGCCACACACCTACAAATATCTGATCTTTGACAAAGCTAACAAAAACAAGCAATGGGGAAAAGATCCTCCATTCAAAAAGTGTTAGGATAACTGGCTAGCCATATGCATTAGATTGAAACTGAACCCCTACCTTACACCACATACAAAAATAAATGCAAGATGGATTAAAGACTTAAATGTAAAACCTAAAACTATAAAAACCCTGGAAGTTAACCTAGGAAACACCATTCTAAACATAGAACTTGGCAAAGATTTCATGATGAAGATGACAAAAGCAATTGCAACAAAAACAAAAATTGATAAATGGGATTTAATCAAACAAAAGAGTTTCTACATTACAAAGAAACTATCAACACAGTAAACAGACAATCTACATAATGGGAGAAAATATTTGCAAACTATGGATCCCACGAAGATCTAATATCCAGAATCTATAAGAAACCAACAAATTTGTAAGCAAAAAACAAGCAAAAGTGGACAAAGAATATGAACAAACACTTTAAAAAGACACACATGCAGCCAATAAACATATGAAAAAATGCTAACATTGTTAATCATCACACAAGTGCAAATCAAAACCACGATGAGATACTGTCTCACAGATGTCAGAATGTCTATTATTAAAAAGACAATAAAAGTAACAGATCCTGGCAAGGTTGTCGAGAAAAACGAACACTTATACCCAAGGAGTGTAAATTAGTTCAGTCATTGTGGAAAGCAGTGTGGCATATCCTGAAAGAACTGAACACAGAATTAGCATTCAACCCAGAAATCCCATTATTGGATATATACCCAAAGGAATGTAAACTATTCTACCATAAAGACACATGCACGCATATGTTCATTGCAGCAATATTCACAATAGCAAAGGCACGGAATCAAACTAAATGCACATCAATAGTAGACTGGATAAGGAAAATGTGGTACATACACACCATGGAATAATATGCAGCCATAAAAAAAGAATGAGCTCATGTCCTTTGCAGCAACAAGGACGGTGCTGCATTTGTGGGAGACCATTATCCCAAGCAAACTAACATAGGGACAGAAAAACAAATACTGCATGTTCTCACTTATAAATGGAGCTAAACAATGAGAACACATCGTTACTAGGAGGAGAACAACAGACAGTGGGCCTACTTGAGGGTGAAGCGTAGGAGAAGGGAGAGAATCAGAAAAAACACCTATTGAGTACTATACCTATTACCCAGCCGACAAAATTATCCATACACCAAACCCCTGCGATGTACAGTTTACCTATATGACAAAGCTGCACATGTACCCCTGGACCTAAAGTCACATTTATAGAAATACAGAGTAGAATGGTGGTCATCAAAGGCATGGGGGTGGGAATGAAGGAATGAAAAAAATGTTAATTAAAGAATACAAATTTACAAATTTTCGATTAGACATAGAAATAAGTTTTTGAGATGTACTGCACAGCATGTTGACCATAATTAATAATAATGTATTGTGTATTTCCCAACTGCTAACATGGTAGATTTTAAATGTTCTCATTACAAAGAAAAGATAGTATGTGAGGTAATGGATATGTTAATTAGCTTAATTTAATCATTACACAAGGTACACATATATCAAAACATCACATTACATCCTGTACCCCTAAATATATTGATTATGTGCCAATTAAAATAAAAATTTAAATTTAAAAGAAGTGATTATACTTGCTCAATGTTTTTCACTTAATGAAGGTGTAAGTAATCAAGAGCTTTTAGATTCTAGAATTTAAAAAATCAATTTTAGTAGAATTAGAAATTATTCAATATTGAAGTATAATGGATCAAGCTTTGAGGTCTCTGTAGAAGATCAAATATTTCTGTATGAATTATATAAACTTATTCTTCTATTGAAATGCATGTTGCACACAATAAAATTTATCAATTGTGCACATACATCTTAATTTGTAACATATACTCTTGTATAATGGGTACACTCCAGATGTACTCAGGTTTTATACTCAGAATATAGAATATTTTTGTGAAAGCTCTCTTGCATCCATTAGTATTCAATAGTGTCACCCCATTTCCAGCTTCTGAAAACCATTGTTCTGCTTTCTGTCACTACAGTTTTTCTTTTCTAGAATTTCACATCAATAGAATCGTATGGGATGCAATGTTTGTGTTTTGCTTTGATGGGAATCAGTATATACCATGCCGACATGTGTCATATTAGCACAAAAATTATTTTGAGCTGAAGACATTTGAGTTCCTGAAATCCCTTATCTGCCTTAAAGCAGAGCCTCCTAATATAATACGAAAAGACTGAATTGTCATAAATCCCCTACCCCAGAGCAACTACCATCTCTTATCTATTTTCTTAAGAGCTCATTTATCTTTCCAAAATAATTTTCTTTTCCAAAAGGGCCCTTTCTTTCCTCCCCGCTTCCCCTACTAAGTTAGACATTTAGACCCCAAATTCAATCACCTATTGAGTTACTCATCACTGAGAACTCCCAAGTATATGAGCAACACATATGTTAATAAACCTGTTTTTTTCCTCGCTCTCTCTCTTTAAGCTGTGTTTTGTCAGTCTAATTTACAAGGGCTCAGCCAATGAACTAAAGAAAAAAGAAAATTTTTTCGTTCCCTACATCTCTTTTCACTTAGTAAAATGATTTTGAAATGCATCCATGTTGTTGTATGAGTCAATAATCTGTCCCTTTTCATAATGGATAGTGTTCCATTGTATCTGTATTCCATGATTTGCTTGCCTATTCATCAGTTGATGGGCACTTAGAGTTGTTTCCAGTTTTTGACTATTATAAACAAAGCTTGCAAGAACATTTGAAAACAAGTCTTTGCATAAACATATGTTTTCATTTCTCTTGGAGAGATACCTAGTAGTGAGATTACTGGGCCACACAGGGTCTACCTTCCTTATTAAGAAACTGTAAAACTATTTTCCAGTAAGTTGTACCATTGTGCATTTCTACCAGTAATGTACGTTTCCAATTGCTTTGCATCCTCACTATCATTTATTATTGCCAGACCTTTTCATCTTAGCCACCCCAGTGAGTGTGAAGTAGTGTCTCATTGTGATTTCCATTTGCATTTCTCTAATTACTAACGATGTTGAGCATCTACTTAGGTACTTATTTGGCATTCATTTACCTTCTCTTGTGAAGTCTCTCTTCAAATAAAGTGCAAGTATTTTTAATAAAAATCAGGTTGCCTTATTAAGTCATAAGAGTTCTTATATCTACTAGATATAAATTTCTTATCATATATGCTCTTTAAATATATTCTCCCAGTCTGTAGCTGGTCTTTTAATTTTGTAAGTAGTATATTGTGAAGAACAAATATTTTAACTTTAAAATGTCCAATGTACCAACATTTTCTTTTATGACTTGTGCTTTTTGCCTCACCAAAACTCACAAAGATATTATTTTTTTCTTCTACATTTTATAGTTCACTGCTCTCTATATAGTTTATAGCTCTATAAACCAGTTTGAATTGTTTTGTATGAAGGATGTGAGGTCGAGGTTTACTTTTTCCACAAGGATTTCCAATTGTTCCAGCATCATTTTTTGAAAAAACGAAGATTTCTACATTGAATTACCCTGGGTCCTTTGTTAAAAGCCAATTAACCATATTCCTGAATTTTTTATTTTTTCTAATGATCTAATATGTATTCTTATTGCAATATCACACTATCTTGACTATTTTAGCAGTAGAGTATGACTTGAAATCAAATATTGTAAGTTCTCCAGCTTTGTTTTCTGTTTAAAATTTTGTTTAATTACTCTGTTTTTTGCAGTCTCATGTACTTTTCAGAATTAAGTGGTCAATCTACTATAATGTTTTATAGGATTCTATATTATTTAATTCACTAGGATTACATTGAAACTATCGATCACTTTGAAAATAATATCTCAACACGGTTGAGTCATCTAATCTGTGAAAAGGGAATATCTCTCCGTCATTGAGTTCTTTTTAAATTTCTTGGTTATGTTTTCAGTCTATAGATTTTGAAAACATGGGTTGCATTTATTTCTGTTTTTAATGCTTTCATGCTATTATAAATTCCATTGTTAAAATTTCAATTTTTAGTTATTGGTGTTAGTATAGAGAAATGCAATTAATGTTCATGAGAGATATTGGTCTTCAGTTTTCTTTTGTTATAATGTCTTTGGTTTTGGTAGCAGGATATTGCAGACCCCATAAAACGAGGTTTGGAGAATTACCTCTTCTATTTTCTGGAAGGGTTCCTATGGAATTGGAAATATTTTTTGCCTGAGTGTTTCATAGAAATCATCAGTGAAGCCACCTGGGTTTGAATTTTTTTTTGATATTTTAAACAATAGATTAAAATGCTTGATAGACATTGAGCTTTTCAACATTTACCACTTTCTTCTTGACAGAACTTTGATAGTTTGTGTTTTTCAAAAACATTTTGCATTTCATCTTAGTTGTCAATTTTATTGGCTTAAAGATGCTCACTCATCTTTACCATCTTTTCATTTCTGTAGAATCTGTAATGATACTCATATAATTTTCTTGATATTATTAATTTGTATTCTCTCTTTATTTTCTGATTGGACTGGCTAAGGATTTGTCAATTTTATTAATGCTTTCCAAGAACTGCCTTTTGTTTTCTTTAAATTTATTTTTTACTGTTCTTCTGTTTCTATTTAATTACGTCCTTGACTTATACTCACTATTTCCTTTTTTCTGTTTGCTTTGGTTTTAATTTTCTTTTCTTGCCATATAGTCTCTTTAGACAGAAACTTAGACCATTGATTTGATACTTTCTTCTTTTCTAATATAAGCAATTAGTGCAAAAATATTTCTCTAATTATTGTTTAGCTGTTTTTTACCCATTTTGTTGCATGGTAACTTCATTTTCAGTCAGTTCAAAATATTTTCTAATTTCTTTTGTGATTTCTTCTTTGAAATGTGGGTTATATACAAATGTGTTCTTTTGTTTTTAAATAGTTGCCAAATTTCAAGATACTCTTTTGTTATTGATTTATAGTTTAATTTCTTTGTGGTCAGAGATTATACTTCACATGATTTCAATCCTCTTTAATTCATTAAGATTTGTCTTATGGCTCAGCATCTGGTCTCTTCTGGGTTATGTTCTTGGTGTGTATTTTCTGTTGATGAGAGAAATATTCAAGCAAATCATGTTAGATGATAGTTTGTTCAAGTCTTCTATACTCTTTCCAATTTTCTCTACTTGTTCTATCAGTTACTGGGAGCAGAGTGTTGAAATATCTAACTGTAGTTGTGGACTTGTCTCTTTTTCTTTGTAGCTCTATCAAGTTTTGCTTCTTATGATGTGAGGCTCTGTCATTAGGTGCAGAAACGTTTAGGACTGGAATGTCCTCTTAATAAAGTGATATCTTTATTATTACAAAATGTCCCTTTTTTCCCCAGTAATATTCCTTGTCTAAGATCTACTTCATTTGACATTAACAAAGCCATCCTAGCTCTCTTTTGATTACTGCTTGTGTGGCACACCAATTTTCATCTTTTCACTTTTAATGTCTTGCTTAAATGTATCACGGGACTGTGTTTTCTCCACCCCTCCACCAGTGCATCACTCCCATTATCGAGCTCTCTATAGGTCAGTGAATGGGACACAAGACAGCGCTCAGGACAGAAACTTAGGAAATGACTCCATTCCTCTTTTCTCCTACCCATCAAGGGGATCCTAGTGATTCTTCAGAAAACACAAAAAACTCGTTTACCTGTCTCCACATCCACAGTACAAACCTAAAAGAGGTCAAGATCTTCATGACTCTAGAGCTCTTGACCTACCTCCTAGCTCCCTCTGTAACCCACCTTCATGCCATTTCTTGTACCAGCAGCAAGGATGATCTTAAATACATGGCATTATGACCCTGCTTTAAGTCCCCTGGTCCCTTCCCATTGCACTTCGAACAAAATGTAAATTCCTCCCCATGACCAAGAAGCCCTAGATGACTGGCGCCCTGCTTCCTCTGTAAGCCCATTTCTCCTTGTGGACCACCACACTTCGGTTCCTCCTGGTCTTTCGGCTTCTTGATTCTATTAAATTATTTCTTATCTAGAGCCTCTGCTATTGCCTCTGCCTGGAATAAATTCACCTGAGTACTTTCCATTATTAGCATTTAAACTGAGACTGCAAGCATGCGAAAGTGTTATCACTTTATTCATTCATTCTCTCAACAAATATTTGTTCAATGCATACAAGATGTCAGACACTAAGCTTCATGCTGAGAAGGAAATGGTGAGCCTAAAGATATTTGGTCCTTGCTCTCAAGGAGCTTACAATTCAATGGGGAAGACAGGCATCACTCCAGGAAAGTGCAAATATGCACTAAAAGAAGTCACATAAAGAAAGTGAGCCCAGCTCTATGGAAACCAATGATAAAATGGAAATCAACTGAGGCTGTAAATAAGGCTTTCTTGAGGATGGATTCTTTGACCATGATTGGAATGGGGAGTAGGAGTTAACCAGCATACTGTGAATCCAGTGGTGAGGAAAATCATATTAATCGAAACTTTAGTTCATATACATGTACGGTTAACAAGATACAGTATGACAATTTTGATCAGACAAATCATGATTAGTAATTAGTTACAACATGCTCAATGTGGCTCAATCTTGTCATATTATCTGAAAGTAAAATTATGGATTTATTATTTCAGTAAAGAGGAATAATATTTTGCGTATTATTAGGTAGAAAAGATTTTTTTAAAAGAGTAATAACAAGGTTTTTTTTTAAAAAGCAAACTGATTCCTAACTAGTAAATTTAGTAAAATAAAAACACATGTTAATGATAGTAAAGATTAGCAAAAACAAGAAATACTTTCATTTCCAAAGCTGCATTCCTTAGGCCTCATCCAAAGATGCCAAAACAATTCAACTCTTCTTTTGATGTGGACTTAAAACTAGAGGCAGAATGGACCAATACAAAAGGCAGAGACATTTGAATATTTCACATTTGTTTCTGGGGCTGATACCTCAAATGGCCTGGGTTGGAGGTAAAGTTAGTCATCTAATGTACCAAATGGTGCCATACTTCACATCACTTGACATATTCCTCCAAATTGACTTCAAAGTGTGATTTTACATTTAAGCCCCATTTTCCTTCTGACCTCTCAGCTATGCTGAAATTAACTAATGTCTTATTTACCTATACATGTTATTTCTGCCTACCTGTATTTACCCAAATTCTATTTATTTTAAAAAATCGAGTTTAAAACTAAACTCTTCTCCCTCAGTTCTCATCTTTATAAAAGTTTCTCTGTCAGCAAGTTCTGGTAATCTAATCTTGGTGATATTTAGCTACATATTATCCTGCTTTCCTGTGTAACTGTTTCATAGGTGCGCTACTTGCATCTCTCAAATCAGTTAACCATTGATGTTTAATAAATGACTCCAAAATTCAATGGCTAAAAACTATGACCATTTACTTAGCTCACGATTCTGCTGAGCAGTTTGTCTGGCCTGGTTAGGTACTGCTGATCTCGCTAGGTCAGCTTATGCATTTGAAGTCAGTTTGAGAGTCAGCCAGGGGCTGCTCATCCCAGATGGCCTCACTTACAGGTTTACGGCAGTTGGCTGATGACTGGGTCACACTGTGTTCAAGATCTAGCAGGCTAGCCTGTGCTTCTTCCCATGGGTACTGGGTACTAAAAGCATCCAGAGGGTAAGCTCTACTATACAAGTGCTTTTCACGATTCTACTCAAATCATTTTTACAACTGTCTCAGTGGCCAAAGCAACCCACTTTTGGATAGGAAGACCTATAATGTCACTATCAATAGAGAGAGAGAAATAATTCGTGGTCATTTGTTATAATGGACCATATCTTTAGATTAAAAAAAAAAGAAGCATTTTCTTTGGAACCCGGTATCAGTGCCATGCATGTATGAAAGGCGCTCAAGACATTATATATATATATAATTTTTTTTTTTTTTGAAACAGAGTCTCGCTCTGTCACCTAGGCTGGAGTGCAGTGGTGTGATCTCGGCTCACTGCAAACTCCACCTCCCGGGTTCACACCATTCTCCTGCCTCAGCCTCCCCAGTAGCTGGAACTACAGGCGCCCACCACCACGCCCGGCTATTTTCAGGGTTTCACTGTGTTATCCAGGATGGTCTCTATCTCCTAACCTCGTGATCCGCCCGCCTTGGCCTCCCAAAGTGCCGGGACCACAGGCGTGAGCCACCGCGCCCGGCCATATTTTTAACTGAATGCTTAACTAAATGAACAGGCTGATAAAAGACCCACACCTCAGGCCAGGTGCGGTGGCTCACGCCTGTAATCCCAGCACTTTGGGAGGCTAGGGCAGGTGGATCACCTGAGGCCAGGAGTTCGAGACCAGCCTGACCAACATGGGGAAATCCTGTCTCTACTAAAAACACAAAATTAGCTGGGGGTGGTGGCACATGCCTGTAATCCCAGGTACGTGGGAAGCTGAGGCAGGAGACTTGCTTGAACCCGGGAGGCAGAGGTTGTGGTGAGCCGAGATCGCGTCATTGCACTCCAGCCCGGGCAACAAGATTGAAACTCCATCAAACAAACAAACAAACAAACAAAAAAACAACGCTCACCTCAGTCTATTTCATATGTTAGTCTAGTCTCTATGACAAAGTAAGTACTTTGTTT
This sequence comes from Homo sapiens, assembly GCF_000001405.40. Lineage (NCBI taxonomy): Eukaryota > Metazoa > Chordata > Mammalia > Primates > Hominidae > Homo > Homo sapiens. Next base: position 4,334,329 of record NC_000018.10, read on the forward strand.
TTTTTGTGGTAATACTTTAGTGTCATTTGCATATACATTGGTCAAAAGAAATGGGATAACTCAACTTCTTGATTGGGCAACATGAAATCTGTAAATTAGCATGAATTTCCTTCCTGGTACTGCAGAAGTTATCTCTGTATTGCCATAGCAAACTGAAATCCTACAGCCCTAATGATGGCTGGAAGATTCCTGACTTCAATTTGCAAAAGTATTTGTAAAAATGTCCTAGTCTGAGTTTAGGGATGGGTCATGTGTCTTCAGCAACTACATGTCATGCAAATGAACTTTTGCATTCTACTGAGGGATCAACTGTACAGGAACACAAAATGCAAGAGAGAGGAGAGGTTTCCGATCTTCTTAGGGCAGGGTGGGAAGAGGTTTGAAACAACAGTGGCTGCTACCACACTAATACCACTCCTCAACCTCAAACCTGCCTCCACCTGCATCTGTTTTAAGAATGATTTTAAATAGAAGCAATATATTCCTTTGAGTTTGACTTTATTTAAATTATGGAAATCATGACTCTAGTAAGGCACCCTAATGGTTCTTCAAGTCTTTGGAGAAAATAAAAGGTACAGTGAAGAAAGCCAAGAGAAATCCTAACAAGCTTGGTAGTATTTACATTTGGCTTTGAACAATTGTTAACACTGAATGTGAATGTATACATCATTTCATGCAATAGCTGTGTTGTGACAATAATACTATTAAAAACAAATTCTTGGTTCAAGAATCTCTCTTTAAGAATTATAGGCCAAATGGCTGCAGAAAGACACAATAAGGCAGCGAGCAGTTAATTCATCCAATTAAAAAACAGTTGACTGAGCAATAAACAATTATCCCAATAGGAGCATATTTCTTATGGGTGAGAATGTCCAGAATAGAAATAAAGACATTTATGTGGTTGGCATCAAAGCCATCCCGAAGAATGAGCAGAAACAGTGGACTAAATGATAAAAGTGTAGCCAATCATAAAGCTGTTTTTTACCTCCCTCCCACCTTCCACAGCATGATCCACTACACGAGAGAAAAGACAAGGATCATTCCTAGGTCCTCTGGAATTAACTCAGTGCCTTGCACAGTATCAGTAATAAAAATTGGTGAATACATAATTTAATAGTTCACAAAGCCAAGAAGCCTCATCATACTGCTTAAGTTTGTTTTATCAGGACTTGAATTTTTAGGTTGACCGGTCATTGAAAATGCAGATTACTTTAACTGCAATGGGAAGTCCTGTGGTTTCACCTGGCTCTGGAAAAGGAAGGAAACATAAGACAGTACTGTCTGGAGGAAACAAGGTCCTCTTTCAAAGCAAAGTGGCTAACTCCAGGGCTTCACATCCAAGCTTATGCACTAAACCTGAGAATGTAAAAAAAGAAAAATAAAATTACATATGTCCTGTTTTAAGTCCTCAGGAATCAAATATTCTAAAATGTTTGGTGCAAAATGTGTTTTAAAGGAGCAATCAGCAATGTCACAGAATTGAAAGACTGCGTTAGAAAAAAAAGTGTGCACTCTACTGGGCTTTTGAAATTGAAAATTCTATCAGCAATTTATCATATTCAGGTATTTAAAGTGTGCATATGAAATACATGCCATGAATTATTTGTGACATTTTTATGATTTAGAAACACAAGACTATTGGTTGATTTCCATTGCCATTTGGGGCACAAATTGATATATCAAAATACAAGCTTCAGTTTATCACACAAGAAGCAGCAAAATGCACTATCAATGCCAATCTGCCTGTTATCACTATTAGCATACTGCAGTACGTCTATTACAGTGCACGTGCCGACAATGCCCTCCTGACCCACACACCATTCATAGGTACTTTTGCTGCCCATTGGCACAGAAAAAGATACGTATGCACCATACAACTCCATTCTTCCAACTCCAATTCTGCTTATTGGGCTATAAGTGAATAATTCCAGGTTGACCAATCATATTATTCCCAGAAATCTAATGTGGTCCATAGAGGTGGACTCTGTTAGCTCTAGACAGCTGATCTGGAAAGTCTGTAGAAACAACACTTTGAGGACCACTGTGCTGACCACATACAACTGTGGAAGAAGCTGGTCTGAAGGTAGAAAAATATAGACGAGTGAATTTGAAGAAAGAATGAAAGAGAGGCAATGAGGCCCAAAGATGCTGGCAGCTAAGGAGAGTAACGGCTACTTCTAGGCCAGGATGAGCTCCTGTGACATACCTACATAATATACTAGTGTGTCCTCCCAGTAAATACCCTTCACCAAAGCTTCTGTTCCTTCTATCAAAATGGTCCTGTGGCATCTAATCTTATCTCATGTAAGGGGCTGGGTCAGTGGCTAATTCAAAGCCTAACATCCACTCTACTTTAATTAATAGATGGCATTTTACTATTAACAGTTGATATGGACATGTATCGAACAAAGGAGCTTCAATGAATAAAACTTTTCTAGTTTGTTGTAGGGGCTTATAGAATTGAGTCTCTCTCCTATTAGAGTGTAAACTCCTTGAGGATAAGATCTAATCTAGTTTATGTTAGCATTACGGTATCTAGAGGCAGGCGGATCACGAGGTCAGGAGATCGAGACCATCCTGGCTAACACAGTGAAACCCCGTCTCTACTGAAAATACAAAAAAAAAAAAAAAAAAAATTAGCCGGGCGTGGTGGCTGGCGCCTGTAGTTCCAGCTACTCCGGAGGCTGAGGTAGGAGAATGGCATGAACCCAGGAGGTGGAGCTAGCAGTGAGCCGAGATTGTGCCACTGCACTCCAGCCTGGGCGACAGAGTGAGACTCCATCTTAAAAAAAAGAAAAAAGAAAAAAAAAAAAAGAGCAAAAGTAGTAGTAGGTCAGTTGATACATTGATAGGCCAATAGTTGGCTTTTTTTTTTTTTTTTTTGAGATGGGGTCTCACTTTGTCACCCAAGTTGGAGTGCAGTGGCGCAATCTTGGTTCACTGTAACCTCTGCCTCCCAGGTTCAGGTGATCCCCCCACCTCAACTTCCAGAGTAGCTGGGACTACAGGTGCATGCCACCACGCCCGGCTAATTTTTCCTACTTTTTGTAGCGACGGGGTCGCCATGCTGCTTAGGCTGGTCTGGAACTGATCTTTAAATGATTCACCTGCCTCAGCCTTTCAAAGTGCTGGGATTACAGGTGTGAGCCACTGTGCCCGGCAAAGAGATGGCTTTTTAAAACAATTATAGTTCATATCCTTAAAAAGATTGTAAGAAGAATTTACAAATGTATGACATTTTAGAGAGAAATATTTTAGCTCTAGTATTCTATAAAAATCACACAAATCTCCTCAAGAGTTGTGTGTCGGGAGCCAATTGTCAATTCCAACAAATAAGAAAAATAATTGACCAGCCGAAACCAAAAAAATACATAGATACATATATAAAGTCATAGTTTTCTCATAAACATCACTGAGAACATTACTGGCAGTATTGGAATATTTGAATCAAACCGCTACTTTTATACTGGAGCCATTTTAGTTTTTTTATTTCATACTTTCATAGCTGAAATGAAATTTCAGCTATTTCAGTGCTGTATTTTACAATGTTCTTTTCACAGAAGTCTTTGTCAGGGGTCATTTTTTTTCCATATTGTCTCAACATTTCCCTTCACTTCTGTTTCGCTTTTAAAAAATTATCAGTGGCATTTGAAACACCACATATTTTAAAACAGAGTGAATCATAGTTTTTATCTCTCTGCTGTATTTAAGATAATAATGGATGTTGAGTAGAAACTAATCTTACCACTAATTTTAGCATCCATTAAAAAATTCCAATCAGTCTCAGTTTGTAGATCTTTGAGTATTTTGTGAAACTGTACATCTATTTTCCACTGTCAAGGCAATCCATTTTCAAATCATGATCACAAATAATTTCTTGGAAAGAAATTACATTTTTACTGTTAAAGGATTTAAAAGTTTGGCCAGACACAGTTTTATCAGCTGGAATGTAAAATCCCTAAAAGTAGAAAATTGTTGTCAGTTTTGTTTATTGAGATATTTCCAAAATCCAGAAAGGTGCTGAGTACATAGTACATGTCCAATAATACTTCTGGAGTAAATAAATCAATCATACCAAGTGTCAATAGTTGGGAAATTTTCAAAGGCCTTTTATTATCCTTGTAACACAGGTTTGTTAAATGACCCTGGGCATGTACCTGATTATATTGATCCTTCAGGCATTCATTTCCTAAATGTGTACTGAGTGCCTATTATTTATCAGGAACTGTGGCTCAGAGAAAGTATACCAAGATGAATAGATTATAGACAGTTCTCTCTAGGAGTTCACGATGAAAAGGTAAATAGAGGAGTGTACATTCTTTGTATGGCAAGATGATAAATACGACAGACGGTGAATGAATAAGACATTAAATAAATTTACAGCAAGGAGCTGCTTGTTTCTTTATACATAGATTGAGAAGTATAATTGCAGATTCCATTATGCAAATAAACTATTTCCCCTATGTGATCATCTATGAATAATTTCATAGGTCACCAAGGCACTGATCAGGACATTAACAGAGTCATTTATTCAATGTAAATGGCCTATTATTATAGCGGACCTTCAAAAATACGTTATTTGCTCATATATTAAAAATTTCCTTGAAAATAACTTATTATACAAGTGCTTTCCAATTTATATAGCTCTGAGACTGTGTCCAACTGATGGGGACAAAATAGTCATTTAACACACCGCAGATCAATGATTTCATTTAGAATATGTACGCGGAAGGTTAGTTAAGAACTAAAGGGTCCTGACTTTAGACTCACATGAAACTGGGTTTTGACTCCATTCCCATGAATTATTGACTCTTTCAGTCTACTGAGTTAAGTCAGGACCAAGTTTTCATCTATATGTACAAACTTTCTGCTGGTGTCAAAAAATACAGTTCATCAGAAGACCAAACACTGCATGTTCTTACTTATAAGTGGGAGCTGAACAACGAGAACACATGGACACAGACAGGGGAATAACACACACTGTTTTGTGTGTGTTGGGAAGGCAGCCAGAGGGAGAGCATCAAGACAAAAAGTTAATGCATGCGAGTCTTAATACCTAGGTAAGGTGCTGTTCTGTGCTGCAAACCACCATGCACATGTTTTCCTATGCAACAAACCTGCACATCCTGCACATGTATCCTGGAACTTAGAATAAAATAAAATAGAATTAAATTAAATGTAAAAAATACAGTCTATACAAACTGAGGCCACTTATCAATTATTTGTATTTTCTGATCACACAATAATGAGCTCACTCCAGTTTCCAATTATATTATGAAATATTCATAATTTTAATTGACCTCATCAGAACCCCTAAAATTATAGATTCTATTATTCCTTACTTAAAATTTCTCTGAAACCAATGCCAAGGAACTCTGAATCTTCCAGACTCAGTTATCCAAGATGGATTTAATATTTAACAAAAATACAGCATTGAATAGCAATACTTATCATTTACCCTGAATGTACAAGTCCTGCCAATGAAAAAGCACAAATTCTTGCACAAAAAGTGAAAGAAGATATGCTTTGACATAGGATATAACAAATACAATGTCAAGTCTACTGAAGATGTTTAAGTTTGGAATTCTTTAAACTACAAGATTTTAGACTTATATATTTAAACCCTTAACTCTCTTATAACAAAGTTTTATGTTACATTGGTCTTCTCTTATCAATGGGGGATATCTTCCAAGACCCCCAGCTGATGCCTGAAACCACATATAGTACTAAACCCTATATACACAATGTTTTTCCTATGCATACATACTTTTAGTAAAGTTTAATTTATAAAATAGGTACAATAAGATATTAACAACAATAACTAATAATTATTAGTTGAATATTATTAATGACATATTATAAAATAAGGGTTATATGAACACAAGCACTGTGGTATCTTGATAGTTGGTCTGATAACTGAGATGGCTACTGAGGGACTAATGGGTGGGGAGTGTAGACCCTGTGAAGATGCTACATGTGAGGATGATTCACATCCCAGAAGGACAAAGCAGGACAGAGTGAGGTTTCATCACATTACTCAAAACGGCATGCAATTTAAAACTTAGAATTTATTTCTGGAATTTTCCATTTCATATTTTCAGACTGCGGTTTACCATGGGTAACTGAAATCATGGAAAATGGAAGCATGGATAAGGGGATTGCTGTACACTCTTAGTAACAGCAACATTCACATGCATTATTTTTATACAGACTTAAAATTCAAAAACATTTCCACAAACACTATCTCATTTAATGTCCACAACAGCCCAGTAAATTGTTGTTATTAAGAAAAAAAAAACCCAAAAAACTATAGTTGAAGAGACCAAGAAATTGAGTTGCCTAAAATCACAGTTAGTAACTTGGTTCTCTGCCCTTAAGTCCAGCACCCTTTCTCTCTCACAAACAGATTTAGTTTTAGGGTGAATATAAGAATGTGGAAGATATTTGTGCATCCACTTTAGTCTTCTTTGCTTGACAATCATCCCTGCTTCAACATGATGAATGTTCACTTTCAGGTTTGGACACACCTAAGCAGCTCTCTCTGAATAAATCTGCCAAGAAATACACTAAAAATACTTCTATTACTAAATAATAGACTTTTACAAAAATTATATAAGGAAAATTCACGAGACCATAATCTTTGCAATTATGTCATAGAAAGAAACTTAAATAAGAGATTACATATGAAATAATGCTAGTTTTGATATTATTTAAGAGTTAAGGAGCCCTTAAGTATCTCACAAATGTAATCTACTTAATACTAGACCTGAGTGAAATTCCATAGTCTTTCCTCTCAATTCACACTAAGAACTATGAATGACGGCTATTTTATCTATCTGCTTTAAGAATAGAGGAATATATATATATATAAAAAGAAAAATGTGAAGAAGAGGGGAAAGTAGCTACTTTCTTATGAAGCAAAAACAGGATTCAGTAGAAATATTAGGTACTAATTATACATCATGCACTTTAGAAAACAAAAATCGCTTATGTACTAAGAAATTTTTGTCTCTGAAGCCTTCCTAACACCTCTTAACAAATTAATAAAACAAGACAATTGGATTATCAATGAACACCATAGTAATCAATACCAAAATGACTAGGTAATGATCTAATGAAAGGACATAATGTTTCAGTGGACCTTAAATTTTCATTAACCACTAATATCAATACCAAATACTTAATTTCCTCCAGAACAGTGGAGAAGTGATAGAATATTTCTTCCCAGGACCTACCCTGGGGTACACTAAGAGTATACTCAGACATTTGGGGTTTCTTTTATGTCTCCCGCTTCTACAAACCTATCCCCACCCTACACCTGTCTTTTCCAAGAAACAAGAAAAGCAGTCCTTACAGACTATCAAGAAGTAGGAATAATAGTCTAGAATTTTTTTAAAATAGTATTTGGTATACTGGATACTGCATATTTTTTGTCAGACATCAAACATAAGAGGGATTCATTTTAGCTCTTACTTGGAAGAATGTTTTGTTCTCAAAGAGTCTTTGAAAGAATAGTGAAGTGAAAAGCATGATAAAATGATGAAAGATAGCTTTGAAATTAAACTGATGTGAATTAAACTGATATCTCTCTTTCTCTCTCTCTCTCTGCATCTCTTGGTGGCGTGACTTTGAGCAAATTACTGAATTCCTTGAATCTCATTTTATCCACAAGTAAAAATAAATAGCTGAACCTGCCACACAAGATCATCTTCAGAATTTCTGAGCGGATAAAGTCCTCGGCATGCGGTGAACACTAAATAAATGTTCCTTCCCTTCCCAAATCCATAGAATTTTAAAAGACACAAGATTCAATACCTGGCAATATTCAACAGACTCAAAGTGGTAGTCTCTTCTGACACCCAGTTTGGCAGTAGGGTGTTTCTAGAAATGGTAACCCTGGGATCACCTACAACAGAGCCCCTGAACTTGATTCTGCTTGCATTTTAATGGTAGGCGAGGATTTTTTATATTAGATGTTACTTGTATTTTTGAACTATAAAATATTATACTTATGAATATAAATAGAATATGTTAAATGGATAAACACTCCCAAATATCTTACATTTTAAAAATTGGAAAGGAAATATCTTGCACTACTAAGACTAAATGGTTTTAAAACTCTGCTTTCTTTTAAATAAGAGCCATTTCTAACTTTGATCAAATGGCCTAATGTTACCTCATTGCCCACTTTGAAAGACCATATGGTGCATTTACTTGTAAATGCTTTGATGAAATAATTTAATTACATCATTCTTTCCAAGAATCTGGCTTAGGCTGAGATTACACAAAGAGGGAAATTAGCTCTATTGAAAATGTATTTGTTTTGGTTTTGGTTAATACTACATTTGCCACAAATCTGCAGATGTATGTTGAAAGATTTGACATATCATTCTTATACCTGCTTGCTTACACAATTAAGTTATTTTAAAAGACACTGGAAATAAACCCCCCAAAATGAAGAATATTTAATAGACAGAAAATCTTTACAAATTTTTTGATTTAATTGTTTACAACAATTCATAGAGAACATTATTAACAACCCTAGTAAATAGCTTTGCATAAACAATATCAGATCTGAATATGAGAGATGAAGCCAAAATTTTTGGCTTTATAAAGCTCACGGATTATTTCAGATTCAGGATTGTACTGGGATAAATATAATCTAAATCATAGTTGAACACTAAGTTTGGATTATGGGGCCGGGCGCGGTGGCTCATGCCTGTAATGCCAGCACTTTGGGAGGCCGAGGCAGGCGGATCACGAGGTCAGGAGGTCGAGACCATCCTGTCTAACATGGTGAAACTCCGTCTCTACTAAAAATACAAAAAATTAGCCGGGCGTGGTGGCAGGCGCCTGTAGTCCCAGCTACTCGGGAGGCTGAGGCAGGAGAATGGCGTGAACCCAGGAGGCAGAGCTTGCAGTGAGCTGAGATCGTGCCACTGCACTCCAGCCTGGGCGACAGAGCAACACTCCTTCTCAAAAAAAAAAAAAAAAAGTTTAGATTATGGAACTAGGTTCTAAGCATGCAGAACCATGGAGATAAGCCTGAGTACAAATCCAGACAAGTTATACAGAGTGAGTTGTGGATAGTGGTAGTATCCTGATTACTTAATATTTATTTTATAAAGTTTAAGATTTATTAGGTTGGGTCAGCAGTTTAAAGTTATAAATAAGGGTAAAACAGCCAAACTCTGATATTAAGAATCATCAAAGTATAAAGTTTGGCATATGGTGAGCACTAAATCAATGTTACTTTCCTTTCTAAATTAAAATGTTACCTCCCTTTTCAGGAGGGGAACATCACACACTGGTGCCTGTTGGGGGGTCGGGGGCTAGGGGAGGGATAGCATTAGGAGAAATACCTAATGTAGATGACGGGTTGATGGGTACAGCAAACCACCATGGCACATGTATACCTATGTAACAAACCTGCACGTTCTGCACATGTATCCCAGAACTTAAAGTATAATAAATTTTTTTAAGTTACTTCCCTTTATAAATTAAGATTTATTTTAAATTAAAATGGAAGTTGTATAATCTCCTCCGGAAAGGATCAAGTCTGGGAAGTTTATAAAAGAACTTGTCCTTGGAGATAATTTAGTAACCTCATGACATGAGATTTGTGCTTAAGCTAAATAAACTGTATTACAAGGGTACAAAATGATGATGATGAATTGTGGTTTCAAAAGTGAAAAGGTGTCCTGAGATTTTGAATGTATGAATATTTTATTTAAAATTCTATAAAGTGTCCCGTTTCAAATTCCACAATTTAAAGACAGACAACATCAGCAATCATACCAGAGGTAGTTAAGAATGCATTTAAGAAGAATAATTATAATGATGACAGTAGTGATAATGTTAGTAGTAGCTAACATGTATTGGGTACTTTTTGTCATGCACTATGCGTTATATTATTTAATCTCCACAATGATTCTGACAGATACTCTATTGTTCCCATTTTAAAGATGAGGAGATTGAGAAAAGTTAGGTAATTTGACCAATATCGCGATGCTAGAAAGTGGCAGATTTGAGATGATAAAATTTAAAATATCAACTACTTTCAGAAATATAACATGCCAGACTTAAAGACAAAAAAATCCACTCTTGAAAATAATAGTAATGTCATCTCAACTATAATTTGCTATGTGAGATTAACGAAAATTCAACATAGTAGAAGAGTTTACAGATGAGAAACTTATGTCCTCATAGAGAAAACAGAGAAAAGTATTACGGTCAAGGTCACTGGTGAGGCTACAAAGCTTTTAAAATATTTGTACAATCACTTAACATAAAATAGCTATTTACTGAACACACATTATGTGCCAGGTCTGGAATTAAGCACTCTTTAAATTAGACTTCTAATTTTCCCAACTACCCCAAGAGTCATGGCCAAAAGGTGGCAGAGTCAGGATTCAGACCAGAGAAACCAATCTGTCCTCAGAGCCCATGTTCTCAGCCATCGTGTTATGACCCGGGGCATTTATACACCTTCAATCTTCCCAGTTTTCATTTACCAAGCCTTGTTCACTAGGACATTTTTGAGATACCTTTTTCCTACACAGGACATAAAACACTGCAAAAGTTGTTACACATTTTAGATAAATGTGCATTTCAAGAGACCTAGTCCTCCATGTTAATATTCAATATCTCTCTGATTTATGTCTCAGAGATACTGACTCATTCTTGAATCTCAGGGCTTTGAGATGCAGTATAACCTGTGTGCTTGAGAGGGCAAACCTTTGGATGACCTTTATTTCTCAACATCCGTCCACCCAAGATAAGTCCGTGTCATGGCCCAAGCGCCAATTTACATCCCTTAGCTTCTGCTCTCATAGAAGTCACTGGAATGCACTTCTAAGACAAAGTCTTCTTAGTCTCATGGCTCCCCTTTTTTTTAATCTCTCCCAAGGATTCCCTACACTAACTATTCCTATTCTGCCGTTCCATTCAACTCTATTGTCTTTTCTCAGCTCCAATTCTGTTTTGATAATAATCCTGACTAGAGTAAAACTGGCAATGTAATATCTTGGAACAGAAGACTTTTAAGTTTGAGGAAAAGATACATGGAAGTAAACTTATATGCACTAGCAGTACATGTAAGGGAACCCCACAGTTAGGGAAGGATTTGCATATAGATACTCACAATAGGCACACTTCATCATAACCAGTTGAAAGGAGTTAGCATCTCCATTTTATAGGTATTGGTTTTACGTGGCAGAAACAACACAAATTGTGGCAATTATAGGTTTCACACAACTATATTTCAGTTATACCCAAAAATAAGAATGCTTGTCATGAAATTCCACTTGCACTAAATGTTAGCTCCTTCTACTTCACATAAGTATGAAAAATATCTTCAAATACATCAGCATATGCTTAGCTAATCTTAAACACCTCAATCGATGTTCAATGCCTTTTTGTGCTAGCCTACTTTTTCCCTTCTGCTATGTGTCTAGTTAGTTAATATAGCTTTCCAATTTACAAGAAAGCAGAAATATTTCAGATCAGGTCACGACATCAAATATCACCTGCAAACAGTAAATATAGTTTTCAAACTCTTACACAGTGTTAGTGAGACAAGTGAAGTCTGCTTTGCAACACCTCCACTGATCTGGGATTATATCTAAGCAAAGTGGATGCATGCTGATCCTTTCAAGAAGGTGTCCCGGGGAAGATCTAAGTAGTAATCACTTGAAGGGACTCAAGAGCACCACTCACGATGTGCTGAAATGCAGAAGGGGACAAAGAAGGAAGGCAAGTCTGTTAATGGAGCTTCATGATTACTTTTGCAATGTTACTCATACATGTTAAACCTTATGAATAGCAGTCTTAATCTTTTAACTTACAGTTCAGAGCCAGGCTAGCTTAGTCATCAAGAGTATGAACTTTATTTGTCAATTAAAATAAGTAAAAAAAAGGACATCAGATTTTTTTTTAAAGAGCATGAGCTCCAAGTCAGATGGATGGAATTCATGTCAAAATTTGGACCTATCGTATTTAAGGGCAAGCTATGCACATCCTCTGCAGAAGACTGTGAAAAAAAGAAATAAGGTATTACTACCAAAATGCTTCTAACAATGCTCAATAAAGAGTAGTTATTTTATCCCTAACTCAGAAAGATAGAGAGAGGGCCCATTTATGGAGTACACAATATTAAGCACTGAGTTGGTGTTTTCCAGAAATTATCTCACTTAATCTTCAGATGAGATGTTATCATTTCAGTTTTACAAATTAGGAAACTGATAATCGGGGAATTAGATATTTGCTGAAGTCAGACAACAAGGAAACAGTGGATTTGGAACTTAAGACACATCTGTCTGATCTTCTGGCCTTTTTCACATTTGAGGAGAATATAGTAAAGTTTAGAGTCAGTTGGCTAATTTTCACAAAACCATCGTTTGTGATACAATAGCATTGCATTATTTCTGTATATCATTTAAGTGCTTTTGTCAGGAGAAATGAAAGAATTAAAATAAAATACATTTCTAGCTAAATAAATAATTGCATATAGGAGGAAATAATAAAGATTAAAGTAAAAATTAATGCTCAGAGAATCAGAAAACAGTAACTCTATAAATAAATACCCTCAGTTTTTAAAAACTCTAACAAAATAAACAAACCATTGGTAACCTTGATCAGAAAACAAAAGGCAGAAGGTAAAACTATACAAAATGAGAAATAACATGAAGAATTAGCTATTGAAAAAAAGATAAAATGAAATAAGTAGCATAAGTAACTACAGACATCTATGTATACAAGTTTGAAAATTTAGATAAAAGACACAGTTTTCCAGAGAATCACGTGTACTAAAATTGACTCCATTAATGGAGAAAGTTTAAAGAGATCAATTTCCATACAAGAAATAGAGAACATTATTAAGGATGAATATCATAAAAAACAACCAGGCCCAGATAGTGTCATGGTAAAAATCTACAAAACATTTGAAGATCAAATAATCTCAGTACTCTACAAATTGCTGCAAAACGTTGGAAATGAAAGAGACAATGTTTCCTTTTACTGAGCCAGAATAACGTTGATACCTAAACCTAAAAAACTTTGTTCAAAAGAAAATAAATCTATAGACCTATATTGTCCATGAATATCAATGCAAAAGTACTAAAATAAATGTTGGCATGCATAGTATTATATATCATATTAAGAAAATAATGAATACAACTAAGTGGGATTTATTATAGAAATTCAAGGTTGGTTCCTACTAGGAAATCTATTATGATCATATGCAATATGATTTTTCCATATATGCTGAAAGGCCTTAATGAAATTCAACATTCACTCATTATAAGAATATTCAAGAAATTGAATGTGATTTTTAACATATTAAAAATATATATTTGTCAATGCTAAAATTGGTATTTTAATTGGACAACACTAGAAGCATTCCTATTCACATCAGGAACAAGGGGAAGATGCTAGTTATCTCCATTACTATCTATTATTTTACTGAAAGTGTTAAAAAAATGCAATTAGACAAAACAAATCTATTAAAGGTATTAGAATTGGTAGAGAAGAGGTAAAAGTATCCCTACTTATAGATGATATGATACCTGAAAAACACTTAAGAATCAATAATAATTAATGTTAATTCCCAAATCGTAAAATAATTTAGTAAGGCAACAGGATATGAAATTAATATTCATAAATTAAGATATTAATCCTTCATGTACATTGCATTATAAATAAATAACCACAGTGAAGGGGATGGGAAAGAATAGAACTAAGCTAAATAACTTTTAGAAAACAGTGTTTTGACCGCTTACTCCAAGCCCAAAGACAAGGAAAAGTATCCATACATATTGTCTGATTAAAGGTTTGTTTTTCAGAGTGGTATGAAATTGCGACTGTGAGACTACATTGTGTGTATATGAAGATTAAGCAAATAATTAAATAAATTGATGATGCTGAGAGTGAAGTTTCTCAATGTTAAAAAGAGGATACTGAGAGTGAAGTTTCTCAATGTTAAAAAGAGGAGTTACAAGTAATGGAAGGGATTTGGCTAGAATGAACCCTGTGATGCTGGACTGGAATCAGGTGCCTCAGGATGAACTCAGGAATGTGTGTGTGTGTGTGTGTGTGTGTGTGTGTGTGTGTGTGTGTACAAACTGACATAAAGTAGAGATGTGTGCGCATATGTGGATGTATATGTACACATATTTCCTAGCTCTGTCAGGTGACCTAGAAGCAATGGCAGAAGAGCAATGAGCACATCTAGCACTCAGATTTTGTTTCCAAATACCTTTCGCTAAGAAAAAGAGCCAAATAACCTTCACAGAAAGGTTGATTTTGGGAATGGGTAGATATTAGCGGGATGAAGAAATGGAGCAAGATGAGCCCGCAAGATCTTGTAGTGCCACAGTGAGCATGTGCTCAAAATTTCGTGGCATCAGAGTCACCCTGAAGGAGCCCCCAATGGCCAATTCTAGAATGAGAGCAACAAACTAAATGATGATAATAATGAAGTTTATCTCATGGAATAAAATAAAGAACCTTGAGTCCATACCACCAATAAGTAATTGAATTAATAGGTAAGGACAAAATCCTTAGAATGAAATTCAAATTCAAAATACAAAAGGAATGATGGATATAGAAAATCATCATCTCACAAACACAGTGGTAAGAATCATTGATGGAAGCTAAAATTTGTGGGCAAAAGTTTATGAGAAAACAGGACATTGGCATAGTCTCAAACTCTTTCACCATAAGATCCTTATTAGCTACAAGGGAAAAATATAAATTTATAGTGGAGAAAACTGACAGACTCCACCTCAGTCAAGTGATCAAAATTAACATCACCAGGAATGAGACGTGTTGACATCATGTAACTCCTCATATGACACACTGAGAAAGTCACAGTGTAGCCTCTGCAGTATTCGTGCAAAAATTTTTAAAACCTGAATTTAATCATGAACAAACATCAGACAAACCAGAATTGAAGGACATTCTCCAAAACGACTGGCCAGCACTCTTCAAAGTTGTCAAAGTCATAAAAGATTGGGAAAGTCTAAGAAGTACCCCAAATCAAAAGAGAGTAAAGAGACATAACAAGTAAATGCAGTCGGTGATCCTGGATTGGATCTTAATACAGAAAAATGACATTTGTGGCACAAACTCATAGGAACAGAGGGTAGAATGGTGGCTACAAGGATCTGGGGAATAGGAGAACGGGGAGATGTTAGTCAAAGGGTAAAGGTAAAAGAATAAAAGTGAAAAAAAACTATGGTATATTTACAAAGTTTACTGTTCTGCATCAGCAAAGCAGATCAAACTGTTGTTATAAATTATACAACATGGATCAGCCCCACAGAGATGATATGGAGGAAGAAAATCAAAATAGGGCATAGTGTGTCATTCCATTTATACGAAATTAAAAAAACCGATAACATGAATTGGTAGTGAAAAAATGTATTCTAATGAGTACTTCTGGGGGTGTTAATCAGGACAAGTAACAGAAAGGCCTTTGGGTGGATGATAATGCACTGTATCTTTCTATTTGTGAGGCTTACACGTGTTATTTATGGATTAAATAACACTCACCAAGCTGTACACTTAAGATCCAGGTACTTTATCATAGGTAGGTTTTAATTAGTGGAGAATTATGCAAAAACATTTATTGAATGTATTCTTTTGTCTCAGTTTTCATAGTTTAAACGTGCCATTTTATCAGACAGAACTTTCTAAAGGATGCAATTAAAACCAAGTATTAACTTCTGAGATTGCACTTCTTCATAAAACAACAGAAGAGAAGCAGAATTGTTTTCTTCTTCAATGCCTCTGCTGAACATGTATGCTTCAGATATCTGTTGGTCACTTTCGATGATGAGAAAATAAAATATCCTGGTTTTTGCTATAAATGCTAATTATTCCATCTGTTCAAAGCGTTTATTTCTTCTTTAAAAATGGAGGGAAATATTAGTTATCGGATACAATGAAGTTCAGCACTTTGAGATATCTTAGCAAAATATTTTTAACATATGTGTACCAAAACCGATTGTTTTTAAAGAAAAAAACAAATTTTAAATGAGATATTATATTTTCCTAAACTATCAAAATGTCTCTAGCTATATGAAGGTGCTAATGCAAAGCAATGCATTTCAATTTTCCTCAACACTAAAAGTAAATATAATTTTCTCTTAATTATAAAATTTCCAGAATTTTTCATCTGTAGTAACTCCAAATTAGCCAGTGAGAATATGTTCCAGTTAGCTAGAAAATTTACTTATTTATGACTCTTCCGTTCACCAATATTGCCAAGTAAAGTCATTTACAGATCTGGGAACAAAGCTGGGGTGCTACAGTAGGACAATTTGGATAATCATATTTCCCCTAGAACTTTAATAGAATTTCATAACATACATATATTTTTTGTCCATTATATTGTAGAGGTCTTCTTTTGACTTTTATTCTATTCTATTCATACAATAAAGTTTTCCAGGTCCTCGGAATTTAACTCTTTCTTCTGCCATTACCAATTTTTCAAATAGTAGGTTTGATCTAATTACCAAAACATTATTAGAATCTAGGTAGAGGCATGTTATTATTTTACTAGCTAATGATCTCCAGGAGACTTTGGAATTAATATAGACCACTCTGCAGAAATAATGACCACTGAAATGAGGGCCCCAGCACACACTGAAATAGCCACACTCAAAGAAGATTCATTTCTTTAGGAGTTTAGTGAAAATGGAGAGATTGACTAAAGTAATCTCCAGAAAGCATAAAGATTAAATTGGCTCCTAACTGAGAAAATGCTACCTTAGCACTCACCCAGTTCTGCCTTTATGATTCTTTGACACTGATGTAAGCACCACAGAAAGGAATATCAAGGTGGAATTACATAATCCTTTCTTCAACCAATTGTTAGCGTGTTTGCTGTAGATTAAAACACTGCCACAGGCTTCTAGTGGTTGGCAACTCACACTGTGGAAAATGTCACTGGGCTTTGCTGCCTCACTAGCTGTGCTCCACAGAGCAGAAAATTAAGCGCAACATATTTGGAAGAGGAGTTTTCTGGTTTGTAAGAATTTATAAAAATAGCTATACTTATCTATTCTAGGGTCATATTTGTAAGTTATTAGTAGCTCTGAGATAAATAATTTAAATTTTTAGTACATATGCTAAAATCTTAGATTATTCTGACTCGAAATCTAGCTAAGGGTCTCTTAGGTGACTTAATTTCTGTTTCTAATTTAAAAGATACATACATACATGGGACAATAAAATATTTTTGAATCCATGGCACGTGAAAATAGACTGCAAAAAATCAGTATCTAAAACCATGCATTTCTGCTTCAGTTTCTTCTGATTCCTGTCCAACATAGATAAATCTGAGTAGCTAGTCAGTTATCAGTTATCAAAGTATGAGTTTCATCATGAATAGCTTAGATTTGTTGTACAAATGTGGTGCTGCAAATTGAATCATTAATCAAAGACATACTAGGCTCAAATTTATTTTATTCTATACATTTTGTTTGCACTATGCTAAGATTTAAAATTAATAACCTTGCTCTAGTAAGAAGATTGTTTAGGTATATTTCAAACACTCAAATGTGTTTTTTTCTTTCTGTTAAAAGCAACACGTAGTTTTTCCATAAAAATCCTACCTCACGGATTGCCTTATCACACTTAATTTACAAATCTGGAATAAAACCATGAGGTGCAACAGAATAAGATCATCATGGAAGAAAAATATTCACAGTACTATTTCTAGAAAAGCTCGCATAAACTTTCGAAATGGCATCAAGCCACCTGTTTGAATCACTCAGAGGCATTTGCCAACTTTACCAAAACAAGGACACACCTTTCTGTCTCCTGCCAGTTTTCTTTCTTCCCTTACTTTGTTGTCTCATGCAACCTAAAATAGAAGCATCATATCAGGCTTCTAGATTCTGTCTGCAGTATGATAGGTCAATTTCATTATAGATGCTGAGAACTCCAGCCTTTAGAGAAAAATGCTCTCAAATCTCTCCCTCTCCTCAGCACTTTGCCCCTCATATGTTTGTAGGTGGCACTCTCATCAATACTGCTTTCTCTAACCATGGCTTGGTAAGGCAACTCTCTGCCTTCTTAATGTCCTATCGATCAAGCTAATGACATTTACTTAGCACCTACTCAATGAAAGTCACTGTTCTGCTTGTTGTGGGGGATACAGGTATACATAGGACATGAAGTGGCTTTCTGTAAACAAAGATAAATGTCCTCTTTATTTGTTTGTCATATAAAGTAGCCCCTAATGCCTGAATTTCCTTCATCTTCTAGCAGTCAAACAATCTCTCACCCACTTACCCACACTTGACAACTTGTCTTTTCCATAACGTTTCTGTTTGAATTAAGAAAAGCTAACATTTCCCCACCCAGGACAACCACAATGCAGAATTCTGTACTCACTCTTGCCTTATGCCCTTAAAACACACACTCACGACCAGTATTTCATGGCAATGTCTCAGTCTTTACGCTTATTTGACTTAATGCTTCTCTACCAATGATTTTCTGTATGTGAATCCCCGTTACTTTTGTAAATGTGGGAGGAGGAACTGCTTGTAACTTGTGGAGCACTGAGCACGTTTAAGCACTGGAGCCCTCGGTGAGTATGACAATCATCCACCTGGATTACAGATGGTCCTCACTCCCGAAAAGTCTTCTGGGCAGAACTGCATGGCAAAAGGCTGTAGTCAAGTACAGTTATCATCTGCAAGAAAGCCCGCATTTGGGCAACAACCCTGGCTCAGCAAACTCTTCTATTTAAAAAGATCTACCGTAAGTCAGGAATTTGTAGCATTTAAAATACAAGCCCTCACACACCAAAGATTTTCTGTCTTCAACTGTTCACTCTGCCTTCAGAACACTTGGCTGTTTATCTCCTCCTTTGTTTTGCTTTGTTTTATCTTGTTCTTCCTT
The DNA here is from genome assembly GCF_000001405.40 of Homo sapiens. Lineage (NCBI taxonomy): Eukaryota > Metazoa > Chordata > Mammalia > Primates > Hominidae > Homo > Homo sapiens. Next base: position 4,353,241 of record NC_000018.10, read on the forward strand.
TCTCTCTAGGTCCCAGGGGATAAACTGGCTCAGTAAAGGCTTCCCACTGAGCACGGGGCTGCGAGTCACAATTCCTTGATGATCACCCACCCCAAGCTGACATGTTTCAAATGACCTGAAGTAGCTACATCTGTTCAGTCAAGTTATTACAAGGACCTTCGAAAGTGAGCCGCATTCTGAGCAAACAACCAAAAGACGGGCTCCTTCCCATTCCCAGGAGATTGCAACCTCCGTGTGATTGGCAGTTTTACGGTCTGGCTTTCTCCATCACAGGATAATTTCCTCCTCATTGTAAAAAGCTTTCTGCAGCCTTCTGCTTTTTGGCTCTTTTTTATAATGAGCAAATTTGGCTTAGAGAAAACTTTTCAGACTGAGAAGGAAAAGGATTTTACGTCTTAAAACCGTGAAACTAGTGTAAGATATTTAAAATGTTATATTTAAATATATATGATATATAACATACACACGATATATAAACATATAATTTATGTATATATTAATATATGTTTAAATATATATTTTTCCTCCACTCTGTTTTTCAAGGGGTTTCTTAATCCTGAAGTTTAGTGTTGGGCTAATCAGTTATATCAACTTTTAGGCACTTTGAAATCACTGTCGCTCTGAAAAATCAATAGCCAAACAAACATAAGAACTCAAATTTATAATGCCTAAGTTGCTGTGAGCTACTGTAAATTTAACCGTAGAAGCTGAGTAGGTTTTGTGGGTAAACGTGTACAACTGAGATGAATGAGACTTTCAGACTGAGGCAAAACAGCAGTGTGAACTGGCTGTTGTTACCGCCATCGACAGGTAAGGAGTCTCTGTGACTCGCACATAGTTGCTGCTGTTGGGGCTCGTTACTTTGAACTGCAGGACCCTGAAGGGGCCTCAAAAGCAAAGCCTCTTTCTGGCCTTCTGCCCTTCTTTCTCCTACTCTCCTTTCTCCCACAAGGCAGATGATAGAAACTAGGGTTTCTCTTCCCCAAGGTGAGTCACAGAAACCAGAACCCCTCTCCTCCAAAGCCAGTCATAAAACCTAGAACGATTACTCTAACCTTCCTCCACCTTGCTGTGTGGAAGATGGTCATAGAGAAATCTGACCTATCTCCTTCCAGAAGGTCCCTGCCCAAACCCAGGAAGACGGAATGCCACACAGAGGGACCAGAAGAATCTGGACACGCCCTAGTTTTATTACCCTTAGATGAATATCTTTTTGTCCGATCACATTTCTACACAGCTGTACATTCTTCATTGAACCTAAGCATAAAAACAGACAGCTTTCCTTAAGTCTTTGCCTCTTCATTTTCTGAAGGCTCCCATGTCACGCAAACCTTTGATTAAATGAATTTGCAATGCTTTTCTCTTGTTAACCTGCCTTTTGTTATAGGGGTGTCAGCTGTGACCCTCATGATAGGGAGGAAAGGTATCACATCTTTTTTGCCCCTACACTGCTCCTCATCTTCATGGGTCAAGATGATCTCCACACATCCATATCTAAGGCACACAATACCCATCCTTGTATATACATGTCTCAACAGCCACTCATTATTGTTAAATATGGGCTGGATTTTTAACAATATTCAAGCTACCTAAGAAGAAACTAGAGGTACAGGCAGCCTCCTGGCTTTTTCTGCAATTACTCTCACCAAAAAAAAAAAAAAAAAAAAAAAAAAAAAAAAAAAAATCCTCTCTACACACACATCAGAATGGCTAAAACAAAAGATAATGACAACACAAAATGCTCGCCAGGATGCAGAGACTCTGGGTCATTCACACATTGCTAGCGAAAATGTAAAATTGTACAGCCGCTCTGGGAAACAGTTTGGCAGTGTCTTTTAAAACTAAACATACTCTTGACATATAACTCAGCAATGACACTCTTAGGCATTTGTCCCAGGGAAATGAAAATTTATGTGCACCCAAGAATCTGTACACAAATGTTCATGGCAGCTTTACTCATAATAGCCAAAAACTGGAACCAGTCCAGGTGTCCCTGAACAGGTCCATCCATACCATGGACTACTACCTAGCCATAAAAGGGAGCTGTTGATACACACAACAGCTTGAATGAATCTCAAGGCAATTATACTGTGTGTTAAAAGTCAGCCCTTCAAAGGTTACATATGGTGTGATTCCATTTATGTAATATTATTGGAATAACAAAATTATAGAGATGGAGAAGAGATTAGTGGGTACCAGGGGATAGGAATAAAGGATGTGTGGCTTTAAAGGAATAGAATAAGGGTGCCACATAGTTACGGAAGGTTCTGGATCTTGATTATGCTGGTGGTTACACAGATCTACATACGTGATAAAATTAAATGGAACACACACTGTCTCACACACACTCACATAAACAGAAGTGCATATGTAATTGGTGAAATTGTAGTGACTTCTGTAGATGGTGCCCACATCCATTTCCTGGTTGTGATATTGTACTATAGTTACACAAGTTATCTTCGGAGAAAACTGGGTTAAAGTTACATGGGACAATCCGGGATCTTTTTTTTTTTTTTTTTTGCAATTTTTTTGTGAATCTATAATTTCAAAATAAGAAGTATAAAAATGAAAAAGAGAAATCTTCTCTTGAGTCTCCCATACTAGACTAGCTGCTGCTCTCTGCTTCCTCTTCTGCTTTTTTAATAGAAAACTTCTCAAAATTTATCTACTTGTTGCCTTTAATACCTCTCCTATGCTATCTTGCATCTGCTCCAATCATAGCTCTGATTCTTTCACCAGCTCCCAGGAAACTGCCCTTGTCAAGATCACCAATGACATCTATGTTCCTGTCTAGGGGTCAGCTATTCATCTCCATTGCACATCTGTCACTCCAGGCCCAATACCGCCTTGACAGCAGGAAGTGCACCGTAGTCAGTTGGACTCTGTCTTCAGGAGGACTTTGTCTTCACTTCATGGACTCTCCCGATTTTTTTTTTCCTGATGAGTGGCTCCTTCTTGGTCTCATTTGGAGGTTCTTCTCTTTTTCCCAGAGACCCATTCCCTTGGTAAACTCATCCCGACCCCTAGGCTGAAATAGTTACCTATACACTGACAACTCCCTATTTTATACCTCTAGTCCAGTCTCTTCCCTGAATCTTAGACTTGTATCTAACAGCCACTGCAAATCTCTACATAGATTACCAGTAGGCACCTTAAAATTTACATGACCAAAACTGAGCTCCAGATACCCCACCAAACCTGCCCATCCCCGTTTTTTCCTATGTCAACAATGGACAATTTTATATTTCTAGCAACACAAGTCAAAAATATTGGTGTCATGAATTTCTCCTCTCATGCATCATGTCCAATCCATCAGAAAATCCTGTTGGCTCTACTTTCAAAATACATCCTGAATCCGAGGATTTCCCGCCACCTTTACTGTTATCATCCTATTCTTGCCCACTATTATCTCTTGACTGGATTCTTGAAATAGTTTTCTATGTTGCTACTCTGCCCTCACTCCCTACATGCCTGTTCCGTGCAGTAAACTAAGTGCTCCTCCTAAATCACAAGTTAGAGCATGACATTCCTCTGCCCAAAAAGACCCTATATATTTTGTTGTTTGTTACTTTTCCGACCTCTTCCCTTCCTATTATCACCTTTGTTTGCTCTGCTCTAGTCCACTGGCCCCCTTGGTCTTTCTAGGACGTGCCACATACATGTCACAGGACCTTAGCCTTTGTTGTTCCTCCAGCATGGGTAGCCACAAGGATAACACTCCCCCTTCACCATTCAGGTGCCCACATGACACCTTTATAGATGAATTCTTATCTTTCCACGCCTTGCTGTTCTCCAAAGGACTCATCATCTGTCTGTCTGTCTCTCTCTCTCTCTGTGTATATACGTGTGCGTGTGTGTGTGTGTGTGTGTGTACGATATACCATTTCTTTCTTTGTTCTTTCTCTTTGTTTTTTTCCTTTTTTTTTTTTTTTTTTGACAGGCTCACTCTGTGGCCCAGGCTAGAGTGCAGTAGCACCATCTCGGCTCACTGCAACCTCCACCTCCTGGGTTCAAGTGATTCTCCTGTCTCAGCCTCCCAAGCAGCTGGGATGATAGGTGTGTGCCACCACGCCTGGCTAATTTTTGTATTTTTAGTAGAGATGGGGTTTCACCATTTTAATTAGGCTGGTCTCTAACTCCTGACCTCAAATGATCCACCCGCCTCGGCCTCCCACCATTTCTTTCTTTGTTATCTGTGGATTCCTACACAAATGTAAACTTCAAAGGACAGGATTTTTGTCTGTTTTTTCACTTCTGTATTCTCAGTGTCTAAATCTTGCCTGGAACACAGAAGATAAGTCAATATATAATCGTGGCCTGAATGAATTATTTAACCAATTATGCAAGTAATTTTCTATTTCCAAATAAGAGAAGAGTTGGTGTAGCTGGAGTAGCCTACCTCCTGAGAATTCTGAAAAACCAGAGTAGCTCATCTGCTCCACTGACTGACATCTCTGGCAACAGCAGCTGACACCGTCTCACTGCTGCAAGGTCAGCTAGTCAGTGGGCCCAGTGCTTCGCAGCGCCTCTCCACTGATTAACAAACAGGCCCCTTTGGAGGGCAGGGCCTATGTACCACCTTAGTCCTAGGGATTCCACAGCCCTATGGCAGTGAGAAATGCAGCTGGCAGGAAGGTAGTTACCTGTGCTCCTCACTGCTTCTCAACGCAGAAAATCTGAAATTTGAGCCCCAGTGTAATCAGCACTGTGAGTTTGTAGATTATAAATATTTACATCTGTGCTTGCCCAAGGCTGGAGCTTATAACTCAAGCTTTGCCTGTTGGAAGGATCAGATGGAGTAACAGAGAGCATAAACCGTTCACTCAACAAATCTTTACAAAAGGCCTACTGGAAGAAGTCCCTGTTCTAGACACTGGAGATAAAGCAGGGAACAAAACAGCCAATAATCGTGATTCCATGAAGTCGATATTTGAGAGTTGGAAGGAAGCAAATAATATACATGCAAACAAACAGATAAACAATACAATTTCAGATAATGATTAGTTCAGTGAATCTAATAAAATAAGATGATAAATGACTGAAAGATTTCTTTGAAATTGGGTGATCATGTTATTACGCTGTGGTGACATTTGAGCACAAATGTGAATAATGAAAAATAATTAGTCCTGAGGGCAGAATGGTCCTTAAAGAAGGAAAAGAAAGTTAAAAGGCCTTTAGGGACTAATGTGGCATACTGGAGAAACAAAGAAAGAAGGCCAGTGTGTGTGCCGCTTAGGGAGTGAGAGGAAGTTAGAAAAGATGAAGATGGAGAAGTAGACAATCCCAGTGACCTCAAGTAAGGAGTTCATGCTTTACTCCAAATGCAAAGGCATTAGAGATATAACTGCAGACTACTCACTCTCCATTGTTTTCTTCATGTGAAGGGAAACCTAGGGCCTCCCTCTTGTTCTCGTGCCTTTGATTGGTGAGTTTAGTAGGAAGAACTGGGCATGAAAGGCTCAGTCCCTTCCTCTTGCCTGCAGAGAGCAGGGCTCCTGTCTGCTTTGGGCCTAGGGCTGAGCTTTGTGGCCACAGCTTACCTCTGTAGCACCTGCTGTGCAGGTATTCGGTGCTGCCTGTGGCTTCTGGGTCAGTTCATCTAATTCTGGTGCAGCAGCAGGAAGCCCAGGCTGGCACTCACTCTGCCACATTCTCCAAGAGCTCTGTTAGTAATAGACCTGACAGTCCGTTCTCCATGTGTTTAACTCTTTTGTCTCCTTCTACTGCTTTAAAATGCTGGCGGGGATGAGGGAGTTATAATTAACAGCCTTCCCTCTCAAACTCCTAAAGGAAGCTTGGATGTTTTTCTTTTCTGAACAAGAAATACAGTGATCTAATTTATGTTTTAAAAAGATGACTCTAGCTTTTATTTAGGGACTGAATTACAGACAGAGGGAAATGAAAAGCAAAGATATTAGTGAGGAGTGATGGGGTTCAGGACATGCTACCGTAAAATATGGCACCTCGGTATTTGAAAACAATGCAGAAGTGGGATGATCTCTCTGACTTCTCCTTCCTTCTCCTCTGAACCAGTTCATAAAACCTAGAAATAATTTTCTGATCTTCCGCTGGAGTAGATCATAAGACCCTCATGTGAGAGGTGCCCTTCCTGGAGGAAAGGAACGTCTTTATCGCTGAAGATACAGGGACATGGAGAAGAATCCAAACAAACAGGCCTTGTACATTCCCTTCATTAGATCATACCCCCTTTTTCCAGTCATACTTCTTCACAACGATACACCTCTTCATCAAACTTACAAGTACACAGGTTTTCCTGTTTCTTTAAATATTCATTTCTGAAGGCTCCCGTGTCACATAAAACTTATATTAAATAAATATGTATGCTTTTCTCTTGCTAATGTCTTCTGTTATAAAGACCTCAGCCATGGACCTAGCAATTGGTGGGGAAAAGATAAAGCAGGAGAATCCCTCTGCACGAGACTACTATAGTTATTTAGGATAGATACGATGGTGCCTTGGACTAGGATTGATAATGGCAGGCAGAGAGAGAAGGGTAAAGAATTGGAATATACATTCAAGCAGGCCCTGGAAGCAGGCCCTGTTCTAGACACTGGAGATAAAGTAGGGAAGAAAATAGTCAGTAATCTTGATTCCATATAGTCTGTATTTGAAAGTTGGAGGGAAGCAAACAATATACATGCAAACAAACAGGTCAACTGAAGGGATTTATAAACCTGAGGTAAGGATCATAAAAAATTAGTATCAAATATGACTTCTAGGTTCTGTCTTGAGTAGCTGTAGGTAATGAATAGTGACTTATCCAAGTGTGGTTCTCAGGTAAAGAGTTGTGTAGACAATTATGGAGCTTAGTAGAGAGGTCTGGAAAAATAATATGAATTTGGGAATTTTCAGATGGTGTTTAAATCCACTGGGCACCATGGAATTACTTAGAGGAAGAATATAGACAGAAAAAAGAGGATGGCTGAGGATAGAGCTCCAAGAAGTGTGCTAAAGTTTAATTTTGTGGCATTAGACAGGGTGGAATGGAATATGTGTACTTGGGAGCAAATTAAAATAGAAAATTATAAAACAGGAATTAATGTATTTCATTTTATAGGGTTACATTAGAAAAAGGACAAAAGTGAGACAAAGCAAAAGGAGTGTCTAGAACAGACTTACACAGCAGAAGCTAAGTAAGTAGGATGTGAGAGGAAATGGAGATAGAAGAGAAATGCGAATCAAAAGGTGGAACTCACGAAAGTGAAAGTGAAGACTTTCATCTTCAGTGGAGTTATGCAAATGAAATATTTTCACACACATAAATAATGATAAACATAGATAAATAAAGCAAGTTTGGAGAGGCTGGTGAGAAAAGTGAAGTCTATAATTCAGTGTTATGAATACAGCACTGTGTAGTCAAAAGGATTTGCTGTAGGGAGTGAAAAGGAACAGAGAATGTTGATGGAATGAAAAGAGAATCAAAAAAGTGTGTTTAGGCCAGGTGCAGTGGCTCAAGCCTGTAATCCCAGAACTTTGGGAGGCTGAGGCAGGTGGATCACCTAAGGTCAGGAGTTCGAGACCAGCCTAGCCAACATGGCAAAACCCTGTCTCTACTAAAAACACAAAAAATTAGCCAGGCATGGTGGCGGGCACCTGTAATCTCAGCTACTCAGGAGGCCGAAGCAGGAGAATCACTTGAACCCAACAGGCAGCCATTGCACTTCAGCCTGGGCAACAAGAGTAAGATTCTACGTCAAAAAAAAAAAGTGTGTTTATACTTACCTATTAGTTATGAAAAGAGTCAAAAGATGAGACAAAGATAAATCTAAACCTTATCTATAGATACATTCTTTGTAGAAGAAATCAACAGAAATTATAGTTTTTCTGTCAAGATTTTGGAAGAAACTTTCTGAAGAAAATTTCAGAAGAGGGCTTCAGGGAGTGTCTAAGAAATTAATATCTTAATAATAATGTTTCTATGAAATAACATAATATATTTTATTGATATGTGCAAATAATTTTACTTCAAAAAATTATCTCTTTTGAAGTAAAACACATTGCGCAGAAAATAATAATTTTCAAGAAATCCTGAATAGCCAAAACAGTACCTAAAAAGAAGAAAAATATGGAGAACTCATATTTCCTGATTTCAACACTGTAAAGCTACAGTAATCAAAACATTGTGGTACTGGCATAAAGACAGAATACAGGCCAATGGAACAGAATAGACAGTTCAGAAATAAATCTTTACATTAATGGTCAAATGATTTTTGACAAGGGTGCCAAGACCATTCAGTGAAAACTGGACTGTCTTTTAAACAAATGCTTCTGGGAAAAATGGATTTCCACAAACAAGAAAATGAAAGTGTACCCTCACCTAATGCTACATATAAAAATTAATTCAAAATGGATCAAAGATGTAAATGTAAGATCTAAAATTATAAACCCTTAACGATAAAACAAAAGCTTCGAAACACTTAATTTGGCAACTATTTTTTTGATTAACACAAAAGGCACAGGCAACAAAAAATAATTTTATCAATTTTTAAAAAACTGTGTGTCAAAAGACAGTAACAGCAGAGAAAAAAATGGCCACACACAAAACAGGAGAAAAGATTTACAAATCATATATTTGATAAGGGATTAATATCCAAAATGAATAGAGAACTCCTAAAATTCAACAGCTAAAAACCAGAAGACCTAATTTAAAAGTATGCAAAGGACTTAGATAGACATTTCTCCAAGGAAGATATACGCATGGCCAAAAGGCACATGAAAAGATGGTCAACATCACTAATCAGTAGGGAAATGAAAATCAAAATTAGAGTGAGATACCATCTCACACCTATTGGGATGGCTACTATAAAATAACATAAAATAACAAGTGTTGGTGAGGATGTAGAGAAACTGGAACACTTGTACACTGTTGGTGGGAATGTAAAATGTTACAGCCACTATAAAAAGTAGTATGGTAGTTCCTCAAAATATTAAAAATAGAATTCCTTTATGATCCAGCAAGTCAACCTCTGGGCATATACTCAAAAGAATTGAAAGCAGAGTCTTGAAGTGATATTTGTACACCAGTGTTCACAGCAGAATTATTCACAATAGCTAAAATGTGGAAGCGAACCAAGTGTCCATCGATGGAGGAATGGATAAACAAACTGTGGGATAGACATATGATGGAATATTATTCAGCCTTAAAAAGAAATAAAATTCTGACAACATGAATGGACCTTGAGGATATTACACTAAGTGAAATAAGCCAGTCACAAACAAGACAAATGCTGTATGATTCCATTAATGTGATGTACTTAGCGTATTCAAAATCACAGAGACAGAAAGTAGAATGGTGGAGTCCAGGGGCTGGGAAGATGTGGGAAATGGAAAGTTACTGTTTAATGGGTACAGAGTTTCAGTTTTGCAAGATGAAAAAAGCCCTGGAGATGGACGGTGGTGATGGTTGCATGACAATATGAATGTACTCAACACCATTGAACTGTAAATGGTAAAAACGTTTAAGATAGTAAATTATATGTTACGTACATTTTACCATAATGAAAAACACTGGATGAAAATGTTCAAAAATAACAATTTCAGGACTCTGAAAAATCAAACAAAGACATACAAGCAACTGAAAGGCATTTAATCAAGAGAAAATACTGAACTTTGGCTAAGAACAGCAGGAGTCTCTGACAAGCCATTAAAAACAGCAGTTTCACTGCTGGAGGGCCAACTTGACTTGGAGAGGAGCAAGGAAAACCCCAATCCCCTTGGCATTACTGGAAGCAATGTCGATGGCAAACAAACCAGAAAAGCCAACATCACAGCTAACCTGCGTTTGCAACTCTAGTTGGAGCAAGCAACAGACTTGGCATACTGACCTAAGATTTACAGGGAGATCCAGTAAATGAAATGGCCATAGTGGCCTTGATAAGCTCCCCAATATTCCTTGTGGAGATAAAAAATGTAAATGTAAGCCTGGAAATATGCACACATGGGCAAGGCTGCATGCACACAGGGAAAACAAGGAAGGGCCCGGGCTATCCACACATCCCTGATTGCATGTGAGTGCTCGCACATACACAGGGGAGACACAGGAAATAAAAAGCTGGGGCAGAATATCACCAAACTTGATGTTACCCAACCTACACAGGGATCCTTGGGAAAAGGTGGAAGCCACATTGGCTCAAGGTGTTTAAACATACACTGTAATAATTCACAGGATAACTAAGCTGTCCTAACACAGTGAGTGGTAACTTCCAGGAAACCAGACTTAAGAGAAAATTTTCGCAACCTACTCATCTGACAAAGGGCTAATATCCAGAATCTACAATGAACTCAAACAAATTTACAAGAAAAAAACAAACAACCCCATCAAAAAGTGGGCGAAGGACATGAACAGACACTTCTCAAAAGAAGACATTTATGCAGTCAAAAAACACATGAAAAAATGCTCACCATCACTGGTCATCAGAGAAATGCAAATTAAAACCACAATGAGATACCATCTCACACCAGTTAGAATGGCAATCATTAAAAAGTCAGGAAACAACAGGTGCTGGAGAGGATGTGGAGAAATAGGAACACTTTTACAAGGTTGGTGGGACTGTAAACTAGTTCAACCATTGTGGAAGTCACTGTGGCGATTCCTCAGGGATCTAGAACTAGAAATACCATTTGAACCAGCCATCCCATTACTGGGTATATACCCAAAGGACTATAAATCATGCTGCTATAAAGACATATGCACACGTATGTTTATTGCGGCACTATTCACAATAGCAAAGACTTGGAACCAACCCAAATGTCCAACAATGATAGACTGGATTAAGAAAATGTGGCACATACACACCATGGAATACTATGCAGCCATAAAAAATGATGAGTTCATGTCCTTTGTAGGGACATGGATGAAATTGGAAATCATCACTCTCAGTAAACTATCGCAAGGACAAAAAACCAAACACCATATGTTCTCACTCATAGGTGGGAATTGAACAATGAGAACACATGGACACAGGAAGGGGAACATCACACTCTGGGGACTGTTGTGGGGTGGGGGGAGGGGGGAGGGATAGCATTAGGAGATATACCTAATGCTAAATGACGAGTTAATGGGTGCAGCACACCAGCATGGCACATGTATACATATGTAACTAACCTGCACATTGTGCACATGTACCCTAAAACTTAAAGTATAATAATAATAAAGTAATAAAAAAAAGATTTTTAAAGATGCACAATCATCAATATGTATACACTGCAGGGGATACAGACTTCATAGAATTAGTTCAGACAAGAAATGAAACAAACAGTAATGGCAATAAAACATGGGAGGGAGTGCCCAGAATTGAGATGCTGCCATATATTATTTAAAATGTGTAGTTTAAAAAAAAATCCAACTCCTGGATTTGTTGATCTTTTGAATGGTTTTTCGTGTCTCAATCCCCCTCAGTTCACCTCTGATTTTGGTTACTTCATGTCTTCTGCTAGCTTTGGGATTTGTTTGCTCTTGGTTTTCTAGTTATTTTTGTTGTGATGTTAGGTTGTTAACTTGATGTCTTTCTAACTTTTTGATGTGGGCATTTAGGGCTATACATTTCCCTCTTAACACTGCCTTAGCTGTGTCCCAGTGATTCTGGTATGTTGTATCTTTGTTCTCATTCATTTCGAAGAACTTCTTGATCTCTGCCTTAATTTCATTATTTACCCAAAAGTCATACAGGAGCAAGTTATTCAATTTCCATGTAATTGTATGGTTTTGAGTGAATTTCTTAGTCTTGATTTCTCATTTGATTGTGCTGTGGTTCAAGAGATTGATTGTTATGATTTCATTTCTTTTGCATAAGCAAAACCCTCCATGGATCAAGGAAGAGATCATAAGGAATTAATCTTCCTTGTGAATATTAACAATAATATTCCTTGTGAACAGCCTTTATTTCAACCTGAATGAAAATAAATGCATAGTGTATCAAATCTTGTAGGATGTAGGTAAAGCAACGCTAAGAGAAAATTTACAGTTTTACACAGCAATATTAGAAAAGAAGAATCTGAAAACAGTACCCTAAGCTTCTACCTTAAAAAACTGGAAGCAGAAGCGCAAACTAAACCCAAAGCCAACAGATTTTATTATGAAAAGTTTCAGAAGAGGCAAATTTATTGTGACAGAAAGCAGATTACTGGTTGCCTAGGGCTTGGGGTGGGGAGGAAGACTGACTGTAAACAGGCTAAAGGAATCCTTTTGAAGTGATAGAAAATGTTCTAAAACTAAATTAGAATGATGATTATGTAACCCTATAAACGTACATAAAATCATTGAATTACACAACTAAAATGAATGAATTTAACTGTATGCAATTTATACCTCAATAAAACTATTAAAATATAATGACCCAATTGGCAGTGGAAAATATGCATATGGATATGTGTATGTACCACAAATTAAAGAAATTCAATATTCTTAAATTGAGCTATTCCGTGTTAAGCACAGGCATGAATTTGAAAACGAGAAACTTATTTAATCCTGTTCCTTAAAATTGTGTAGGCAATAAAATATCCTCTTCTAATTTTACTCACTAAAAATAAAATACTTAAATATAGTATTTGGCTATTGACAACTTTTGAAATTAAAAGTTCTATTTAATAACTAAATGTTATTTGTCCCTAAGGTATTAAGTCAAAAGCTGGCTCTGTAAATAGCTTGGCAATTACTCATAAGTTTTTTAAATGTTATCAGCGTAAACTTGTCTTGTCTCACCTCTTTAGCAAGATACACTGATTTCAAGTGGAATTATATTAATGTTGAAGTAAGTAACAGTAATTTTGGTGAATGATTTATAGACATACTGTATACGTACTGTCAAAATGACCGAGATATACTTTCAACTGATACAGTCAGGGGCAACATTCTGCAATAAAACTGATATAAATCTGAATTCCATTGGTCAAAATTTCAATATAAAATGGATTTACACAATCCTGAAACCCTGAAAAGAATTCATCTGGGTCCTAAATACTGAATAATCTTTTAAAAATGTTTTTAGGTGTAAATAAATCTATGTTAAATCAAACCATTTGGAATTGGAAATTTTGAACCATATTAAGGGAAGTTGGGGAATTGAATTTTTCTTGGAAAATTAGGGTTCTGAGAAAAAATAATTTAGATTCTTTCAATTTAAAAGCCCATTCATTTCTAAATCTGATGGAAAAGATAAGAACTAAAAAGAGCATGTCATGCACTGTCAATACAAGAATTATTTCTTGTAGGGAGTGAAAAATCTTAGACACTATCATGATCTGTGGCCTTCCTAGGGCCAGAGTACATAAACCAAATACAGTATACCTGTGATATTAAAGTGTCATTGGGGAATATTCAGAAAAAAAAAAGTCTGAAAAGAATCCTTAGTGGGGAGATAATTTAAAAAAACGCTGAGAAACACTGGTATAGAAGACACTTCTACAGATAAATCAATTTATTTGGCTCTACCTCCCAACGTCCATGGAAAAAAAAAAATCTCACTATAGGTAAGAGCCTGTGGGTTACCTTTACAAAACTGAACTCTTTCTACTTGATAATGTGAAATGACATTAAGAATGCAAGAAACATTTCTAGAGCATATCTAGAGGCTGTATCCAAAAAATCAAGATTGTTTCTCATCTTTAAGCCATAAATCAAATGAACACAATAATTACATATAGGCAAATTACAAAGTTATCTCACAGAAAAATTGATCTTTTGATTTTTACTTTCATAATATGTAAATTCCATGTAAAAATCCAGTATACGGCTCTGTCAATGGCAAAAAAAAAAAAAAAAAAAAAAAAAATCTTGTACTTTTCTTATCCTGCAGCTGCTGAATAAAAACAGTGAAAACTGTGCTAATTTAGTACACTGGCATTTTCTTTGCTGACCTAAATTATAAAGGACTGACTTCAAGACCATCAAGGAAACTAATTTTAAACACTAATTACATCTAGTATGTAATATAGTTATTCAAAAGTAGCAACATAGATGCATTAAAAGAACTTGCGTAGTATAACTTCAGAACAGTTAGTGCACATATCGTTTTCAGAATTATTTGAAAAATAAACTAGCCAATGTCAAATCTTAGTTTGATTTGATTCATTACTTTTAGGGTTCAAAGATGTATCCATTATGATCCCTTTCCTAATTTTATCCTGAGTTGCTTTCACTCCATCTTACCAAGTAAGTTTTCTTTACAATAAAAAAATTGCAAAACTTCCTAGCTGAATTCAATGTATCTATTTCTTTCAGTATAAAGAATCAAGTTACTCCTTAAAAATTAGCAGTTCTACCAATATTATTCCAAAAAAAATTATATGTAGGAATAGAGGGCACATTCAGAAATAGTAAAGCAGCTTCTTCAAGAAACTTAACACTTGGGGAGGCCGAGGCGGTTGGATCATGAGGTCAGGAGATCGAGACCATCTTGGCTAACATGGTGAAACCCCATTTCTACTAAAAATACAAAACATTAGCTGGGCGTCGTGGCAGGCACCTGCAGTCCCAGCTACTTGGGAGGCTGAGGCAGGAGAATGGCGTGAACCCGGGAGGCAGAGCTTGCAGTGAGCCAAGACTGTGCCACTGCACTCCAGCCTGGGCGACAGAGTGAGACTCCATCTCAGAAAAAAAAAAGAAACTTAAAATTTTTTAAAGAAATTACTACTTTAGTATTTAGTTGGCCACGTATTTTCTCAACAATTTTCAAAATTTGATGAATCTTGATGAATCAAAAATTTGATGAATCTTGTTTTATCAACATTTCATTTGTATAAGGAAGCATAAACATTACACACATATGCAATGCACACATTTTTAATGACCTTCAAAATGATGGGCAACACATTAGACTATATTCACGATTCTAAGGAAAAAAAACAATTTAAATACAATTTTAAAAGTTTTAAGGATAGTCAATCAGAGGCAGCGTCTTGGCTAAATTTTGTTCTAAAATTTAAAGAAATTTCTAACAAGTCTATACTGTCTAACTGCCGCAATATTATCTCCCACTTTAGCCAATGGTATTGAATTTTTATGATTTAGATACTGTGATGGATAATTTGAAATGTCACCTTGGCTGGACCACAGTAAGCAGATATTTTATTTAAAACATCTGGATGTTTCTGTGAAGGTAGGCTTTTTTATAAGATCAAAGTTTAAATCAGTAGACACTGAGTAAAGCAGATTACTCTCTAAAATGTGGGCGGACCTCATCGAATCAGTAGAAGGCCTTAAGAAAAAGAAGGACCTATCCCAAGAGCGAAGGAATTCTGCCAGCAGACAGCCTTCAGACTCACATCAACTATTTCTGGGTCTCCAGTCTGCTGCCTACTTGACCTTGCAGATTTAGACTTGCCAGCCTCCAAATTCATATGAACCAATTCTTTAAAATCTCTCTCTCTCTCTCTCATACACACACACACACACACACACACACACACACACACACACACACACATCCTATTGGTTCTGTTTCTCTAGAGAACCATGACTACTGTAGATTTATATTTTTTTCTAATTTTCAAGATAGTATAATATTACTAAAGGTTTTAAATAAAGTATTAATAATGCCCAATATAATATTGAAATACAAAAATTATTAAAATTCATGGTTCTCTCTATGTAGATAAAAAGAGATGCTGGATGGATAGATGGACAGACAGACAGGAGAGTAGAGCAAGCAATATTTCTCCCATTCCTTCTATTTTTCTATGGCAAATATCGATGAGCAGTAACTGTGGAGCAAAGTAGGTTAAAGACTGCAGGCAAGTTTAACCGACACAGCTAACCAGCATCCTACACTGCATCAGGGATATGCAGCTCTTTTTATCAGGGAAGGAAACATGTTCAGATAAGCAAAGATGGATCTCTAAGGTCACAAAACCTCTGATGGAAGAGCCAGAAATAGAGCTGCCTCTCCTTATATCTGAGATGTACTCTTCAGTTGAAATAACTTTTCCTAGGTGTATGTTCCTTAATATGTATGCATATGAATATAAACCCGTGTGCACATATGTGTGTATTTGACTATATATGCATATATGTTTGTGTATACATGCATATGAGTGTGCGTGTGTGTGTGTATTTCAGTGAAAAATCCTATACCTGGCAAACAATATATGTTTGTTCTCTTACCTTGTCTCCTGCTGACAAGAGATCCCAAATCTTATCTTCGGATTATAATTGTAATCAAGGACTAGAATCATTCCCCAATGCCTTCGTTACCACAACTGTTATTTCTTTTTTTTTAAATTTAAATAACTTAATATTGTCTGTTTGCACTGGAATTAGGATCTCAATCTAAGGACCTTGTCTTATTCTTCCTGCACCTAAATTAAAATACCTACTGAATAGCCAGGTACGCAATGTGAAACAGAGGCAATGACTCACTTCAATGCCATAGTCAGTGTTTGACAGACAGATGGGCCCAGGCTCTCGGGGAATAAAGAGGACAGAAATTTTGCCCAGAGTGAAAGGGAATGAGAGTGTGTGAATGTGGCTGGGGGATTAGTGAATGTGTTTAGGGAGGAATTCATAGAGGTAACAAAACCTAGTATAAATCTTAAAGGTTGAAAGGAGAAAGTCTTAGTAAAAAAAAAAAAAAAAAAAAAAAAGGCGGGGGGAAGAAAAGTGATCTGGGTGATGAAAATAAAGCACATCAGGGCTATGGACACACAAAGGGCCAGGAAGGGGACCCAGCTGGAGCAGCCTGGAGGAGGGTGTGATACGGTTATGATCGCATTGCTGTGACAATTGCTGTTACAGAAGGAGAAGCAGGGAGCAAGACTGAAGGCGGGAAAACTAATTAGGAAGCTAGAGCTTTAGACTGGAAGAGAAAAAAGGCAAAGACTCAGGTGTTAGGACACAGGTAATAAGGCTATAGGTGAGGGGTGAATTTGAAAAACTACTTAGGCAGCAAAAAATTCAGGTCCTGCTGAATGTTTAGAATTGGATGAGAGGGAGAAGCAATATGAAGAAAAATCCAAAGATTTTAGCTGAGCTAGAAAATGTAGACAGAAAAACAGATCCAGATCAGGGCAAGGGAAAGAAAAGCAGGAAAGAGATGATAACACCATGAACGCAAAGTTCCTGTGGAACATTCTGACGGAGAGGTTCACTAATCCATTGAATATGGGGGTTTGGAGCTCATGAAAGAAGTCAAGGTGGAAATAGAGATTTCATGACCAGCAGTACATGAGGAGTTAAAACTATGGTAATTACTGAGATCACTTGGGCAAAGCACCATTGTTAAACTGGGATCACTTCTCATCGACTTTTCCCCTAGTCCTCAGTCTGTTTATCTACATTATCTACCTAATCTTGCTTAGGACTTAATGGTACCAAGTATTGTCTCTTCTTCCCAGAAGAAAAATGAGTGAACTTGGATCTTCTTCCCCTCCAGAGGGATGTGGCAGGTTGAGTTGCTATGGATTCTGAGGAAGAGAGAGGAAGAAGCGCCCCTAAGTAAAAGCTTTTTATTCCATATCTTTACACTGCTTGTCCATTCCCAAATTCTGCTGTATGTGTATGCATATGTGTGGGTTTTTTTTTTCAGAAATAAGACCTGTTTGTGATATTCATGTAATACATACAAAAATACAAAGGAAACACTCGTCACTTCCTCCCCCATCTGAAGTAACCAGCCAATTATATTTTCAGTAATATATCATTCCACAATAGTGGGCCTAGTGTTGTACACTAGGATGGGAAGTACATACCTCTCCTATCCTTTGGTCAAAATTAACAACATAACAAGAAGATAGTGCAGGCGTGTACGCATGCACACAGATGCATGCCATCAAAGTCAATAACAAAACAAAAAGATTCAGGAGACATAGAGGTAGCATGACCAGTAGAGAAGAGCAGTTGTTGTAGTTGTATTCATTCATTTGACAACAATTAGTTGTCTTAAGTACATTTGCAGGTGTCTGAGATATAAGTGTACATAAGACTGCCAATATCCTCACGGAGTTTATAGTCTAGCCAACAAAACAGACAAATGAATATAAATAAATAAATACATGATTACAACAGACTTTGTTAAGAAGTCAAATATATGTGGCTTAGTACAGGGCTGAGAGAGAAGAGCAATGGAAGAGAAAGAAGTACATTCCTCTCCTATGCAACTGCATGGCATTGAGAAATCTTGCCTTTAACATCTTGGTTTTAGAACTTGCATTTTGTTTGCTTTCCATAAAATATTTGTTAGAGCAGATAGCATCACATGCGTTTGTGATTTCAACAGACAACCCTCTTAACCTGCAAAGAATCAGATGACTCAAACCCTATTTCACTTCAAATGTTATTTGCTCTCCTGCTCTATTTAGGACTGCCCTAAGCTTTTTGGTCACCCTTATAACTTCTGTTTTTAATTATTGAGTCTTTAATCATTGCCTATTCAAATTGGGCTTTATGTATCTAAGTCTATTAGGAATAAAAATGCAGGAAGACTACAAATGTATGAAGATTTCACACAGAGAGTAAATATTTTGTATTTGGGATTAGTGTGAGGCAAAATGGTAAAAAGGCAAAGTCAGCTTTCTGAATACATCATCCTCCCTTTTGGCCCTTCCTTCAGCAAGCCCTTTTGCTGCAGTACTTAATCCTGTCCCATCACCTTCATGTCCTAATTCACATCAAGGTGTTGCTGTTTCAATTTCCAGCCACAAAGAAGGACAAAGTAACAGGTGTTAATTCTTAACCTAAAGTAATGTATCTCTCTGAACATAGAATATTAAGACCAGGCTGCTGTTCTTGGGTAGAGAAAATCATCTCTTCCTTTAAATTACACTACAGCACATGCTTCTATCAGCAGTCAAGCTGCACACCAAAGATATTCTTAAAAGCCATGTAATTTCAATGTACTTAACACATAGAAAATGTTCTAAGATGGAGATAGATGGGAGTTAAGGAGAAATGCAATATATGGTTTATGTCTTGAGAAACTTTGGCTTGCTAGGTCACAAGGTACACAGAACCAGGTATAAAATGGCTAAAACCTAAATATTAATGTGAACATTTAATACATATCATACAAATAAATACTAGCATTTCTTCATTACTACTTCATTCATTCAACAAGCCTTTACCTTGTGTTTACTGCTTACAGGCACTATGGAAGGCAGTGGCAGTGGACAGCCACGATATGGCCTTGTGAGGGGTTCAGTTGAGTGACGACATGATGGTGAATACTCAATAAATATGTGCTGAATTTATAAGCTCAAAATAGCATGTGCTGGAGATACCCACAGCATGTAAAGAGGAATAGAAGAGTGTCACTACTCCTGACTGGAAGTCCTGGTGTTAGAGGAAGGGGTATAGATTTGTGGACTAACAGAAAAGCAAGTCTCACTGCTGCTGGAGTTGAGTCTTGAAGAAACAAAAGCAGAGGAAAACATCCTTTGAAAAGGTACAGATCAGGCCAGGTGCAGTGGCTCACGCCTGTAATCCCAGCACTTTGGGAGGGTGAGGCGGGTGGATCACTTGAGGTCAAGGGTTCGAGACAAGCCTGGCCAACATGGTGAAACCCCATCTCTACTAAAAATACAAAAAATTAGCCAGGCGTGGTAGTGCACACTTCTAATCCCAGCTACTCAGGAGGCTGAGGCATGAGAATCACTTGAACCCAGGAGGCAGAGGTTGCCGTGAGCCGAGATCAAGCCACTATACTCCAGCCTGGGCCACAGAGCGAGACTCCATCTCAAAAAAAAAAGAAAAGAAAAAAAGAAAAGGTACAGATCAAAGACAAAACAAACAAAATAAAGGAAAATAATGCACATAACTGTGTACAGCTGAGGCACTGGGGGTGCACGGGTGATGGTCAACAAAGCTCCTAGAGTCAGCTTACACTAAAAAGTTTGGCCTTTATTCTGCTTAGTGTAGACAGTGGGCAGCCACTGAGTACATTTCATCAAGAGAAAGGCACATTTGAATTTTGGCAAGATCACTCTAATAATGATGGTGTCAACAATGGATTACAGGGGAGGAGGAAATAAAACAGCTACAGTAATAATCTAAGAGAAAGTCATGAAGTCCTGAGTAAGGCAGAAACTGAAGACAAGCAGGAGGAATGGACAGGAAGGGCCAGATTCAGGAGATATTAAAGAAGCAGAATCCATAGAAAGTGGAAGCTATAAACACTGGGCAATGGAGGTGAGAAAACAAGCAAGTGAGGAAGTGGGAGGCATCAAAGGAAGCTCCTAGGATTCCAGCGTGGAGGAAAGGGAATCCAAGGATGAATGAAATGTAACTCGGCCATCTCAGGCCACCACTGTTTGCACCTGGTGCCCACCTCCAGGTTAGCTAGATCAAAACATGCATCTGCACACACATAAGCACATATGTACAGGTGCACATACACGCATATGAACAATCACACAATCTGGTGATCCCTTCCTCTCATCTACATCTCTTCTTTTTCTTCCTCTCGCCTCTGCAACATACACACTCTGGAATTTTCAGTTGACACCTTTATCACATAGAGTATTTATTAGCCCTTATTTCTTTTCTTTAATTCGTCTCTCATTCCCCACTCAGCCAAAGAAAGGGTCCTCCCTAGACTTGCATTTCTCAGGAATCTGGACAGTAGTTGGTGTAAACACTTAGTTCAACATATTTATCCTGTCTAATAAATTTAGATAGGAGCAAGTTTGCTAGGAAAGATAAGTATTTCTGTTTTGGATATATTGTTTTAAGTAGGCAACAATTGGAGTCACCGAAAAAAAAGAAAAGAAAAAAGAACCTGAAAGCATTTAACAATATAATTCAAGGAGAGTATAAAGACAATAAAAGTAATATTTCACTCTATAGATGTAAAGGGACATGGTTTTCTGGGAAAACTAATCACAGAAATGATCCACACTAACTTATAATCTAACAAAGTTACTTGTCTGTAAAACTAAAGAAGTATTTGGAGAGCCAGGCAAAAAGACTATTTATATGGGGAACGCATGACCAGGCTGGCCACTGACCACATATCACTGTCTAGAGGACTATGGAACAATGCTTCCAAAATTCGTAAGAAAACACAAACACACAAAAAGAAAGGAATGGAAAATGTAACTTAGAAATTTTATACTATCCCAAGATGGCATGGAGGTGAAAAAGAAACATACCAACATTTTTTAAAAATGCAAAAACATTAAGTAATATATTTTCCATGAGTATTAATTTATTATTGAAAGTACTAGAGCTACCCAGAGATGAATGAAAAAACTATAGCACAAGATTGGCAGGGGCACTGAATCTATTCAATGGCATAACTAAGGGTAAACAAATGCAGGATTATGGCTATACAAGAGAAGACAGATACTGCATGAAAAGTTGAAAAAGAGTAAAAAAAATGACATATAGTTTAAAGATTCTCATTTTCTCTTCTTTAAATCTTGAGATGACATATCATTTAAATCCAGTAAATCACACAATGATGGTTTTCAGTGTGTTCACCAGTAAAAAGGTAAATGTTAAGAAATACAATTTGCCAGTAAAATACCAATACAATTTACCAGTAAAAAGGTAAATGTTAAGAAATACAGTCACGTGGTGTGACAAATAGTTAAGAAGTGAGAAAATACAGTTATTTCAACATTGACCATATTAGGGAGTGAAAAAAATACTGTCCTAATGAAATATAAGTATGGGTAACATGTCAATTTGTAGTTTAAATATATCTACTAGATTGGAAATAAAGAAAAGGAAATGGACAAATTTTAACTATATTAATAGAAAAACTGACAAGAAAAAAATAAAATATCACTTCTCTTCTAGTTATTTAGAGGATTTATTGCTTTTCAAACAAATAATTAATGCATAATTCACATAAATAAATTTGACTCACATAATTTTGGAAGAAAATCCAGAAATTAAATTGTATTTGAGCACTCTATGATTGCGATCTCTTCTTTCTTCTACCTTTTATTAGATGCAATTTTATCACTTTACCATAGCACTTTCCACTGATTTGGTAGTTTTCACCTAAGAGTTCCAAATGTGTTTTTCAGTGAAATATTAATAAATGCATGCTGATGAGGAACGAAGCTACAGAATGACAGTCAAAGATCATACAGCAGTATTTGGATTCGTTGAATTAAATTAATCCAAAAATTTTGGTCCTGTTAATACTTTTCACCCAACTTGAGCTTCAACAGGAATGGAAGTTTTATTGTTAGCATTCAATTATATATTAAGCAACCAAACATATTCTGTCTTTTATTTGCTCAGCACTGTGCCACAACAATATATAGCTCCAAAAGCCACTTGTCTACTTGGTGATAAATAGATTTAAGTTTTCGAAACTGAGACCAACCAACCTGAGACCAAAGCTATGTTCTTCTTTCTAAAGCAAATGATTTTCTAAGCTTTATTTGATCTACCAGAGCCTCCTAGATTGATTTGATTTCAACATTACAATGAAGAAGCAGTGGAACAATGTTATTTCACTCTCATCACTGTGAGTTTTAAACATCATACTAGTCTGTACACACTATGGCAGGGCTCAAGATGTATCTGTGCAAAAGCCTGGTAAGTAAGAAGCAATAGAATAAAATCCTTTCAATTGAATTATGATTTGAGAGTTGAATTTATCATACTAAATGTTTTCTTCAAACAGAGTACATCCTTATTTCCAGTTAATATTTAAGACTATCCATACATCAAGCTCATTGCTTACAGATATGCAAAACAACTGTTTTTCTCTTCATCAGTTTAAACTCACAATTTATAACTGTGATATATAGACATTTGGCAAACACAGATGATTTTAATTTATAATGCACCTCTATTTGATATATCAATATAAAAGGTAATTCTATAGATTATACAAGGAGAAGAACCTTTCAGAAGAGCTTGAAAACACTGAATTATACTTGATGATAGAAAGTATCAAATAGATACCTAAAGCCATCATGAACTTAAATAATGCTTGGCATCTATAAAGGAATTATTTCAAATACAGTATGTCGGCCAAGGCACCAACCAGCTGTTAATGTCACTGGGCTCTCCTATGCAACTTACAAAATTATTTTTGAGTATATTCAGTAATTACTTTTGGCACATACTCCAGTTCCATAACCTGTTCTCGTCTATCTCAAGAGCTTTCAATCTGATTACATTTTCCATGATGTAAAAGCACAACTCCCTTTGTGGAATCCACGTAGAAATCACTGAATTCTGTGTTCTTCCTCCCTTTGCTTTATCTCACATACCCCATACTGTTATTAATGGTTATTTGAATTTCAGTGGAAATAAAAGTGATCAATCTTTACTGCAACCACAGATAATAGGCATCCTAGTACTCCTATTTCAAGGCGTGGTGTTTATCATTTCTTAAGAAGGAATATCCATTAATTTAGGATATAATAGTTTTAGACCAAAGATAACTAATGTCAAGAGGAAACTTTCTATATCAGAAGAATAACTGGCCTTCAGTCTTAAAAGAACAGTCTTGTAAGAAAGTCAGGGTGTATTTCAAGAACGATTCTGAGCACTTGGTCAGTGATTCTTAATGGGTTGTGTTTCTCTCTGTAAATCCTCGGTAGAGGTGGAATTAATTTTATTTAACAGATTCATCAGGCGCTTATTGGACACAGAGCAGAGCCCTGGGTTTTCAGGTGTTCGAACTTGGCATTGTGCATTGGGGCACTAAACTATCAACCTAAAACCATCTGAAGTACACTTAAAATATAATTTCCTTGACAATGGTTATCTAGATTACTTAAAGATTAGGTGATCTGGTGTGAGTATAACTTTGGCAGAAGTTTCTGACATCATAAATTCTGAATCCATCCAGTGATTGAATAGAAAGAATTGTTCACTTCCCAACATATTAAACTTTCAAAGGTCTGTGACTCTGCCATACAAGCCAGGCATTTCCAAGAGCTCGGAAGTCACTGTTATGCATTTCCCATTCTCACACACACACATACACGCTTGCACACACACAGTTCAGTCATAATGGCTACATTTGTGGATGATGCTCCCTCTAGAACTGGATGCACAAGAGAATAAGAAATGACCAGTGATGCACCCTGCCTCTTGCAAACTGGAGAGAGCATTTACTACCATTCTCATCCACTCAAGAAGAGAATCAAGTTCTGAATAGAAAAGAACTATCATATTCCTCTAAATTCATGATTCCCAGATTCTGAGCTAATTTTCTTATGAAAATACATTGCTTAAAAATGTCAAGTATTTATAAAAACTCTAAAATGAACTTTAGTGATTGGCCATGGTTTTGTCAGTTTGAGAAAACATGGAATGTATTTTGATCTCACTGAGATGAATAATAAACATTTCCTTTCAAAGGATAAACAAGTTTTATTGAAGAGCTTACACTCCTTAGGAATTTTAAATTAACTTAATCTTCAGTCACTTACAAAAAAATTCTTTTATATTGTCCTTATATTATGACATGTAAATTATTACTTTCTTATAAAATACATAATCCACACTATTGAGTAATATACACACAGTCATGATTCACTTTGAAAAGAAGCCAAAAAAATTCTTAATAAAAATGGTGTTGGAATGGAAAATAGCTTATCTCATACACTGTTGGTGGCAGTGTAAATCAGTAGAGCCTTTTCAGAAGACAACTTGGCTGTATTAATAAAGAGTATGTACCTTTGATTTTCAAATTCTACAATTTGGAATCCATCATTTATAAGTATAATCATATATGCACAAAACTATGTTTAAGAATGTTTGTTACATTAATAATAGCATAATTACTTAACCTTTACTGAGCATGTACTTTGGAGTATGGCCAAATTAAATCCATATTACAGAATGATATGAAATCTATCTATTTTTGTCTATGTGTTTTTATATATACATATTATAAAATATATATATCACTTTTCAATCTTTTTTCTAATATATAACATATATTAGAAATATTGTATATAAAATTTATATTATATATATTTGAAAAAAGTCTGCAAAGATACTACAAACTATGGTTATCTATACGGAAGACTACTGAATGGGGGAGGTGTGGAATGGGGAAGCCAGGAAAGAGGTAAGAATAAAAGTCTTCGCATTTTACATTTTATTTTTCACATTTAGTTTTGTGTTACTTACATTGAACATGTAACTCTATCACTTTTCAATTAAAAATTTAGAAGGTATGTTAACAGGACCAATGCAATACATTATAACTTTTTAACGACAAAATCATTCTGTATAATTAAGCTTAAACATCTAAAGAGTATGGTCAGGAAATAGAATTAACACTCAAATTGAGGTAGGTTTGATTGTCTTATTGGTAAGTAGGTTTGATACCTTGAGACGAAATATCAAGATTTATCTTCTATGAACCTACAAACTGAATTATTAAAACCAAAATCAACAAATAAAATCAAGCTCTTAGAGTGCTTAAGAATCCATGGTGGGGAGGCACACTACACAATTTGAAAGCACCTAAGGTGCTCCGTACCTAATATGTACTCCATCAGGGTAGGTATCTTGTCCTCTTGAGAACTTTAACTTACTACTTAATCTGAACCCATTTTATCTGTTTTTATTTCCAACTCTTTCCTAAATAGATCTTCCCTCCTAACAGCTTGGTTGTGTCACAGTTCCATAAACACCATTCCATGAACCTCATTCATTCTTACTATTTAGCTCTGCATTTAATAAACTTGGGGTTCCTCCTCAGCTAACATCCTCTCTCCTGGGAGCTCTTTGACAACTACACACCCACCACTCCCCTCCAGAGAGAGTGAGTCCCTGCTTATCCATGTTCACAGCATGTGATCTCCTGTGCCGCGTGACCACAGTTGATAGGACCAAGGGTTGATCCTTTACTCATGATCTAAACAGCTCAGATGTTCTCTCTTAATAATTTAACTAACAGAGTCAAGACTGAATCAATTACTAGTAGTTCTTGGAGCTGGAAAATCATATAGAATGGGAAACTATGGAAGCCCCAGGGGCTATGTGTACTAATTATTTAGCAGAGAGAGTCAGGTTGCAGACATTTAAAAGCAGAAACAGGAACCAGGTGATGAGAGAACAAGAGAGGAGAAAAGAAGAGTAGAGGAGATGGGACAGGAATAGCTGCTTTGTTCCCCAGGCTTTTTAGCTCTACTCCCAAGAAAACCCAGTGTGTCTTCATTTTCTTTGGTTATCCAGAATACTACTGCCATCTTTTAATAAATATTTTCTTAGAGAAGCTAATTTGACAGGCTTTCTGTGTCTTAGATACCTGATGGGGAACTTCCCTTTTGACTGTCCCTATATCAATTCTACATCTTTCAAGGCCCACCCAAATTCTTCCTTTTTCTTGAATCACATGAAAAGATAAGGACATGATGCCAACTCATACCAATCATTCCTGAATACATCACACAAAATCTGCACTTCATAATTTAAGCTGAGATGGGAGCAACTTTCACTTGTGAAACAATGCCTTTGATAGACTATAACTCACTAGACTGAAACCCTCCTTAGGGCAGAGGTAAAGTGTTGTATTTCTTCAATAGTTTCTATAATTGGAGCACTCCAGTAGGCATTCCAGAAATATGTTAATTAAGTTGCTGAGCCCATGTTCCAAAAATATAACTGAATCTCACTCAACTGAAATAAGTAATTAAGTATAGATTCTAATATAAGGCATTGAGATCTAACAAGAATATTTAAATGAAAGAAGAGATCCTTAAAAAGATGTTTTGTGCTAGAAAATTTAAGCCAATTTTGAAAAATGAATAAACCAATATACATTACTTAGATATTTAAAGCACATGTGGCAAGCATTAATCCCATGTTCAAAACTCAGATGCAATCTCATGGAGAAATAAAATAGAGCAAGTGAAATATTATTGCTAATGTGTTGTACTCCTTACACACAAATGTCCTTCCAGGAAAAGAATAAATGAGATAGATGAAAAAGTCAAGTAAAATTATACTCATGACTATGAATAGGACTTGTAGTTTAAGGATTTTAATAATGAGGAGTAATATCACAAACATACACTTCTTGATGATTTCCCAAATATCACTTACTGGAAAATAAAACGAATATCATTACATTTTGAAAATTATTCTTGTTACAGTTTCCACTAAAACAAAAGAAAATCACCACCTCTTCAAAATTACAATGACCTTTAAGAAGTTGCCAATTTAACAAGGACTAGAGGGGAGTCCTGGGCATTTGCCCTTGACTGCAGAATGTAAGTCTACCAATAAATAAAAATGGAGGGTAAAGACTCATAGAAGAAAGGGAGTCAGATATTAACACATTCTTTCCTTTGCTTTCTACTCACAAATCACTCCCTTTCCCCCTTTACTATAGATGATCTATGTGAAGGTTGGTTACTTCTATACATGCTCCCAGTCTCAAGAAGCATACCAAGCTGAGCGCTTAAGGGATATAATGGAGAATAGAATCTAATCTAGCAGATATTCACCATAAACTCTCTTTTAATCTTTACCAAACTCTGACTTCCTATCTGTGCACCCCGTTCTGGCTTTGCCATATCATTAATATGTTTCCCAGAATCTTAACTCTCGGCTTGTATACTAATTAACGAAACTCATCTCCTTCACTCAGACACAGCATTGATGAGATACATCTTTGTCATTTGATCCACTGTTCCAGCATCAGGACTCAGCCTCTCTTGAGATATGTTCCAGAAGGCAGCTTAATGATGCAGCTGCCAATATGGTTCTCCACTGGTACATACATGTGACTTCCCTCCCTATTGACCTGATTAAAGCAGATGTATTACAGTGTGAGGCACACCCTATTTTCACATTCGAGGAGCTTTAGCTGACAATCAAGAATACTCATTTAATTTATTTCCAACCAACCATCATTAATTTCCAACTGGCTTATCATACATAGTATCACCCAGGTGGTTAACACTATATATTTTATAGTTAACGATTCAAAATGGTTGAAATAGAGATGATGAAAAAGACTTCCCCATGTTAAAATTATTGTGCTTTTGCTCCCTAAAGCCTAGAAGTTTGACTTTGTATGGCCATTCTTCTATCTATTGGAGTGGGCCTACAATTGTTTTCAGAGATGATTGCATGATACATAGACAAATAGATAGACATAAAAAATGAACAATCTGATAACTATTCAACAGTGAAGTGCATTTACATCATATAATATAAGCAGAATGATGCCCAATTGATAAAAGCTATAGTGAGCATATTTCAAAAGAACCAGTCCTCAGGTAATAACTGATGAATCTTCTACTTACTCCAAAATCTTCAAAAATAATCTTCTGTGGAATAAAGTAAAAGTATCTAGATGGGTATCACTAATTATGCTGTCTGTTATTTCATACTTAAGATGTGTTTCTTACCTCCTTTCTAACAGTCTGTCCTGCTTTTCCTTTCTGTTAATTCCATGTTCTAGCAGATTAAGAATCTGACAATGGAGTCCCCCGTTTCCTACTCCTTTGACATTTAACCTTCCTCTCTCTCTAACATGTTTGTTCAAATCCTATTCAGCCTTCAAAGCCCAACTAAAACATCACCATGTTTAGGAGATCTTTCTTGATTTCTTCATACTGATAGGCTCTCTTTCCACTCTAAGGTTCCAGGCACTTGCTTATTGTATTAGTCTGTTTTCATGCTGCTGATAAAGACATACCTGAGACTGGGTAATTTATAAGAAAATGAGGTTTAGGACTCACAGTTCCACGTGGCTGGGGAGGCCTCACAATTATGGCGGAAGGCAAAAGACACGTCTTACACGGCGGCAGACAAGAGAGGGAGTGATAGCCAAGTGAAAGGAGAAACTTCTTATAAAACCGTGAGATCTCATGAGACTTATTCACCACCAAAAGAATAGCACGGGAAAGACTTGCCCCCATGATTCAATTATTTCCCACTAGGTCCCTCCCACAACATGTGGGAATTATGGGAATTACAATACAAGATGAGATTTGGGTGGGAACACAGCCAAGCCATATCTCTTATATTTATCTAATTGTTCTTATGTCACCCAGTACAGCGGAATGGCTAAGAGTCAGACTCTGCAGTCAGATGCAGCTGGAGTCCCATTCCCAGCACACCTCACTAAACTTTAATTTCTTCATATATATAACGAGGATAATTGTAAGAGTTACCTTGCAGCATTTTCAAAATATTAAGTACTCAATAAAGTTTAGCCATTATTAGATATTTTAAAATTATGCATTATGGTTGTCAGCATTTATTTCCATATTTTGAAATTTTTTCTCTAAGAAAAATCTACTAATTGATCATGAGAAAAAAAATAACTGGGGCCAATAAAAACAGCATTATGCTTTTTTTTTTTTTTTTTAAGTATTACTTCTTGGTATGAAACTGTTTTGGAAAGTTCCTTACTCTGTAACTAATAAAACCACTGGAACAAATCTGGAGGACAATCAGTTACTTTGCAATTAAAAAAACCTATGTTTTGTATATCTCAGGTCTTTGGCTCCTGGGTTTAAATAAAATACTTACTTGCTAACTCTAAAAGATAGGAATGCTAATTCAGTTTTTGGAAAAGGCTATATGAAAAATGAAACCTTTCCTGTATTCTTTGTTTTATATTTCATGCTATCTCACATGTATACAATTCTCACTTCAGTATACTACTTTAGGCATAATAAAGATTTAAGAAAGATTTATTAAATAGGTCTCCTGAAGTTGTTTAAATCAAACACGAATTTGACCCTGCAGTTCAGCAACATAGGTTAAATGGCCACACACTGGATTACTTGAAAGCCAGGGCAACTAAGAACCTTGGAAACCAAAGAATGTATATAGGGCCAGCCAGTATATCAGTAACTGTATTTAGAATTCACAGAGGATAACCAGCCATGTCTTTCCATTACATTATCTTGCCTAATAGAGGTCAAATGACTGATCTGCCTGCTAACAGAGTTTAGCAAAGGAATCAGAGGTTAATTACCTTCACTCCTTTTTACAAAAGCTAAATGTCCTAAGAATTACTGCATCATTATCCAGATAGAACAAAAGCACAAACAAAACATTAAAACATTACCTGGGGAATAATGTTCTAATATTCATCTAACTGAAAGGTCATTATCTCTAGAACTTTAACTTTTAAAATTCAACTACTGTGCAAGCATATTTATTAATGAGTAAAATAATATGTACTTAAACTCAAAATATTTAGTACATTAATGGGATTTTCATGGTTTTCATTAGCATTCATTTTCCTTTTCCTTACATAATTAAATTTTGAAAATATAATCCTAATAAAATGGGCATGTAAGATATCTCCCTCTAGTTTACTGGCAGGAGCTTGTACTAGAAACAGCATTAGACAGGGAGATAAGAGACCTGGGTTTTAAACCTATCAGTTACTGAACAAGCTCTGTATGCACTTAGACAAAACCGAGTATCCTTGCTCATTAAAAAAAAAGGGATGTTTACCTATGAGAATCAAGTAGAACTGCTTTCTGACTATGCTATGTAGAATGCGAAGTGATTAAACATCACAGATTATTATACTTCCTTTTGATAACCCACATAATATGACCATGTGACTGTTTTAAGTAACCAAATGGAGAAAACACAAATATCATGATATTGAAGGAAAGAAGCAGAATTGTTCCATCTCCATTTGAACCTACTCTACTGGCACATCTAATCCACAAGTTTGAGGATGAGATTAAGTGCAACCATTTCAATGGCTCCTACCAAATAAATAAAATAACTCTGGATCAATTATCCAGACTCAGGGAAATGGAAAAGATTAGTGTAAAACACCCTTTCACTCTGCTAATAAGATGTACAAAAGTCAAAACAGCTTCCATACACTATGGTAATGTCATAAAATGGTAAATTGAGCCATGCGACAAGCAATTTCACCCTCTCAAATAACTTTGGTCAACAGCAACGAGACTTACTCCTAAATTGAGTGCTAATGACAGAATTGAAGATATTATTCAATATTCTATCTGATGGATAATGAAAAGTAAATGTTTAACCTACCTAATATCGGCTTTATCCAAGTTTCTTAGGGTCCAGGGAGGACATTTGCAGAGCTAAATTTTCATTGTGAAGGCAACTGCACACACTAAGTCTGATTTCGAAAGATCTCTCTCTTCTCAGAGAAGTTATTAAGTTAATATGTTGAAATTTATTAGACTAGCACCTGGATCTTAGTAAGTGCTCAGCAAGTTGAGATCCTTATAATTATTATTATTACTGATCTGATAACCATCTTTGTGTTCATGTGGAACCATCCAGTCCACTTTGATGACAGAATGTAATAGCAGGGATTAGTTCATTTTCATACACCATATCTTGTTCATCAAAGGAATTTTATTTTTCATCTTTGGAAAACAGGTTGAACCTTTTAAGAGCAATAGTGTGAGTTTTCCTTTGTTATTTTTTAACATCAGGGCTAACTCTAGATCAAATACTCTCTCTATATTTCCTCGTACTAATATAGCTGAATTTACCCTATCCTCATTTATCATTTCAACAATCAAAAAGGTCAGAATGCCGACCAATCGAGAAAGACTACCTAGCCTATCTGAAGGCTAGACCCTGTAATTTCACAGGCAGTGTCTTCTCAGAATACTATTCTATTGCTTTTTATTATTAGAAAACAAACAAAAATCTATCTTATTCACTGACCTAGTAAACATGAACAACCCCAAATTTTCCATTAACTGATATTAGAAATTAGAATATCTTTGATGCTTTGTTGGATTCATCCTACATCTTTGCTTTCAAAGTTTTTCCAACCCCTGCTCCTTTTCTCTCCACTCCCTTTATCTTCTTTGCTGATTCCGAACTCCACTGTGGCTGTAATGCCTCCCTAATGCCTGCAACAGTGCCTCATTGCCATGGAAATAATCACTTTAAAAAACAATACAATACAATACAATAAGTAATAATGAAAGCTTAGGCAGGCTGTACAGTAGGAAGGGAGGGTAGACTCAGAAATAGAACCCAGACTTACTGACACTAACAGCTACTCCCTTAATGTAGTCCTTAGATCACTAAATTCCTCTCTTATTTTCACTCTCATTTTCATATACATACTCTCCGATGATCTCAGGCAGCATATAGATTTTGAATAAAGAAAATGCCAAAGTAGCAGTGAGACAATGAAACTTGTTCGATAATTATTTGAGATCATAGCTAGTGTACAACCTGTATGTTCAGGAAAAGTTAGCTCTCAAAATGCCCTCCTCAGACCCCCTGAAATCTGGGTCAAAACGGCATTAGATTGGATATTTGTTTTTCATTCTTTTTTAGTTACATCATCACAATACTTTCATTTTTTTTTCCCAAACCTTAGCAGAAAACTCTGTTGTTGATCACATCTGATTTGAGAGATGCAGATTGCTGGTTGCTGCCAGGAATAATGTGTCACATTATATAAATAAATAAAACAAGCGCCATGGGAATGAGCAGTAGGCACCTCACAGAAACCACCGGGTAGCATCCAATTGACAGGCTGTTC
Source organism: Homo sapiens (assembly GCF_000001405.40). Classification (NCBI taxonomy): domain Eukaryota; kingdom Metazoa; phylum Chordata; class Mammalia; order Primates; family Hominidae; genus Homo; species Homo sapiens. Next base: position 4,385,655 of record NC_000018.10, read on the forward strand.
TAGGAAAAGAAATCTACAGATTCAGGGCTGTCACCATCCAGAGACTTCTAAAACAAGATACATAATACAAATACACACAAATATAATACATTGGAAAGTAAATTTATTTTTTTACATGTTACTTTCATTGCTTTAGTTACGAATAATTTCATAGTAGTGGTGGAGCCATGTGGAATCCAGTTAGAGTAAACATGCCTGTAAATTGGCACTAATGTTATGCTGTTGTTGAAATCACTTTTGTAGAGAATATGAACTTTCTGTAGGTATTTAGAGGAAAGCTTATGAAAGCTTTTCAAGCACAGAAAAGCACAAAGAAATATATGGAATGAGAACTGGGACTTTAAGAAGCTGCCTCAAGGATTTAGAAAATGGCCTGGTGTGGGCTAAATGAAGTGTCACATTTAAGGGTCATTTCCTCAACAAACATTTGAATGTGTTTGTGACAAGGGATTGCTGGGGGCTGGGGAAGGGGGTGGCTACAATGATAGCTATGACTTCTTCTTATGTCCCCGTTCTAATATAGCTAAATTTATCCTATCCTCATTTATCATTTTGACAATCAGAAAGGTCAGAATGCCGACCAGATCGAGAAAGACTACCTAGACTATCTGAAGGCTAGATCCTGTAATTTCCCAGGCAGTGTCTTCTCAGAATAGTATTCCATTTCTTTTTATTATTAGAAGACAAACAAAAATCTGACTATCTTATTCACTGACCTAGTAAACATGAACAACCCCAAATTTTCCATTAACTGACATTAGGGACTCAAACATTCCATCAGGAGATTACAGTCCACTGGATATGGCAAATTATCAAATATAACTATAGTCCATCATGATTAATGTCACATTAGCTATAAGTAGAAGCAAGAATGACAGTGATGTAACAGTTTTAAGTGAGCTGTAGTTGTATAGCCAGTCGACCTGTCCAAGGTCAAAGAGCTGGCTCAGAGTTAATACAGGTGATAATGGGAAAATATGGGCATGAGTTTTCTTAGGTCTATAGAGTAATGAGAAAGATCACATATGCAGAGTATTTAAAAGGAAATAGGGATATGGGCAGCAACTCTTTTAGAGACCATTACAAACTGACTGTCTGGGAGAACAACACTCTGAGGCCCAGGTATGTGAGAATGAAAATAAGCAAACAGAAAGTAGGGCTATGTTTAGAATGGAGAAGATGCTGGTTAAAGCAAAAGAAATGAGGCAAAGAAAGAAAGATAGGAGAGCATCAGGTTGCATAATAGGGGTAATTAGGGTATAAAATCTGTGGAGCATGACTGTTTGGGGTGAAAGAGAAATGTGGCCTCTATAATATTCTGAGATAAGTAAGAGTAAACTACCTTTCTAAGTCACTCGCAATGAAACAAGATTTAAGTTAGTATGGGGATGATGCTGTTATTCTTCAATATTTAGGGACCACCCATTGTGTTCTAAATACCTAAACCCTCATTGGAATTGTAATAAAAACCATGGGACTGGATGAAAAGGATAAGATGAAGAAATGAGGGAGCAAGGTTGAGTGAAAAGGTAGGCAATATCAATCAGTCAAGAGGCATTTATTAAGCCTCTATAACAAACACACCTGCACAGCATTTTTCTAGATTCTTTGGGGAGTAAAAAAAGAATTTAATAGTCTGATTGGGAAATAAGCCACATTTGAGTGAAAATAAACCACACAAGGCTATACATAAGTAATTAATGTAATAAAGATTTAAGCTGGGCCATATATGTGACCAGACGATGATTTTAAAATGTTATTATAAGTAATTGTGATGGAAGTATATTGTTTAAATGGAAATAAATACACTTCATTTTAATTTCATGACTATTATGCTGCTTATTCTAGGGCATACTTCTAATTATGTCTCTTGCTCATAAGAACAAACTGTCTTCTGCACTATCTCTAAGTCCAGTGCTTTCTCTATGACATTTTGGGGGACAACTAAGCTGTCTAGAATAAATGCACATACAGCAGAAGGGAAGAATGAAGAAGAAATGCAGCTGAGGAAGTTAAGTAAAGAAAGGCACAGGTTTGGGAGGCTGAGGCGGGCAGATCATGAGGTCAGGAGTTCGGGACTAGCCTGGCCAGCATGGCGAAACCCCGTCTCTACTAAAAATACAAAAATTAGTCGGGCATGGTGGTGTGTGCCTGTAGTCCCAGCTACTTGGGAGGCTGAGGCAGGAGAATCACTTGAACCCGGGAGGTGGATGCTGCAGTGAGCTGAGATCACACCACTGCACTCCAGCCTGGGTGACAGAGACTCCATCACACATACACACACACACACACACACACACACACACACACACACACACACTCAAAAGGCCCAGGTAATGAAGTGTCTCTTTTGCCAAGCTCAGGAAATTGGACTGTTCTCTACAGGGACTGAGTGCCTAGTGGGGAAGAATCGGGGTCAGCAGTGTGGAGGACGGAGTGGAAGCTAGGCATAAACAGTGAGCTAAAGTCATATTTAAATCTTTGCAATATTTCAAGAGACAAATGAGGCTCTGAATTAGGGTAAGGGCAATGCTAAAGAGTGTTAAGAAATGCAGCAGACAGGACACAGTAAAGTAAAACATAGAGAGGGGAAACTCAAGAATGACACTCAAGTTTCTGATTAGAGGATGGTGAAGCTAATGACCAAGAAGGAGACGGTTTCGAAGGAAAAAATGGTTTCAGTTTTGCACATGTGCCTGTGGCACATCCATAGGGAAGTATGTAGGAGGTAGATGGATATGCAGCTTGGAACGCAGGAGACATTCCTTCACCTGGAGATACTAGAGCTAGGGGTCATTAGTGAAGAAAGCCATTGGAGCTGCGGGAAAGGGTGAGCTTGCCTAGAGGGTACATATAGTTCAGGAACAGAACCATTAGGACAATGGCATTTAAGGAATGGGTAAAGGCAGAAAGAAATTGGTGAAGAAAAATAAGGAGTCATGTTGTACTGAAACTATTGCAGGTAAGATGCCCAAATTTTTCTTTATCACAGTCTTTACAAACTTCAGACTTCATATTAGGAAGGAAAAAGTTACTCTCCCCCACCCGCTGGCTATTACTTACAGCCAAAGACATCTTAACTGTAAAGTATCTGATATAATTTTAACAATTATCTCATATACGTATCAGGAAAGTAACAACCACAATGAGATATCACCTCACACCCATCAGGTTGGCTACTATCAAAACAAAAACAAAAAAAGAAAATAATGTCAGTGAGGATGTGGAGAAACTGGAGCCCTTGTCTACTGTTGACGGGAGTGTAAAATAGTACAGCCACTCTGAAAAAGTTTGGCAGTTCCTCAAAATATTAAAAATTGAGTTGTCATAAGATCCAGCAGTTCCACTTCTGGGTATATGGCCAAAAACATTGAAAGCAATGTCTTGAAGTGACACTTGTACACCTATGTTCATAGTAGCACTATTCACAATAACTAAAAAGTGGAAGCAACACAACTGATCATTGATGGATGAATGGATGAACAAAATATGATATATAGAAACTATGAATTATTATTCATCCTTAAAAAGGAAGGACATTCTAACACATGCTACAACACGGATGAACCTTGAGAACATTATACTAAGTAAAATAAGCCAGTCACAAAAAGATGAATACTTTATGATTCTACTTAAATGAAGTGTCTAGAATAGTCAAATTCACAGCAAGAGAAATAAAGTAGAATGATGGCTGCCAAGGGGTACGGGTAGGGGAAAATGGGGAGTTCTTTAATGGGCATAGAGTTTCAGTTTTGTAAGAGGAAAAATTTCTGAAGACTGATTGCACAAAAATATGAATGTACTTAACACTACTGAACTGTACACTTAAAAATGGCTGACATGGTAAATTTAATGTTCTGTGTAATTTACTACAATGGAAAATTGTATAAAGCAACTGAATGGTGACAGCAAAAACAGATTGACTGTAGAATGATTTTCTATGATTGGTTAAATTAAATGATTTTTATTTTCTTCTTTATCTTCATGGATTATCCAAAATTACTACAATGGGATGTGTACCTTTTATAGTCAAAATAGAAGTTATTCCAATGAACTAGTTCACACTACCCATTATACGCAAATTGATGTACATCTCCAATGTGCTTTCAGAGCAACTGCATTATTCTGTTATATTCTGTGTCACGAGTTTGCTGTTGGCACACAATGACGTCTATTAAGATGCACATCAATTACTATAACCTGCAATTAATAATGCATAGTTTAAATATTACTGGTGAATAGTCTTCATTATTAAATCTAGATGTCTATTTCCTTCATGTTTCTAAGATACTTCTACTTCAAGATTAATTCATTTAATTTAACTGAACATCAGCTACATGTAGGGCACTGTGTTAGTCCCTCCAGTGGCTACAGGGCTAAATGAGGTATGGTTTTTGATCTTAAGAAATACATTCTAATAGTGTATTGTATTGTTCTCCAAAATATTCTCTGCCCTTCCTTATGGAGAGAATATATGTCCCCATACCATGTTGGCCCATAACAAATTGTGTGAAAAAAAAAAAGATGTATTCCTCCCCCTTTTTTCTTAATTAATAAATCTTATGTTTTTATAGCAGTTTTAGGTTCACAGGAAAATTGAAAGGAAAGGACAGAGGTCCCATGCACCCCTGTCCCCACATGTTCACAACACTACTGACATCCCATATCACAGTGGTACACTTGTTGTAATTGATGAACCTCTATTGACACATCATTATCACCCAAAGTCCACAGTTTCTACATCAGGGCTCATTCTCGGTGTTGCACATTCTACGAGCTTTGAAAAATGTATAATGACATGTGTCCACCATTGTAGTATCATATAGAATAGTTCCACTGCCCTAAAAATTCTCTGTGCCCAACCTATTCATCCTTCCATTCCTCCTAACCCCTGGTGACCACAAATCCTTTTACTATCTCCATTGTTCTGACCTTTCTAGAACGTCATACAGTTGGAGTCATACAGTACATAGGCTTTTCAGATTATTTTCTTTCACTTAGTACGGATTTAGTTTCCTTCATGTCTTTTTGTGGCTTGATAGCTGAATAATATTCCACTGTCTGGATGTACCACAGTTTATCCATCCACTGATGGAAGACATCTTGGTTGCCTCCCAGTTTTTGGCAGTTATGAATAAAATTTCTATAAAAATCATAGGCAGTTCTAGAGGCCCCTGGGCAAAGCTTTGAGATCTTTAACACTGTTTTTCACGGTTCCTCCATGTTCTCTTTTGCCTCTGACCTGTAACTGGAAGTGCTCCTCTTGGGCCTGCTCCATCAGCCTGCGCTCATCTTGGAAGAAAGAAGCTTGGTACGGTCAGTAGTACAGAATGGTCATATACCTTAAACACACTGTTACCTGAATTTAACTTAGCCTATCCCGATTGACACATATAATCAAGTCCAGTGTATCCTTTTTATATAAATTTGCTTTAAGCCAGATAAACATAATCTCCCAGAAGAGCTTATCTATGTCACAAAACAGACATATATATTTCCCAAGGAAGATGCTCCTCCTGCAATCACTTTCTCAAATGCAAGCATTTGTTTTTCAACAGCACTGAGCAGGAGGCCTCTGCAACTAGGGAAACTCAACCGGGTCACTTTTCCCACCCTTCCTTCATTTAATAAAAATGGCAGAGTCCAGTTGCGGAAGATGTGCTCAGAAAGTTTGCTTTCTTCATCCTGCTTTTGCCTTTGGCCAGTTTGACCCACGGTGGGGTTTCTTAATTTCTAGCATCTCAATTTCTTGCTTAAGAAATAGTCCTATTTACCTATTTCACCATCCTCTAGTGTTCACTCAGTGGTTATTTCTTTGCTACCTCAAATGCCGAGTAATATTCACCCCAATCCATAGCTGGCTGACACCTATTTTCGGTGATTTCTGTGGTACTGATTGGTGAAGATCCCCTTAGCTTGAAGGAAATTGAAGAAGCGACTACATAGCCCATAACATCCCTTTTGAATTCCAGCTTGCAATTTAAATAACCTGGTCCTTCCTAGAAGCATAAACCTTCAGGATTGCTCAAGTAGAAATACTGACTTTTATTTTGCCTCTTGGTCAGACAGATCTACACCCTTTGTTAAGGTATGCTCCCAGAAACGCATGTTCTTGGGCTAAACATTTACCTCATGGGAGCCTAAGGAGTTTCTGAATGTCTCCAGAACAGTAGTTTACTGTAATGGAGAAGCAGTCCAGCCTCATTCCCTCCACATCTACACATGGCTTTGATACCGTACCCTCTTTATTTGGTCTAAAAATATTTTTAAAGAAAAAAAGTCACACTACAAAGGCGATTGAGGTAGTTGGTTTTTAATCAGTTACTGATTTGTTGTTGTCACTTGTTTTGGTTAGAAACCCTTAAAAGGAGAAATTCAACTGATGGCTCTCTTCTCATGAACCGAAAGTTCAATTTCCCCTGACGAAAGTGGGTCAAGGGAAATGAAACCAGTTTCCTCCTGATTACTAGGTCATAAAAAACGGATTCCAGAGCCAGCAATCGCCACCAGCAACCCAGATGGGTAGCCCAAAGCCTGTTGAGGGGCAGTTGGTAGGCAGCACAGCCTGAGATTCATGGATAGAGACCTCCTGCTCCACATCATTATGGTATGTTAGTGGAGGAGCTGCTCATATCCAGGTGGGACTTCTCTACCTCCCCTTAGGAAGCTGCATGATCTGTTCACTTATTGTTTGATTGGGCCCTTAAAATGTGAGTGAAAATACACCAGAATTTTCCCATGAAAGGTTAACAAAGTTCTAGGGGTCCTCATTATAGACCATTTAATAATGTATTATTTATTCTGAGGCTGTATCCAAGTTTCAGATGCTCCAAGAAAAAAAAGGAATTTGATCTTGTGTCATAACACACTTTAAAAAATGCCTTCTTGAGGACAACTAGTTAAAAGAGAGTGCTGCTAGGTCTCTTCCCTTGGCTGATCCACCTACTCAAAGTTTAAAGGCTCATATAAGACAGGAAGCTTTATAATCTACTAAACTCTGTAATAACTGTACAGTCTACAGTGATTGTAGGCCCATGGATTTAAACATCATTTTATATCCCTAGGCCAAGTCTTACTTCTGAGATCCAGCCTCACATTTCAAACTGTCTGCTTGGCATTTTCTCCTGGGTGTCTCAAAGACGCTGCAAACTTAGAATGAGCAAAATAAAACACTTGAGTCCTGATGCCCAATTGGTCCCAAATCTAGCCTTCTCCTTTTTAGGATATGGCACTCCCGGCCAACCATTCCAACCAGAAATGTAAAAGTCATCTTTGTTCCCACCCTCATGCCTTATACGTAATCCATCAGCAAGTCATGTGTACTGTATTTCCAAGATACATAAGGAATTGATATACATTCTCTGCCATCAACTTGAACTAGACTTTCATCATCTACCACTTACAGCAGCCCTCACGTGGTTGTCAAATTCCTACAGTTGGTTTCTTTCCAGCAAAATAAATGATCTTCTTAAGACATAAATTAGATTTTGTCACTTGCATACTTGAACAATTTTGTTGATTGCCTTAAAATAGAATAAATAAAATAAAACACTTAATATAAAATCCTATCTCCTTACCGCAGCCTATGAAAACTCTGTCTACCAAGACCCGTATTTATTTGCATACCTAGACTCCTCTTCTATCGTACTCCATGCCTCTCTCTCTCACTATGCTTCAGCCACAGCCATCTTTTTGTGTTTCCCCATTTGGTGAACATGCCAGTCTCTTTCCCACGCAAGAGCCTTTTCACACTCTCTGTACTCTACCTGGAATGGACTCTACCTCTAATTTTTCAGATGGTTGATTCTTTGTCACATTTGGGTCCCATGTCAAATGGTACTTTCTTCAAGAGGCATTCCTTGACCAATCTATTTAAAATGGCAACCCCTCCCATTATTCTGGATCTCAACCATAGTTTGTTGATGTAGCTACACCATAATTTGTAATGAAATTTTCATTTGTATTTGTCTGATTGCTTTTGTCTCTCCTGCTGGCACATGAACTCTACATCTGCTTTACTCTTTTACTCACCTGGAGTCTCCCTTATCTAGAACAGCAGTCCCCAACCCTTTCGGCACCAGGGACTGGTTTCATGGAAGACAGTTTTTCCACAGACCGGGGGCAGGGGTGGTTCTGGGATGAAACTGTTCCACCTCAGAACATCAGGCATTAGATTCTCATAAGAAGCGTTCAACCTAGATCCCTCGCATGTGCAGCTCACAACAGGGTTTGCGCTCCTGTGAGAATCTAATGCCGCTGCTGATCTAACAGGAGGCGGGGCTCAGGTGGTAATGCTCACTCACCCATGGCTCATCTCCTTCCTGCTGTGCGGCCAGGTTCCTAACTGGCCAGGGACTGGTACTGTCCATGGCAGAGGGGTTGGGGATCCCTGCTCTAGAACAACTAATACGTAGAAGGTATGTAATAAATATTTATTGAATAAATGAATACAAAAGTAGCTATATGGCTAAACATAATAAGGTGACAAGAAAGTTTCTGCATATGTGAAGACAAAACAGTAAAAGAAGAAAGCCACCGTCAGGATGACTATGAGTTCCATGAGCCTTGAAAAAACGTATTCATTTACTAGATGACACGGATTTCGCTTTTGCTAATAAGTGGGCACAATTCTAATCAGTATCAATTATCAAATGTCTACTGTTCTTTAATCAGGAGGAAACAAGAAGCTATTGAAGGTGTGTGAGATAAGAATTTAAGAATAAATTTCCTTTTGCTTGATTCACTATTTCACTGCCATTTTGAAAGAACTTACTTCAAACTAAGTAATTGTTCAGGTGACAATATTTAAACAATAACATAAAAATCCAGAAAAATGCACATCTACTTGGAAGGATTCCTTTGGAGAAGAATTTGGGGGAAAAAATCCCCAAAATAGAATGCCTCTAATCACTGGGTTTAATCAATTTTTGGAATAATTAGCCTAGTTAATTATTTATGAAAACGTAGGTTTTAAATGAAAACTACAGTTTATTGTTAAAATATATCTTCTTTGTAATACAAATTCCTATGCCAGTGTATCAGATAATTAATTTTAAATAGGTGGGAACAAACCTATTTTCAGAAATCAAGATTTTGATGATCACGGAAATTAGTAAGGTTCTTATGCCAATAGTGATATTTTTAGATCTGTTTTCTCTTAAAGAATTTCATAAATTGCTTTACAGAGTTTCAGTTCTCGTCTATTGAAAATAAGGCATGCTCAGCCTGCACAAGTGAACATGAGACAGCTCAGGAATACCTTCATTCGGCCCTACTGTGCTAAATTAAGCCATTTGGTACTGAAAGTTAGTAGTTACCCAGAAATAAAATCTTGCTCAGAATAGTCAGAAAATGGTGTTTGAACAAAGGAAACAAGTAACAGTCTTTAAAAATTACCCGGACATTTCAATGTTAACTTTCCAGTTTCTGATTTTTCAGACTTTCCTTTGAGTTTTATGCCTAATTTTGAAGTGTTCCAACACAAAACACAAGTTGTAAAAGAAATAGCACATTGCATTGGGAATTCTTTACCTAAGTTCACATTTTCCCCTATTGACATACAAAAGAAAAAGAAAGAGAAAGTAAAATTCCAAATGGGTATTAACTTTTATGTAATATTTTCTTTTTCCTTTTTATATCCCTATTACTATCTCTAAAACATTGGGGAGGTAAGTATCGCTTTTCTCTGGGTCAAAAAAAATCAAGATAAACTTAATCAAAATCAAATAGGGGGTATAAAGTAAAATCAAGATTTTTGCCTTACTTTTAAAATTATTATTTCTAGCATCTACCTCAGTACGAGGGCTCCGCGTATTACCTATAGCCAGAGACTGATGGTTTCCTAACCTGGGAGACCTGCTGGGCATGCAGCTGGTTCTCTGTAAAGATCATTAACATGGTTCTCTGTAAAGATTCATTAACATGGAGGGGTGGAGACGGGTGAAGGAAAGATGAAATGGTGTTTTCTGGTAAAAGTAAATAAACACAATACACATCTTTTGAGAGCCAAATAACATTTTTCCAACCTAATGATTTTTGAATACAAGCGTTTATAACAGAATCTACTTAAGTCCATACCCATTAAATAATAAAACTCCTAATTTGTGAGAGAGAGGGGACATGCTATACAGCCTTGCTGGAATACCAGAAAGATATATAAAAACATTCATAATCAAACGCCCAAGTAATGCTGAATGCGGGAGCTGCAGTTAACATGTTCCTAAACCCCACGATAAAGACAAATTCAACATCACTTACATTCTGACACTAGACCATGGGAAAAGTGACAGAGTCTACCTGAAGAAGACCCAGGGCCTCCTCAACCCAAGAAATATGCACCCTGTAGAATACAAACATATGAAGGAGCATCCACTAACAGATATTCTAACTCCACCGGCTGCGGGCACAGGGAAAGCTAGAGTAATTGGCTGCAGATGTTTGAAAGATACTGTTAGTCTTTTCCAGATGGATTTGCCTCTATGACTTAGTAAGAGCAAATACAAATTTAACATTCAATCCCCAGTCCGAGGAAGAAAAGTGTAAAGAAAGGCAGAGAGCAGCAAATCGATGAAGCTTCCACATCCAAAGGATGTTCAACAAAGACACAAAGACCATGATTCCAAAAGGTTCATTAGCCCCACTTTGTAAAAGAATATGACCACCAGGAAATCCAGCATAGAATTCCACAGCCACTCCAATGACACGGACAGAAGCAACTCTGCAGTAGAAGTGTCCTTCATGATCATGAGGACCCAGAGTTTATCCAAAATAGCAAAATTAAAGAAAGAGATTGGGTTATTCTCACGAATTACGGTTTTCTGCTACTCTGAAGTCCAAGAGATAGGAAGGAAAAAGCCTTTCCCAGGAATCAAAGTACAGGGAAGGTTTCCCGTAGATAAACCATGTGGAGCTGAGTAGTGCTGGGTATTGGCGCTCTCTGAGAGGAAGCCACATGTTCTTCCCTCTCAAGAGCAATTTGGTTGGTTCACTTGGAAAGGTAGAAACTCATGCTAGGGCTTGGGTGACCAAAAGAAGTACAAAAGGAAGAGCAAGAGAGAGAAACCTCCTATATCTTTTTACCACGTGAGCCAGAAGGAGGGATGAGTCTCCCAGACAGATGGAGAGGGTGAGCATGCTGGAGGGTAGTGTCTGTGGTTCACTGAATGAAGAGCCCTTGGCTGGGTTTTGCTGACGGTTTCCCAAACCCATATTGCATAATGTGCACAAATTTGCTCTCTAAGCTAATTAGAATATCATTTGTACAATAAAATCACAGTGGAGAAAGAATGAAACAAAGGGTAAAGCTGCCATGGAATGAAGGTGCTAGAGCCAAAAGGTAACAACATGGGCTCTGGAGCCAGACACACCTGAGTTCTGATCCCAGGGTTACTCACTAGCTATGCAACCAAGGCAGGGTGTTTAAACTCTGAGGCTCCATGCCTTTACTTGTCAAACAGGCATGATAAAGTATCTCCACCATAGGGTAGTTGGGAGAAGTAAATAAAATAAATCACTTAAAGTCCTTTGCATAATACCTAGTGTGTAGCATGTATAACAAGTTGTTGTAGTCACTATTACTAGTACCAGTTTCCTCAACAACCATGACTTAACTATGTCATTAGAAGGCTATATTTCCTTAGTCTGGCTTCAGAAAGCTGATTTTGGTTACTTGTAACTGATATAAAAGTCAGAGTAAGTACTAAAATAGATCATTTTAAATTAGTATAGTCTAGGTAATAACATCTTAAACATCTGATTTATTACTTCTATGTACTTTGAAACCACACTTTATATCAAAGCACTTCTTGGATCCTATGTTCATCTTCTTTGAACTGATTATATCCACTTGAAATTATCAGCATGCATTTGTATATTGTAACAGAAATGCAAAGTCCTCAAATATTTTTTTCCTCAGGTATGTTCCTTACTCTTTATTGCACCTTACAGAGATAACAAGTATTTTTTTTCATAAGCAGTACAAGCCACAAGCTAATGGAGTAAAACTGTCCTGAATCTGGAATTATTTGAGCTGAAATAAGTAAATTTCAACCATTATTATGTTTTTAGTTGATAAAATTTTAAGATACATAAGGATAGACTGGTAATTTTTGTAGATCAATCTTACCATATGTTAGGAACCAGTGGTATTTACAATTTAAATTAATCAGCCGGAGGTAAAGATTTCTTAAATCATCTTTTTCAGGACATTTTTATCTGCCTAATAAGAGCAGGGTTTATGAGTGAAAAAAAGGTTTTTTATAGATGATTCATCAATATGTTATTCTAATTTAGTGTGTGCTTCTATTTTTAAGATGTAATGACTTTCTAAGGCATAATTCTAAATAGAGAATGGAGGATACAATATGATCTATTAGTTAAGGGGTATGTACTCAGATGTGTATTGTTTCTGCCATTAATTTTTTTAGAAATACCAATGTATATCAAAATTAATGTTAATAAATATTCATAAAATCTTTGTATGTGTTCAGAGCCACAGGCCACATAAAATCACATGAGGAGATAAGGCATATCTATGAAAAGCAAACAGTGAAAAAGAACAGCATCTGTTTAAGCATTTTAAGTACAAATAGGCAAACATCTAATAGGAATTCCTGAAAATCCCAATTTGTCCCCATTGCTTTTCTGCAGGAATACAAAAAAACAGACTTTCATAAAGCAATTTTTTTCATTACTAGAAATGTGACTGTTCACTTTCTCCAGTGACCTTAGAAGTTGAAGTCAAATACAGTGAAAGGGGAAATTACATTACAGTTAGCGGATATGCTATGGACATACCAACTGAAATTACACATGCTTGGTCCTGCTTGATCCTGGACAAATTGTTTACCAACTCTCAGTGTAGCAGACCCGCAGTGTCTATTAACTTAATAGCTATTACAGAAAATGTTTTGAAACTGATGGAAGATGATTGCGGGGGATGGACGTTGAAGGCATTATTGCTGCTATGAAAAGATAAATATAGGAGCCACTTCAGAAACACAGGAAATTGGTAAATGGAGAGAAACTGTTGTCCCTTTGCTTTCATCTGTGTTACTTAAATCAATACTCTATGTGTCCATTAAGCCAGGGGTAATTCATTAAATCACAAACCTGGAAGAATTTTTAGAGTTTAGCCATGTAAGACAAGCCAGGCTATTCCAGATCAAGAGTGCCGTTTTTTTGTTTTGCTTTTTTTTGAGACAGTGTCTCACTCTGTCGCCAGGCTGGAGTGCCGTGGCGTGATCTCGGCTAACTGCAACCTCCGCCTCCGGGGTCCAAGCAATTCCCCTGCCTCAGCCTCCCAAGTAGCTGGGACTACAAGCGCGCACCACTACGCCTGGTTAATTTTTTTTATTTTAGTAGAGAAGGGTTTTCATCATGTTGGCCAGGATGGTCACGATCTCCTGACCTTGTGATCCGCCTGCCTTGGCCTCCCAAAGTGCTGGGATTACAGGCGTGAGCCACCGCACCAGGCCTAGACGGACCCATTTTAAAAATCATTAGAAAAGATGATTTCAAAATATCTTTTTCATAACTCACTTCAATGTCAAGTTGTTAAAAAGAAAGGATTTACTTCTATGTTTAAAAAACTATTGACACCAAGTGGAATTATCTTTTTTTACACTGGAAATGTTTAATCTACTACTACCAACAAGAATTCCTGAAAACAACAAGAGTAACAAATGATAGCTACTAGTGTTTCAGGGTCTATTTATGTGCATTTACCTTATATTAATTACATTTATTTAAAAAATCCTTGTAAAATAAGTATTATTAGAATCCCATCTTACAGGTGATGAAACTGAGCGTCAGAACGCTTATCTGTCCAAAATTAAACAGCTAATGAGTAGAGAAATAAAAATGTAAATATAGCAGCAGCTGATGTCAAGTGTTATTTTTCACTATTTTACAACGTCTTAGGATACCTTTTTCTCCATCTTTCCTCAGAAATCCTTTGTTGAGACTGTTGGGGATAAAGCCAGCACTCTCGTTCAGCACAATTAATCCCACAGGATGTGAAGCCTACTACTTTTCAATTGCAGGTGCAGAGGCTGGCTTTCTCCAGAGAGGCAGGTAGAGAAGCAAGAGGCATAGAGAGAGACATCTATTGGAAAAAAATGAAGAAGAATATCCCTCACTTCATAGGGGGCTAAAGAACCTATTCTGTAAGTGCCCTGTATTTCCCAAGACCTGCCTTCTCTCCTTCCATGCATAAATACCTGTAAAGCACTGACTCACTTCTATGCTTACTAAGCAGCAACCTGACTCGGGAAAAAAAGCTAGGTATGTCTAGTTTCAGAAGGGCCCTGAGAGCATCATTAATAAAGCCCTAAATAAAAAAAAGTACAGGGATGTCAACAAATCGAGGATCTGCAGTGACACCTGCACCACTCTTGAAGGCAGCTTCCTGCACCACATGTTCCCCCACCCCCCGCCAGGCATCCACCTGCACCACATCCCCAGGGCTTCCTCCTGAACCACTACCCGGGACATCCACCTGCAGCACGCCCCTGAGCATCTGCCTGCACTCCCCATCTCCCCAGCAGCCAAGCATGGCGTTGGTGTTCCCTTTAGGACTAGAGGAAACAAAGATTCTGACAAGATGTTAACAGGTGGCTGATCAGGTTGATTTTCTCTGGGGACAAGGTGACCTGAATAATTCTGTGAAAACATTCAAGTTTTGACCTAATATGTCTCATAAAGGACAATTCCTCTCCTGCTGTTGTTCAGAACGGAAAAAGGACAAGCTGAGTTTTCAAACCTGCTGCTACAGCATCTGCTAATGGGCAGATGATGCCTGGGCCACTGGGGCCAATCCAGAGAAGGAAACTGTCAGGTTGGCTCTTTCCTGTGTCCCATGTATATTTTCACGGATATATGTCACTAAGTGTAAAGGACATGAAATAAAGACTGCAGGACATACACAGAATGTTCTTTGTGGGGCTCTCGGGGGAGCAACTGGTAGACACAGCAGCTGAAACCAAGGCTCAACCTCTGTGACTGAGGAGGCCAAGATGTTAAGACTCTTAGGACAAAGTCAGAAGTTGAGAAAATAAATTCAAGAGCTGATGGCATCATATCATGGCTAACTCAACAGGCAAGAATACTGATTTGTGGTGGTGCCTGAAAATGTGCATGTATAACAACCTCCACTGGGTACTGCACCTGATGGCTGGGGTTCACCCTTTAAGAGCTCCTGCTATAGAACAATCCACTTTGGCTTCAAAGTTTCAAAGATTTCCTTTCCCTGAATTCAGCCTATCCTCCCTACTGAAGTTTACTTTTTGTAAATACACTGCAGGTCCTTATTTTCACACTCAAACACAAGTCAACTCTTCTCTTCCTTGGGTAGTTTAAAATATGTCAAAATACTCCAAATTACTTAGAAGTATCAGCCAAAGAGTATCAGGTTGGGTAAGTCATGCAGGAAACAGGAAATCAAGTGACACACTATTACTAATGTCAGCAGAGGCACTTCAAAATGGTTAATGATCAGATCCAAAGTTTCATTTATTTCAGTTAGAGGTGGAGCCAAACCAATTCCTATTATAGCTCACAACACAAAACTCCTTTGTCAAAACGGGTTCTACAATTTTTCAGTTAATAATCACAGACCCTGGTTGGATGAAAGGTGTGAAAGAAGCTTAAATCTTTTAACCTCATCTTTGCATTCTTAAAATTACTTTCTTTGCAAAAACCATGCTGCTTATTCTGTATAGAACAAAAAGGCCACAACTGCCAGTAAAAACAGATCCAGAACAAAAGTACCAGGCACTACACTAGGCATGAGAAAGTATTTTTTTTCCTTCTGAGTTTTCTGCTTATAAAATTTAGAAGAATTACACTTATTGTCAGACTGAGAATTTAGTGATCAAGAACTAGTGATATTTAATCATTAGTGTGTGTCAGCAGCATCTGGAGATCTTCTTTAAAAAGCATAATCCCGTTGATCATAGGGAAGTTGATCCACTTCCCTATGATTAACTAAAATGTACCTGGAAAATGTAGGTTGAACTTTT
The DNA here is from genome assembly GCF_000001405.40 of Homo sapiens. Lineage (NCBI taxonomy): Eukaryota > Metazoa > Chordata > Mammalia > Primates > Hominidae > Homo > Homo sapiens. The sequence continues at coordinate 4,401,674 of NC_000018.10, forward strand.
AAAATGCAGAAAATATAATGTAATTTGACCCAGATAATGACAAATCTAATTATTTAACTTTCATTTTTTAAACTTGGTATTACAATAATGCTGAATGTTATCTATGTTTGAAAAGAAAAGCCATGTTTTTAGCTTAAAATATGCCTTAACAATTTTTAAATGATAGGTAATATTTCACCATGCATGCTTTAAAATACATACAAAAATTCCGATGACAAAGTTTCCCTCCCCCATTGACTATATTCCTGCCAAATTCTAAACTATATTTTAAGGCTGCAGGCAGCAAGGGCCCAGCAATCTATATTTTAACAAGCACCTAGGTGATTTAAGCACCACACTGAGGGGACACAGACAGGGAGAGTAAAGTGCCAGGGTTCCTTGAGAGAAAGTAGCCTCAGCACTTACACAATCCAATAGCAGGGGGCTACTGATTACAGCTTTCAGAGAACACTAAAATATATCATCCCTTTTGGCGATAACTGAACTTCACCACTCTTTGGCCAATAAGTACCTAATCAGAAGTCAATGTCTTCATGTAATCTAGCTATGATAATATTAACACTCCTTTAGGACATTAAGATGCATAAGAGGTCATAGTTAAACTCACATCTATATTATTTATAATGTTTCATTTAATCCACTAAATTTTAGGAAATTACTTTTAAATTGGTGAACAAAACAGGTTTGTCAGAAACAGATATCTCTATTTATATTATTAATGTTAGGAACTAAAATATAATAATCTCACACATTCACTTAGCAGAGTCATTTTCAAAGTAACAAAGAAAATGCCTTATTTGCTCTTCAAGAAAACTATGGGAAGCAGGCCGGGAAGACATGGTTAATTCTATTTTACAGATGAGAACGATTCAGACAGGGTGAAATGACATTTTCAAGGTCACTTGGCCCATGAACATCAGAATCGGATCTCAAAGCCAATTTTTTTTAACATTAGGATGTTACCATTGTAGAGTATTGCTTTTTTAATTATTAAAAAGCACTGAATTGGTAAAAAGTTGCTTTGCAAAAAGAAAAATTAGAGGAAGTAAAAAGAAGACAGTCAAAAGGACCATTAGAGTCCATAATGTTATGTCTGTAGCCAGCAGCAAATGGAGTCTGGCTTATTTTTTTCACCACATCTCTCACCAAAATTTCCCTGTCTCCCAAAGCAATTATTTGGAATGCTTACAGGTCAAGCCAGCCTTAATGGAGATTGTACAGATTTATAGATGTCCTTATCTCCAACAATATTGTACACTCTGAAATCTTTCACTTAGTATTATATTGCAAAAGATAATGGCTCAATATATGAATTATGGTAGAACTCTGACCATGACTAATACTAGGTTTAAAGATATTCTTACCATTTCTTTTTCTTCTGAATAATATTGCAAACTAAAGGTGTATTTTCTACATTAATTAATGGTAGGTATTATTAGTTCTGATTTAGAAATGTTGGCAAAATTTAAAGTTGATATGTTATAGGCCCTACTGCTGTTTAAAAGTGTCCATTGTAATGTGTGAGTGGTTGCTCATTAATGTGGATTGAGAGCATATAATGCTTACCTGATCTATAAACCAAGTACTGAAGTTCCACCAAAAAGTCCACTTCCCTATGATCAACTAAAATATACCTGGAATATATAGGTTGAATTTTTAAAATTCAGAAAATGCAATGTAATTTTACCCACATAATGAAAATTCTACTTATTTAATTTTCATTTTCAAAACTCGGTATTACAATAATAATGCTTAATGTTATCTATGTTTGAAAAGAAAATAAAAGATGTTTTTAGCAAAAAATTCTCCTTAACAAAACAATTTTTAAATGATAGGCAATATTTCGCCATGCATGCTTTAAATTACGCACAAAAATTCTGATGACAAAGTTTCCCTCCCCCATTGATTATATTCCTGCCAAATTATAAATTATATTTTAAGAAATGTTTTAATAATGCAAATCAAAGTCTTGTTACATTTTAAAATGGAGAAATTTGTTCCTATGTGCATGCAAATTTTTAAATAATTATTTAAAAGGCTGAGATTGTCCCTTGGAATGGAAATAGCTTTTGATTCCTTTCTTTCTTTTTATTATGTTTTTTCTTGCCAAACTCCAGTTGAGTGTCCATGGGTTATTTGCAAGATCTATTTGCTATTCTGGAGAAGGTTTCACACTTAAGTAATTAGGCTATGAAATATCAAGAAGAAGAATTGGGTCTCACTTATATTGTTTCTCCCTGGCTCCCTTCTGCAGCCCTTTTTCCCACTTGCTCAGAGAGTGTGGGAAGACAGTTCCTCCCCAAACTATCTGGTCATCAACCTTTAAACTTCCCAGTCCCAGTCAAAAGTCCTCTGCCAAATTGCTCTCAGGATCAGCGCCTGCAGAGATACCACATGCCAGACACCAAAGTCACAGGACTTTTGAGGAAGGAAAGTGCAAAAGGTGTGGTGAAGGGAAGATGGTGATAAAAATGTTCCTTATCCAACAGTTTGTTGTTTTTATAACCATATGAGTATTTCACTGTATATGACTTGGAAAGAATAGATAACTCTTTAGGATATTAATTAATGAATCAGAGCAAGTGAAATCTCATTTAATAGCATTAGATAACTCAAAATTCAGTTCTAGCTGAGTTTGAAATACATTTTGATTTTTTTCCTGTGAAGTCAGTTTTCCTTCCTAATAATTATTTGACTGAGTTTACATTTGCTGAGCACACACTAGCTGCTCTGGAGACCGCAAGAAAACATGGCAAGGAAGAAGTTGGAATAAAGCTTAAACAACAACAAAATATAAATGCCACAGGTAATAGCCAAGGTAGACAATAAAAGCACAGCTATCATGAGCTGACAAAAACATACAATATTACATAAAGATGAAAACTAATTTACTCTTACATACATTACTGGGAAATAGCTTTGAGGGTTAAAATAAATCTAATGAATTTGAATGGAGTCTGTATTTTCTTATTCTACATAATTTTTTTCTGTATTTCTTTTCAAAGTCTTTCAAAGGAAAATGTCAATTTAAAAGGAAATCCTATGAAATCAGAGATTATAATAATATGAGGAAAACGCATAAAGGCCAGACAAATACAGCAAAGTCACAGAAGACTCTGGCAGGACAGTAAAATAGTCCCACATGCTAGACATGGGCTGATTATGTAAGGCACCTAATAGTTTGATTTTAAAACAAAAATAATAACAACAAAAAAGGCTTCTCCCCATGCCCTCCTATGATCTTGAAATAAATGCTAAAAATAGAAGCAACTATATCCTACTAGTTCTTTGAGAAAATAACTAAGATAGAGAATAATCGTGGTAGAGAATGGTACCTTCATTGTACGGGGAAAGAACAAGAATATAAGCAACTACTTAAGTTTAAGTACATTCAATTACACACAGTTGGAAAAGTATTCACATTCATAAGTGAGGTTTCAGCACTTCAGTCAGTGGTTGAAAAAGAAAAGGGATTTTTCTTGCAATTATAAACTATAACTCAAAATTGGGTTTACATCAGCAGCTAGAACACTCGCACCAAAGCAGGAGTATTAATGCCATAGGTATCCCTCAGGGCAATCCAAATCAGAGGGCAACGTGGTGGTCCATTTTCCACTGGTGGAGAAAGCATATATCAATACAACATAGATGACAGATTTACAATACCTCCTATGTCATTTTATCTGGATAGTTTCTGGAATTCAGACACTACTTTGAAACATTCATAATTAATTGCAAGTGAAAGGAAGGGAGAAAAAAAAACATATTTCCTTAACTCCAGCACAGTGTCAGGAATTATTCAAAGAACAACACAATGAGCATTTTTTCAAAGTGCCATTTTTTTTCTTTCTCAGCAAGTTTGCCACTTTCTGAGAATTAAACTATAAATATACATGTATATGCATAATGATAAAAATAGACAGTGAGAGGGGACACAATACGTCCCTATTGTTCTGAAGATTGACATTTTACACTCTTACACTTAATACAAAGTGGCTTTCACTGTTTCTCACCTAACTGACTTATCTTGTGCGCTTAGAAGACTATCTCAAGACAAAGATGGGTCCAGGGAGTTCACTTAAAACACTAGAATCACTGGTGCCACCAACAGGGGCTCCAAACTAGCTTCAGAGAATAGACTTGCTACCGGGGGAAGGTTTTGACTACCAGTTGTCCAAGTTCTTTGCGTTTTGAACAAAGAATTGGACAAAAAGTACAAACAAAGCAACTAAAGAACGAAGGAATGAAAGCACAGATCTATTGATGTGAAAGTACACTCCACAATGTGGGCGCAGGCTCAGCTCAAGAGCCCTGGTTATGGAATTTTCTGGGGTATTTAAACCGTAGAGGATTCCCATTAGTTACTTGGTTTACGCCCTATGTAAGTGAAGGCGTGGCCTGCAACCAATCAGAGACTTACGTTACAAAGTTACACCTTATGCAAACGTCTGATTGGTTGTGAGAGGGGACCAATCAGAGGCTGAAGTGGTTACAAAGTTATTGCCCTATGCAGATGAAAACTAGGCCCACCACCAGTCTGATTGGTTGTGGGAGTGGACCAATCAGAAGTAGTTTCCATTTTTCATCTGTGATGCAGAAAGGGAGGGGAGTTTGCAAAGGCAGTAACCCCTGGTCCTATTGTTACTTGAGCATGGAAACTTGGGGTTTTCCTTCTGATTTAGTTCTAGGAAGTCAGCATGAATCAGCCTTAGGTTCCCTGCCTCCAGACCCTATTCTCCTGCCTCAAGAGAATTTAACATAAAGCCTTGCAGAGTTGTAAGGGTGTTTTTATGCACATATTTTAATCGGTGAAACAACTCTGTGAGGTGGGGAAGGTATTATCATGCTTCATAACTGAGAACACTGAGGTTAACAGAGGTTTGTGAATGTCCAAGGTCACACTGCTAGGAAAAGGCAAGTCTCTTTTTGCCAGGTGGGAAGAGAGGCAGCGCATAAGTAGATATCCTTTTTTAGCCACTAATTCTCTCTATACACTAGAATTCGAGTAGGATATTGGGAGTGGTTGTGTCAGGGAATGAATTAGAGGACAACCAGCAAGCCAGTTAGAAGAGTCCTGCAATAGTAAATGGAGAGAAAGAGGGACTAATTGATCTTGAAATCGGGAGAAATCTTATAAGCATGAGAACTGTATAAAATATAAAATTAGTGGCTTTATGAGAAAGTGCAAACTGAGACAGTGTAGTCAAAAGCTGGGTAAATATATTTCTGCAATGTTGACTTTGGTTGGCAATTTGAATAAAAAGCAATTTCTGTGGTCTCTTCTCACTCAAAAGAAGTTGATGATTTTATGATCATTGGGAGCTTTCCTTTTAAAATTGCACTCTCCTGTCACATTAAGTTAGATTTTTGTTAGTTGCTGAACCATGAAATCTATTTACTTTATGTAAGAAGGTGGCTTACTCCATGCAATTCTAGCCACAAAACAATAACAGTTAAGTTTAATCCCACTTTAGCAATGCAAATTTTACCAACCAGAAAAAATAACGGGCAAAACACAATTTAGTTAAAGGGAAAAAAAGTAGCATTTGCTGTAAAAAAACAAGGTAATTGGGGATGGGAAGACTTTTAATTCTAGCCACCCAAAAGTACTATTTGGCTGCCCAAGTTTTTCCCTTTAGAGAAAGAGATGTCATCTTTACACAGGTAAATTAAATAAGTTCTAGCTAGATGAAAGCTAGATAATGAAAGAGGGAATTTGAATGTAAACTTTCTGGATTTAGTTATCTGTACAAAGGATATGCTTACTGATCCTCATTACTGACTCCACTTGCAAGTAGAGTAGCAGTAACGCAAAGCAGTCAACAGAACCTAGCATTGGCATTAGGCTTGGCTATGCTCCCTAGGAGCTTTCTGGGTCTCGGCAAATCCCTTCCCTCAATCATGTATCTAAAAGTATCTAACAGGCCGAGTGCGCTGGCTCACGCCTGTAATCCCAGCACTTTGGGAGGCTGAGGCGGTAGGATCACTTCAGGTCAGGAGTTCAAGACCAGCCTGGCCAACATGGTGATACCCAGTCTCTACTAAAAACACACAAAAAAATTAGCTGGGAGTGGTGGCATGTGTCTGTAATCCCAGCTACTCGGAAGGCTGAGGCAGGAGAATTGCTTGAATCCAAAAGGGGGAGGTTGCAGTGAGCCGAGATTACGCCAGAGTGAGACTCAGTCTCTAAATAAATAAATAAATAAATAAATAAATATATAAATAAATAAGAAAAGTATCTAACAGGCACTCAACAGACATTTATTGTCCAACTCTCCTGCAGCAGGTGCTATCATACACTCTGGGGGTATGGAGATGAACGTGAGTTTTGTCAAAGAATTTAGAGTTGAGTAAGATCATACAAATCTGTAATCAAGTTTGGGCCTTAAAGTATTTGAGGTGTTGTGATAGATACTTTGAGGTGGTAGAAGGAAAGAAGAAAAAAAGAACAGTCAACTTTACAGAGAGGAGAAAGGGAGGCGAGTCAGGAAAGGCTCCAAAGAAAAGTTATTCTTGATCAGAGTCTTCCCAAAAGGGTCGATATTTATCAGGTGCATATTCACGGTAGTGGTTACAATGCTGTGCGTATTCGTGTGGGTGTGTTGCAGGGGGTGGGAGAACAGAGGTACTATGCCAGCCATAGAAAATACCATAAAAAGCACAGAACTAAAATAGTAGGCAGTTCACTATTGTTACTACATCCAACTGGAGGCTAAAATCAGCAGAAAAACCAGGGATTGAAAAGGTTTTTTTATAAGCATAAGGCCAAACCAGAAACCATAAATGATAAACAAACAGAAAACCAAAAAAGAATATGTCAAAATTACAATAAGAGTTGAAAAACAATGGCAAGATATAAACATGACGTTGGTATAAGGGATATGGCATACGAGACGTATTGGCATTTGGGACAGCAAAAGGTTTATAGTTGATAGAAATTGATAAAAGATGAACAAACCAATTAAGAATGAACAAAACAAAATGTACAAAATTAATAATATGTCCATTATAAGTCTGCGAAAAATTCAGTCTCACTACTAAGGAAGAAATAAAAATTAAAGTAATAACATATATTATTCATATATTAGATTGGCAAAGGTGATTCATTGTTAAAACTGTGTATCAGCCAAAGTGTAGAAAAATCATATACTCAAAAGCAGAGGTAGGTATATCACTGTCAAATAAGAATATTTCTGGGGTTAATTTGACAACATCTAGGAAAACGCTCTAACCTAGACTAGCAATTCCTTCTAGAATTTAAGCTCAATTGGCAAATGAAACCATTATACACACACACACACACACAAACACACACACACACACACACATTGTATTTTGTAGAAGCCAAAAAATAAAAACAACCCAAATGTCCAGCAATAGGTTATTTAAATAAATTATAATATTATGATATATCTACTACATGGAAACTATAAAATAATTTAAAAAATGGTAACTTAGGGTTTTGTTTTTTGATAAAGAAACTAGTTATTATAAAATATTAGGCAAGAAAAGGTGGTTACTGACAGTATTCCATTTTTCTAAGTTATAAAGAGAAAAATGATGCTGAAAAGAGAATGATACATGTGACTACAGTTAATTTTTTTATTTATTTCCCTCTTTTGCAGTTTCTATAATTCTTTTTTTCCAAGTAGATTAAAATATTTGGAAAACTTCCTATGTGGAAGGCAGTAAGCAGTAATATGCTATCTGCAAATTTGGGTATCTTACAGATAATGTGATGTTGAGAAATAGCAACCTTTTGGTCTTCTTATCTCTATCACAGAATTCACAAATCTTGAAAATAAAATCAACACATTTTTCTTTCTGAAGATAGTGAGGGATATAAAATTAATATCGATGAGAGACAACGACTTTAGTTATTTCTGTTAAAGCTTTATGCAGGTTAAAGTTTAACTGGTTCTTTGATTATCGCCATTCTTACAGGAGTAAGATGGTATCGCATTGTGGTTTTGATTTGGATTTCCCTGATCATTAGTGATGTTGATAATTTTTTCATGTTTGTTGGCGATTTGTATATCTTCTTTTGGGAATTCTCTATTCATGTTCTTAGCCCAGTTTTTGATGGGATTGATTTTTTTTTCTTACTGATTTGTTTGACCCTCTACTGGGTATCTACCCAGAGGAAAAAAGAAGTCCTTATTTGAAAAAAGATACTTGCACACGCAAGTTTGTAGCAGCACAATTCACAATAGCAAAATTGTGGAACCAAACCAATGACCGTCAGTCAACGAGTGGATAAAAAAATCTCTGGTATATATATAGGATGGAATACTACTCAGCCATAAAAAGGAATGAATTAACAGCATTTGCAATAACCTGGAAGAGATCGGAGACTATTATTCTAAGTGAAGTAACTCAGGAATGGAAAACCAAACATGGTATGTTCTCACTGATATGTGGGAGGTATGCTATGAGGACACAAAGGCATAAGAATGATACAATAGACTTCGGGTACTTGGGAAGAGTGGGAGAGGGGCAAAGGATAAAAGACAACAAATATGGTGCAGTGTATACTGCTTGGGTGATGGGTGCACCAGGTTCTCACAAATCTTCACTAAAGAACTCACTCATGTAACCAAGTACCACATGTACCCCAATAACTTATGGAAAAATAAAAAAATTGGTAGAAAAATTCAATAAGTCTAGCTAGATTTTCAATATTAAAATAGTCAAAACAATCAAATAAAGTTAGCTTCCATTTTTAAAGTAGATTCTAAATAATTCCAAATAATATAGCATTCTGAGAATTATCAGAAGCATACATACAGGTACATACATATAAAGTATATATGCATATATTAAGTATCCCATTTCCAAACATTAAAATGGAATATGAAAGTATAAAACTATATATAACAGAACTCTCATACATTGCTGATGGAAGTATAAATTGCTTAAAACATTTTGGAAAACTGTTTGCTATAAATGGAATTACATATACAGTATCCGCTGATCCAGCAATTTTATTTTCAGACATACAATTCCCCCCAAATATATATATATATATATAATCAAAAGATGGAATCAAGAACATTCATAGCAACAAAAGCAATCAAAAAAGTTTAAGATAGTGACACAATGAGAACAAACTATTGCTATGCACGACAACATCGATGGATCTCACAATTATAACCAACAAAAGATGCTGTCCCATGTGACATGGTGTACCACAGAGAATCCCCACTTCAACCTGAGGTAATCGTTTTCCCAGCTCCAGGAGTTTTGCCTGCTGAAGGCTCATGCCTGACTTCCTCTGGCAAAAGCAGCAACCCCCCAATAAGTGGGTGATATGGGCCTGCCCTTTTGCCTCAATATGGGACATCTCTGGAGAACAGTCCTTACTCCAGAGCACCTCACGGGTTTGGCTGAGGCCTTTGGTGCAACTGCATCTTAGTTCAAATTCTCCCTCTGACCAACCTACTTCTCTCAGCCCCTTGGAGATGGTGTTGCCAAGAGGGCTCTCCAACAAATTTTTTTTTCATGCAACTCTCTGAGTTTCACAGTCTGTTTCCTGGAGAACTCAAGAAAAGAGGGTTGGTACAAGGAATAGTCCAAACATCACCCACCACACAGCTAACAATGGAGACCCATCATCAGTAGAGAACTGATAGCCCCTGGGATGAGATAATGGTACAGTTATTAAAACTTTTAATGGCAGAAAATACACTGGAGGATACAACATCATGGCTGTTTGCAAGGTTTGGGTGGACTCATAATTACAGTAATGGGATCAGATGGCTCTTGCTTAGGGTATAGCGGGCAGAGAAAGTCAATGAAAAACTGAAAGCAGCAATTTAGAGCAAAGTGAATAGATCAGAGCGAGTCAATTTCTATTTTCCATTGCTGCATAACAAATCACCCCCAAAACTTTGTCTTAAAATAATGCCATTTTATTATCTTTCATAATCTGGAGGTTGATGGGCTCAGCGAGGCAGCTTTTCTTCTCCACGTGAGATTGGCTGGAGTCATCTGAAGGCTCCACATTCTGCAACAACCAATATGGTTCACTCATGCAACTGGCATTGGATTCTGGCCATAGGCTAGGATATCAGCTTAGGATTTTGACTAGAGCACCCAGTCCTCCTTCATGTGACCTCTTCATGTTGCTCGGGCACCTAACAGCATGATGGCTGGGTTCCAAGAGGAGAAAGAGAAATCTGCCAGTCCTTTAATGGGCTTGGAAGTCCGAGAACATAACCATCACTTCTGCCACATTTGATTGATCACAGCCTGTCAAAAGTCCAGCTCAGGTTCAAGGGGAGCAAAAAATAAGCTCAATTTCTGGATGCGACATGCTTATATAGGGAGAATGTCAGGGGAGTTAAAGCAGGGAAGGACGTCCTTATCTTGTAAGACTAACTACTACAGTCTCCTTAGTATCGTGTAAAGATACTCATTTCCTATAGTCAGATGCAGAATAGGCTGATGATAAGGCTCAGGGCTTAATGATGAGGGAAACTGGACATCTCAGCCAGCCCCAGCAAGTCAGCTGTGCCAAGGCCTGGTCCTGTGTTAGTGAAGAGGGGGACTGTGAGATTTGCAATATCTCAATGGATGCACTTGAAAATCGCTTATCACTAGATTCCCCACAACCTCCTGGGCCTAAACAAGTACCCCACTCCACTCTGTTAAGGCTATCATCTCTGCCTGGCATAAACATGATGCAGAGGGCTCTGCCTTGCAAGATAGCAAGTGCCCTCATCAAGATATAGTCAGCTTCTCCTCCAGGCTGCCAGACAAATAACTAGGTCAGGTAACAACATAATCCAGCTGGATAAGTGCTGGCTCTGCTAACAGAGAAGGGTGTTTACACTGAAGGAGCTGTGGCACCTGCCCAACATGCATGGCTAGAGCTGAGAGGATGGGTTCAGGGTCTAGGACCAAGTATGGAGAAACATAAAGTTTAATAAGGAACAGCTTATTGACATGAGAACAACCACCTGTTATATAGGATTTAACTCTTAAAAAGGACACCAGAAGACAGAATTCATGTTGCTAAGGTGGCTCTCTGAAATTTGGAGGTGGCAATGGTCCAAAGCAAGGCCAACAACAGAAAAAGAAAAAGAAAAACATACAGAGAAGTGAACACGATAGAGTATAGATTCCAGGATACACAAAGGCCAGCAAACCCACCAGGTCCCCACACTCTGTCCTGGATAATACATGATTTGCCAAAGTCCTAAGAAATGTGCTGCCTAGACATGCACAGGCAATGCTGCGATGCTCAGTGGTGCTGCCTTTTTAGGTGATGGCAGATCGGAGGGGATGCTATTACAGAGCGCCAAGCCCATGATATTCACAAGGAGGCAGGGAAGGACATGTCTGGCATCAGGGAATTCACTGGGGCGTTTTTGATACTCCCTGCCCAACTGTGATGGAGTATGGAGAAGTGCCACAGCCTGAGACAGGCATGGTGTTCAGATGGAGATCTGGATCACTTTACCTCGTTATCCATCTAGACAAACAGAGATGCTAACAGAGGATGTGGGGAATCTAGTATTGGTAGGAGAGAAAGGACATGAGGAGGAGCAGTGCAGCCCAGAGACCAGCTGCTGCAGCTAGGGATTCATTCCACTCCCTGGAGGAACTCTTCCCCATGAGTTTAAATGAAGCAAGTGGATCCCAACAGCCCGGCAGGTGGACTATAGCACATGCAAGTGCACCTCCTCCATCCCCTCTCCAAGAGAGAGATGGTCAAGGCCTGGCCCCCTTGCTCATTTGTGCCATGAAGCTCCGAAGTCCTGTGTGGGCCTGGATAAGGACTCTGGGGCAACTACATCTCCATTCAATTCCTCCTTCTGACAGAACCTCCCTCCCCTACTCCCTTACGGGCTATTCTGCCACGAGGGCTCCCCAGTCAACTTCTTGTTTGTCAATCTCCATCTCAGGATTGAATTCTAGGAAAGTTAATCTTAGTCAGAAACCAAACACAAAAGGACACACACAGTATAATCATTATTTCCATAAAGCTCAAACATAGGCAGAAATAAAATCTAGTGTTAGGTATTAGGACGGGGTTTCCTTTGTAGGAAGGCAGTGGCTCAAAGGAAAGATAAAAGGGTTTCTGGAGAAATGATAATGTTCTCTTTCTTATCTGGGGGTTACTGACATGGATATAAATTCTGAAAATTCATCAAGCTGGGCCATCATGATTACAGCATGGCCACACTTTATTTATATACTCTATACTTCAAGAAAACGGTTTTTGGAAACTGATATTTCACAGTCCTTCTTAACAATTCAGAAATAATTTCACTTTGAGGTGGCACGAGGTCATCAAATTAAATATGAATGACCGTCCCTCATCCTTAGGCTCTGAATCCAACAGGCTGCATTCAATGCCAGACTGAGACACTGACTATGTGAAGCTGGTCAAATCTTCAATTCAGTGAACTTAGTTTCTTCATCTCCAATGTGAATGAAAAGTGATTACTAAATAAGATAATCCATTTAAAGAACATATAACATTGCTAAAATAGAATACAAACATTCAATAATATGGCAACTATCTGCATCAGGAAAATAAGATAGAGAGAAAAGTAAATTTAAACTATTTATATGAAATGTCTTGGAAGTGCTTTGCAAAATAAAGATGAAATTGTTTTGTTTTACACATAACAATCAATAAAAGTTACTTGATAGTTTAGATTTGGTGTACACAGAATAATTGTATTTATATGATGCTTAGCATATAAATAAGCAATGTCATTATGACATAATTTGGTCTGTTATAAGAATCATGATAAGGGCTGCGCATGCTGGTTCATGCCTGTAATCCCAGCACTTTGGAAGGCTGAGATGGGTGGATCACTTGAAGTCAGGAGTTGCAGACCAGCCTGGCCAACATAGTGAAACCCAATCTCTACTAAATAAATACAAAAATTAGCCAGGCATGGTGGCACACACCTGTAATCCCAGCTACTCGGGAGGCTGAGGCAGGAGAATCACTGGAACCCGGAAGGCAGAGGCTGCAGTGAGCCGAGATCAAGCCACTGCACTCCAGCCTGGGCAACAGAGCAAGACTCTGTCAAAAAAAAAAAAAGAATCATGATAAGTAATGTAGTAATATAGAGACTACATTCTCTCTCAGCAAAGTGAGAATAGGTGGCACCTTCATATTGTCAAATGAACATGGTTTATAAAATTTGATATTCTTATATTTGAATTCTGACTTTGCCAATTACTAGCAGTGTCAATTTGCATAAGTTACTTATCTTCTGAATCTTCAGTCCTTAATTTCTGAAGGAAGATGATGTGCTCATTCTACAGGACTTTCAGTGATATTATACAAAACAACATTGTGTTTAAAACATTGGGTCAATTGAAATATACATATATATATATACACACACACACACATACACATATATATATATATAATGACTGTTGATATTAGAGGAACAATCTATAATCAATGAGTAGTTTACAAAGTGAATTTAAATCAAATACTGTTTCTCATACTCTATAAACCTTAGCACCCAGAGCAAACACTTGTATAATATATTATCAGTTAGTATTTTTGATGGATAACACACAAATTGTATGAAAATGTAATCCACAATTGAAAAATGAAAAGTATCATGTTCTGGACAACTTTCTTAATTAGTATCTTAAAATCTGAGTCATTGAATTGATTTGGCACATGTGATATGACAATGTTTATAAAATAAAAGCTACAAAAATATTGTGGTGTTTGTAATATTAAAATTTATTACTTGCCTTATAAAATAAACATTCAAAAAATGAAAAATTGTTAAATCGGTAAGACTTGCATGCAATGAATCAGGTTACAGATTTGTAAAGTTCATTAGAACATAATTCCTCATACTGAATTGCCTTTTAACAGTAGATTCAGCTCAAGTTTCTAAAAACAAATATTAACTTTTTTTACTATAATTGGTTCACTTATTTTCTACTGTTAATAAATCAGCTTTGTGGAATGTAAATGGTATAGGTTTTGCACTTCAGCTGATATAGATTCAAAAATTGGCTCTGTCACTTACTAGCTTTATGTCTTGGGCTAAGTTTTTTTACTCTCTGAACCTTAGTGTTTTCATCTATAAAATGGGATTATCATGTGCCTCAGAAAGTCATTGTGAAGAACAGAAACAATGTCAGGGAAGAATCTAACACACTGAAATACAACTGGAATTCAATAAAGACAGGGTGTTTATATCATGATATTTGCATTATTAATTATATTGGTAAGTGCCTGAGAATTGGTTTTAGTTTTTCAGAACTTGTGAGTCCTCTTTCTCTCTCTCCCTCTCATTTGATCGCTTTGAGGTTTCACAGTAGAATATAAAACTGCAGTCCTATTTATTATGTTTATGCTCTTCAATAAACACATTGCAGTATTTCAATTCTGGCACTAGTATCTTGGCAAGCATTCTGGCTAGAATATATTGTATGCTTCAGAACCTAAATTGTAGTGACATATTAATACATCATGAAATTCAACAAAGATTCAGTGGCCTTTAAGGAAGAACAAAGAATATGTTCACACTTCATCATACAATATTATCTATCCTGTCATTATTTATTTTCAAGCATCCTGGCAATAGTGTCCTTTGTGGATCAATTATAATAGTTTCAAATTCCATAGATGAGCTTATACCAAGGTCAGATGATAATAGGTTGCTATTGAGTTATGCCTATATTAGAAGGGATTATCAAAATTGGCACATTTTATTAATAACAATTTTGAATTCCTTTTATTCATGAAAAATAAAGGAATTACAGGTTGACCTCAACCATTTTCTAGTTCAAGTAAGATATGCATCATAAGACATTTTAGAACAACATACACCATGAGCTTTTAAAAAGTATTAAAGATGTTTGGTTAATGAGAGAGTCAGAAGTCTATGAACTACCTGTGTATATACAAACCTCTAGAACTCTAAATGCCCAAAGGCAAAGCTCATCTAACTTTCTATAAGATCCAATAATCTTAATATTTGTTTACTGCCAAAGAGGCTAAGAGATGTTGTTATCAGTTTTTGGAAGACCAATATGAGATGCTATAGGAAATATGCATTAATCAAAAAGTGCTCTTGGGCTTGCCTGTTTTCCAACCCATCACAGACAGAATGGCATGGGGGAAAGAACACAGGCTCTACAGTCAGAAGACCTGGGTTCAAACACAAGTTCAGACACTGACTAGGTTCACTTTCACTCTTTTATTTTTCTCTTTCTTAAGTCCTACAAAATGAAGTATAACAAAACTAAACTGAACTTTCTGTCACTCTGGGGCTTGATATATATATTCAGTAGTGTGAGGGTCAGAAGTCAGGAGCATAGTGTGTTTATTCCTTATTGCAGTCATTCTATACCCATTGAAGGAAGTCAACCCCGGTCTTGTTCAGGGAGTCTGTAAGATCAAAACTATTTTTGTAATATTACTAAGATGCCATTTCCATTTTTCACTCTCCCTCATGAGTTTGCAGTGGGATTTTCCAGAGGTTTTATGATGTGTGACTGTGACATGGCAACCCACTGGTTGCAGAGAATCCAGCTGTGTGGTCTCTGAAATCAGGCAGTAAACAGATTTGGAAAATTATAAAACAATCACTAAAATATTTATCACTAAATATATTTTGTTCTAGAAATAGATTTAATTTTCAAAAAATGTTTTGTTAATATATAATGGGTTTATTATTATTTTAAAATGAATTGATAAATATTTTAAAATATTTCGGTTGTATTTCTAATACAGTAAATATGGGGTTTTCAATAATTGTTGAGTGTAAACAGGTCCTGAGACAGAAACGTTTGCTTACTGCTGTCTTTAGTGTAATGATTTAGTAAAAAATAAGAGTTCTAGAGACTTCTAGTTTTCGCTTTAAGGTAAAGAAAGCTGGGAAGAGATCTTTCTCTCACTTACAATGAAAAGCTGGAGAAACTGAAAAATATCATAAACCTATTGGAGAAAGTTTAAGTAAAGTGTCCAGAGTGAAGGGCAATTAACACTGCCTCTCTTGGGCACAGGAAAAAACCAATTTCAGCTGAGGGAAGAAAACAGAAAACAAAACAAAACAACTTAACCCTGGGGAAGATAGAGAGGCAGATTCTGGGCTGAGAACTGCAGATGGGAAGGGGCAGGAGAACTAAGGAAGCCACACTTCAATATCGAGGGATACACTGTCTGTCTAATAGTGTGGTGAAATGAGAACAACAGAGAACACTCCGCTGCTGCCACTTCTCACTGCCAAGCTAAGATATCTTAAGTAATCCACAGTGCTGCTTGGAGAGAAACACAAGTGTGGAAGGAGACCTTCTCTAAGGTTCAGTGCAAAGGAAAGACTTAAAGCTGGCGATAGAGCAAGCATTGAGAGAAAACAAAACAAAACACGTTTGACAACCCAGCCTCAATCCTAAAAACAAGTTGTTACTAGAGGAATTTGAAACCTATGGTATACTGAGTGAAATAACAATTATAACACACTTCACACCTAACCCAACTCCTAACTAGTTTTACTCAAACCCCTGCACTAAAGGCCCAGCAGAGGGAAAGGCATGTCCACTACTAGGCAGAAAAAACTGTTAACTTCAGTTTCCATTGAACTACAGAAGGTGTCCAATTTTCAACAGCAATAAAAACATAAAGTATATAGAAAGGCAAAAAGTAAAAAACAGAAACCACCAACACACTCCCAACAGACAAAGTAAGCAGCAAAACCAGACTCAACTATGACACAGATGTTGGAAGTAACTGATAAGGAATTTAAAATAACTATGATGAAAATGTTAAAGGATTTAACTGAAAAGAAGGATATGATAAAAGATCAGGTTGGAAGTTTAGCAGAAAGCCAGAAACTATAAAAAAATCAAATGAAAATGTTAGAACTGAATACAACCACTGTAACAGAGACGAAGAATGCTTTCACAGCTTCATTAGTAGACTCAACATAGTTGAAGAAAGAATCAAGGAATTTGAAGATAGATCAATAGAAACTACTCAAATAGAAATATATAGAGAAAAATGTTTGGAAAAAATGCAGCAGAGTATCCAAGAGAGGTGAAAAAATATCAAATGGTCTAACTGACATGTAAATAGAATAACAGAAAGAGAAGAGAAACAACAGGGCAGAACAAACATTTGAAGAAATCATGGCTGTGAATTTTTAAAAATTAAAGACAAACACCAAACTACAGAGCCAAAAACAAAACAAAAAAAAAACCTCAGAGAGCGCAAAGCATGATAGATAAAAAGCAAACAAAATCCACCCAGGTATATCATATTCAAACTGCTAAAAACAAAGGACAAAGAGGAAATCTTGGAGGCAACTATAGAAAAAGATACATTACATGCTGAAGAACAAAGATAAGAACTATAGCAGACTTGTAGCTAGAAGACAATGGAGTGCTAAAAAAAATGTGAATTCAGAAAATATTTTGAAGTGTTTTTCAAAAATGAAGAAGTAATATGTATTAGTCTGTTTTCATGCTGTTTATAAAGACACACCCAAGACTGGGCAAATTACAAAAGAAAGAAGTTTATTTAAAACCATCAGATCTCGTGAGACCCATTTACTATCATGAGAACAGCACGGGAAAGACCCACCCCCATGATGCAATCATCTCCCACTGGGTCCCTCCCACAACACGTGGGAATTATGGGAGCTACAAGATGAGATTTGGGTGGGTACACAGTGCCAAACCATATCATAATAACAAAGAAAAACTGAAATAATTAATTGCCAGCAGACCTACCCTTCAAAAAGTGGTAAAGGAAGTTCTATAGGCAGAAAGAATATGATAGCAAACAGGAACTTCAATCTACACAAAGAAATAAAGAGTGCTGAAAATAGAATCAATGAATGGAAAATAAATTTTTTTCATATTTTAATTGTGCTAAAATATAACTGACTCTCTAAAGCCAAAATGGTACCAACATATTGTATGTTTGTAGCATATTTCAATGTTAAATTTATGAAAATAATAAGATAAAGGATGGGAGGGAAATTCAGATTATTTAAGGTCCTTACATAATGCATGCAGTGGGATTATAATATTTGTAGGTAGACTCTACTTGATATTTATTGCAAATCACAGAGCAAACACTAAAAAAATTAACAAAATTGAGTAAATAATATAGGGAAAAATAGAAACATAAAAATGCTAAATTTTTACAAGAAGTAAGTAAAAGAGAAAAGAAACAAACAACAGGTAAGACAAATAGAAAACAGCTAACATAGAAGGCCAAAAAAATCAAAACCCAAGTATATGCTGTCCACAAGAAACACACTTTACATATGTACAGACAGGTCAAATAGATACAGACAGCTTAAAAATAAGTAGATGGAAGAAGTTAAAGCATGGAAACACTAACCCAAGAAAGCAAGGGTAGCTATGCTAATAGGTAAAGTAGACTTCAGGATGAGAAATATTATCAGTGATAAATAAGGATACTATGTCTTGCAAAAAGAGTCAATTCTCTAAGAAGACATAACAATTCTAAATATGTACCCTAGAGCTTTAAAAGATGTAAAGCAAAATCTGATAAAAATGAAAACAAACAAATCTGCATTTATAGTTAGAGACTTCAACACTTTTCTCTCATAATTGACAGAACAAGTACATAGTAAATCAGTAAGGATATAGAACACCCGAGCAATATTATCAACCAACTCAGCATAATTCACATTTATAGACCACTCCTCCCAACAACAGCAGAATACACAATCTTTTCCATTGGACATGAAACATTCAACCAAAATAGACTGGCTATATTCTGGCTTATAAAAATCTCTTAACATTTTAAAATAATATAAAGTCAAGTTCCTACTTTATCTTTCGTTTCTACTTATAGTTCTCTCTCTCTTTCTCCTCACCTCAGTGGTCAGTCAATGGGTCCCTGAGCATTGGGCTCCATCATTGACTCTGTCCTCACCTAAGTTTTCTCACTAGGAAGACCTCATCCATACCCAAGGATTTAGTTATTGCTATGCACTGATAAATCTCAGATTCATAATTTTGCCTAATATCACACTACTGGACTGTAGACTACTAGACAGTTGCTCTCTGGATAGTTTATTGGCACCTCAAACCCAACATACTATTGCTAAATTCAACATCTTGTTCCACTTCCTTAATTACCTACCGTGGTGATTCATATTTCCCTCCATTAAGATATTTAAGCCAGAATTGTGCATCTTATCATTTATCACCTCCACATGAAATCAACCATGAGGCATTATTGATAAGGTACCCTTAGTATCTCTCTTTCCACTCCGTCTGTTATACATGATGATACATATATATCTGATGATTCTTGAGAATTTGGTTCAGAGATTTTTCCCTTGAAACTATTATTAGTATCTTCAAAAACAGTGAAGTCTGTATAGCACTGTATTAAATTCCTGGAGCTGCTGTAACAAATTATCACAAACCAGGTGTCTTAAAATAACAGAAAGTTATACTCTCCCTCTTCTTGAGGCCAGAAGTCTGAACCAAGGTGTTGGTAGAACCATGCTCCCTCAGAAGGCTTTTGGGGAGAATCCTTTCCTTGCCTTTTCCAGCTCTGGTGGCTGTCAGTATTCCTTGGCTTGTAGCCACATCTCTCTCTCTCTCTGCTCTGTCTTCACTTCACCTTCTCCTCTATGCATCTACCTCAAAACTCCCTCAATCTTTCAACTCTAAGGATACATGCAATTACACTTAAGGCCCACACAGAGAATCTAGTATAGTCCAGTGTAAACCTCTTTTCAAGATCATTAATTTAATCACATCTTTGCCATATAAGGTAATGTTCACTCTTGCCGTACGAGTTGCTATTGACAAGTTCCAGGATTAGGACATGAACATGTCTTTTAGGGGATTACTATTCAGCCTACTACAAGCACTCTGTCATATATTTAAAATAACATCCACAGTTCACAAGACTATGGAGTTAAAGAGGATTCATACACGTTTGAAAAAATTTAAATTAGCATGATGTCTTCAGAGAACATTTGGCAAAGTCAAGCAAAAGTCTTGGAAAAAATGTGCATATTGCCTTTATAGTTTTTTAGTTTTTATTTTTATTTTTTGGGGGATGGAGTCTCACTCTGTCACCTAGGCTGGAGTGCAGTAGCGGGATCTTGGCTCACTGCAACCTCCGCCTCCTAGGTTCAAGCAACTCTCCTGCCTCAGCCTCCCGAGTAGCTGGGATTATAGGCACCCGCCACCATCACATTCAGCTAATTTTTTTGTAGTTCTAGTAGAGACAGGATTTCACCACGTTGGCCAGGCTGGTTTCGAACTCCTGACCTCAAGCAATCTGCCTGTGTCAGCCTCCCAAAGTGCTAGGATTACAGGTGTGAGCCACCATGCCTGGCCTGCATATTGCCTTTAGCACAGCAATGACAATTTCAGAACTCTAGCATAAAAATATTTGGTTCATATGTGAATGTGCAAGTGTGTTCACCGCAGTCTTTTTTATTTGAAAAGAAAGGTTGAATCTAGTATAAAATGCCCAATAATAGGGGCTTACCTGAGGCTTAATTTATAATATATATATAAACAAGTGTATATATAAAAATATATGTACGCACATGTAGTATATTTATACAATGACATGATGTGTAGCCATTAAATTTGGTAATATAATGCCATGTTTACTGACATATAAAATAATTCACCATATTGTCAAATGAAAAGTTTATAAAATGGTATGTGTAGTATAATAACATTTTAGTAAAAATATGTATTTAAAACAATCTGGATAAATTGATCCCAAAAATATTAATACTGGAATTGTATCCAACTCATTTTTACCTATGGGTTTAAATGTTGTGCAGTGAGTTTATTTACAATATTTTAAAATAACTAAAAAGTGAATATATTTGTTAAACACATATTAATTTTTCTTCAAAGTACATTTATAATTCTTAAAACTTCAGACATTTCAATGTAATTTAGATATGAATTGTCTTCTGATAAAGAAAAAACTATATAGAAATATATAAAAATAAATTTGAAATATTTATTTCCTAAACATCACAAAGTCCAAACATCGAAGAAATGTGAACCACCTTAGCAAAAATATTAATACTAGCATTATCCATGTATTGTCCTAACAAATGGGAGAAAATCTTTTATTTCTGAATGTAACAAACTTTCATTATATTTAAGAAAAAGCGAGCCTACAGTTGTCAGTATACTCTATGAGCCATTTAAAAGCCAATTATGCATGCCTGGTAAAGTAAATGAGACCATGAATGAATAACATCCACAAACGTAAATTATACACATAAATTATAAAATTTAAATGTTTCTGGAAGAGGCACTAACCTTAACATAATGATTAGCATAATGATTAGTGCTGCTGTCCACAAAATACGTCTTCCAAGATATTTTTATTTATATATACCTCACAAAATAATGATATTTTATATACTACTACTAGAAAGTAACTTTTGTAGCTCAAACCTAAAAAAATTCCCATGAAATTGTTATTTCACTATCATTAAATGGGATCTACCAATTCTTCCCAAAGCAATAAATATTCAGTTTCTCTGGTATTTGCTTCTTCACCTGGAAAATGGATTAATCAAAAAATGTCCTGTTAGAGTTTTATGGAGAATTTTATGTAGCTCTTCATAAAATAAACAATGAAAATTGTGCAGTGCTCACAGGCAGAACATCTGCATTAATATTAAGGTGAGAAATGGCACACAATTAATTTAACAACTATGAAATTGATTAGGTTGTTAAAATTTTCGTAATTCACTGTATGACTCTCTCTTTGCCTACTAAGTGCACGGCATTTCACATCAAATTACAGAAATAGTTTTCCTAAATGGTTGTTGTAGGTTGGAATTTTCAACATTTTACAACAAAGTATAGTAAATGATTCAACTTTGTTAGAATTATAAATAATCTAAAAGAAATTTTTCAAGATTTATGTTTTATCAACAGAATTTGCTAGATTATTCTAACATCTGATAGAAAACTAGGGTTGATATGTCATTACCACCTGTCACTGAGAGAATGCAGTGCTCCTCTTCTAACACATACCTAATTATGAGAGAACTGTTTCAATTCTGCCAACTCACAGACTTCTTTAAAGGTTGCCTACCCCAGGACAACATATATAGACATCCTGGGAATGGTGATACACCTCCCATATCCTGGGAGCATGAGACACTAGTTAAGTGGAAAGTGCCCAGGAATTTAAAAAAAAAAAAAAAAAAAAAGTCAGGCACGTTGGCTCCCGCCTGTAATCCCAGCACTTTGGGAGGCTTAGGCGGGTAGATCATGAGGTCAGGAGTTCAAGACCAGCCTGAACTACATGGTGAAACTCCATCTCTACTAAAAATACAAAAATTAGCCAGGCGTGGTGGCATGCACCTGTAATCCCAGCTACTCAGGCGGCTGAGGCAGGAGAATCACTTGAAGCTGGAGGTGGAGGTTGCAGTGAGCCGAGATCATGCCACTGCACTTTAGCCTGGGCAACAGAGCGAGACTCCATCTTAAAAAAAAATTTTTTTAACAATTCCTGGGGAAGTATAGGGCAAAGAATATGAAGTCATATGAATTTACTGGGCATAGTGGAAGTTGGCAAAGAGTCCTAAAAGGATGCAGTCAGATCTTTGAATATTAAATAGGGAACTAAGCAAACTTTTCTCCTTTTTAGTTTACTTGACTCCTGATAAGCAACTGTGTTAACAGCATGCAAATTCTTAATTTCAATTTGCAGAAAGCTAAAAGATTTACATTTTCCAGAATTCACCTCCTCTATTTCTGATTTTTACACCATCCTCCTAGTTTTATTATTAAGAAAATCTTTTACTATAAGTTTAAATTTATGTATACTTGATGTAAAGATAATACAAGCTGGCCAGTCATTGAGATAAGGGGACCATTAATACTTTCAAGGATAAAATTAGTCATTTATATCACAGTCTCTTAAAATTCGTTTTTCTTTAAAACCATCTGGGAATGCCTTCAAACTGTGACCAAACTGTTCTCTGTGGGATTCTGATTTAATTCATGGCATATCTGAAAGAGAAAAGTTATTAATCACAAATTGGAAAAGATAAAAGCAGTAGTTTGGTTGAAGTACTTATTTCTTAGTCATGATTTTTTTCTTTTTGTTTTTGAGGGGAGAGGAAATTGCGAATACAAGAGATGGTCAAATTGACTACTAAATTTGCACCTTATTCTTCATTTACTTCACAAAACCAATTTATTGCTAAATTTCCCTAGCAGCATCCATCTAACATTTACTGCATTGTTTATTCCACTGAAAGAAACTTCTTTTAAATCTAAAATATAATTACTTCCACCTATCCATTTACTCCAACACATATTTACTGCCTAGTATATACAAAAATCTTTGCAAGAATCCAGGGAGATGCAACATAACCACGCATTCCTTGGTGGGGCGGGGGGCGGGGCGCTAAAATTTGATTTTTATTTTCTTTCCTTTTTCATTGTTGTCATTTCTTGAAGCTCAAAATCTAGAAAAAATATTTCAAAACCAAAAAAAATTGTTATAAAATGGTTCCACAAATCATCACTATAAGAGTTTAGCTGACTCATATTTCAGCAAAGCAACATACTTTACATTATTTTGAAATCCAACTGTAAAACTAACTGTTTAATATTTGGCCACTTTGGTCTGAAGTTGGATACTGGTGACTAACCATGTTCATGCTTTTATTTGAGGTAAACTTGAACTCAGGCTCCAACTGTCCTCCTGTTGATGTGAGGGTGAAGGAAGGTGCCACGTCCACTTCCCAGGGACTGGCGTAGTGGTACAGTCATGATGACAGGACACACTGAACACAAACCTGCAAATGGAACTGAATCTGTGCCAAGGACACTTCCATATCTGCCTAAAGACCCAGAGTTTAGTCAGTTCCCCGGACAGGAATATGATATTGATTTCAAGAATGCAGAAAACAACTTCCCTCTATTTTTCAGCCTGAAATTCTTATTCATTCACACATTCCAACATTTATTGAATACCTGCTATTGTCTAGATGTTATGATAGGTGCTAAGGACAATGCAGTGATCAAAATAGACATGGCCAGCACCTTCATGGAATTTAAACTACAGGATAGACTGAGGGGAGGTTAGAAAGAAAGAGGACAACCCTTCTCCCTACTTCTCTCCCCCTGCAACTCCCCCAATATGACCATATCTTAGTGGTTTTAGAGTTACTTTCATAAAGTCATTCATTAAAGTTTCTCTCTTTCCCACTGAATTTGATTGCATGATAGTAAATTCCTTGAGGGCAGGAATCCTATAGCATAATAGGTTGTACATCCTCTTCTAACAGCCAATTGCCTAGTGATTCACATTGTGCAGGCTTTTTTTTTCTGCAAAATGGATAAAGTCACATTCACTTCCAGGAAAAGCAATAGCAAAAGGAAGTTATGACACCCAGAACACTATAAAAACACAGTGAAAGGCAAAAGATAAAAGTTCTCCATAGAGCAGCATGGCTGTGTGGTAGTGATGTAGTTCTGTTTCAGCGTTCAGACATTCCATGTGCACAAGAGCTGCTGATCCTTTCTTGTAGCCCTGCTACCCTAACCCCCATCTCCACACCCTTAGTGCATGTAGAAAATCAGTATGGCCTGATTTGAGGCCACGATAGAAGAAGATATCTTCCCCTTAAAAAGTTCTCCCCAAATGGTCTTGATAAAGGATTGTCTTATTCATGCTCTGAATTAAAGTCCAGAATGCCTTCTCTTAAATACAAATGCTGGCGGTGACTGCTTGTGCTTTTGAATTCTTGTACTACCAGATTTATTGATTTAGAAGGTCTATCTTGTTCAGAAAGGATTTCAAGAGGATAAAACATGTGTCATATTGATAAGGAGGTAGAGAATAGTGTTAAGAATGGTGGGTCAGGAGCCAGACATCTTGCCTTTGCACCACCTTGCTATTTGTTTCACAAGTTACTCCCTGTATGACTATGACAATTCTGTGCCTCAGTTTCCATAAAATGTGGACAAGAATATTACTACACTATAGGTTATTCTAAGAGGTAAGTGAAAATACATCTAACACACGAAGTATCATCTGCCTAGAACAAAATACGATCTCAGCAAATGCTAGATATTATTAAATTATTGTTTTCCTCTTATAAATGAATTATCTCAATTAGACCTGAAATCACGTAAAACCAATAAAATGAGATTGGGTCCCTTCAAGAATACCAAGTAAAAATGGTTTGAAGGGACATAACTGTAATGAAGGAGAAAATATATTAGGTTAAATAATAAACATATGAAGTGACTTTGGTTAAGAAGATCAACTATTGAGATATAATTATGAACTTACTAATGTTAAAGGCATTATAGATTTTGAATTAGTAGAAATAGAATGCCTTGCCATAATGGATTTTGGAAACTGTAGTTTGTTTGGTGTGATATATGAAGATGCATGAAAACTAAGAAAGAAAACTTTCAGAGTTTTTATCATCTTGTAAACATAAGAACAAGGTGAGCCACAGACACAGTCGGAGATTAATTAACCAAATGGAGCAGAGAGACTGTTCCCGTGTGGTAGTGATATCATATTGAGCAAAGCCACATGCAGAAGTGAAGAATAAATGGGGACAGAGCAACCTAGCAGATGGGGTAAGTCCACCTTGGGAGAAGGTTGGAGGTGGAGTTGGGAGGGGAGTTATGCAATAAACAAAGGATGGGACTTGGAGGGATACCTTAGCTCTATTGAATATGTGAGTCTGGGATCTTGAATTATGCAAATTCACCAGCATTAGTAAAACAGAAGTTTGGGAATCCACATCTTCTCAGTTCTCTACCGGGCCTCCTAATGCAACGAAGGAACCTTAGATTGGAAGAGCTTGTTCTTCAGGGAGGTTTTGTAAATTGGCATGGCAACTAGCAAATCTCAGAACCTGAAATTTAGATTGAGTCCCTTGCTGCCATCAAAGATAGTAGAACGCACTCAAAGACAGTAGGGAGTAGGAGAGACAAATCAACAAAGGCAGTGCCCGGGCCTGGTCAATCCAGCCTCAGACAGAAAACCATTTGCTGTCTGTCATCCATTATTTTGAGATACTCTGGGATGGCCACAGGTTTGAATTGTAAGTCATGGGGAAAATGCTGAGTTCTGAGTAGATCACAAGATAAATGTGGTTGCCAAATGTTATCATTTTTGATTACTGATAGGTGACTGTCCAGAGCTCACAGTTTTTATGGGAAAAATAATGCTTAAAGTGACCTCATTGTGTCAATGCTCACTGTGTTATTGCAAAATCATTTCAGAATACAAAGATGGTCTTTACTGTCAAGCCTGGATGTAAATTGTTCAGATCTCTGATCAAAGAAGGTATGTATTAAATTTCACTTAACTTTGGGCACTCACTGGATCTTTACCAAAAGATGTTCCACTTCTCTGAGTTTATTCATCTATTTTTGGTAACAAGATTTTATAGCAAAGCTGCTTGATACAGTTTAAATCTGGGTCCCCCCCTCAAATCTCATGTCAAATTGTAATCTCCAGTGTTGGTGGTGGGGCCTGGTGGGAGGTGAGTGGATCATGGGGGCAGTTTCTCCTGAATGGTTTACCACCACGCGCCTTGGTCTTGTCATCAAGATAATGCATTACCAGAGATCTAGTGTTTAAAAGTGTGTAGCTGGGGCCAGGTATGGTGGCTCACGCCTGTAATCCCAGCACTTTGGGAGGCCAAGGCGGACGGATCACTTGAGGCCAGAAGTTCGAGACCAGCTATGGCCTACACGGCAAAACCCCGTCTCTACTAAAAATACAAAAATTAGCTGGGCATGGTGGCGCACACCTGTAATCCCAGCTACTTGGGAGGCTGAGCCATGAGAAATGCTTGAACCTGGGAGGCGAAGGTTGCAGCGAACCGAGATCACATCACTGCACTCCAGCCTGGGGGACAGAGTGAGACTCTGTTTTAAAAAAAGTGTGTAGCACCTCCCCCGTCTCTCTCTTGGTCCTGCTTCTGTCACATAAGACACCTGCTCCCACTTTGCCTCCCACCATGAGTAAAAGTTTCCTGAGGCCTCTCCAGAGGCAGATGTTGCCATGCTTCCTGTACAGCTGTGGAACCATGAGCCAATTCAACCTCTTTTCTTCATAAATTACCCAGTCTCAGGTATTTCTTCATAACAGTGAGAAAACTGACTAATACACTGCTTCTATTTGTTTCAGTGGAGGGTGAAAGTGGGGTTCTAGGGTTTCTAAAATTCTTCCACCACATTAAAATAGAAAATGAGCCTTAACAAATCAGATCCCATGGGGGCAGAAAACAATCTATAATGTAAGCCGGGAGAGGCCATGCCACGTCACTAGTGTCAGGAAATGTCATATAATTAGCACAGCCAGGGCATTTGTCAACCAAGGATCTAAAAGGATTTTTCAAATTGTGAAAATCTCAAAACAGTCCTAAGAGTTACTGTGTTATTACCTCTATAATACCTTTGCAATGAAATCTATTTAGGTCAGTATATGAAATTCTATGAGTCATTTATATATAAAGGCAATTTCTCTTTCACTCTATTCTCTTCCAGGATGAGTTAGAACAGCAGGATATAATGAATAACTATCAATAAATTGAACTTCATTTAATTAATTCGACATTATCATTTAATATTAATAAACATAAAGGTATTATTGCTGAATTTATCAACAGCCACCACTTGGAAGGTGTGAAAATACCCAGCCAATAACAAAAGCATTACAGATTTTCTTTATGTAAAATGCATTATGTTTTTCTCATTCATTTTTTATAAAGTGAACATTTATAAAGTATTTTGATTTTTGCATGTTCTTATAACATTGTACATGCATTTCTTACAGAAAAAATATTGGACTCCAAATCACAATAAAAATAACTTTTCAATGCTATTATCCACTGGCCAGATTGGTAAAAATTAAGAAGCCTGGTGACACTAAGTGTTGGCAAGGATTTAGGACACTGGGGATGCTTCTTTACCACTTGTGTGAGTCTAAACTGGCAATACCACGTAGCAAAACAGCTGCTCATGATCTTGTAAAGCTGGCACTTTGCATAGCCTGGCCTCTTGCACGTATTTATCATGAAACAGGCATAAAGACATATGTGGCAGCCCAGTTGATAATAGAAAAAAAAAGCCAGGAAATCTTCCAACAAACCAAATACACAAAAATGAGGGAATAAATGGATGAACAAATTGTGGAATAGTCATAAACTGTAATTAGTACAACACTGAAAATATGATCAGTGTGCATCAGTATGCATAGATCTTCAAAACAATATTAAATGAAAAAAAGCAAGTGGCAGAAGAATATAAACATTTTGCTGCCATTTTCATAAAATTTGAAAGCAAGCAAAATCCAACAAAAAGAACGACTTTAGGAATAATGCATGTAATGGTAAAACGACACAGAAAAGTGAAAGAAAGACAACAAAGTAAATTTCAAGAGAAACATTCATCATGGAGGACAGGAGGGCGCTGAGATTAGGAAGCAGAGAGCACATGGGGTATTTCAATGTTGCTGATGATGTTCTATCTGCAGATGGATGGTGTGGTTAGGGTATTTGTTGAGTTGTTATGTCTTCTATCATAAGTAGACATGGAAGTTTAATATATTTTTTAAACACATCACCTTAAACTTAAATATTACCTTTAAGGATGTATAGTTTATAGCTAAAAAGCGATATTCACTTCCCCCAAATTAAAAGTTCTAGATCCCAGTTTTTATACAGTCATTAATAGTTTTGTGACCTTGGACATGTTACTTAATCTCTCTGGGGATATTCTTTTTCCAATCTGAAAATACAGATTCTTTGATAGGAAATCCCTTAGGTCTTTTCTGGTAAATAGTCTTGTGTGTCTGTGTGTGTGTGTGTGTGTGTGTGTGTGTGTGTGTGTGTCTGTGATTCAAATGTTTTCTTTTGATTGTTTTTTCTTTTCCCGCAGTTTTATTGAGGTATAATTCACCAGTAAAACCTGTATACATTTATGTGAGAGTGAGGGTCTGAGCTGCTGGTCCTCCACTTGATGTAGGGGAGGCTGATGGCAACTGTTGTGGTATGGCCAAGCCTGGATTCCTGGGACCAGCACTTGCCAAGGCTGAGGGACTGGGGTGAATGTAATCCCTGTGATCAGCTGCCATTAGGAATTTAAACCTACTCTCAGAAGTGTACAGCAGAACTAAAGAAGAGAAACAACCAAGAGTCATCTGAAATTGTGATTGGCTCATTAATAATCCAAGGTCAATGACAGAGATCATTGCTCAAGCATGTTTTCCTATGGCTCCTATGAAGACGATTGCTCTGCAGGCTTAGGCTGAGTATGTTGTGGAATGGACTGTGAAGGACCGGTGTGGCTTCCTTACAATAGCGACTTTGTCTCCTACTTCACGGCTCCTAACATGTGCCCTGTTGTCCTGGAAACTGGCCAAGATGATTGAGGCTAGGGAAAAGGTGCAAAAGAAGAAACAAAATGTCAAGAAAATATTGCTGAAGCTAATGATTCAAAAAGGACAAACGGAATGAGAAGGCTCTGTAACAAGAGACAAACCATTTGGAAAATTCTGCAGTTTTGAAAGGACCCACTAAGATCTCTTCTTTGGATTTCATGATACTGTGGTGTCATTTAATACACAAAGTCTCGCCATATGGGAAAATTATATTGGTTCTGACCTTAGTACTGCAGTAACTTTTAGACTTGGGTATAAACACTTGTTGGTGTTTGTTGGAAGTTATTGTAAATTAGCATTTATTATCCTACAAAGATTTTATAACTGACTTAGTCATTTCCCATTTTGCATCTTATGTACTGAAATGAAAATATCCTGCAGATAAAAATGACTTCAGTCAATAAACTCTATTCAAATAATGGTTTAAAACGGGATCCTCTTCTGGACAAAGGTAATTAAGAATGTAATAGTCAAAACCATCCTCTTTGAGGTGAAAAATATGCTTTGGCTTAAAAGACACCATATGTTAATCACATCTTTTATCATTATTGCTTATTTTTCGGAATAGAATCATTCTGGCTTTCTCAAGGCAACTCATATTATTAATGAGTACTTCTATTTTCTGTACTTTTTCTGATTTTCACCTTTGAGATTACTGGTAATGATCAAGACACTCTGAATTTTTAACCTAGTTTTACAAAGAGTTCTCTTATTAGATTGGCTATGTAGAATCCCACCTGCTGGATATAACAATTTTTGTATTGATGAACACTGCCATTTTCTTCGAGATAACTTGTTGAGAACAGTGCCACTTGCAGTAAAGATGTCAGGCACACTGCAATGTTTTAGAACCAGTTTATTTTTGTGCTAAACAGAAATGTGAAATAGTTTAAATGTCTTATCAAATAATTTGCTGATTGTATAGATACAACTTCCGTTTTTTTATTCCAGTCTTTGTTTTAACTCATGTGGTGGTGTCTTATACTTTTTGATCAACTAGATTCAACGTGAAAGTTAAAATCTCAAATTTCTTTTAGAAAACACTTAAAGGGCAATAGTCAAGTCATACTTTATAAGTGGTGAGGAAAAGCTTAAACTTTGCAAGAATTTTGTTGGGCATGGTAGTAATTGGCTAAAATGGGTAAATTATGTTGAAATGAGAATGTGCAATTATTAGAAGTAAGGAGCTGAAGGATATTTCCTTCAGTTAAGTAGTGTAACTGAAACGTTTTACTATTAAACATAGGTTTTATAAATGCATCATCCAGTTATTTTATTCACTGGCAGTATCTGATATTTGTTAATGTTTTCCCCACCTCTGATATTAAATTTTAAATTACAAAAAAAACTGTCCAATAGCTCTAATTTTAAAAGGAAACTAGATATTGAAATAAATTTTTTTAAAAATTATATATATTTACAGTGCACAAGTTGATGTTTTGATATATGTGTCCACTGTAAAATGATACAGTCAAGCTAACACATCCATCACCTCACATAGTGTGTGTGTGTGTGTGTGTGTGTGTGTGTGTGTGTGGTGAGAATATTTAAGATCTACTTTCTTAAAGTATACATTATTATTAACTATAGTCACAATGCTGTACAATAGATCTCCAGAATTTATTCATCCTGTCTAACTGAATCTTTGCACTCTTAATCAACACCTCCCTATTGCACTCCCCTCTCTATGCCCCTCACCAGCTCTAAGGAATATTCTTATAATTCTATAAAGATCTAAGCCTTCTTCCATAGACAAAGTCCAGTCTACTTGAATTCAGTTCTCCCAAACAGGCCCTCGAGAAGTTACTTAAGTGTACAATCAGTTCATATAGGTCTTTTTAAAAAAAACACTAAGTTATTTAACTATACCACAACATTAATTTCCTTTCCTTTCCTGAGTTCTGCCACCCTAGGATATAAATTTTTCAGCAGCCACATAAAGTGGAGGGCCCCTCTGGGGATTCAGCA
This sequence comes from Homo sapiens, assembly GCF_000001405.40. Classification (NCBI taxonomy): domain Eukaryota; kingdom Metazoa; phylum Chordata; class Mammalia; order Primates; family Hominidae; genus Homo; species Homo sapiens. Next base: position 4,433,058 of record NC_000018.10, read on the forward strand.
GAGCCAGCTGGAGATTTTTTTCCCCATACAGTTCAAGCCGAGATTTGACTTTAAAATCAAAGTGGCACGTGGTATTACGCAGTCAAAATAATATGGGACTGAATACTAGAAGCCTATTCCTAATCATGGCCTCACATTAAGGAGTTAGTTGGATAACTGGGGCTAAGTCATTTAATTTCTGTGAGTCTCAATTTATTCATCTGTAATAAGGTGCCAGAAAGGGACTAATGCTCTTTGGGAACATTTTCTCTTCCAGCTTACTATAATTCTACCTAATTTAAGTTTACTGTTGAGGGCTGTTTGACATAATGATCAACTATTTTAAAAAGTGTTCAATTATCTCGTAGAAATCAGTTACCAAAACCAAACTTCTAAAAACCACTTAGCTCTACCAGGAATTTTTGTTTTTTGAAGAAGTTAGAGGGAGTGTGTCCATACACTGATGGATACACATTTAAAAATCCTCTAATTCACTTGTTCATCTAATGTTAACATAGTAGGCACTGTTATAGTCAGTGCAGACATAGCTGCCCTCATGGACCTCACACTCTTGCATGAATAAGGAGAACCTATCCTGAAAGACTAATGATGGGTTGAGAGCAAAGACATGCTTATCACTTTGACTCATTTACTCTCTAATCTCATCACCAGAACCTTAATGCATTTTATCTGTTAGAGATTTCAGGGCATAAGACCTATGCAAATATATGTGACTGTCATCTATTTATTCTTCAGTCATTTCCAGAATATGCTAGTATCACAATGTGGATAGGCTCTAAAAGAGAAAGCTCTGCCAAAAAAAATCAGTGATTCATTGCTGCGTAAGGAATAAAATCAAACTCTTTAGTTTATGTGCTGAAGCTCCTCTGTGGGCTCCTCTGTGATTCACATCTGGTCACACACCCTACATTCCAGCCATCACAAATTCCTCATGGTAATCCAAATAGCTCAGCCCTTTCAGTTACTCACTTAGCCCTTCAGCTTGAACCTGGGTATAAACTTCTCCTTCAAAAGCCAACCCAAAAGGTATCCCTTTCCTAAAGACTTCTCCAACCTGTTTTCTATTTTATGAATTAAAACCTCTTCCTTACACCGAAAATATTGCATCCCTATACAACAGCATTTTTTTTTACTGCTTTATATCATAGACTCTCATCTACATACACCTCCCCCGAAAAAATGCTATTCCCCATCTGAATTCTTGACCATAGCATCTTTGAGCACAATGAAATGTGTTGTAGCGTCCCCTAAGTGTGGCAATGATTGGTTAACTGATTGGTTATACAATACAGAGATAACTGATACACTAACTTCTCCTTCCCCTTGCCTTATTTTTTAGGTTCTGCACCTGGTTTTCTGAACTTTTTTCCCTAAACCCTGGTTCTCCTTGAATCTGCTCAAATTCTAAAAACAGCCTGCACGTTACTCTCTTTCTTCCCCTGTGCTGCAAGGCTGCCAGCACCCAGTTTGTACACTGTGAGTCTTACATACTTCCTGTTGGTTCTAGCATTACCTTCTTGTGTTCCCAACTCTCAACTCCTCTGGAGGAGGAATGCTTCCTCTGCTGGTCCTGCAAGAGGCTGGTTCTTCTCAACCAAGTCACAGAGAAATCAGCAGGGTGACAAAATGTTGCAATACATTGTAAGGAGTACCCATGAGATATTGCTGGAACCCAGAGGAGGTGGTATGTAAATCTCAGGGAAACTGTAGGAATCCTCAAGCTGTCCTTGAACAATGTTTAGAGGTCTGCCATGCAGAAAAGGAAGTAAGGACATCCCAAGGAAAGGAAATAAGAGCGGGAAGACAGAGAGAGAAACATCATAAAACACCGTGTTATTTAGGAAATGACAAACAAGCATAAAACCTCATGATGTAGAGGAGTATTAAGAGTTAAGGCTGGAAAATTATACTTGACCAGGTCATGAGAGACTTTAAATGGCACACTACAAACTTGAAACTTCATCTGACAGGTCATGGAGGGCTAGACATGAAATGATTTAATTTGGGAACTTAGCAAAATTAAACCTTTCAAAATGATTTATATAATGTAACTTCAGAGAATAGTTTGGAGGAGGATAAAATTGAACATGGAATGAGAAGTAAGGAGGCTCTTGGATTTGCAGGGAAAAGAGATGATGCAGGTATCACGTACCAGAGAATCCCGAGTTGTGGACAGGAAGCTTATCTGAGAGAAAGGTAGGCAGTTAGTCAGTAAAATTTGATGTTTTGATACAAGGAAGTAAAAGTGTAGGCTGCCTTTTAAGTTTCTTGCTTGAGCAACTATAAGGATGATGTATATGAAACAGAAAATATAGTCACATAAAAATACTGACATCAAATTCTGAGTAATGGAAAGGTATTATGGAAAGATGAAAAGAAAAGGAAGAGGAGTCAAGAAAGGTAATTCCTAGAATTGCAGAAAACAATATAGAAGGGGGAAGAGAGGGGAAACGGAAATAGAAAGTTAAAATGGTAACAAAGGAGGCAGCAGCATTCAGCTGTATCTCAATCTCCACACCGATGGAGGGAGGGCACTGATGTAAAATCACCATGATTTAGCTGCATCCATAATTTAACTCTGGAAAGAGTTTTGGTATATTTGAATGCAATTGCTCCAGATGTTCTACATAACTCTTTAATCACAGTAATAAAACCACTCTGCAAAAATGTAATTCTGGAGAGATAAAAGCTGCCCAACTTCTGAATTCTTTCTTTCACTTCCCTCTTCCAACATATGAAAAGTTTAAACTGCAAAACATTCAAAGCCAGGTTAGCATCATGTCACACATATAGGAGCTGGATGGGACCAGGAAAGAGAGGACAGGCTGTAAATGCACAGAGAGCTGAGGCGGGCTTAGGGACTCAAACCTAAGCAGATGCGCACACAGGTGTCACAAATTAGACAAGTAGGTAGTTAAAGGACAATAGACTGCAGGAAAAGTGATGAGAACTATCAGCAAAGAAGCTCAAAACATGCAAGATGGTTTTGGTGGTAAGGAGAAAGTTAGAAGCTCAGAGAAACAGTTTCAAAGGTAGGGAAGGTTAGAAAATATCCAGGGAAGCGATCTGGAAAGCAGATAAACATGGTCATATTAGGGAGATACTGGTAATGATTTCTTGCTTTAGGCAGTGATCTTTTATGTTTCTTTTTTCTTTTTTTTCTCATGCAAAGAAACAATTCCAAAGCATGATTGTCTGGGACCAGCAGGCAAAGATGTATAAATATAAGTGCCTGTCTGGAGACAGGAACCTAAAAGCCAGTGGTTCTGAAACTTTAGTGCACATCTTAATCACCTGAAGGCTTGTTAAAATCCTATTTCTGGGCCCCGACCACCAAAGTTTCTGATTCAGTATTTCCAAACTAGGGCCTGAGAATATACATTTCTAACAAATTCCCAGGTGATGCGATGTTGCTGGTCCAGAACCCATACTTTGGGAACCACATTAGTCATCGGTTCTTATCCCTAAATGGACACTAAAATCATAGGACATGCTTTATAAACACATTCATGCCTGAGCCCACTCTAGAGATGGATACTGAGGTGGTCTAGAAAGGGTCCTGAGATCTACACTTTTTTAAAGTTCTCTAGATGATTCAATACATAGCTGAGGTTCAAATTACAGAATTGAACTTCAAATTAATTAACTTCAAATAGAATTGAAGTTAAATGTTGACGGGTAAGTTCCTTCTTGGATTCAGCAAGACATCTTCCTGAAGGTGAACCAGCTATTCTCTCGACACCTAGGGGTTAATATTTTTCATTGGTGTCTAACAGTGATTATGCTTATCAAAAACACATTACTTACAGCTCCTGCTAAGCTAGACTCAAACAAAGTCCTATTTATGCCAATAAAGTATTTGGGTAATATCACTGATGATTTATAAATTTTCCTAGAAGGTTTAATTTACCTTGAAGAAACAAAGAAGAAATCTCTAACAATAGAAGGAAGACTATGGTTTTCTCCATCCATGCTGCCAGGACTTAGAAGAAAAACAATTTTCCCAAAACAACAATAAAGCAGCCAAGGGGAAAATCCAATAAAGTTTCTGAGGAATGACAGTGCTCCAGGAACAGATGGGTTGATTAATTTCTGAAATTTTATGAAGAATATTGGCTGACTGAAACATTGACAGAGATTTTTAATGCAACTTTAGAGATAAGAAAAATAATCAATAAAGCCTCACAACATACTAGCCAAGTGGAACACCTGAATGCAGGCATGATGTTTTTATCTTTTTTGCATTTTTCAGAATTGTTAAATAATTGATCAATTAACAATAACTAATGGAATACAGTTGTCCCTCAATATCCATAAGGGAGTAGTTCTAGGACCTCCTGTAGATACCAAAACTCGAGGATGCCCAAGTCTCTGGTATAAAATGGTATGGTATTTGCATATAACTTACACTTTAAATAATCTCCAGGCTAATTATAATACCCAATATAATGTAAATGTTATCTAAATAGTTGTTACACTGCGTTGTTTAGGGAATGATGACAAGAAAAAAAAGTTTGTCCATGTTCAGTACAGATGCAAATTTGTTTTTGAATATTTCCATTTGTGGATGGCTGAATCTATGGATGCAGAAACCATGGATACAGAAGGCTGACTGTACATTATGCTGGTATAATCTTGGTTTTGTTTACTAATCTTTCTCTTGTATAATAAATATGGTTTAAAAGATTATATGCAAACCTGGCATTTCTACTTGCTTCTTATAATCTCTGAATTGTCCACTTAATACAGTTGGAGGGTTATATTAAGGTAGGGAAATAGGAATTAACATATAAAGACAAATAGTAATTAACATATATAGGAATTAACTTATAACATATAGTAAATATGGTTTAAAAGATTTTATGTGAAACTGGCATTTCTACTTGCTTCTTATAATCTCTGAATTGTCCACTTAATATAGTTGGAGGTTATGTTAAGGTAGAGAAACAGAATTAACATAGAAAAGGCATTTATTCTTTATACTAGGGCTAATTTTGTCATCAAAAATGGACTGTCCACATCAGAAAAACCTTAGCGCCTCCACAGAGCTTTGGAAGATTTATGTAACACCTCCCATGGGGCCCAGTGGTGTCACTTGTATACTTATTATGACATATTGCCAAATTTTGCTTACATACTGGTCCTTCCATGACCCAGGATCAAACATGGTGCATGGCGAATAAGGAATCAACAAATGTTGTGAAGTACTAGACTGATGTTATCATCTGATGGGTCCTACATTATTTTAACTTTTTGGAAAATTATCTGGCTATGCCACATTTCAGAATGGTGTGAACCCGGGAGGTGGAGCTTGCAGTGAGCCGAGATTGCGCCACTGCACTCCAGCCTGGGTGACAGAGCGAGACTCCATCTCAAAAAAAAAAAAAAAAAAAAAAAGAAATCTCATCTCATATGCCCACATTTTTCAACTGAAAGCAACTGTTTAAATCTCTCATGCCCCCTCCTAGAGCCTCATCTTGTACCCCTAGCCCCACTCCACTATCCCCATTCATTTCTTCATCACTTTTATTAACCACCCTCCCCAAGAGCATATTCCTAGTCCCCCTGAGAAACACAGTTTATCTTCAGCTTCATTTGTTACACTTACTCCTTAATGTAGGTTACAAAAACACACTCGAACCTCCTTGACAGGCATCCTAGCATTTTGAAATTTACCTGATTCCTAGCCTGCTCATCATCACAGACATAACATTTATAAACTCATTCCACTCCAGTGTTTATTTCATATATTGCTGAAATCTCCATGAAACGCCTCTCTCATGGGAAACTTAGTTCAAAGAATATTAGTGTTTTAAAGGAAGCTCAAAATCACATGATGACCCCTGTCAATTGATATATGGGTAAACTGAGACCCTGAGGGAGGAGCACGTTATATGCTACAAAACACTGTGGCTAGCAATGTCACGTTAGGAAGAGGAGGAACTTTGTGCAAACTGGCTACAATCCACTGAATGCCTCCTTCCTGCCTTGATGTTCCTTTGACATCGCTGGTCCCCGCCCCAAAGGAGAGACTGACCTGCTGAGGTGAGTCACCTGCTCAGGCCCATCACAGCACCCCGTGGCCTCTCAGCATCCTGCTGCCCCCCTGGGTTTAATCCTACCCATCCTTCTTTCTCACTAGCCCATGAGTTCCCTGTCATGGGGATTTTGCCATTTCTATTAGTGAGTTCCAAGCCCTTTTCAGGAGATGATATATTTGTAGAACTCAGACTTCAAACCAAACCTTTAAATCCAGCTCCTTCAACAAATAATCATTTAAAACTTTAAGTTAAAACATGCCTAGTTGTTATTATAAGCAAGAAATTAAGCCATTGAGCTTTGTTATTTCATATTCATTCTTTAGACAAATATTTATTAAGAAGTTCTATGCTAAACAGGGTGCTGAGAAAGAGAATAATGGGGACAGGTTGAATTCCTTTACAAAGGGTGATCAAGAGCAGCATTATGCTGGGTGCAGTGGCTCATGCCTGTAATCCCAGAATTTTGGGAAGCAAAGGCAGGAGGATTGCTAGAGGCCAGGAGTTCAAGACCAGCCTGGGCAACATAGTATGACCTTGTCTCCACAAAAAAATAAAAATAAACTAGCCAGGCATGGTGGCACACACCTGTAGTTCCAAACTACTCAGGAGGCTGAGGCAGGAGGACTGCTTGAGGAAAAGGGTTCAAGGTTATGGTAAGCCATGATCACACCACTGTATTCCAGCCTGGGAGATGGAGTGAGATTTTGTCTGTAAAAAATTTTAAAAAAAGAAAAAAATGGCCGGGCGCAGTGGCTCACGCCTGTAATCTCAGCACTTTGGGAGACTGAGGCGGGCAGATCACAAGGTCAGGAGATCGAGACCATCCTGGCTAACACGGTGAAACCCCGTAGCTCTACTAAAAATACAAAAAATTAGCCAGGCGTGGTGGCAGGTGCCTGTTGTCTCAGCTACTCGGGAGGCTGAGGCAGGAGACTGGCGTGAACCCGGGAGGCAGAGCTTGCAGTGAGCCGAGATCACACCAGTGCACTCCAGCCTGGGTGACAGAGTGAGACTCCGTCACCAAAAAAAAAAAAAAAAAAAAAAAATAGAGAGAGAGAAAAATAAGTGCCAGCAATAAGAAAGAATCATTTATGTCAAGAGGACTGGGGAGTTATGAGGGGTCAAATTTCCAGGCAGATGGAATAAAATATTTTAGAAAATATTACTTATCATTCATCTTATATGATTGTGATGTGATGTACTCAATCTCAATTATAGAATGACTAATAGAATATTTTGACTCACTTTCAATACATGTATATAAAAATTATTTTTACATGTCCAATATAAATAAATTGATTTTCAGTATGGGACATTTGTGGATTTAACAGTGGTTAAACCTTTGGCCATCTATTTCCTATCTTTGACTAATTAATGCTTTACTATCGGTACATTACTTTTACTAGTATCTGTCTAGAACTTTCACTAAGTTTATATCCTTCCTAAGTCAATTAAACATTCAAATTTGGGGGGAGGTCAAGAACATAAGGTAATTCAGAACCAAACAAAAGTGCCAGAAATAACCTATATAGACACACGAGAAGAAAGATATAAGCCATTTCACTTATAAAATGTGTCATCTGTGTGACAGCTAGGACATTATAAAGGACACTCACTATTCAATCAGTTTTACATGTGTCTAATCTTCATTTCAGCTTTTGTTAATTTACATGAACCAAATATCCTCAACCAATATTTATTTACAGAAGGCAGGGATGCTTACATATTTAACGTGCCTCTTTCTTGAACAATTAAGGTTAAAACCAAAAATATAGCAACACTCTAGTATTCTGTGGACTGACTCAAACATTTTGCTTTGAGCTAAGGGTACAACAATGTTGATTTAACAATGTCTACTTAAATAGACTGAAGGTTTTACTTTCATCGGCCTGAATTGCAAAGAATTATAAGAGGCAATGAGAACTTTCTTTCAGGTATATCTCACAAGGATATTCTAACATCTTTTTTTACCCCTTGCTATTAAAGTTCTTGTCTGAGCGGCACCAAAGCCAGGCTTGTTCATTGCGTTCTCTAAATTGTGTCCTTATTGCAGACCTCATCTGTGTTTGTGCTTCTTTCTCTTTGAGGTATCTGTTCATTTATGCTTTCAAATAGATTACTCAATGGGCAGCAGGGAGCTGAGGTTTCTCTAGCAGTGACAGATCGTTTCTTGGAAAGAAGAGACTGATTCTCTCCAGGGCAAGCAGATGGTCACACCCCTAGAAGGTTCCACAGAGATTCACCTCTGTCATGCAAAATTTCTCTGACAAGTGGGAAGAGAAAGGTGGGAAAAGGAAGGTAAGGCAAAGACAATTCTTATTCCCTTTGTTTAAGATGTCATCAAAATAGCCTGCATCCTGGAAGAACTCATTGAAGTAGGCACTAGTAAAAATCATGGTAAAACTCAAAAATAAAAGGACACATGGTGATTTCTTAATACCGCAGGCATTCTAGAACAAAGCAGCTTTGCCTTCAGACTAAAAGGTTGTGATTTTAGCAGAAGCAATTTTATTTCTATTGCATCTCCACATGTAAGACGTATGGCAACAGTAGGAAAGAATTACGGAAAAAATAAGAGAAGTGACACTTCAAGAATTTCCAAATAATCACCTTCTGGGACAGCTAGGCTGTGAAGTGAAATAAAACCAGAGGAGGGTATATCTTGCATGCTACTAGAGATACATTTCTGACAGTTATCAATTCGGCAATACAACAATTTATTTGATTTCCATTTCACTCTACGATTCTCGGATGCCAACCAATTGTCAGGCACTGGGTTAGGCATCAGCAGAATATAGAGCCTAGCGCTAACAGACCTTCGTTCAATTATCAGCTCCACCCATGGTAGGTCTGTGGTCTGAGAACATATTCTGTAAACCATCATATCACTTTTTTGTTTGTTTGTTCTTTTGAGACAGAATCTCACTCTGTCGCCCAGGCTGGAGTGCAGTGGCGCGATCTCAGCTCACTGAAACCTCCATCTCCTGGGTTCAAGCAATTCTTCTGCCTCAGTCTCCCAAGTAGCTGGGATTACAGGCGCACGCCACCATGCCGGGATATTTTTTTATTATTATTATTTTTAGTAGAAAGAGGGTTTCACCATATTGGCCAGGCTGGTCTCAAACTCCTGACTTCATGATCCGCCCACCTCGGCCTCCCAAAGTGCTGGGATTACAGGCGTGAGCCACTTTGCCCAGCCCTGAAATCACTTTCTACATAGGATGAGCATGAGGTTAAAATGAGATTATTTACATAATGTGCCTAGTGTATACTAAGCACTCAAAAAAATATACTCACTATTATTTATTACTACTAGCATCATTATTACAGAAATACAAGTTTGTAGAAAATACGCCCTATGCTACAATTAATAACCTAGTGGGAGATCAAAATACAGTAACAGGTATCTATAATGCAACGCAGTAGATTACCTGGGGTTACATAGATGTGTAGAGTACTAGACATATAGACTAGATATACTGACTACTATTAAAACAGAAAGGACAAAGAATGAGAAAGTGGTAAAAGTAGCTTCACACCTCTTTTCAAAACCTAAAGCTAGAATATTTCTGCTGAAGGTTTGAATTTAAAAAGAAAAAAAAGTTAATGTCCTCATATACCAGGAATCTATCAGAGCACAGTAATTCAATCCTCCTGATCTGGTTCTATTTTTATTTATAGCTGTTATTCCTTTCTAACACTCTAAAAGAAACGCATTATGTTTATTATCTCTATTTTCTCCGACTGGGACGTATGCTCCATGGCTCCACAAGGGCATGCCTTTGTCTTCTGTTGATGTTCTTGCTCGGGGCTGAACTCAAAGCACCTAGAATAGTGCTTGGCACATAGTAGTCATTCAATAAATCGGTTTTGGTTGAACAAATAAGTGAAGGAATGAATGAATGGATTGACAATGGCCATTCTCCAATAGCGGACATCTTCAGAATGTGAAATACATAGAAAAATTTGTCAAAAACTGCCAAAGTTGAAAAGAATACATTTCTGTCTATAACTCCTAACTTAATGAAATCTGATTTATAAATAGTCTACATATCTTGGTTCTCAATGCAGAACATAAGGATAACTGAACAGAAGGACAACTGAACTATCCTTTCCTTCCTTTGTTCCAGTAGTCAAATAAAGGGAAGTTTACATAAATGTAGCTACTTAGCAATTATTAGTGGCCATGAATAAGCTCTGTTTGCTCCCACTTCCCCTCACCAGTTCTGTTCCTGGATCAAGGCACACTCATGCAGGAGGAGCTGCTGATGGCTGAGCATCATCTAGCACCAACCATTGGCAGAGCCAGGGAGTTCTGTTTCTGCAGCAGAAGGGATGGCATGTGTTCCTGGTTAAAATTTAGAATTCATTTTTTCATAAATATAGGGTCCTAAACATGGTTTTCATTAGAGTAATACTATTTAGTTTACAGAAAATGGGTCAAAAGACTCTAGAAGTCATTAAGTTAGAAGCCAGTCACTACCGTGTAGCACAATTTCCATGGGAAAATACTGTTCAGTGTCCAAACGTATTCAGTTAACAAATACACCTTTGGAACACAACCTATCTGTAAATTGGTATTGCCGATATTTAAATTGTATTAAGTGTGTGTTTATCAGCTCTCTTCGGAGCAACTCAAGTCACTTTAGATATGCCAATATGGCTACCCAAAAGGGATCCGTAAGAAAATAAAGACATGAGAAAAAGCTTTCTGTCTTTTATTCTAGGTTTTAAACCTAAACCACAAGATGTGAAATACTGTGTTACCGTAACAATAAAGAAAACTACAAAACCCAAATTACTTGGATATAACTGCCCAGAAACCTTTCCCTTAGTGAAAACCAGTGGAATGTTCCCACCTAATCAATCAGTAAAGTGTTCCAGTTATGTTTTGCACATGTGCTCAGCTACTGATCCCTTCTTCTAAGGAAAGAAACTGGGTTAACCGAACACACACAATAGAGAGGCAGAAGATAAGCCCCAGATGGCAGAGAAGGTGAATGCAATTGGAAGACAGGTGCACTCCACCTGCCGGTGTGCAGCTAACTTAGAGCCCACTGTGACCACGAGGGAGACGCTCCTCTTTAAGGATCAGGGCATGACTGCTTTTCAGTGTTGCCTCTTCATTTTTTTCCCCATATCCCATCTCACCTTAAGAAATATGTATTCTGAGCACAGTAAATTAAAACTTACATTTTGAATGTTGCTATAGATGCACTGAATTGTTTCATGAGAATATCTTCTCATCAACACAATTAAATCTTCCTTGGGGAGAGAGTCATGATTTTGACTTCCTTTGTAATCTCCTCACAGCATATGGTGCCATATCAGGCAGGACTGGGCTGAGGGACTATGAGCCTCTACTCATTATAGGAACAGCACATACAGCCTACATGCAGTGCAATACTGAGAGCTGTATCCTGCATGAGTACAAAGTCCAGGTTGCTCAGTAAATATCAGCTATTCTTAAACTTGTTCAGCAAGTTGCTGTCAGTGTCATCAAATGAATGATAAAGGAACATGAAATAATAAGACAGGGATTTTTCAGCAGCAGCAGAAAAATATATCATGACTAGACAAGTAATTTTTAAATTCTTTACTTGGTAGTACTTTGATGTAAAAAGATGGTTGGCAGATCGGTTTTTGCAGAAAAAAAATATACAGTATGGTTAATAGCACTTACTAATTGCTCACCATGAACCCAACTTTGAACTAGATACTTCACATAAGGTGACTCATTTAAGCCTTTCAAAAACTTTGATATGTAAGACGAATTATCCTTATTTTTCAGATGAGAAAACTGGACTCAGTAAAATTAATTTGTCCAAAGTCGTCTAGCTAGTTAGATGAATCATGATAGTAGAATCTGGATTGTGAAGGCAGTAACACTTCCCATCTGGAACACAGAAGCAACTACTAGTATCATGAATCTGTTGACTATCTTCCAACAGGTAACTCCTTAATTAGCACCTCAAATGTTATCATTTCATAAATTCGAGTTTAATATTTTCCAAGTTGCTTATGGGCTATGTCCAATATCATCTCAAAAATCAATATAACCAAAATATAGCTCAATTACTACAAATCAGTTCCCTATTCCAAATGCTTAGATGTTCCAGTAATGTCACTACTCCCAATATCTTTACACTCCAAATCTCTATTCACCCTATTCCCTCTCTAATAACTAATTACCAATCATCTTTTTTTTTTTATTATACTTTAAGTTTTAGGGTACATGTGCACCTTATGCAGGTTAGTTACATACGTATACATGTGCCATGCTGGTGCGCTGCACCCACTAACTCGTCATCTAGCATTAGGTATATCTCCCAATGCTATCCCTCCCCCCTCCCCCCACCCCACCACAGTCCCCAGAGTATGATATTCCCCTTCCTGTGTCCATGTGATCTCAATGTTCAATTCCCACCTATGAGTGAGAATATGCGGTGTTTGGTTTTTTGTTCTTGCGATAGTTTACTGAGAATGATGATTTCCAATTTCATCCATGCCAATCATCAAGAAAGCAGCTGCTACCCCTTGAAAAGTCACTCTACTAGCTACTGGGCTCAAGCCTATGAGACATGCAAAAAACATCAGCTAATTCACTACTTAAAAGAGCTTAAAATCTCAGAATATTCACATAAAATGTTAAAAATGTGAATATTATAATAAAGTAAGTAATCCAGATAAATGCAACTGGAATTCAGAGAAGAGTTTACCCTCAGCTGAGTAGTCATAAAATGTGTGCTGTGAGAGGTGAGATTTGGCTGGGCCTTGAAGGATACAAAGGACATTAAAACAATTATTTTAAAAGAAATCCTTCCTCCTGGTAAAACAGTCAACTAGATAGAAGGACAGAAAGGGAAAGAAAACCCCTGAGGCTCCTTGTCCTAGTCTCTAGGAGCAGCCACTGTTAACAATTCATCAAGTAGATGGAGCTTGAGTACATGCAAATAAACAAAGAGGAAAAATAGCTGGAACAGCAGAGCCCTGACAAACAGGAGTGGTCATGGTGGAGGCTGATGCAAGAGATTATTAGGAAATGAGGGTAAGCAATGATGAGAACCAATTGTGTCTTCACACACTCGTCCCACTGACACATCTGAAGGCCAACCACGTTCTAGGCATACTCGGGTCTGGAGTAGGCAGGGGAATACTAGCGAATGGGATTGTTGCTCTTTTGGGGGGCTCCAGGACAAAGTTTGAGGAGTTTCATGATGACCTCAAGAGCATTTTAGAAAAGTAAATTTTGATGTGAGTTTAATCAGATCCTAGAGATTAGACATCCCATTAAGAAGCTGCTATGTATTCCAGGCATAAAATGATGAAGTTGTGAAGTCAAGCAGCAGCAGCAGCAGCAGCAGCAGAACTCATACAGTACAACCACCTTGCTCTCTAACGTAATGAGTAAGAAATTAAGACTAAGAGAAGATGGGTGTTTTGCCTAAATTTAGAATGTAATTAAAGGCTTTATAAAATAACTATGGATATAAAAGTCTTGAAGAACTAAATAATAATATCTTTGTCATTTCAGAATTGGAAAACATTTCTCAAACATATCTTATTGGTACCATAAAGAGAATTTAAAATGCAACTATTTTAAATTTAAACATAATCTTTTCATCCAGAGACATCATAAAAATGAGAAGACAAGCCACCAACTGAGTGGAGATAACTGAAATGCCTATTACAGAACAAAACTCTGGTATCCAGAATATATAAACAGCTCTTACAAATCAATAAGTTTAACAAAAAGAAGTAGGAGAGTGGGGAACATGTATGAATAAGGAATCCACAGCAACTAGAATATTAATAAAGAGAGGGAATAAATCATCAACATTACCAGGAGACATGGAAGAACAAATTAAAACTACAATGAGATATCATTTCATATCCATAAGATTGGCCAAAAATAAAATGTATCACCAAGTGTTGACAAGGATATAAAACAAAAGGTGTTCTTATAGATTGCTGTTGGGATCATAAATAGGTACAACCATTTTTGGTAATTTGCATTATCTGCTAGATGTGAAGATACGACTATTACCCTACTGCAATCCCCCTCCACCCTAATCAGAGTCCCCTTTGTTAGCACAAGGTGATGTACACGTGAATGTTCACATCAGCCTTATTTGGAAACATCTTAAATGTCCATCAACAAAGATTGATACCTTTATCATGATACAGTTCTACAATGGAATACCATATATCAGTAAAAATGAATAAATCAGATCTACATGTCATCAAAATACTGAACAATTACAGTAAGGTAAAGAAGACTACAAGAGCATTATTACTACTTATAAATAGTCTAAAAAAGCAAAACAAGACTATATTGCTTAGGTACACATACATACATAGCAAAGAATAAGGAAATGCATGCATAAGAACAATAAACACAAAACTCAGTGGGCTGAGTCCCTCTGAGGGAAGACATGAAGAGTACACTGAAGTCTCAACAGTGTATGCAATGATTTATTTCACCATCTGGGTGGTGGACACAAAGGGGTTTATAATATTATTTAATTTTTGGTGTTCCTGAAATATTTCACAGGAATTTTTAATGAATAATAAAGAATTAAAAAGAATGTGTGACACAGGTACAGAGTAAAAGAGAAAGGAAAGAGTCAAATATTGCTTGAAAATTTTTCAAAATATTTACTCCCATTTCTACTTCCCTGGACTTGATTCCCAATAATGTAAGCCTCACTAAAACAGCCTCTTCATGCTTCTCTCTGTCCCAGTCTGGTGTTAGACCCATCTACTCCTATCAGTCCAAGAGGCCACTTCTTCACGTCACTGCCTATTCAGAATCTGTCAGTGGTTCCTATCAAATCTAAACATTCTTGTATAGCCATTAATGACCCTCTCAATCAAATTCATCTTCAGGTCTAATTAAAGTGGAGGAACTGGAGGAGAGAACCATCTTCTGGACCAGGAACATGCCAAGTTCATTTGCACCTCCACGTCTATGCAAATGTTTTCTCTATCTGAAAGTCGGTCCTTCTTCCTATGTAAGTCTTACAAATCCATGAAAATCTAGCTTCAGATCTTCCCTATTGGAAGCATTCCAAAATGATCTCATTCTCTGTTGAGCCCCTACTCCTACAGAAAAGCCCAAAATAAGTACATTTGAGCACCAGTTTCATTCTGTAACCCATTATTACTAATTATTTCCTACATTTTAATCGTATTCTTTGTATTACATTTCAAGCTACCCAAGGAGTTTAACTAGGTCTTGCTCTTCTATATTCTTCACAGTAATAAGTACCCAGGAGATGTTACAAATATTTTTTGTTTGCCCATACTTGGAAAGGCTGGATATATACCTACCAAAATACCTGACATCTATCATCAAGATCCCTTAGGATTCATATCATCAAAGCAGAGTGTTTTCAATTATCTATAAAGCACATGCAAATCTAGAGGAATTATTATGCACCATAGTTTATAAAAACATGGTGCATGTTCGCATTCTGTCTCACCATTCCTCACAGGCCATTCGAAGCTGAATGGTAGATGTGGTATCTACAGCAGGGTGCCACATGGAAGGTTAACATATCCCCAAGGCTGGCCCACCTCACCACATCATTCCAGTAGTTCAGAAGCAGATAGTAGAACAGAATACACTACATGTCTGGCCAGAAACAAAACTAGTATAAAAAATTCATGAAAATACCTAGAAGGCTGTGATTCCACATCAGTAAAGATGTTAGATTCCAGTCTCCCCTGTGAGAGCCAACCCACATCTACGTACCTACATAGAGATCAGCCTCAAGCAAGAAAGGCAGTTGTAGCTGCTTCTCTGCCTCCCACAACACTTTCCACCTCATCCCTGTGATCTGATTTATTCTTTGAGTCCTTGGTGAACTTTTGCTTTCTTCCACTTACAAACCACATAGGGGCCACTGTCTCTGGTCTCCCTTGAGCTTCTGGTCTCCTAGAGGGAGACAGGCATATACGCAGAAAATGAAAAACAAAACTAGGTTATAATTACGTATCAGACTCAATGGAGACACAAAAAGGAGAACTCAATGTAAGAGGTGAGGGGTAGGAAAGAAGTTTATGCTAAGCCTTAAAGGGTCAGAATAAAGTAAGACAATTAATCTACTAATATGTTAATTTTGAATAAGAAGGAGGAGGAAGAAGAGGGAACAGGAGTTTGTTTTTTCTTTGCTTCCTTTTTAAAATCCTTATTGTATTTCAAAACCTTACCTCTGCTTGCCAGCAGAGTGCATGTTGCCTAGTTGGGAAATGTAGCACTGCGTAGCCCATCACCTTATATTCAGGCTGGGATCAGCTCAGTGTTTACCAGGTATTAACAGAGTAAACTTAGGACCAAAGAACACAGCATCTGACATTGCAAAGAAGTGCCATGCAAAAGCTGTGTAACACCATCCTCAGAGTTATGGCCCTTATGCACTAAGAATACAGATGTGCATTCACTTGTTTATTCATTCACTCAACCAATGTTTACCCACCATTTATTAAGTGCCAGGTGCTGTGCTAGGCATCAGTGATATTTGGTGAACATTCTATATTTAGTTCTTGATCTCACGGAATGCACAGTTCAGTGGGGAAAGCAATCTGACACTCACAAGTCAACACATCATTATTGACCGTAAAAGGACCATGAAAAAGGAATAAAGTGCTAAAACAGCATTCAGCTGGAGACCTTCCCTGATTAAATGACTTTTCAGCTGAAGTCCAGGAAAGAGGGAACAATGTAAGAAACAGCATTCCAAGGAGAGGGGGAAAGATTTCTTAGCCTGCTCCATAGAAGCTCTAGAATCAAGTGAGTCTTATCTGAACTACCTAGGCAAGGATTCACAGGAAAGACTTCCAAATGCATTACCACTTCAAGATTCCCCTGCTGACCCTCCCAAACTCTAAACGGAAAGCACATCCTAATTTGAAAGGATGAAAAGGTGACTTTGCCTTCTGGGTTAATGTCTACACGAAAATAGCTTTGAAGAGAGTGAATGTGCCTTGTCTTTTTGCTAGTATAGTATGATGAATCATATCAAAGAATGGTTGTTTGCAAAGTCTGAGACAAGATCAAAATGCCATTTTCCTCTGAAACTGCAGCATGTGTTTTGTAAAGAAATCTTAGTGATATCTAGCAGGGAAATTTGCAGTCCAGAAATAGACTCCACACTGATTTCTACTGAAATTGAAACCAAGAAAGAAGGGGTATCCAGGGAAAGGGTGTAATCATGAGGTTAGAATGAGGGTTAGTGCCAGTCCTCCTATCACATACTCAGATGTTCTCCAGTAGTAGAATTAAAACAGCAAGTTACTCTAGCAGATGTTTTCAAATTAGCTAAAACCGTGTCACCAGAGTAAAGCAGCAAAGCTGGAAATGTGCCCAGAGAGACCTTCCCACAAGCCGCCTGAGGGAGCCATTTAAATGTCTCTGAGCCCTCCTAGTGCAGAGATTCAGATGCAAGGCTAGGGAGATAAGCAAGTCACAGCACAATGTCTCCTCATCCAAATGCTTATCCATGGCTTCAGTAAGACCACAACTCTGCTGAATATTAAGAAAACCTGGCAAGATTGAGCAGTTCCAAATCACACACTTTGTGGTTTGCTGTTGTGCTGTTGCTTACAAATCTGATAAGAAAACATTGAGAGAAGACAGAGAAATTGTCAATGGCAACAGATGAGCAAACCATGATAAGTGAATATGAAAATGAACAGTTTGGTTGCTGGCAAATCCTAGGGAGAGGGAGGAAGGTGGTTTGCATCTTCATAACATATTCAGAACACTGATATCTAGTTCACAATTAGATATCCAGTGGGACAATCACATCCCAGCTATGCTGGTTGTCTATCCAAGAAAAAGTCCAAGGATCTGAGCCAAATATCTGTGGATATAGATCCACAGGGCTTCCTTTTGCATGAGCTGGTTTTCCTAAGTGGGATGTTACTTGCTGCCCAGTAATCATTAACTCCTATAGGAGGGAGAAAATAATAAAGCAACCAGGAAAAATCTTAAGTCAATAATGGATGAAGATAACCCTGTTTCTCACTTATACAACAGCTATCTGTCCCCTACCATTTACTAGAGAGAAGGATGGGAAATGGTTGGGTCAACACGGCTCCTGTGCAATACCAACCTCTGTACAATCAGACTAAAGAACAGAAGACCTCAAAGGGATGTCATTCACCTTTTTAACTGCCTTATAATCACACCTCATTTTTTTCTTGTTCTCAATCACATGTTTTGCTCTGTAGGTGTGTGTTTGGCAGGGTTACAGGGAAAGGTGTAGCAAATATACAGTATACAGCATTGTATAAGCTAAATAGTTACATCTTAGAAGCAAAAGAACTGGTACCTGGTATCTCATACAATCGGTTATCTGTGGGTGTCTAATAGATTAAAATGAATGTCAGAAGACTATTTCTAAATCCTCCTCTGTGGTAATGCAATGTTTTAGATCTTCCTAGGAACAGCATCTTTGGCAATTCCTGATAGACCACACAACTAGAGAAAGTCACCTTCATCGGGCAGTAACAAGAATCGAGCTACAAATTCTCATGCTTCGGAAAAAAGAAAGAAAAAACATCTTTTGAGGGACACTGTAGTTATTCCTCTCTGAAAATAGAGAACTAGTAGCACTTAGGATCTTAGGAAATAAAACAGCTCAAGATATGGGATGTTTTTGAACATTCAGGTGTTTCAACAACAACATAAAGATTTTTCTACAATGCTAGCAAAGTATCTTTTTGTGATAGTGTTTCTTTAAAATAAAAAAAATGTACAAAAGACCAACATACCACAGACATAGGCATAGATTATAACTATGAGAAGTGAGGATTGGGGAAACGTGTTTAGGTTTTTCAAGAGTCTTTTTAGCCTTCTTATTTCAATGGTGTTCCTGTACCAGGGGAAATATAATTACCAATGGAAAAAGAGAAAATAAACAAAATAACCTAAAATTGTATCATTTTCTTAATTTAAGAAAAGAGAGGTAAGTGTGATTTCTATAGAGATGAAATCTACATAAAAGTAGATTTTAATTGGATGCTTCCTGAGAGGAAACCAATTTCCTCTCCTCTGATAAACAGTGGAGCAATTTGTGGGAATGGTCATGAAGGTAACATGAATTTGAGCTGATCATAGAAATTTCACTATAGAAATACACATTAGATAACATTTTACTATTATCTCTGAATTTGAAATATTACGAGATCAGAATCAAAACACTGAATTCTTTGTTTCTGAAAGAGTTGATGTTCAAAGAATATGGTATTCATCTCGATTAAGTTGTAGATGAAACTATTACTTTGCTGCATATTAGTGAATATTGCTCATATTCACTAAAATGAGTACTTTGTAAAACAAGTCCCCCTCTTCCAAGTTTTAATTTTATATTTAAAAAAAATCAATCTAAATGGCTATATGGAACAAAGGCACACATATTTAATAGAGTTAACTCAAAGTGCATGCAGTTTCTATTCCCAAATTGGGTTGAATAGGACACTTAAGCTTAGAAGGATTTAAAAAGTAGAACACTACAATTAGTTTTAGGCTATTTCTCTATATGCGCTACATAATATTTTGGAAGGAAGGTCTTGTCTCCATTTGCTTTCACTAATCGCTAATATGCTTTTACTGGGTTTTTAGTCCTGGCAGAACAAAGCTTATGTTGATGGAGAAATTAAAGATGCTAAACCATGAAAATTCCCTCCTAGGGAAAACTCATATACTCATTATTTCCCCAAAGCACAATTGCTTGTGTGAGATTTAAGAAGCCTTGTCAGAAAATTATTTTGACATATTTAAAAGAATGTTAACCAGTTCCTTTTGCCCATATTTATATTGCCTGTAATGTTTGAGATAAAGTATTGTATTTGCAGACTAATCTTAGAATGAAATATAGAGAAATAGATAGCTATAAATTTAAAAAAATCTATGTATGCAAGTACATTCTTCTTTACTCACACAAGGTAACTAACATTTTCTCTTAAGTAAATTAGTTTTTTAAAAATTCACAGAATTTTATATCTGCGACTAGGGGTATTGCAAGGCACTAACCAACTGAAACAACTTTACATTTAAGTACTAAATCTAAAGGAAATTAAGAACAGGGCTACTGACACCTGACTTCTATGAACTTTCTTGTTTCATGCCAGAGTATGAATTTTCTGAACCAAGGGTAGCGTTTATAACTTAAACTTTTTAAAATCATACATTTTGCATAGACATATTCATTATTTCTTTATAGGCTTGAATTTCCTTTTAAAAACTTAAAGAAAACTTTATATTCTTCTGGCATGAAATAAATTAGGATCTTGTAAAATTTCTTGCCTCCATGTCATTTCCGTTCAAGTTTTATTCAAGGAATAAAAAGTATTGCTTTATATGCAAAATGACCTAGGCCAATAGAAAGTCGTTTCCTGAACTGAAATCGTGCTATAAATAACAGTCAAAGGGCTGTTCTTTTTAGAACAGCTCTTTCAGGGTAAAAAATAATTTGCAGGATGTTTGCCTTAGGACCTAAAATCGCTTTCCTAGTTCTCAGCATTTCTCATCTCCATGTCTAACCACATCTTAGACTGATCTATCCTCACCTTCTACGAAGCCATTCACGAAGACCACAAAAGCTAAAAGATCTGTCTTTAATTGGTACTTTTATTATATGTCTTTCCTCGTAATTCCCTAACTTCACGTGTTATGGAAGGAGGCAGGGAGCATTCACCTCCCACGACCGGGAGTCAGTCTCTGTGTCAGGAGTAAGGAGTGAAGAGTCTCGCCTGGATCCACAAAAGACGTGACATCTCCCACCCAGCGTCCCACTGCTTGCCGCCTGGCTACCTTTAACCCCTTGCCCTCCGCACATCCTCCCCTTCTCTAGCAGAAAATTCCGCAGCGCTACGGTCGGGCTGGAGGCAAGCCCTGCAGCCGGGGGCGAGCGCGGCACTCGGACACAGGCACTCAGTGTCTCCGGCGCCGGCAGCCGAGCCACGGGCCACCCCTTCCCACGGCCTCCCGGTGCCACCCAGCGAGGCCGGGACAGCGCGCCTTCCGCAAAAAGCGCAGCAGCCGAAGTCCTGAAAGCAGGGTCTTCATCGCCGCGGGCCCTCCGAAGGTGCCTCTCCCAGCTGCAGCCGCCCCTCAATGAAAGTGCAATGTGTTATCTCGCCCAGCCCAGAGGAGAGGTCCCTGTTTGGCCTTGGTTCCAGCCCGGCTCATTCAATTCGCTGAATGTCGGGTCTCCCGGCCCGCCCCGCGATTCTCCGGGAATTGGCCTTGGCCGCGGGCAGGGGGCGACTCTCCAGTGACCTCCTCCTTGGACCCCATTTCTCTCTCTCTCTCTCTCTCTGTGCCTGTCTTTGTGTCTCTGTTTCTTTGGCTTTCTCTTACAAACGCACGGGGGAGTTGGTCCTTTTCCACAATGCCAAAATGTCACCCAAAAAGCTAGTGCAACAACTTGCTTTGCAAACGACCCAGGAGCCTGCCGAGAAAGCCCTGCGGGGAGCAGCCCCCTCCTCCCCTGCAAGGTGCATCGGGGGTGGGGTGGGGGTGCGAATTTGACCGGTGGACATGACCGGGACAGGGGACCGGTGTTCTCCTCCCCTCCCCCTTCCGGGACCCTGTCGCAATTAGAAATCCTTCCCCTGCCTGGGTCCCCGTGGGGAGCCGCGAGGACCGCATGGCCGGAGAGGACGCGCTCGCCCCCGAGATCCCAGGTTACCCGGAGGGCCCGGGAGTGCACCCCGGGCGGCTGAAAGGGTAAGGAGCGCGGACTCTCGAGCCAGCGGCCGGGGGAGCCCAGCCCGCAGCCCCTCCGCGGGCGAGGGAAGCGGCGACCGCGCGGCAGGCAGCAGCCAGGAGCCACCCAGCGCGCCGCGACCGCCGCCGCCGCGCACGCCCCAGCCCCGCGGCGCAGCCCGGCGTTACCTGGCCGCGTCCCGCAGTCCGGCCCTCGCTGGCTGCGTCCGTCCGTTGGTCCCACGAGCCTCGGAGGAAGGAGAGAGATGTCCCCGCGACCAGGACCGGCTCTCAGCGAGGTGACGGGAAGGACTCGAGAGAGGAGCCGAGGCGGCGGCGGCCGTTCGCGCCGCCTATGCTGCCGATTCCCCGAGGCGGAAGGTGTCCGCGAGGCCGTGTCCTGGAGATTGCGGCGCCCGAAGCGCAGCGCTCGCCTCTGGAGCGGAGGCTGAGCGCCGGGACGCGGCGGGCTGGGGCTGCAAGGCTGGGCTGGTGACCCGCCCCTGGGTGCATGTTAATACGGTGGGGAGGAGGAGTCCCGCGCTTCCTCCGCCCAACCACCGGAGCCGGCGGGCGGGCGGCGGCCGCGGCCCGGAGCCAGCCGCTCCCACCCGCCCCAGCTACTACGGCGCGGCGCGACCGCGGGCTCCGGCCCCAGCCCAGGCACGTGCGCCCAGGCCGCGGGGAGGCGCCGGCGCCTCCCGGAACGCGCTCCTGGCCTGCGAGTGCTGCCCGCTCAGTCTCCGGGTGGGAAGTGCGCTCGCCCCGGACCGAGGGGAAAGCCCAACATCCCCGGGATGGAACAGAGAGGCGGCCACCCGTGAGTGGGCGTGACCCATTGGTTCCCTTGCGCAGCATCTGTGGAGAATTAAGCTTTCCCCTCCTCTCTTGCCAGCCGTTGTTCCTAATCTTGTCTTTTTTAAGGGAGGAAAGCAGGAGAACTCATGACACTTTGTATCACAGGAAATCAAGTTGGTGGACAGAGGGTTTGCTGACCTCTCCCGTCCCTCCTCAGGGTCCCTAGGAGAATTTTTGAAGAAGTAATCGGCAGCAAGGAGATGGGGGCAATAGAGAGTCTCAGACTCGCAGGGACCCATGTTCGTCCCCAGCGCCACTACTTTCAAACCGTTATCCCTCAGAGCTGTTTCCTCACCTCCACAACAACTCTCCCGGGTTCGATGACACTATATATCCCACCAGTTCATCTTGGTACAGGCCAAAAGGTAATTCAAAAAGCGAAACGAATCTCATCTCCTGACCTGTGCCCTCGGTAAAGTCCCCAGGTTCCACCCCAAGTACACTTGGAAGCCAGGCCCCTCCACACAGGCTGAGCACCACGCTTCCACAAACTGAAAACAGAGAGAATCCACTTGGTTTCAAAGTTAGAATAGGGATAGCGGCGTGAGTGGGTGAATTGCGATGTGGGTCAAGGAGAGAAAAAAGTAAATCAATTAAGTATTTATTGAGCTCCTGCGCTGCCCACTTAATTGCAAACGTTACAGTAGTTAAAATAATCGTGGTTAATCACTGCCTTATTATTTCCTTCTATTAAAAAAAGAAATGGCATCTTCATGGAGAATGTCCTTTGTTCTACAGCTTCCTGAGGGAATATTATGCCAAAAAGTACATAATCTTTATGTAATTTTATCCAGAAGTTATAGCATAAGATTTAGCATCTGTTTTGTGTGATGTCTAATTATAAATATTAATAGAATATCCTTTTAAAGACAACACTTCTAAAAATGCAAGGAAGTGAAAAACAGTTTTCATAAAAATATGACTCAGATAAATAACCTCTTTCCTGCAATTTCACTGAGTGATTTTCCATTAAAGAAAATAACAATTACTGAAACCACTAAATGGAGGTAAATTCTCAGCATTGTAATATCATGAGCACCGACGCTTTAGCAATGATCTAAAAGATATTCTCAGACAATTCAAGAATTACTATAGGGGCCCAGCTCAGTGGCTCACACCTCTAATCCTGGCACTTTGGGAGGCCGAGATGGGCAGATCACTTGAGGTCAGGAGTTCAAGACCAGCCTGGCCAACATGGTGAAAACCCATCTCTACTAAAAATTCAAAAGTTAGCTGGGTTGGTGGTGGGCGCCTGTAATCCCAGCTACTCTGGAGGCTGAGACATAAGAATCACTTGAACCCGGGAGGTGGAGATTGCAGTGAGCCGAGATCACACCACTGCACTCCAGCCGGGGTGACAGAGCGAGACTCTCAAAAAAAAAAAAAAAAAAGAATTATTATAGGGACACTTCAAATCGGATTCCCTGAAAAGGCAAAATACTGATATGTGATAATAGCCTTCATAATTTGGAAAATTTGCCTTTCCAGATTTGTAAATATGTTTAATTAATAGATTTTCTTTTCTAATTTTTAAATTGATATATCACAGTTGCACATATTTTGCAGGTAGATACAATAATTTGGTATATATATACAATGCATAATGATCAAATCAGGGTAATTGGGATATCCCTCACCTCATTTATCTTTTCTTCGTATTGGGAACATTAGAATTCTTCTCTTCTAGCTATTTTGAAATATACAATAAATTAAACTATATAGTTCCTCTGCTGTACTATTGAATACTAGAGCTTAATCCTGGTATCTAACCACGTTTAATCCATAGATTCTTCCAATGACATCACATAAATAAGAAGGTCAGTATCATTGTCAGGCCCTAACTCAAATTAGATGAATTCAGTGAATAAAATTACTTGAAGTGGAAAATCAATTTTCTTACAAAATTGTTATGGTAGATTTAACCCAGCAACAATAATATCGATGTAACATTGCTATTATTAGGTTTTTCTGACTGTAGGTGACAGAAACCAAAGTTGGCTAACTTAAGTGAAAATAATTTATTAGAAAAATATTGAAAGCTTCCAGAATTAAAGAGAGGACTGGAAAGCAGTCTTGGAAACAGTCAGGATTTGAGGCAATACCGATGGGCTAGGAAGCAGGAAAGACAGCAGTTTGGTTTGGTGCTGCACAGTCTACTTGAGAAAATACCAAATTTTTCTCACCTTCCATTACTGAATCAAGATTCAAAATCACAGGGTTGAGTATTTATTTGCTTGGCCAAACTTCATGGAGGCACTGACTCCCTGGCTATATATACCAGGACAGGAAGAAGAAACGTTTGATTTCTCGACTTTCAGGATGGAGGGTGGGCACCTGGATTTATGACACTTCCACAAGAATACATAATTGAAGATAGGTAATTCCTCAAAATAAAATCAGAGAGTGATGAATAAGGAGGATTTGATGCTGAGATTTTTTAAAAATGATATACATCTGGTACTTTGGCCATGAAATTTATATTCTAATTCTTATAGTTACTTGAAAACAAACAATGATATTGTGTAAGGAAAACTGATAGCACTTCTTTTCGTTGTTGTTATTCGTATGCTTGTTTTTAGTTAAGAGATTTTTAAATGTTGTTTAAATATCCTATGGCTGGTTACCTTATTTGTATTCTCATAGCACCTGTAAGCACTACTGCAAGCCAGAGCTTGTCATCTGGGCTCATTTCATCACTGAATAATGGCCATGAAAAGATGTCCAAGTTCTAATCCTTGGAACCAGTGATTGGTGCCTTACCAGTGATTGGGCTTCCGGGTTACCCTAGTTGGCCCAATTGTAAACATAAGGTACTTATAGGAAGGAGTCAAGAAAGTCAAAGGCAGAAGAAAAAGATGGGATGATGGAAACAGAGGTTGAAATCATGCACTTTGAAGATGGAGGAAGGTGGTCATCAATAAAAGACTATAGGTGATCTCTGGAAACTAGAAAAAGTGAAAAAAGGATTCTCCTCTAGAGTCTTCCAAATGGAACACCGGTCTACTAACATCTTGATTTTAGCCCAGTTAAACTGGTTTTAGACTGACCTCCAGAGCTATAAGATTAAAAAATTTGTGTTGTTTTAAGCCATCAAGTCTGTAGTAATTTGTATCAGCAGCCACAGGAAACTAATACAGACAGCTTACCCAGGCGTTGGGAGCATGCTTTCAAAAGCACCCTATTGGTAGTGGGTGGCATGGTAGCCCTCACTATAGAAGAAGCGCAGAAAAGTATACCTACTTTTGGAGAAGCTAACTCGAAGCTGGTTAAGTTAGCAAACATGTTGGTGAGAACAGGAAATTGGAAACCATGGACAGATAGGGTTCCTATGCAAGAGTTTCCGATTCTCTAGTTACATCAAAATGGCGGCACTCCTAGACCACAAAATCGTCAGACAGGTAAAATCCCATGAAAATGAAGCGTAGAGGGTGGTGGGGGGCAGCCCTGCAATACGGGCTGCGGCGGTACACGGGGACCCGGCTGCAATGGCTGCGGGGGTGGCGAGCAACTACTAAACTTCCTGGGGAAGCGAAATAGAATTTCGTAAGAACAAAATGGATAGAGAGGAGAAAACCTGTGGTGGATGTGAAGGCCCTGGTGCCATGTATGTCAAATTGATATCATCTGATGGCCATGAATTTATTGTAAAAGGAGAACATGCATTAACATCAGGCACGATAAAAGCCATGTTGAGTGGCCCAGGTCAATTTGCTGAGAACGAAACCAATGAGGTCAATTTTAGAGAGATACCTTCAAATGTGATATCAAAAGTGTGCATGTATTTTAAAATGAAGCACAGTTGTGAAAGAAGAAAGAACTCAAAGGGCATTTTGAATGGTGAATGTGAACGACATAAATTTATTCTGTATTAATAGAGCGTTCTTATCCAGTCTCATGGTTTCGAGTAACATTAAAATGGTGATAACTTCTACATCCTCTCAGATCAGTTTAAGATTTGTAAATCCAAAGGCCCACTAGACAAATCATGAAATTTCCAGTTATCTCAAACTTAATGGGTCTGCATTAAATTCACCATCATCTGCCTTTCACCTCCATTCACATTTATTTCATTTCCTGTTATACTATATGAATTCATGGCACTATTATCCACCAAGTCACTAACACCAGACACCTGTGAGTTTTCTTAGACTTCTGCACTCACCAATCACCTGCAATCCAGCACCAAACGCTGTTGACTTCTTCCACTGTCTGAGTAGGTCTTGAATTCTTTGTCTATTTCCATTTCTATTATATGGCCCCATCAGGCCTTCATCGTCTCATCTCCAGGTTATTATACTATCTTCCTATCTTCTTTCCATTTCCTCAGTTTTGCCTTCTCTTCATTGCAGCAGGAGTGGTCTTCTAAGAATGCAACTCTGACCATGCTACTTCGGTGCTTTAAAATCTTTAATAATGACCATTATTTACCATATAAAGTTTATTTATTTATAATGACATACAAGGTTCTTCATAAACGTGGTTTCATCTTCTTCAGCCATTCCTCCCATGATTTGTACATTATGCCTCGGTAAATCAAACTGCTGTTTATAATGCCATTTATGTATCATGCTCTGTAATAGATCTTTAACTTTTCCTTACTTTATTCCCTGTCTTCAATTCCCTCTCTCTGCTTTTTCTGGCTAATATTTATTGATCCTTCAAGATGGGCTTCAGTATACCTCTTGCCTAAAAAAGGGACATTAGGTTGGATTAAGTGTTGCCAATGCTCACTGTACCTACCACTATCTTAGCTCCTACCACATTCTATTACAATTTTCAGATTATGTAGGTTATGTTTTTAAGACTTTAGCTATCCCTGTTTGGATCACCAATACCTAGCATAAAAATGATCTCTCAATAGATAATCAATATGTATTTATTAAACTCGATTGACCTGAACTGCTCTGAGAATATATTGTGGTGTCAGGATATACCCTATTATTTAATAAAAACATGTGTATGATACAATATAACATGTATCCAAATTTTAAAACCCATCCCTCATCAGGTTTAGTAAATGGGGAGCTTTCTTTCTCGTGCTAAACAAAAACAAACAAAAAAATTGAAGAAAGATGTTTGAAAACACCCTGACTAGTTTTTCTTTATAGTAGCCAATCCAGTGAAATGAAAGGATCTTAACCTTAAATTCTTTTCACTGAATGTTTTGCTTTATGTTTTATTTAACAATTTTCATTAAAGATGTAAATATTGGAATACAATGGACTTAGCTTCTGTTTTACTCCCTTCTTTTATTCCCTGACATTCTTTTAAAACTTAAATTTTTAAATTGATACATGATAATTGTATATATTTATGGAGCATGGTGTGATGTTTTAGTACATGTATATACGTTGTATAATTATCAAGTCAGAGTATTGAGCATATCTATCGCCTCATACATTTATCATTTCTTTATGGTGAGAACATTCAAAATTCTCTCTTCTAGCTATTTATAAATATAAAATATAATATTGTTAGCCATAGTCATCCTACTGTGCAATAAAGCACCAAAACTTGTTTATTGATTAATCTACACATGCTGTTTCCTCTTCTTGTCTTCATCCCCTCTCCCTCCTTTATTCTTCTACCCATTGTCATATGGCTTGAGCCTTGCACATTGCAATTTGGCTTTGTTCTGATAAAAGATGTCTAATTTTCTCAACAAAAAGACCCTTTGTAATTCCTATTTCCTTGATCTCTAAATAAAATTTTAGGCTATAGACAACTGATTTTTTAAAAATTCCACCAGAAATTTCCATAGCTTCACTCTGGCCTGTTTGTTTTCTACTTCTCTGCCCCCAGGTTTTCTTACTACCCCTCCTAAGTTGCAATTTTCATGTCCCCAGGATGGTAGCTGAGGCGATGACATCTCTGAAGAGAAAGAGCCTGCAGCCAGGAACCCAGGGAATCTCTGGTGGGAGGCAACCCAGGGAAACAGTGGTACAAAAACCAAGGAGTGGGAGAATTTCAGGAGATGAGACTGGTTGACGCTGAATTTTAAACCAACATTTTTGCACGAATAATGTCTCCACCAGAAAATACGTACAGCACTCACAAATTCATCATCACAAACCAAACAGGCCATCTTCCATCCAGTCAGTCTTTCCACTGGTGATTCTTGATTCCACCACATACCCAGATACTGAAGACAGAAATATTAATATTAAAGTCATTCTGTATCTCTTTCTTCCACATTATTGCTACATCTAGCCCCTAAGTGTTACCAAACTCCTAAAACAATAAGCTATGTATTTTACTCCACTGCTTAAATTTTTTTCAGAAGATCCTCTCTGTCTTCAAGGTAAAATTGAAAACAATAAGTATGACCTGTAAGCCATTCACAACCTTTTTCTTCATTAAATTATCAAATTAATTCATTTGAGTGGAGTGACTTTTCACATTTTGAAATACTTGGTTAAAAACTGTATTGAAATAATTGTAACAGGTTGGGAATAACTATTTGTAGTGAAGAACAAATATGAAGGAATTCAAGAGTAGTAAGTGCAAAAAAAGAAAATATATACATCTATATACAGTAGGAACTAATGATAGTAAATGAATCTGGGTCAACTATCTACCAGCATAGTGGTAAATGGGGGAGAAAGAATCAGAATATCCCAATAACTAACAAAAATTAACATATTATTGTATAAATTTTGAGAAGAGACATGCTCCAGATTTTTATGTCTAGAAATATCGTATTTAAGAGTTCACTTTCAAGCATTTTAATTTTACCCTTCAAGACATTTTACCCTTTCAAAAACTTTCTTGTAATTATGTAGTACTCTAATTTCTCCAGATATGTAAATGTTCTTGACAGACTACATTAAGTAAAATTGTTTTAAAAGAAATAACAAGATTAGGATTTGACTTTTAATTTCACAGGCAATATATCTAGGCAGGTGAAAGAATAATTTTATTATTTTTTAATTAATCTTTTTTCATATTGCACTAAATTTGACTGCTCATCTTTTTCAAATCCAGTTCACATT
Source organism: Homo sapiens (assembly GCF_000001405.40). Taxonomy (NCBI): domain Eukaryota; kingdom Metazoa; phylum Chordata; class Mammalia; order Primates; family Hominidae; genus Homo; species Homo sapiens. The sequence goes on from NC_000018.10 coordinate 4,462,667, forward strand.
TAAGTTTTTTATATAAGATAGACATATTCTGGATCTGTCAGGGAGAAATGCCATTTTAAACATGACTCTCATTAAAGAGAATCTAGATTAAAGAAGTATTCACAATACTGGAATGACCTGAATTAACATAAACCAGTAACTTAACCAGCAATGAGCATGCACATTTGTGTAGAATCTTATTTTGTTTTCATTGTTGTATACAGCGGATTTAAAAGGAAAACACCTTCCTTTTTCAGTAAAAGAATGTGTAGTTCAGGGAAAATCAGCAGTGAATATCCAGTGATTGCATGAATAACTGATGAGTTACACACAAATAATTCTGTGAATAAGCCACTGTCCTCTAAGAATCAGATTCTTTAGATGCAAATTTGTCGGAAGATGTAATTTATTCAATCCTGAGAAGCACAGCTCCCACACTTGTATTATTGATATTGATAAGCCCATATTAATACATTTTAAGATACATTTTTTAAAAAGGTGTGTATATATTCATGTTTGGGACACTAGAAAGACCAAGATGGACTTCCTAGGGTTATTTAAGACATTCTGTTTCTAATATTCATTCTTTCTAATTAATCATAGTCTGCTTATGCTCTATTTGATACTAAAAGACTTGCAGGAAAACAGACAGACAGACAAACAAGTAAGGCATGGCTTCTGTCCCTAAGAATTCTCCACTTTAAAGTATAAATTAATGAAATAATATTGGTGAAATGCTTAGTTCAAATCTTGTGGGAAAGTTGGCATTCAATAAATGGTAGCTGATGATGATGTTCACAATGATGATGATTACTATAGCCTTGTGAGCATTAGCATTTAGAGTGATAACATATCACATGATAATAATTCATATGCCAGCAACCTGAACTCTCTGGAATATAGCCCTAACATAGGCTCTACACAACACATAGATATTACTAAGGCTATACACTGAAGCTCATCTGAGTGTTCCTTAGACCTTCGTTCTTAATTTACACAGGGAATGTGGCAGAAGCATGCTAGCTGTGCACCAAAACATAATTGGTGCACAGAGCTAATCTGCTTTCTCCAGCTACCCTACAGTTACGACGATAGGATTGTGTTCTAGTGAAGTGAATGTAGGTAGAAATTATGTCTGTCACTTCCAAGTCTGCCATAGAAACCTCTTACAACACCCTCCATTACCTCTCTCCACATGGCTATTTGGAGTGTGTCTTGTATTGGAAATGGCAGAAACCCAAAAAAACATACAGCCTCCCAGTTGGATATTTTATTATTATCTGTTGCATTTATTGTTGAGATTTTGGGGTTTCTCAGCACAGAGCTAGTGTCAATTTATCTAATACAATGAAGAAGTAAATGAAAAAATATGAAGTGTCTACTGTATTCTAGACCTTTTGTATACAATATTTTATTTATCCTCTCAAGCAAACCTTTGAACTAGCCATTGATAGTTTCACTTAAGGATGAGGAAACTGATGCTTGAGTTAAATAAGTTTTCTGGGATCCACAGCCGGTGAGCGGCAGAGTCGAAATTTGAACCTCAGTTTGGCCTCAGAGCTTGTATTTTCACAACACATCTTTCTCTAATCTTTGGTTGACTTAACAACTGAATAAGAGTTCTATTTCTATGACAGTTTTATAGCAATAATTTAAAAAACAGATATTTTTAAAATTATGTTGTCTATTATGGAAGCAATAGACAACAAATAAATCATAAAAAGCTGAAACAAAGTTGCACAAACCGTAGACTAGAAGCCCAGGGGCATTTGTGTGGGTAAACAGTGCTAATTAACTTTAAAGATGCTGACATTATCTGTACATTATGGCCCTAAAATGTGGTTAACATACTTAATGATAATCTTGCATTAGTAAGAAAAAGACAATTGTATTTGTGTACAATGTTTAAATGGCAGAGAATTGTGCAATTTCATTCAACAGTTTTGTTGAAATATTGATGTACAATAAACCAAATGAATTAAATTGTACAATATAAATTCTAATATATATGTATGTGTAAATAAATATGTATATATATTTGACACATATGTATAGATACAGGTGGGTATCTATATATGTGTGTGTATACACACAGGCACAAACACACACTGATAGAACCATCATCGCAATAAAGATAATGAACACATCTATTACCTCCTAAATTTCCCTCTCCCTTTTTATCTCCCTCTTATCATTTTCCAAACCCTCTCTTTCCCTGAAAACTCCATTCTGCCTCTTGTCACTTCAGATTATTTTATAAAATGTTTGTATAAATGGTATCATACAGTATGTACTGCTTTTCCCTCTAGGCTATTTCACTCAGCATGTTGCAGGGGTCATCCATGTTGCTGTGTGTATTGAAATTGATAGTTCACTTCTTTTGGTTGCTGAGTCATTTTCCAGTTTTTGGCTATTAGAAAATACGCTTTCATGAGCATTTGGGTGTAAGTCTTTTTAAGGAGATCTGTTTTTATTTCTCTAAGACAAACACCCAGGAGAGTGATCACTCAGTCATATGGTGTGTGTTGAATTTTTAAGAAACTGCCTTATTTCTAATGTATTTTGATCAGTTTAGAGTCCCACAGTGAGTTTATGACAATTCAGGTTCCTCCATATCCTCACTAATACTTGCTATGCTCAATCTTTTTAATTTTAGACATTCTAATAAGTGTGTACAGGTATCTCCTTGTCATTTTAATTTGCATTTACCTAATGACTAATGATGATGGGCATGTTTTTATGCGCCTGTTTGCCAATCATACATCTTTAGTGAAGTATCTGTTTGAAATTTTTGCCTATTTTTAATGAGCTGTTTTCTTTTTATTCAGTTTTGAGAGTATTTTGTATATTGAATACAAGTCCTTCATTAGATACTTGCAAATAGTTTCTCCCGGACTGTGGCTTGTCTTTTCATTCTCTAAACAGTGTCTTTCTAAGAGCAGAAGTCCTTATTTTCTATGAAATCCAATTTGTTATTTTCTTTATTTATAGATTATACACTTTGTGTTTTGTATCTAATAAATATTTGCTTAAATCAAAGATGCAAAGATTTTCCTCTTTTGTTTTCAAGAAGTCTTACAGTTTTAGGTTTCATATTTATATCTATGATCTGTTTTGAGTTTATTTTTATATATCATGTGAGGATCAAATTTTATTTTTTTTGCATATAGGTATGTAATTGTTTCAGCACTATTTGTTGTACGTATAATCTTTTTCCACTGGACTATCTTTGCAACTTAAAAAAAATCAATTGACTGTATATGTGTGGGTCTGTCTGGACTCTGTATTCTGTCTGTCCCATTGATTTTTTTTTTTTTTTTTTTTTTTTGAGACGGAGTTTCACTCTTGTTGCCCAGGCTGGAGTGCAATGGCCCAATCTTGGCTCACTGCAACCTCTGCCTCCTGGGTTCCATGATTCCCCTGCCTCAGCTTCCCGAGTAGCTGGGATTACAGGTGCGTGCCACCACGCCCAGCTAATTTTTGTATTATTTATTTATTTATTTATTTTGAGACGGAGTCTCGCTCTGTCGCCCAGGCTGGAGTTCAGTGGCATGATCTCGGCTCACTGCAAGCTCCACCTCCTGGGTTCAGGCCATTCTCCTGCCTCAGCATGCCGAGTAGCTGGGACTACAGTCGCCTGCCACCACGCCCGGCTAATTTTCTGTATTTTTAGTAGAGACAGGGTTTCACCGTGTTAGCCAGGATGGTCTCGATCTCCTGACCTCGTGATCCGCCCTCCTCGGCCTCCCAAAGTGCTGGGATTACAGGCGTGAGCCACTGCACCCAGCCTTGAATTCTTTGTTTCTCTTCATGTCAAAACCACACTGTTTTGATTACTGTGCCTTTACAATAAGTCTTGAAGTCAGGTTGTATAAGTCCTCCAATTTTGTTCATTTTTTTGAAAGATACTTTGTTATTCTTGGTCTTCTCCATTTTCATATGGATTTTAGAATCACAGTTTTAATTTCTAAAATTAAATAAATAAAAGACTGTGGAGATTTCAATTGGAATTCCTTGGAGTCTAAAGATCGACTTGGAGAGAAATGATACCTAACATAAACATGGCATATTTTGCCATTTTTATGTGTTTATCTCAGCAATGTATTATAGTTTTCAGTACACTAATTCTGCACAACTATTTTGAGAGTTATCTGAAGAATTTTATATTTGTGATGCTATTACAAATAGTATTATTTCACTTTCTAATTGTTCACTAAAAGTATATGGGAAAAATGATATTTGTGTACTTTTATCAAATTTGCTAATCTTATTCATCTTAGTAGTTTTTTGTACATATCACAGGATTTCCTAAATAGACAACAATGTCATCTGTAAATAAAGATGGCTTCACTTTTATAACTTTGATGCCTTTTATTTTATTTTTCTTGCCTATGTTCTTGGCTAGAAACTCTAGTGCAGTATTGAATGGAAGTGATGACAGCAGTCATCCTTGACATGTTTCTGAGCTTAGCAGGGATACATTTATGCTTTCATCATTGATTATGATATTATAGTACTTTCAAAGATGCACTTTATCAGGTTGAGAAGTTTTCTTTTTTGAAAATTTCAGCTCTTACTTTAGATTCAGGGGATACATGCGCAGGTTTGTTACAAGGGTATATTGTGTGATGCTGAGGTTTGGTGTACGATTGAACCCATTACCTAGGTAGTGAGCATTGTACCCAATAGGCGGTTTTTCAGCCTTTGCCCTCCTCCCTCCCTCTCCCTGCTTGTAGTTTCCAGTGCCTATCATTCCTATCATTGTGTTATTTAGCTTTTACATAAATGGGGATTTTCAAAATAAATTTGTTACTGATTTCTAATTTATCTCCAAGTGAAAAATGTAGTATAGATCATATCATTTTAACATGGTCTAAATCAAATTCTTTGAAATTTATTGAAATACTGTCATATCATGTGCAGAGGCAGAAGTCAAATAATCCAGTCTTGGATCCAACATTGAGTGTGTATACTCCATGAGGACATTGACTACGAGATCCACATTTTTTTTTGTAGCTATATCCCTAGAACCTTACAAAGTCTGACACATAGTAGGTACAAAATAAATATTTTCTCAATGACCAAATGAGTTAGTTAATAACAAAGCTGTGGTCATTTCTCCCATATAAACCCCACATGTGGGGGGAACCAGCCTATTATTCCTACAGTATTTTATTTTAGCTAGAATTCTTTGAACATCTTGTATATAGAAAACTAGATTATACTAGGTGCTTGAAGGGGATACATAGATGTGTAAAACCTAATCTTTGCCTTCAAATAATTTTCAGTCTAGAGGGAGAATGAGAAAGAGAAACAGCTAACTATGATACAAGACGTAATTATACATATGTGAAGCCTACAGAAGCATTGCTTTGGCAAAAAGGAGTAATTAAATTTAATAGAGATGCCTTCTTCTGAGTGCTAGAATAATAATCTGTATGAAGTGGCCTCTAAAGAAATGTTGCTAGTTTATTGGAAATTTGATAATATTCATTTAATTAGTCCTGTGATAAATGAAGGAATTTTTCCCCATGGAAAAGATTCTGCTTAAAAAGACTAATGAAATAAAGTGCTTTAACATTTTAAGAGGGGCATCCCATCTGCTTCAGATGTTTCCCTGTCCCCTTGACTATTTAGATTTGGAATCTCAGGCACCAATCAGGTCTGGAACCAGTAGCATAGATTTATGCTCTGAGCAATTATTTGAAAGTATTAAATTAAAATAAAGCCTCCTGACATTTCAGTCAATTTCTTTTCCTTCTTTCTAGCTGATAACATCTAAGTTAGGAAAAATGAGGTAGCCACAAAGAGTACCTCAAAGAATTTAGACTTCTGCCCAATTCTTATGTTAGACATTCCAATACTGTACAGGCAGCTGGAAAGAGATTTCAGGTAGAAGTGTGACTGTTTTATGTTTCAGAAGCTTGGCTTTTGAAGTTTTATTTCACAATCTAACACCTTTGACTCTGCTCACCAATGCAGTGCTCAGCTCTCCTAACCACTCCTGGGAAACGAGGGGGTCAAATTGTTGAAGTGTAAATGTGCTATCTGTTCCCATTGTTCACATACACACATTCACCGCATCATGGGGAAACCACACCGGCTCCTTCAGCAGGATGCATTTAGCTTTGATAGAATTAGCAATAGGGAGCCTCTGAGGTGTTTTAGTCAAGGATGAGGAACACTGAAAAAAAAAAAAAAAAAAGACAACCAAAAAAAAAAAAGCACATGTCATTGAGGTGCTAACAAAAGAAGAGACATAAAATATTTAAAAAGCAACATTCTTTAGGGCTCATTTCCATTCACATAAAGTTCTGCAAAATGTTCAACTTGCTTGGTCTTTAAGTCAATAACAAGAAAATGCAGAGAGATAGAAAATGAAAAATTAAAGAAGAAAATGAAGAAAAGGGGGATTTTTGAAAATATTTTTCACTCCTGAGGTGAGCCTAGTGAGACTGAAACAAGCCACCAACCAGAGGCAAACACATTTCTCACCTAAAGTCATACCTGAGCTGCCCTTAGCTTAAGGAAAAACTGAATGGATTCGATGATTATAACAATGACTTTAAAACATTTTAGCAGAATATTTTTCTCTTTTTTCCTTTTTTTGTGGGGGATGCTGAGGTGGTTTGGTGGGGAAATCACCATTAAAATCCATTTAGAAAGTATTAAAAAGCATAATTTCAAAGTCTAAAATAGGTCAATAAAGGTACTATTTTTAAAATAAGGTAATTAATTAGTTAATTTTTTTGAGACAGGGACTCACTCTGTCACCCAGGCTGGAGTGCAGTGGTGATCATAGCTCAGTGCGGCCTTGGACTTCTGGGCTCAAGCAATCCTCCTGCTTCAGTCTCTCGAGTAGTTGGGGAAAACGGGTGTGCTACTACGCCCAGCTAATTTTTTATTTTTCTTTTTTTTTTTTTTTTTTTAGAGTCGTGGTTTCACTGTGTTGCCCAGGCTGGTCTTGAACTACTGGGCTTAAGTGATCCTCTCACCTTGACCTCCCAAAGTGCTAGGATCACAGTTGTGGGCCACCATGGCCAGCTTCTGATAGACCAGATTTAACTTAAAAATCCTAATCGGTCAATCATTAATAAATGTATAAAATTCAAAATTTACATGCTGGAATATCACAGCAATGCCAAATTCCTCTGAGTTTTTAAGTGCTTACTCTTGTTATTTGTACTTATTTCCCCACAGATCAGCAACAAACATTTTGCAGCCCAGCTACAATCTACGAACTTCTTAGAAAAGCTGGTAAAGAGAGCCAAGGGTCAAGAGTTAAGTCACGTACATACTGTTGACCAAGTGATCCACCAAAGTGCAAAGGAGGCCACACACTTTGGAAGGTCATCCAGGCTCTGGTCTATTTCTGCTTTTAGTACTCCTCAAATGGCACTCAGGCCCACCAGGCTTCCCCTTGCCCCTACTAAGTTGAGTAGTCTGTTAATCTCAGTGCCGTTCTATGCAGGTTGGAGATTGATTTGGCTCCTTCCAGCACCTAGTTCTCCTGCATTCCTGCTGCTGTGTTTTAAACACTGCTGGTGATATGGCTCTGGGGATATCTTCCTCCGAGCTAGTAGTTATTTGCCTTATTATTTTTCTGTTTCCTCAGAAAAGGGCTCCGCAACATGTAAAAGACAATGAAATGAAAGAGGAGGACACAGGAGAACACAGACAGGTACATGGGCTATTCATTTGTGGAGAGTCCTTGATCCTTGTCTTTGAAAAACACTGTCTTTGGAGAAATTATAAAGTAAAGATTAAATAACAGTTGGAATAAAAGTTCTGTGATGAGAACTAAGTAGTTGATTGCAATGGATGATTTGAGATTTCACAAGTTAATACGTGAAATGGCAGAGGACAAAATTCCCACCTTCTACCTACTTTGCACCTAAAATGTGCAGATGCTTGAGGCTAGACATGAGCACACAGCCATGCTGCCCTGTCTCACTTTAAATCAATAATCACTAAGGACAGTTGGTCCTTACTGCTGCCCAGCTTCCCACCCATTTACCTAGTCTATTATTCTCTCACCATCCTACTTCAACTACATCCCTAGTTGACTAGAGCTTAGGACAGTCAGGAACTGACAGATGGGTTGAGTTCAATACTCTCCTCCACTCCCTATTCTTGCTGACAGCAAGAATGAAGAGTGATGTGCTCTGGGCCACTAACATGGAGACAAGCCGCTCCAGTTCTCCCATAGAATGTGGCTCAATTTCTTTAGAAAAGAGCTTAAGACATTTCTTTTGGGCAGCTTATCAACTAATGCAGCTGTTCTGAGTATCAGGCTTTCCATTTATCTAATTTTATCTCCTCTGTTTGTTTCTTCTTCCTTTTTGCTCTTACTAGTGCATTGCATATGCTGTGCCAGAGCTCCCTGGAATCCATTTCATCTGCCAACATTGCTTTGTTGAAATGTCTTACCTATTGATATGCGCAACAAGTAGAGTGCACATTGAGTAAAAGAGTCTCACACTCAGGTACATCATCATAAAATTTTAATACACCACTGTTAAAGAGAGAATCCAGGTCAGGCACAGTGGCTCATGCCTGTAATCCTAGCACTTTGGGAGGCTGAGGCGGGTGGATCACTTGAGGTCAGGAGTTCAAGACCAGCCTGGCCAACATGGTGAAACCCTGTCTCTACTAAAAATACAAAAATTAGCCAGGCATGGTGGCACACGCCTGTAATCCCAGCTACTTGGGAGGCTGAGACAGGAGAATTGTTTGAACCCAGGAGGCAGAGGTTGCAGTGAGCTGAGAACAAGCCACTGCATTTTAGCCTGGGCAACAGAGTGAGATTCCGTCAAAAAAAAAAAAAAAAAAAAAGAAGAGAGAATCCAGTATTCTCTGGAGAAAAAATACACATGCCTTAGCCTAATAATGGTATTGCCATTCTAAAATGGCAACCCTTGAAGAAAAAATACAATGGAGCATTGACCCTCAAATAAGTGCTATTAAAGGACTTGATCTGGATATCTGTATATAAAACAAAAAGAATTTTGATTTATGCTTCACACCATATACAAATGTGAACTCAAAATGGATCATAGAACTAAATATAAACTTAAAACTGTATAAATTCTAGACAAAAATATAAGATAAAATCAACGGAATGTTGGGTTGGGTGAAGAGTTCTTAGTTTTAATACCAAAAACACAATCCATAAAAAAAATTGGACTTTATCATAATGAAAAACTTTTGCAACATGAAAGACACAATAAGCTAATTAAAACCTAAGGCACAGCCTAAGAGAAACTTTTGCATAACACATAGCTGAAAAAAACTGTATCTAGAATACATGAAAAACACCCCAAACTCAATATTCAGAAAAGAAACTACCCAATTACAAACTGGATAAAACATATGAACAGATACTTCACTAAAGAAGATATACAGATGGTAAATTAGTCCATGACTAAAAGCTCAAAGTCATTAGTCATTAGAGAAATGAATGTTAAAAACATAATGTGATACACACAGAATATTTAAGATTTTTTTTTTTATTATACTTTAAGTTTTAGGGTACATGTGCACATTGTGCAGGTTAGTTACATATGTATACATGTGCCATGCTGGTGCGCTGCACCCACTAACTTGTCATCTAGCATTAGGTATACCTCCCAATGCTATCCCTCCCCCCTCCCCCCACCCCACCACAGTCCCCAGAGTGTGATATTCCCCTTCCTGTGTCCATGTGATCTCATTGTTCAATTCCCACCTATGAGTGAGAATATGCGGTGTTTGGTTTTTTGTTCTTGCGATAGTTTACTGAGAATGATGACTTCCAATTTCATCCATGTCCCTACAAAGGACATGAACTCATCATTTTTTATGGCTGCATAGTATTCCATGGTGTATATGTGCCACATTTTCTTAATCCAGTTTATCATTGTTGGACATTTGGGTTGGTTCCAAGTCTTTGCTATTGTGAATAATGCCACAATAAACATACGTGTGCATGTGTCTTTATAGCAGCATGATTTGTAGTCCTTTGGGTATATACCCAGTAATGGGATGGCTGGGTCAAATGGTATTTCCAGTTCTAGATCCCTGAGGAATCGCCACAGTGACTTCCACAATGGTTGAACTAGTTTACAGTCCCACCAACAGTGTCAAAGTGTTCCTATTTCTCCACATCCTCTCCAGCACCTGTTGTTTCCTGACTTTTTAATGATTGCCATTCTAACTGGTGTGAGATGGTATCTCATTGTGGTTTTGATTTGCATTTCTCTGATGGCCAGTGATGATGAGCATTTTTTCATGTGTCTGTTGGCTGCATAAATGTCTTCTTTTGAGAAGTGTCTGTTCATGTCCTTCGCCCACTTTTTGATGGAGTTGTTTGTTTTTTTCTTGTAAATTTGTTTGAGTTCATTGTAGATTCTGGATATTAGCCCTTTGTCAGATGAGTAGGTTGTGAAAATTTTCTCCCACTTTGTAGGTTGCCTGTTCACTCTGATGGTAGTTTCTTTTGCTGTGCAGAAGCTCTTTAGTTTAATTAGATCCCATTTGTCAATTTTGTCTTTTGTTACCATTGCTTTTGGTGTTTTGGACATGAAGTCCTTGCCCATGCCTATGTCCTGAATGGTAATGCCTAGGTTTTCTTCTAGGGTTTTTATGGTTTTAGGTCTAAGGTTTAAGTCTTTAATCCATCTTGAATTGATTTTTGTATAAGGTGTAAGGAAGGGATCCAGTTTCAGCTTTCTACATATGGCTAGCCAGTTTTCCCAGCACCATTTATTAAACAGGGAATCCTTTCCCCAATGCTTGTTTTTCTCAGGCTTGTCAAAGATCAGATAGTTGTAGATATGCGGTGTTATTTCTGAGGGCTCTGTTCTGTTCCATTGATCTATATCTCTGTTTTGGTACCAGTACCATGCTGTTTTGGTTACTGTAGCCTTGTAGTATAGTTTGAAGTCAGGTAGTGTGATGCCTCCAGCTTTGTTCTTTTGGCTTAGGATTGCCTTGGCGATGCGGGCTCTTTTTTGGTTCCATATGAACTTTAAAGTAGTTTTTTCCAATTCTGTGAAGAAAGTCATTGGTAGCTTTATGCGGATGGCATTGAATCTGTAAATTACCTTGGGCAGTATGGCCATTTTCACGATTTTGATTCTTCCTACCCATGAGCATGGAATGTTCTTCCATTTGTTTGTATCCTCTTTTATTTCCTTGAGCAGTGGTTTGTAGTTCTCCTTGAAGAGGTCCTTCACATCCCTTGTAAGTTGGATTTCTAGGTATTTTATTCTCTTTGAAGCAATTGTGAATGGGAGTTCACTCATGATTTGGCTATCTGTTTGTCTGTTGTTGGTGTATAAGAATGCTTGTGATTTTTGTACATTGATTTTGTATCCTGAGACTTTGCTGAAGTTGCTTATCAGCTTAAGGAGATTTTGGGCTGAGACAATGGGGTTTTCTAGATATACAATCATGTCATCTGCAAACAGGGACAATTTGACTTCCTCTTTTCCTAATTGAATACCCTTTATTTCCTTCTCCTGCCTAATTGCCCAGGCCAGAACTTCCAACACTATGTTGAATAGGAGTGGTGAGAGAGGGCATCCCTGTCTTGTGCCAGTTTTCAAAGGGAATGCTTCCAGTTTTTGCCCATTCAGTATGATATTGGCTGTGGGTTTGTCATAGATAGCTCTTATTATTTTGAAATACGTCCCATCAATACCTAATTTATTGAGAGTTTTTAGCATGAAGGGTTGTTGAATTTTGTCAAAGGCTTTTTCTGCATCTATTGAGGTAATCATGTGGTTTTTGTCTTTGGCTCTGTTTATATGCTGGATTACATTTATTGATTTGCGTATATTGAACCAGCCTTGCATCCCAGGGATGAAGCCCACTTGATCATGGTGGATAAGCTTTTTGATGTGCTGCTGGATTCGTTTTGCCAGTATTTTACTGAGGATTTTTGCATCAATGTTCATCAAGGATATTGGTCTAAAATTCTCTTTTTTGGTTGTGTCTCTGCCCGGCTTTGGTATCAGAATGATGCTGGCCTCATAAAATGAGTTAGGGAGGATTCCCTCTTTTTCTATTGATTGGAATAGTTTCAGAAGGAATGGTACCAGTTCCTCCTTGTACCTCTGGTAGAATTCGGCTGTGAATCCATCTGGTCCTGGACTCTTTTTGGTTGGTAAACTATTGATTATTGCCACAATTTCAGCTCCTGTTATTGGTCTATTCAGAGATTCAACTTCTTCCTGGTTTAGTCTTGGGAGAGTGTATGTGTCGAGGAATTTATCCATTTCTTCTAGATTTTCTAGTTTATTTGCGTAGAGGTGTTTGTAATATTCTCTGATGGTAGTTTGTATTTCTGTGGGATTGGTGGTGATATCCCCTTTATCATTTTTTATTGTGTCTATTTGATTCTTCTCTCTTTTTTTCTTTATTAGTCTTGCTAGCGGTCTATCAATTTTGTTGATCCTTTCAAAAAACCAGCTCCTGGATTCATTAATTTTTTGAAGGGTTTTTTGTGTCTATATTTCCTTCAGTTCTGCTCTGATTTTAGTTATTTCTTGCCTTCGGCTAGCTTTTGAATGTGTTTGCTCTTGCTTTTCTAGTTCTTTTCATTGTGATGTTAGGGTGTCAATTTTGGATCTTTCCTGCTTTCTCTTGTGGGCATTTAGTGCTATAAATTTCCCTCTACACACTGCTTTGAATGCGTCCCAGAGATTCTGGTATGTGGTGTCTTTGTTCTCGTTGGTTTCAAAGAACATCTTTATTTCTGCCTTCATTTCGTTATGTATCCAGTAGTCATTCAGGAGCAGGTTGTTCAGTTTCCATGTAGTTGAGCGGTTTTGAGTGAGATTCTTAATCCTGAGTTCTAGTTTGATTGCACTGTGGTCTGAGAGATAGTTTGTTATAATCTCTGTTCTTTTACATTTGCTGAGGAGAGCTTTACTTCCAAGTATGTGGTCAATTTTGGAATAGGTGTGGTGTGGTGCTGAAAAAAATGTATATTCTGTTGATTTGAGGTGGAGAGTTCTGTAGATGTCTATTAGGTCCTCTTGGTGCAGAGCTGAGTTCAATTCCTGGGTATCCTTGTTGACTTTCTGTCTCGTTGATCTGTCTGATGTTGACAGTGGGGTGTTAAAGTCTCCCATTATTAACGTGTGGGAGTCTAAGTCTCTTTGTAGGTCACTCAGGACTTGCTTTATGAATCTGGGTGCTCCTGTATTGGGTGCATATATATTTAGGATAGTTAGCTCTTCTTGTTGAATTGATCCCTTTACCATTATGTAATGGCCTTCTTTGTCTCTTTTGATCTTTGTTGCTTTAAAGTCTGTTTTATCAGAGACTAGGATTGCAACCCCTGCCTTTTTTTGTTTTCCATTTGCTTGGTAGATCTTCCTCCATCCTTTTATTTTGAGCCTATGTGTGTCTGTGCACGTGAGATGGGTTTCCTGAATCCAGCACACTGATGGGTCTTGACTCTTTATCCAATTTGCCAGTCTGTGTCTTTTAATTGGAGCATTGAGTCCATTTACATTTAAAGTTAATATTGTTATGTGTGAATTTGATCCTGTCATTATGATGTTAGCTGGTGATTTTGCTCGTTAGTTGATGCAGTTTCTTCCTAGTCTCAATGGTCTTTACATTTTGGCATGATTTTGCAGCGGCTGGTACCGGTTTTTCCTTTCCATGTTTAGCGCTTCCTGCAGGAGCTCTTTTAGGGCAGGCCTGGTGGTGACAAAATCTCTCAGCATTTGCTTGTCTGTAAAGTATTTTATTTCTCTTTCACTTATGAAGCTTAGTTTGGCTGGATATGAAATTCTGGGTTGAAAATTCTTTTCTTTAAGAATGTTGAATATTGGCCCCCACTCTCTTCTGGCTTATAAGGTTTCTGCCGAGAGATCCGCTGTTAGTCTGATGGGCTTCCCTTTGAGGGTAACCCGACCTTTCTCTCTGGCTGCCCTTAACATTTTTTCCTTCATTTCAACTTTGGTGAATCTGACAATTATGTGTCTTGGAGTTGCTCTTCTCGAGGAGTATCTTTGTGGCGTTCTCTGTATTTCCTGAATCTGAACGTTGGCCTGCCTTGCTAGATTGGGGAAATTCTCCTGGATAATATCCTGCAGAGTGTTTTCCAACTTGGTTCCATTCTCCCCATCACTTTCAGGTATACCAATCAGACGTAGATTTGGTCTTTTCACATAGTCCCATGTTCCTTGCAGGCTTTGCTCATTTCTTTTGATTCTTTTTTCTCTAAACTTCCCTTCTCGCTTCATTTCATTCATTTCATCTTCCATCGCTGATACCCTTTCTTCCAGTTGATCACATCGGCTCCTGAGGCTTCTGCATTCTTCACGTAGCTCTCGAGCCTTGGTTTTCAGCTCCATCAGCTCCTTTAAGCACTTCTCTGTATTGGTTATTCTAGCTATACATTCTTCTACATTTTTTTCAAAGTTTTCAACTTCTTTGCCTTTGGTTTGAATGTCCTCCCGTAGCTCAGAGTAATTTGATCGTCTGAAGCCTTCTTCTCTCAGCTCGTCAAAGTCATTCTCCATCCAGCTTTGTTTCATTGCTGGTGAGGAACTGCGTTCCTTTGGAGGAGGAGAGGCGCTCTGTGTTTTAGAGTTTCCAGTTTTTCTGTTCTGTTTTTTCCCCATCTTTGTGGTTTTATCTACTTTTGGTCTTTGATGATGGTGATGTACAGATGGGTTTGGATTGGGAGGAGCCAAGATGGCCGAATAGGAACACCTCCGGTCTACAGCTCCCAGCGTGAGCGACGCAGAAGACGGGTGATTTCTGCATTTCCATCTGAGGTACCGGGTTCATCTCTCTAGGGAGCGCCACACAGTGGGTGCAGGTCAGTGGGTGCGCGCACCGTGCGCGAGCCGAAGCAGGGCGAGGCATTGCCTCACTTGGGAAGCGCAAGGGGTCAGGGAATTCCCTTTCTGAGTCAAAGAAAGGGGTGACGGACGCACCTGGAAAATCGGGTCACTCCCACCCAAATATTGCGCTTTTCGGACCGGCTTAAAAAATGGCACACCACGAGATTATATCCCACACCTGGCTCGGAGGGTCCTACCCCACGGAGTCTCGCTGATTGCTGGCACAGCAGTCTGAGATCAAACTGCAAGGCGGCAGCGAGGCTGGGGGAGGGGCGCCCGCCATTGCCCAGGCTTGCTTAGGTAAACAAAGCAGCCGGGAAGCTCGAACTGGGTGGAGCCCACCACAGCTCAAGGAGGCCTGCCTGCCTCTGTAGGCTCCACCTCTGGGGGCAGGGCACAGACAAACAAAAAGACAGCAGTAACCTCTGCAGACTTAAATGTCCCTGTCTGACAGCTTTGAAGAGAGCAGTGGTTCTCCCAGCACGCAGCTGGAGATCTGAGAACGGGCAGACTGCCTCCTCAAGTGGGTCCCTGACCCCTGACCCCCGAGCAGCCTAACTGGGAGGCACCCCCCAGCAGGGGCACACTGACGCCTCACACGGCAGGGTATTCCAACAGACCTGCAGCTGAGGGTCCTGTCTGTTAGAAGGAAAAGTAACAAACAGAAAGGACATCCACACCAATATTTAAGATTAATAACAGGGCACAATTCCAAATGCTAGTGAGGAGGTAGAATGGCAGGTGTTTACATGCATGGCTGGTAAGAATGCAAAATGTTACAGCACTTTATAAGAGTGTATCAGTTTCATACATATTTAAACATATGCTTACCATATAAAGAACAAATCTTCTAGGTATTTCTCCTAATGAAATGAAAACCTGTATTTGTACAAACATATATATGTGACTGTTTACAAGCAGCTTTATTCACAGTTTTTCAAAACTAAAAATAACTCAACGTCCTTTAATTGGTGAAGGGATTAAAAAAACTCTAGTACATTCATACAGTGGAATACTACTTAGTAATAATATAAGACAAGCTCATGACACACAAAACACAGATGAATCTGAACGGCATCATATTAAGTGAAAGAAGCTTAACTCAAATGCCTACATATTGTATGATTATATTCCTATGATAAATTTGTAGGAATGGGGAACACATCACAGGTTGTCAGAAGTTGCAGATAGGTGGAGGAGTTAACTTACAAAGCAGCAGCACAGGGAACATTTGGAACAACAGAGCAGTTTTATATCTTGGTTGTCTTGTTTATACTGTCCTCAAAACTCATAGAACTATATACCACAGTGAATTCTATTGTATACTAATTTAAAGAGTGAAAGCTAAAATAATGAAGAGAATGATAAGAAACGCCATAATTTGGTTGGTTAAAAAAAGTACAAGCAAAATAAAAAGGATTCCCAGAATGTGTAGAAAGAGGGGTCTAAAAATCCCATACATATATACATCCCTGTGAAATTTTATAGCACTAAGAATAAATACATACCCTAAAATCTGAGAAAGAGACAGAGACAGAGAGAGAGACAGAGAGAAAGAGAGAATATAAGTCTTACAACACAATCAAAATCCCACTGACAGTTAACCTGCAAATCTATACATGATCAAACTGGTACTCAACTGTGGATGCAATAAAGATGATGTAATTCTTGCAGCAATGGAGAAGTTCACTTTTTTATTTTTTATTTTTCTTTGAGATGGAATTTCTTTCTTGTTGCCCAGGCTGGAGTGCAATGGCGAGGTCTTGGCTCACTGCGACCTCTGCCTCAAGTGACTCTCCTGCTTCAGCCTCCCAAGTAGCTGGGATTACAGCCATATGCCCCACGCCTGGCTAATTTTTTTTTGGATTTTTAGTAGAGGTGTGGTTTCACCATGTTGACCAGGTTGGTCTCGGACTCCTGACCTCAGGTGATCCGCCTGCCTCAGCCTCCCAAAGTGCTGAGATTACAGATGTGAGCCACCACGCCTAACCAATAAGTTCACTTTTAATATACCCTTTATGAGGAAATTTTTTGAGGTTGTAATCCAGCAAAATAAAGGTAAAAGTCGTGAAGGAGAAACTGTGCAACTGAGTCAGGAACGCAGTGAAACAAATGCCCGAGTGACTTGTCTGTGTAAGCCTAAAAAGTTATTGGTCCAAATTAAATCCTAAAGTCAGTGAACCCTAAGAAGAATGTCTTTAAAAAGAATGAGATAATTTCTAATTAGTGGTTGAAATAAATAGGAAACTGGGGCTTCTTAGTGTTATGTTGAAGAATGCATATATTTATTCTCTCAACCAGGTAAATGTAGGGACACTGAGAAATTGTAGGAAAAATAAAGAGCTGTACTAAGAAATTGTAGGAAAAACAAAGAGCTGTACTAAAGAGCCATGGTTAATTTATGAAACAAAGTAAAAAAAAAGGCATGATTTCAGACAATTGAAGAGATATAGAAAGTACATTTCTTTAGTATTTAAGCAATATTATTCTCAGGCGGTCCTGTGTATGTGACCTGGGATATGTAGAGATTTGAATGGTGTCCTTGACCAGCATGTTGCTCTTCACTGGGAAATAGTTACACAACTGCAATCAGGTCAATGCTATTTTTTGGGTTTCAAGTATCAAGTTGTACTTAGTTATGGTTACAAACAGAACATAAAATGTTATTGGTGTTGTCATTGTCAAAATAAAGCTATCTTTGACAGAATTTAGAAGGTGAATGTGAAGAAGACGTGGAAAAAATTGGAATGTTAGAATGTTCAACTGAAGAAGTGACTGGAGCCAGCTGTGGTGGTTCATGCCTGTAATCCCAGCACTTTGGGAGGCCGAGGCAGGAGGATCACGAGGCAGGGGGTCAGGAGCTCAAGACCACCCTGGCCAACATGGTGAAACCGTGTCTCTACTAAAAATACAAAAATTAGCTGGGTATGGTGATTCACACCTGTAGTCTCAGCTACTTGGAAGGGTGAGGCAGGAGAATTGCTTGAACCCGGGAGGCAGAGGTTGCAGTGAGCTGAGATGGCACTACTACACTCCAGGCTGGGTGACAGAGGGAGACTCTGTCTCAAAAATAAATTAATTAACTAGTTAATAAAATAAGTGACCGTCTGAAGTTGACAGATCAAGATATATAAATAATTCTATTTAAAGAAAAATCAAGTAATGACTAAACTAAGATAATAACGTAAGTAATAAAATTAAGAACATAATGGATGGCTACATGAGGGCATCTGAAAGTGGTAATTTGCGTTCAGAGAATAGAAGATTTGCTTGCTAAATCAAGAAATACTGGTATGTTATTTAGTGTTATAGATGAAACCACCAGAAAAATCGCTATGAGAACTACTAAAACTGCTTGCTTCTCAGTAGCAGGATTGGAGATGGTGAGGAATGAGATGAAATATTATAAAATCTTTAATACTGCTTAATTTTTACTATTTGCCTCATTCACTTTGATAAAAATAAGAGAAACACTAAACAAAAATTGGAAAGTGTTAAGTAAAAATGACAGAGGGAAGAAATTACAATGACAGGAAATATATTGGGGTATCATCAAATATGACTCCCTTACTTTCAAATTCACAGAGGAAACAGACATAGTGATACAACAGAGAGAAACTCTCAAATAGAGTAATATTCAACAGGGATGAGACTTTCTAAAATTAATACAATCGCCAAGTTACCTTAAATTGACGGAAAAGAGCAGATTTCTATAAAAACAAAATGAGTTTTAAAAGAAGCTTTCTGTTGAGCTCAGATTTTGGAAATCATAATTTCAAGTATTGAAAGAGAAACATAGAACCAAGGATGCCTATGGAAACATGATTCAGTTTCAATTCTTATGATTATAGTACAAGGAAAAAAATAGGGTATTATAAAACAAAATTAGAACAAGACCAAAGATGGCCTAAGTACAATCATTTGGGCAGATGGTTTAATGAGACCAAACTACTCAACTTATGTTCCTTTTTTGTTCTTATTTATTTTAATCACAGAGAAAAATTTGCAATATAGAAAAGAACATTTTTTAAAACTTTATTAAGAGAGATTTAAAGTCCAATGAAGGTGAGAAATAGTAAGACAGCCTTGGGTACTTAAAAGATGCTAAGGTTAAATATATTGAATAAGTTTGCAGATACAATTGAAGAAATATTGTTAATGATTTTTTTTTAAAAATCATATATATGGATGGAAGAGTTAGGTGACTTCAGCTGTACCAATATCACCATAATATTTTTCAAAAGAGAATAAAGAAAAAGTCCTTACATTATTATAAATATTACCAAATTTTATATCAGTTCCAAGAAAAGCTCTACAAAGGGTTATAAAATCATTCTTAAACAAAGAAACTGGTCATCAATATAAACAATGTAGATGCATAAAAATAGATAATCATGGGATAATTTGTAACAAAATAGGATTATTGACTAGACCAAGAGAAGCTTACAAATACACAAAGAGCATCTTAATATTCAACAACTCATGCAAGTACATCACACATATCCTACGGACAAGATTGAAAAGTGTTGGCTGTATTATAGGCTGATTAGTTGAAACCATATTTACTTGAACAGTTATATCCAAAGAGTGTTGATTGATGCAATATGTCAGTCACTGAGGAGGAAAATCAGAAAAATCAATAGTAGCACCCAATAGGGTTTCCCCATGTTCATTTTACAATTTTCACTTTGGATTGAAAGAAGAATCAGGAAAGTCATCATATTAGAGAAGCAAACAACTGCTGATAAAGATCCTAATGCATTCAGGCAATGAGCTGAAATGACATGAAACTCAATAGGAATAACTTTATGGCTTCCTCTTAAAATGTTTTCCCACCAATTTTTAAAAGATCACTTGATGAAGTAGATGGGGAAGATTACTAACAGCTTATGTAAAAAAATACAAACTTACTATAAGCTCAATGTAAGCCAAAAGTAAGCATGACTACCTTAAAATTTAATGTAAGATTTAGCTTCAGCAGAAGACATATAGTTCTCTGATTTGGGGAATGAGCCTTCTGCTGTTTACAGCTTATCCTTGTCAATGGCTGCAGTGTGAATCCAACTGCTAGTTGTATTAAGTGGATTGGCATGAAACTGGAATATGGTCAGAGTGGGAAAAGCAGAATGATGCAGGAACTGGAATCCATCAAACATGAGAAACAGTTGAAAGCATGGAGAACAGATAGCCCAGAAGAGGGAGGACTTGTTCATCTTGTATTATTAATGCCTAGTAGAGGAGTCACAGATGCGTATGAAAAGATAAAATGTGTTGTGAACAAAACAAAGGTATACCCAAGACCTATTATATTCCTTTAAGATAAAAAAGGTCTTTTTAAAAACATATGAATATGGCACTTTAATGATTTTTTACTCCCTGTCTTGAATTAAGATCTATCCTTTGTGATGGCTCAAACATTGCCTTTGTTTCTGGACGCTTGAAAGTGAGTCACCAAAAAGCTTAGTTTTTCAGTGATCTCAGTGGGTAAACTTTCTGGATAAGTGACATCATGAAGAAACAGTCGTACCTCATTCATATAGTATTATTCAGAATTAACTTATCAGATTGGCCTTTAACTACAGTAAAGGCACTTGTTTGGTATTTGGATTTCATTACTTTGTTTGGTGTGTATACCCTTCAGATAACTACTTGGCAACAAGCACTCTATTCCAAGTGATCCCCGGATGTAGTCACAAAGGCATGTTAATCTTATTATTCCTCTTATTAAGTACAAACCTTGGCCCAACAGTAAAGTTCTCACTGTTTTTCAGGTGCTCTGAGGATACACAAAGGAGAGGTGGTATATTTCAGCCACCTTTGGGATCATATTTTATCTGTTTATTTTGACTTTTTTTTTAAGAAGGCAAAGAAGGGTGATATTAGGGCAGAGGTGGCAGCATACTACTCCTCTTCAAAATGCCTTCTGGTCTACAGGGAATTTACCCTAACCTTTGTGTGGAAGTCAGTCATCCAGTTCTAAATTGAAATTATCTCAGTGATAGTAAAGCTCCAACAAACACAACCTTTATCTGTATGCAAATAATTGCCATGGTCTGTATTCTTTGCTCATCTGAGATTCCATATTAGGAAAATAGTGTCTGCTAATTTTGGCCAATCTGCTCTATTCTTTATCTCAAACAATGGTGTCACTATCTATCCAGTCTCTTCAGCTGAAACCACAGAGGAATCTTCTACTATTCTTCCTCCTTCACTTCACATATCAATACAGGCACTAGGCTTGTCCTCAGAAATGCTTGTGAAAACCCCTCCAATTTGCCACTGCCAAGGTCAGGCTCTCATTTTCTAGATTACTTTGAGTGACTCTTCGACATTTGTCATACAAGACCTTTCACAATCTGACCCCAATGAATACCACCATTGCCCATTACACGTGACCATATGCATCACATATAAAAGCTTACATGAAGCTTTAATTCCATAAACACATGCTGAGAACTTAATACATGAAGAACAGTAGTTTAAATTTTAGGAGTACTAAGATTAAATCACATATGTTCACACTATGGTAGAAAGAAGCAATCATAAACCAATTATCTATCTAAGCGTATGCTATATGATATAACAAAGATAGTGCAAGAGAGAGATGTGGACAAGGAAGAAAGTGAACGTTTTCCTTGTCATGAGGCAGGGAAGAGTTCACAGAGAAAGATATATTTGAATAGAAAACAGAAGGATTGTAGGGTGCATAAGACTTAGCAAGGCAGGTATGGAGAATGAGAGAAGTCCTGGTAGAGAGGAGTTCCCGGAGTATGGAACTTGATACCTTTGTGAAAAGGTATATCCTTTGACATTGTTGGAGCATAAAAGGGAGAAGTAAGAAATATAACTGGAAAAGCAAGAAGAAATTTGATTAAGTAAGGTCTTAAATGTTTTCTAAGCGGCTAAGACATTGAGACTTCACTTCACAGACATTGAGGAGCTATGGTGCCTTATAAGCAAGACAGTATCAGAGAATTTTATAGTTTTATGAGTCCTCTGGTAATAGATTCTGTGAAGGTCATCAAGCCTGGAGGTTGAAATGTCAACTAGGAAGCCATGGTTCTGGTTTAGCTTTGGGAAGGTGAAGGTTGTCATACTGGAGATCAAATAAAAGAAATGGATGATTGGAACATTAAAGTGGTTGCCTGGGCACAGTGGCTCACGCCTCTAATCCTAGCACTTTGGGAGGCAGAAGCAGGTGGATCACTTGAGGTCAGGAGTTTGAGACCAGCCTGGCCAACACGGTGAAACCCTGTCTCTTTTTATTTTATAAAAAATAAAAAATAAAAAAAGCCGGGTGTGGAGGTGCACGCCTTTAATCCCAGCTGCTTGGGAGGCTGAGGCAGAAGAATTGCTTGAACCCGGGAGGCGGAGGTTGCAGTGAGCTGAGATTGCACCACTGCACTCCAGCCTGGACGACAGAGTGAGACTCTGTCTCAAAAAAATAAACATTAAAATTAAAAGTAAATTTTAAAAAAGAGGTTGACTCAACCAAGTATAGAGGCTTATTACAATGAGAAGTTATAGCACGACAGTCTGCTTTAAACTGTTAAGTTTCTGGATTCTGTAACAAGGTGACTGGTGTTGTCACTGACCAAGACTGCCAATGCCAGAGAAGAGACCTGCACAGGAGGGGTACAGAAGCTCACTTGGACTCTCCTGTTTTTCAATTTCAGTTAGACATCTGGGAGGAAAAGCCAAGAGACAACTGGAAGTCTCTGTTCACCACCACTGCCACAGCTTGAGAATAATTGTCCCATTGGGGCTGCTCTGCAAAGTCACTGAGGACATCCGTGCAGTGTTTACTATTATCAGTTAACTGAGTGATTTTTGGCAAGTTTCTTCATCTTTACCCAGTGCCTTCACATTGAGTAATCTCTGCCACTCTGTACCTTTCATAAACTATGATTTAGTCTGAGGTTTTCTAGCTAGGTCAGGCTCTATAGGCAAATATATCTCAATATATATGCAAATAAACACTTAGAAGATCAAAAGAACCTAAACTGTGTTTTTATCAAGTTTCATCTAGATTCCCTGGTGCTGTAGTTGACAGTCATAGCATAAGATGATAGACTTGTGCCTGTCATATAATTTGCACTTTTAAAATATGATTAAATTAATATTTCAGTGAAAAACATATTTCTTTAAGATTGCAACAGTACATACTAGAAAACAGTCAGTGGTAGAATAGATGTTAAACTTTACTTCATTAACAGAAAATAAAAGGCAATTAATAAAGTGATTCTCTTACTGTTATCCTTCCTCATGTGAGTTTTCACTATTAGTAAGCCGCAATAATATAGGCTTTTCTTAGCAACAACAGTTATTGCCATTGAATATATTGTATGATTACTTTACAAACTAAAATTAATTAATTTAAATATGATATTTTCTCTTTGTTTTGTAGTCCCCTGATACACATAATGTCTACATGGGTGTATTTATTTTTCTAAGTTTATTTAAGTATAAGTAGCCAAATGGTTAGGATCCACGCATGTAACTGATGACACCATAAAGTGAGTGCTGTTTTCTACAATTGGTTCATGATTTATTATGCATTGCAAACAACTTCATTCTTTCTTTTTTATTTTATAAATGTATCCTCATTAATATAAAGACACACACATCCATTAAGTTTTACCCCTTTTGTATGTAAGCAGCTTAACATTCCTGATCAGAGCTGGCATTTGAAGCAAACCAAAAAACAAAAATTTTACATACAAGTCAGATATGCTTTGAAAACTTAATTACAATGTGCTCCATTGTCTGAAAGCTTACTTTTACACATTTTGCTTAGGTTCTTTCTCATATGTGTTGGGCCCCAGATTCTTTTTACAATACCTGATACTCCTAAACCAGCCTTTATTGACAGTATTAATTGCCTCTAAGCACTTACCTATTACACTGTTTTTTATGCCTAGAGAAGATTTTCTCTTTCTTCTAGTCTAGGTTGTTACTTGGATCACTGCTTAGAGACCTTCACTCTGGCTTCTTCCTGCTTTCTCCCTCTGGGCAAGTCTCCTCTTTCACATATGGAAGGCCATGTGCGTCTACACCATGTCTCCCACTTCATCAGACTTTATATTCCAGTAGCTCATTTTGCATCTGCACTTTACAACCAAGTTCCCTGTCTATCGATAGGAATGAATGGCAAGTTTGTAGTTTATTTAGTTTTTCTGATACCAAATGACTAGGATTACATGAAGTAATGAAAATTTTTATTATCAAACTTAATTAACAGAAAACAATATCATGAATGTCAGGCAAAGGTTTGGTAGATGCATCAGACAAGACTCATTGTTTGATATAAAATTCTTAGTGCTTTCAAAGTCTTTCTTCTGATTTTTCAAAACTGAAGATACAGAGAAGCTTTAGATTCCATCCTATGGCCTCAGCAGAAGGCTTTCTAATTTTCAGGCTCTTGTTCCACCATGATGAAAGTTCACCTGAAATAGTCAATTTCTCACTCTAATATTAACTGATATTAGATAATAATGTTAAACTAATATTAGTTTCACTTATTAAAATAAAATAACTATAATATACTAATAATAAATATTTAGCTTATTTTTTTGCATTGTTTAGAGTTTTCTCTGGGGATGAAGGAGAAATTGGAAGCTAGGAAACAACTAAAGAAACAAAACAACTAAAACCTCCCAAACAATAAAGAACATAGCATTTTCTCAATTCAGATGAGTTTTGTATAACCTCATTCACAAAGCAGTTATCATAATAAGGTAAATTTAAAGTTGAAAGTAACAATTATTGGCAATATGTCAGTTATTTCAAGAAAGTTAAATTTTGGCTGACACATTAATGCCATTGTTTGTTGTTGAATAATTGAATTTTTAGGAAATAATCATTTTTTTTCGGTGCTATCCACTAGGTGAATTATTTCAGGAGACCAAAATCTAGAAGAGAGTAAAAAATATATTCAGAAAAGAATGGTGCAGTGTTAAGTGCAATTCAAAGATCTGTATAAACTCCTATGCGCACCAATAGCAACCTAATACACGATGAATTGAAGATCTACACTTAAGAGCTAAAACTATAAAACTCTTAGAAAAAAAAATGTATATATAAGTCTCTGTGAGCTTGGATTAGGCAATAGTTTCTTAGAGATTACACCAAAAGCAAAACAACCAAAGAAAAAATAGATAAATTGGACTTCATCAAAATTAAAAAGTTTATGCTTCAAAGACACTATCAAGAAAGTAAAATGACAACCCATGGAATCAGAGAAAATGTTTGCAAACAATATATCTGATAAGTGTCCAGTATCCAGAATGTATAAAAAACTCTAACAACTCAACAATAAAAAGACAACACAACTTAAAAATGGGTAAAGGATTTTAATAGACATTTATCTCAATAAGATACATGAATGGTCAACGAGCACATGAAAAGCTGCTCAATTCATTATTCATTGGGAAAATGTAAATAAAAATCACTATGAGATACCACTTCATACCTACTAGAATGGCTATAATTGAAAAGGCAGATTATAACCAGTGTTGAAAAGGATGTAGAGTATTAGAACCATTGTACAGTGCTGGTGGCAATGTAAAGTGGTACAGTCACTTTGAAAGATCATTTGACATTTCCTTAGAAAGTTATTATATGATCCAGGAAATCCAATCCTAGTTACATATTCATGAGGCTTGAAAACACTTGTTCACACAAAAGCTGGCATATGAAGGTACATAGTAGCATTATTCAAAATAGCCAAAAAAGTAAAAATAACCCAAATGTCTGCTGACTGATGAAAGGATAAACAAAATGTATTATATTCATACAGTGGAATATTATTCAACCATAAAAGGAATGAGGTACTGATACATGCTACAACATGGATGGATCTAGATAATATTAATTCCTAAGATGGAAACCAGCCCTTATTATGCTCAGTGGAAGAAGACAGGCAGCAAAGGCCACATATATGATTTCATTCGTATGAAATATCCATAATAGGCAAATCCATAGAGAGAGAATGTGGATTAGTGATTGCTAGGGGCTGGGGGCATCAGGGAATGAGGTGTGACTCCTAATAGGTATAGGACTTTTTCTTGGGGTGATGAAAATATTGCAGAATGAGATAGTAGTCCTGGTTGTGCAACTTTGTTAATATATAAAACTTCCTAATTGTATACTATAAAAGGTAAATTTTATGATTGAGAATTATATTTCAATGTTTTAAAATGTCATATATCAGTACAATTTTAGAAGCAAATAGTTCTGTCTGGATATACCAGAAAAAGAAGTAATATTTGATGTGGGCCTTGGGATCACCAGAAAATAAGCTAGATTATGATGTAGTAAGACAAATAAATGAAGGAAGGAAATAGTAAGTCTTCATTTTCTGTGTGAGTGTGTATACATCTGTGAAAACATATTCTATTTTTAGCATTCTATAACAAAAAGATTGCTTTATGCCTTCTCAATCATAAAAGGAAGATGTGTACACTGCAGAAATAAAATAGATTTTTAAAAGCTCTGTATAGCTTGTTTATTAAGTTTACAAATTTTCTGCTTTTTTCTATTATTTTTCCATTTAGCTATTTAAAGTCATATAGCATATATAATTCTACATTCTGACTTTTCCCATAAGCACTCTTATAAGTATTTTCCCATATGATCTCCCATATGATTTAAGTTCCTTATAAGCATACTTATTGTTTGCTGCATTCATTGATGGATCTCTCTAACTTTGGAAATTTAAGATGTTTCTAATCTTTCACAAATGTGAATAATGCTCCATGACTATATATCTATATGTATATATATATACATATATATATTTGCCCAAGTTTTTGATTATTTTAAGGATAGATTTCCTCTGTGTAATAAAGAGAAAACTATTTTTATTTGTAAATAGTGCCACATGTCTTTGTAATCATGAAAAATTTCAGTGACAGTTCTATACTGCATCTTTTCCCTCTCAGCCAATAGATTATCAAGTTTAGCACATCTGCAAAACGGTTAAATAAAACTTGACAGAGTTCTATTTGTATGGGTGAGTGCAACGATGTCATTTTACCATTGTCTTTTTATGGCTAAAAAATAAAATTAGTTTCTTGTTTTAAAAATCATTTTTATTACTTTACATTCTATAGTCAACAGCAAAAAAAAAAAATCCATTTCTCAGATAAGGGCTGGTTTCCATCTTAGGAAGTAAATAGTAACAACAA
This sequence comes from Homo sapiens, assembly GCF_000001405.40. NCBI lineage: Eukaryota > Metazoa > Chordata > Mammalia > Primates > Hominidae > Homo > Homo sapiens. The sequence continues at coordinate 4,489,683 of NC_000018.10, forward strand.
CTTGATAGAGTGATCAAGAGATATCAACCATCTTTATTTATTGAGGCTCCCAATCTAAACTGGCTAAAGGACACTGGCTCGGTGTATCCCAACCTAAACAGGTCTGTAACTTGAGACTTATTTAAAACTAACAGCGAGGGGCAAAAGTGATATTCTGTGACTTTGGAAGTCAGGTGACAACAAATGTTGTACCTTGTGCTTTTTCTGGTGGACATAAGAAATCTCACTATTCTGGGGCTACCATGCTAGAAAGACAAAATTGGTACTCTGGTAAACAACTCAGCACGGGTCTTAGCCAATGGCCAGCATCCACTGTAAACCTTGTGAGTGCACCATCTTGGATGTCCAATCCAGCGAAGCCTTCAGATGACAGTGGCCTCTAGCAGTATCTAATGCTAACTGTCTGAGAAACCAAAAAGGAAGAACTTCCAAGATAATAAGTCTTTCTCAAAGTCCTAATCTGTATTCATGATTAAAATAAAGTGTTTTTGTAAGTCTCTAAGTTTGGGGATAATTTTTAATGCAGTAACTATCATCAGAACAAACAAATATAAACTTAAAATAAATCTTTATACCTCTATATAAAATTTCAGACTATATACATCTCCGCAAATACACTGAAATATATTATTTCTACCCCTCCTCACTTTTTAAACTCAAGTGGCTTAACACATAACTCTTGCTGGACTAGACCTTAAAGAATATTGATTGATTGATTGATTGATTGATTTTAAGATGGAGCCTGCCTGTGTTGCCCAGGCTGGAGTGCAGTGGCATGATCTCAGCTTACTGCAACCTCTGTCTCCTGGGTTCAAGCGATTCTCCTGCCTCAGCCTCCTGAGTAGCTGGGACTACAGGCACATGCCACCATGCCCAGATAATTTTGGTATTTTTGGTAGAGACGGGATTTCACCATGTTGGCCCGGCTGGTCTTGAACTCCTTACCTCAGGTGATCCACCCACCTCGGCCTCCCAAAGTGCTGGGATTAGAGGCGTTAGCCACGGCGCCTGGCCAAGAATATTTATTTTACTTACTAGCTCAGCTTCATCAAATAATTGTTCAACTTCTGATAATCCCTCCAAGGACAAGTGCTGTCACTTAGTGACATAGTTTTGCCATCTTTGGGTGACTCTCAGTTTCTTCAAAAGTTCTTAGTTTTTATATTGAGCTCCATGTAGCTCTGATCCATTGGCCTTGGTTTTACTGCTCAATTACTTTAAAAAATATACCACCTCATTTGTGTCTAAAATTCAAATTGTTACTGTGACATTTCTCAAAATCATGAGGATATATAAGAGAAATAGAAAGCTTTGTGGGTAAAGCTATAAATAAACTCACCTTCTGTGATTGTAGTTGCTTGCTAACCTATAGTTGTTTTTATTACCGTCCTTGCAACCCAAGTATAAACTAAAGGATCGAAATGCAATATGACTCAACCAAGAAATATCAAATGGAAATATTTATAAATTAAAAAGAAACACACACATACAAACAAAAAAGTAATTCACCAGTTGGTTTCAAAATAGGAGTTCATTGAACATTAATTATTTGCTAGAGTTATGTATGCTTCTTTTATTAAGATTTATCTCAAATTGCTATTTAAAAACCTGCCAGAATCAACTATGAAGTGCATGAATGTGTGAAGGTGACAAAAGTGTGTGTTTTTTTTTTAAATGGTTCCAATGTATAAAACTCCTAAAAATCGCTTTCAGTTAGTGCCTTTTGGAAAATAAGTTAGAAAAACAAGATCAACTAATTTACCATAATTTGAAGAGTGTGCTGACAGGACCATAAATGTTAGTAAAAATTCATATGCATACATGAGAATACAAACCTGGATTTAATTATTTCATACTAAAAGAAGAGATGCACAATTTTATTTATGAAGTTCATATATGAACCCAATGTACTTTTGATAACTCTAAAAGCACTTCATATTGTACTTCCGCAATAATAAGTGCTTAACTACAGAATTTGTAATGACAGTTGGCTAAATGGAAAGTCTCATTGAAGATTACTATTTTCGATCTTCCCTTTTCTGCTCTTCCACGCTTCCCCACCCTGAGATTCCGGTTCATGAGTTCTGAGCTTGGCCCAGGAATCACTATGTCTAGGGAGCACAGTCTGTGATTCCACTGCCAGTGCTACTCTGGTCACCATTTGAGAAAAGACCATAATATATACAGGCAGAATAATTTTCCAAGTCACTTAGTGAGTTTCTTGTTTTTTGGTGGTCAATTTCCAATTTCTAAACCAAAAACCATTATACGTCCTAGTCTTTGTAATGCCACCATTTTTTAAATTAACAATGATAATCATTACTAATTTGAGTGATCTAATTAATCATAAAATGCTGAAAGAAATCTCAGATATGCAGATGTAATTGGGGTAAGGGTTCATATTGCTTATCTAATAAAAAAAACCCTATAGCTTTTATTTTTTTAAAAAACTTTAAATTTTTGGAATGTTTTTAGATTTACACAAAAATTATAAAAATAGTACACAGTGTTCTGACAATACCTCAACCCAGTTTCTTCTATTATCAACATCTTACATTAGTATGGTACATTTGTCACAAACAATGAACCAATGTTAATACATTATTATTAACTAAAGCTCACACTTTATTCATGTTCTCTGTTTTTGCCTAATGTTGTATTTCTGTTCCAGGATCCTATCCAGGATATGACATTAACTTTAGTTGTCATGTCTTCTTAGGCTTTTTTTGGCAATCATAGTTTCTCAGACTTTTTGTTGTTTTTGATGACTTTGAAAGTTTTGAGGAGTATAGGACAGGTAAATTATAGGATGCTCTCTCTTGGAATTTGTCTGATGACTTTCACATGATCAGATTTGGGATACCCATTTTTGGTAGTGATATGGTTTGGCTGTGTCTCCCCCCAAATCTCATTTTGAATTCCCACATATTGTGGAAGGGACCCAGTGGCAGGTAATTGAATCATGGGGCAAGTCTTTCCCATGCTGTTCTCGTGATTGAGAGTAAGCCTCACAAGATCTGATGGTTTAAAAAGAGGAGTTCCCGTGCACAAGCTCTCTCTCTTTGCCTGTTGCCATCCATGTAAGACATGACATGCTCCTCCTTGCCTTCCACCATGATTGTGAGGCTTCACCAGCCATGTGGAACTGTAAGTCCAATTAAACCTTTTTCCTGTATTAATTACCCAGTCTCAGGTATGTCTTTATCAGACTAATACAGGTAGGAAGAGCACAGAGAAAAAGTGCCATCCTCATCACATCTCATCAAGGATACATACTATCAAAATGACTTGTCACTGTGGATGTAATCCTTGATCACCTCACGGAGTCAGTGTTTGTCAGATTTCTCCACTGGAAAGCTACTCTTTTTGATCCTTTCCATGCTGTATGTATTCTTCAGAAGGGAGCCGTTCTATGCAGCCCACTCTTCAGAAGTGCAGCATTATGCTCCATCTCCTCGGGAGCAGGGTATCTACGGAAATCACTTGGAATTTTTATGTCCAGGAGATTTGTCCATTTCCTCTTATTTAATATTTAATGATTTATATCAACATAGGTTCATGGTTTTAAAATATATTTTGGGTTATAATCCAACCTTACTTTATTCATTTTGTTCAAATGACTCTTGCCACTGTGATCATTTGACACGTCTCCATCTCTGTGAATTGTTGGAGGTTTTGTTTTGGTTTTTGAGCACTTTACTTTCTGGCACTACGGGGTGTTCTAGGTTCATCATCTATATTTCCTGCCCCAGTCTTGGAATCAGTCATTTCTCCAAGAAACTAGTTCCTCTCATCAGAGGAAGGTTTTAGAAACTAAGATCTTGGCACTAGATGTGCTGTTTGCTGGTGGAGTGTCACATCTTTTAGGTCCTCTCTGGTGATAAAACAAAGAAATGTATATGTGTATAATTTATGTATAGGCACCGTCTACAAATATTTCTATATGGGACCATTTTTATCTACACTAAACTAAGCATACGCTAATACTGATGTCTCCAATTCTAATCTACTATGACATGGATCTTCTATCTGCTACTCTTTGCTTAACTGTAAATTCCCTCTCTAACAGTAAGAAACCTTGCTCCCACCATCTGCCATCCACTTAGTTGTTCAAGTCCAGCATACATATACATAACATACATGTATATAACATACATGTTTCAGAATTGTTAACCTATACCCCCATGGGAAACCATTTTATCAACTAGAGTATAGAATTTATGTACAGTTCTTTTTGCCATTAGTTAGTCTTACAGACTCCACTCATTTCCAAGGTCAGCATTTTTTACTACAGCTCCCTTCAGTGTGGTTCCTTCATACATTTGTAATACAATTAGATTCTCTTGTTGCATTCTGCATTCCTTCCTGGGATCCCCCCCAACTCTACCCCGGCCTCCTAAATGATCTTTTAAAATTTGCATACATTAAGTTTCCTCTGATTTCTGTAAGTTCTGTGGCTTTTGATAAATGCATAGTAGCATGTACCCATGATTACAGTATCATAAAGAATAGTTTCATCATGGTAAAAATACTTTCTATGCTTTACCTATTCAATCACCCTTGTCCTCTGTTCTCCAAGAAGCCCTGGGAAAAATTGAACTGTAACTGTCTCCATATTTCTGCTTTCTCCAGAACATCCTATAAACTGAGTCATACAATAGGTGGCCTTTTCAGATAAGCTCAGTAAAAGATTTAGCAATATGCATTTAAGGTTCACATATATGTTTGGGTGGCTTGATAATTCATTATTTTTGTTGCTGAATGGCATTCCATTGCATTGGCATACCATAGCTTGTTTATCAGTTCATCTATTAAAGGACATTTTGGTTGATGGAATCTGGTGGTTAAATACCAAGGTACATGGTTGCTAGATTATATGTTGAAGCTATATTTGGCTTTGTATGAAACTGCTAAATTGGCTTCTAAAGTAGTTGTAATGCTTTGCATTCCCACTACTTCTTATTGCTCCACGTCCTTACCATCAATTACTATTATCAATATATTTTATTTTATTTTTTAGACATTGTAAAATAACTATACTGTGGTATCTCATTGTTATTATTTTTTTTTTGAGATGGAGTCTTGCTCTGTCACCCAGGCTGGAATACAGTGGCGCAATCTCGGCTCACTGCAACCTCTGCCTCCTGGGTTCAAGAAATCCTCCTGCCTCAGCCAAGTGTGTGCCACCATGCTTGGCTAATTTTTGTATTTTTAGTGGAGATGAGGTTTCGCCATGTTGGCAAGCTGGTCTCAAACTCCTGACCTCAAGTGATCCACCTGCCTCGGCCTTCCAAAGTGCTGGGATTACAGGCCTGAGCCACCACACTGGGCCTCTCATTGTTATTTTAATTAACATTTTCCTAATGACAAAAGATGTTGAGCATCTTTTCATGTGCTTTTTCTAAGGCTCCTTGTTAAACTTACACAAAAACAAAGGGCAAAACTTTTGCTATAGTTCTGTAGAAGTTTGAGGACTTTTCAACATCTCTCATGGGAGCACTTACCTGTCCTATCTTAAGGCCACTTGTGGCTTAGAGTGAAATTTCTTGACACTAAATTATTTGGTAAAAGATGCTCACTCTTCTAGTATAACCTGCAAAAGCAATTAAGAGTGATGAAAAATGTCACAATTTAATAATAGGTCTGAAAATGATTTACTTATTTAGATAATACAAATATTTTGTTATATAAAGTAGCATCAATATATGCATATTCAAATAATTTTATGCAAATTATTTTTTACACTTCTGATGATTTTTAATTCATTTATGAACAAGGAGCCTTAGAAAATCAGTTTCTTTTAATTGGAAGTGGTTCTTAAAATCTTTAGCATTTCTAAAATTTGTTCATGATTAAAAATCCTAATTAAAGGAGCACAACTTCAACTCAGAACAAATTTAGGGTAATTCTTTTTTCTGTTTTGATTCATAACAATCATTTTTAATTTATTCATTGGATTACTGTTTTCCAGATAGCAGTATTTTGATGACCCTTACACAATTTTTAGCTGTATGTATGTCTCATCTATCCATTTGTTTACTGCACATTTTGTTACATTTTATTAAAATGAGTATATTAAAATAACTTTATATCACTGCCATGCATTTAAAAACATCTCACTTGACATAAGTAGAAAGTAACTATAAAGGTAAATATAATTACAATTAAGTTTTTATGTAAGTAATGCTAAATCTAATCAATTTGCAAAATTGCATACCTAAAATAACATTACTCAATGAGAAAAATGATAATTTTTTGATTAATTCAACAATAAAATCACATTTGGTTGGCATGACGTGAAGATGTAGTTCCTGGAAAAAACATTTTTGCTTTTTTAGAGTTTTTATGTTAACTAAAGAATCAAAACTTTAAGTATTGGATCATAAAGGGTAATAAACAATTACTTAGTCTCTGATACATTAAGATACTGATGATCAATTCCTTAAAAATATGCTACCTTTGCCCTCACATGATAAGAAAAAGTTGCTTATCTACTACTCACCAGTGTCTTCTGAGTTGGAAAATGTTATGAAGACCTTTTTTTTTTCAAATCTTTCCAGTCCCTTTTTATAAGAATCCAAATGATTTTAAAGCAAATTCTTCAAAACAGTTTATAAACAGCCGGAACAACCAAAAGACTCCAACTCAGGCTGATCAGAGATGTATGTATACTCCAAAGTATGTGATTATATCATATTGGCTTTATACAGAGACAAACTTGACTTCTAAGAAAACATACCCAATAGTTAGTGAGATCCCTAATATTCTGGTTCTCAGGATTTTTTCACATGGAGTAGGCTTCAACCTCCCTTGAAGTTAAGCCACGTGACTTGTTTTGGTGAGTGAAATGACGTGGGTTACTCCCGTACTGAAACTATTAAGAGCCAGGGCACAATTCCTTACACTTTCCTTCCTTTCCCCTGGCAATTGGCAATGTTCTGATGGTGGCAATCTGGCATGGCATGTGGGGTTCTAAAATGAAGGCCACCATTGTGGAGCAGAGCCCTGGTCAAACTAAGAAGGTCATATATCATGTTTTCCAAGTCAAAGACAACTGAGAATTGCTTACTGGCAAAGCTTAACATAGCCCATTCTGACTAATGCACACACATTGAGATTTCTCAAATGAGCAGATATATTTGCAAAATTTAATTTGCAAATTTGTGCTCATAAATATTACTGATTAAATATTTCTTTCAGAGGAATATGAAGTTTGCATTATCTAACGTAACACTGAAGACTTTCTGAGTGAAAAGTCAACGTGCTTCAGTCTGGAATAGTAGTTATTTGTAAACATTCTCCATCTCTTCACAAAGCTGAGCATAGTTAAGTATTTAGAGGTCTTCCCTTGATATAAATGATCATTTTAACAGATTTAAAAATACTTCTCCTGAAAACATTGTGCATACCAAATGGGATAAAAACTTCCTTATGTTTTCAACCCAGAATATATTTTTCTTCTGTTGTAACAGCTTAAATGCCTGAAACAGGTTTTCTTAGCATACCAGAGGTGTTCTTAGTGTCAGTGCTTAACCCAGTATATCATTTTTAGTCTGTGTTACTATTTGAGATGAAGCTGTCAATTCAAAATCTATTCTATAGTCATAGATATTTTCAATGTTTGCCTAAAAATTGTCTTCATATAATTCTTTATTCATTCATATTTGAAAAACAACTATTAATAAATATTACTTTGCCATACTTAAGAAAGTAGTCATTTCTTTGGTTTCTGTCAATATCTGTAACACTAAAATAAGCTCACCTTTTTGGATGAAATAATTTTATTAATCATTTTATTTTTTCTGTGTCCAAATATAATTTTTATCATTTTATTTCATAGCAAGTTTACTAAAGATTCTGTCAATATTACAGATTTTCTAGTTTGTATGTTTTAAAGTGACACTATATGTATGTATTCTAATGATTTTTGCATTTGTTCCTTATTGGGGAAAACTTATTCAGATAATTGAATTTTTTTACACTTCATTCCAAATATTTTGATAGATTTTCCTTAGTATTTTGGGTACTTGAAAATTTTACTTGAGATGGATTCGTTTAATTTGTGTTTCTAAATACATGATTCAAAACAGAATGCAGTAAATCACATTGCTAGATCATAAAAGTAAGAAGCATAAAATATTTCGATACATTTTAATGACATTTTAGTTTTATTTGTAGATGATAGCTATAAAAAACACAAAGTAACTGATTTACTTTGTCCTCATAACTCTTTGAAGATACATGACTGATTTAAACACCACCAGTATTACTACTCACATTTATTTCCATCACTCTCTTTGCCTTCATGCTTTAAAAACTCATTCTCTTTTAAGTCATTCATCCATGATGGGATTAACCAGCAGCAAAATAAAACACAAAACCAACAAAAATATCACTGATAAGTTTGATTCCAATTCACAATTATGCATAATAAAAATATTTTTTATAATCAATGACTGTCAACCTCCAGAAATGACAAAGTGCAGCTGAAGAAAAATGCATCAATGTGGTTGCAAATTCAATATTTAATAATCCTTAGTTGAAATCCACATTATTTAAACTTTGCATCCCTTTAAAAAACTATGGTGCATGTGTCAGTTTCTGTAGGTTTGAGGCATCGGGGGTAGGTTTGAAATTCCAGGATAGGCCGGGTGCGGTGGCTCACGCCTATAATCCCAGGACTTTGGGAGGCCAAGGCGGGCGGATCATGAGGTCAGGAGATCGAAACCATCCTGACTAACACGGTGAAACCCTGTCTCTACTAAAAATACAAAAAATTAGCCAGGCGTTGTGGCACGCGCCTGTAGTCCCAGCTACTCGGGAGGCTGAGGCGGGCGAATCGCTTGAACCCGGGAGGTGGAGGTTGCAGTGAGGAGAGATGGTGCCACTGCACTCCAGCCTGGGAGAAAGAGTGAGATTCCATCTCAAAAAAAAAAAAAAAAAAGAAATTCCAGGATGAATCCATTAAGTGGTTAACTCTCACTACGGATACTTTCTCCATTGCAATAATATCTGGGAGATCATATGTGTTACATAATAGTTATATTTGTTTCTAAAACATATTGTTTTGTTGCTTTATAACAAGCCACTCCAAAACTTAGTATCTGAAAACAATCACCATTTAATTATTTTCAGAATCCTATGATTTGACTTAGCTGGATAGATCTTTTGCTTTTCTCAGTTAAAGTCTTTCATGCAGCAGCAGTTTTAGGTGATTGGGGCTGGAATGTCCATGATGGCTTCACCAACATGTCTGGTGACCTGATGTGGATGGTTCTGGAAAGCAGGGCTCACCTGTGGCAATGGTATGGCTTACCCCCTTGCAATGTAGTTTTGAGGCCTCTTCCTCTCCATGAGGTCTATGTAGTCTCCTGCATGGTCCTTTCAGCGAGGTAGCTTAATATCTTATGTGGTGGGTCAAGGCAGTCTTATGTGGTGGTCTCATATAGTGGTTCAAGGTGAGCTACAAAAGACCAAAACCAGAAGATGCCAAGACTTTTTAATTTTAGGCCTGGAATTGACAAAACATTACAAAGGTGAGACAGAAATGGCAACAATGCAATAGTAATAGTCAATTTATTTCAAAAGGGGAGTTGGAAAGGCATATAACAGGCACTGGTCCATAGCGATCCTTAATTCAGACAAATACATGTTGACACTTGCCCTAGTTCTGAGCAAGAAATACATGCCTTTGTAGACTCAGATCTGCACTCCATGAGTGATTCTCCTAATTTCTTAGCTCTGTCTTCTAGACTTTTGGTTCTGATAACCGAGTGTATTCTTCCTTTTGAATGAGAAATGGCCTGCACTTACAGTGTAATGTTATTTCTCAGTATGCCTTCTGTCTTTGGAGATATAGGACTCTTTCTGAATGATCTGTGTATCCTTTAGTCTGAGTTAGTATGGGTCCTAAGTGAACTTTTAAAACTATGTATTAAATTATAAATTATAAAAATATAAATATTCATTAAACAGAAGCCACAAGCACATATCTCTTCAATATCTCTTCAGTACAGGTCTGTCTTGACTTTGGGTCATGGATCAACTTAGTATGGAATGATATCCTTACAATATTCTTAAAAGCTCTCTTAGACATCTTACTACCTATCAGTGAGGGTGCATGAGGAATGGCCTTATGTTCATAGAAGTCATATATATATATGATGGTCTCCATACCTAGACTTAAAATTTTCTTACTTTTTAAAAAGAGTCTTACAGATGCAACCCAGGTCTTTACCTGAGGCCACATTTTACTAAGAATGTAACGTTTGCACTAAAGCCAATTATTATTTTGTGAGTCTTTTTCCAAAAGAGGATTAGTATGAGAAACAGTTGTATTTTCATATTTAACAAGTCCTGACTTCATTATATTCTCTCTAAATGCTGTTTGAAAACCAAGCAGTTACTTCTGTAGCTTATCTAACACCTCTCATACTTTATCAAAGGTGGCCCAAGAAAGGCAATTGGCACATTCAGCTTTCTGCCTATATATCTCCTTAGATCAAATCAGAAGTTCCTTAGGTGTCTTTTCTATCTTCTACGTGATCTTGGAAGACGTTTTATTAGTTTTTTAACATCATATAACTTGGGTTCCCTTTTCTCCATCTGCCCATCATGATTTCCTGGCTGTCTTATCAGGCAGGCTTTATTAACAATACCCTCGGTGCTTCTAGTCTCTGCCTCCTACGTGTTAACAAAACTCATGCCACATTTTTTTTTTTTTTGCCATGGCAGTATCTACTTTGGATACCAATTTCTGTTCTGAATATTTATTGCAGTGCAATAAACTGCCCCCAAAATATGTGTATTAAAGGATAATTTTGATATTTCTCATGATTCAAGAATTGGCTGGTGCTCAGCTGGCTGGTACTTCTGCTGGTCTCACTTACAATCTGCTTTGTCATTGCAGTTAGATGGTGCTGAGGTTGAAATCTTTTTTTGTTCTTGGAGATTTTTATTTGTGCCACTGGTGCCTGGGTAAGAATAGCTGAACCTCTGGGCTCAGCTGGGACACTGGGATGCTGGGGCTTTCTCTCTATTCATGTGGTCCCAAGGCTTCTCTCTTCACATGGCTTTCCATGTGGTTTATCCACATAGTCTTTGTAGCAGGGGAGCCATATTTCTCAGTCGGTAACTTAGAGCTCTCTAAATCACAGAAAGTAAAAAGGAGAGAGCTTTTTTAAAGATTAAGTCTGGAAATGGCACAGCATCACTGTGCCACATTCCATTGATTAAAGTAGTCACAAGACTTGTCTAGATTCAAGGGGGTAAAGGACTAAATAATGACATGAATATAGAAAGAAATGATTCATTGTGGACTATTTTTGAAGTCCAGTTACCACACATGTTAGTATAAATATTAGTTATTAGACAGTGTTATGCTATGTATTAGCTAAAATAATATTTTGTTCCATCAGTAGTGTGTGACTTGCTTTTTGGAAAACACTGGCTTAGGTGTGTTAACATTGTGTCATACATTTCTCTAGAATCACCAAAGCAAACTTTACATATATGTTGCATTGTACAACATAGCATATATTTTTAAGCTACCATTGCAATGATTTCTCAGATATTCATAAATTGGTTTTCTCTTCTTTTTAGTTAATGTACCACAGACATTTCATATTCTAGTGAAAATAGTTTGCTGCCAGCAATGTCATAAAAAATGACTAAACAGATTGTCAGAGCCTTCTTCAGGAGAGTCCAGGGGCACTTAATAATCTAAGGAGATAGAAAAATGATGTTTATTGGATAAAAATAGAGTAGACAGTATGTAACAACCTTAATTTAAATATTTATAACAAAATAATATGCTTCATTACACAGCTACACTATAGGTATAAAATTGCCTGAAGGCCATTAATTATGCTCCATAAAATAAAATATCATTTAAAAATAAGCTTTACAGAACATACAAATATGCCAGTTAATTTAATGTTAATATTTGTAACATGTCTTAAAAACACATAAATTTTCACCAAAAATACTTTTTTTTTTTGTAAATAGAGATGCTAAGTAAACTATTACTCTTGCAAAATACAATCCTTTTGTTGATCTGCTATTGACATTATTGGCCACAGCATTTGAAGTTTCATGATAAATGTAAATTTAAATGTGGTATCAAGTGAGCAGGTTTTAGCTGACAACAAACACCAATACTATCTGCACTGTCTGGGAGCTGGGAGATAGACGCACTTAGCTTGCTGATGTTTTCACTGGTGCCTGAAATGGCTTGGGAGGCTGATGTTTGGCCTGTCACTGCTACTACCACTACCAATGCCACATATACCACCCAGGGTCCCAAGGGCCCAGCTGCCTGGAACACTGTTGCTACTACTGGCATCTGAACATATCAATTAGAGGCCTGAGGATCAACCCAACAAGACTCGCTATTCCTGGTGCCAAGTTTCATTAACAATACCCTCAGTGCTTCTAGTCTCTGCCTGCTACTTGCTAACAAAACCCATACCACATCTTTTGCTATGGCAGTACCTACGTCTGATACTAATTTCTGTTCTGGTTATCTTTTGCAGTGCAATAAACTACCCCCAAACTAAGAGTATTTTAAAAAGTTGCTATTTCTCATGATTCAAGAGTTGACTGGTACTCACTCAGCTGGATGTCACTTTTGCTGGTCTCACAATCTGTTTTATAACCAGAGGCCTGTAGATCTGCATGGTGTCCTGCCACCACACCACTACTGGTGCCTGAGGTTTGGCACACTTCATGTCCCTGTGGCCAAAAAAGCCTTACCACAACCTCCAGTAATATCTGTAGGCTAAGCCACTGAGAAACTTAAATATGCCACTGATGTTGATTATAGCCAAAGAAATCATAGGGAGACTACACTACCGCACCAACCCCAAATCAAATGCAAAGCACTCTGTCCTACCAAGACTATAGATATAAATATATAAAAAAAGTATTTTCCATGAAAACCAATTCATAAAATTGGAAGAAATGACTGTTACATCAGAAATGCAGATATCAGTGTAAGGACACAAGAAACATTAAAAAATAAGGAATCATGACAAAAACAAAAAAAAATCTTAAGGAATAGATCCCAAAGAAAGGAAAATCTATGAAATGCCTGAAGAAAGAATTCAAAATCATTATATTTTTAAAAATCAGTGAGATAAAGGAGAACAGAGATAAACAATACAAAGAAATCAGGGAAACAATTCATGATCTTAATAAGAAATTCAATAGAGATAGATATTATTTTAAAAAACACAAGCAGAAATAAGAGAACTGAAGAATTCAATGTAGGGGATAAAAAACATAATTGAGAGCTTCAACAGTAGAATATCAAGCAGAAGAAAGAATTTCTGAACCTGAAGGCAGGTCTTTTGAACTAACTCAGCCAGAAAAAGAAGTATAGTAAAGAATGAGGAAAGCCTATGTGACATATGAAACACCATAAAGCACTAAATAATCAAATTTGGGGAATTCAGAAAGAAGAGATGGGCAAAGACATAGAAAAGTGATTCAATGAAATAATAGCTGAAAACTTCCCCAAGTCTTGCATGAGACACAGACATCCAGATACAGGAACTTCAAATACACCAAAATAGATTTAACCCAAAAAGGTCTTTTTCAATGCACATTATAGTCAAACTGCCAAAAATCAAAGACAGAGAGACTTCTAAAAAGAGTTAGAGAAATGTGTCAAGTTACATGTAAGGGAAGCCCCATGAGACTAATAGCGGATTTCTCAGCAGAAAGCATACAGGCCAGGAGAGAATGTGATGATGATACATTCAAAGTGCTGAGAAAAAAAAAGAAAATAAAAAAACCTGCCCTGCTATTCCCAGCAAAAGTATACTTCAAAATTAAAAGAAAAATAGCCTTTCCCAGACAATGACTAAGGGAATTTATCATCACTGGACTGGCCCTACAAGAAATACTTAAGGGCCTCCTGCATCTGGAAGTTAAAGGGAAATATTTACCATCATGAAAAGACATGAAAGTATAAAATGCCCTGATAAAGCATACTAACAAATGAGAAAGAAAGAAGTTCAAAATTATCACTACAAGAGGGCAAGAAATCATAAAGATGAAAAGAAAGAAAAAAATATACAAAATTTCAAAAATTGACAAAATGACAGGAGTAAGTTCTCACCCATCAATAAAATTCTTGAGTGTAAATGGTTTCTATACCTTGATTAAAAAAATTAACAATAGATTGTTTTAAAAGAACCAACTATGTGCTTCCTACAAAAATTTCACTTCATCTGTTATATTATTCCATTCTCACACTGCTATAAAGAACTACCTGAGACTAGGTGATTATGAAGTGAGAGGTTTAATTGACTCATAGTTCTGCAGGCTTAATAGGCAGCATGACTGGGAGGCCTCAGGAAACTTACAATCATGGTGGTATGCAAAGGGGAAGCAAGCACATCTTACCATGGTGGAGTGGGGTTGAGGGGGAAGTGCCACACACTTTTAAACCATCAGATCTCATGAGAACTCATTCACTATCATGAGAGCAGCATGGGGGAAATCCACCCCCATGATCTAATCACCTCCTACCAGGGCCCCACCTTTAACACATGGGGATTACAATTCCACATGACATTTGAGTGGGGACATAGAGCCAAACCATATGACCTGTAAAGACAACCATATACTAAAAGTGAAATAATAGGAAAAAAATATTCCAAACAAGTAGAAAACAAAAGCATACAAGAATAGCTATACTTTTATCAGACAGAATAGACTTTAAGTCAGAAAACCTAAAAAGAGGTAAAGAAGGTCACTATATAATGACAAAGGAATCAATTTAGCAACAGAATATAGCAATTATAAATATAAATGCACTCAACATCAGAGCACCCAGATATATAAAGCAAATATTGTTAGAGCTGAAGAGAGAGATCAACCTCAATACAGTAATAGTTGGGGATTTAACATCCCATTTTCAGCAGTGAATACATAATCTGGACCAAGTTTCCCAACCCCTGGTACTGGTCCGTGGCCTGTTAGGAACCCAGCCACACAACAGAAGGTGAGTGGTGGGCCAGCGAGCATTACCACCTGAGCTCTGCCTCCTATCAGATCAGTGGTGGCATTAGATTATCATAGGAGTGTGAACCCTACTATGAACTGCGCATGCAAAGAATCTAGGTTGCATGCTTCATATGAGAATCTAACCAATGCCTGATGATCTGAGGTGCAACAGTTTCATCCCAAAACCTTCACCTCTGAACTGCCCCTCCACATCCCACCATCTGTGGAAAAACTGTCTTTCATGAAACAGGTCCTTCGTGCCAAAACGGTTGGCGATCACTGGTCTAGACAGGAAATTAACAAAAAATATCAGACTTCATCTTCAATATACATCATATAAACTTAACAGACATTTATAGAACATTTCATTCAATAGCAATGTACACATTACCCTAATTAGTACAGGGAGAATTTTCCAGTATAGTCCATATATTAGGCCACAAAAGAAGCTTCAGCAAATTTATAAAAACTGAAACCATATTGAATATCTTCTCAGACCACAGTGGAATAAAGCTAGAAATCAATAATAAAGGGAACTTTGGAAACTCTACAAACATATGGAAATTAAACAACATGCTCCTGAATGAACATTGAGTCAATGAAGTAATTAAGAAAAACTAAAAATATTTCTTGAAACAAATGAAAATGGAAGCTCAACATACCCAAACCAATGCCATACAGAAAAAGCAGTGCTAAGAGAGAAGTTTATAGCAAGAAATGTCTACCTAGAAAAAGTAGAACTATTTCAAATAAACAACCTAATGATTTACCTCAAGGAACTAGAAAAGTAACAAGAGACAAAACTCAAAATTATTAGGAGGAAAGAAATAATACAGATCAGAGCACAGAACTAAATGAAATCCATAGTAAAAAAAAAATACAACAGATTAACAAAACTAAAACTTGTTCTTTTGAAAATATAAACAAAGATAAACAAATTTTGAAAAGATAAACAAAAATAAATCACTAGCTAGGCTAACCAGGAAAAAAGAGCGAAGACCCAAATAAATGGAATCAGAAACCCAAACAACTGATACCACAGAGCTGCAAGGGATCATTAGAAACCACTATAAACGACAATGTGCTAACAAAATGGAAAACCTAGAGGAAATGTATAAATCCCTGGACATACACAAACTACAAAGATTGAACCAAGAAGAAATATAAAACTAAACAGAACAATAACAAGTACAAGATTAAATTAGTAATAGAAAGTCTTCCAAAAAAAGAAAAGTCTAGGACTGGATGGCTTTGCTGTTGAATGCTACAAAACTTGTAAGGAAAAACTAACAGCAATTATTTTCCAATTATCAAAAAAAATAAAGAGGAGGGAATTCTTCCTAAATCCATGTATTTTTATCTTTATTTTTTAGAGGTGGGGCCTTGCTATGTTGCAGGGATGGCATTGAACTCCTGGGCTCAAGCAATCCTCCCACATTAGCCTCTTGAGTATCTGAGACTATAAGTGTATGCAACCATTCCCAGCTTTTCTAACTCACTCTCATGAAGCCAGCATTACCCTGACACTAAAACTAGACAAAGACACAACAACAACAAAAAAGAAAACTGCAGGTCAATATCCCTAATGAACGTAGATACAAAAATCATCAAAAAAATACTAGCAAGCCCAACCCAACAGCATATCAAACAAATAATACAACATGATCATGTGGAATTTATCCCCAGAATGCAAGGATAATTGAACATATGCAAGTCAATAAATGTGATACATCATATCAATAGAATGAAGGACAAAAATCATATGTTCATTCCAATATATGCAGAAAAAGCACTCAGTAAAATTAAACATCCCTTCATGATAAAACTCTCAACAAATTAGACATAGAAGAAGCAAACCTCAATATAATGAAGCCTATACAAGACAATCTCCCAACAAGCATTACACTGAATGGGGAAAAACATTTCTTCTAAGAAGTGGAACAGTATCCTGGAGAGGATGCCCATGTTCACTACTATTATTCAACATATTAGCGGTAATCATAGCCAGAAAAATCAGGAAAGAGAAAGAAAGAAAAGATCTCCCCATTGGGAAAGAGGAAGCCAAATTGTTCCTCTTTGCAGAAGACATGATCATATACATAGAAAAACTGGAAGATTCCACCAAAACCTCTTAGAAATGATAAACAATTTCAGTAAAGTTGCAGAATACAAAATCAACCTACAAAAATCAGTAGAATTTCTACACTTCCATAATAAACTAGCTGAAAAAGAAATCAAGAAAGCAATCTCATTTGCAACACCTACAAAAAGTAATAAGAAACCTAGGAATAAATTTAGCCAAGGAGGTGAAGACATCTACAGTGGAAACTGCAAAACACTGATGAAAGAAATTGACACTGACACAAGTGAATGGAAAGACATTCTGTCCTCATGGATTGTAAAGGAATTTAACACAAATTTACTAATTATTCCTTTGGGTGTTATCTCATGGTTGCAAGTATTAAATGTCATTATAAGTAATGTTTATAGATCAATAGAATAATGTTTAAAGATCAATCCACTAAGCAATAGACTAAGTAGTTATCTGTGGAGACCACAAATATACACCTATAGAGAACTAGATAAAGAAAAGAAACTGTTACCGTGTTATTGAACATGGATTCTTGTGCCATAAAACAAATAGAAAGTTATAATATCATCCCTGTTTCAAAATTCTGCATCTAAAACCATGTTGGCAAAAGTAAAAATAATGTATATTTTAAAGTCACGTTAGATCACTCAAAACACGGCTTTAGTAATAAAAAAAACATTTGAAAAAGGAAGGTAAAGAGTTAAATAAAACATTTTTTGGAAATGTTATAATGAAATAATATGGTCTTTTTTTAGTTTAAATTATTATTTATTTATTTATTTGTTTATTTATTTATTTATTTTGAGACAGAGTCTTCTCACTCTGTTGCCCGGCTGGAGTGCAATAGCGCTATCTCGGCTCACTGTAACGTCCGCCTCCTGGGTTCAAGCGATTCTCTTGCCTCAGCCTCCCGAGTAGCTGGGACTACAGCCGTGCGTCACTATGTCCAGCTAATTTTTTTATTTTTAGTAGAGACGGGGATTCACCATGTTGGCCAGGATGGTCTCGATCTCCTGACTTCAAGTGATCTCCCCGCCTCGGCCTCCCAAAGTGCTGGGATTACAGGCGTGAGCTACAGCGCCTGGCCTTAAATTATCTTTTAAATAAACATTTCAGACATCCAGAAGAGCACAATGAAAACATCACAATATGGCCACTACTCAGCTCTGTCAAATTCAGCATTTTTCATAATGTTCCAGATTACTTTTTAATTTAAGGGAGTCTAACTTACCAATTTTTTTTCATGAACTGTGCTTTTTCTGTTGTGTCTAAAAAGTCATCACCAAACTTATGATCACCTAGATTATCTCCTATGTTATCTTCTGAAAATTATATAGTTTTGCGTTTTACATTTAGGTCTATGACCCATTTTGAATTAATTTTTTGGGAAGGTGAAAGGTCTGGGTCTAGATTCATTTTTTTTTTTTTTACTTGTGGATGTACATTTGTTATAGTATAGATGTGATGATTACATTAATTGATTTTCTATTGTTAAACCACACTTACATATTTGGCATACATATAACTTTTTAAAGAACTAAAGTAATATAAATTAATTGAGTACTTATCATCTAGTACTTAAAATTGTGCAGTTTGTACTTATCAAATTAAAAAACAGAGCATTCTCTGTCAACTCTAGTCAAGTTAAGAATTTTGACCACTCCAATGGGTGAGAAGTGATATGTTAGTGTGGTTTTAGTTTGAATTTCTTTTATTATGAGTTAAGAAAAGAATATATATATATATATATAAAGATAAGAATATATATATTAAGATAAGAATATATATATATTAAGAATATATATATATATAAACATACATATATATGTTAATAGCCAGCATGGTCACATTTTTTTTTTCTGTGAACTGTTCATTTCTTTTGCCTATTTTTCAACCAGGGTTTTGGTCTTTACCTGTGATATAACTTGCACATTTAGGTTTGTTTTGCCATGTTTCTGATAACTTTATCTAGCCAAATTTATTCTTTTTCTTTCATTGCTTCTAGATTTTGAATCACATTCAGGTAGAGTTTTGCTACCCTAAGTATAAAGGAATTCATTCATTTTTCCGCTAATACTTACGGAAATTATTATTTGTTCATTTAGATTTCTGATGTCTTTGGACCTTATCCTTGGTAAATGGTGGAAAGTATGAATTCAACTGTATTTTTTCTAAATGACCATTACTTCCCCCCCTTAAAAAGAAAAGCTCAGTTTTAAATTTTATTACTTTGTACAAATCTTTTTTGCTTTTTTTTTTTTTTTTTCCTGTTCCCTTCCTCCATTTGACATCGGTAAAAGTTTTGAGCATCATGAAATTGATTTGGCTGCAAAGGAAGTAACAGTACAAAAACAAAATGAAACAAATACCAAAAAGGCAAACAGAAAACCCTAAATAAACCCTCAAGTTTGGTCTTGGGGGTTTACATATCACAACAAGAACCGTCAACTCAACCCCCATGCAAGGTGACTCCTAGGAGAGCTGTTGGATCCACACCAATACAGGAGACTGCGCACAACGTCTTTTCTTAATTAACACGGCAAGTGTGACACTAGGTAACTTTTTTTTTTTAATACAGTACATGATACACAGGGTCACCAAGGTGACCCTGCATAAACCCCTCGTGAAGACTTGAGCCAAGCACTGGCTGTTTTCTGTAAAAATATTGTGTTGCTACAAAAGTGTAAATAAATGCTGCTGCTATTAAGAAATATTAAACACATCAAACTTATACAGATTAAGAAAAATATTACTTAATATCCGTAGAAAACTCTGGCCTAAAAAAGACATTTTTGTGTGTTTTGTTTTTGTGAAATATTTTTGTATTTTTTTAAAGATGCTTTGAGTTTCTTGCACTTGAAGAGAGAGACACAGTCAGAAGTGTCTATGGTATTGCCTAGAAAATCTTAACTACTGAGAAAGGATGGCGCGGGGGCGGGGGGGGGGGCAGGTGCACGCACGTGGTTAACCAGTGGGGAGCGGGGAGGGGCATCAAGGCTTTTTCAAGACTTACCTGATGTGAACGGATCACTGATGTGAATTCGTGGGGAAAAGAAAAAGGTAGGATTAGAAAACAACTGAAAATTATTTACACTTCTTAAAAAGTATCTCAGCAGCCAGGCGCAGTGGCTCACGCTTCTAGTCCCAGCACTTTGGGAGGCCGAGGTGGGTGGATCACCGGAGATCAGGAGTTCGAGACCAGCCTGACCAAAATGGTGAAACCACGTCTCTACTAAAAATACAAAAATTAGCCGGACGTGGTGGTGTGCGTCTGTAATCCCAGCTACTCTGGCGTCTGAGGCAGGAGACTGGCTTGAACCCAGGAGGTGGAGGTTGCAGTGAGCCGAGATTGCACCATTGCACTCCAGCGTGGGCGACAAGAGCTTAACTCCATCTCAAAAATAAAATAAAATAAAATAAAAAAATAAAAATGAAAGTACCTCTGTGATTTCCTGATGCTTGGGATCTGAATGGCCCTGGAGGAGCTACCTGACCCAGCCCCGCCGTGTGGTTCTCATTCTCCTGGCTGGTGAGGCCCAGCCCCGGGTCAGTCCACGAGCTCGGTTCACTGCTTGGGATGCCGCCCACTGGCTGGGCGGGAGGGAAGGTCCTAGGCAGAGACCAGCTGGTCTCTGTGGGAAGAGCCCCTCCTTCTGACTAGTCTCAGACCCCATTGTCTGTGGCAACCTAGAGTTCAGGAAGTGCCACAGAAATCCTAGGCCCCTGAGGTTTCAGACAAGGCTCGGCTGTGCCCTTTTAAGGAATTTTGGTTTGAAGAGTCAAGGTGCCCTGTGGGACACATAGGTGGGCAGGGCCCTCGTGGGTCGTGATGCTAATGCCCAATTGCAAACCTAGCAAATCCTTCTCTGAACAAGAATTGATCTTTAAAGCAACCTTCGTGGTGGTGTGGTGGTGTGGTGAGGTGGTGCTGTGGTGGTAGTGTGGTGGTGTGTGGTGGTGTGGTGGTGTGTGGTGTGTGGTGGTGTGGTGGTGTGTGGTGTGTGGTGGTGTGGTGGTGGTGTGGTGGTGGTGGTGTGGTGGTGGTGGTGTGGTGAGGTGGTGGTGTGTGGTGGTAGTGTGGTGGTGTGGTGGTGGTGTGGTGGTGGTGTGGTGGTGGTGTGTGGTGGTGTGGTGGTGTGTGGTGGTGTGGTGGTAGTGTGGTGGTGTGGTGGTGGTGTGTGGTGATGTGGTGGTAGTGTGGTGGTGTGGTGGTGTGTGGTGGTGATGTGGTGGTGTGGTGGTGAGGGTGGGGAGATGAATATGTCAAACAGTGACCTGACAACCTTCACCCTCATTAAAGTGGGAGTGGGAGCCTCTTCCACGGAAACCACGAGGTTCCTTCAGTGAAAGCCAGGGCTCCCCTGACCACAATCCTCAAACCCCAATAATAGAGGAAGAAAAACAACTACAACAAAATTCTCTGGAAACCCTGAAAAGGGGAAACTAAAAGGAAAACATAAGAGGGAACACACGGTATATCATTGGTTGACCATAACTGGCCTAGCAAACATTAGCCACGGTGAAGGGGAAGGCCAGCCTCCTTCCCAGTTCTCCCACTGGCCCAGCTGGGCACGGGAGCTGGAGCAGGGCTGGCCGGGACAGAAGCTTCCACCTACTGGCGCCAGGGGACACCTGGAACTTACTTAGTCTCTTGTTTCTGTCAAAACCATCGGCCTTGTTAGGACCCTCCTTAAGATGCAGCCAAGAGAGGCATTGTGGATCTTCCCAAGGCAAGGGCAAAGTTATGAATTTGTGGCAGCTCACTGGGGTATCTCCTTCTCCAGCACATCCATCATGATGACAAGATGTTGGGAGCATCCCAAGTTGAACTATCTCACAGGGCTTCCCTGCTCCATGCACATCCCATCTTCATTTCAAACCCTCCCGACTACCCTGTGCACACCCCGCCCCTCCCCCAGCATCTGTATCCCTAGCATCTCTCCAAATGCCCACTTTTCAAGGAGTCTAGCTCAAGTCCAGGGGAAGCAGGTGGCCTTGCTCAAGAATAGGGGACTCCTAAAGGCAGAGGTTCGGCATCGCAGTGGAAAACACGCCTTGGAGAATTTTTCTCTGGTGTTTCTTTGAAAGTGCAGGTGATGAAGTGGCCATTACCTTTTATTACCAATACAATTTTTCCCATAGTGATTTGAGATTACAGTTTATCATGTACTCAATTTCCATGTGTATTGGGATCTGTTGCTAGCTGTTTTGCTTTCATCATCATTCTATCTGTTCTTCTACCACAATCAAATTTTTAAGTTAGAGTTTTAAGGTTATATTTCAGTATCTGGAAGGGCTACTACCATTCATTTTTCTTTTTCAGGATTTTCTTTCTTCTTCTTCTTCTTTCTTTGAGATGGAGTCTTGCTCTGTTGCCCAGGCTGGAGTGCAGTGGTGCAATCTTGGCCCACTGCAACCTCCGCCTCCCGGGTTCAAGCGATTCTCCTGCCTCAGCTTTCCGAGTAGCTGGGATTACAGGCACACATCACCACTCCCGGCTAATTCGTGCATTTTTATTTTTTATTTATTTTATTATTATTATTATTATTATTATTTTAGTTTTATTATTTTTTAGTAGAGACAGAGTTTCACCATGTTGGTCAGGCTGGTCTCAAACTCCTGATCTTAAGTGATCCGCCCGCCTTGGCCTCCCAAAGTGCTGGGATTACAGGCATGAGCCACTGCGCCCGGCCCTTTTTCAGGATTTTAATTGTTATTCTTGAATGTTTATTTCTTCTTTAAAAACTTTAACATCGAATTGTGACGTTCCTAGAAGAATTTTTTTTTTTGTTTGCGTTTAAATCTACCTTGAGGTTAATTGGCATCAGTATGATTTTGTGTAGCTCGAGACAAAGAGAACAGCTATATTCTTTTTGATGGGTTCTATTTTATGTCTTTTAAGAGTGTTTTAAGATTTTCTTTCTATAAGTTGAGCAATTTTTGTAATTTTTTTCCTAAGCATTCTATTCTGTTGTCATTAAAAATGGAATGTTCTCTTAGTTAAGCTGAGCTCATACTAGAATAAAAAATGGAATATTCTCTTCCATTCTATTTTTAACATGTTATGGTTAGTATGTATAAAGACTGTGATTTTTATACTTTTTTATATTTAGTGAATTGTGTCACTGTGTTTTACATAAATAATTTTATATTATCAGTAAATAGAGATAGGTTTACATGTCGTTTTCTAGTATTGTCCCTCAATTATTTTTCTTTTGTCTGATTACATTGGCTCATGCCTCCAAACCAATGTCAAATTACAGTAAGGATATAGATGTCTTTATTTTTTTCCTGATCTTAGTGGAAATGCCTTTAATGTTTCCATATCAAGTAAGATGCTGCTTTACTTTTTGAGTGTTTTTCTTTAGAATGCTTGTGGAACTATCGAAGGCCTTTTAAACATCCATAAAGATAATCATGTTGCATTTTTTTCCATTTACGTGTATTGATATGATAAATTAATCCATTTTGAAATATTGAACTATCCTTCACTTCATAAATTCCTTTTGGTTGTGGTGTCATTTTTAATGAGATATTAAATTTTTCTTGTACATTTTTTGTGTTTTATAAACCATATTCAATATTGACATTTTCTGAATGTCTTCTTTGTATGCCTTAGGAGAAATGTTTGATTTTTCACTTTAATTTGATAATGAGGTAAGTTATATTATAGTAACTATTTTTCTAATTCTGAATACTTTTAAATTTCTAGAATAAGTTAGATTTGATAATAATACAGTATTTTTATACTCACTGATAAATTCAAATTAGCTAATAGTTCATTCAGTATTTTTGGATCTACACTCACTTTTTAAAAATAATGGCTTCCTGGTATTTGCATCAAGTTTGCATTATTATTTTGTAATTAATTGAGTGGCTTTTTCTCTTACTATATTTTCTATAATAATTTCCTTTTAGTTCTTTTTAAAGTTTGGACTGTGTGTGTATGAGTATGGGTAAGGTATGAGAGTGCATAATTTGAGTGAAAAGAAAGAAATTTGGTTACATTTGGAATTAGCTTAATGCTTGGATATTGATTAAGGTTTCTTATTTCTTCTTGAATTAGTTGGAGTAATTTACTTTTCCTCTAGGGAATGATCTATTTCATCTGAAAATGTTAAATATATTGAAATAGTAAATATTCATAATTTTTCTTACTTTTAAAAATCTCTACATGTTATTTTCTCTTCTTTTATTGTAATAATATTTATTGTGACATTGTCTTTTCGGTTATGAGTTTTTGCAATTATTCCTTAGACTTTTAAAAAAAGGTATTTTGTTTTATTTTCTACACTAATTTTAGTTAGAAACTTAGCTTAATTACCAAATCTAATGGCTAATGCTAGGAATTGATTTTTCTTAACCTATCAGTGTCAATTGACTGGTTAAAACGCTTTCTTCATTTGGCTTCTGGAACATTACCTTTTCTTGATTTCCCTCTTACTTCACTTGTTACTGTTGTTTAGTCTCCTTCATTGGATCATTTTTATTTCCATGTAGTATGATGCCCCTAGGTTTAGTTTTGAACCTCCTCTCATCATATACATTCATCATCTTCTCCAGATCATCTCATTCATTCCTGTGTTGATAAATATCTCCTATATGCTTGTGAGTCCCACATGTACTTATACCTGTTTCCTGAGATTCAGACCCATATCCATCTCCTTACTTGACATATTCATTTGAATGTCTATGAAGCATCTGTGTAATAACATGTTTAAAAAATCACTAAAATTTCCCCTTCTCCCCCAGCTTACCCCATCTCAGGATAGTATAAATTCATTATTTTAGTTACTGGGCCACAGTCTATGGAGTTATCTTGAGTCCTCCCTATCTGTGAAACTCCACTTCCATTTCTTAGCAGGTTCTGTTGACAGTTTCTTTAAAATATATCTAGAATATGACTACTTGTCACTTGTGTCACTACCATTCTGAGTCCAGGCACTGTAGTTTCTTGACTGGCATTCCCAGAACCTAGAAAAATATCTGGATTAGAATATATGTTCATGAATGTATGTGAAGAGTTAAAGAATGTAGTTCTATTTGACTATAACATTCTAGGGCCTAAAGATACTTCACCAATAACATTAATGTTATTTTGTTTATATATGATAATAAGAATACCTGAGAAGCTTAAGTATTGCCCAAAATTATATTCCCATGGTGCCATCTTGTTCTCTTTATTGATTTTAATAGGGTGAATATGGTATTTCGGTATAGAATACATTTATCTTTAGATTTATTGCCTTTTCAAGCACATCATAAATTTTTAAAATTGGATCACCTTTTCTTGGATAGAGAACCAATATTCAATATAATTCAGTTCAATTCATTTCAATATATTTATTGATTTTTCTACTTTGCATAGCAATGTCCCAAATACTGCCAAATACTGTGGTGGATAAAAAATGAGTAAAACACAGTCTACATATCTGAGGGCTTACAACCTAGTCATAGTCCAACCAGAATATACATTTGTTAAAAGATAGAGAAATGGTACCAGAAATGAATAGTGAGAAATCTGGAAAAGCCTAATGAATTAGCCAAAATTTATATGAGGGTTTTGTGGGTCATATTGTGTCCCCCAGAAAGATATGTTAAAGGCTTAAACTCTGCTACCCCTGAGTGTGATCTTACTTGGAAGAGGGATCTTTGCAGATGTAATCAAATTAAGATGAGCTCATGTTTCATTAAAATGTGTCTGAATCCAACATTACTGGTGTCCTTATCAGGAGAGAACACCATGATCAGGAGAGAACACCATGATGCAGACACAGACACACAGGGGAGCACATCATGGAGGGTGGAGGCATAGATTAGAATGATGTATCTATAAGCAAAGGTGTATAAAAGATTTGCAGAACCTAAGGGACAGATTCTTCCTCAGGGGGAACCAACCCTGCAACAAAAACAACAATTTCTGTTATTTTCTAAGCCACACAATTTGTAATACTTTGCTTATGTCAGCCCAAGGAAAATAATACAAATTTTATTACCAGGAGTGGGATGCTGCTGTAATAAATGCTTAAAAAATGTGATAGTAGCTCTGGAATTGGATAATGGATAGCAGCAGGAAGAATTTTATGGTATATGTTAGAAAAACTTAGCCTTAAAGAGATCGTTGGTAGAAATACAAATGTTAAAGGCAATTTTGGTGAATGCTCAGAAATGACAAAGCTTCTTTTATCTTAGAGAGTACATATGTCAACATGAACAGAATGTTGCTAGAAATATGAACGTTAAAGGCGATTCTTGCAAGGCATCAGATGGAAACAAGGAAAGCAGAGCAAAGATGATCCTCATTATAAGATGGTAGAGACTTGGCTAATTGTCTTCTGCTGTTGGGTGTAAAATATAACTTTAGATGATGAACTTGGATATATTGCTGAGATTTCCAAGCAATGTGTGAAAGATGTGACCTTGTTTCTTCTTGCCACATACAGTAAAATGCAAAAGAAAATAAATTGACAAACTCTTAAGCAAAAAGAAACCAGAGCTTGATTATTTGAAAATTTTCAATCTCTCCATGTAACTTGCTCTGGAAACAGGGCCAATGAATTTCTGTAAAATATTTTGGTGGGCCGGGCACGGTGGCTCACACCTGTAATCCCAGCACTTTGGGAGGCCGAGACAGGTGGATCATGAGGTCAGGAGATCGAGACCATCCTGGCTAACATGGTGAAACCCTGTCTCTACTAAAAATACAAAAAATTAGTCAGGCATAGCGGCAGGTGCCTGTAGTCCCAGCTACTTGGGAGGCTGAGGCAGGAGAATGGCATGAACCCGGGAGGCGGACCTTGCAATAAGCCGAGATCGTGCCACTGCACTCCAGCCTGGGCGATAGAGCGAGATTCCATCTCAAAACAAAAATAAAACAAAACAAACAAACAAACAAAATATATATATATATATGAAGAGATTAGGCATGTGACTCACAGATCCAATTAGTCATCTCAACAAAGACACTTCCAGATTGGACTAAGAGGAGAAGAGACACACACATGGAGAGGAAAATGCCATGTGAAGACACAGAGGGCAGACAGGCATGACATCATAGAGATTGGAGTTACGCAGATGCAGATTGGAGTTATGCAGATCTAACACCAAGAATTGCTGGCAACCGCAGAAGCTAGGAGAGAGAGGATGGCCCTCCTGACACCTTGATTTTGGACCTATTGACTTCAGAACTGAAAGAATTTAAGTTTATATTGTTTCAAGCCACTTAGTTTGTGGTAATTTTTATGGCATCCCTAGGAAATGAATACAGGGAGTTTGGTGGTTATGAAGAACTCTGACTCCTTTAGAAGAATAGATTTAGACTCTAAGCCACTAGAGAAAAGTCAAAACACATGCATATTCAGGTAGTAACCAGACTATAATCTCACAGGACAAAATTTAAAAGGAACAGAATCTAGAGAAAGTTTGATACTATTCCTTCAGTATTGTGTGAGAAAAGGACAATGGTGAAAAATACATTTTACATTTCAATTTACATGTTTCACAAAATAACTCTTACCACACCATGATGCATTCTGATTCGTCTGTTCCATTCTATTTTCTTTTGTGTCATAAAAGAAGGCTGACCATGACTAACCAAGGTGATTTCAAGATCAGTCATGAAAAGCATTGTGTGTAAAAACACTCTAGCTCTAGCACTGCCTAACTTCCTTGCACTATTATCAAAGTCAAAAGTAGTCCGCATTTAGCTGGCATAAACTTGGATGCGTTCTCTTAAATTATGTTTTATTACTGATTTCTGCTCTTATTGTTATAGTCATTTAATAGAAAAAAATTGAGAACTACTCATCAAATGGTACATAAGGCACAGTGCCTTCTATGAATAATTTGACATATGTTAATCTACTATTTTCTTGTTCATTACATAAAGAGAACAAGGAGATTTTTCAATCTGTCCAAGTGTTTGTGAATAAATGTTATCATCTTGACTAAACTTTCCAATGTGGTAAAATAGATAAAGCAATAGATAATCTTGTGTTGATGTCATGTATTCTTGGTGAAGATTCAGGTCTTGCTTATTGGGAGAGACAGGGTAATAAAACCACTCAATTAGAGAGAAATTTCCTTGTCTTTAAGAATGTAGCGATTGACAGTGGCAGGACACTGGTAGTAATCCACTCATTAGCTATGGATGTTGCCATGGACACCAGTGCAGTACCGCAAATCATGAGTGGGAGAAAAAGAAAATTATGAGAACCAAGAATAGTTTCTCTACATGAAGTATATATTTCAGAGAGACAATCATTTACTTATGATTTTTTAACTGAGCTTTTCCTTTGTTTCAGACTCTGCTGATCTTCTTTAATGTCAAAGGCTCTCCTGTTAGAAATAGAAAAGAAAGAGTCTGATTTAAACAGTATTGCTGTTGTGTCCTATTTTGATCTTTTGTTTGGTCAGTCTGTAAAAACTTTTAATGCTTACAAAAGGAATTAGAAAATACATGGGCTGTCCTTGATAAACAATCTTCTGACTGATTTGCCCATTTAATACTACAAGTAACATTTGTTGTGGTAGAAATACTAATACTGCAACCTTGCTCCTAAAGAAATTATTTCAACTGGTCAGTCAGTTCTACTTTCAAATATTTCATTCATTCATTCATTCATTCACTCATGTTTACATTTTCATTTATTTCATAGATTGTGATATGAAGTGATAAAGTTCTGAAATAAATGTATATAATGTATTTTCACTATCATTGTAGTCACAAATTTGTTGTTGTATTTGGAAATACTGATGGGGATATTTTTACGTTTTTGTTCTGGACATGATGTATGTATGCAATGCAAAATAAGACCATTGAGCACTTCCTCATAAGGAAAAATCGCAACAGCGGTAGAAAAGGCCATGTATTAGTCAGGGTTCAGCCAGAGAAAAGAATCAGTAGGGGCAGGGGTGTATGTGTGTGTGTATGTGTGACAGAAAGAGAGAGAGACAGCCAGAGAGAGAGAGAAATTTGTTACAGGGGATTGGGGGAATTGACTTACACAATTGTGGGAGGTGGTTAAGCAGTCTCCGTAAGGCTGCTCTCTCCTCATATAGTCATGGATCTTGAAGTTCACAGGGTGTGCAGACGGAAAGGAAAATAGACGTAAAATGAGGAAGACCAAAGGCAGGATGGATTCCATAAGCATGAGCCAGAAACCCATCTGGAAGGATTGAGCATTATCTTCTTGCCTCTGCCCTTGATGCCAAATGTATCCTGCAGAAGCTATGCCTGTTGTCATGAAGTTAAATTGAAGCCCAGGAGTCAGAAATGCTAAAGGAGGCTCCAAGGAAAGGTGAAAACAATTTAGGTTCAGCTGCTACTTCTTGCCAACGAGGTGAGTCAGCACACTGGCAACAATGTGTGGGAACTACAAAATGGCTGATGCTCACCTTCTGCCTTGAAATCAGCACAAGGATCTCCCTTGTGGCCCACTCTTGTGCCTCAGTTTTCCTTTCTTGGAATGACTAGAAACTTCTCTGTCTTCTTTTAGACTTTTATAAATTATAATAGTAGTTATCAAGCATTGAACATTTGTCATGCAACAGGCACATATGTTGTCTCATTTAATCCTCATACATTTCCTGTGAGGTAAAGTCGATTAATAACCTAATTTTACAGATGAGGAAATCAAGGCTTAGAGAGATTAATAAACTTACATAAGGCTACGATGCTAAATTATTAGTGGAACAGAATTATGAATCTAGATGTCTAGGATCATGCTCATTCTCTGAACCTCCAAACCATGTCCATCTCTGCTATGGTCCACATGTGAATATACTCTAATTATTTCAATCTATTTGTATCTGTTTTTTCCAGCACACTAGAAATCCCTCAAGGCAATAAAACATCTTACTTTTTATTTTTCTCATGTCAATTTGTATTTCCTGTTGCTCTTTGTACTTTTTCCCTCTACAGCTATTTGGAGCACCAATATTGCTCTTTTTCTTTTTGTAACAACACAGAGAATAAAATCTCATTATAAGAAGATAACTTTAGTAAATTATAATCAAAAGCTTTTCTTGGCAGTAAGTTTTAAGCAAATAATTATAACTGTAAAAGCTTCAAGAAGTTGCAAGAAGCTTAACAGATTTTTTGTTCATTGTCTAAAAACATACATCAGTTCTTTGGAATGATAAGCCACTTTCATGGTCTTGCACATAAAACTTCAGCATCGTTCTGTTTGTAATGATTGGCCCAGGGCTATCAGAGAGATGTCTGGGAGAAGTGACTTTGCTGTGTCAGGCATCAGATAAGTGCTAACAAGAAGGTCAGTTGTCTTCCCTCCAGAATCAACAGCAAAAAGAAAATAAACCCTTTGGTGATTTCAAGAGGATAAATACATAAGATTAAAATAAAATTAAAAAGTGAGAAATATTGAATAAGCAAAGAAAAACCAAAATAAAAGCGATGGTCCCCATATTAGGAAAGAAAACTTCCTTATCAGAGAGGACTTTGCTGACAGCCTTCTGAGAGTACACTGAGCAGGTTCGTGGAATTGATGCCATTAGGGCTAATATTAAAACAGAGCATTTAGTAGCAGTAAAGAAATTTATACAAATAGAAAATCTTTTTCTATTTTAGAAAATAATTAGAAAATAATTCTATAGGAAAGCAGATAATTTTTATCATGGATTCTTTACTTCCACAGTTAAAAGTATTAAATGTCTGATTCCAAATGTGGTTTGAGCTCTTCTTAAGAGGCAAGCACTTTGCTAGCTTGTAGGCATACTGTGGTGAATAAGTTAAGACCAAGCACTTTAAAAAGATGACAGTATAATGGGGTATCTATATCTATATACCTATAACCTATATACCTATAACATATAGGTATACCTGTAACATATCTATAAAACAAGGTGATTGCATGTCAGGGGTGAGAAGCGCAATAGTAGGACAAAACACAGGAGGGAAATCTGACCAAGTATTGAGGCTTCAGAGTAGACTTTCTAGAGGATGTCACATATATGACGTGAAGCATGGGTAGAATTTATCTAAAGAAAATAATTTGAGAATAGGAAAGAACATTTAAAGCAAGAAAGTAGTGTATGAAATGAGAGGAAGTGAAAAAGAAAATAACGTGTTCTAGGAACAACAATCATTACCCACTGAAAGGGTTGGTTGCATTCTGGAAATGTATCGTGGAAGGCAAATCATGGTTGTCACAGGGAAGGTATCACTAAGAGTCCTGGATCAGGTAAAATGCATGAAGGTAATATATTTATGATTTAAAGACATCTTCTATCAAAATAATTCAATGAATTGAAATTAATTCCCCTAATGAAGCCTTCTAATCTAGTGTCACTTGAATATTCAGTCAATCTGCAAATGGTCTTGAGTTGTTATGTTTCTCATAAGCCTGTTCTCCCACATGGTTTATGTTCTGTACCCAAGTGTTAAATTTTTTAGCTAATTCTGTTAAGCTCGTAATTACTGGCAGGTCCTTGTTGGTATTTTTTTAAGTTATCACAGTATTTTACAGCCTACTTTCTCAGTCTGGTTTTGTAATTGAATAATGATGCAGAATATTTTCTGTACTCTCCCTTTGATAATTCCATATGACCTTTAAAGTGGACAAAACAATATTTTTGTGTTTTTTAGATCTCTAAATCATGAAATAAAAGCATACATTAAAAAAGATTTGTCATATGCAAGTGTGCAATAATATAATAAAATCAAGAGAGGACCACTGCCCAGTATGGTTAGAGGAAATAATAAAGTGAATGTCAAGAAATGAATATAGATAAGGCAGGGGAGACATCTCCAAAGCCTTTCCGTGTTTAATTAAAGAGCCTGGGATTTACACTGAAAGGGGTAATTAATAGCTAAGGAGAGTAAATTAGGCTAATGTCACAAAGCTTTATTGGGTGACTTTGGGGTTTGTGCATTTGAAGTGAATGAGGTCAAAGATGGAAAAACCAATGGGTTTTGAGGATAATGATAAGATCTGGAAAACAGTCAAAAGTATTTGATGTCCTCAACTAGAGAAACACCAGTGGACATCTAAAGAAGGGAATATATTTGAGAGATATTTAAATAGGACCATCAATAAAACTAGGTGATTGAAGGTGGAATGTGAGGCAGAAAGGAGAGTAAACGTTGATCCTCAAGTTACTGAGTTGGACAAGCAAGTATATCAGCAGATCGTGCACTGACAATGGAGTCACAAGAAAGGGACACAAGTGAACACGTACTATGTGCCTCAAACTATACTGCGTTCGCTTTTCACACACTATCCTATCAATTTTCCCAACCAACCAAATAAAGAAACTGAACCTCAAAGTGTGTTAAATAACACGTCCAATGTCACACAGCTAGTACATTGGGGAAAGTGAAACTCAAACCCAAAGACTCACCTATTTTTTTTTTACTAGGTTTATATATTTTGAGTTTGGGGTCCCAGTACAAGTTCAAAGTAGAGATGTCAAAGTAAGAAATAAACCTTTCCAAATTTTGAACCTGGGAGGAAGGCTACATAATTTTCAGTTGTGAAGCCAGGGGAATGAAAGCCACCATGCATGGAGAGTGAGAAGGCAAAGAGCCCAGGACAGCAATGTGTCAGACACAGAATGGAGGAAGGAACATTTGCAGAGAAGACAGAGAAAAAGCATCCCTAAAAATGAATTAAAGTAGGAGCAATGTGTCATAGAAGCCAAGAAAATTGAAATTGCTCTAAGGAAAGTGGTCTCCAGTGTCAAATGCTACATTAAGATCAAGTTAAACAATGGCATGAAGGTGGCCGTGTAATATAGCAATAGGAACATTGTTGGTAAAGTCCAGGAGTCTTTTTTAGTAGAGTGATGAGGGTGGAATTCACCATAATCATTTCTCTTTAGTGAAAGAAAGGGAAATTACAAAGCAGGGACAGCAGCCGTTCAAGAAGTTGGACAGTGAAGATAAATTAAAGGGGTTTGTTACTTCTAGGAAGGGTACTTGTAGTTATTAGAAATACTGAAATATGTTCAAATGCTGCCATAAAGGAGACACACAGCCAGGCTTACTGTGGAGGGAAAGCAAAAGGTCAGGCTTTGACTGAGAATATTTACTATGTCACAGTAACAAGGTGATGTTTTCGGCTCATTTACCAACCAAGCCATTAGGGACATGCAATATGCACATGCTGTTAACTGACATTTTGGGAAGACATGAATATTTTGCATCTCCTTTTCTCCTGGGTAGCATTGTTGCTAAAGGGAAAAGCTCAGCTATGATCTATGTTAAACATAGAGATATATAAAGGGTTCCCTATTAATATAAGCTTATGTGCTTTGAGGCTCTTGCAAAGATTGTGAAGGGACATGCTTGGCCATGGCTCATCATTATCCATCACCACAGGGAGGTGGGAGGACATGGGGAGGAATGTGGCACATGTGAGCTGCATGTTTTGTTTTTCTGTGAATCCATTGGTAATTCACAGAATCATAAAATAGAAATGTAGTAGAACTCATACCAAGTCACAACACCTGTAACACTGAAACAGTCATCTTTGGGCAGCAAAAGTATAACATTGTTATATCAGTTGGTACATTATCTACAGTCAATATTGCTTTTATAATCTTATAAACTCTTCACATTTTGAATATATTCACACTCCTTTATTTTTTTCTCCAACAACCCATAAACTGGAAGTAGACTTTTAGTTTATTTTAAAATCATACTTATTGTTCTTTTTCTGATTTTATGTTTAATGCATGCTCATCACAGAGATTTTCATGGTAAATAAACATTCAAATAAAAATTAAAATATTACTTATTTACCAAGCCATAGATAAGCATTGTTTTCCTTATGATATTATTTCTCTCTAGATTTTATTATGTGTATAAAATTTCCTTCTTAGGTAATTCTTTCATAAAATTGATCAAAATACTCCATTTTATTGTAGTTTTCAAATGACTTATCTATCTTTCTTTGTAACAGAATTATTTAAAAACATGAATTTAATAGCAGTGTATTATTAAATAATATAAATACATACAAATAAAATGTTTAGTAGTACAAAGAATATAATTTGTAGTATTATTTTAACCCTTTAA
This sequence comes from Homo sapiens, assembly GCF_000001405.40. Lineage (NCBI taxonomy): Eukaryota > Metazoa > Chordata > Mammalia > Primates > Hominidae > Homo > Homo sapiens. The sequence goes on from NC_000018.10 coordinate 4,523,825, forward strand.
CCATTGTACTATTCTTGAACATTCAAGGGCATGATAATGCAATAATCAAGATCTTTGTGCCCAGTTTATTATTTTGTTTTCTTCACTTAGAATAGATTTATAAAATGGGAATTATTAAATAGTAGGTTACATATAAAGTTAGTTTTTATCAAGATCTAACCATTTAAATTCCTGCCACTAATGTAAGAGACTGCTACTATCAATCGTCTCACTTCTACATGGAATCTTTGAGATTTGCCTCCACATTTTGTATAATATTTGCTAATTTGAATGAGAAAGATCATTGTTTTAATTTGTACTTTAACTGAAGTAAACTTTAAAAAAAGATTATCATACAATATAGTGTAGTGTTTACTATCATCGGATTTGGGGGTCAGACAGATTGGATTTAAACTTCAGCAGCTCCACCTAGTAGTGATGTTTCTTCAGCCAGTAACTTAACCACTCTAAGCCTCAATTCCTCCTGTAAGAATAACAGCACCTCCTAAAGGCCAGGAACTCTTCGAAGAGTACCTTATATATTAATTCAGGTAATCTCCACAACACCATCATGGAAAAAAAGGCATTGTTATTATCTCAATATCTATGCTGTTAACCCGTATGCTACGCTGTCCCATAGGACTGTTGGAAGACTCACATGAGAAGGTATGTGTATGTAAAGCATTTTAGATCTATACTGGAAACGGAGCATATACAATAATTAATAGCCAAAATTAATTTTTTGTGTAAATTGCCTAGGTACTTTATTTATTATTCATTGGTATATTTGAAATTGTCTTATCAAAATATATACTTTTTTTCCTCTAGTAACAAAACCACTTGTTTGTCATGTGTTGCAAACTTTCTTTTGGTCTAGAAAACTATTAAACAAAACCAATCATCTTTTTGATTCCTCTCAAAGATATGAAAGGTTAAACACAGGAGGTTTAGAGTACAGTAAGGACACAGAAATTTTTTTAAATTTAATTATTAATTTTTGTGGGTACATAGTATATGTATGGATAGAATACATAAAATGTTTTGATACAGGCATGCAATGCATAATAATAACATCATGGAAAATGGGTTATCTATCCCTTCAAGGATTTATCTTTTGTGTTGCAGACAATCCAAGTATACTCGTTTAGTTATTTTTAAATGTACAACTCAGTTATTATTGACTGTAGTCACCCTGCTGTGCTATCAAATAGTAGGTCTTATTCATTCTTTCTATTTTTTTTGTACCCATTAACTGTTCCTGTTTTCCTTCCAACCTATCACTACCCTTTCCAGCCTATGGCAAACATTTTTCTAATCTCTATGTCTGTGAGTTCAATTGTTTGGATTTTTAAATCCCACAAATAAGTGAGAACATGCGATATTTGTCTTTCTGTGCCTGGCTTATTTCACTTAACAAAATGATCTCCAGTTCCATCCATGTTGTTACAAATGACAGGATCTCATTTTTTTATGTTTGAATAGTACTTCATTGTGCATATGTACCATATTTTCTTTATCTATTCATCTGTTGATGGACACTCAGGTTGCTTCCAAATCTTGGTGATTGTGAACACTGCTGCAAAAAACATAGAAGTGCAGATATTTCTTTGATATGCTGATTTCCTTTCTCTTGGGTATATACCCAGCAGTGGGATTGCTGGATCATCTGGTAGCTCCATTTTAAGATTTTTGAGTACTCTCCAAACTGTTCTCCACAGTAATTGTATTAACTTACTTTTCCACCAACAGTGTATGAGCATTCCCTTTCATCCACATTATCGCCAGCATTTGTTATTGCTTATGTTTTGGATATAAGCCATTTTAACTAGGGTAAGATGATATCTCATTGCAATTTTAATTTGCATTTCTCTGATGAGCAATGATGTTGAGCACCTTTTCATATGCCTGTTTGCCATTGTATGTCTTCTTTAAAGAAATGTCTATTCAGATCTTTTGCCCATTTTTCAATTGGATTATTCAATTTCTTTTCTCTAAGTTGTTGGAGCTCCTGGTTATTAATCCCTTGTCAGACGGGTTGTTTGCAAATATTCTCTCCCATTCTGTGGGTTGTCTCTTCACTTTGTTGATTGTTTCCTTTGCTGTGCAGAACCTTTTTAATTTGATGTGATCCCATTTGTCCATTTTTGCTTTGGTTGCCTATGCTTGTAGAGTATTACTCAGGACATTTTTGCCCAGACCAATGTCCTGGAGAGTTTCCCTAATGTTTTCCTGTAGTAGTTTCATAGTCTGAGGTCTTACATTTAAATATTTAATCCATTTTGATTTGGTTTTGGTATACAGTGAGAGATAGAGGGCCAGTTTCATAATTCTGCATATGAATATCCAGCTTTCCCAGCACCATTTATGGAAGAGACTCTCTTTTCCTACAGTGTATGTTCTTGGCACCTTTGTCAAAAATGGGCTCACTGTAGGTATATGAATTTGTTTCTGGGTTCTTCTTTTAGTTCCATTGGTCAATATGTCTGTTTTTATGCCAGTACCATGCTGTTTTGATTACTATAGCTCAATAGTATAATTTGAAGTCAGGTAATACGATTCCTACAGTTTTGTTCTTTTTACTTAGGATAGCTTTGATTATTCTGGGTCTTTTGTGGTTTCATATAAATTTTAGGACTTTTTTTCTTTTTTGTGAAGAATGTCACTGGTATTTTGATAGGGATTTCATTGAATCTGTAGACTGCTTTGGATAGTATGAACTTTTTTTTTTTTTTTTTTTTTTTTTTGAGATGGAGTCTCGCTCTGTTGCCCAGGCTGGAGTGCAGTGGTGCAATCTCGGCTCACTGCAAGCTCTGCCTCCTGGGTTCATGCTATTCTCCTGCCTCAGCCTCCAAGTAGCTGGAACTACAAGTGCCCACCACCATGCCCAGCTTATTTTTTTGTATTTTTAGTAGAGACCGGGTTTCACCATGTTAGCCAGGATGGTCTCGATCTCCTGACCTCGTGATCTGCCTACCTCAGCCTCCCAAAGTGCTGGGATTACAGGCGTGAGCCACTGCGCCCAGCCTAGTATGGATGTTTTAACAATATTGATTCTTTCAATTCATGAACATAGAACATCTTTCCATTTTTTGGTGTCCTCTTCAATTTCTTTCATCAGTGTTTCATAGTTTTTATTACAGAGAACTTTCACTTCTTTGGTTAAGTAAATTTCTAGTATTTAATTTTATTTGTGGCTATTGTAAATGAGACTGCTTTTAAATTTCTTTTTCAGATTGTTCATTGTTGGCATATAGAAATGCTACTAAGTGTTCTATGTTGATTTTGTACCCTGAAACTTTACTGAATTTGTTTATCAGTTCTAATAGATTTTTTGGTGGAGTCTTTAGGTTTTTCCAAATATAAGATCATATAATCTGCAAACAAGAATAATTTGACTTATCCCATTCCAGTCTGGATGCTTTTTATTTTTGTCTGTTATGATTGCTCTTGCTAGGACTTCAAGTACTATGTTGAATAACAGTGGTGAAACTTGGCACCCTTGTCACTTCAAAGATCTTAAAGGAAAGGCTTTCAGTTTTTCCCCATTCAGTATGATACTAAATAGTATGATACTAGCAGTGAATCTGTCATATATGGTTTTTATTGTGTTGAGGTATGCTTTTTCTATACTTAGTTTTTTGAGCTTTTTTTTATTATGAAGGAATGTTGAATTTTATCAAACGCTTTTTCAGCATCCGTTGAAATGATCATATGGCTTTTGTCCTTCATTCTGTTGATGTGATTTATCACACTGATTGATTTGCATATGTTAAACTACTCTTGCATCCTGGGGATGAATCACACTTGGTCATGACTGTTGGGGAAACCAGCCCCACACTACCCAGCGGGTACCCCGAGTCCGGTGGAGATAAAGGAGTTAGAAAGAGACAGAATAAGCATTTAAAAGGCGGGTCGAGGGGATCGGAGAGTGGGAGGCTTGCTCACGGCCCAGAGCTCTCAAGCTCCACCCAATTTATTGGTTTACAAGCTCTTTCTTCTTAGGGCAGATGGAAGGGGGAGGGAGGGATGAGGAAAAGGATCAATCAGTGAAGGAAAACTCGTGAGTCATTCAATAAGATGTATAGCAGTGGCAGTTTCTGTGAATTTCCTTGAGCAAAGGCATGTGTCTAAACGACTTAAGATCTTTAACTTATCAGGACTGAAACGGGTGGGAGCGGGTTCCAGGAGGAGCCCAGACGTTTGATTATACTCCACTGCTTCAAAGGTAGTGTTATCTCCGTGAGCAACCTGTGGAATGCTGCTGAGCTGTTATGTTCTCGAGGCATAAAGACGTGAAGGCAATAAGGAGACTTTTCTCCTCAGAGGCCGCCCATGACTTCCCATGGGTGTCTCACACAGGGGAGACCAACTCAACTGGCACCCCAGAAACTCTCTTTCCCATCATGACGAATGATCTTTTTAATATGTTGTTTAATTCAGTTTGCCAGTATTTTTTTGAGGATTTTCGCATAAATATTCATCAGAAATATTGGCTTATAGTTTTCTTTATTTGAATTGTCTTTGTCTGATTTTTGTATCGGGTAATACTTACCTCACAGATTGAGTTTGGAAGTATTCCTTTCCCCTGTGTTTTTCAGAATAGTTTGAGTAGGATTGACATTAGTTCTTCTTTAAATGTTTGGTAGAATTCAGCAGTAAAGCCATTGGGTCCTGAGCTTTTCTTTACAAGGAGACTTTTGATCATGGCTTTGATCTTGTTACATATGATTGATCTGTTCAAGTTTTGGTTTTCTTTCTGATTCAATTGTGGTAGTTTCTATGTGTCTAGGAACTGCCCATTTCTTCTAAATTTTTTCTATTAATTGGCATATAGTTGGTTACAGTAGTCACTAATGATGTTTTGAATTTCTGTGGTATCAGTTGTAATGCTTCTCTTTTCATCTGTGATTTTATTTATTTGGTTCTTCTTTCTTTTTTGCTAAGTTAGTCTGGCTAAAGGTTTATCACTATTTTTTAACTTTTCAAAAAAGCCAACTTTTTGTTTCCTTAATCTTTTGTATTGTTTTCTTCATTTTATTTGTTTCTGCTCTGATTTTTATTTTATTTTCTTCTATACTGATTTTTATTTTATTTTCTTCCAGTAATTTTTTTGGTTTGTTTTGCTCTTGGTTTTCTCATTCTTTAGGATGCATCACTAGATTGTTTATTTGAAATTTTTCTTCTTTATTAATGTAGGCATTTATAGCTATAAACTTCCTTTTTAGTACTGCTTTTGCTGTCTCCCACAGGTTTTTGTATGTTGTGTTTCCATTATCATGTGTTTTGAGAAATTTTTCAATTTTATTCTTAATTTCCTTATTGACCTACTGGTTATTCAGGAGCATATTGTTTAATTTCCACGTGTTTGCAAAGTTTCCAAAATTCCTCTCGTTACTGATTTCTAGTTTTATTCTATTGTGGTCAGAGAAGATGCCGGAAATTATGTCAATTTTTTGAATGTTTTAAGGATTGTTTTATGACCTAACATATGGTTTATCCTTGAGAATAATCCATGTGTTGAGGATGAGAATCTGTATTTTGAAGCTGTTGGATGAAATGTTCTGTAAATATCTATTAGATTCATTTGGTCCACAGTGCAGATTAAGTCTGATGTTTCTTGCTGATTTTCTGTCTGGAAGATCTGTCCAATGCTGATGTGGGGTGTTGAAGTCTTCAGCTATTATTGTAATGGGGCCTTTCTCTTAAGCTCTAATAGTATTTTCTTTATATAGCTGTGTGATCTAATTTTGGGGTTCATATATATTTAAGATTGTTATATCCTCTTGGTGAATTGACCCCTTTATCATTATATAGTGACATTCTTTGTTTCTTCTCATAGAATTGTCTTTAAATCTATTTTGTCTGATATAAGTATAGCTACTCCTGCTCTTTGTTGATTTCCAATGGCATGGAATATTTTTTCTATCCCTTTATTTTCAGTTTATGTGTATCTTTATAGGTGAAGTATGTTTCTTATAGGCAACATATTATGGGTCTCTTTTTCTTATCCATTCAGCCACCCCATGTCTTTTGATTGGAGAGTTTAGACTATTTATATTCAATGTTATTATTGATAAGTAAAAACTTTTCTGCCATTTTGTTATTTGTTTACTGGTTGTTTTGTGATCATCTCTTCCTTCTTTGTTTTCTTCCTGTTTTTCCTTGGTGAAAGTGATTATCTCTGGTAATAAGACTTAGTTTCTTGATTTTTATTTTTTATGTTTCTGTTGTATGTTTTTTGGTTTCAGGTTACCATGACACACGCAAATACTATCATAAACCATTATTTTAAGCTTATAATCACTTAACACTGTTTGCATAAACAACTAAGAAAAAAGAAAATGAATAAAAACTCTGTGCCTAAACTTCATCACCCTGCTTTTAAACTTTATGTTATTTCTATTTATATCTTATTTTTCTGTCTATCTTGAAAAGTTATTGTAGTCATGTTTTTTTTTATTTCTTCATCATTTATTCTTTGTACTTAGGATAAGAGTAGCTTACACATCACAGTTACAGTGTAATCATATTCTGTGCTTTTCTGTGTATTTGCTATTACCAGTGAGTTTTGTACCTTCAGGTGATTACTGATTTATTACTCAGTAACATTCTTTTCCTGTTTTTTTTCTTTTTGTTGAGATGGCGTCTCACTGTTATCACCCAGGCTGGAGTAAAGTGGCATGATTTCGACTCACTGCAACCTCTGCCTCCCGAGTTCAAGTAATTCTCATGTTTCAGCATCCTGAGAAGCTGGGATTACAGGCATCCACCACCACATCTGGCTAATTTTTGTAATTTTTAGTACAGACAAGATTTCACCATGTTGGCCAGGCTGGTCTCGAACTCCCAACATCAAATGATCTGCTGGCCTAAGACTACCAAAGTGCTAGGGTTACAGGTGTGAGCCACCATGCCCAGCCAGTAACATCCTTTTCTTCCTTATTGAAGCACTCCCTTTAGCATTTCTTGGAAGATGGGTGTAGTGTTGATGCAATACCTCAGCTTTTGTTTATCTCCTAAAATCTTTATTTCTCCTTCCTGTTTGTAGTATATTTTCACTCAGCTATACTATTCTAGGTTAAAAGTTTTCTTTTTTTTCCTCCAGCACTTTAAATATGCCATACCACTCTCTCCTGGCCTATTAGGTTCTCACTGAAAAGTTCATTAGGGTTCCATTGTATGTTATTTGTTTTTTTCTTCTTGCTGCTTTTAAGATCCTATCTTTACCCTTGATCTTTGGTTGGTTGATTATTAAATGCCTTGAGGTAGTAGTCTTCTTTGTGTTAAATTCACCTGGTATTCTATAAGTTTCTTGGATTTGGATATTGATATCTTTCTCTAGGTTTGGGAAGTTCTCTCTCATTATTTTTTTGATTAAACTTCCCAGCCCTACCTATTTCTCCACTTCCTCTTTAAGTCCAATAACTCTTAGATTTGCCTTTTTGAGGCTATTTTCTAGATTCTATAGTGTGCTTCATTGTTTTTTATTCTTTTTTCTTTGTCTCCTTTGATTGTATATTTTCAAACAGCCTGCCTTCAAGCTCACAAATTCTTTTGCTTGATCAATTCTGCAATTAAAAGACGCTAATGCATTCTTCAGTATGCCAAATGCATTTTCAGCTCCATAATTTCTGCTTGATTCTTTTAAATTATTTTAATCTTTGTTAAATTTATCTGATAGAATTCTGAATTCCTTCTCTGTGTTACCTTGAATTTCTTTGTGTTTCTTCAACATAGCTATTTTGAATTATCTATCTGAAAGGTCACATATCTCTGTTTCTCCAGGATTGGTACCTGGTGCCTTATTTAGTTCCTTTGGTGAGATGATTTTTCCCTGGAATATCTTGATAGTTGTAGATGTTCTTCTATGTCTGGGCATTTAAGAATTAGGTATTTATTTTAGTTGTCACTGTCTGGGTTTGTTTGTACCTATCCTTCTTAAGAAGGCTTTCCATGTATTTGAAAGGATTTGGGTGCTGTGATTTAAGTTGTATCTACTTTAGAGAGCACCCTGTATTATGTCATTCTCACACTGCTAATAAAGACATACCCAAGGCTGGGTAATTTATAAAGGAAAAAGGTTTAATGTATTCATAGTTCTGCATGGCTTGTGAGGCTTCACAATTATGATGAAAGGCAAAGAAGAAGCAAAGGCATGTCTTACATGGTGGAAGGCAAGAAAGCATGTGCAGGGAAGCTTGTCTTTGTAAAACCATCTGATCTTGTGAGATTTATTCAGTATCATGAGAACAGCAAGGGAAAGATGTGATGCCATGATTCAATTGCCTCCCACCAGGTACCTCTCATGACACATGGGAATTGTGGGAACTGCAATTGAAGATGAGATTTGGGTGGGGACACAGCCAAACCATATCATTCTGCCCTTTGCCCCTCCCAAATCTCATGTCCTAACATTTCAAAACCAATCAAGCCTTGCCAACAGTCCCCCAAAGTCTTAACTCATTTCAGCATTAACTCAAAAGTCCACAGTCCAAAGTCTCATCTGAGACAAGGCAATTCCCTTTTGCCTATGAGCCTGTAAAATCAAAAGCAAGTTAGTTAATCCTAGATACAATGGGGATACAGGCATTGGGTAAATGCATCCATTCCAATTGGGAGAAATTGGCCAAAACAAAGGAGCTACAGGATCCATGGAAGTTCAAAAATCCAATATGGTAGTCATTAAATCTTAAAGTTTCAAAATGATCTCTTTTGACTTCATGTCTCACATCCAAGTCATACTGATGAAAAAGGCCATCTCCCACAGCCTTGAGCAGCTCAACCCCTGTGGCTTAGCAGGACACAGCACACTTTCTGACTGCTTTCCCGGCTGACATTGAGTGTCTGCAGTTTTTCCAGGTGCACGGTGCAAGCTGTCAGTGGGTCTACCATTCTGGGGTCTGGAGGATGGTGGCCCTATTTTCACAGCTCCACTAGGCAGTGCCCCAGTGGGGACTCTGTGTGGGGGCTTGCACCCCACAATTCCCTTCCACACTGCCCTAGCAGAGGTTCTTCATGAGAGCCCCGCCACTGCAAGAAACTTCTGCTTGGACATCCAGGCATTTCCATACATCCTCTGAAATCTAGATGGAGGTTTCTAAGCCTCAATTCTTGACTTTTGTACACCTGCAGGCTCAACACCACATGGAAGCTTGGGGTTTGTACTCTCTGAAGCAATGGGTTGAGCTGCACCTTGGTGTCTTTTAGCCTTGGCTGGAACTGAAGCAGCTTGGCACAAGGGATCATGTCCCAAGGCTGCACAGAGAAGTGGGGCCCTGGGCCAGACCCAGAAAACCATTTTTTCCTCCTAGGCCTCTGGGCCTGTGATGGAAGGGGCTGCCTGGAAGGTCTCTGACATGCCCTGGAGACATTTTCCCATTGTGTTGGTGATTAACATTAGGCTCCTCATTACGTGTGTAAATTTCTTCAACTGGCTTGAATTTCTTCCCAGAAAATGGGTTTTTCTTTTCTATCAAATTGTCAGGCTGCAAATTTTCTGCACTTTTATCTTCTGCTTCCTCTTGAATGCTTTGCTTCTTAGAATCGTTTCTGCCAGATACCCTAAATCATCTCTCTCAAGTTCAATGTTCCACAGTTCTCCAGGGCAGGGGCAAAATGCTGCCAGTCTCTTTGCATAGCAAGTGTGATCTTTACTCCAGTTCCCAACAAGTTCCTCATTTCCATCTGAGACCACCTTAGCCTGTACCTTATTATCCATATCACTATCAGCATTTTGGTCAAAGCCATTCAACAAGTCTCAAGGAAGTTCCAAACTTTTCCACATCATCCTGTCTTCTGAGTCCTCCAAGTCTCTATGAAGTTCCAAAATTTCCACATTTTCCTATCTTCTTCTGAGCCCTCCAAACTGTTCCAACCTCTGCCTGTTACCCAGTTCCAAAGTTGCTTCTACATTTTTGGATATCTTTACAGCAGCGCTGCACTACCCAGTACCAATTTACTGTATTAGTCTGTTCTCATGCTGCTAATAAAGACATACCCAAGACTGGGTAATTTGTAAAGGAAAGAGATTTAATGGGTTCACAGTTCCACATGGCTGGGGAGGTATCACAATTGTGGTGGAAGGCAAGGAGAAGCAAAGGCACATCTTACAGGGTGGAAGGCAAGAGAGCATATGCAGGGGAACTCCCCTTTATAAAACCCTCAGATCTCATGAGACTTATTCACTATCATGAGAACAGCAAAAGACCCACTCCCACGATTGAATGACCTCCCACGGGCTCCCTCCCTGACACGTGGGAAATATGGGAGCTACAGTTCAAAATGAGATTTGGATGGGGACACAGACAAGCCATATCACACCTTAAGCCCAGTAACACTGTGATTCTCGCAGACTTGCACAGCTACCACCTTGATGGTCCTGGACAACATCTGGGAGAATTGTCTGGATTACCAGCAGAGACTCTTGTTCTCCTCCTTTACTTTCTTCCAAAAAAATGGAGTCTTTCTGTTTTGAGTGTCCTGAAGCTGGGGTGGAATGACAGTAACACCCCTGTTGCCACCATCACTGTGACTGCTGGGTCAAACCTGAATCTAGCACAGCATTGAGTATTGCCCAAGGCCTGCTGTCACCACTCCCTGGCTACTGCCTGTTTTCAGTCAAAGGCCTGAGGCTCTACAATCAGCAGTTGGCAAAGCCTGCCAGGCCTGTGTCCTTCCCTTTAGGGCACTTCCCAGATGTGTCTAGATGTGGTGTCTGGGAGCCAGGGAGTAGAGCCAAAAACCTTAGAAGTCTACTTGGTGTTCTATTGTACTGAGGTTGAGCTGGCACTAAAAACCACAAGACACAATCCTCCCCACTCTTCCCTCCCCTTTCCAAAGGCAGAGGAGACTCACCCTGTGGCCACTGCCATTACAGGTCCACAAGAAGTACTGCCAGACTGTAGCCAATGTTCCCTTAAGGCCCAACAGCTCTTCAGTCAGCTGGTGGTAAATTTTGCCTGGCCTGAAACCCACCCTTCATGGCAGTAGGCTCCTCTCTGGCCCAGAGCTGGTCCTGAAGTGCCATCCAAGAGCCAAGTTCAGAAATCAGGAATTCCAAGGGCCTGATTGGTGCTCTACCCACCTGTGGCTGAGCTGGTACCTAAGGTGCAGGACAAAGTTCCCTTTACTTTTCCCTCTGTTTTTCTCTAGCAGGAGTCTAGCCCTGTGGCACCACATCTGGGAATGTGCTGAGTCTCATGTGAAGCCAAGAAGTCTCAGAGCCTCATCCAAGGCCCTAGGGTAGTACCTGTGTATCACTGCTGGTTATTCAAGGCCCAAGGGCTCTTCAGATAGCAGGTAATGAGTCCTCCCAGGACTGGGTCATTCCCTTCAAGGCATCAGGTCCCCTTCTGGCCCAGGGCATGCCTATAAATGTCATCCTGGAGTTAAGAGGGCCTTCAACTCTGACCAGTGCCTTATCCTGCTGTGGCTGAGCTAATATCCAAGATACAAGACAAAGTCCTCCCCACTCTTTACTCTGCTCTCAAGCAGAAGGAAAGGGTCTCTTTTAGAGCTACGAGCTGTGCAGCCTGGGATTAGGGGAGGGGTGATGTCAGCACCCCGTTACCTGCCCCAACTGGTGTTTTTGTGGGTTGTGTGTCCCCCAGTCTGCTGTCTCTGTGCCCAGTTCAGCACTAGGACTCATGTAAAAGTTGCAGTCCTTGTGGCCTAGACTGCCTTTCAAGTTTATTACAGCCCCAGGGCACAAAGATAAATATGATATAGTCTCTGTCTTCAAGTTTAGTAAATGGAAAATAAACATACCTAATATAGTGTGAAACGTACAAAAATTGAAGTTTAAAATTAATTATGTTAAGCAGCAAGATGAATGGTTATTTGTATTTTATAAAAGGGCAGAATTAGAAAAGAATTAACAGGCTTTGTAGAAATGATGAAATTGGTCATCAAGGACAAATAAGAGTTTGTTAGCTGAACAAAGGCTAGTAGGTGACAGTGTCAAGGTTAAGAGAAGAAGGTGAGAAACAGCATGATGTGAGTATTAGTTATCCATTGCTGTGTGGCGATATCATCATAAATGTGACAGCCTAAAGTATCACTCATTTATTAGCTCACTGTTTGGTGGGACAGGAGTCTAGGAGTGGTTTAGCTGAGTTCCCTGCTTCAGGGTCTCAATCTTGCAATCCAGATGTCAGCATGAACTGCTTTCTTATCAGAAGCTTGCATGAGAGAAAGATCCACTTCCAAGCTCACTCAGGTTGTTGGAAGAATTCACTCACTTGGTGCTATAGACTTGAAGACACTAGTTGTGTCTGGCTGTTGGTTGGAAGCTGCCTGCATTTCCTAGAGGTCTCAACAGTTTTTTGAGATATGGGCTCCCCAAACATGCCTGCTTACTTTATTGAGCCAGCAAAAAAGGTAGTCTTTTTGCAAGACATAATGTAACATAATTCCATAAACTTAATCACATGTATGTAATCACATGCACTTAAAGGATATCTGTATTATGGCTGCAATACCATAATATATACATAAGATGAAACATTTAGATATAGATAGATTGATAATATATGTATGAGTCAAATCATAAAAAGCCCAAGGAACTTGGACTTTATATTTAAGTGATAAGGAACTAGTGAAAGATTTGAAGAAGAATATTAATATATATTAATATAGTAATATATTAATATGTTCACATTTGTGTTTTAAATAGCTCAGTTGAGCAGGCACTGGAAAGATGAATTTGAAAACAGTGAGATTAGTTGGAAAATGATTTAAGTATCAACTGTAAAGAATGAGTCACCTCACTTAACAGTATTAAGTTCACTGAAAATAAATAGAAATTTCCTACATATGGAACAGCAGGTAGAAACTGGAGCTTTACCCTCTGTAACCTGATTGTTTCCTTGGAGATATTCTCCCAGTTCCCTTGCCAGCACTCTTGTCCTAGGTAGGGTATGGTGCTCTTGAAAAATATCTGTGAAGTAAAAATTCTACTAGTTTCCTGCCTTACAGGAGAAAAGGCTGGAATATTTAAACATTTCCTTTAGAAATACAGGGCATAACCTGTGGAGAGTGAAGGAGATTAGAAGGGCAGGCTAAACATTTAAAGGAGATGAGGAAATCAACACTAAAAGCAGGTTAGAAAAAGAAAGCCCAGTGAAAGAGATCAAGGAGAATGAACACTTGACTTGAACAGAGAGATATTGGATAGCAGTATAAGGAAGTTTGTTTAGGCAGTCTGACTGAAGTACTGAGCATTTCAATTTATGAAAATTTATTCAATGAAGTTAGGGCACATTTTAGATTTTCAATAAAGGAATGTTGTGCTAAAAGGTTGTAGGAAGAGTAGCTAACCAAAAATGTCAGATGGATTACACGGAGGGAAGTCTATAGTTTGAAAGACTAAACATGTAGATTATTCATGTGTTTTATACCAAAGATGGTAAAGGTAGTGATAATGGAAATAAAGAGAGAGTAAATTTAAAATCCCTAGAAAAAATAAACATTAGTACATACTGACAAAATGGAAGTAGAGGATTTAATAATAGAAAACATTAAAGATGAAGTCTAAGTTGAACTCTATTTTACGGTTCTGTTAGTCCACACAAATAGTCGGGAGTCTGAAACAATTTGTGGAACATAAATGCAACACAGAGTCAAAATTAGAGCATGAGTAAGGTCAGGAACCCCAACAATTGCTTTTTTTTTTTTTTTTTTTTGCTTTCTGCCCAAGTGTCTTCTTCAAACACTAGGCTAAAAATTTACTGGTTTTGCAACTAGCAAAGGTTAAAAGGTACCTCTCCAGACTCCTAATTGCTATTCAAACAAGTTTCCTTAAATCTTCTTAAATTTAAAATGGTTTAAAAATATAATTAGAGTGTTTACATTTCCAGTAAAGGAAGACTGGCTTCCTGCTGATGAGTTCTCTAACTGAGATCAACTATAATTGCTGGAAATAAAAAACATAAGTGCTATAATCAAAGAACTAACAAGACAGCAAGGACTTGAAGTGTAAAGATCTCAGAGAGAAAGGAGAAACATATTCTCACATAGGTTTTAACCAGGCCATTTGCCAAATCAGAAGGAGAGGCTAAAAATCTGAGCACTGATTCCAAAGTTGTAATATCCTGATATATAAAAGTTGAAGTGTAGGGTCCATCAGTGAAAAGGGGTTTTTTCACTAGAACCTTGGAAGAGCTGGCTACACTCCAGAAATAGAAGTGAACCACAGATAAATCTCCTTTCTAGAAACCCTGAAGCATGCCATGAAGTTAAACTCAATCTCTGATTGTATGAAGGTGATCTTCCCTTGCATAACTGCTTGCAAGAAGTAAAGACAAAATCTCTCCAGAAGAAGATAACATCAGCCAGAGCCTAAAATTATCAGTATCCAAGATAATTATCTGTAAAATTTTTCATACACGATGTCCAGCATGCAATCAAACATAACCAGGAATATCAAGAAATAAGACCACATGACCAAAAAACAAAGGGACATAGAGGGAGAAACAGGGACAGCAAGAGACTGAACCACAGGAAATTCAGACATTGGGCTTATCTGAAACAGAATGCGATGTGGTTTGGATCTGTGTCCCCACCAAATCTCATCTTGAATTGTAATCCCCAGTGGTGGAAGTGGGGCCTGGTAAGAGGTAATTTGATCATGGGGGTGAATTTCTCATGAATAGTTTAGCACCATTGCTCTTGGTACTGTCCTCACAATAGTGAGTGAGTTCTTGTGAGATCGTGTTGTTTAAAAGTGTGTGGCACTTCCCCCCTCACTCTCTCTTGCTCCTGCTCTGGCCATGTGATGTGCCAGCTCCCCCTTTGCCTTCCACCATGATTGTTTCCTGAGGCCTCCCCAGAAGTGGGGCAGATGCCAGGACCATGCTTCCTGTACAGCCTGAATAACCATGAGCCAATTAAACCTCTTTTCTTTATAAATTACCTAGTCTTAGGTATTTCTTTATAGCAATGTGAAAATGAACTAAAACAGACTGTAACATAAGTTTCATAAGTGTGATTAATATATTCAGAAATTGGATGACAGGATAGAGAATATAGCAGAGAACAAAACACTATAAAATGGATTAAATGGAAGTTTTATATCTCCCCTTAAAAATTCAAGAATGTGTTCAGTAGCATATTAGATATAGTTGAAGAAAGAATTAGCAGAATGGAAAATAGGCCAGAATAACATGCCCATTCATATTTATAAAGATGAAAGAACAAAAAAATTTAAAAAGTATTTGAGAACTATGTGACAGTGAAAAGTTCTAACACACATGTAGCTAGATTTTATAAAAGAGAGGACAGAAGGAATAGAGCAAAAATAGTTTTAAACAGACAGTGGGTGAAACTGATAAATGAGAAACTGATGAAAGATATCAATTTCATATTTAAGAGTGAAAATGTATCCCAAACATGCTAAAAATGAATAAAATGCTAAGGTACATCATAATAACACTGTTAAAAATCAAAGACAAAGAAAAATAATAAAAGCAACAAGAGAGGAAAAGCATCTTTCCCTTCAAAGGAGCAAAAATAGGCTGATTTATTAACTAAAAAGAGAAAGAGAGACCAGAGAACAATTGAATTACATCCTCAAATGCTGAAAGAAAAAGAAGCCAACCTAAAATCTAAATTTAACCCAGTAAAACCACCAATAAAAATGGAGAAAATTAAAGATATTTTAGGCATGGGAATACTGAAAGATTTGTCACCAGCCAACCCATGTTAATGAAAATAATATAATAATTATTTTTAAGGCAGAGAGAAAATAACCCCAGATGGAAGTATGGTGATATAGGAAGGAACAAATAGCAATGGATAGAGTAAATATGTGGCTAAATAGAAATGAATACTAACTATATTTAGAAATATCACCCCTTACAGTCTTCAAACTCCTACTTCAATACCTCCTTCATAAATCTCTGCTCAAATAAGGTGTTCAAACTGCATGCAAAAGGCAAAAGAGCAAAGCTTTTAGAAGAATATAGGAGAGTATCTTAAAAAACTTAGAATAGCCAAAGTTTTCTTCAACAAAAGACAAAAATCACTGACTGTAACAGAAAGAATGAAAAATTGTACTAATTTAAAACTAAATGTAACCAAAAGAATATTTTGAAAGCGAGAAGGGAAGAAACTGATGGGAGAAGATATTTGAAATAAGTAAAACCCATAAAAGACTCATATCTTGAAGATGCAAATAACTTCTGCAAACCAGGAAAAACTCAGATAATGAATAAAGTAGAAAAAATATGAAGAGTTCACAAAAGAAGATGTCCAAAGAGCCAATAAACATGAACAGTTGAGAAACTTCATGAGTCATCAGGGAACTGCTAATTCAAGTCACAATAGCTAAAGTGAAAAGGACTGACAACAACAGCATATCTTTGTTTGGGCAAAAGAAGCTAGCAGTATTTTCTACTTATATAAATTTCACAAACTTTGTGATGTTGGAAATCAGATTAGTTGTTACATCTGGGAAGGAGATGGGGAATATGATTGGGAGTGGATGCGAAAGAGACTTCTAACATTCTGGTATTGCTCTAATCCTGGTGGTACTAACATTGATATTTTCACTGTTATAATTCATCTATTTGTACAGTTACATTTTGTGGTTTTTCTGTAGGTATTACATATTTTAATAAAATGTTTGAAAAAATAATTAATAGCTACATAAATACATATTTAGGGTGAAAAAACAATACTTGAAAAAAATTTTTACAAGGTATGAAATGTCTAAATAAAATATTTTCTAACTGGTAAAGTGCAGCACTAGCCACCACTGGATAAATTTAAATCATCTTTATTTCCCTGTCCTCATAGTTATAAACATTATTTTATTAAAAAGTAAGATTTCCAGCACTTTGGGAGGCCAAGGTGGGCGGATCACAAGGTCAGGAGTTCGAGACCATCCTGGCTAACACGGTGAAACCCCGTCTCTACTAAAAATATAAAAAATTAGCCAGGCTTGGTGGCACATGCCTTTAATCCCAGCTACTTGGGAGGCTGAGGCAGGAGAATCGCTTGAACCCGGGTGGCAGAGTTGCAGTGAGCTGAGATTGCACCATTGCATTCTAACCTGGTGACAGAGCAAGACGTCTTCTCAAAAAAACAAACAAAAAGCTAGATTGCCTACTATTATTCCCCTACATATTCATGCAGTTAGTTATGTCATCATCACTATTATAATATATAGACTTATAATATTTTATTCTGTTCTTTGATAATTTTCACAGTTGTTAGCTTTGGTTTCATATGAAAATGATTTAATGCTAAAATCCATCTCTTTATCATAGCTTTGGCAGTCAACTCTGGTGTTGATTGGCATTTATTCTCAATGAGTGTTTTTTAAGAAATATATTTATAGATACTATAAATTTTTAACTATTGAATATTTGAGAGTATGTGTCTCTTGATCTTTGAATAGTAACTTTCTGGGTAAAATTATCTTTCATTAAAATTTTAGACTTTTTTTATTATCACATTATTGAATATGGTAGTAACTCTATCAATTGTATGGGCAATCTTTTGTTCAGATGCCCATGCAGTTATTTCTTTATTGTTAAAGTCCAGCAACTTTACTAAACTACCTACTGATATGTATTGTTTTGTATCACTGTACACTTTTTCTCTTTTCCTCTATATCAGGGAAATTTTCCTCTACATTTAAAAAATATATTTATCTTCTATCTTTTCTCTTTTCTTTAATGACAGCAGATGCTGAGTTGTCTGAAGCTCCACATCTTTGCCTATAGTTCCATTTATTTCTCTCAACATTTTAAACATTATGTTCTTTTCCGTTTAATTTTTCATGAGTGTTTCAAGCCCATCCTTCAGCTTTCTATGTTTCCAATGATGTTTACGCTGATTGCTATGTCTTTGATTCATTATTCGTTTCTATAATGGTTCAATTTTATCTTCATTTCTTTTAAAAGAACTCTACCAGCTCATTAAAAACTTATTGTGCAACATTTCATACATAAAATGATGATTTAACAAGTAAATGCTAAGTTTACGCAATAACAAAGATAATAAAACATGTATTTACCAAACATCCTGCTTAAGAAATAGATCCTAACCAGGACTTTTGAGGCCCTGACTTTTGAGGCTTCCTTTCATTCCTCTACATCAGATGATCTGGATCCTAAAATTACAGACAACCATTCTCTTCTTGGTCTTTAATTTTTAATTTATTGTTTTTAAATGCATCAGTGTGTTATTTGTACGTTTTTGGGTCTTATTTAAGAATCCCTCTATGACTCCGAAGTCAGTTAATACAGCGAACAAAGGTAATAGTCTGTAGAATGTCCAGAGAATTAGCTCTCTTTAGACTCTACTGAGACAGAGAACAGGAGTCACTTAGGTAATATAAGGCCCTGGGCAAGACAAGGAACATATATTTTCGTCTATTCCACGGGAATGCAAACTGCTTCTAATCCTCTTTCTGGTCATGAATTTAAAAGAATGTATTTACCACATCAGTAGCCACATATGAGAAGTTCCAGAGGCTGTGCCCATCTGTTTTCGAGATTACATCTGCCACAGCATCTGTAACTGCGAATCCAACTTAGTTAAGCTTCTGGTATCCCACCATTACCCACTGTGAACTAACTGGCTTTTCTGGGGTCAGGCTGGTGAGTTATGTGGTTATATTGTTTAGTTAGTATAACTTAAAATAATACATAATTTATACATGAGTATAACAGAAACATTTGTTTACTATATATAATAAACTATATTATCTGCCTAAATTTGAGGAAATACAAATACATGCTAATATAGTCTAAATAAATTTACATTTCTAAAGTACTTAGAATACTTGCCACAAAGTAAGCACTCTGTATTACATAAAAACCAATTATGATGATAGAAATACAATTCATGGTAGAATGTGATAGGCCAGATTTCTTCAATTCAAAACTATACATTTTCTTTTCATCTGTTATCTTTTCTGAAATCTGAAAGTATACATATAATATGTGAATCTTTCTCTCCATGTAAAATTGCTATTAAGTTGTTGGTACACATTACAATTTACTAATATGACTAGAGGTGTAAAAATTTTTTTCACATTTCTGTTGGCTTAAAACTTTTTATTCAAATAAAAATCTGTTAAATGTATGTTGCCAAATGAATTCAGATTTTTCCATAACTATGTCTATTTTCTTATACATCAAGATATATTAGTATTAAATATTAGTTTCACAAATTTATATTTAAATAACTTTGCATAATTATGATACAAAAGAGATGATGTAAAAATTGCATGACATTGAAATGAAATAATCTTCAGTACCTTTAATGAAAAGTAGAAAAAATACATAAAAGTTAAATTGTATATTTGAATTTGATTCCTTTAAAGCTTTGCTGATAATGTAGTTTGTCTTTAAGAAGTTGTGAATATAACATAGAATTTTCATTGAAAGTGTCCTAAGAGATCTACATTCAACTTTAAAAAAATTGACAAATGAAAAGCAAAGAAATATGATAACTGATTTTCACTTTAACTCAAAATTTAGTTTGCTTTTTAAAGAATATTATGTTTTCTAGTACTGCTTGCTCATTCTTCTTTGTTTAACATGCTGTGAACATTTAAGATGTACAATTTAATAAATTCTGCCTAGGATATTTATCGTATGTCCACTTTTCTCACTTCAGTATCATTTTCATACAGCAGCTTGAGCATTTTATAACTAACAATTTGTATTAGTGCTGGTTACAAAAGAAAAATAACATTTTAAATGCATTTATACCTATAAATTTTACATCGAGTATAGAAAATGTACCTATATGCAGTTCTTACATACAAGACATGGTTCTAAGCACACATAACTCACTAAATCATTCCAACATCTCAATGGCTTTGGTACCATTAGTATTCCTATTTTATAGATAAAGAAGCTGGCATTATAGGATTCAGGAACTTGATCATGGTCTCAATACTTTGAGCACTGGCAGTTTGTCTTCAGAATCCAAGTTCTACTCCACTATATATAACTCCTTTGCAGAAGAGAGCTCATATTTTTTGCATATACATCAGTAAAAAATGAAATTATGTATGTAATTAGCAAGTGGTAAGAATTTTCAGACATGCTGTTTGAAACAGGGTTGGAAAGCAAATAGTGAAACTGGAAATGTTGTATATTAGAAGATGCTAAGTATTAAAAATGCAATGGAGAAGTTACTGTTAACTAAAGAAGCATCTTATTCCTTGGGTTGCTTAGTAACCAAGAATTTGGAAGGGAGCAAGGTAGTGGACTGCAATACCCACAAGTGGATGCTGAATTTGGCAAAAGAAAAAACATGGAGAACCTCTGAGCCAGAAAGCTCTTCCTTATCTCAGGATGAATTTATTCTGTGTTCTGAAATGCATAAAGTTGAAGAATCCACAAGTGATTTGTGTGATTGGTCAGGATTGGGAACTATGGCTCCCCATTATCCACAGTTTCACTTTCTGTGGCTTTATTTACCCAAGGTCAATAGCATTCCAAAAACAGTAAATGAAAATTCCAGAAGTAAACCATTCATAAGTTTTCAACTGCCTTGCAGCTCTGAGTAGCGTGATGCAATCTCGTGCCATCCTGCTGTGTCCTACTGGGATGTGAATCATCCTTTGTCCAGCCTACCCACGTGGTCTACGCTCCCCACCCGTAGTCACTTAGTTGCCCTCTCAGTTATCAGATCAAAAAAATATATATGTATACACAGCAGGCCCTCAAATAATGTTTCATTCAATGTCGTTTTGTTATTTGATGTTGCTGAGAAAAAAAAAAAAAAAGGATTCCTGGCTGGGGCCACCATCTGTGTGGAGCCTTTCTCCCCACATCTACATGGGTTTTCTGGGTAGTCTAACTCCCTTTCACATCCCAGAGCTGGTTCATTCGGTTCACTGGCATGTCTACATGGTCCCCATGTGAGTGAATATGGGCGTGAGTGTGCCCTGTGATGTGATGGCATCCCGTCCAGGGCTGGCTCCTGCCTTGTGCCCTGAGCTCCCGGGACAGACTCCGGCCACATGGAGACACCAACTGGGAAAAGCAGGTTGGAAATGAATGGATGAATACAAATTATTGCAAGATAAAAATTCCTCATCTACAATAATCATACAAATGCAGAACAATAAACAATGCAGTAGGAAAGCTCTCCTCGAACCGGCCGTATGTGTTGGATTTTGTTTTTGAAATGCGTGGTAGAAGGAGGTGCTCCTTGCAATTTTCACTCTGCAGACAATTCTTCCTTGATTTAACCCACCACCACGACCAATGTCACACACTGATTCACCAAAAATTCGGTAATTTTCTTAGTTTTTGTTATTATTATTATCTTAGACATGGAGTCATACTCTGTCAGCACAATCATAGTTTACTGAAGCTTCGACTTCCTGGGCTCAAGGAATCCTCCCATCTCAGCCACTGCAGTTGCTGGGACCACAGACATGTGCCATCATGCCCAGCTTGTTTTTATTAGTTTTTCTTAAATGTAAGTATAGGCAGTTACTTCAATGTTTAATATTAGAAGTGTTTTGCTCTTTATTTAGAAGTTTGGTGATGTTTTTGTGACCAGAAATATGACCTAGGAACTTAACTCTTGTTTATATTAATTAGCCCATGATAAAATTGGTTTCATAATACCTCATTTTGCTTAAAGTTGCAGTTTCCAAAAACATATCAATGACTTTATTGTAACTCTTGAGGACTTATTGTATAGAATTTGGTTCTATTCATGGTTTCAGGCATCCACTGGGGACCTTGGGTATATCCCATTAGATTAAAGGGAAACTGCTGTACTGGCATGGAGGGCTGTGATTGACAGCCCATTCCGTAACATGGTATATTGAATAAGTTCAAAATCATTAAAATGAACCATGGAGATCTATGCAACCTGGTGTGTCTCTAGCCTCAAGCTCACCGTTTTGGCCTCCTTTCTAAGGCTCCTGCCCTTTCCACACCTCTGATATCCATTGCACCCAGCACTTGTCACCCATGGCTTTTGTTGATTTCAGTCTTCTCCTTATAATGCTACCATTGGCTCTCTTACTCCTTTCCCTGGCTATTACTCATCTCATTTCATCTTATCTAGTTCAAGTCCTCAAGGATGTGACAGCCTCCCTTAGTTACTCCCTATATTTATTCCATCATTGCTCATATCAATACTAACTGCATAATCATTTATGAGATGATTTATCTAATATGTTTCTCCTACTGGCCTGTAACCTCTGTGAGGGAAGAAATTTGGAGTCTGTTCTGTTCACCCTTGTAGTTCCTAGTACTTAGCACAGTGCTAGGTATGTAATCACCACCCAATAGATATATGTAAATGAATAAATGAATGAACAAATGACCATTTTATGGCTGACAACATGATTTTTACTGAACTACTAACCTGTTCTAAGGGCCACATATTACTCATCAAGGTGGTAACTCTAAAGTAAGATTACCATTGCTTATTGCCAGTTAGGGGATTACTAGTGATTTCTCTCAACTCCATGAAGCAAAGAGTTTTAAGGATTTGTTAACGTTCTTTCTTTTCCCTTTCCTGATTCAGAAAGATTGACTACAAAAACTGAGAGTAATGTTAATGATACAATTTTATTGAAATTTAAATATCAAGAAAGCAAAGTTTTGTACTTCAATCGCTTCCCTTCCTTGACTTGATAGGTCATTTAAAAAATTGTCTTGTGCTTGCCAGTAACTATATGATGTAGTGCAAATAAATAGCAACCTCCACTGTTAAAAAATAAAGTTGTCAGTTTTACATTGTCAGGCAGCAATCATTAGCAAAAAGTTACAGTGATAGAGCTTCAATCTTTGAAAAACCAATGGATTTGTAATAACTTATATATACCAAAAGATGCCCCTTAAAAAATAACAAGTTATTCTATAATAAAATGTGATAAAGAGGAGAGACAACAATCTATAGGCACTAAAGCAATTTTAGAAGTAGTTGTTAAATTCTAGAAACTTAATCTTGTTTTCTGAATGTTTCTAATATTATAAAAAAGGAACGTGAACAAAATAGAAAATTAAGTACTCATTTTTACTGTGATGTTTACTGTAATGACTCATTATGACAGCTGTTGAAATGAATGGATTAGGTATTTTAATAACTTTATCTCCATATGTTTTAAGATGTTTGTGGCTTTACATTCAATATTTATCTAGGCATTTCAAATAACTTGTTCTGGCTCTTGTAGGCAAGGATATGTAGATAATGTACATTTATACTGTAGAATGCTAAATATTTAACCAAGTTTTTATAGCATATGATTTTAAAAAACAATTATGAGATGTACTGAAAAACTGATGTGCTTAGTTCATTCTCTAATCATCCCCTCTGCTTCAAACACAAAGCAATAACCACAAGTATAGTCAATGTTTAAGCCAAAAGGATTATTTTTAGACTCAAAAAGATAAATATCTTCTGAATATGATTGGAATGGAAATATCCAAAAAACGAATGAGGCAAAAGCCCTGGGTTTTCCCGAAAGTAGCCAAAAAACGGCAGTGTGCTATGTAAACTCTATACTGAACAGAGTCTAAGAACGGGTTGGTCGATTAGAAAACAGTATTGAGAAAGCTGACCAGCATGTGCCACAGAAAGACTATGGTAAACCAAAAGAAACAAAAGTTTTAAAAAAATCACCTGAAAAACAGTATAAATACATAGTGAGGCTCCAACCCTCATGGAATAAGAGTTTGATAAAAGCAGAATGTAGCAAATGTCCGAGCAATAAAACTTGAAGAAGTAATTGCTGAAAATTTTCCACATCAAAAGTATACTCCAGGTACTTAGCAGAATAAATTAAAACTAATGAATGCATATGCATATCGTCATGAAGTTGTAGAACATTAGGATAAAAAGAAAAATCTTAAAAAGCACTAAAGAGAACCAATGCATCACCAACCACGGAATGACCAATTAAACTAACAAGAGACATTGGCAACAACAGATGCTAGAAGACAATGGAATAATATATTTAAAATGCCAAAGGAAAGTAACTGTAAGCCATATACACAGATAAACTATTATCTGTGAGGGAAGAAAAAAATAATGTTTATGCTTACAATTACCAGAAGAATTTACCACCCACACAGAGTCTCATTAAAAGAACTATTAAGTGCATATATTTCAGCATGAAGAAAACTGAACAAAGAAGGAAGCTGTGGGATTCAACAAATAAATGAACATTCCAAAATTGATTAAGTGCTAGCACATTTCATTAACTATTGACCTTATGCAAAAACTTATATTTAAAAATAAGGATTTAAAGCTTATAGAGGAATGAGACGATGGGAGAGGAGTGTTAAAGCATTATAAGCATCTTTTCAAGCTGGTACGGGAGATAACAGTGAACAAGTTTAGATTTTTAAAAGACAAAAACATAAGGGCAGAAGTGTTCAATACTATTTATAATATTTAATCAAAAAAGTGTAATGAAAGAGTATTTTTTTGAGAAAGTTCAACGTATAATAGATGCCAAGAAGGAAAAAAAATGAGAAATTCAAAGTACAATAGAAGATGGCAAATAGAAAAAAGTGATAATTGACACGAGTCCAAATATTCAGAAATCACATTAAGTATAAAAATTATGCATAGATATTGAAAGAAAAATTGTATCCTTTTTTTTTTTTTTTTTTTTTTGAGACAGAGTCTTGCTCTGTCGCCAGGCTGGAGTGCAGTGGAGCCATCTTGGCTCACTGCAACCTCTCACTCCCTGGTTCAAGTGATCTTCCTGCCTCAGTCTCCCGAGTAGCTGAGATTACAGGTATGCGCCACCACGCCCAGCTGATTTTTTTTTTTTTTTTTTTTTATTTTTAGTAGAGATGGGGTTTCACCATGTTGGCCAGGAGGGTCTCAAACTCCTGACCTCATGATCCACCCGTCTCGGCCTCCCAAAGTGCTGGGATTACAGGCATCAGCCACCGCGCCCAGCCGACAAATTGTATCTTAAATTCCGTTCTACGATGCTTAAATGTGAGTCATCTAAAACAAAATTAGTCAGAAGATTGAAAACAAAATGCAGAAAAAGAAAACATGGGGACTTTCATTCCTTGTAATTATCTTAGAGCAAGAAATGCTTCTGTAATTTTAACTCAAAACCCAGAAATAATAAAGGAAAAGACAGACAAAGTTAATTGGATAAAATTTTAAATCCTACAAATCAAATAACATCACAAAGTCAAAAGACAAATGAAAATTGGAGAAAAGTAGTTGCAGCTCATATCACAGAAAATGTTTTATATTCTTAATAAATTAGAAGATGCCATTGAATATTTATCTATGTCAATAGAATATACATACCTCTCTACCATATCAAAGATATTTACATATATATCCTTTAGGGAAACTCACACACCTATACAGGCAGACATCTGCAATAATGATTTTGTAGAACTTTTATAATAGTGAAAATTTAAGTATTCCAAATATCTATCAACAAGAGCATTTTTATGTTGGTGTATATTGATACAGTGGAAAATCATACAGTGGTTAAATTAATTTGATCTCCCAAATTATCATTCATATTTATATATATATTTTCCTCCATATTTTTAAACCCATAATTATTACATAATTTTGAACTGTACAGAAATTGCATCATCCTTTGGCAACTTGCTTTTTATCCTTGCCAATAAGTTTTTACAGACTTTTCTATATTGTTTTATGTAGTTCAAATTTATTCATTTTTCCTACACTTAAATGTCTTATGAGAATTGGATCACAGTCAATTCTCATTTTCCTAGATCTTGGCCACAAGCATCTTACAGAATTAAAATGTTAGAGTATCCTTTTAGGATTTTTTCTATTATCATCTCCTTTGGAATGAAAATGAAGCCAATTTTCATCATCACTGTGGGCCTCCAGAAATTTGTGGCAGCCCCATTAACCAGATGTGTTTCCCAAAATATGAATGAGGTCATTCTTATCAGGCAATTATCTCATTCCCCACTCATGGTGCAATCTAAACTGGAGATGAAAATTCCTTCAGCTTTGGCAAGCTTCTATCTGGCCTCTCATCTCCTAACTCTGACATGTATCTTCCATACTCTAAATTCAGACAGATGTGCTAATATACTGCACTTGAACATATTTCAGGTGCCTCACCAATTCAAAGACAATGTTTTATAGGGAGAGACTCTAAGGAGGGATAAAGAAAGTGAGAAGGCCTGCTGTGTTTGTAATTTCTAACCCAAATTCAGAATTTGGCTGAATAATTATTTTGAGATATGATACCTCTAATTCCATTATTGATCTTGAGTAACCTTGAATAGCAATTTGTGCCATCTGATGACTTTTTTATTTACTTGTATGACTGAATTCCTTTTTCCATAAAATGTAGCACATTGACCAAAAGTAAATTGTTGCCTAGTCATAGCATTTCTAAAAAATCTTTTGAAAAACAAATATTTTGGTACAGAACAATTTATAGCATAAAAGAAGATTTGGGGTTCTCATTTTTAATCATTGGAATGGGAGATAGCTTTATAAAATATTAAAGAAAAGAAACATCACTTTATCAAAAGATAATTTCCCATGTAGTAACTGTTTTTTATATCACCTCTTCCCATTAGTTTCCTTGAATTTTTCAAGTCCCAGGATAGGATATACTTAATGAGAGCAGAGCAGTGTAAGTTCAAAGCATTCCTAAAACACTAATCACTCCCAACAAACGTGGGTAGAGATTTAAACATAATCCTCTAGGATTTCTGTTCATCTATGATTTAAAAATGGCCAAAGATGTTCCTTTATGTTCATCATATATTAATCTTGAAACATGACAGTAATGTAACTAGGTGGGATATTTAGGAATTGAACTTTTATGGGAAAAAAACACGTGGATCAATCTACTTTTCAAATTAAGCTTAGGATTGTTTTCACATAAAACCTTAAATCTAATTTAACAATAAACCATACTTTTAAAAAACATCTTTCCCAAATAATTATTATTGTTTTTCTTTTTCTTTCTTTCTTTTTTTTTTTTTTTGAGACGGAGTCTCACTCTGTCGCCCAGGCTGGAGTGCAGTGGCTCGATCTCGGCTCACTGCAAGCTCCGCCTCCGGGTTCACGCCACTCTCCGGCCTCAGCCTCCCAAGTAGCTGGGACTACAGGTATTATTGTTTTTCAAAAACTTGATTTTGCCTCAGGGAAAGTAATATTTTTTGTAATTTTTAAGTTAATAACTGAAGTAAATGTGCACTAATATGTGCCAACTAAGATCAGTAAATGTAACCACAATAAAATGTGAAGAGCCTCTTTTGGGGGTTTTCCTTATAATGTGCTCTCCTCAGAGAAAATCTAAACTGTTCATACTCCCTCCATGCGTGAGGAAGCATCTGGTGATGGAAGCATCACCAGTACTAGATGCTGTCATCTTGTAAATTTTGGCAAGCTGACTGGTGAAATGTGATATCTCAGTATTTTACTTTGCACTTTTTTGGTGATACTGAGACTTTCTACATATGTTTATTGGGGAAATTATTTCTTCTGAATTTGTCTATTTATAACCATGACAACATTTCCTTTGGGTTTTATTTTCTTCTGGATGTATAGGGGCTACTTGTATTTCAGGATCATAAATCCATTGCTACTATACTATATATGTCTTACATTCTTTCTGTCTTTAACTTTGCGTATGGTGTTTGTTATTGCTGTCAGTCTGTTTTTAGAGTGCTTAGGTTTTGTTTCATGGTTTTACAGATCTTCATCCCAATTTTTTTCTACTAGTATTTTCATTTTATTCATTCATTCATTTCTATGCAAGTACGAACACATGTGTGTGCATATGTGTACACACTTATCTTTACAGCTGTCGTTCATACAAAATGACTCTTCTGTCTAGGTGGGGTTTTTTGTTTATTCAGTTTACAGCTAATTTCCCAACACTCTTCTCATCATCAACATGGGCAACAATTTTTTAAAAACTTTAAAATTTTGAATTAATTATAAATTCACAAGAATTTGCTGTGTAACAAAATAGTTGGGTGGCTTCCATGCCCAGTTCCTGGGAGGTAACCTCGAAATTCTTGGGATTTCCTGAGTGATAGGAGTACCTTGTTATTCTCGGTAGGCCCTGATAGTTCACACCAATGAAGAGATTTTTCATGGACCCCTAAATGGTTTAGGCTAATGAAGTGTTTTGGGATGGGGGCTGGCCATGCCAGATAGACGAAGCATGTGATTAGAGGACTGGGGCTTTGAGCCACATGCTATCAACCTGGCCTCTGGGAAGTAGAGATGGGGCTGGAGATTAAGTCACATGGCCAATGACTCCATTAATTACACCTATGTCATGAAGCCCCAGTAAACTCTCTGGACACTAAAACTGCAGGGAGCTTTCCTGGTTGGCCATACTCTGCCTATTGCCACACATCAAAAAGGCACATTCTGACTCCACAGGGAAAGGATAACAGAAGTTTCACTTTGGGGATCATTCCAGACCTCACTCCATGTGTTTCTTCCTTAGGCTGCTTCTAATTTTGTACTCCTTTGCTGTAATAAAACTGTAATTGTAAGAACAGTGCTTTCCTGAGTTTTGTGAATCATTATAGCAAATTATAGTAGAGGTAGTAGGATGGTGGAAATCCCCATGTTGTAGCCATGGGCACCCTTGAATTTGTGCCCAGAACTGAAGGTGGCCTGGGCACCCTTGAATTTGCAGCTGGTGACTGAAGTGAGGACAATCTTGTGGAGGACTGGGCCATTATCTGTGAGGTTTGGTCTAACTGCATGTAGTTGCTGTCAGCAGTCAATGCAGTTGCAAAGAAAAATAAATAAATAAACGTACAGGAAGGTTCCGTGCATTCTTCACCTACCTCACCCCAATGGCAACTGCATTGCCTAGCTTATTCAGCTTTCATCAGTTTTACAAGCCCATAATTGTATGTGTATATAATTCTATGAGATTTTATTTGTGTAACTTTGCATAACCACCACCACACTCAAAGTACTGAACTCTCCCACCACCACAGGCACCCTCATACTATTGCTTTATGGTCCTTCTCTTTCTCCTCTGAATCTTTAACTTTAATCTGTTCTTCATCTCTACAAATCTGTTATTTCAAGAATGTTCTGTAATGGCATCATACACTTTGTAAACTTTTGAGATGGACTTTTTTTCACTCAATAATTCTTTTGAAAGACATTCAAGTTTTTGCATGCATCACTAGCTCATTCCTTTTTGGTCATTGTTGAATCCACGGAAAGGATAAACCACAGTTGAAAGTTCAATGGATAAACCCATTGAAGGATATTTGGGGGGTTTCCAGGTTTTTTTACTCATGAACAGAGCTGATATAGACATTTGTGTACATGTTTTACATTAGCAAAAGTTTTCAGTTTTTCTGTAATAAATGCCCAAGAGTGCAATTACTGGGTTACACTGGAAGCAAATACCTGTTTTAAAGAAAAATCTGACAAATCATTTTACAGAGTGCAGAACCATTTTATTCCCACCAGCAATGTATGTGTGATCCAATTTCTCTGCATCTTCACCAGCATTTGATGTTGCTATTATATTTTATTTTAGCCAATCTGATGGGTGTGGTATTATCTCATTGTGATTTTAATTTGGATTTCTCTAATGTTAAACATATTTTTATATGCTTATTTGCCGTTTATTCTCTGTGGTAAAATGTTCCTTTTTTGGTTCATCTTCTAATTGGATTTCTTTAAATGTTTGGCTTGTATAGTTCTTTTTTTTTTCTTTTTTTTTTTTCTTGAGACAGGATCTCACTCTGTTGTCCAACCTGGAATGCGGTGGTGTGATCTTGACTCACTGCATCCTTGATCTTACTATAGCCTCGACCTCCCAGGCACAAGCAATCCTCCTGCCTCAGCTGCTGGAGTAACAGGGACTACAGGCCTGTGCCACCATGCCCAGCTAATTTTTGTATTTTTTGTAGAGATAGAGTTTTGCTATGTTGCCCAGGCTGTTCTCAAACTCCTGAGCTCAAGCAATCCACACCACCTCAGCCTCCCAAAGTGCTGGGATTACAGGTGTGAGCCACCACACCCAGCCAGATAGTTCTTAATATACTCTAGGTATTGGTCCTTTTTATAATATATAGTTTGCAAATATTTTCCCCATTCTATAGCTGGGTTTTTTACCCTCTTAAGATCTTTCACAGAGCAAAAGATGAAATTTTGATCAGGTTTAATTTATTGATTTTTAATGGATCATAATTTTGGTATCAAGTATAATAACTGCCCACTTAGTATTGACTCCTGAAGATTTACTCCAATTAATTTTTAAATAAGTTTAATGTTTTGCATTTAAGTTCATGATATATTTTTAATTAATTTTTTTATAAGGTATGAAATTCAGGTGGGAGCTTTTCTTAATGTTTCAGTACCATTTGTTAAAAGGTTTGGGCATATTTGTGTGGGTCTATTTTTGGGTTCTATATTCTGCTCCATTGTTATATGTATTTATCCTTACAGCAACTTACTGTAACTTAACATCAAAAAGAGGAATTGCTTCCATTTTATTCTTTTAAAAAGTTGTCTTAACTTTTTTAGGTCCTTGGTCTTCCCATATAATTTTTAGAATAAGTTTGTGTAAGTCTACCCAAACAACAACAACAACAAAACACAGGCTGGGATTTTGATAAGAACTACATTAAACCAGTAGATAAATTTCAGGAGCATTGATGTCTTTACTATGTTGAGTTTTCCAATCAATGTACCTGGTAAATCTCTTCAATTATTTATCACTTTTTTGATCAGTAAAATTATCATTTTGTAATTTTAAGCATACAAATTTTATGCATGTGTTGAAATACTAATACATATGTATTTCACTTACTTTTGAGTGTTTATAAATGGTATTATGATTTTAGTTTTGGTTTCCACATGCTCATTTTTTTATATAGAAATGTAATTGATTTTTGTGTGCTGATCTTGTATACAGCAATCTTGTTCCACTTGCTTAATTCTAGGATATTTACTTTTTTCTTTGTAGATGCCTGTGATTTTTTTAATGTTAAAATCATTAAAAAATATGTACTTAGGGAAATATTTACTGTCTGTATGCCTTTATTTATTTTTATTGTCTTATTGTGCTGAATAGAACTTCCAGGCTATGTTGAATGAAGGTAGTGAGAGTAGACATTCGTGCCTTGTATATAGTCTTATAGGGGAAATATTCAGTCTTACATCATTAAATATGGTATTAACTTTTTTCTCTGTAGATTTTTTAAAAATTCAAGATGAGAAAGCTTTTTCTATTTCTAGTTTGCAGAGAGCTTTTACCGTGAATGTGTTACTTTTTGCCAAATGTATTGTTTGCATCAATTGGTAAGATCATATGATTATTCTTCCTTAGCCTGTTAATTTGGTGGATTATATTAAATAAATTTTAAATGTTGAGCCAGATTTACATATTTGGAATACATTTTACTTGACTGTAAAATTCTTTTTATACATCACTTGGTTTAATTTTAAATATTTTTAACATTAAAATATTAATACAATATTGTTGAGGAATTTTGCATCTCAGTTCATGAGAGTTACTGGTCATTAGTTTCTTTGCTTTGTACTGTCTTCTTCTGATTTGGGTATCAGAATAATATTGGCCTCAGAAGATGAGCTGGGAAATGTTAGAAGGAGCTGGGACTGCCTTTTACATTTTCTGGAAGAGACGATGTAAAATTGGTATTGATTCTTTAAATGCTTGGTAAAATTCTCCAATATAACCATATTGGCATGGAATTTTCTTTTTTGACGTCTTTTAATTACAAAATACATTTCTTTAATGCTTATGGAACTCTTTAGATTATCTTTTTTCTATCTTCATTTAGTTTTGGTAGTTTGCAGTTTCAAGGAATTTGTCCATTTCTTTTAAATTGTCTAATTTATGGGAAAAACAATTTTGGTATGTTTAACATTATCTTTTTATTTGTCCATGTGTATTGTTTTATGTAGATGTTTATTTATAGAAATTATGTCGTGCTCTCATTCTCTTTCTTACTATGTTCACTTCACACTATGATTGAAGCATGCCATACTGTATAATACTGCGTAATGTCCATAAAGTCCATCCACCATATACTCCTCCAAGGATGCACCTTAAATTGCTTCTAACATCTAACCCCTCCAAATAATGTTAAAACAAACATTTTGTTTGTATCCCTTTGTGTAGCTGTGATAACTTTTTTAAAGGAATGCTGTTTACATGAACTATATTGTTCAATTTTTTAAAAATCTGATCTTAGAGTCTCTGGTTGGTGAGTTTAACCTACTTACATATATTCATTACTAATAATTTAGGACTTGGCTGGGCGCGGTGGCTCACACCTGTATTCCCAGCACTTTGGGAGGCTGAGGCTGAGGTCGACAGTTCGAGGCTAGCCTGACCAACATGGAGAAACTCTGTCTCTACTAAAAATAAAAAAAAATCAGCCAGATGTGGTGGTGCATGCCTGTAATCCCAGCTACACGGGAGGCTGAGGCAGGAGAATCACTTGAACCCAGGAAGTGGAGGTTGTGGTGAGCCGAGATCGTACCATTGCACTCCAGACTGGGCAACAAGAGTGAAACTCCGTCTCAAAAAAAAAATAATAATAATAATTTAGGACTTATTTCTATTTTATTAGATCATGTTTTCTATTTATTATCCTTTTTTTCTCTTTTCCTATTTTGTTTATACAGACTGAGTTTTGATGATTTTTAAAATTATGCATTCTATGCTTTTAATGGTCACAGTTGTTAGCTTAAGAGTCATATTTATATTTTTTCACCTATACTAGTTTCCTGAAATTATGAGGATCTATGTGTAATTTCCCTATAAACATGACAGATACATAAGGATGACTCTTCCTTAAACTCCCATAATTTTGATATTTAATATTTATTTTAATTCTATATTTTATATAGGCATTTATTTTAAAAACTCATAAATTTACCAAGGATAAACAGGAACTGAAATTTGTTAATATAATAATAAATAATTCTGATGTGGTTAAATGGAAAATATAATAGAAAATAAATGTCCCCAATTAACATATATTCTTTCAGTAATCCCCAGTATTTTAATAATCCTTATATGGTAATTCTGTGTTATTGAGTTACAAGAAAAGTAAAGTTCTTGATTGGTCATTAGAAAAGGAGAAGTGATAATCTCATCGTCCAGATCTCAGATTAAATGCCACCTACTCAGAGAATTTCCCTGATGATCCACCCAACTCTGTCACTTTATGTCACATCACTGTATTTTAATTATTTTCATAGCACTTGTCACTATTTAAATTTTTCCTGTTCACTTATGTGTCTTTGTATGGCCTGTCACCCAGCATAGATTGAGAGTATGATCTCCATGAAATCAGGAAGAAGACAATACTTGGTGCTCAAGATATGTTGATGGATTTTATATATATCTTTAGCTTACTTTCAATAGTCTTGGTTGGATTAACAAAATTATACCACCAGCATGAACAAACATTTATTATATTACTATTATTTTCATGAAAATTGTTTTTTAAAGAGTTTTTTTTTTCTTTCTTTCTACGTTGTATTCTTTCTAGGAACAGAAACAGGTAAAGCATCAGAATCTTTGGTAGGATTGAGTATACACTTTTTATTCATTTATTTTTTACAGATGGGGTCTCTCTATGTTGCCTAAGAGATATTCCTTGGCTCAAGAGTTATTTTCATCTCAGCCTTCTGAGTAGTTGGGATGACAGGCATGCATCTGGCTTGCATAATCTTTAAATATGAGGTTATTCATATGAATCCACCATAATTTTCCAGGAAGCTCTATCCTTCAGGACCAGATGTGTAGTTCAAGAAAGCTAAAGATGTAAGTGATTTTAAGTGTTGTGGCCATCTTCATGTGGAAGTGTCATTGTCCAGTGTGTCTACTCTGAAACGCACCAATCTGAATACTGCGTTGTGCTTAGGGAAATAACGTTACTTTTAATTGTATTGCATCATCACTACAAGGGGAAAGCAATTATTTCTACTTATCCTTTCCCCTAGAAATAGCTTAGTAAGAGAATTATTTACTCTCTTTCTATAACTAGACACATTTTTACTTACTCCCAGAAAGTAAAAATCAGATGGTGAGAAGAAAAGAGTTGTGATTTTGTACACTCTGAGAAGTTTTTTTTTACTTTATTATGTATTTATTTTTTACTTATTAGATTTTTCTAGGGCTGAACCCAAGAAATGCAGTCATAGAGAAATCTTGGTAAAATTTACTTCTCATCATAAATATCCTAAACTAACTTAAAGGTAAATAATGACTCATGGGATAGTATTTCATGTATGTACACAATAATATAATAAATAAAGATTTATGAACTTAAAATAATCAATAAATTAAAGGAAAATAGGAAATGTGCCCATGGGACAATTAGTAGGCCATAAAGACAAATCCGAAAGAAGAAAATAAATGGCCTATGGACATAAGTAAAAAGTTATTGTCACTAATTACACAATATATGTAAATTCAAAGAGTAATGAATTTCCATTTCCACTTAGTAGATTGGCAAATATTTGTAGGTTATAATACTTACGTTTAATGGATTGGGAAAAATGATATTCTCTACAATGTATTGCAGAAGTACCTTGTTTCAGCCTTCCCGGAAGGGAGTTTAGCAATAAGATAACATATTTTAGGAAAACATACATGCATGCGCAAGCACACACACCTAGAAAAGAATCTTGAAATATTTTGCCAAATGCTAATAGTAGTTATTTCTATATGGAAACATTATGGCTTATTTTAACTATTATTTCTTTTTTCTTCCTACAATGACCATATTGCATATATAATGACAAATTAAAAGTTAAAAAATGACTTTGAATCACAAATTCTTTACTTTTTAAAGATACTCCATGGCTAGAATTTGTTGTTGCATTCCTGCTATCCCATGTCCCACTTTTAAAACAAAAAATAAAAAGAGGAAAAGGAAATGAAGTACCATTGGAAGGTAAACCAAGCAGTGTTGTGCAAGAGAGATAATAATGGCTACTAATTGTTGATTGTCGGCTATGTATGCTTAGATAACAATTGCTGAAGGGCAAGTCCTAAGATTACCACAAACTGTAGGATTTCTATGTGAAAGTAGAAAGTAATATATTGATTGATTTAATATCTCTCCATAATGACTGCCCTATATGCATGTCCTTTGCCCTCTAATTTGTAACTCTATTTTTATTCTGGACTCAGCAAGTGACTTGTTTTGGTCAATGGAAGATGTCTTTGTCAGCAATAGTTGCCATAACAAAATACCATAGACTGGGGGCTTAAATAACAGGCATTTATTTCTCATAGTTCTAGAGGCTGGGAAATCTGAGATCAAGGTGCTGGCAACTTTGGCTCTTGGTGAGGACTCTCCTCCTGGCTTGTAAACAGCCACCTTCTTACATGGCAAAGAGAGAGAAAACTCTGATTATCTCTTCTCTCCTTATAAGATATAAATGGGGTGGGAAGCAACACACGTATTCAGTCCATAACAGAGAGGTTGCAAAAAGGTGAGGCTTGGAAAGCACATGCATATTTCTACTCACTTTCTTGTACAACTGATCTTTCTCACACACATCTGTCAAAGAATCAGGAAATTCTGGGCTAGGCTGCTGGAGGATTGTGAGATACATGTAAAAAAGATTGAGCCACAGGACTTCCAGGCCTGGCCATCCCAGGTCAGCTAGACTCCAGCCAAAGCCTTGCTGACAACAGTGCATTAGAGTCCAGGTAAGATCAACTGAGCCACATTCAGACAGCAGAACCACCTAGCTACCCTGTAGTCTCATAAGAAATAATACATGGCCATTGGGTTTTAAGTCACTAACTTGTGGGGTAGTGTGTTACACAGCATTAGCCAACCAATAACACATCTTCTCGCTAAGAGGCAGACAGGAACCTCTTATGTCTTGAAGGTATAAGCTAGAAATGTCAAGCTTGTGAGTTGACCAGATTCTGGTGATAGCCTCAACAATTTTGCTCCACCTACATAATTACTTGGCATGCTAAGATGACAGATTTAAAGATCTCCCAGGCCAGAAGTTCTAATCCTAATAGCAAGTAAGCATTGATAAGATTCATCCCTCAGATATTATGGTGTTATTATACACTTGAGGGGCAACCTAAGGTAAACATAACTATCCTGATTTGCAAAAAAAGAAAGTGAATCTCAGAGGGATTCTTGTCTTTTCCTACATAACAAAGGAAGTACATGACACAGCCAATCTTTTTTTTTTTTTCTTTTACTTTAAGCTCCAGAATACATGTGCAGAATGTGCAGGTTTGTTACATAGGTATGCATGTGCCATGCTGGTTTGCTGCACCTATCAACACATCATCTAGGTTTTAAGCCCTGCATGCATTAGGTATTTGTCCTAATGCTCTCCCTCCCCTTGACCCCAACCCTGACAGGCCCCAATGTGTGTTGTTCCCTTCCCTGTGTCTATGTGTTCTCATTGTTCAAGTCCCACTTATGCGTGACAATATGTGGTGCTTGGTTTTCTGTTCCTGTGTTAGTTTGCTGAGGATGATGGCTTCCAGCTTCATCCATGTCCCTGCAAAGAACATGAACTCATTCTGTATTATGCCTGCATAGTATACCATGGTATATATGTGCCACATTTTCTTTATCCAGTCTGTCATTGATGGGCATTTGGGTTGGTTCCAAGTCTTTGCTATCGTAAATAGTGCTGCAATAAACATATGTGTGCATGAGTTTTTATAGTAGAATGATTTATAATCCTTTGAGTATATACCCAGCAATGGGATTGCTGGGTCAAATTGTATTTCTGGTTCTAGATCACTGAGGAATCACCATACAGTCTTCCACAATGGTTGAACTAATTTACAGTTCCACCAACAGTGTAAAAGTGTTCCTATTTCTCCACAGCCTTGCCACCATCTGTTATTTCCTGACATTTTAATAATTGCCATTCTGACTGGCATGCGATGATATCTCATTGTGGTTTTGATTTGCATTTCTCTAATGATCAGTGATGATGAGCTTTTTTTCATATGTTTGTTGGTCACATAAATGTCTTCTGTTGAGAAGTGTCTGTTCATATCCTTTGCTCACTTTTTGATGGGGTCGTTTGTTTTTCCTTGTAAATTTGTTTAAGTTTCCTGTAGACTCTGGGTATTAGACCTTTGTCAGATGGGTAATGTCAATATTAGACAGATCAATGAGACAGAAAATTAACAAGGATATTCAGGACTTGAACTCAGCTCTGGATCAAGTGGACCTAATAGACATCTACGGAACTCTCCACCCCAAATCAACAGAATATATATTCTTCTCAGTGCCACTTGGTACTTATTCTAAAATTGACCACATAGTTGGAAGTAAAATACTCCTTAGCAAATGCAAAAGAATGGAAATCATAACAAACAGTGTCTCATACCACAGTGCAATCAAATTAGAACTCAAGATTAAGAAACTCACTCAAAACCACGTGACCACATGGAAATTGAACAACCTACTCCTGAGTGACTCCTGGGAAATAATGAAATTAAAGCAGAAATCAAGAAGGTCTTTGAAACCAATGAGAACAAAGACAACACACCAGAATCTCTGGGACACACAGCTAAAGCAGTGTTAAGAGGGAAATTTATAGCACTAAATGCCCAAATCAGAAAGCTGGAAACATCTCAGAATGACACCCTAATATCACAATTAAAAGAGCTAGAGAAGCAAGAGCAAACAAATTCAAAAGCTAGCAGAATACAGGAAATAACTAAGATCAGAGCAGAACTGAAGGATATAGAGATATGAAAAACCCTTCAAAAAATCAATGAATCTAGGAGCTGGTTTTTGAAAAAATTAACAAAATAGATACATTGCTAGCTAGACTAATAAAGAAGACCCAATTTTTTCATGATAGTTCTCTTGGCTGAGAAATAGCCCCTAGCTGGTAGGCCTCACCAACCGATGCAATGACAACAAATGGTGAGCTGAATCCCAGGAGAGGAAAGTGCATGGCTTCCCGTGAACTGTCATTGAGTGAGAAGACTAGAGAAGCCTGAGTGCTGATTATTGGCATAGATATCTCTAATTCATTGCAAATTTTTATGTCCATGTTTGCTACCAGAAGGGCGGACCTAAAATTCTCTTCCCATAATGTTCTGACCAGAAGCCCTATCCTCAGGGCCCACTGTATGCAACCTCACCTTAAAGAAGTTGCTCTGCAATGAATCTCAGCCCTATCATGCTGGGCTCTTTAATTCAGGCAAAAAACTGTGGTTGCTTAAAATATTTTTCAAAAACATTTTAATCTGTATACACTGAAGGGGTAAAAGAGCATTTTTGTTACATGGATGCATTGCATAGCAGTGAAGTCTGAGTTTTTAGTGTTACCCTCACCCAAATAAGGTACATTGCACCCATTAAGTAATTTCTCATCCCCCCACTCACTTTCTACCTTTCCACCCTGCCATCTCCAGGGTGTATTATTCCACACTCTATGTCCATGTGTACACGTTATTGAGCTTCCACTTGTAAGTGAAAACATACAGTGTTTGACTTTCTGTTTCTGAGTTGTTTAACTTAATAAATGGCTTCTGGTTCTGTCAATGTTGCTTCAAAAGACATGATTTCATTCTTTTTCATGGCTCAGTAGTATTATAATGTGTGCAATTTCTTTTTCAAATCACATTTCTTTATCAAATCATCCATTGATGGACACTTAGGTTGATTCCATGTTTGTTACTGTGAATTGTGCTGCAATAAACATACATGTATGATTATTTTTTTGATGTTATTTATTTATTATCTGTGTCAATATTAAGGAAAAGATTGTCTTTTTATTTGTTTCTTGAATATCTTGTAAACAGACTATATTGAATAAATATTTGCCAAATGAGTAAAGGTAGATTTAATCTATAAAATTAACAGGTTTGAATATATGATTTTAAAGTCCTTGCTATTTTAAGATTCTATAACTTTTACTATTTTGATATACCAATGAGTTTTTCATTGTTTAATTTCAGGAAATAAGGGACTCATTGCATTATTTTACCCATCACAATACTTACCCACAATTTTAATCCACCTCATCAATGCATCTTTTCAAACACCTCATCAATGCATCGTTTCAGGCACCAGAAAGTAGAATAAAGTGTATCTCTCCTCACTTTGGATACCCTACTCTGATGTAAACAAGTGGCTCCTTAGATTGTTTTTAGAAAAACAGACAAGGTCTGGCCTCAGAGACGATTATTGTGACTTCCTGTCCAGGTAGTTTCTCTGGTGCCAACAGAACAAGAGAGAGATCTCTAAAAAAATTGAGAAAATAAAATTTTATCTAAAATATAGTTATATATACCATAAGGTCAGGGCATGCTGTCCTATAAAGGGTTCTAGCCTCTCAGAGTCAACCTAACAGCTTTATTCATAAACATCCCCTAAAATGCCAACAAAACAAGCCAAGCCGCGTACTCTCACACTAACCCTAACACTGACTATATACCAAAATATCTGCTTACAAAGCATATTCTTTCTATTCATCCTCCACACTCTATAATATTTTGAGAAGCCTAAAAATATCAATGATCTAAAACAATCAATAGTCTTGTCATTAATAGCACAGAAACCCTTGTCCATAATTCGGGTGCCTTTTCCATAATTTCGGTGCCTAATTCTATTGCCAAAGATTTAACTGTTAACTATTTGGGAATCCTGTAGTTAACAGTTAATTCTTTGGCAATAGTTTCTGATGATCTATAGTTATTGATTCATCCTTTGGTCTTCTTATCAGCCTAAATGTATTGTTTTTGAAATTAGATCTCCTTTTCTTACCTATAGCATTCCTTTTTCTTATTTGGTTTAGAACCAACCATCAGTGCTCAGAAGAATAGTAATAGGAAGCATTAATTCAAAGATTTCTCTGCATACTTTCCCTTGGTCACATTGCATATAAATGCTCCAACCTCGATTTATTTGCATTCATTCTCTCTTATCCTAGGCAGACAGCATTTTGACAAAAGGATTTTCAGGATTACAAAAATAATGTTTGAAAAGAACTAGTTGGGGAGTAGTTTAGTTTCTAGAGAATAATAAGCCATGGCCACTAAGTCTTAGCAAATCTTTCAAATAAGCATGAAGTTGTTCCTTCTACCTAGACTGAAAAACCGACATCAATATCAGCAAAACTCTTAGAAATTACATATGCTAGAGCATAGGATTTAGTCTTAAGGGCAGCCATTGTTGACAGTTTGACATGCCAAAATAGAGCAAGTACATTGGGATTTTGCGACTTCCTTCCTTGAGGCTGGGATAAGAAGCATAACTCCAGAGCACCCTGAGAAAGTATAATAGATGAGGCAGGTACATGGAGGTAGCATTCACTTTGACATTAGTAGCAGGTCATTAATAAGGAGAAGGCTGAAGCTAACAACTGTGCTCAACGTACCACCTTGCAAGGGAAGTGATTATTGACTTGTGCTACACAAATATTTTAAGACAGCAGAAAAATGCATTTATCTCCTATAATTTGGGGTCTTCTGAAACACAAGAAGAATAGACAGTGACTCAGATGTGCAGCCCTCTTATTGAGGTAGTTTCACGGTAGGACATCCAATCTAAACTCTTCTGACTTCCCAACCATCAAGATCACTATAGTTCCAATGGAGTCCTTTGACTTAATTAATGCATACCACATTTTGTCATTTCAAATGAGCATTTCTGGATCACAGCAGGCTACTGGTGACATATGTCAGACTAAAACTGGTGTTGAATTACATTTCTCATCTACCAAACTAGGTGGGAAGAATACATACCTTTTATTACTAGTTCTTAATGGTCTGAAAGAATATGGAAAAAATGGAATTCCAGTAAGCTAAATCCCTGTCTTAGAATAGATTGACCTAGGCACAAACACCGTCCAAGCTGTCTCTGGATGGCACTCAGTGGTTGAGAACATGACTATTCTAGTTTTTCAGTTGAGGATGTGTTTTCTCTTTTGGCAAGTACATCACTTGCTTTGCTGTATAAACGTAAACAGCTCTGCAACTGTGTGAATGTGGCACTTACAACAATGTAGTATAGAAAGTTCAAAAATCTGAGTGATACCCAAGCATATTCAGGCATTAATTGAAGTTCTCCATAGTTTCCCAAGTGGCCTTTAGTCAAAGCTGAGAGACCATCGGCAAACTGGGTTGCTATCTAAGACTCTGAGTTACAGAGACCATGGGGATCTCTAAAGGATTATCTCCAAGTTTCAGCACACCTCCTTAGAGCCTGCTTGCATGCACATGATAAATGAGTTGGTGGAAACAGCTGTTGAAAAACAAGCGTTACGTGCTTTATACTTGAAGGTAGAAAAGGATTAATTTAAAATTTCATCAAGTTATGCCACTATAATAAATTAAGCCTCTTAGCTTTGTTTTGGTATTTTATAGTGAATATTTGGTATGAGGAAAATATTCAGATACTGATTACATGTCCCTAAGTTGCTATTTATCATAAAATTAACTCCCATTTAAACAGATTGGGGTTATTTTTTTCTAGGAATAATATTGTCAATTTGCATTCAGCTATATTTTTAAGTTATACTTTAAACAGTATAGATGATCTTTACGTAAGATCTTGCTAGAGTGATAACAAAACTTGGAGGTTTCCAAAAATGCACCCTTTTAATTCTCTGAAAGGAAGATAAATATTACTTTGTAGCTGATGATGTTCTTAAAATATTTACACGATGTTAAAAATAACATAGATTCACAGCTATTCATTCACGGGTTCATCAGAAAAAAAGCACAAATTCTGAGTTACCTAAGAATCTTGATAGTCATTAAGAATGTAGTTCATTCCAGGCCTAAAATATTTAAAATAAATCAGAAAAAAATATGGTTTAGCTTTCTACAGAAAGGAAATGCTGATGAGGTTAAACATCACGAGGCTAAACGTGTTGAGTTTAAAGACACTATTTTAAAATTTTAGATCCCATTCCTAAGTCTGACATGGGACAATGAATGATATAAAATAATTTGTTTACCATTTGTATGCTATAACATCTCATCATGCACAAAATGGAGATTAAATAAATATTACAGAAACACGAACTTAAAGAAGAAATGTTAAAGACTATGAGTTTCTTTAAACTCAGATACACTACAAAAATGCAAATTCTGTTAAAAATTGTACTAAAATTCCTAACAAACATAATAAGAAAAATAACAAAAAAGACTGGAATAAAGGGAATAAAATTATTAATTATTACTATTTTTAGATAATAGGGTGACTATATAAAAATTCCTCTTGAGATACACAGATAAATAATTACAATAATTGGAGAATATAGCAAGTTTCTGAATATAAGAGGAATATAAAATAGTCAATTGTACTTTCATGCATCAGCAAAAACCAAGTGAAAATGTAATTTAAAATAGCAATTATAATAGCATTAAAATTATAAATATCTGAGGATAAAATAAAATATAAGCAAAACGATGTATGTATAATCATAGAACTTTAATAAACGATATATGGCCAAGTATTACACATTCATTGAGAGGAATACTTAATATAGTAAATATGCTACTTTTCTTCAGGCTGAGCTATAAATTCATTGCAACTCTGAACAATATTCCCAAAACATGGTTTTCTTTTAACTTGAAAAATTAATTTTAAATTGTGTAGAGAACAGTAAAGGCTCAAGCTCACACAGAAAGGATGGCAGTTAGACTGACAGCAGCAAGAATAATTGAAACCAAAGTACCACAAAACACTATATTCAGAGAAAATATCAGCTTACAATTCCATAACAAGCAGAAATGTCTTTCAATAATAAGAACACACAAAAAAAGACATCTTCAAACAAGGAAAAATTAAGTTTAACAGATCCTCAAGAATGAAAATTCTAAAATCTATTCTTTAAACAAAAGGAAAAGTATCCCAGATGGAACACCCAAGATGTAGAAAGTTATGAGGACTTGTACAGTGAAAACTATAAAACATTATTAAAATAAATTGAAAATTTGAGATAACTTTTGTACATGAATTGGAAGACACAATATTGTTAAGAGGGCAGTATTCCCCAAACTGAACTACAGATTCAATACAATCCCTATCAAAATTTCAACTTTCTTATTTATAGAAATGACAAATTGATCCTAAAATTAATATGGAAATGCAAGGAAACCATTATAGGCAAAACAATCTTGAAAAAGGAGACCAAGGTTAGAGCTCTCAAAGATTCTAATCTCAAAAACTACTGCGAAGCAAGTCATTAAACAGTGTGGTACCAGCACAAGGATAGACACATAGATCAATAGTGTAAAAAGAGCTAGAAACACACTTGAACATCTGAGCCAATTAATTTTGATAAGGGTGCCAAAATTATTCATTGGGGAAAATTTGTCTTATCAACAAATGATGTTAAAACAATTGGATATATACATGTAAAAGGATAAAGTTAGACGCCCATAACATAACATGATAAAAATTAATTTAAAATAGATCAAAGACGTAAATGGAAGAGATAAAAACTCTTCAGAGAAAACATAGGTACAAATATTCATGACTTAGCATTAGGCAATGGTTTCTTATATATGACAGCAAAAACACAAGCAATCAAAGAAAAATTAAATAAATTGGACTCATCAAAATAAAAAAACTTCTGTGATTCAAAAGATACTATGAAAAAGTAAAAAGATAACTGACAGAATGGAGGAAAATATTTGCATATCATATATCCATTTAGGATCTAATATCCAGAACATTTAAAGAGCTCTTACATACCAATAATGAAAAGACAACACAATTAAAAATGGGCAAAATATTTGGATAGACATTTCTGCAAGGTAGATATACAAATGGCCAGCAAGCATATTTAAAGATGTTCAACATCATTAGTCATTAGGTATTTGTAAGTCAAAACAAAATGAAATACCACTTAACATCCATTAGGATTTCTATATTTAAAACAAACAAAACAGAAATAAAACCAAAAAACAAAACCCATAAAAATAACCAGTGTTGTTCAAAATGTGGAGGAATTGGAACTGTCATATATTGCTAGGGCTAGCATTGTGAAAATGTTTTTGGCATTCATAGCAACATTATCCATAATAGCTAGAAAAGTGAAAGCAACAAGCAAAATGTTCATCAACTGATGATGGAGAAACCAAATAATGTATATCCATACAATAAAATATAATTCATCCATGAAAAGGAATGAGGCAACAATACATGCCAAAACATGGATGAAACTTGAAAATGCCATGCTAAGTGAAAGAAACCAAAAACAAAAGGCCACATCTTTTATGATTCTATTTATATTAAATGTCCAGAACAGGCAAATCTAGGAGACACAAAGCAGATAAGATGTTGCCAGTAGCTGAGGAGAGTGGGACATGGGGAGTAATTGCTAAGCAATACGAGCTTCATTTGGGAGGGTGATGAAAATGTATTGAGATTAGGTATTGGTGATGGTTGCACGGTATTGCGGATATTTGAATACTTACTGAATTGTACACTTTAAAATAGTGAATTTTATTATATGTGAATTATATCCCAATTTTAAAAGTGATTAATAAAAACATTGGTAAAAATATGGGTTGAGGTAGCAATAATCAACTACATTTTCCCCTGCTTTTTAAAGAAAATAATAATATCAAATGTTTGGTGGAAAAATGAGCCATGTCTAAAACACCAGAAAGTAATAGCATATTGCTATGGACTGAATGTTTGTGTCTTCCCAAAATTCAGATGTTGAAGTTCTCATCCCCAGTGTGATGATATTTGTAGGTGGGGACTTTGAGAGGTTTAGATGAGGTCATGTAGGTGGAGCACCCACGATGGGTAAGTGTCCTTACAGGATGAAGAAGATACCAGAAACCCTCTCTTCTCCATGTGGAAATACAGCAAGAAGGTGGCCTCCTGAAAACCAGGGAGAGGGCACTCACCAGACACTGAATCGGCCAGCACCTTGATCTTAGACTTTCTAGCCTCTACAACTGTGAGAAATAAATGTCTGTTAATTAAGCTGCAGTCTTAGTTTGGGCTGTTATAACAAATTACCATAGTTTGGATGA
This sequence comes from Homo sapiens, assembly GCF_000001405.40. Lineage (NCBI taxonomy): Eukaryota > Metazoa > Chordata > Mammalia > Primates > Hominidae > Homo > Homo sapiens. The sequence goes on from NC_000018.10 coordinate 4,568,769, forward strand.
CTTATAAACATGGAAATCTATTTCTCACAGTTCTGGAGGCTAGAAGTCCAAGATCAGGGTGCCAGAATGGTCAGGTCCTGGTGAGAGACGTCTTCCCAGTGGCAGATGCCTGACTTCTCATTGTATCTTTACATGGAAGACAGCAGAGTAAAGCAAGCTCTCTCAAAACTCTTATAAGGGTACTGATCCCATTCATGAGGGCTCTGCCCTCATGATCTCATCTAATCTTTAATTATCTTCCAGATGCCCCAATTTCTAATATCATCAAATTGGAAGGTAAAGCTTTAACATATGAATTTTGGGAAGAGATAAATATTTGATCCATAATAGCCACCCAGGTAACAGCATTTTGTTATAGCAGCCTGAGCTAACACTCATATCCAGCCAGGAGGTGATAATCAAAGTTAGTGTGCTAAGACCCTTGCATTGCTTAGGACACACATAAAGCTATTGTCTAGTTGTAAGATTTGTTAGGTTAGCATATACGTAAAAATATCTGGGGTAATATTTTTTAAAAATCATGAAGAATGGGCTGGGTGCGGTGGCTCATGCCTGTAATCCCAGCACTTTGGGAGGCCAAGGCGGGTGGATCACGAGGTCAGGAGATTGAGACCATCCTGGCTAATACGGTGAAACTCCGTCTCTACTAAAAATACAAAAAATTAGCTGGGTGTAGTGGTGGGCGCCTGTAGTCCCAGCTACTCGGGAGACTGAGGCAGGAGAATGGCGTGAACCCGGGAGGTGGAGCTTACAGGGAGCTGAGATCGCGCCACCGCACTCTAGCCTGGGCGACAGAGCGAGACTCCGTCTCAAAAAAAAAAAAAAAAGTCATGAAGAACGATGTGTATAACTTCTAAAACCATAGAGGGAAAAGTGGAATTTAAAAATCAAAAGTAAACAACTCAATTAACTTTAAAAATCAACGAAGTAAACTTATTAATACAAGAAAAAGTAGCACAAATAGAACATTCACTAAAATGCACTTTGCATGTGGGAGAGATGTAAGTTATTGTGGCCAAAGGCCAGTCTGAAGCAGATTATATTTCCTTACAATAGCCACAGCAGTATTTCTGGCCTGATGCCCTCTTCCAGAACCTCGACACTCTCTTAGTAAGAAGTGAAATCCATTTCTCTTTTTCTTGAAATTGAATGAGCCTATGAGATTACTTTAACAAATAATATGTGGAGGGCATCACAATGCATTACTTTTTTAAAGCTTTTTTTAAAAAATTTATGTAGATTTAAGGGGTACAAGAGCAGTTTTGTGATGTGGATATACTGCGCAGTGGTGAAGTCTGGATTTTGGTTTAACCATAACCTGAACAATGCACATTCTACCCATTAAATAATTTCTCATCCCTCACTCTCCTCCCACCACATGTTCTGAATATAAATGTCTATCATTTCACACTCTATGTCTATGCATACACATTAATTAGTTCCCAATTATAAGTGAGAGCATGTGGTATTTGACTTTCTGTTTCAGAGCGGTTTGACTGAAAATAATGGCCTCCAGTTCTAACCATGTTGCTGTAAAAGACAAGACTTCATTATTTTTTATTTGTATTCCATTGTGTATATATATATGATATTTTCCTTATACAACCATCTGTTGATAGACACTTACCTTGATTCCATATCTTTGCTATTGTGAAAAGTGCTGTGATAAACATATGAATGCAGGTATCCTTTTTATATGATTTATTTTTCTTTTGGGTAGACATCCAGTACTGGGATTGTTGGATTGTATGGCAATTCTGTTTTCAGTTCTTTGAGAAATCCGCATACTGTTTTCTATACAGATTGTTCTAATTTACATTCCCATCAATAGTATATAAGCATTTCCTTTTCTTCACATCCTCACCAACATCTGTTATTTTTTGGCTTTTTAGTAGTTGCCATTCTGACTGATGTAAGATGATTTTTCATTGTGGTTTTAATTTGCATTTTTTTGATAATTAATGATGTTAAGCATTTTTTCATAGGTTCGTTGGCCATTTGTATGTCTTCTTTTGAAAAATATCTATTCATGTGCTTTGCCTATTTTTTAATGGAGGTATTTTTTGTTGTTGTTGAGCTGTTTGAATTCCTTGTATATTCTGGATATTAGTGCCTTGTTGGATGAATAGTTTGCAAATATTTTCTTCGACTCTGCAGGTCATCTCTTCTCTCTATTGATTATTTCTTATGCCATGCAAAAGCTTTTTAGTTTAATTAAGTCTTATTTATCTATTGTTGTTTTTGTTGCTTATGCTTTTAAGGTCTTAGCTATGAACTTTATGCCTAGACCAATGTCCAGAAGAGTTTCCCTTAGGTTACTTCTAGTATTTTTATGGTATCTGTTGTTACATTTCAGTAAGTCTTTAATCTATCTTGAGTTGTTTTCTGTATATGCTGAGAGATAGGGGTACAGTTTCATTCTGCATTTGGCAATCTGATTTTCCCTGTACCATTTATTGAAAAGGGTGGTGTCGTTTGCCTAGCATATGTCTTTGTCAGCTTTGTCAAAGATTAGTTAGCTACAGATATACGGCTTTATTTCTGGGTTATCTATTCTGTTCCATTGATCTGTTTGTATTTTTATGCCAGTACCATGCTGTATAGGTTACTACAGCCTTGTAGTAAAATTTGAAATCAGGTAATGTGATGCACACAGATTTGTTCTTGTTGCTTAGGATTGCTTTGGCTATTTGGGCTTTGTTTTGGTTTCATATAAATTTTAGGTTTTTTTTTCTTGTTCTGTGAAAAAAATGACATTGGTATTATGGGAGAGATTGCACGGAATCTGTAGATTGCTTTGAGAAGTATGGCCATTTTAATGATATTCATTCTTCTGATCCATGAACATGGGATGTTTTTCCATTTGTTTGTGTCATCCACAATTTCTTTCAGCAGTGTTCTGTAGTTTTCCTTATAAAGATTTTTCACCTCCTGAGTTAAATGTATTCCTAGATATTTAATTTTTTGGTATTTATTATAAATGAGACTACCTTTTGATTTGGTTCTCTGGTTGACTGTTATTGGTGTATAGAAATGATAGTGATTTTTGTACATTGATTTTTGTATCCTGGAACATTACTGACTTCATTTGTCAAATCTAAGAGCTTTTTTGGAGGACTGCTTTGAGTTTTCTAGGTATAAGATTATATCATCATTGAACAGAGATAATTTTACTTTCTATTTTCTGATTTGGATGCTTTTTTACCCCTTTCTCTTGCCTGATTGCTGTGGCCAGGACTTCCAGTACTATGTTGAATAGGAGTAATGAAAGTGGGCATCTGTGTCTTGTTCTAGTTCTTAGAAGGATTGTTTTCAACTTTTCTCTATTCAATATGATGGTAGTTTGCTTGTTATATAGGGCCTTTATTTTCTATTCCTAGTTTGATGAGAGTTTTCATCCCAAAGAGATGCTGAATTTTATTTATTGATTTTTCTAATTCTATTGAGATGATCATATGGTTTTTGTCCTTAATTCTGTTCATATGATAAATAACGTTTATTGATTTACTTGTGTTGAAACATCTTTGCATACATAGAATAAAACCCACTTGATCATGTTGTATTCTTTCTGATGTGCTGTTGAATCTGGTTTGCTAGCATTTTGTTGAGTATTTTTGAATCTATGTTCATCAGGGATATTAGCCTGTAGTTTTCTTTCTCTGTTGTGTCCTTGTCTGGCTTCAGTATCAGGGTGATTCTTGCTTTGGAGAATGAGTTAGGGAGAATTCCCTTCTCGATTTTTCGGAAGTTTCAGGAGGATTAGTACCAGTTCTTCTTTGTACATCTGGTGCACTTAGGCTGTGAATCCATCTGGTCCTTGGGATTTTTGTTTGAAGATTTTTAATTACTGATTCAATCTCACTACTTGTTATTAGTCTGTTTAGGATGTCAATTTCTTCCTGGTTCAATTTTGGAAGGTTGTATGTTTCCAGGAATTTATTCATTTACTCTAGGTCTTCTAGTTTGTGAGTGTAGCATTGTTTATAGTAGTATCTGATGATCTTTTACATTTCTGTGCTATCCATTGTAATGCCTACTTCTTCATTTCTGATTATGTTTATCTTGATGTTCTGTCTTTTCTTAGTCTAGATAGTGGTGTATCAATATTGTTTATTGATATAGTTTGGCTCTGTGTCCCTGCCCAAATCTCATCTCAAATTGTGATCCCCACATGTCAGGGGAGATACCTGGTGGGAGGTGATGGGATCATGGGAGCAGTTTTGCCCATACTGTTCTTGTGATAGTGAGTGAATCCTCATGAGATCTGATGGTTTAAAAGTGTGTATAGCACTTCCCCCTTTGCTCTATCTCTCTCTCCTGCCACCATGATTATAAGTTTCTTGAGGCCTCCCTAACCATGCAGAACTGTAAGTCAAATAGACCTCTATCCTTTGTAAATTACCCAGTCTCAGGTAGTCCTTTATTGCAATGTGATAATAAGCAAATATAGAGAATTGGTACCAGGACTGGAGCACTGCTATAAAGATACCTGCAAATGTGGAAGTGACTTTGAAACTAGGTAACAAGCAGAGGTTGAAACAGTTTGGAGGGCTCAGAAGAAGCCAGGAAGATGTGGGAAAGTTCCGAACTTCCTAGAGACTTGTTGAATGGTTTTGACCAAAATGCTGATAATGACGTGGACAATGAAGTCTAGGCTGAAGTGGTCTCAGATGGAGATGAGGAACTTATTAGGAACAGGAGCAAAGGTCATTCTTGCTATGCCTTAGCAAAGAGAATGGCAGCATTTTGTCCCTGCCCTATTGATCTGTGGAACAATGAACTGGAGAAAGATGATTTTGAGCATCTTGCCAAAGAGATTCTAACCAGCAAAGCATTCATTAAAGAGGTGACCTGGCTTTTTCTGAAGTGTACAGTCATAGGTGTTCACAAAAAGATGGTCTGAAATTGGAAATTATGTTTAAAAGAGAAGCAGAGCATAATAGTTTGGAAAATTTGCAGCTTGATCATGCGGTAGAAAAGAAAAACACATTTTCTGGAGAGAAATTCAAGCTGCAAAAATTTGCATAAGTAAACAAGAGTTGAATGTTAATAGTCAAGACAATGGGGAAAAGTTCTCCAGGGCATTTCAGTGATCTTCATGGCAACTCCTCCCATCACAGGCCCAGAGGCATAGGAGGGAAAAATGGTTTCATGGGCTGGGTCCTGCTGCTATGTCCAGCCTTGAGACATGATGCTATACATCCCAGCCATTTCAGCACCAGCTGTGGCTAACAGGGGCCAAGGTACAGCTTGGGCTGTTGCTTCAGAGTGTGCAAGCCCCAAGCCTTGGCATCTTCCACGTGGTATTAGGCCTGCACGTGTACAGAAGGCAAGAGTTTGGGAACCTCCACCTGGACTTCAGAGTATGTATGGAACACCTGGATGTGCAGGCAGAAGTCTGCTGCAGGGGCAGAGCCCTCATAGAGATCCTCCACTATGGCAATGCAAAAGGAAAATATGGAGTTGGAGAACCCACACAGAGTCCCCAATGGGGCACTGCCTAGTGGAGCTGTGAGAAGAGGGCCATTGTCCTCCATACTCTAGAATGGTAGATCTACCGACAGCTTGTACCATGTGGCTGGAAAAGCTGCAGGCATTCAATGCCAGCTCCTGAAGCAGTTGCAGGGTCTGAACCCTGCAGAGCCACAGGCACAGATCTGCCCAAGGCTGTGTGAGCCTACCCCTTGCATCAGCATGCCTTGGATGTATGACATGGAGTCAAAGGATATTATTTCAGAGCTTTAGGATTTAATGGCTGCCCTGCTGGATTTCAGATTGCATGAGGTCTGTAGACCCTTTATTTTGGCCAATCCCTTGCTTTTGGAATGGGAGTATTTACCCAATTCCTGTGCCCACATTGTATCTTAGAAGTAATTAACTTGCTTTTAATTCTACAGGCTCATAGGAAGAAGGGACTTGCCTTATATCAGATGAGACTTTGGACTTGGACTTTTGAATTAATGTTGGAATGAGTTAAGACTTTGCAGGACTGTTGGGAAGGCCTGACTGTGTTGTGAAATGTGATAAGTTCATGAGATTTGAGAGGGGCCAGGAGTGGGATGATATGGGTTGGCTCCATGTCCCCACCCAAATCTTACCTTGAATTGTAATCCCCATGTGTCAGGGGAGGGACCTGGGTGGAGGTGATTGGATCATGGGAGTGGTTTCCCTCATGCTGTTCTCGTGACATGAGTGAATTCCCATGAGATTGAATGGTTGAGAAGTGTGTGCAGCACTTACCCCTTTGCTGTCTTTCTCTCCTGTTGACATGATTGTAAGTCTCCTGAGGCCTCCCCAATGATGCAGAACTGTGAATCAACTAAACCTCTTTCCTTTAAATTATCCAGTCTCAGGTAGTCCTTTATAGCAGTGTGAAAATGGAGCAATATAATTATCTTTTTTAAAAAACAAGTTTTTGTTTTGTTGATCCTTTTGTATTGTTGAGGTTTTTTGGTCATACTTTTATTTAGTTCTGCTCTGATCTTTGTTATTTCTTTCTTTCTGTTTGCTTTATATTTGCTTTGTTTTTGATTTTTTAATTCCTTGAGGTGCAACATTAGGGTATTAATATGTGATGTTTCCATTTTCCATTTTTTTGATGTAGGCATTTAATGCTACAAACTTCAATCTTTTTTTTTTTTGAGATGGAGTCTCGCTCTGTCACCCAGGCTGGAGTGCAGTGGCATAATCTTGGCTCACCACAACCTCCATCTTCCAGGTTCAAGTGATTCTCCTGCCTCAGCCTCCTCAGTAGCTGGGATTATAGGTGTGTGCCACCAAACCAGGCTAATTTTTGCATTTTTAGTAGAAACGGGGTTTCACCATGTTGGTCAGGCTGGTCTCGAACTCCTGACCTTGTGATCTGCCCACCTTGGCCTCCCAAAGTGCTAAGATTACAGGACAAACTTCAATCTTAGAAATGCTTTAGCTGTATCACAGAAGCTTTGGTATGTTTTGTCTTGATTTTTATTCATTTCAAAAACATTTTTAATTTTTGTCTTAAATGCTTTATTGACTCAAAGATTGTTCAGGAACATGTTTAATTTCCATGTATGTATATAGTTTCAAGAGTTCCTTTTGTATTGGTTTCTGGTTTTATTCTATTGTGGTTTGAAAACATACTTGATATTATTTAGATTTTTAAAAAATCTCTTGCGATTTGTTTTGTAGCCTAATATATGGTCTATCTTAGAGAATGTTGCTTGTGTTGATAAGAATGTATGTTGTACCATTGTTGTGTAGAATGTTTTGTTAGATCCATTTGGTTTAGAGTCCAATTTAAGTGCAGAGTTTCTATGTTGAGTTTCTGCCTTGATGATCTGTGAGTAGGGTGTTGTGAAATCTCAAACAATTATTGCATTGCTCTTAGTTATAGTAAATTTGTTTTATGAATCTGGGTGCTCCAAAGTTGGGTGCATATATATTTAAGATTATTATATCTTCTTGTTGAATTGATTGTTTTACCCTTATATATTGACCTTTATCTTTTTACATGGTTTTTGATTTAAAATCTGTTTTATCGGATACAAGAATAGCTACTTCTGCTAGTTTTTTGTTTCTTTAAGCATGGAATATCTTTTTCCACCCCTTGCTCTTCAGTCTTTAAGTGTCTTTATCAATAAAGTGACTATCTCGCAGCATATAGTTGGGTCATGTTTTTAAAAATCCATCTGCTAATCTTTATCTTTTAAGTGGAGCATTTGATTCATTCGCATTCAAGGTAAATATTGATATGTGAGGTTTTGTTCTTTTCTTAATGTTAATTGTTATGTAGTTGTTTTACAGATTCTTTCATTTTTCTTATTTTTTCTGTGTTTGTCTTTTTAGTTTGGTGGAGTCCTGTTGTGTTGTCATTTTATTTATTTCTCTTTCTCCTTCGTGTAATTTTTTAATAAGACCCAAGAGTTTTATGCTTTCCTTGGTTTTTATAATGGAAAAAATCGACCTTTTGTTTCTTTTAGCACCAGAATTGTGGTGATGAATGCCTTTAGTGCTTTCTTGTCTGAGAAAGACTATCTATCTTTCACTTATGTAGCATATGCTGGCAGATTATAAAATTTTTAGTTAACAGAGTTTTTCTTTAGCAATCTGAAAATAGGATTCCAATCCCTTCTGGCCTGTAAGGTTTCTGCTGAGAAGTACATTGTTAGTTTCATGAGGTTTTCTTCATAGGTGTCAGGATGCTTTTTCTTGCTATTTTCAGAATTTTTTTTTTCATGGTAATTTTACACAGCCTAATATGTCATGGCAAAGGTCACCTTGCAATGTATTTTGCTGGAGTTTGTTGTGCCTCTTATACCTGGATGTTTACATCTCTTCCTAGTTTAGGGAAATTTTCATTAATTATTTCCCTACATAGGTTTTCTAAATTTTTTGTTTCTTTTTTTCTCCCTCAGGAATACTGATTATTTATATGTTTTGTTGCTTTATGGAGTCTTATACTACAACAATGCTTTGTTCATTGTTTTTTATCCTTTTTGCTTTATTTTTGTCTCACCAAATTAATTAAAAAGACCTAGCTTCACATTCTGAGATTGTCTCCTCTGCTTGGTATAATCTATTGTTAAAGTTTTCAGCTGTATTTTGTAATTCCTTCAAGACATTTTTCATTTCCAGAAGTTTTTTGATTTTTTTTTTTTTTTATACTTACCTCCTTGGTAAAATTCTCATTTATATGCGGAGTTGATTTCCTGATTTCTTTGTATTGGTTATTGGTTTTCAGCTTTCTCTTGGATCTCATTGAGCTTCTTCAAAATCAATATTTTGAGTTATTTATCTGGCATTCCATAAATTTCATTTGCAACTCTATTGCTAAAGAATTATTATGTTCCTTTGTGGGTGTCATAACACTCTTCTTATTCATGCAAGTTGATATTATTATGTTGATTTATTTGCATCTTGAAAAACAGTCACTTCTTGTTTTTTGAATTTACCTTCACTGGGGCATGACTTTTTTTTTTTTTTTAAGGATGTGTCTACAATATATGTTGAGTTGGGCCATTTGGATTTGCTTCTGAGTGCATTTAGGGGCAAACACTCTGTATGATTTCCTTAATTATAAGTAGCCATAGTGTGGTGGCTGTCTCAAATGCCGGTTGTAGTAGCAGTGTATTGGGCAGGCGAGCAGGCTCATGGCTTCCTGGGTGGCCAGGGTGACATGGAAATGGTGGTAGCAGAAGTTGAGAGAAGCTTGTCTCCTTCCTGCATGCTGTGTATGCACTTGGGTCAGCAGATGTTGTACTAGGTTGTACAAAACTACCTGTAGGCCAGTAGGTGGAGCTTACTGTGAGAGCCAGCTGTGGTGGTGGCAGTAGGATTTATGCTTGATCTTTGTTAACCAGGAGAAGTACTTAGGTCTCTTAGGGGATGGGTTAGGCCAAGGAATGCTCAAAAGTCTGGATCCCAAACTCTGCCTTTGAGGTATGGGAGTGGGAAAGCCATATGGGACTCAGCCAGGCAAGCCTGCACTCGGGCTCCTTAATGGCAGGCACGAGGGTCAGAAATTAGTTTTCAGGCCCGCATAGAAATGCCCTCATGAGGAGTGGAGCAACCGTTGCTGTGCCAAAGACCCAACATAGGGAGAGGTGCAGTTTCAACTCCACAGCCCAGCAAGCATCATTGGAACTTGCTTCAGACCCATCAGGGCTCCCCATCATGGCCCAGCCTTGGCAGTGAGTTATGACAGTTAGCCAAGTCACACTTAGTTTTCCTTCAGTCCGTGAAACTGCCCCAGGTCATAAAACTCATCACCCAGGCCAATATCACCCTTCCCAGGTAAATCTCCTCTCGCTCTGGTCCCAGGAAGGGGTGAGGGGTGTGCTCCAATCTAGCATCTACAGCTGGGGCCCATGTCATACTTGTCTCACGCATCTACAGCTGGGGCCCATGTCATACTTGTCTCACGCATCTACAGCTGGGGCCCATGTCATACTTGTCTCACAGTTCTGGCTGTGGGGGCACCTCTCTTATTCTAGACCAGGACACCAAATTCTGGCCAAAGACTCTCCAAACCAGTGACCGCTATGCTGCCAGCTGGCAGTTTCTTTGCAGCCCTCTATGATAAAGAATGGCTACCTTCTATTGGTGCCCAGGTCTGGGAGTGTACACAGTCACCCAACTGCTCCGCAAGTCAAATGCATCCAAGGCTTGGTAGGCTCATGTGGCTTGGATGCCTGCATCCTCAGTGGGAATGTGTATCATAGAGACACTCCTCCTCATCTCATGTACTGGGGATTCACTCGTGGTTTTCCACCAGACCCTGCTACGCAGGCTGTTACTCACCTTTTTTGTCCCCATATCCAAAGTTTTCTTTTACTTTTATGTTGAACTTTTGTGTTCCTTCTTGGATAGAAGTTCTCAGTGTGAATGTCTATGCACTATTCTGCTATTTCCAAGTAGGTTAGGCATCCTGGCAAAGCCTCTATTCTGTCATTTTGGAAACAAAACAAAACACAACAAAATGCATGGCTTTTAATGCTGGATCATAGAAAGTAATACAGCTTTCATCTGCTTCTCTCTCTAGGGACACTTGCCCTTGGAACCTTGTCTTAAGGAAACCCAGATCGAATGCACAGACTACATTGGTTGTTGTGGTTGACAGTTGCAGCTAAGATTCAAGCCTACAGCCAGTATCTAGACCAGATATATGAATGAATGAGCCTTTCTTGCCTCCAGCCTTGGTCTGTTCTACCGGATACTGAAGTGGGAGAAATAAGTTGTCCCCACTAAGGACTGCTCAAGTTACAGATTTATGAGCAAAGTAAATGTTGTCATGGATTTCAGTCACTAAATTTTGGGTGGTTCATTATGCAGCAATAGGTAACACAAACTATTAAAGTCTTTATTAGTATAACAAGCCCTAATTTAGAGCTAGTTGTTCTCTTTTATGTGGAAAAAAATATTAACCTTCTTTAACAGCTTTGTTTATTCACAGACACAATGGTTTTCAACTTTTGGAGTTTATAATTGTCTTTTCAATCCTAAGAATGTTGGTGGACACTTGAAGAAATTAAATAATTTTAAATCTTATCAAATATGTCAGCAAGAATTACTGCCCAGTTATCAGCAAATCACTATAATGTCCCATAGAATTTCTAGAAATGCACAGATACACTACTCGGTATCCCTTGAAACTGGTGTTTCTGTAGAACTGCTGACTACTTTGATCTCTCATGGTTTAATATATAGATGGGTCAATGTCTTTGTGGCCCCATTCATTCATGACCTTCCTTGGTATCACTGCTGTTACTCTATCACTTGCAGCCAGGTAGACCCCACTTTGAACCAGGTGGCATAGTGTACTCAGCTTAATGTTCATTCTGACGGTAGTAGCAAAAGTAACTAAATCGTTGATCAAAACTTGATGGCACAACTGGGATTTTATGCCACTTAACATTCACTACTCTGATGGAAAGTAACATTAACTCTTAACTCTTTGTGGACTGGAAAGATAGCTTACAGTGGTTGCTATACTAAGAACAACAAAATGAGGTAGGATGGAAAACTGGAGAAGAATTTGGGTGAAGGTGCACAATTTTAGAAAAGTTTACTGCTATAGAAAGGCTGTTGTTGGGTAATAAAAAGATGGATTCTTACAGAGACAGTTTCCTTAGGCTGAAGGAGACATCATTCCTATTTACTCTCTAAGGCAGGTTCTTTTCCAAGACATTGATTATTGCACATAAGGTGCAGTACAACTTGTCGCACTCCTTGAACATGCTTTTTTAACAAAAGCTACAAAGAGGCCTTGAGAAGAGCTCAGCCAAAATTAGGGAAACAAATGAAGGCAAGATTTTGTGATGAAGTTTACTTATATTCTCCTGGCTGCCTGAGGTAACCTTATGCATAACCTGAACTTTTCCAGGTGACATAAACAAAACTCATGACTGAGAAGCATTCTTTGCAACCAACAATGTGCCCTATTTGTTCTGTTTCAAATAGGGCACATTGTTGCTTGCTTATTTCATATATGTTTCTTAGGCACATATTGTGCTGCTAGGAGTTGGGCATGAGAAGATATAGATAGATAGGTAGGTAGGCAGATAGATAGATGGATAGATTTAGGTATAGATATGTAAGAAGATATAAAGAAATGGATATAGATATATAGACTGATATAACATAATGCACACAAGCACACCACAACAGTTTTTTTCTTTATGGTGCTCCCAGACTGTGTTGGGGGAGAAGCCCATAACTTTGCGAACCATGGTTTATTCCGTTATAGGCCCTCAATCCCATTTTCTAGCTCACTCCGTGATTACACATGTTTGGTATAGCTCTATAATCCCTAGAAAGTGAAAAACAGGAGTTTCCAGTTTTTATATACATCACACTGAATGAAATGCTACTGAGAATGTCAAGAAATACGAATGTTCAAGACATACTAAAATTTTAAAAGTCACAGAGGGATATATATAAGAATTAAATAAATTAGGACATAGACATCTGTAAAGATTTCCATTGCCACTCCTATTGAGGATTAGGGAGAAGTTAAGAGGCTTCTATTTGATTTTAGTTTTCCCCTCACAGTCTTAAATGTTTGAGATACATGAAGAGAAAATATAAATAAAATTTAAGGGATATTGCAGAAAAGTAGAAAATAAGTAAGGATTTTTAGTGTTAACTTTTCTCCCAAAACCGAATTGAAGTTGCTTCATAACTTTAAGAACTGTTAAATTTTGTAGGAGATAATATGGTGCAATCTTAATGTGCATATTTTCCTTTCAGACCTCTGTTTTCTATGGTATTGTAGACATTTGTATTTGTATGGTAAAGAAAATAGTATGTGCTTTTGTAACATATAGTTTTATATAGACTGTTTTGTAGTGAAGAACACAAAAGATGCAATTTATACAATTTGATCTACTAATTTTATTACCAAGTTTAGCTTACTAAGTACAGAAGCAAATTTTACTCAGAAAATGTAAAATTTGCTAATTTAATTTACTTTAAAACATGAGATTTTACTTCAAATATTATAAGCTACCTCCATTTATGGAATACTGGATTTCTTAGTTTTTTCTAGTTTCACAGTTAGATTAAAAACTTGAAAATAAGAAAAATCTAATAACATTTTTATAAGACAAAGAAAATGACTTTTTTTTTGGAGGGGAAGGCAAAAGGCTTTTTGGAGAGATTTTTGGATTTTGTTTTTCTTCTTACGTAGGTTTAACACATACTATTGTTAAACTGATTTTTTTTTTTAAAGTGTCTCTTTGGAAATGTAAATGTTTAAAATGTGTTTTCCCATGTGCTGTAAGAGTTATAAACACAGAAGGCAGGCATGGAATAGCCTGACTTGGATAGCGTGGGATAAGCTGTAAGTGAAGGTGATGCTCCAGGAAGAGTTAGCCGGAGTGAAAGGGCAGAGCATTCCAGAAGAACAATATGAGTAAAAACAAAGAGGAAAAAAAAGAGTGGTATGTGTCTGCCATAGCTAGTGATTCTAGTGGTTGTTTCTGGGGAGAGCAAAGGGTACTTAGGAAGAGAGCCTGGAGCTGCTGTTTTTCTGCTTTGCTAAGGAGTGGGTTTTGGGTGGAAGTCATGGGGCTCCTATGAAGGAAAAGAATAACATGGTCCATTTAATGAATATGTGGATAGACGTGTTTTTATGAGGTAGGTCATATAGGAACACAAATAGGTTTTTGGATGATGAAAAAAAGGAATTTGACTTTCTTTGTGTCAAATTTATGGATATATTTGTGGTGCTCAATTTTCTACAAGAAGGCTGAAGTTACGGCTGTGAGTCTCCAGAGAAGGTTCTGTGCTGGAAATAATTGCTTTGGGATTTATCAACATGTGCTGAAAATGATGTGTTAATAAACACCCTCCAGACAACATAAACAGTGAAATAATAAAGAAGACCAAAATATATTTTGAGAAAATGATGATTTTTCCTAGGCTTCATTCCAACATAATTCCATCACATTTTGTGTATTCACAAATGTGGAAAAGTTTCCAGTATGTGCATTTTTTTCATTTAACCAAGATCAATGAGGGTGTAAATTACATAATCACCTCAGGGGCAAAGATCTGTGTCTATTTTGCTCACTGCACCAGTACCAAGAAGAGTGCCTGGCACTTAGTAGGTTATCACTGAAAAACTACAATGTTTGAAAATTTAGAGGATTAATAAGGAAATGCATAAATTAGTGATACTGGACAGTGTTTTACATGCAGGGGATACATTTTCTACCTTCAAGAAAGTCATAGTCTTGTTAGGAAGATACATCAATAAGCCATGATTATAAAATATTATGATAAGCAGAGGGTACAGAGGAGAGTTTAGGCGGGAGGATAGCAGGTGACAAAGAATGAGAACATGCAAAATCACGTGTTTTCAGAGAACAGTATTTTTTTTCATATGTCAGAACATGATGTGTTCCAAGTCCTAAGTCTGCAGTTTGTTTCTTGGAATCCTGCTAAATGCAGTAGCTAGTCTCATATTTCTGTCTTTGCAGTTTAGCTACAAAAGATTTGAAGTTGCATATTTTTTAAAAAATATATTTATTATTACAATAGAATTATTTATTTGAAGCTACCATTTAGAGTATCAATCAGGACTGCATTTACCAAAGACTGAAAAACAGTGGTTTAAACTAGATGAATGTTTTACCTTCGTCATAGAACAAGAAATCTCAGTGCTGGAGTCCAGAGTTAAGGCCCTGTTCAAGGAATCAGGGTGCTCTGTCCTCCTGCTGAAGCATCTTTAGAATGTAGCTACAAGATGGCTGTGTTGCCTCTAGGCATTGGTGAAAGTTCCAGGCAGAAAGAAAGGGAAAATTCCTCTTCTTTTTAACAGGAAAGTGAAGGAAGCTTCACCCAGTAGAATTCCACTTACATTTCTTTGTCCTAAACAAGGTTAAATGGCATAATTATGTCACTAAAAATAATCTTACTGAATATTTAAGGAGAAGTAAAGATTAGTTATAGTAGATTTCCTGTTGCAAGAATATGTCTGACTTGATCATTTAAAAACCTTCTTTAAAAAAGCACCTACAGCAGTGGCAACAAAAGCAAAATTGAGAAATGGGATCTAATTAAACTAAAGAGCTTCTGCACAGCAAAAGAAACTATCATCAGAGTGAACAGGCAACCTACAGAATGGGAGAAAATTGTTGCAATCTATCCATCTGACAAAGGACTAATATCTAGAATCTACAAAGAACTTATACAAATTTACAAGAAAAAAAACAACCCCATCAAAAAGTGGGCAAAGGATATGAACAGACACTTCTCAAAAGAAGACATTTATGCAGTCAACAAACGTATGAAAAAAAGTTCATCATCACTGGTCATTAGAGAAATGCAAATCAAAACCACAATGAGATACCATCTCACACCAGTTAGAATGGCGATCATTAAAAAGTCAGGAAACAACAGATGCTGGAGAGGATGTGGAGAAATAGGAATGCTTTTACGCTGTTGGTGGGAGTGTAAATTTGTTCAACCATTGTGGAAGACAGTGTGGTGATTCCTCAAAGATCTAGAACCAGAAATACCACTTGACCCAGCCATCCCATTACTGGGTATATACCCAAAGGATTGTAAATCATTCTACTATAAAGACACATGCACGTGTATGTTTATTGTGGCACTGTTCACAATAGCAAAAACTTGGAACCAACCCAAATGCCCATCAATGATAGACTGGATAAAGAAAATGTGACACATATACACCACGGACTGCTATGCAGCCATAAAAAAGGATGAGTTCATGTTCTTTGCAGGGACATGGATGAAGCTGGAAACCGTCATTCTCAGCAAACTATCACAAGAACACAAAATCAAACACCACATATTCTCACTCATAAGTGGGAGTTTAACAATGAGAACACATGAACACAGGGAGGAGAACATCACACAACAGGGCCTGTTGGGAGGTGGGGGGCTGGGGGAGGGATAGCATTAGGGTAAATACGTAATGTAGATGACAGGTTGATGGGTGCAGCAAACCACCATGGCACGTGTATACCTGTGTAACAAACCCCTGTTCTGCACATGTATCCCAGAACTTAAAGTATGATTTAAAATTTTTTTAAAAAAGCACCTAGAAATTCTGTGAAAATCTAGTAACAAACAGTCTTCTACATACTAAGCTCCACTCTTGGGAAGAAAACACCTAGATGCTGAACATGAAGATGGATCCAGAAGTTGGAGCAACATGCTGCAATACTGATGCTCTGTGGGATGGGGCGAGGGTACGGATAGGTACCAACATCATAATTTGGCAATTTGTGACTAAATGCACACGAGGATAGGAGTTTGACTATTGATTGCCAACAGGCAAAGTGTGCAGATTTGAGAAACCCACATTAAAGTTGGACCTCCAAATGGTGGTGCTCTCAATTCAAGTTTGTTTAAAAATGTTCTTCATTTCAGAGGGAGATGGTAAAGGTTTTGTTTCCTTTTGATCTTTGCAAAAAAGTTTTCTCCTTCTTCTTAGCCTCACAGAAGTACAAATTCACAAAAATTCTGGTTCCAAAAAACCAAAGCCAAAAAATTTAATATAAAAATTAGTCTCTACATGGCGATACACCTGGGACCATGGGCAAAACAAAAGCAAATTGCTCTCCGGGCCACTTCCACAGCTCTGACCAATGTGGTTTCTCACAGCAAGAGAAGCCCAACCTAGGATGATCTCACAATGATAAAGTCATATAGCACTTAAGGAAATGATACCCTTTGATTAGAAAAAAAATCTCAAGAATTTAAGGAAAAAACATGATACTACAAAGAAAGAATATAAAAGAAATATTTAAAAATAATTTCAGACCTAAAAGAAAGAGTGTTTATTCTCTGAAAAAGAAAAAAAAAGGTACTAAGAAAAATAAAGAGATTTGAAAAGATCTAAATGGAGATTCAGGTAAAGAAAAATATAGGTAATTAGATTAGACATAGATGAAGAATAAAGAAATAAGGAGGGGACAGGAAAAAATACATGAAATATTGCATACAGAGACGAAGAGGTAGAAAACACAAGCAAATCAGTGACATAAAGGATAAAATAAAAAGATCTATGTCTATGAAAAAATCTTAGAAGAAAGAATAAAGAGAAAGGGAAACAAAAGAATAAATAGAAGTAATTTCACAACTGGATACCTCCTGATGAAACTTTACAACAGCAAAGCAAGGAGAAAATCTTAAAACTAATCAGGAAAAAAACCCATATTACTTACAAGAAAATAGCTATATTTTCAGATAAAACTTAATAATAACCCTTCACAACAAAATATGAAGCTAGGGAAATAAGTAGAATTGGAAAGTTTTCTAGGGCAGTAACTCTTCAGTAACAGAATAGTTCTGCAAATGGAAGCTCAATACAGAACTCTACCCTTGGGTCAAAAACCTATTATATTTTTCTGACTAGAAAAAATAATTATTCCAAGGAAGCCTCCTGAAAGATGTAATAATAATAAATGTTTATTTAATGTGCCATTTTATGTGTTTAGGAGAAACAAATGGAGAGCTCTGTGCTCTGGCATTAGTTCAATTCCTTTGTGTTTTACATAAAAAGTATTATTTTATATCCTAAACAATATTATAATTGATGGAAATTTATGTTTAAAAACTAATGTAGTCAAGCCTCTATCCATGTAGAGAGCAGTAGCACTACAAAATCCTCCAAATATTATCAGTGAATCATAAATTTATACTTAAAATCTTATCAGGTTTAAAGTCCTTATAAATAATCTCTTGTACACTGGACCTTTTGCTACTAGTTTTGAATCAACAGTAGTGCTCTACAAGGACAATTCAAAGTTCTTATCTTCTAGAACTGAAAAATATTTTGCATACATATCTTGTACATATTAGATGTGTTCTAATGCTTAATACTTATTTTAAAAATCTATGAGTCCATAATGATTCTAAAATGCAGTGGGGGAAGCTCTTCTTTACAGAAGAATGACAACTAATAAACATAGAAGCAATTTTATAACTAGAAAAGTCACTGTTTTGCAACCAGTGTTGTAATAACTGATTCAGGCAAGAATAATAATTTGATGCTGAAACCAGTAGGTGACAAGCTGTTGGAGAATAGGATACATCTGATTTCAAAGTGTCACTTCCTAGATTATTTATTAATTAGAAGAGAAACAGGAAAGCCTCCATATGATGTAATCTGGTAGACATACCAACAGATCCCACTTAACATGACAGAAGGTGACATCATGGCCTCGTGCCTTGCTGCACTGAAAGAACACAGCACCATTGATCACAGTATCTTGCTGAGAAGTTGAACCTGAGTCTAGGACTGAGGGAACAATCAGACAAATTCAAATTAAGAGACAATCAGGAGACAATTGACCTTGACTCTTCAAATCAATATCGTGAAAGAAAAGAAAAAATGGCTGGGGATTTTTCTGAGTGAAGATAGTCAACAGAAACATGACAACAAAATGCAAATAATGCTTCTTGTTTGGGTCCTGGATCAAAATGAAAACACAAATAAAACTGCTTTAAAGAACATTATTAGGACAGTTGGGGAAATGTGAGTACAACCTATACATTACATAGTAGGAGTACCAATGTTAAATTTCTTGAATGTAATCTTTATACTGAGGATATGTGGGAGAACATCCTTGTTTTAGGACATTCATGCAGATGTATTGAAACATAAAGAGGGAAAGATCCAGCTTGTGTGGCAAGAAGGGAGCAGTTGGTGACTCATGGTGGATGTATGCTGTTCATTGTACTCTTCTGGAAAGTTTATGTTTGAACTTTCTCAAAGTAAAAAATTGGGAGAAAGGTAATTTTCTGAGTAAATATATTATTCATTATGCTTTAATATCATAATCTTAATTTTTGTAAACATTTTCAGAAGACAGACACTACCACTGACCCATGGCCTATGAAATTTCATCTATGTTCTATGGTAATAATAATTATTATGCTTATAACTGATCACTAAACTATGCCATATACCATGCTAAACACTTCAAAACATATTATCTCATTTGCCTCTTATGGAAACAATATTGTGATTATTTCTACATTTCACACAAGTAACTTAGAGTTTAGTGAGATAATGTTAACCTGTCCACAAGGCAGAATTAACATTTGCATACATCAGTTTATTTCCTGAGTCCCAGTTCTTGCTTGTACAGCCTGCCTTGAAAATTTTTGCGCATAAAGGTGTAACCTGACAGAGGAGAGACGCATGGTAATAAAATAAATAGCTCTTTAATCAGATGTGAATAAGCCGTGACCTTCCTCATGCAGGTTGGCAATTTGATTCTGAAGAGATGAAACGAAGGAAAAAGGATGTTTAAATACAATAATAAATGCAATCACTTTCAGAAATGTTTAATATTTTTATTAAAGATATTACTGTTTTGAAAATACACACATATTTTTGTCTCTTACATATGTGAGACTCTTTTACTGATTTACCACTTAATATGTCCTGTGAGGATTCAATTTCCATTCTAAATCAAAGCAGATTAAAAAAAGAAATGAAAATGAATCAGTCCATCTTATTAGTACATAAGAAGATACATTTTCTGAAACTACTTTTTAGTTTACTCAGAGATGTTTTCTCTGAATGTCTTTTTTTTTGTTCTCCGAGATAACAAGGCATCTTCACATAATGCCTTAAAATTATATTGATTATTAAGGGAGATAACTTTAGCTTTTTTTTCTTGTTAAGATTGTGGGAAATGATTTGCAAGTAATATGTTAGCTACCGTAAGTGGGCTCGATGGGAACAGATGACAAAATGGCAGGTATAGCAATAAGGCATGGGAAGACTTCTTATACAGAGTGTTAAACAAAAAGCTTTGAAAACACCTCTGCAGGAGAAACATACCCTAAGTGAAAAAGGTCTACTAATTATAAAAAAGACTTGAGTTATTTTTCATCCTTATCCACCTTAAAAGAGCCCTCAACATATTTCTTTAAGCCTAAGTGAATATTACATCATTTACAGAGCATTATTTACTCAATACATTCTTTTTCAAATATATATGGTTTATCCACTTATTTATTTATTAATGTATAAACTTTTACTTATAAACTTCTACTTGGCTGATCTTATGTGCTGGAAACTGTGCTAGTTGCTTGAGAGATAAAACATCACTAAGATACAACGATGGTCCTGTTGGGTTTCACAAATTGTGAGCAGCAAATTAATCTGTTATCTACAAAGAAATCAATTCATCAATGGCATTACTCTCTGAGCTAGTCTTTTAATGAAACTTCCACTGAGCATTTGAAAATTTTAGCCATTGGCAAGAACTGCAGGTCAGAGAAAAGGGTGTTAAATTCTGCATAAATAATACGGCTAGGTTAAGTAAAATGCAGAAACTTCTATTCTTTAAAAGCAAAAGAACAATCAGGCTGATGAATCAGAGTGAAACACTGCCACTCTCTAAAAGCTCAATTTTTATGACTTGCAGCCATTTAACCAACGGACAATGCTATCAAGACTTTTCCAAACCCAGTAGCTGTTTTCTGATCACTATGTCTATGCCAAAGGTTAATTCCTCCCTACTCACTTTTCCTGAGTACACAAGGTGAACTGCCTAGGCAGTGGGACCTACAAGTCCAAGGTCAATAGGAGATAAAAACAAACAAACCAACAAAGTAGATGATAGGTGACTCAAGTGAAGGTTTAAAAAAAAAAAAAAGATAACCAGCTTTCACTGAAATTAACATAAGCTCCTCGGCTAACCAGGAAGACAAAATATTGTAAAAGGCACCATAAAAACTCTACCTAATAAAACAAAATCACTAGATTTAAAAAATTCTAGAAAAAAAAAGGAGAAATAAATTTGCCAGTGACTCTAAAGCAGTGCCAAGAGGAAACTGAAGCTCATTTAGGAGAATAGTCTGAGAGCAGGAGCAGGTACCAGTCAAGGCTCTGAGACTAAAACAGGTCTCAGGCCAAGGGCACTGAGTAGGAGGGGGGGCGGTGATGGGGGCCAGTGGAGGAAACATGGTGGGCTTTATAGTATTGCATTTAGTCAATTTTCCTCGGTGCCCTTACAGTACTTTAAACATACTGCTATTACCTTCATCCGTTAGACCATGTATTCTTTAATGAATTTCATTCCTGTGTAACAGAGAGTAGTATAGCCCCTGGCATAGCCTCTTTGCATTTCCTATATATATTTTTGGAGAAAGAAGAGAAAAAAATGGCAAATACATCTAAAAGTAAGATTGACAGTAGACTATTTTGAGTGTCCTTTTGGTGTCCTTTCTGTTGTGAGTGATAGAAATGGAACACAAGCTAGATTAAGCAAAAATGGAATTTATCGGATCATAAAACTACAAAGTCTAAAGCAGGCACTGGCTTCTATACATAAAGATCCAGGCACTCAGCTGCTGACCTCAAGGCATTCTCTTTCTCCAGTGCCTTGATTCTGCTTGTCACTGGTTAGCTTTACTCTGCAACCAGTTCCAAGCATGTGGCAAGTTGTCCACATATTAATTCCAGAAAATGCCTTTAATAGCCTCAACCTGGGCCTCATCCACAACTCTGTCTGAGGATTACAGGAGGGTACAGGGACTGAAAACTTCAGCCCATGGGGCAGGAGTGGCCCATTTCCTCAAGGAAAAGATATCCCCCATAGCACTCAATCAATAGTTCTTAAATAAATGAATGAATGAGTCAACCAATCAATAAAATAATTTCTACAATACTGGAAGTTTTCCAAAGCAATCAAATTTCTGTACTACCTCCCTCTTAACACTTTGTGTGTTTTCATTAAAACACGCTTAACAACTAGAAAGTAAGATGTTCTGGGCAGGAATAAAAATATTGGGAGGAGTGCCTACTGCAGGTGGGTGTGAAGACATTAACAGTGAGGTAGTAAAACTGGAGATTCTGATGTTGCATGTCTTTTTTTTTTTCTGCTCCAGAGAACCCAGAAGCAGAGGGAGGAAAAGACATGATCTGGCTGTGAACCCACCTACAAAAAGATCATTAAACCTTGTATCCCCACTGCCTGTAATCCCAGCACTTTAGGAGGCCAAGGCAGGTGGATCATGAGGTCAGGGGTTCGAGACCAGCCTGACCAACATGGTGAAACCCAGTCTCTACTAAAAATACAAAAATTAGCTGGGCGTGGTGGTGGGTGCCTGTAATCCCATACTCAGGAGGCTGAGGCAGGAGAATTGCTTGAATCCCGGAGGCGGAGGTTGCAGTGAGCCGAGATCAAACCACTGCACTCCAGCCTGGGCAACAGAGTGAGACTCTGTCTCAAAAAAAAAAAAAAAAAAAAAGAAAAGAAAAAAAGAAAAGGGAGAAATGATCCCTAGGAATGGATGGAATGGACACAGATTAATTTTTAAAAAGTAATACCAAACTAATAATATTTATTTTTCATTAAGTTTACTAAACTAATAGAGCAAAGGATGGCCACAGACACTGGTTATCTTGATTTAAGCAAGGCATCTGATAAAGGTGATCTGACATCTCATGACATTCTTGAGGACAAGGTAAAGTGACATGAAGATAGGTTAATTCACAGAAGCTAAGATAACTGTGCAACAAAACTGATTCTAAAGCACAGAATGTATCAGAGTATCCTCAGTAACATTTTCAAGCCATCATCACCACCCAAGAGAGATGCTAATATGCCCCACAGAATTAAAAATAACAGGCCGGGCATGGTGGCTCATGCCTGTAATCCCAGCACTTTGGGAGGCCGAGCCGGGTGGATCACCTGAGGTCAGCAGTTTGAAACCAGCCTGCCCAACACGGCCAAACCCTGTCTCTACTAAAAAACAAAAAAATTAGCCAGGCATGGTGGCAAGTGCCTGTAATCCCAGCTACTTGGGAGGCTGAGGCAGGAGAATCGCTTGAACCCAGGAGGCGGAGGTTGCAGTGAGCCGAGATCGTGCCACTGAACTCCAGCCTGGGCAGCAAGAGTGAAACTCTGTCTCAGGAAAAAAGAAATTAGAAATAACAAGTATCAAGGGTGTTCATAAATAAAACTGGGTTGGGCTGCTCATACAATGAAGGACCAAGCAGCTTTCAACATGATCTGAAGAGGTAGAAGCACTAAGCCAAACTAGCAAACTCTAGTTAAGCAGACGTAGAGGTAAAGTTCTATGTCCAAGTTTAAGAATGTATAGATAGGTCGGGCGCGGTGGCTCACGCCTGTAATCCCAGCACTTTGGGAAGCCAAGGCGGGCGGATCACAAGGTCAGGAGATCGAGACCATCCTGGCTAACACGGTGAAACCCCCGTCTCTACTAAAAATAAAAAAAATTAGCCAGGCGTGGCGGCATGCGCCTGTAGTCCCAGCTACTTGGGAGGCTGAGGCAGGAGGATGGCATGAACCTGGGCGGCGGAGCTTGCAGTGAGCCGAGATCGTGCCATTGCACTCCAGCCTGGGCGACACGGCAAGACTCTGTCTCAAAAAAAAAAAAAAAAAAAAAAAAAAAAGAATGTGTAGATAAAGAACAGAAAATCCTAGAAGATAACTTGAGAGGGCAAGTCAGGCATTAGAAAAATGAATTAGGAAGCCATAGTGGGCATCTGCCATTTTTGAAAGTTCAAAATAATCACTCTCTACATTTTGATATTTTCTTGTATCATATATCTTGCCATCCCCAAGACTACATTTCCTACCTTCCCCTGTCACTAACATCAGACATGGATATATTCTATCCATGGGATGCATCCTCATGAGACAGGTTAGAAATTGAACTGCCCAAGGGGAAGCATTGATTTGGGGGAGTGGATGAGGAGGCCACATTGTCTGGACTCAGTGGCTGCCAGAATAGCCCTGAGCCATGGTTCTGGGAGTTATTACAGGTGGTTTAATGCAGATCCTGTCCTTTCAGAGTAGCCAAAGATTCTGAGAGCTATCTAATATCTCAACACGCAAAGAAACAAGTAAGCAAATATAATTTCCTCACTTAAATGGAATTCTATTGTCTTCGTTTAAGAACAATTATAACACAGGCCTTGGGTGTTTATCAACAAAATTTAAAAAAATCATACATCTGCGAGGCTTACAGGATGGCCCTACAAACAAAATGCAGTAATGTACGTGAAACAGCTTGAAAAAGTACCAAAGAATGACATATATGTAAGTATAGTATATTTTCTACTGCTACAAACGGCAAGTCTTAAATCATAGGACCATTGCAAAGAGACAAATTCTGAATAAACCTTCCAAGTGATACGGGCTGGCCAGTCTTGGGACAGGAAGCCTAATAAAGGAGTGAGCTTCTCATCAGTGAAGATATTCAAGCATGCAGATGATAGGTAACAAAGATACAGTAAATGGAATTTCTATTTTTAAAAGATACTCGAACTAGAAGCTCCTAAATTCTCCTTATAATTCTAATATTTCCTGATTTTCTTTTGCCTATTTATTTTATATAAAGAGATTTTCTGGTCTGGTTTTATGGCTTATTTTCTGTGTATATTATATTTATTTAACATATGCTATGATAAAACTACTTTGTCTCCCTATAAACTATACAAATACATGGAGTTCTTAAATTTATATGTATATGAAATATGTTAATATATCAAAATATGTGTGTGATGTTAGCTTAGAAAATATAAATTAGCATAATTACATTAATTATGGATGTATAAAAATGCATATGGTATATTGCATGCATTTGCAAAATAATTTGTCACGATATTATTTTGTGCACATTTGTTCTTTTCAACTTTTATGAAGAAGGAAATATAAAGTTCTTATCTATATTTCAGTTTTAAGTATATACTTATTATCTCGGGTAAATTTTGTATGCAGATGTTTCTGAGGGGCTGAGTTTACAAACCCGATTCCCAAACATTACAAGAGAAAAGCACACATATGGAAAAGCATAGTGAAATGTGTCCTCTCCATATTCTGCTTGAAGGGTGCTTTATGTATTCTTCTACTATCAAGTAATTGTGCATTCAGTTGCCATTCTACACGGTTGAGTTAGGAACTGTTCAATGGCAGGGCTTTTTAAAACAACAGCCTCATTGAGATACAATTTATATACCATATGATTCACCCACTTAAAGTGTATAATTTAACGGGTTTTTTAGTTGTGCAATCATCACTACAATAATCATGGCATCTAATTTTGAATCACTACAATCTAATTTTGAATATTTCATCACCCCTAAAATAAACTCCCTACTATTTGCACTCTTTCATTCTCCCACCACCTCTTCTCCTCAACCCTAGACAACCACTAATTTACTTTCTGTCTTTATAGATTTTCCCATTCTGGATATTTAATATGAATGGTATTATGTAACATGTGTGTAATATGTGGCCTTTTGTGACTGGCTTCTTTCACTCAGCATATTTTCAGGATTCATCCATGTTGTAGCATGTATCAGTACTTCATTCCTTTTTATTGCGAAATATTATTCCACTGTAGGGATTTGTTATATTTTGTTTATTTATCAGTTGATGGACATTTGAGTTGTTTCTATTTTTTAGGTATTATGACAAATGCTGTGAGAAATATTCACCATATTCTCATCAACACTTACTATGATACATTTTTTCTAGCCATCCTAGTGTGGTGTGAAGTGGTATCTCATTCTGGTTTTGATTTACATTTCCCTGATGACTAACGATGTTGAGTATCTTTTAATGTGCTTTTTGGCCATTCATATAATTTTTTTTTTTTTTTAGAAATGTTGATTCTGAATAAAATTTCCAAATGATGCAGGCTGGCCAGTGTTGAGACAGGCAGCCCAATAAAGGAGTGAGCTTCTTATCAGTGAAGATATTCAAGCATATGGATAATAGGTAATAAAGATATGATAATGCAATTTCAATTTTTAAAAGAGATTTGGACTAGAGGCTCCTAAATTCTCCTTGTAATTCTAATATTTCCTGATTTTCCTTTGCCTGTTTTATATAAAGAGATTTTCTAACCATCCTAGACACTTGCTCATATTTAAATTGGACTACTTGTGTTTTATATTACTGTGGTTGTAAGAGTTCTTTACACACTGTAGATACAAGTCTTTATCACGTATTATTTGCAAATATTTTATCTCATTCTGTGAAAATGCCTTTTTGCTTTCTTGATGGTGTCCTTTGCAGTACAAAAGTTTTAAATTTTGATGAAACCCAATTCATTTATTTTTTTTCATATTTACTGGTGCTCTTGGTGTCATATCTAAGAAATCATTGCCTAATCCAAGGTCATAAAGAGTTATGCCTGCTTTTTCCTAAGAATTCTACATGGTTTTAGCTCTTACATTTAGGTCTTTGATCTCTTTTGAATTAATTTTTGTCTATGGTATAAAATAGGGATCCAATTTAGTTTTAGGTATATGTGGATATCCAGTTGTTCCAGCATAATTTGTTGAAGAAGCCTTTTTTTATTGAATTGTCTTGGCACTCTTGTCAAAATTTAATTGATCATATATGTGAGACCTAATTTTTGGACTCTGAATCCTATTCCATTGATCTATACATCTATCTCTACTTATTTTTGTAAATTCTAACACTAGCACTGTGCATGACCCCTACAGAGTGCAATATATATATCGCCAATGAGTGGCAATCAACCAGAGGACTGCCTTGCCTTTCTTTCTTACTGTCTTAACAGATTATTTTGTTTGTTTGTTTGAAATGGAGTTTTGTTCTTGCTGCCCAGGCTGGAGTGCAATGGTGTGATCTCAGCCCACCGCAACCTCTGCTTCCCGGGTTCAAGCGATTCTCCTGCCTCAGCCTCCCGAGTAGCTGGGATTATAGGCATGTGCCACAATGCCAGGCTAATTTTGTATTTTTAGTAGAGACAGTATTTCCCCATGTTGGTCAGGCTGGTCTCGAACTCTTGACCTCAGGTGATCCACCCACCTTGGCCTCCCAAAGTGCTGGGATTACAGGCATGAGCCACCGCACCCGGCCAACAGATCATTAATTGCACAACGGTCTATGGTGGCTCTCAATAGATTTGTAGCAGTCAATTAGAAAGAAGCATCCTAGCCCTTTAATTCTGACATGTAGTTAATAGAGCAAGTGTCAAAGCTATGGCATAAAGGGTCTGACTCAAGGTCAGATTTTTAAAAATTTCTCAGTCTTTTTGTACCTGTTTTTCTGTTATATAACTATTCCTTGCCTGTAACACTCTTCTATGTTCTTGTCAACTCCATTCTTGTACATAGATGATAAAGTTAAATTTACAAGAATTGCAACTCTGATTTAGTTTTTGAAAATAAAATGTCCATTTTGACATTTTAGTTTATATATTTTTGTCACATAAGTCCAAAAACTAGTAAAGCCAAATGACAGCGCTAGGAATCCACTTAGACAATATATTATCCATATGTATTATGTACCATATATTGTGTTATTTCTTATATATGTGATTTCACTTACCTTTATCCCAGCAATGGAGGTAGGTGCCATTATAATATTTATTCTAAGAAGACAAAGTCAGAGTGCAGATAGGTTGAATAATTTAACCAAAGCCACAGAGCTAAAGAGTTTTGGAGCCAGCATTTAAATGCAGATATGATCAATTCCAGAACCCATAGCTTCAACAAATAACTGCAAAAGGGATCATCATTGTAACATCTTCATTTTAAAAATGAAGAAAATAAGATCTAATGATATTTATTAATTACGCCAAATTATGCAGAGCCACAAAACCCAGTTGTTCAGGTTGTGCATTGCATAAATCTAAGAGTATTAGTTACATAATACCGCTAGACCTGAAAGTGTTCAATCCATTTCCTTCGTGATAGTCTGAACATATTTGCAGATTTCTACTACGTGCTCCTCAAAGCTCAACAGATTTGCTCTTGTGACCAGATTCCAATTTTTTATCAACTACTCTTCATTTCTAATAAAGTTAGATATTTATCACAGCCTGCATTATGTCCTGAGATCTGTGATATATTAGTTGATTAAATTTTTTTTTTCATATGGTAAAGCCCAACCTTTGTGATTTCCAGTTCTACAAATTGTAACAAATGCATGGAGTCACATATCTACCACCAGTATCATATAGAACACTTCCATGCAGTGTCACCAACAGTCCTGATTTGCCTGGAGGAAAGAAGGATAACTGGGACTCAGGACATTCAGTTTTATAGTTGGGAGTCTTGGAAAACTAGGATGCATAATTGGTTGCCCTACTTCTGGCATCCTACAAT
The DNA here is from genome assembly GCF_000001405.40 of Homo sapiens. NCBI lineage: Eukaryota > Metazoa > Chordata > Mammalia > Primates > Hominidae > Homo > Homo sapiens. The sequence goes on from NC_000018.10 coordinate 4,596,859, forward strand.
TCCCTCTCTATAGCCCTCTGCAGTCAACCCCTTCCCCAAGCCTCAACTCCTGGTAACCACCCATCTGTTTTCCATTCTTATAGTTTTGCTTTTTCCAGAATATCATTTAAGTTGAATCATATAATATGTGGCCTTTTACATCTGGCTCTATTACCTAGTTCTTTGATGGATTTAAGATAAGTCATTTATTTTCAGTTTGTCCAGATTTTGTTGTTGTTGTTGTAGAGGTAGGAGTGCTGCTTTTTCCAGCTTTCTCTGTTTCTGAGCTGAAATCACTCATTCACTTTTTGAATGAAGGAAAAAATACCTTGAATAACATAATAATCAAATAGTGGCCCAAGTTTATGAATTGCTTACATATTATAAGCAAAATGAAATGTGTAACAGTTAAAGAGTTTTTTTCCAATGATGGTGCCAGAGAAGGAGTAGGCCAAGACAAAGAGATAAAGATGTTCAAAATCGCAGAGTACAAAATGCAGGTCTAAGTACTACTTAGACTGTAAGAAGATAACGGTCCCTTTATGACCATCTGAGGAAAAAAATATAGCTTTAAGCAGTTCTCTGCTAGCTGTTACTGTACACTGGTATCACCAATTAAAGACCAATGTCTCATGGAAAACAGCGATTGGTATCATAATTCTCTTTACACAGTGCTCTAAGGGATAAACTGTTGGCAATTGTTGTTTCCTAATGGACTCATCTTCTAACAGCAATAATAAAATTATTACTCAGCAACCTTGTAAATGATTACAAATTACAGCAATAAGCAAAAGGTATTCAATCTCACAATTGCACAGTTAAGGCATTTCAACATTAACCAAAGAAATCAGTAATGAACAAATGAGGCACTTCTTCACACAAAGAGCATATAGTATTCTCTATCTGTCCCCACTTTGCATTTTTGATAGCCTAAAAGTAAATTATTTTCTCTCCAAATCATTGCCACTTACTACATAGTACATTTCTTTATTCTCATGTTTAAGCCTCCTTTATTGAACACAAGAGTAATAATTTTATGTCAATATTTAAGGAGACAACTTTTACTCTGGGTTATGATGAGAAAGGGATGTGGCAAATATTGTGTAATGTAGGCTTTCAAACAATTCTCAGAAATCAAAGCCGGGAAAAAAAAAGAGTCACTTTAGCAACAACTTCAGAAACACACCAAACCCTAAGATCATGCTGGTGAAAGGAAGGCAGGACTATTATTCTCCTCACTCTTAGATAATTTAATGTCTAAGATATGAATAAGAGAGGAAAATAAAATCAGAAGGCAACATGCACACACACACACACACACCCACACATAACTGGATTGGCCAAATCTGGATATACTGTGGAAACCGTGCTTAGGAATAAGACAGAAAATCAGTTGCCAGAATCAGCACAAAATCAGAACCAAACTCACTTGTCTTGAAGCCAGTTCCAAAGAGTTTGGCCATATATCCTGAAACCCTTTCTAACATAAGAATTTCAAAGTTAAGGCTGAAGTTTTGGGTAGAATGGCTTTATATATTAAAAAGTAAAGGTTGCAGAAGTTGCTAACAGGCAAAATCTGAAAAAGCCACGAAAAAACACAAATATACCTAACAAATATACATGTCATGCCTTCTCAACCCACCCTTAGAAATCAATTGCACAAAGGCCATACACACTCACATAATTGTAATAGGTCAATTGTTCTTGAGGAGTTGAAGGTCACATGGTGAGGCAGAGGATACCAGCTACCTACTTTCACATCCATTTTCTCTTTGATTCTTGGTAACATGATCCCACATTTTAGCTAAGTATACTGCTTTCTGCAAGGAGAGACTACATTCCTTACCCTACCTTACAGCTTTTTGTGGCTCTGTGACCAAATTCTGGCCGAAAAAGTGTAAGCAAAACTGGGAATTCCAGCAAGGTCTTTAAAGGGGAGAGAAAAATCTTTTCCCCCTTTTGCCCTTTTTGCTGCTTAGAGAACAGAAATGGAGGATGGAGTTCTAGAAGTTACCACAAATGATTGGTTAACCCTGGTGTGGGAAGGGATCTGCCCAAGAAAGCGGGGCAGAAAGGAACAGGAACAATAGGACCTTCAATCAGTTATGAAATTGAGACACAGAAAAGCCACCACACAAGTCCTGGATAGGCTACCTCCAGTCTGCTCTTATGTGAAAGAGAAATAAGCTTCTGTGTTCTAAAAACAATGTTATATTGTTGTTGTTATTGTTCTTGTTGTATAAAGCCAAACTTAATTCTAACAAATATCCTGTAATTGTTTTAGACTATGATATGTTATAAAATTTGATCTGTGTGTGTGTGTGTGTGTGTGTGTGTTAGAAAGATATCTAGAGTCTATGCATTTTCACAGGCACAAATCACATTTTACAACTTACTATGTTATATCTATGAATTCACATAGCCCTGTGATGGTCAGTTCTATGTATCAGCTTGGTGAGGCAATAATCACCAGTTATTCAACGAAACACTAATGTTGGTATTGCTGTGAGGTGTTTTGAAGATGTAACTGGTCTGTAATCCATTGACTTTAATAAGGAAGCTATCCTAGATAATCCTAGACCATATGGGTGATCTGATTCAGTCCTTGAAAGTCCTGAAAAGCAGACTTGGGCTCCTGTGGTGGAGGAGAAACTCCACCGGGGGCAGAAGTGTCAGCTCCTGCCGGAGAGGATCAGCTTGCCCTTCCTCATGCCTGCCCCACGTATTTGCATCTTGCCTAGCCAGTCCCCAAATCACAGGAGCCAAGTCCTTGCAATAAATTTCTTAGCATACATCTCTTACTGGTTCTATTTATCTGTTTCAACTTTGACTGGTACAGTCACAGAATCAAAAAGAATAAAAAATACAGCAAAAGAACAATTGAAACAATAAAGAAAGTGAGTTCTATAAAGAAGGTTAGCTACAATTTTTCCTTTCACTATCACATTTAAATTTCAATTAGGGAAATATTGTTTCTCAGTTTCTTCTTCCTCATGTAGGCCTTGGAAAATCTGCCATCTGCAAAGAAGTTACTGGATGCTTTTTGTTTCTCCAGGCACTCTCTTGGATGATTTAATCCTATGACATTTCGCTGAATTAATTGTATCCACAGTTTCTTATTAAGACCACAGCCAACATAAAAATTCAATTTTGACCTAGGGAGAATTTGTGATAGACTAGACAACTGTTTTAATTTGATTCTGCTACTCCATGAGTTTGATCCAGCTTTCTTTTTCTCTCTTAAGATAGAGCCTGTAAGCAAATGGTTTCTAACATCCACGATCGGCCCTTGGATTGATAACTTTTGTTGCTTTATGACACCTTTCCTGGAATAATGTTAGGGTCTCTGTTTATGTTCTTTATTCTAATAGATAAGAGAACAGGATGTGGATTTTGAGCTTAGACTATTTAGAGTCTGCATTTTTTGTGTACACTAATTTCTGTTGATCAGCTGCTGGCAATCACAGGTCACACTTCTCTGCTGGAGCCTGGATCATTGTGGTGTTTTTAAGTGGTTTGAGGAAAGTAGGTAATCAATGTCAAGATAATTTAACACTGGGATGAGGACATTTCCCTTGATCTCATCTTCCTAAAGCGTGTTTTTGGAATATACATCAATGGAAACATTAGTTTGTTTCATATGAAATAAACATTTCATAGTCAAGTAACTTTGGGAGATGGTGGGCTACACAAACTGAAAAGATGTCTTTACTGCAGGATTTCTCAAAGTCTTTGACATATTAATGAACACCATGAATTACCCAGGAGATAAGTCAGCATATAGCTTTTCCCGTTCTACAGAGCCCAGTTTTGAGCTACGCGCTCCAAACCATCTATTTAACAGACTATCACTAAGTGGAATAATCTTTCTAAGAGCTCCCACTAATATCTAATAATGGAACAATGGAGCTCTTCATAGAGTTATTTAAGTAACACAACATAAAATACTGTATGTTCCTTTACCTAGCATTGGTTGAGTGCTGTGTATACTTTAAAAAGCAACACTGAAGATTCCTGAACCATTTTAGATATTTGATGACTTTTGCCACATCTACAAAATGAACTTGAGGTTTAAGAGGTTTTGTAATGTCTTCTTTATAGTTTCACTCCGCTTCCAAACTCCACTGAATGCTTTTATTTCAGTGCTCTGCAACACCCACTATATGTAGGACCCATCATGATCTGATCTTTCACTAACTTCCTTTTTGCACAGAGCATTCATGAAATCTTGCAGATGGGCAGAAATCTCATAGGTTTTAAAATAAATGGTTCTGCTAGTACAGTCTGTGCGAGGTTAAAATTCATGCAAAAACTTTGTTTCTGATTTTTAAAATTTGATGTTTTTTCATGGCCGCTAAGAAAGTTGGAATTTTCATCAGGAATGAGAAGGGTATTATTGCCCATAGATTGGATATAGTCTTAGCTCATCTACGTAGAATAATGATAAACTGCCATAGACGCCATGACTTAAACCATTTGTATATCTAGTACATATTACATTTCTTTTTTGTGTTTCATTTTGCTTTCTTGGGCAGCATCTCTAGCATACCCCCTATATGCTGTGAAGACTGACTGAGTTAAAGATATATGTGTTGAAAAGTATTGGTGCATGGACATTTAGTGCAGGAGGACTAGGAAAAGCATTGCTGAGGCACATGTGTGCTACTTGTTTTTATTGTTGGAGTCTAACACAATTCTGTAAAGAAGGTGAAAAGTATCTAATTGTAGCGAAAAGTTTTTTGGACTGATTCGGAAAAGAATTAAGGTGGAAGTCAATAATATATTTTGAAACTTTCCAATAGAAAAAGTCCTTTCTTCCCTGCATTTATTCCAAAGATTTTAATAATATTTACCCTTTCTTTTTTAAAAAAACGCAAACTGTAATTCCCCTTTTCAGTATTCTAAAGCTAAAATAAATGGCATATGAATCAGATGGATTAAGATATTACTTCTATAAAAATACTACACTTTTTTTAAAAACCTATGTTTCCTCTCTTTTATTCAGACAACTTTTCTGATGTTCTAAGAAAAACAGCTTTTAAAAAATATATTGAGTCACAATATCCCTTTTAAAAATAGTATAACCAAACTTGTCAAATGTCTATTTTCCCCTTACTTTTCTGTATTTTCAGAAGAGGGAATAAAAAACACTTATGTGTGACTTATATAATACAGAAGAGAAAATTTTCAAAAGTCATTGGATATCCTAATCTACCCAAAATATCATAAAGAATTTTGACCTTCCCTCCCTCCCTCACTCCCTCCCTCCCTTCCTTTCTTTCTTCCTTCCTTCCTTCTGAAGATATACCTTTATACAGATAGCCATTCTTTATCTATAAGGTTATGTGTACAGCATGTAAGGCCATGACTAATACTGTTTATTCTAAGAGCAACACAGTAGTCAAAAGAACTCAGTGTATGAAACCAGCAGAAGATATCAAATAAGTTCCCTGTGGCTTCCATCAGTTTTCAATCATATTTTAGAAAATTCTCTTTTCCTTTCATCCTTTCTTCCATATACCACAGCTGCTTCTGAATCTGCCTCCTCCAAATACAGCAGAGAAACAACTCAAACCCTCCCCAGGGGATGTTCCCCACCTCCCTTTTCCATCTTCATTTTCCATCATGTTGCTAAAGTGACCTGAAAGGAGGGGAGGCGGGCAGGAGACCTCATTTATTTGTTTTAGAAGACAAATAAACACCTGAAAAAGCCCTGAGTTATGAATAATTTTTTCAATACAGTATTTTTGAATGCACATTTTCTTATTTATTTATGAAATAGTTGTGAATTATCTCTATATTAACCTTACCTACGTGTTGATTTGGGTGTTTACTCCTTCTCTTACTGAATTTTATAAATATTTTCATTTTAATCAGTTATCTACATTACAAGAAGTGATTTTTCCCAAATTTATAATTCACATTTGTGGGTTGCCTATATATTTCCTTTACCTATTCATTTACTTGGATCTTAGTGATTTATGTATTTGTTTTAATTCCTTGTCATTTATATAATTATAGTTTGCCCAGTTTCTATTTTCAGGTTATTTATGATGACATGTCCCTAGAGAAACATAAACTTTCATGTATTCAATTGTATTGCCTTTTTCTTTCCTGTTAGTTATCTTGAAAGTATAGGTCCACATTCTAAGTTTATAGTAACACTCACCTATGTTTCTTCCAGTACTTTTAAGGCACTTGAAAGACTTTGAAACTGTTTGTTTACCTGGGATTTATCTTGGTGAGTGAAGTGTGAACCATAGGATTTATAATAATTTCTCTGCTTGGTTTACTAATACTTTTACCATTAATAAATAAGGTAAATTAAGAAGCTTTATTTTGGTTGCTATGCACTTTAAACAGCTTAAAAAAACTAAGAAGTACATTTTTTAAAAAAAGTATTTAAATAGGCCGGGCAGGATGGCTCACACCTGTAATCCCAGCACTTTGGGAGGCTAAGGTGGGCGGATCACGAGGTCAGGAGATCGAGAGCATCCTAGCCAACATGTTAAAACCCCGTCTCTACTAAAAATACAAAAATTACCCAGGTGTGGTGGTGTGCGCCTGTAGTCCCAGCTACTTGGGAGGCAGAGGCCGAAGAATCGCTTGAACCAGGGTGGCAGAGGTTGCAGTGGGCCGAGATCGTACCAATGCACTCCAGCCCGGCGACAGACCGAGACTCTATCTCAAAAAAAAAGTATTTATATATATATATATATATATATATATGTATTTTTTTTTGGCAAAGTAGTCTAGATGTTAGTTGGGGAAAATAACTTTCATGGCTTTTCTCCTATTACCTGTTTGTTTTGGTTTTCTGCTTTTTTAAGACTGTTATTTTATTTTTATTTCTTTATTTTTATTTTTTAAGACGTAATCTCACTCTGTTGCCCAGGTTGGAGTGCAGTGGTGTGATCTCTGCTCACTGCAACCTCCGCCTCCCGGGTTCAAGTAGTTCTCCTGCCTCAGCCTCCTGAGTGGCTGAGAATACAGATGCCCGCCATCACACCCAGCTAATTTTTGTATTTTCAGTAGAGATGGGGTTTCAATATTTTGGCCAGGCTGGTCTCTAACTTCTCACCTCAAGGGATCCGCCTGCCTCGGCCTCCCAAAGTTCTGGGATTACAGGCATGAGCCACCATGCCCGGCCTCTTATTATTTATTTTAAAATGGAAAGGTAAGAAATCTCAGAAAAGAGAGTCATATTGACATTAGAGATGGATTTCAAGAATTTTTTCTAACCCTACCAACAACTTGTTCTTATGGCTCCTGCGGGAGGAGCTGTGCGCCTTTCCTCAGGGTCCCGAACAGTGATGCAGCAATTTTGCAGGCGGGCAGGGTCTCATGGCTTATGTTGTTAGCACTCTTTTGTCGCTGGTTCTTTTCTACTCATTTCTGTACCAGGGTGACTTGCTGTCACTCTGTGCTTTCTCTCTTCCATAGCACTGGTTAGCGTATAATGAATCAAAAAGTTGGGTTTTGCCTTAGGAAATAAGGAGGCCAATCAGCTCACTGGCCCAGTTCCCATTATTCTAGCTTGGTTACCTAAAGTTTGAATTAGATTTGGGGCCGAAATCTGCATAAAAGTGCTGTGATTCTTCTCTGTTCCTGTGATATTATTCCCTGTTATGTATCTCCCTTGGAAACTTTTTGAAATAGTCTCTGTAGGATTTGCTTATTCCTAGGTTCCCTGGCCCTAATACCATTTAATACAGATACAAATTCACCGTAAGTTCTGATAAGCCTAATGCATACAGGCTTTTAAAAGTGAGTAAAAATTGGATGAAGGCTAGTATGGATGAAACTCAGAGTCATGGAAGAAAGTGGTAACAATGAGGCTTACGGGGTCATGTGGGCCCAGATTGTTCAGGGCTTCCGTCTTATGCCTCTTGAAATATGTGTGGTTCTATCCTAACAGCAATAGGAAGCCTTCTGAGGGTTTTAAACAGGGGAACAAAATTATTAGATTAACATTTTACAAAGAATCTTTTAAAAAGATTCTTGATGAAATAACTATTCTTTTGGTTAACAGCTAGTTTTTGATTAAATTATCAATCCTATCACATTCCTCTATTAGTTAGATCCTCTTGTCATTTTTCTGCTTATTTTTATTTTGCTTCTTTTGCTTTTATTTTGCCAGAGTGATGAGAGCCTATTGTTACTGTTGTTCTTCTCCATTTCTCTTATTTTTTATCCATATATATTGATGTAACGTATTTGGCACATAAAAGCTGATGCAAAATATATCTTTATTATAAAGAGTAATCTTTGTTAAGATGCCAAACACATAGAAATCACAGGAAAATGAATGTTCACTCATAATGAAATTAAGTTTGTAAGATTTGTAAGTGAAATTGCCTTTTGTCTGAATCCAGAATATACTAAGTGCAATTTGAAGGTCACAGTGAAAAATACATTAGAATTGGAAGAATATGAAAAAATACTAAAATTTGGCAGTCACTTGAGAAGCTTTCCTAGCTCTCTAACTCATTGTCATTGTCTCTGTTAGCTGGTCCCCTAGGGATCCATAAAAACCGTTCTGCTTGGAAAACTCTAACTACTAGTGCAGAAAAGAATTGTGTCAGGTTTATTTAGTGATGTCATGGAGGCTTAAGGAAGGCAATAAAAATCTCTGATGCTCTCCGAAAAGCAGATGCTTACCGCATAGAAACTAGTGCTCTAAAAAGGTGTTAGCCTTTGAAGAAAAACAGTTCAACTGTATTTTAGTGAAAGGAAAGAAAAACTGTGTGCCCATGGAATATGAGATATCAGATGGAATTAAAACACTTTTTGAGGAATAAAAAAACAAATAACCCAATTAAAAATGGGCAAAGTATCCAAATAGACTTATCACCAAGAAATATATTCAAATGGCCAATTAAGCACATGAAAGGATGCTCAATATCATTAGTCAGCAGGGAAATGCAAATCAAAACCATATGAGATACTACTCTTACCTATGAGGATGGCTAGATTCCGAAAGTCAGATAAAATCAAGTATTGGTGAGGAAGTGGAGAAACTGGAACCCTAAACTGCTGATGAGAATGTAAAATAGTGTAGCTGCTTTGGAAACAATCTGGCAATTCCTCATATAAAACATAGAGTTATCTTATGTTCTAGCAATTCCACTTCTATACGTTTTCCCAAGAGGAGTGAAAAGATACGTTTACACAAAAACTCACACATAAAGAAATGTTCATAGCAGCATTATTTATGATAACCATAAATTAGGCACAACTCAAGTGGCTGAATGAATAAACTAAATGTGGTATATCTATACAATCAAATAGTATTTGGCCATATAAAGGAAAATATAAAGAAAAAAGTTCTGATACATGGTACAGTGTGAATTAATCTTGAAAACATTATGCTAAGTAACACAGACCAGTCCCAAAATGCCACACTATTGTATGATTCCGTTCATACGAAATGTCCTGAACAGGCAAATCTGTACAGACAGAACATAGATTAATGGTAACTTCTTAAAGCTGAGGAGGATAGGGCTGTAGGTGGATGATAGCTGAAGGGTATGGGGTTGCTATCGAGGTGATGAACATATTTAAAATTATAGTAATGATTGCACATTTCTGTAAAAATACTTAAAATCCCTGAATTTTATGTTTTAAATGGGTGAGTTGCATGGATATAGGAATTATTTCTAAATAATGCTTTTAAAAAATAAAAAGACAACTCTGGGAAAGGAAGTATGTCATTAACCCATTTAACTGGTTGTAATTCCCAATTGTGCTTAGCACAGATTTTGATATGGATTCAAAATCCAAAGGGCACTGGTGCAGAATCATACTCCCATCATATTACTATGACACACCAGAGTAAAGAGGAAAATACTTTGCAATATTGCAGAATTCACTATCCTGAAACATGCACAGAAGATAGTACTCAGACTCGGCGAAGAGATCTACAAACACTCAAACTTTTACTCCCAATTTAAAGTAATCAACAGTGCTAAATGAGCCTGAGTATTAGAATATCCAGTTATTTTAAAATATCAAGTTATTTTAAAAACTGGTTCATTCTTTTAAGCCCCTTAAATTTTCCTGAAAGAAAAAGCAAGTGGTCAGAAGTGTCATAAGGATTGAATTTTCTGTGGTGTTTATTCACTCAGGGCACTGGAATCTTGTATTTAGTGGTTAGGTGCTGTATTCTCTGTTAAGATATTTTCATTACTAACACTCAAGTATTCTTTACCCCACAATTTTATAATGGCCCACTTCAGAAGAAGAGCCCACCTCAGAAATGAAGTCTGTGATACACATTTGCAATAATATAAACAGCCTCCCAGTGGCTTCTAATTTCAGTCTCTTCTGCCTCCTCCCCTGTTCCCTAGTGGTAATGATTAACTTTAACCTGTCGGGGCTTAGGGAATAAGTTTTGCTTATGATGGGTTCTCTTCTGGGAGTTTTATATTGTTCTTATTATGCAGTCTGGTCTGTACCAAAATGTCTTCTTTTCAGTTTAGGAACCTTATCACTAAACTTTAGACTTGCTTGTGCTCTTGGTCAGAGCTCATTCATTAAGTATTAAATCTCTTCTACTGAATTCTTTGGAAGGCTGACCATTCTTCTGATACATTTTGCAAAATGCTGGCAGTCCCTGGGTGTTTGTGTAGCCCAGTCTCACAAGGGAAGCTCATGATGTACAAAGCCTTTGAAGGCACTTCATGACACTCCCTGTTCGACAACATTATCCGTCTGGGAAGCCAGTGCTCAGGTAGCACATCAGTTACACTAGTATTTAAAAGAATAATAATTACAACCACCATTCTATTTTCCACCTCCAAGAGATCAATTTTTTAAGCACACGAGTGAGAAGATGAAATATTTGTCTTTCTGTGCCTGGCATATTTCATTTAACATAATATCCTCCAGCTCCATCCATGCTATTGCAAATGAAAAAATTTCATTTTTTTATGGCTCAATTGTATTCCATTGTGTATATATATATCACGGTTTCTTTATCCATTCATCTGTGGATGGACACTTATGCTGCATCCACATCTGGGCTATTGTGAATAGTGCTGCAATAAGCATGGGAGTGCTGATGAAGAGTTGCTGGAGAAGGCGGGATAATGAAGAGTTGGTTAATGCGTACAGAGGTAGAGTTAGAAGGAATAAGATCTAGTGTTTGGTAGCACAATAAGGTGATTATAGTTAACAATAATTTATGGCACATTTCAAAATAACTAGTAAAGTAGAATTGGAATATTCCCAACAGAAAGAAATGATAAATGTTTGGGATGATGAATATCCCAGTTACCCAGATTTGATCATTACACATTGTATGCTTATATCAAAATATATTTCACATAATATGCAGCCATAAAAATTAAAAATTAAAAAGAATAATAATTGTATATGTTAATGGGGTACAGTCCATCAATTTAAAAAATAGAAGAATATTCCCTCTTTTGTATGCTATTTGGCAGAATAGATCTTGTTGAAGCAATTAATAAACCACTTATCTATATAAAATATGATTTTACAAAATACTTATGAGATTGAATTTCAGCTTTAAAAATAAGATAAGCAAAGGCTGTATTAATTGTAATTCCAGATAGGCTTATCTTATTCATTCGTAGGCTTTATGTAGACAATAGCTTGACACTAGCATGAGTTGAAAATTGTAATGACAATTATATACAAAGATTTTTTTCTGGAATTGTCTCAATTTCAAATCACCTGTTTCACCATCTCCATATATTCATAACCCAACAGGCAGCATGTCCAAATTTTTCACATGTAGAATATGATCACTCTGTTTCCATGGAGGAATTGGATGCTGAAATTCAGAAATGCAAACTTTCACTAGCTTAGCTATAAAATAATTGAAGCAGTTTAATAAAGTAATACAAATAAGTTACTGCAGTTTTAAAAGTTTGTTTGAGAAGCTCAATCAAGTATATGAGAGGTCTGTGCCATGATAATGTCAAATTTTCATATGCCAGGCTGTTTTCCTTGTAATGTTGAAGTACCATCACTGTACAAGACGAAATAAGGCTTTCTTCAAAGGTGAGTGTCACCGACTGGTTTTCTGGATTTTCCCCCTAGGTATTCCCTTTAGTGCAAGGATGGGAGTTGAGAGTGTGTACCTGAATGCCTGTTTAATGTTATTATTTTCTATATTCCACAATGTCTCCACTTATTTTAGGCTTTAGCAGTCACTGTTACCGAAAAGTCTCCATTCTCTAATCTAGCACCAGAACTGCTTCCAATTTAGGTGGGAGAGGTTTTCTAAGTCAATGCCAAACGTATGTGGGTTATTCAATTAGTGTTTGTTAAATTGAACAGCCAATTGTCTTACTTGTTCCTTAGTTGTTCTCACCCAACTAACCATGTGTTATAAAACTACTATCAAAATCTAATAACTTGAAAGTTCTAGTTTATAATGAATCAGACCCTTCCAGGGTTTAATCTTTGAACACGAATGGTTAGGTACTTTTAGAAGCTATATTAACTCCATAAAACCGCCTGGGATCTATTTGGTAAATTGTTATTTCTGTGCTAATTTGCATGGCCGACTTGCTCTAATTTTTAGAAGGGATGGGAACTTGGTAGGGCATGATGAAAGAGCAGAGTTCTTGCGAATAGCTATATGTGAATGAGTCAAACTGTTATAAATGAACATCAGCTAGAACTTGATAGTTTACAAATATTTGTAATTAAGTGTGTAGGCTGAGTTAGTATAACAAAAAATACTTTAAAATATAGTGGTTCAAATAAAGTTAATGGAAATATTTGTTTTCCACATAAGAGCCTAGAGGTTATCAGAGTACACAACAGACAAATGAACTTGTGTTTTCTCAATTAGCTACCCAAATCAGTGGTGAACTGCTGAGGTAGAGGTGGCTACAACAACTCTCCTTCACCAGATCATCAGAGACTTGGGGTCCCTCCATCCTGCTGCCTTGCTGTGTTTTAAGGTGTTGTCTTTGTTCTGGTCCAAGATATCTCACATCGGTATATCTGCTTTCCAGCTTTTAGGAAGTAAGAATGGGGAGATCTGGAGTGGTAACACCTTTTTTTTTTTTTTTTTCAGGAACTGGAACTGGCGCTAATTGTTTCCATTCATATTCTGCTAGTGAAAACTTAGTCACATGGCCACTCCTAGCTGCAATAAGACTTGAAAAATGGGGTCTCTCCTGGACAGCCATGTGTCCTGTTAAACTTGGTGAGCTTTTATGGTTAAAAGGGCTAATGAGAACTTGTTCCTGAATGAAAAGGAGATTGGATGTGGTAGTGGTGACAGATCTTGGAGGTAATCTCATTTGAGCCCCACAGTGATCTAGTGGTTGAATGTTTACTGTTTTCTTCTATTTTAAAGAGAAAGCAACTAAAGCTTAGAAGAGAAAAATAAATTTAAATGTGTATCTGTTGTAATTGAAGCCTATGAATAATTTTTTTAAAAGATAAATAAATATCAGAATAAATATTAGGAGTGGTAAATGCCAGAATAAATAGCTGGAAGAGCTGAAAGTGAAAGCCTCTGGTGAACAGGGCTTGAGGATGGGCAGGAGACCACTGGTTTTCATTGTAAAATATTACGCATTTTAAATATTTGGGTTTAATCTGATTTGCTAAACTATGTGCATATTTTACTTTGATAAGAGTTAAAAATCTAAAGGAGAAATTAAAGTAAAACTATCGGTCATAATTTAGGCAGATTGATTTCACTTATCCCTAATGGCCCCTGATTGTACCAATCCTGTCTCTAAAAGTTATCTAGGGAATGCTAAATTCCAAGTTATGATATCATTTTGAAAATCGAAATGTCAAAAAAATCATCAATCATCTTGTTACAGGTAACTCAGTCCTTGCCACCTTCTCATCAAAAATTCACCACTGATTTGGGTACTTAGTTGGAGAGAACATAGTTCATTAGACCTGACGTTAGTGAACACTTCCAATCTCAGTGAGTAATAAGGACTTTTGCCACTTCTAGTCAGCTTGGTTAATGAGTGCAGTGAAGAAACCTAAAGACAGCCATGTCTTAGAGATTACTGTATGTTTAGTCAATATATAAAGCTTATATATAATACCCTTGACAACTTCATGGTCATTCAGCTTCTTCTCAAAACTTTCAGGTGATGGGGAGCTCACCATCTCACAAGACATTAATTCTGTCTCCTAAGAATATCCCAAATCTCTGCACTTCTCTCCATCTCCATGCACCCACTTTGTATCTCCCCTCCCCCATGCTACCCTCCATTCTTCACAGAACAGTTAGCATGATCTTAAAATTACAAATTTGATTTTGATACACTTCTACTTTCAGTGATTTCCCATTATCTTTAGGATAAAGACCTTTGCTCCCTTTTGAGTTTTTTTCCATGTGTTTTTTCTACTGTCTGGAACACTGTTCTGTTTTTCCTTCTTGCAATTGGATCAATTTTAATAGTTATGTTTAGTTGTCAACTTAATATTTCTTTCCTCTGGGAATCTTTTTTCTTAGGCCCTAGACTTAGATGTCCTATTATAAGCATTCCAGTAACATCCTTGTTTATTCCTGTAACAGTACTTACCTCACTGTACCAAAATTTTTTTGTTATTCCCTACAAATAGCAATTGCCATGAAGGAATGGGCTCAAGCTTGTTACATTCACTGTTGTATCTTCATTACCTTGCACTGTGCTTAGCATATGCTGGATTCTCAAATGAATGAATACATTCTTTTGCCAGAAGTCTTTTCTATATTTTATAAAATCGGTTTCCCTCTGGAGGCTAGAGAAAGTAATCTCTGTTCTAAAAGAGAGTCCTTCACATATTTTAAAGTCCTCTTGTCGTCTACCATTAAATCTTCTATATTCTTGGTTAAGTATTGATACTTTTAAGTTATCTCGCACAAAACATTTAAGTTTGAGGGAACACCATAAATAATAATTTTGCCCATATGACTTCAGAAAAAAATTGAAAGAGGGACAAAATTCACATGAATGGGAATTTATTGAAAATGCAATCTCTGTTAGATTATATGCTTAAGTGTGGGGCACCATGGGTTTGCCTCTACTTATACTCAGCTCCCATGAACCTGGACATTGGAACAGTGCAGTCATGAAACATTTGGGACCTTTTAGTTAGTACTTACACACTTTATAAGTATAAAAGATTAGCTCCACTCAATTCATGAATTAATTATTGTTATCCAGGAGTCAAATAAGTCATGACATGAGACCAGGAATGTCACCATATTGGAGTTCTCCCCATATGGAAATAGAAAGCAAAAAGAAAGGAATTTCTATTTTAAAGCTGTACTTAAGCCAGGCTTCCCATCCTACTTAATGCCACTAATTTTTATAACTTTAGTGGAGGACTTTATTTTTATTACTGTCAAATTTTATTGTTTAATTCAGGTCATAATTCTGGAGTATCAACTTTATTCTATATATTGATCTGCCACTTAATTTTTCATTATTCTTTCCAGCTTATAAACCATGCACTTGATAAAAAAGTTCTATCTTCATCAAAGTCATTGGTTATACTTTTCAACAGAATGATACAGAATCTTGTAATAGGCCACTGGAGACTGCTGACCAGTGTAAAATTGTGCCGGGGGGAAGTTATATCTGAAGGTACCACTATTTTTCACAGCCATTACAGGCACACCTTGGATGTATAGTGAGTTAATTTCCAGATCACTGCAAAAAAGCAAGTCACATGAACTTCTTGGTTTCCCAGTGTCTATAAAAGTTATATTTTCACTATACTATAGTTTATTAAGTGTGCAATAGATTACGTCTAAAAACACAGCATACATATCTTAATTTAAAAATACTTTATTGCTAAAAAATGCTAACAGTCATCTGAGCCTTCAGTTAATCATAATCTCTTTTCTGCTTGAGGGTTTTGCCACAGTATTGATGGCTGTTGACTGATCAGGGTGGTGGCTGGTGAAGGTTGGGTGGCTGTGGCAATTTTCTTAAAGTAAGACAATGAAACTCGATTGTCTTCTTCAATCAGTTGACTCTTCCTTTCACAAAAACATTTCTCTGTAGCATGTGATGCTATTTAATACATTTTACCCATAGTAGAACTTCTTTAAAAATTGGAGTCAACCTTCTCAAATTTTGTTTGGTGTTACTTTATGAATTAAATTTAGGTAATAGTATAAATCCTTTGTTGTTGTTTCAACAGTGTTCACATAATCTTCACCCGGAGTAAATTCTATCTCAAAAACGACTTTCTTTGCTCATCCGTAAAAAGCAACTTCATATCCATTCAGGTTAGATCATGAGATTGCAACAATTCATTAGTCACATCTTCAAGCCCCACTTCTAATTATACTTCTTTTACTATTTCTACCACATCTGCAGTTACTTCCTCTGCCGAAGTCCTAAACCCCCTAAGGCCTTCATGAAGGTTGGCATTAAGTTCTTCCAAACTCCTATTCATATTGAGATTTTGAACTTCTCCAATGAATCACAAATGTTCTTAGTGGCATTCAGAATGGTGAATCTCTTCCAGGTTTTCAACTGTCTTTGCCCACATTCATCAGAGGAATCACTGTTTGTGACAGCTATAGGCTTACAAAATGCATTTCTTAATAGGACTTACAGTTTAAATTACTCCTTGATCCATGGGCTGCAGAATGGATGTTAGGTTAGCAGGCATGAAAACAACACGAATCTCATGGTACCTCTCCAACAGTGCTCTTGGGTAAAGAGGTGCATTGTGAATGAGTAGTAAGATTTTGAAAGGAAATCTTTCTTAGCAGTAGGTCTCAAGAGTGAACTTAAAATATTCAGTAAACCATGCTATAATCAAGTGTTCTGTCATCCAGGCTTTGTTTTTCCATTTATAGAGCACAGGCAGAGTAGCTTTGGCATAATTCTTAAGGGCCTTAGGATTTCTGGAATGGCAAATGAGCATTGACTTCAACTTGAAGTCACCAGCTGTACAGACCCTAAGAAGAAAGTCAGCCTATCCTTTGAAGCCAGACATTCACTTTTCTTCAGCTCTGAAAGGCCTAGATGGCATCTTCTTCCAATAGAAGGCTGTTTCATCTACACTGAAAATCTATTGTAGAGTGTAGCCACCTTCATCAGTGTCCTTAAGTAGGTCTTCTGGATAGTTTGCTACAGCTTATCCATCAGCACTTGCTGTTTCACCTTGCAGTTTTATGTTATGAAGATAGTTCCTTCCCTTAAACCTCATGAACCAATTTCTGCTAGCTTCATTTTTTTTTTTCTGCAGCTTTCTCACCTCTTTTAGCCTTCATAGAATTGAAGAGAGTTGAAGCCTTGCTCTGGATTAGGCCTTGGTTTAAGGGAATGCTGTGGCTGGTTTGATCTTCTATTCAGACCACTCAAACTTTCTCCATATCATCAATAAGGCTGTTTGGCTTTCTTATCATTTGTGTGTACAGTGGATAAGCACTTTTAATTTTCTTCAAGAACTTTTCCTTTGCCACAGTTTGGCTATTTGGCACCAAAGGCCTAGCCTTTGACCTATCAGCCTTTGGCATGCCTTCCTCACTAAGTTCAGTCATTTCTGGCATTTGATTTAAAGTGAGAGACACGCAACTCATCACTTGAACATGTAGAAGCCAATTTAGGATTATTCATTGACATAACTTCAATACTGTGGTGTCATAGGGAATAAGCAGACCTGAGAAAAGGGAGAGATATGGGGAATATCTGGTCAGTAGACTAGTCAGAACACATACAACATTTATTAAGTTTGCCATCTTACATGGATTCTGTTTGTGGCATTGCAAACAATTACAACAGTAACATTAAAGATCCCTATAACAAATATAACAATGATTTAAAAGTTTGAAATATTGCTAGAATTACTAAAATGTGACACAGAGACCCAAAGTGAAAACCTACTGTTGAAAAAATGGCACTGATAGACTTGTTTGATGCAGAGTTGCTACAAACCTTCAATTTCTAAAAACCACAATATCTATGAAGCATCATAAAGCGAAGCACAATAAAATGAGTTATGTCTGTTTCTGCCCTTGATTTGTTGCACAGGGTAGTAAAAAACAGGAACCATGTGCTATTGTTTGAGGTCACAAAAAACCCCACACGTGCTATATCCATGCCTTATCACTGTTTGATCTTATCTGTAGATAACTTCACTTCACTTTAACTTTAATTTCCCTTAACTTTAACTTCACTTCCAATTAATGTTTTTTTTCAGCATAGAGGCATCATCTTAGTTCTATGATTATGTAAAAAAATGAATCAAGTTGAACACTTTTTGAATTCTCTTACTACAAATAATTTTCTGTAATCACTATAGTTCTTCATTTTCCAAGAAAAAGTCTCCATTGTGTGCTTTAGGGCCACTGGGTATATGGCTCTGCAGAGCTAATTCAATCTTTTTTTTTTTTGAGATGGAGTCTCGCTCTGTCACCCAGGCTGGAGGGCAGTGGTGTGATCTTGGCTCACTGCAATCTCCGGCTCCTGGGTTCAAGAGATTCTCCTGCCTCAGCCTTCTGAGTAGCTGAGATTACAGGCACGTGCCACCACACGCAGCTAATTTTTGTATTTTTAGTAGAGATGGGGTTTCACCACATTGACCAGGATGGTCTCAAACTCCTCACCTCAGCTGATCTGCCCGCCTCAGCCTCCCAAAGTGCTGGGATTTCAGGCGTGAGCCACTGTGCCTGGCCTAATTCAGTCTTTTTATTCCCTCTCTTTCTTACAGCTCTCTCAGTGAGGCAAGTAAATTATGATATGATTTACTCAAGGATTGTAGCACTTCACACATCTCATAAGTGAGACTGTGCCATTGTAGCTGTATCATCTTCAGCTTCCATATTTTTGCTACTAAGAAAATACCCAAGCTCTCTCTTTTTAAGAAACAAACAAAATTATATTGTTTGTTACTGAGTTTTATTATTCAATGCCAGAAAGTTGGTGGACACTTAAAAAAATCAGTATACTTTAGTAAAATTAATATATTTGAATAGAATCTCATTTAATTCTACTCCTAAAAAATTTAGCTATTTTCATTCAAAATTAATTAGTATACGTATTAAATATCTCATTTTTTTTATTATACTTTAAGTTCTAGGGTACATGTGCACAACGTGCAGGTGTGTTACATATGTATACATGTGCCATGTTGGTGTGCTGCACCCATTAACTCGTCATTTATATGAGGTATATCTCCTAATGCTATCTCTCCCCCCTCCCCCCACTCCACGACCGGCCCCAGTGTGTGACGTTCCCCTTCCTGTGTCCAAGTGTTCTCATTGTTCAATTCCCACCTATGAGTGAAAACATGCGGTGTTCGATTTTTTGTCCTTGGGATAGTTTGCTGAGAATGATGGCTTCCAGCTTTATCCATGTCCCTACACAGGACATGAACTCATCCTTTTTTATGCCTGCATAGTATTCCATGGTGTATATGTGCCACATTTTCTTAATCCAGTCTATCATTGATGGACATTTGGGTTGGTTCCAAGTCTTTGCTATTGTGAATAGTGCCACAATAAACATACACATGCATGTGTGTTTATAGCAGCATGATTTATAATCCTTTGGGTATATACCCAGTAATGGGATGGCTGGGTCAAATGGTATTTCTAGTTCTAGATCCTTGAGGAATCGCCACACTGTCTTCCACAATGGTTGAACTAGTTTACAGTCCCATCAACAGTGTAAAAGTGTTCCTATTTCTCCACATCCTCTCCAGCACCTGTTGTTTCCTGACTTTTTAATGATTGCCATTCTAACTGGTGTGAGATGGTATCTCATTGTGGTTTTGATTTGCATTTCTCTGATGGCCAGTGATGACGAGCATTTTTTCATGTGTCTGTTGGCTGCATAAATGTCTTCTTCTGAGAAGTGTCTGTTCATATCCTTCACCCACTTTTTGATGGGGTTGTTTATTTCTTGTAAATTTGTTTTTCTTTGTAGATTCTGGATATTAGCCTTTTGTCAGATGAGAAGATTGCAAAAATTTTCTCCCATTCTGTAGGTTGCCTGTTCACTCTGATGGTAATTTCTTTTGCTGTGCAGAAGCTCTTTAGTTTAATTGGATCCCATTTGTCAATTGTGGCTTTCGTTGCCATTGCTTTTGGTGTTTTAGACATGAAGTCCTTGCCCATGCCAATGTCCTGAATGGTATTGTCTAGGTTTTCTTCTAGGGTTTTTATGGTTTTAGGTCTAACATTTAAGTCTTTAATCCATCTTGAATTAATTTTTGTATAAGGTGTAAGGAAGGGATCCAGTTTCAGCTTTCTACATATGGCTAGCCAGTTTTCCCAGCACCATATTAAATAGGCAATCCTTTCCCCATTTCATGATTTTGTCAGGTTTGTCAAAGATCAGATGGTTGTAGATGTGTGGTATTATTTCTGAGGGCTCTGTTCTGTTCCATTGGTCTATATCTCTGTTTTGGTACCACTACCATGCTGTTTTGGTTACTGTAGCCTTGTAGTATAGTTTGAAGTCAGGTTAGATTTCAATTTTATACTGCATCTTTAAAACTCACCAAGAGCCACTGACATTTTTCTCATTGGAGTTATGGGAAATTTTATGTTATTTCAAGATAGCCTGTTCATTCCAAAATCTATTATTTTAGAGTAAAAAAATCTTTACACTTACATTAAAATATTCATGATGAAGCACATCTAGTCACCTGGAATGCATTTCATGCTGAATGATAATGCCTCATATTTGAACAATACATTACAATTGCAAAACAGTCTCAAATGTCTGTCTAATTTATCTAATTTGTTCTACACAATTATCCTGTGAAAATGGAGGATAGATACTATTTTTTTCCATTTCACAGGTCAGGTAACTGAACCTCACATAGGTTACCTTCCTTTGCTAGGGAGATATAGCTTGGGATAAGACTAGACCTGGGCCCTGGTCTCTGCTAAACCAGGGGTCCCCAACCCCCAGGCCACAGACTGGTACTGGCCTGTGGTGTATTAGGAACAGGGCCACACAGCAGGAGGATTAGTGGTAGGTAAACAAACATTACCACCTGAACTCTGTCTCCTGTCAGACGAGAGCATTAGGTTCCCATAGGAGCACGAACCCTATTGTGAACTGTGCATGCGAGGGATCTAGGTTGCATGCTGTTTATGAGAATCTAATGCCTGATGATGTGAGGTGGAACAGCTTCATCCTGAAAGCATCACCCCCACCACTGCTCACCTGTCCATGGAAAAGTTGTCTTCCATGAAATTGGTCCCTGGTGCCAAAAAGGTTGGGAACTGACTACTGCGCTAAACCCATTCACTCTACCGTGACCACCAGGAGCAGATGCTGTAATGAACACAAAAATAATGTTCTTTCTTACAATGACTTTATATTAAGTTAAATAAAAGATTAGGGGTGATCACCCATAATATTTGAAATAGTAATTATGTATTAAGACAGAGTTTCAAAAAATCAAAAATATGTAAATCATTTTGCCTAAAGTCTCCCAGTGCTAACTGCCATTTTGTTGTATCTATGTTGGTTACCATTTCAATCAATCAAATGCTGAGATAGGTGGCATGCATTGATGAGAACAGTAAGTGACATTTACCTAGCTCTTTGTGTGTGTCTGTGTGTGTGTACAGGCAGCTGTGATAAGGCTAAAGGCACTGAGGATCTAGAGTTTGAAGACCTGGGTCTTGCAAAACCATCACATTCAGTAGACAAGTGACTTTGGGTTCTGTACTCAGGTTTTCCTAAGTGTAAGGTGGAGATAATAAAATTTACTTTTATTATTGAGTTGGTGATCATATCTGAAAATATTCATGCAAGGTTTTGTAAACGCTAAAGTGCTCTACAAATGTTAGGTGTCATTATTATTAGTCCTGGATCATTTTCAGATTGGAGGAGAATACAATTCGGGTTGGCTTTGTTCTTGGAAAAGCCTGTATTAGTAAAATATAGTCCTTTTTGAACAAATATGTAGGCTACACCTAAGAATATAAAATTCATCTTCTGAAATGTTTGCTTATGCTTTTGTACCAATGTTCTAGAAATAAAGAAGAAATTGTTCTGGTCTTTTGCTGGGAACACAATATTCACCATATACTACTATAGTTACCTAAAACAAGACATAATTTGGTCACTGTGAAAGGATCCTTCCACTCAGATGGTTTACAGTAAGCATTGCTCCTATAAGGTCAAAATGTTGTCTTGTTGGTCTGCTTTCAAAAACAAAGCCAAACAGCTCAGACTTAGGAAAGTCATGCTAAGCATTGCTGCAATAGCAGAACCACTGGACTGAGCTTGGGCTGCAGCCTTCGCAGTTGTGGGCGAACAAGGGAAGGCAGAGGTTGCTTCCACTCAGATGGTTTAGAGTAAGTAGTACTTCTATAACGTCAAAATGTTGTCTTGTCGGTTTACTTTCAAACACAAAGTCAAACAGCTCACAGACTCAGAAAGGAAAGTCACGCTAAGGATTGCTGCGATAATAGAACCACTGGAATGAGCTTGGGCTGCAGGCTTCGCAGGTGTGGGCAAACAGTAGGAGGCAGAGCTAGCAGTCACAGCTTTAAACCTCTGTGCTGGTGTCCTGTCACCAATTACTCGTGCCACCAGAACACCCCACTGCTCTCTTGGAGGTGCACTGATAACCTTTTTAAGCTCTGGCTCCAATTTGCTACACACTGTGAAATTCTTATAGCTGTGTCTCCTGTGGCCTGATCTCACAGTGGCATTGTGATCACAGAAACTCACCCAAGAAGCAAATGCAAATTACCTTGAATTCTTCACTTGCTTTTCTCAAAATCCTTTTTGATCTCTCATCTGTGTATCTGTGCATTTCACCTGTTTCCATAGTCCTCTTAAAAGATTGACCTCCAGGTCTGTCCCAAGCTTTTCTTCACCTTCCCTTATATAGTCTTTCCTTCAGATTTTTTTTTTTTTAAGAGATGGGGTCTTGGTATGTTGCCCAGGTTGGTCTTGAGCTCCTGGGCTCAAGAGATATGCCCGCCTCGGCCTCCCAAAGCACTGGGATTACAGGCATAAGCCACAACGACCAGCCTTTTCCAAATTTTACATCTCTCTCTCTCTCTCTCTCTCACACACACACACACACACACACACACACACACACACACACATAAAATTGGTCTGGTAGGGCAGCAGCATTACCAAAGGGCAGGAAAGGGAAGACCCCCAGTGGACCAAGTCCAAGTCCTCATTCATGGGAGGAAGAAAGAGAATATTTGAGAATCTTCTTGATCTAATTTTGGCCCTTGACAGTTTTTTCTGTAGTTTTACCCTTAGAAAAGCTGAGATAAAGTAGAATACTCAAGGAGACTTTATTAAATATCAAGAGGACACATGAAAATAAACACAAAATAAATAAGAAATTTGCTTCTTCCTCTAACTCAAAAACATGCATTCAGGTTGCTGTGAATGTCATTTATTCATTCCTTTTTAAGGCTGAGTAGTAAGTATTCCATTAGATAGAGATGACAGATAGATAGATAGATAGATAGATAGATAGATAGATAGATAGATATTGCATATATACATATACACACACACAAACATATATATTGCATATATATATATATATATAGCAGCAAATTGTGCTGCTATAAACGTGTGCAATTATTTTTTCTTATAATGACTTATTTTCCTCTGGGTAGACACCCATTGGTGGGACTGTTAGATCAAATGGTAGTTCTAATTTTAGTTCTTTAAGGAATCTTCACACTGTTTTCCATAGTGGTTGTACTGGTTTACATTCCCACCAGCAGTGTACAAGTGTTCCCTTTTCACCACCAACATGCCAACATCTATTATTTTTTTATTTTTCGATAATGTTTATTCTTGCAGGAGTAAGGTGGTATCACATTGTGGTTTTGATTTGCACTTCCCTGGTCATTACTGATGTTGATTATTTTTCCATAAGTTTTTTGGCCATTTGTATATCTTCTTTTCACAATTGTCTAGTCATATCCTTAGCCCAATTTTGATGGGATTTTTTTTTCTTGCTAATTTGTTTGAGTTACTTGTAGATTCTGGATATTAGTCCTTTGTCAAATGTATAGACGGTGAAGATTTTCTCCCACCCTGTGGGTTCTCTGTTTACTCTGCTGACTGTTCTTTTTGCTGTGCAGAAACTCTTTGGTTTAATTAAGTCCCACCTATTTATCTTTGTTTTTGCTGCATTTACTTTTGGGTTCTTGGTCATGAAGTCTTTGCCTAAGTATTGTCTAGAGGGTTTTTCCGATGTTATCTTCTAGAATTTTTGTAGTTTCAGGTCTTAGATTTAAGTCCTTAATCCATCTTCAGTTGATTTTTGTATAAGGTAAGAGATGAGGAGGCTGGGCATGGTGGCTCATGCCTGTAATCCCAGCACTTTGGGAGGCCAAGGCAGGCAGATCACGAGGTCAGGAGTTCGAGACCAGCCTGGCCAATATGGTAAAACCCTGTCTCTACTAAAAATACAAAAAATTAGTCGGGCCTGGTGGCACGTGCCTGTAGTCCCAGCTACTTGGGAGGCTGAGGCAGAAGAATCGCTTGAACCCAGGAGGCGGAGGTTGCAGTGAGCCAAGATAGTGCCACTGCACTCTAGCCTGGGTGACAGAGTGAGACTCCATCTCAAAAAAAAAAAAAAAAAAAAAAACAGAGATGAGGATCCAGTTTCATTCTCCTACATGTAGTTCACCAATTATCTCAGCACCATTTGTTGAATAGGGTGTCCTTTCCCCACTTTATGTTTTTGTTTGCTTTGTCAAAGATGAGTTGTCTTTAAGTATTTGGTTTTATTTCTGGGTTCCCTATTCTGTTCCATTGGTCTACATGCCTATTTTTATATCAGTACCATGCTTTTTTGGTGACTGTGGCCTTATAGTATAGTTTGAAGTCAGGTGATGTGATGCCTCCAGATTTGTTCTTTTTGCTTAGTCTTGCTTTGGCTATGTGGGCTCTTTTTTGGTTTCATATAAATTTTAGGATTTTTTTTCAAGTTATATGAAGAATGATGGCAGTATTTTTATTTGAAGTGCATTGAATTTCTAGATTGCTTTTGGCAATATGGTTATTTTCACAATATTGATTCTACCCATCCATGAGCATGGGATGTGTTTCCATTTGTGTGTGTCATCTATGATTTCTTTAAGCAGCGTTTTGTAGTTTTCCTTGTAGA
The DNA here is from genome assembly GCF_000001405.40 of Homo sapiens. Classification (NCBI taxonomy): domain Eukaryota; kingdom Metazoa; phylum Chordata; class Mammalia; order Primates; family Hominidae; genus Homo; species Homo sapiens. The sequence goes on from NC_000018.10 coordinate 4,621,924, forward strand.
GGTCTTTCATGTCCTTGATTAGGCATATTCCTAAGTATTTTATTTTTTATCTTTCCAGCTACTGTAAAAGGGGTTGGGTTCTTGATGTGATGATTTGATTCTCAGCTTGGTCATTGTTGGTGTATAGCAGAGCTACTGATTTGTGTACAACAATTTTGTATCCTGAAACTGCTGAATTCATTTATCAGTTTTAGGAGCTTTTTGGAGGAGTCTTTAGGATTTTCTAGGTATGTGATCATATCATCAGCAAACAGCAACAGTTTGACTTCCTCTTTACTCATTTAGATGCTTTTTATTTATTTGTCTTGTCTGATTGCTCTGGCTAGGACTTCCAGTACTTTGCTGAAGAGGAGTGGTGAGAGTGGGCATCCTTGGTTTTCTTCCAGTTCTTGGAGGGAATTCTTTCAACTTTTCCCTACTCAGTATTATGTTGACTGTGGGTTCGTCATAGATGGCTTTTATTACATTGAAGTATGTCCCTTTTATGCTGATTTTGCGAGAGTGTTAATCATAAAGGAATGTTGGATTTTGTCAAATGCTTTTTCTGCATTTATTGAGATGATCATGTGATTTTTATTTTTAATTCTGTTTATGTGGTATATCACATTTTTTGACTTGTGTATGTTTAACCATCTCTGCATCCCTGGTATGAAACCCACTTGATCACAGTGGATTATCTTTCTGATATGCTGTTGGATTCAGTTAGCTAGTATTTTGTTAAGGATTTTTGCATCTATGTTCATCTGGGATATTGTTTTGTAGTTTTCTTTTTTTGTTATGTCCTTACCTGGTTTTGGTATTAGGGTGATACTGACTTCATAGAATGACTTAGGGAGGATTCTCTCTCTGTCTTGTGGAATAACATCAATAGGATTCTTATCAATTCTTTTTTGAATGTTTCACGGAATTCAGCTGTGAATCCATCTGGTCCTGGAAGTTTTTTGTTGGTAATATTTTTATTACCACTTCAATCTCACTGCTTCTTATTGGTCGGTTCAGGGTTTCTAATTCTTCCTGCTTTAGGCTAGGGGGATTGTATGTTTCCAGGAATTTATCCATTTCCTTTAGGTTTTGTAGTTTATGCACTTAAAGGTGTTCATAGTAGCCTTGAATGATCTTTTGCTTCTAATTGTGCTTATTTAGGTTTTCTATCTGCTTTTCTTGATTAATCTTGCCAATGGCCTATCAATGTTTATTTATCTTTTCAAAAAATCAGCTTTTTGTTTTATTTAGCTTTTGTAGATTTTTTGTTTCAATTTCATTTAGTTCTGCTCTGATCTTGGTTCTTTTGTTCTGCTGCATTTGGGTTTGGTTTATTCTTGTTTCTCTAGTTCCTTGAGGAATGACGTTAGATTGTCTGTTGGTGCTCTTTCGGACTCTTTGATGTAGGCGTTTAAGGCTATGAACTTTCCTCTTAGCACCGTCTTCGCTGGATCCCAGCCATTTTGATTGATAGGTTGTGTCACTATTTTCACTCAGTTCAAATAATTTTTTAATTGCCATCTTGATTTCATTGTTGACCCAATGATCATTCAGAAGCAGGTTATTTAATTTCCATGTATTTGCATGGTTTTGAAGATTCCTTTTGGAGTTGATCTCCAATTTGATTTCACTGTGCTCTGAGAGAGTCCTTAATATAATTTCAATTTAATTAAATTTATTGAGACATGTTTGTGGTCTATTATATGATCTACCTTGAAGAAATTTCCATGCACTGATGAATAGGATGTATATCCTGCAGTTGTTGGGTAGAATGTTCTGTAAATATCTATTAAGGCCATTTGTTCTAGGATATAGCTTAAATCCATTGTTTCTTTGTTGACTTTCTGTCTTGATGACCTGTCTAGTGCTGTCAGTGGAGTATCAAAGTCCCCCACTATTATTGTGTTGCTGTCTATATCATTTCTTAGGTCTAGTAGGAATTGTTTTATAAATTTGGAGTGTCTAGTGTTAGGTGCAAATATATTTAGGATTGTGATATTTTCCTGTTGGACAAGGCCTTTATCATAATATAATGTCCCTCTTTGTCTTTTTAAACTGCTGTTGCTTTAAAGTTTGTTTTGTGTAATATAAGAATAGCTACTCCCATTCACTTTTGGTGTCCATTTGCATAGAATGTCTTTTTTCCACCCCTTTACCTTGAGTTTACATAAGTCTGTATGTGAGATGAGTCTCTTGAAGAGAGCAGATACTTGGTTGGTGAATTCTTATTCATTCTGCAATTCTGTATATTTTAAGTGGAGCATTTAGACCATTTACATTCAACATTAGTATTGAGATTTGAGGTACTATTCCATTCATCATGCTATTTGTTGCCTGAATACCTGGGGCATTTTTTATCATATTTTTGTTTTACAGATCCTGTGAGACTCATGCTTCAAAGAGGTTCTGTTTTGATGTGTTTCCAGGATTTGTTTCAAGATTTAGAACCCATTTTACAAGTTCTTATAGTGCTGGCTTGATAGTGGCAGATTCTCTTAGCATTTGTTTGTCTGAAAAAGACTGTATCTTTCCTTTATTTATGAAGCTTAGTTTCACTGGTTACGAAATTCTTGACTGATAATTGTTTTCTTTAAGGAGGCTAAAGATAGGGCCCCAATCCATTCTAGTTTGTAGGGTTTCTGCTGATAAATTTGCTCTTACTCTGATAGGTTTTTCTTTATAGGTTACCTGGTGCTTTTGCCTCACAGCTCTTAAGATTCTTTCCTTCTTCTTGACTTTAGATAACCTGATGACTATTTCCTAGGAAATGAAATTTTTGTGATGAATTTCCCATGTGTGACTTGAGCTTCTTATATTTGGATGTCTAGATCTCTAGCAAGGCCAGAGAAGTTTTCCTTGATTACTTGCCCAATTATCTTTTCCAAATTTTTAGATTTCTCTTTTTTTCCTCAGGAATGCCAATTATTTTAGGTTTGGTTATTTAACATAATCCCAAACTTCTTGGAGGCTTTGTTCATTTTTTTAATTATTCTTTTTTCTTTGTCTTTGTTGGATTGGATTTTTTTGAAAACATTGTCTTTGAGTTCTGAAATTCTTTCTTCTGCTTATTCAATTCTATTGCTGAGACTTTCCTGTATATTTTGCATTTCTCTAAGTGAGTCCTTTACTTCCTGAAGTTGTGATTGTTTTTTATTTATGCTATTTCACTGAAGATTTCTTCCCTCATATTTTGTATCTTTTTTTTTAAATTTACTTAATTTGGACTTCACCTTTCTTTGGTGCCTCCTTGATTAGCTTAACAATCAACCTTCTGAATTCTTTTACTGTCAGTTAAGGGATTTCTTCTTGGTTTGGATCCATTGCTGGTAAGCTAGTGTGATTTTTTTCGGGGTGTTAAAGTACCTTGTTTTGTCATATTACCAGAATTGTTTTTCTGGTTCCTTCTCATTTGGGTGGGCTATGTCAAAGGGAAGATCTGGGTCTCCAGGCTGCTGTTCACATTGTTTTGTCCTATGGGGTGCTCCCTTTATGTAGTACTCTATCTCTTTTCCTAAAGATGTGGCTTCCTGAGAACCTAACTGTGGTGACTGTTATTTCTCTTCTTAATCTAGCCACCCAGCAGGGCTACCAGGCTCCAGGCTGGTACTGGGGGTATCTGCACAGAGTCGTGTGATGTGAACTGTCTTCAGGTCTCTCAGTTGTGGATACCAGCACCTGCTCCAGTGGAGGTGGCAGGGGAGTGAAATGGACTCTGTTGAGGGTTCTTAGCTGTATTATTGTTGTTTATTGCACCAGTTTTGTGCTGGTTGTCCTCCTGCCAGGAGGTGGTGCTTTCAAGAGAGCATCAGCTGTGGTAGTATAGGCAGGATCAGGCAATGGGCAAGGCCAGTATTTGGGTTGTCTCTCGGGTCCTAAAGGAGCAATCAGCTTCCTTCTAAGGGCCTGTGGATTCTCTTGGCTTTCCTGGTATACTCCTGCAGTAGTTTTTGGAGCAAAAATTCATGATGCGAGTCTCCATAAACTGCTCTGGCTGTCTGAGTGGGAGCTGCAATTTAGTCCTGCCTCCTATCCATTTTATATTCTTTCTCTTCAGCTTTTTCCTTTTTAAATAAAACTGTTTTACTTTTCTTATTGATTAAGAAAGTATTTCCCAAACCTGTTTTCAGGTTTTTTTGTTGGTGATGTATTGAAAATATATTTCCACAATCTGTGGCTTTCCTTTCCCCTGTTTTAAGGTTAAATTTCAATGATTAAAAAAATTAACGTAGCAAAACTTATCCATCTTTCTCTGCTTTTTATTGTTTTCTAGATCTTCTTTTAAAAATATTTTCTATCTGGAGATAATAAAGATTATTCTATATTTGTAACAGATTTATTATTTTGATTTTCTTCCTTAGGTCTACTATGAACATAAATTGATTTTGTGTGTGTGCATGAAGTAAGGTAGAGGATAGTTTTTTCTTTTTTCCAGTATGGATAGCGAACAGTTCAGGCATCATTTCTCAAAAAGACTATCTTTCTCTCCCACTTCTGCAGTGCCACCTTTATCATAAATCAAGTGTCCATGGTCACTGGGATCTGTTTCTATTCTGCTTTACTTGGTTCTTCTGTCTTTGTGCCAGGACCGCACTTTAATTTCTGTAGCTTTATGTTAAATGCTGGCAGTATAGCAGGTCCTCTCTTCTCAACTCTTCCAGAGTTTCTTCACTATTTTCTATCATTGTACTTCATATACATTTTAGAATCAACCTTTCAAGCTCCACCAAAAAATAGTTTATATTAAATAAAAAGTTCAGATTTTGACTAAAATTGCACACTGGAACTACGAGTCAATTTGACAACATTTACAATATTGAATCTACCAATCCATAAACATGGTTTATCCCCTCTCCCCATTTCTTTGGATATTTCTTTCACTACAGTTTTATAGTTTCTTTTTTTGGTCAAAACGTGCATACTTTAGGACGTAATATTCCTAAATACTTAATAATGTATCTCTAGATTCTTCTGCATTCTCTAAATATTCAAACACAATAATAACATTTTTATTTTGTCCTTTCAATTCTTAAAACTTTATTATTCTGTCTTATTGCCCTGGCCAAGACTTCCAGTGCAATGCTGAACAGAACCAGATATAGCAGGCATCTTTCTTTTTAGTCAATCTCAAGGAAAGCACTTGATGTCTCTAAACAGATACTCTTCCTTGAATTAAAAACAGCCCTACTATTAAATATTTCAGTCTTTAAAAAAATCAATTAAAAGAAGAGGGTAATATGTACTTCACAAGATTGTTTTATGTATTTAAAAAGATACTTTACATATAGTGTCTGGTGTAGATATCGCCTTAAAAATGGAAGCTTGTCTTATTACTAAGTCTTGAGTGGTGAGGACCATGGGCAAGGGAAAGTCCCCTTCAGAATAACCAAAAGATGTGAGTACAGCAAATTATATCTGATATGTTCATTCTATTTTGAAATTAATTATAAAGGAAGACAATCTCTCTTTGTAACTAAAACCAGACTTCATGTCCCAGTTCCCTACCCCACACTCTAACCTGAGGTGCTCATAAAGGTGAAGGTTACGAGGCTAAGGTGGGACTGTGAATTCATGTCACACTGCACTGCAGGGCTCTGGACTGCTCACACGTACATTTCACCCTGTTATTCCTGAGGCGTTTTTGGTTTGCAAAAACAATGGAAAGGCAGAAAGTGACCTAGTTGGAGTTGGGAGAGGCGGGAAAAACGTTCTCAGCATAGTTTTGAAGATCATCTCCTCCTCCATAGGTGAGCCACAGACACAGATGCTAGTTGTATCGGAAGTTGGCAGATGTTCTAAAGAAGAGGGTGAAGGATGAAGAGGTGGGAGCTTCTGTTCTAGGCTAGGCTGTGATGTTCCTACTTGCTCTTTTAAATATATTCTTTCTTCAGTCAGTAGCTCACAGAAATAACAATGGCCTCAAACACCCACTCTCCCTCCTCACATCTGCCTAACCTTCTATCCTTCTTAAAAGTAATGTGTTTCACTGCTTTGGGAAATTTTGAAAGAAAACGAGGCTTTTCAACCCCAATTTAAAAATTATTGACCATGTTCTACCAAGTGTTCACACTCTCAATCCCCAATAGAGACTAAATATAAATTTCCTGAAAAGCAAAAATGTATACTGTGTGATTCAGGTATATATACCTGAATATATGTGCATATATACCTGAATCTGTGATAATATAAAAGACAGGCAGTATGAACTGGGACTATAAAGAGTTGAGAAAAGGGTTGCTTGTGGTGTCTATTAGGGACGAAACACTAACAATACTTGGAATAATTTTCTATGAGGAGTAAGTGAAGAGCCAAAATTAGAAGTGAATTGCAGATCATAACCATGAATAGTGGAATGGCGTTGCCATTAACAAACATGAGGAACCCTGGAGGCGACGTGAGTTTGGGAGGCCAAATTCTGAATGTAATTTAGGGCATGCTGCATTGGAATCAAGAGGCTATTAGGTAAAGACACAAAAGTGACTATAGGGCTATTTTGAGAGAATGTATCAAGATCATACATATATGTAAATATATGTCTATACATATATGTGAGTGTATGGGTACACACATGGCTAAACATAAAACCAGTGATCTTGATGAATAGACCTTATCAGTTTACAGCAGGTCCTAGGATAAGGTTGTTTCATAACAATATTGATGAGAAAAAACAAACTGGTTCCTGACCAGGACCACTGTCTGTGTGGAGTTTGCACATTCTCCTCGCATCTCTGTGGGCTTTCTTCTGGTTACCTCCCACATCCCAAAGCTGTGTGAGTGAGTATGGGGTGTGTGTGACTGAGTGGCCCTGCAAGGGTGGTATCCTGTCCAGGCCTGGCCCCGCCTTACACCCTGATCTGCCAGGACAGGCTCGGCCACCTATGACTCTGAACTGAAACATTTGGGTATTAATGATCTTTCTTGTTTTTCTTAATCTTTCTTAAATGTGTGTATAGCTCACATTTATTTCAATGTTTAAAATTAGAAGTGTTTTGGCCTTTATTTAGAAATTTGTTGATGTTTTTGTGACCAGACATACACCACAGGAACTAAACTTTTGTTTATATCAATTAGCCTATGGAAAATTGGTTTCATTATACATTGTTTCATGTAAAGTCGCGCTTTCCAAGAGCCTATGAATGAGGTTAAGTGAGTCCTGCTGTATTTTATTGATTTACTCATTTTCAGTGTGTATCTCCCTCCACTGGAATGTGAGGCCGTGACAGCAGGGTATTGTCTGGATTTGTCCAAAGCACCCAGAACAATGCCTGGCAGAGAGTAGTCATTTAGTTTCCAAATATTCCAGATCTATGAATATTAATTAAGGGCATAGAAAACCATATTTGTTACATTTTCAAACATCATAGTCCATTTCTTTACAGGATACACATTTGTTCTTAAAGAACTTGGAACCTAGGAAAATAAATTCTAGGGTTTTTTTATTTCAATAACAAAGAGTAAATACGTAACCTATGCTGTATATAATAATTTAACAAAATATGCCTTTAGAGGCAAGATACAAACACATCCAGTGTGAAGTCTCTGTCTGTGCTATTTGCTTTCCAGACAGATTTTTCTCTCTTAGTAAATTCTCTGACCAAGGTATATACCATCATGTACATTAATAATAACTTCACGCCCATCCTCCACCACCAGGTTATTATCTTAAGACATAATTTATTAATCAAATGGATAATAAGCATTCCATTTTTTGTTTTCAATTGCTTTTACCTTTGAGTTAGCTATATGTCATTGATGCCAATATATTTGGACATAAGAAATCTTAGCCTTTTTTATTCAGTATAAATCTTGAAAATATGTTTTTGAAACAACTCTATCAGTATCTAAAATCATTCAGCAAGTCTAACTTCTTAACGTTTTCTTCCAACAGCATGGCACTATTGTTCAAAATTAGTCCTATAAACTAGGTTCTACAGGAAAGTCATTTAAGATTCTTGAAAAGGGAGCAATTGGGGTATTGTCATGGCAGGACTTAGCCTGAAGTTATCTAAAGGGCAGATAAGTTATTTGGGAGATCAACACATTAAATTTCACTTTTATCATCAAATATGTTTGGACACCATTTCCTGAAATATTTTTATGTTGCCTAAAACTTAAGATCTACCCCAAGTTAAAGCTGTTCTGCAAAATGGAGTACAAGGACAGCTTAAATGATGTTACTAATATTCTCTGTTTTGAATGGGGGGTTCATTCTGCTAAAACCACTGATCAAATTGAATACTAATATGTTGCAATGCGCTTAATGGGCTCAAAGTAAACGTATGTTGAATTAATAATCAAAAGTATCTGTTGTAACTTCTTTGCATAATGTTAATAAAATTGTTAGAGAAAGCAGATAAGCAAGCTCCCATACCTAGTGAGAAAATTCTCAGCAGCAGTGAAATGATGCAGAAGCTGGAAGCAGAAGGTTAAAGAAATTATGATATTCTGTAAACTATAACTGTTACCTATTTTACTTTTATATTATGGGATGTTTACAGTAGTAAACATTATTATTATTATTAGCCTATAATATACAGTATATCTAGGCAACGGCCCATGATCTAAGAATTGCTTTTACATTTTTAAATTGGTATTAGAAAAAGAAGAAAGGAGGAGAAAGAGGAGGAGGAGGGTGCAGTTTTACCAATAAAGACCACATGTGGTCCACAAAGCCTAAAATGTTTGCTATCTGTCCCTTTGCAGAAGAAGTTTGCCAACTCCTAATCTAGAAAATTGTAGCCTTCAAATGTGCCAATGTAGTTGTACATTTTTTTAGTGAAATATGTCCACAGTATATTAAACTGAAAAATCAAGTTAACGATACTTGTAAAAAGGTATATAAAGACATATACACAATATAGATACACATATTCATATATATATACACACACATATTCCATGTACATAAATATATATGGAAAAAGTATAGTATAGATACGGTTGTTAAAACTGATTTTCTTTGAATGATAAAATTATGAGAAATTGTAATTTTTTTTCCAAATCAATTCTTCTCTTAGTTTTTAGTATAGTAAGAATAAAGGATTTTCTTTTTTGCTACATGAGGGTTGATAATATGCACATATACCTCTCAATAAGAGGAGTGATGCTTGAAGAAAAAGCAGGAAAGCTGGTCATGTAGGCAGTAAACACCTGACTCCAATGCTGGCTGTTTATGTTGATAACAAAAATTGAAGCAAATGCGGAGTCTTTGAGTTTCATTATGTCCATTGTGTGATGGCTGCAGGGTACAAAGATACACAGTCCCTTCTCTCCTAGACCCCCTTGACTGTACTTTGAGAGGTTTCTTTTTTGTCTTTATTTTCTAGTGGGCCAGGGAACACTCTTAGCTTTTGCTAGACACTGCCTAATAGCAACATGAGGCTCAAGCAACCAAGTGCCACAATGCAGGTGGGCTATTCAGTAACCGTACAGTCTTTCACATGAAAGCATTACCCTTCCAGAGATCCATCCCTGTGGTAGAAGTGGTGCACAACCAGGAAAAACTCAGTCAGGAGTTCCAAGCACCCCACAGCCTCCTGGTGGTGGCAGAAAACTATCAATAGGAAGGCAACTACACCAGCAGGGCCTTCGATGGCTCCAACACTTTATCAAGCAAGATATGCTCAAAAGCTTGGCTGTTCCTGCAACAGGAGGCTGCCGGCAGGGTGCGCGGGGCAGTGTACAGGAGTACCATGGTCAGCATGATATCCTCAAACAGACTGCTACCTCTCACGGAGGAACTGGTGCAGCTGATTACCTATGTGTTTGAGAATTCTTTTAAATATATGTTTCTGATCTGCCATTATTGTTTCATACTATTCTTCATCTATAAACCAAGGTTATCATGGTTTATAGATGCTTCTGTAAGCCAAGTTAGAGACCTAATGCTCTTTAAGGGCCTCCAGCTACAGACACTTATTGTCATCATCTGCCAAATGCCTTCAACAATCGAAAGGTTTAACTATTATAACTTTGCTTTCCCTTTAAAATTCTAACTTAAAGCTTTGTCTTTGTTTAACTGGTTTTCTTCTGAATATAGAAATATAGTGAAAAGAGAGAAAATATGCTAGTTTCTATCTCTAAAAAAAAATGGGTTGTTCTATTGCTTGGAGGTTGGTTCTTTAAATGACTCTGATCACTGACAGTACAGAAATCATGTTTTTCAATTTTTGCAGCTTTTAGATGTATGTGAACTTCTAAAGTTATTGCAGAGTGAACCAGTAAGATCGCTAATGGATTTTTATCACTTTATTGAGGAGATACGATATTTGGTGCATGTTTAGAAATAGTTGATATGTGTCTTCATACATATAAATTTGCATAAATTTGTGGAAATCTTAAATGTTTGGCACAGAAGGACTTTACATGATAATCTTTCAAAAGCCACAGTTACAGTCTCACAAATTAAAAGATCTAATAAAAGAAAAATTTAAACTTAAACAAAACTCTCAATTTCTGCAGGGCAATAGAAGATCAAAACACTGCTTTTCTTTTTACAATAGAGAAAAACTGAATTACTTAATCAGACACTGCTGATTGTTTTTATCGGCTGATGTTTTTATCGGCTAAGTCTTGTTTGCAAGCTATAGAAATCACTCTACTTAGCTTAGCATAAGGACATTTGTTGGAAGAATAATTCAGCCTTGCAGACTTGGTAGAGGAATGGCAGAATCAAAAGGAAACTGGAGGCATTTTTGCTTCCAACCAATATGGAATATACAAGACCAGATTTACCTTCCTGCCAGAAATATTCACAAAACAAACAAAATATATGAAAGCATGGTTTTCTAATCGCTTAGATGTCAGGCCATCAAGGACGTTTCTAAGAGGCAGGAAACAAATGAGGTAAGTCCCATGATTGTCCCAGCTTACAGCTAAAGAGAGTTTCCAGGTCACAGTGCAGGGAAGGGGAAATGCAAGTAAACCCTCTAGATTGAGGAAACAAATCTCAGAGTCCAGGGAGAAAAAGGCAGCTAGAGTTCACAGGACAAAGTGCAGGAGAGGAGAGATCTTTCAGAGAGACAACGCCAGAAATTTTCACAGGGTCCTCTGAGTATGCAGCTGAGTACTCATGAAGGCAAGCATATGAGATTTGATGAAGGCATGCATGTGAGGAGATTATCTGAGGGCAGCGAAGGAATTATCAGAAAGGATTGGAGAGGACACCACCTGAGCCAGGAACAGTGACATTTCTGACTGAGTGAAAACCTCTTGAGTAGGTATGTAGAACATTTTGCCTCAGTGGTGAAGAATAATAAACCATAGACTGAGCTCTGCTCTGGTCCAGGTTTACAACTCATAGAAGTAAGATTCAAACGCAGGGATCAAGCCTGTGGGCCAACTCCAGTGTGTGGTCTATTTTTGTATGGCCTGCAAGCCAAGAATGTTTTGTTTATTTTTAATTTTTATTATTTTTGACTTGTAAAAAAGTTGTAAGAAAATAAAATATAAAGAAAAATATTCAATAGGGACCAAGTATGGCCAACAAAGCTTAATATCCATTTGTCTCTTTATAGAGAAAGTTAACTGACGCATGCTCAAACTTTTCAAGCAGCTTAACTACCTCACAGAATGAAGCTAAAGAATACTTACATAAAAAGATAAATATACAAAGTTCAGCACAGTAAATTCACAAAGACTGGCATCCAACAAAAAATTGCAAGTCATACAACGAAACAAGAAAATATGACCAATAATATGGAGAAATAAATTAATAAAAAATGACCCAGAACTGACATGGATGTTAAAAGGGAACATTATAGCAGTTACTTTAATGTGGTTCATATGTTCAAATAATGTTTTCTTTTTTAAATCCAAATTGAACTTCTAAATAGAAAACTGAACTGAATCTGTGAGATAAAACACAAACTGGAAAGGATTAAAGGCAGATTAGATACTATATAAGAAAATATTTGTAAACTTGAAGCTACAGCAAGAGAAATCTTCCAAAATGAAATACAGTGAGAAACAGGGGATGTGGGAGGAGAAGAACATGAGCACACTGTGGGACAACACACCATCTAATAATGTGTTCTTGGAGTCCCCAAAAGAGACGAAAAATAGAGGGACAGAAATTAAAAAAAAACTGCTAAAATTTTCAAATGTGATGAAAGCAATAAATCTACACATTTAAGTTCAAAGAACCCCAAATGAAATAAATAGGAATAAAACAACACTAAGACACATCATAATCAAAATGTTCAAAACCAGTGATTAAGAGACCACATTAAAAGCATTCAGATGTAATGAGTAGAAAACAAATAGCAAGATGAAGGATTTAATCCTAATTATATCAATAAAACATTACATGTAAATGGCCTAGATAACACAATTAAAAGATTTGAATATGAAATAAAAGAGTCAAGACAATTTAAATATAAATACATAAAGGTTTAAAGTAAAAGGATAAAAAAAGACAACATGCCAACAGTAGTCAAAAGAAACCTGAAGTCGCTATATTAATATCTGACAAAGTAGACTTCAAAAAGTATTACCAATGATAAAGCAAGCTATTTCATAATAATAGGATAATTCATGAAGAGTGTATATTAATCCCCATGGCTATATACCTAACAGTTTTTAAATACATAAAGCAAAAATGAATAGAACTAAAAAGAAGAATAGATAAAAAATTAACTTAAAGAAACATAGCTCCAAATAGAAAACCTAAAACTGTAGAACTGTAGAACTATAGTTCTATAAAACTATATGACAGAAATTATAGGACAAAACTGTGGATTAAGCAAATATTTTTAGCTATGACACAAAAATCACAATTTATTAGAAGAATAGATCTCAAAAGCATAGGCAACAAAAGTAAAAATAGACAGATTACATCAAGCTAAAAAGCTTCCACACAGCAAAAGAAATAATCACAAGGTAAACAGACAACCCAAAGAATGGGAGAAAATATTTGCAAACTATCCACCTGATAAGGGATTAATGACCAGAATATATAAGGAACTCAATTCAATAGCAACAACAACAAAAACCCCTCAAATATTAACAAATGAGCAAAAGACCTGAATGGACATTTCTCAAAGGAAGACAAACAGATGGTCAACAGGTATGTGAAAATTGATCAACATCACTCATGAGAAAAACGCAAATCAAAACCACAATAAAATATTATCTCACCGTAGTTAACTGGCTTTCATCAAAAAGACAGAGAATAACAAATGCTGGCCAGGATGTAGAGAAAGAGGAACCTTTGTACACTGTTGGTGGGAATGTAGGTTAGCATAGCCACTACGGATAATGGTATGGAGGTTCCTCAAAAACTAAAAATAAAACTACATGTGATCCAGAAATTCTACTACTTGGTATATATCCAAAAGAAAAGAAATCAATCTATTGAAGAGATAAACACACTCCCATGATTATTGCAGCACTATTCACAATAGGCAAAATGTGTCTATTGATGGACAAATGGATATAGAAACTGTGGCACATACATAAAAGGGAATATTACTCAGCCATAAAAAGAATGAAATCCTATTATTTGCAGCAACACAAATAAAACTGGAGGTCATTATGTTAAGTGAAAGACAATTATCACATGTTCTTACATGTGGGAGCTAAAAATGTGGATTTCATGAAGATAGAGAATAGATTGATGGTTACCAGATACCAGGAAGGGTAGGGAAAAGAGATGAATAAAGAGAGGTTGATTAATGGTTACACATATAGTGTTTGATAGAAGAAATAAGAACTGGTGTTCAATGTATCAATAGGGCGGCTATAGTTAACATTAATCTATTGTACATTTCAAACACATAGAAGAGAATAATTCAAATGTTCCTAGCATACAGAAAAGATAAATATTTAAGGTGATGAATACCTCAATTACCCCAATTTGATTATATGAATGTATCAAATGATCACATGTACCTTGAAAATATGGACATCTATTATGTATCAATACAAATTAAATTGTATAAGCCTATAATTAAATTATAAAAAATAAATAAATACAAATAAATGTTTCAAAAGAGAAGAATACTTGCTAAACTGGAGTTAATCAAAAGTAAAAACTTTTACTTTAGACACTTAACAGAGTAAAAAGGCACAAGCTGTAAGAAAGTCTTTGCAAATCATATATTTAATTTGAAAAAAGCCAAACTTCTACCCAGAATATATACAGAACTCAAAACCCTAAAAACCCCATAACCCAATAAAAAAATGGGACAATGATTTGAACAGGCACTCCTTAAAGAATAATATATGGGAGGATAAGCACATAAAATATACTCAACATTATTAGTCATTATATCAATTCAAATTAAAACCACAATGAGTCAACCTTGTACACTTTGTAGACTGGCTAAAGTTAATAAGATTAACCATACCAAGTATTGGGAAAGCTGTGAGGACCTGGAACTTTTGTATACTGCTGGTGGGAATGTAAACAGCACAACCATTTTGGAAAACAATTAGGCTGGTTTTAAATTTTTAAAAAACAGACATACCATATGATGTAGCCATTCCATTCGTAGGTATTTATCCAAGAGAAACGAAAGCACGTGCCTGTATAAAATGTAGTCCATAAACGATCATAACAACTTCATTTTTAATATCCTAAAACTTGAAATAAAAATCCAAATTTCTATCAACAGGCGAATGTATAAACAAACTATTATGTATTTATACAATAGTATCATACCCAGCAATAAAAAGGAATAAACTACAGACACACACCAAAACATGGATGGATTTCAAAATGCTTATATTGAGTAAAAGAAGAAAGAGAAAAACACACTCATATTGTATGATTCTATTCATACAAGATTTCAGCACATGCAAAATACACAGAAGTGACAGAGAGCAGATCAGATGCAAAATGATCAAAAAGCAGATTAAATAATTTCAGCACATGCAAAATAATCAAAAAGGCAGAGAGCAGATCACATGGAAAATAACAAAAAGTGACATCGAGCAGAGCAGTGGTTGCCTGGAACTAGGAGACCAGGGAGTCAACACAGGGTGCAACAAAACTTTGGGGAAGATGGATACTGATTGCTGTGATGGTTCCACGAGTGTCTATATGTCAGAACTTATAAAATGCATATTTAAAATATGTGCACTGTATTGTATGTTTATCATACCTCATTAAGATGTTAACAAAATAGAGGAAACTGCCAGATTTAGCTTGGAAACTGGTCAATGAACAAGACTCAGGAAGCAGGAAACAGGGCTGTCTCAAAGGCAGCAACAGGACAAGCCACCATTGGCACGTTGCCACTGCAAGATGAGTGTGTCACTCACTGCAGCATCCCACGAGAGAGATTCTGAGTAGTTCAGCTGCTCTCACAAGCCACTCCCAGTGACGCCTCATTACACCCATAGGCAGTGGACACATGGAATGAGCCTCCCTTCAAAACCATACAAAATGCGGGGAAAGATAATTCTCCTAAAGTAAACTGGGGAGGATGTTTGGAAATCTATGCAAGAAAGACAAAAACAGCAGTAACACTAGCTATATAAGGCTTTGGAGATTTTGTTGTCATTGTCCGAGTATTCATGCTTCTATCTCTTGTGAAGTTGTGAGCAATAGAGAAACTATTTAATAATTCACTTCTGTTATTTTTTCTACCTAGTTATTGAAATGCTTACATTATCATTTAGTACGATTTTATTTTATGTAGAATTTCTGCTATGAGACAGAACACCCTCTGCTTGTGAGTGTGTGTGTATTTATATTAGGTTGGTACAAATGTAAGTGCAGGTTTTGCCTTTACTTTTAAATGGCAAAACCCACAATTACGTTTGCACCAACCTATGTGTGTTCATGAAATACCTATCCCTGCATGAATTAATAAATCCCATGGGTCTTGGATATGGGGTGGCTGTTCATTACTTCTCAGTGAAGTACAAATGTGTGTGTCTGTTCATCTTTTAAATATAGCATTCCTTATTAATTTTAATTTCATAGCAATTTATTGGCACCCACTATGTACCTGATAGTGTCAGCTCTATTAGCATACTACAGCTAAAAAAGCTTAGCTTCACATATTGACAACACTATATTGTACAATTTTTCGTTGTCTCTGAAACAAAGAGACATAACACTTTGCCTTACAAGCGTTCACCCATGGATTCCCCATGTTCTCTGCCAAGAGTAAAATGTAGGGCAACTGATAAGAGGCTGCACAGCTAACACACAGGAGGAGAAGCCTGTTCTCATGGGTTTGCTTCTGCTTCTTACGGCTCATTTCACAGAAAATTCACTTTTCTGTGTCTTAATTTCCCCAGCTACAAAGAAAGAAAAAACTATTTATTTTGTGAACACAGGAATAGATAAAGATTCAGTGACTAGGTTTAATGGGGTCATTTAATTTTCTACCTAGACCTATTACTAAATACGCTGTAATTTGAAACAACAAAAATAGTGTGTGCTGTCAAGGCTGCCAGCTTATATAAGTAAACCTAACCATTAGAACCAACCGGTTTGTGCACGTCGTTATGACCCCAAAAGTTCCTATGCATATCGCTTGAGAAAAATTTCACGATATCATGGAAAAGTGGATGAAAATGACTTTAGGTTGAATTTAAACAGTTATTTTTAAAAGCCTTGATAAAGGAAAAATAATGCAACAGGTAGAGAACATGCTCAATAGTTAAATATTGGAACTCATCTCTAAAATGTGTAAATCCAGCAAGTCAGATTAACTACTCTCTTCTTAGTTCCTCTGGATATTGATATCATGTATATACATGGTAGAGATTTTCCCTTCCTTATTTGAAAAATTATTTGTGTAGCCTTGTCTGAAAATCATCTCTTTGCCTATATTAAATGATTTATAGGTCTACAAAAATTAGCATAGCAATGTAAATTATAGTTCCAGCTTTGTTACTAATTAGGCGTGTCATTTTAGTTATATGTCTTAATCTTTCTGGATTTCAGCTTCATCTGTAAGGTGAGGGGCAGAGCAGAGAAGATGTATAAGTGGCGTACGCACCGCCACTCACCATGCTGTTTGCGGCAAGCATTACTAATCAAGCATGACAATCTTTCCCATTGAACTCACACATTGCATAGGATCCTTTTCATCACAGCGTATCTCTGAATTAGATTTTACCTGATTTTATTGAACACTTACTATATGTCAGCCACTATTTAGGATACTTATCTGTATTAACTAGCTTAATTATGACACAATTATGACAGGATTCTATGAGGCACGCAAATTAATATCCTTATTTTGCAGATTAGGAAAGTAAGGCCCCAAAATTTACATATAGTAAGCAACAGAGCGTAAAATCAAGCAGCCTGTGCTTTCCTTCATTTTGTTACTTTGCCTTTGAGTTCTCTAGAGTCTATTTTAACACAAATTCTATGGGTAGTACTAAAAGCATGCCACAAACATTTGACAGTGAGAAGTATTCTCTGCTCTTTGGGATTTGTTTTATTTTGTTTTTTAGTTTCTTCACAGCTTTATTCTCAGCACCTAGCCCCGTGCCTAACAGATGGTGGACACTCAGTAAATATTGATTGAATGAATAAATGCTGCCATCCCCACAGCCAGTATCACTATACTTTAAAAAACAGGCTGTGAAATTATCTCTTTTTTATATTGCATCAGTCTGCTATTCTGCAGACTCCACATTGATCATTTTCCAGGCAGCATCTTATTTGGTTTCCTCTGGCAGGAGCTACAAAAAGATTAAGAGAGGGAGGAACCCAAGGGGAACTCCCAGCTGTCCTATCTAATGTTCTATCTCAGTTCTTCACTGGTTGAGAGTTTATTATCATTTTAACAATTATCTGGGACCCACAAGTAAGAGGTCGGCCACAGGCAATTCTTAATTGTGGGAGCAGTGATGATGCTTTGCATAAGCTGACTCTTGCCATGCAAGAGAAGCAGCCCGAAACGAGAGTGGTCAATGCCAAACTGGGAGGAGTTGTGTCTGACTAAAGAACAGATGTTCTTGTGTATAATTAGTAGAGACTTGCAGTGACCTAGGTGGTTATTTAACTCAAAAAGGAAACAGCCAAGAAGCCAAATTTGGATAATTTTGAGGGGATTTCATGGTGAGTCATTGAGCAGACTTTAACAATGACACAAAAAGAACAAATTGGTAATCTAGTGTTTATAGTGATGTATGTAGAATTAACATCAGGACAACTTAAAACCAATGACACTTTTTGTCTGGATCCTTACGCTTTCACAAAATAAACTAGTACCTAGCTTATCTGAATTATAAGCGATAACAAAAGCTACAAGTAACCAGAAAAGCACGTTTGGAAGATGCTTATCAGTGACATTTTCTACAAATTATGACAAATGTATTTGAGGAGTAGTCTTTAAGATTCCTGGCATATGCAGATGTCTATCTGTATCACATGATAACCATGACTTTGGAAACCATTATATTTCTTTCAAATGCCAGACTGAATCCAGATATGAATGCTTGGACAGCTTCAAATAATGAAAATAAGAGTGTGCTAACATTGACTGCAGTGTACGAGATAAAAAGTAGGGCAGAGAAGGAGCAAACATAGACCCCCCAAAAAAGGCCATTGGCAGGAGCTACAGAAAGATTAAAGGGAGATGAAAGGGAGGGAAGGAGCCCGAGGGGAATTCCTAGCTGATGCTAATTGTACCATAGCCACCAGCTACCTCATTGGGTTCCTTTGTGGTTAGCACAATGGGGTACTGGTTGCTGTCCTCCAGGGAATTCTGCACAGCTCTGAAAAGAAAGCATTTCATGTATTATATGAGGTTGAGAGAAAGGTGAATAAAATAAGTTGGAGATATTGTCATATTAAGAGGAAATTAATATCCATTTTAATTAAAGGTAATCAATATTGGGAGATGTAGCAGGATGCAGAAAGAAGAGAGTTGCTAATTTCAATGCCATTAAAAAGCTGTGACCATAGGCAGGTGCCAGCACAGACAGACATCAGCTGCATGTACACCTGCTGTTCCCTGTGAAGTGGAGCAGTGGTTTCTGTCAGGTTCAAAATCAAATCATGAATTTTGCCTACATGTTGTCAAACTACCTGGGATAGTTTCCTCCCTCTTGGCAGCCCCTGACCCAACTAGCATTGTCATACCACTTTGTAATAATCCAAAGATTCTTCATCCCAGGTCTGTCCATTTCCGAGAGGCCCATGTCCCGAAACTGTTCCTCTCCCCCTGCTATGGACTGAATTATGTCCCCAACAAATTCATATGTGGAAGTTCTAAGCTCCAATGTGATGGTATTTGCAGATGGGATTTTTGAGAAGTAATTCGTTTTAGATAAGGTCATGAGGGTAGAGCCCCCACGAAGGGATTAATGCCCTTATAAGAAAGAAGAAACACTAGAGAGCTTGCTTTCTCTCTCCAGCTGCCTGAGGACACAAGAAGGCAGCTGTCTGTTACCTAAGAAAAGAGCCCTCACCAGACACTGACCCTTCTGGCCCCTTGATCTTGGACTTTCAACTTCCAAAACCATGAGAAATGAATTCCTGTTGTTTAATCCACCTACTCTATGGTATTTTGTTATGACAGCCCAAGCTGACTGAGACACCCTCTCTGCCCCATGCCATCCAAAATCACACTAAAGCATAGAAAGTGTGTGGTATATATATATATATATATATATATATATATTTTTTTTTTTTTTTTTTTTTCATTTAGGTAGTTAAACCATCCGGGTTCTTCGTAGAGTAGGTCATGCAGACTTGGCCAAGGGTACACAACTGCTCTTCATCTCACCCACAAAATGAGAGATTTAGCTAAATGATCTATAAGTGTAGTCCTAAACTGCCTGACAGTACCGGAATCTTTCTCCAGAGCTGCTTATTTGCCAAATGAATATAATTGGCATAAAGCCTGCAGGAAAGATCTTGAGAAGGGGAGTCCCCAGAATTCATTCATGTACTTCATGGCATTTATCTCTGCCATCGTGATAGAAAAACAAGGCTTAGCAAATTGACCCTCTGCTTCTGCAGCTGCTGACCCCTGGTAATGTTAGAACAGAAGCAAGCTAACCCTGGAGGCTTGGACTAATTCTAGCAATGATAAATACAGCTTGCTTTGTGGCTGTCACCCTGCCTAGAGGACTGAATGGCCAATGGTAACAACCATTGCGCTTGTTATGCACTGCTCAAGTCTCCCATTCTGCTGAGCCGATGCTGGCAGTGCCTCTGCAGAGGAAGAGTCAAGCCCTTCAGAATCTATGGTTTCGGGTAATTGGGTGCTGCACCTCATTATGGTCATTACCAGGATGATATCTCCTTAGGGATTTCCTTTAGGGAAAGCAATCACTTTAGCAAAGTCTGAAAGGCAAGCATCTTTATCTGGTTCCTGTCATCCCAGATGTCAAAAACATCCGTGAAGCTGTGTTCTAGGGTATTATGAAAATTACTCCAAGGCATTTCAAAAAAATGGCTCACACTCTATTCTGGGATCTCTTCACTCTTTTATTTCAGTCCCTGACTAAAATGTAAGTGGTGTATGATAGCAACACTGTACTCCAAAAAAAAAAAAAAAGAGAATTTATCAAGCAGTAGGTTAAGAAAGCAATTTAAATGACAGTTCTTTTTCCTTCTTCTCACCTTTGCCCATGCAACTTTGTTCTTGTTCATCTACATTCTAACAGAATGGACCTAACCTAAAAGGAACTCTGAAATCAGTGACAAATGTGAGTGACTTAGACATGTGAAGGATGCCTTTAAGTGTTATTTGGCTCAAAAATAACTTCAGTAATTTTTACAGCTTTCCTGGAAAGCAATGAAAAATCACCTGAGGCGCAGTGTATTCACAAGAATGGGAACTTTGCATCTAAAATATATAGTCTTGAGAACTGGGAAGGTATTCAAAATGATACAATGTAACAAAGACCAGGGTTGGATCCTGGAGAATGTTTCAATGCTAAATTCATAAAATCATTGTTAAACCCATGTATTTACTTGTGAGAAAGAAAGGCAAATTCTATCCAGAAAAAAAATGTTCCTTAAATATCAATTTTAGAATTAGGTTATTTAGTCTGTCAAAGACTGGCTGATTAAAAAAAAAAGAATTAGGTTTTTTAGAAGTCAATCTTAAATATGGAAAACAACCATGTGTGATACAAACGAAGTACTCTTTCTTAAACAGAGGTGGTTTTGCTCTCCAGGTTACATTTGACAATGCCTATCACAATTTGGGGGCAGGTGCTCCTGGATTCTAGTAGGTAGAGAGGCCAGAGACGTTGCTAAACATCTTATAATGCACAGGACAACCCTCATAGAAAAAAAACTTATCTGGCCTTAAAGGTCAATAGTGCCAAGGTTGAAAAACCTTGGCTTTCAGAATGCACTGCCAAAATGTGATGACAAAGATATTACATTTTTGTAAAAGCCAAATCTCTAGAAGAAAGCCATTCCAACAAGCAAGAGAGAAATGATTTACACTTTGGAAAGGCTTTTCATTTTAGCACTATAATCAGATCCATTCATTGGATTTAAAATGTATAACCTATGATAGTCTAAGAAGTCTTACAGATTCCACATGTATTGTAAAAAGGAGAAACCACAGTGGGAAATACAACACCTTGACTATGTGGACCCACCCCTACTCATATAAGTACTTTAATCATCCCTATGTATCAATAGGCTGGTGGAAAATTACAAGTTTGAAAACTCAGAGGAAGAAGCACATTATATATGAAGCTTTGGTAGGTTAAACGTTATGCTAAGTAGAAGACGCTACCTCCGCCTTCAGAGGGCTCATGATGCGGTTTAGAGAATAAGACATATGCATGTACCCATATTTACTTGTTAATTTATTAAATGAATGTTTATTGCCTGCCTACTGTGCTCAGTGGTGTATCAGGCCCAGGGACACCACTGAGCACACAGTGACTGCTCATCCTGTGTGATGGGATGAAACAGAACCAAGATGAGAAGACTGTCTGCAGAGTTCTAACAATGTAAGTTACTACTGCAAATGTGGGGGCATAATTCAAAGAACCTAAACATAACCTGGAAGTCAGTGAAGACCTCTCTGAGAGGTGACTTAAAAGATGGGGAGAATTATCCAGATAATGAATCAGAGTAGAGAGAAGAGGGGAAAAAAGTGGTTCAAAG
Source organism: Homo sapiens (assembly GCF_000001405.40). Lineage (NCBI taxonomy): Eukaryota > Metazoa > Chordata > Mammalia > Primates > Hominidae > Homo > Homo sapiens. The sequence goes on from NC_000018.10 coordinate 4,643,960, forward strand.
TATCATTAGTGCCCTTTTCCTCTTGTGTAGTTTAAGATTCAGTAAAAACAAAATAAGCATACATAATGAGAAGAGGAAATTTTCCTTACTACCTCCTAATTCCCTTAGTACTATTCTTCCAGGTCCCTGTACTAATTACTGGACTTCTGCTTCTGAAAACCATTGACAGAGCATGTTTAAAAAGCTCCACGATATTCATTGAATTGTTCTTTCTCTGGCTTCCCTCCATTTGCTATGGAATCTGGAGATGCCTATATAACTGAAAGAAGAAACTATTTATTCATCTTAAGAATAGTTAACAGTGATTCTGTGCTCTGGGAAGGAACTTGCTGCTGAGAGTGCCAGTCTGCGAGGTTTTTGCTTTAATGTCTGGACGGAGGAGAAGTCTAGAGTAGCTGATGTGTATTCGAGGTCAGCATAGTGTATGGAAGAGCATCAGTTGTCATGCTTATGGCATTTTATTAGTAGGTAAAGATGAGAAAACTTACTAAGCCCCAGTAATGCCAAGAAGGAAGAATTTTGATGAGGAAGTCAATAAATAACATATTTTGTAAGCAGGTTTGGTCTTTTAGCATAACCTGGGCTGGTGCTCTTGTTTGGTATAATGTAAACATGATTTGGTCATTAAATTAGCATCTTATTCCTACTCAATACTGCTAGTGCTGTCAATCATCTAAATACAATGTTTCCCCAGTGATAACTTTCACTGAGCCTCCGTGATCATACTTTTAGTATTTTGAATAAGTAATAGCTAAAGAGGATTTTTGTTAGATACACAAACACACACACACACACACACACACACACACACACACAAACCTGCAAGTAAAAACATCTCTACTCTTCTCCCAGATGACTGACCATCACTAGAGTTAACTGGCATAACCAGTGCTTGAAGATTTAAGTGGAACTAGATGGTACCATGTGCCAGGATGTACAGGCTCCCTAGGGAGGACTCTTGACGAGAGGTATATCTTACCAGGTTAAGATATTATCACTTCCATTCACAAAATGGCAAAACACAGGAAGGAGATGTTTTCATTCATATTTTGTGGAAGGTACAAGTGATCATGGGTATTAATCCCCCAGGGAGCAAGTCAATGTGGAAGAAACCTGGAGTGAGTCCCATAACCTCTATGACAAAGGCAGGGTTAAGAAAATCGTGCTATTTAATTGTCAGAATTTTAAAATATAATGGGTTGTTCTTTTACATAACATGAGGACTAATCAACTCATGTTTTTTTGCCCCGTTGGTAATACCTGAAAGTTAGATGAGGAACAGTTATTTTATACTAATATTTAATACTAGCTCTTTAGATAAATAAAGACCTTACCGTTAGAATAAGGGAACGAGAAAATATATTTCTTTCACATTCAGTAAAAACAGACAAAACATATGGGAGGGGGCAAAATGCACAGATTTTTATTCAGAAAAGTAGAACATAAAATACCCCAAACATTCAGACTCCTCTATACAATGCAAGTTGAATTAAGAATTTATTGAATAACTCTAATATGCCACCACAAATAGTATTCTATATAAAGTTCAAAACAATCCTGTGAAATCATTGCTGGTTTATACACTTGTATTCTTTCAGCAGATTAGGACACTTCAGCTCAGGAGTTAGAGATTTTACACAGGATGACAAAGCTAATAAGTAGTGAACCTATCAAGATAATTAGAGATAGAAAGCATCAATTATTTGTCCATGTGACATTGCTCATAGGTATTATGAAGCATAAAGGAACTGTCCGTCTTTTGCATACTTAAAAGACATGTAGAAGAAATAAATGTTATCAATTTCTACAAAAAAAGTCAATATGGAGCCCAGTGGAAGTGCAAAAGGAATAGTCATCATTTATCTGAGTGAAGGGAAGGAGAGGAGCAAAAGTTCATAGGGATGGTAAGTTCCAAAAGATGAGATGTTCACTCTGCAGGCCTGAGCATGCTGGCACAGGGGCAGATGGAACAGGTGAGTGAAAGCTCGGCAGTTAGGATCAGCCTGGAAGAATGGCAAGTTCAAGGGTTTCAGTGCACCCGAGTGTTCATATGGAGCGGAGAAGAAGCAGAGCTGGGGTAGCAGGGAAAGATGATAAAAGATGAGCCTAGAAATGCAAGGGAAAAGTTATGAAAGGCTTTTGAGCCTTTGCTAAAACTCTAGGTTATGTTTTCAGCACTGAGAACCATGAGAAATTTTAAGCATGTTTAAAATGTTCTTTCTAACAGTTCTCCCTTTTTAAAGGAGGTAGGGTAGTGAGAGCAAGACTAGGGGGCTGAAAGAACAATTGAGAGGTGTTCAGTTTTTCCAGACTACATGTTATAATGATCTTGGGCAGTACCTAGGATTGCTTTTTTCATTTTTCACAAACTGTGGCATATAAATCTGCAGAGTTATTATGTAAAGGAATTTAGCAATATGTAGCCGACGTGATAAAATTGTTCCCACTGAGGAAATGATTTGTATTCTTTTTAAAAGAAAAGTAATATATTCAATAGCTCAGAACCCCTCAGAACTAGTAAGAATAGAATTATAGGCAAATAAAAATTCTAAAAATAACTTCAGGTGACTATTAAATGTATGCAAAGAAATGTCTTTAACAACCAATACTTTAGGAAATGAATTTAAAACAATGGGGAACATTCTATTAGAGGTCTACCATTTGAAAAAAAAATCAGTAATTGGCAAGGCAGAGTTATATCTCCAAATGCTTTTGGTGAGATCCAGTCAAAATTTGGTAATTTGATTCGAATGTTCTGGAAATAAATTGGATAATAGCTATAAAGAAAAGTTAAAAATCTTCACATTATTTAATTCAGTAATTCAACCTCTGGGAATTGATACAAATAACAACAAGGTGGCCTAAGTCTAAAATGAGTTAAGATTGTTAAGCACTTAAAATATATACATAATGGCCAGGTGCGGTGGCTCATGCCTGTAATCCCAGCACTTTGGGAGGCCGAGGTGGGCAGACCACAAGGTCAGAAGTTCGAGACCAGCCTGGCCAATATGGTGAAACCCCGCTCTACTAAAAATACAAAAATTTCCCCGGGTGTGGTGGTGGGCGCCTGTAGTCCCAGCTACTCAGGAGGCTGAGGCAGAAGAATCGCTTGAACCCGGGAGGCAGAGGTTGCAGTGAGCCGAGATTGTGCCACTGCACTCCAGCCTGGATGACGGCGTGAGACTCCGTCTCAAAAATATATATATATATATATACACAAAAAGTATATATATATCTATATATATATACACACACACACATAATACTAGATGAATATTTGTTAAATAAGGGCACATAAAAGACTTATGTATAAACATTGTCATCACATTATTTATTATAGCATAATATGAGAAACAACTGAAATAGCCAACAGTAAATGAATGAATAAACTACACTGTGTTTAGTAATTGTAAATGAGACACAGACAAAATGCAAAGTTGAGATTATCAGTATAGGTAGTCCAAAAGGTAGATACATGATAAGTAGAGATGTAGGTGGATGTAAGCAAAAGAGGGAGGAAGGAATTTGTATGGTTATCCATGAATGGGGACATTATAAATGCTTTTAAATTTCTCCTTTTAAAATTCTGTTCAATAAATATACTATTTATAGTCTATGTACTTATATCATCTCAACTCCAAAATACAAACAGTGGTTTTATTGAGGTAATAATTTTATTCCTTCCTCATATTATTACATTCATATATTTTCCAAATTTTCTACTATATATATATATACAAAAATATAAAATTAGAAAAACTAAATTTTATTTTAGAGGACATCACTTGAGTATTTCTAACTTCACATTAATCCTATCATAACCTTCACATTAATAACTTACTATTAAAATATTGAATTGAACCTCATTGATTTAAAAATACTTCTTGATTCATTTATTTGTTTTCTATCAAAAAATTTATTACTTACTTTCAATAATTTCACAAATACTTTGAAGGTCTTCAGCCACTTACGGTGTATTAGCATGTGAATTTGGAAGGCTGAATTATTATTCTTATTTTGGTAAAATATCTGTAAGATGTATCATTTGAACTGCTTTGGAAGTGTACAGTTTAATTGCATTCAGCACATCCACATCGTTGTGCCTCAATCACCACTAAACTTCTCCAGATAGTTTCTCATCACAACATGAAACTGTGTTCATTAAACAATAGCTCCCCATTCCCTCCTACCCACAGTTCCTGACAACCACCATTTCACTTTCTGTCTCTATGAATTTAACTATTTCACGTACCTCATGTAAGTAGAATCATACAATGCTTACTTGTCCTTTTGTACCTGGCTTATCACACTTAACATAATATCTTTAAAGTTTAGCCATGTCGTGGCATGCGTTAGAATTACATTCCTTTTTAAGGCTGAATAATATTCCATTGTGCATTTTATTCCACATAATTTGTAATATTGTAATACTGTAAATTTAATATTCCAAAATGCATTTTGTTTATATATTTATCTGTCAGTGGACCCTTGGGTTGCTTCCACCTTTTGGCTATTGTAAATAATGCTGCTATGAATATGAGCACACAAATATATGTTCAAGTCCCAGCTTTTAGTTCTTTAGAGTGTATGCCCAGCAATGGAATTGCTGACTCGAATGCTAATTCTACGTTTGATTTTTTGAGGAACTGCTATACCATTTTCCACAGTGGCTATACCATTTTACATTTTTACCAGTCACAAACAAGGGTTCTAATTTCTCTGTACCCTTGCCAACACATGTTACTGCCTGTGTTTTTGTTTTTAATAATAACTATCTTGGTGGGTATGGAGTGGCATCTTGTTGTGGTTTTGATTGGCATTTCCCTAAAAATCAGTGATGAAAATGAACATGTTTCCATGTGCTTATTGGCCATGTGTGTATCTTCCTTGGAGAAATTCCAGTCCTTTACCCATTTTTAAAATTGAGGTTTTTTTGTTGTTATTGTTGCTGAGTGGTAGAAGTTATTTACAGACTGTGGATATTAAGATCTAATTGTATGTGTGATATGCAAATATTTTATTCCACTCTTCCATTTCATGGGTTGCCTTTCACTCTGTTGATTGTATTCCTTAATACACAAAAGTTTAACATTTTGATTAAGATTAATTTATATGTTTTTTTCTTTTGTTGCCTGTGCTTTTGTTGTCATGTCCAAGAAATCATTGCCAAATCCAATATCATGAAACTTTCCTTTTATGTTTTCTTCTGAGTTGAATTATTTTTAATTGGCTATTAAAATTTATTTAGAGATTCTTTCTTTTGCTTATCGAGCTGTGGAGTATAAGAATGCTTGTGACTTTTGTACTTTGATTTTGTATCCTGAGACTTTGCTGAAGTTGCTTATCAGCTTAAGGAGATTTTGGGCTGAGACAATGGGGTTTTCCAGATATACAATCATGTCATCTGCAAACAGGGACAATTTGACTTCCTCTTTTCCTAATTGAATACCCTTTATTTCCTTCTCCTGCCTAATTGCCCTGGCCAGAACTTCCAACACTATGTTGAATAGGAGTGGTGAGAGAGGGCATCCCTGTCTTGTGCCAGTTTTCAAAGGGAATGCTTCCAGTTTTTGCCCATTCAGTATGATATTGGCTGTGGGTTTGTCATAGATAGCTCTTATTATTTTGAAATACGTCCCATCAATACATAATTTATTGAGAGTTTTTAGCATGAAGAGTTGTTGAATTTTGTCAAAGGCTTTTTCTGCATCTATTGAGATAATCATGTGGTTTTTGTCTTTGGTTCTGTTTATATGCTGGATTACATTTATTGATTTGCGTATATTGAACCAGCCTTGCATCCCAGGGATGAAGCCCACTTGATCATGGTGGACAAGCTTTTTGATGTGCTGCTGGATTCGTTGTGCCAGAATTTTGTTGAGGATTTTTGCATCAATGTTCATCAAGGATATTGGTCTAAAATTCTCTTTTTTGGTTGTGTCTCTGCCTGGCTTTGGTATCAGAATGATGCTGGCCTCATAAAATGAGTTAGGGAGGATTCCCTCTTTTTCTATTGATTGGAATAGTTTCAGAAGGAATGGTACCAGTTCCTCCTTGTACCTCTGGTAGAATTCGGCTGTGAATCCATCTGGTCCTGGGCTCTTTTTGGTTGGTAAACTATTGATTATTGCCACAATTTCAGCTCCTGTTATTGGTCTATTCAGAGATTCAACTTCTTCCTGGTTTAGTCTTGGGAGAGTGTATGTGTCGAGGAATTTATCCATTTCTTCTAGATTTTCTAGTTTATTTGCGTAGAGGTGTTTGTAGTATTCTCTGATGGTAGTTTGTATTTCTGTGGGATCGGTGGTGATATCCCCTTTATCATTTTTTATTGTGTCTATTTGATTCTTCTCTCTTTTTTTCTTTATTAGTCTTGCTAGCGGTCTATCAATTTTGTTGATCCTTTCAAAAAACCAGCTCCTGGATTCATTAATTTTTTGAAGGGTTTTTTGTGTCTCTATTTCCTTCAGTTCTGCTCTGATTTTAGTTATTTCTTGCCTTCTGCTAGCTTTTGAATGTGTTTGCTCTTGTGTTTCTAGTTCTTTTAATTGTGATGTTAGGGTGTCAATTTTGGATCTTTCCTGCTTTCTCTTGTGGGCATTTAGTGCTATAAATTTCCCTCTACACACTGCTTTGAATGCATCCCAGAGATTCTGGTATGTTGTGTCTTTGTTCTTGTTGGTTTCAAAGAACATCTTTATTTCTGCCTTCATTTCCTTATGTATCCAGTAGTCATTCAGGAGCAGGTTGTTCAGTTTCCATGTAGTTGAGCGGTTTTGAGTGAGATTCTTAATCCTGAGTTCTAGTTTGATTGCACTGTGGTCTGAGAGATAGTTTGTTATAATCTCTGTTCTTTTACATTTGCTGAGGAGAGCTTTACTTCCAAGTATGTGGTCAATTTTGGAATAGGTGTGGTGTGGTGCTGAAAAAAATGTATATTCTGTTGATTTGGGGTGGAGAGTTCTGTAGATGTCTATTAGGTCCACTTGGTGCAGAGCTGAGTTCAATTTCTGGGTATCCTTGCTGACTTTCTGTCTCGTTGATCTGTCTAATGTTGACAGTGGGGTGTTAAAGTCTCCCATTATTAACGTGTGGGAGTCTAAGTCTCTTTGTAGGTCACTCAGGACTTGCTTTATGAATCTGGGTGCTCCTGTATTGGGTGCATATATATTTAGGATAGTTAGCTCTTCTTGTTGAATTGATCCCTTTACCATTATGTAATGACCTTCTTTGTCTCTTTTGATCTTTGTTGGTTGAAAGTCTGTTTTATCAGAGACTAGGATTGCAACCCCTGCCTTTTTTTGTTTTCCATTTGCTTGGTAGATCTTCCTCCATCCCTTTATTTTGAGCCTATGTGTGTCTGTGCACGTGAGATGGGTTTAAAAACACCCACAGAATACAGTTTTTAATTTGTATTCTAGGGGTGGGAAGGGGCTGATCTCTTTCCTCCCCATCATAAAGGATCATGGCTGACATTCCCATAACAAAAAGCAGACTAACAAGATAAAAGCATAACAAATGTATTACTATTACATGCACATGTGTGCTCAGGAGTCATACCAAATATGAACTCAAAGTGTGGCCATGTGGTTGAGACTTTCTTCATAGGGGATGGGGAAATAGAAAAATAAAAGGCCCAATACTCAGAAGGTGGTTCACAGGAATAATGGTTGTCTCATCTTCAGATAAAATTTCTTGGCTAGTCTCTTAGAGCTGCCTTCAGAAGAATAGATGAAATGTCTGTCTGGGCATGATGATGACTCCAGTCTTTTCTCTTGTGGTTGACCATTCGTGTTTATTTGATGAGATCTTGAGAAAGAGGGTCTTAGGGCAATTACATTTCTTTTGGAAAGAAGCTTTCTTAGTGATATAAGGCTTGGGGAAGGAGCAAGACAAGGTTAGAACTTTGATTCTGAGGCAGCTTCTAAGGCCTCTCTCAGCATGTCAAAGGGCCAGTCTTTGTGGTATTGCTTTCTGAGCCCTGACAGTACTCTAACAATTTCACAGTAATGCCAAAATTCCTTTAGCCCAGTAGTAATTTCAAAAACAACACATATGTTTATTTTGGGGAGGGATATATATATATATATATATATATATATATATATATATATATATATATGGCGTCTGGAAGATTGGAAGATCCTGGAACAAACAATTTAATACACTAGACTACAGTTCAAGATATTTTTTCACAGTTATTGGCAAATCTCTTTGCAAATAGATGTGTTCCATTTGTGGCACATGAACATGTGAACTGTATCGAGTCAGTGTGGATTAAGTGGTTGTGAGGAAATGAGTCCCATCTGTTAAAGCAGAATATCTGAGAAGTCATTCATCACACTTGTTCTGCATTCAGTTGATGTGGACATAATGGAACTAAATTATAGAGATGATATTATGGAATCAACACTTAAGTTCTTATGCATCAGACTACCTAACAAGCTACTAAATGACAGGCTGCCTGAATTCGGAATTCAATAGCAAAGAAAAAATTTTAAAGGCCAATAAAGTTTTTGGTTCTTTAGTTATAGTTTCATTCCCAAATACTTACTGACAATAAGCAATTCACATCCTGATGCTGAAGGTTCTGGAGTCATAGTGGGTAATAATGAAAAAAGGAGGCTAAAATTAGAAACTTGATGTCACTGCTCAAGCCAATAATACTCTTGCTGGATTTAATAAATATATTCTGTCTTTATTAAAATTGTGTTGGTGCTAGGGTGTTGGGACAATTTAGTTGAAATTCAGTTCTTTTCAACAAATGGTGCCAAAATAATTGAATATCCACATGTGAAAAAATAAAGCTGAACTCCTACCCAAGACAATCAACAAAATTGACTCAAACTGAATCAAAGTTTAGAAGAAACTCTTACTCTTAGAAGTAAATCCTCATAATATTGAGTTAAGAAAAGCCTTCTTAGAAACAACATTAAAGCACAAGTGCCCAAATTTAAAAAAATAGGTAAATTGGACTTCCTCAAAATTAAGATCTTTTGTGATTTAAAGAATACCATTAAGAAAGTGAAAAGACAAAACAGAATGAAGGGAAATATTTACAAATTATATATCTGATAAGTGACTTGTACCCAGAAGATATAAAAACCTATTATCAGAATAATAATCAAAAATGGGAAAATGATCTGAATAGATACTTCTCCAAAAAAGATACAAAACTGGCCAAGAAACATATGAAAAGATGGTAAAAATCATTATCTGAAAAATAAATGCAAATCTAAACTGAAATGGGTACCATTTCACACCTACAATGGGTAAACTTTTAAAAAGTCAAATAAAAACAAGTTTTAGCAAAGATATGGAAAATGTGGAACCTTTATACCTTGCTGATGAGAATGTAATATGGCACAGATTCTGTGGAACAGTTTAGTGATTTCCCAATGAGTTCAACATAGAGTTACCATATGACCCATCAATTTCACTCCTAGATATATACTCAAGAGAAATGAAAACATTTTTCACACAAAAATTTGTACATGAGTATTCACACCAGCATTACTCATAATAAAAACAACTTGAATGTTCATCAATGAATGAATGTATAAGTAGTGACTACTTCAATTTAGGGAAAATTCACAAGCTCCATTCCACCTGCATGGCTTTTATTTCATTGAACTTGACAGTTAATTAACTGGCTACACCTCTTTTAAGGCATTCATTCATTCACTCATTCATTCATTCATTCATTCATGATTACTATTGTATGCAAGGCACTGAGGATACCAACATAAAAAACAAAATACTTGCTCTCAAGCTCATCAAATAGTAGAGTGGGGTAGGATTAAGTACGATAAGTGATAGAAATATGGAATTGGTGCAGCGAGAGCAGAGTGCAGAGCAAACCTAGCTCTGCTCATGTGTGTATACTTGAGAGTCAGGCATAAAGAGAAAGGATATCAAAGGAACTTCCTTGAAGAGTGAATTGGAGTTTATTAAGTGGACAAGGGAGGATGTAGTCAACAGCATGTAAATGATGCAGGAGAGGGAAGAGTCAAGGAAGATTTTTCTTGCTTCAATGTGTATTAACTTAATGAACTGCTGATCTCATTGATTATTAGAAAGGATCAAGCAGGCCAGGCATGGTGGCTCATGCCTGTAATCCTAGCAATTTGGGAGGCCAAAGCAGAAGGATCCCTTGAGCCTAGGAGTTCGAGATCAGCCTGGGCAATACAGTGTGACCCCATCTCTAAAAAGGTAAAAATTAATTAATTAATTAATTTTAAAAAAAGGATCAAGCAGTATAATTAAGAATAAAGTGTGATTTTTACTAGCCATGTTCACAAAACCTACTTTTGGTCAATAATTGGATGTTTTTACCTTTTGCCCTACACTTACTGACAAGGTTTGTGCTCCACTGAGATATCTCTTTAGTTGATTTTTAGATCCTTAAGTTTTATGGAGAATGTCTTTGGGGCAGTACAGCAATCTCAGCTGGGATCCCTTCCCCATTATTTAATAGATGTTGCTCTGTGTAGTCCTTGGTTTCCTGCACATTATATGAAAACTATGACATTATCTAATTGATGTGGTTCTGTAAAGATGAAAGGAGATAGAGCATATAGAGTACGTAAGCATACTTGGTATATCATGAAATGTCAATACATTATCGCTAGTATTGTTAAGTATTTTATAATTTCAGCTTCCTATATTGAATAAATGAAAATGTTTTAATTTACACAGAATATTTTAATCTCATAGCTTTTACACCTCAGTGGGTAAGACCTAGATTGTTCAAAAAATATTGTTTGCTGACATATGTAATCATGACATAGAGACACAAAATTGGACCTCCATTACCATTAAAATGCTGGAACCCAGATGCACAGGAACAAAAGCCTACAGAGATGAAAACCAAGTGGGCAAGGGAATAAAGTTATATATGAATAAGAGGACAGGGCAAAAGGCTGCCTTGAAAATAGGCAGACAGTCTAGTGAAGGTGGAAAGCTTGTGGGACTCAGAGGCCAACACAGCAGCAAATACAGTTGTCAGACAGCAGTGAGGAGCCAGGAAATTAGCAGGGACTAAAGCATATTAGCTGGCACTTATTTCCTAATCCAGTATGGAACAAAGATCTTTCTATTGGGTTTGCCCCATTGAGGAAGGTGGAGTGTTGTCACTACTTTTCCATATTGCTCACTAGACTGGCCCTCTGTTTGATTTGTAAGCTGAATGGATTTCATTTGTACAAATGAAATAGAACACATATGGATATTTGTGTGTATATACACACACATATCCATTTGTGTGTATATCCATAACATGCACATGCACACACACATTGATATACACATACATATATACACATGTGACATTTCTACCATATACATTGTAAATTTCTTCCAGAGTTAAATAACCTAAATGTCATTTCTTTCCTGTGTGGCTGCTTTCACTGAGCCTACTCCTACATGCATCTCTCTGTAGCATTTGTGGAAAAATTGCCAGTTTCTTTCTTGTTTCTTGGATGTTGTATTTTGATGAATGCTGAAATATCTATACTAAAAGGGCAGAATAGAAAAATGTCAGTTCTTAACACTTGACATTCATCAAGCTTTATATGACTTTTCAAAAAGCTACTCCATGGAGAGAGGTAAAATGCTTTTTTTTAAAAAAAATCCAGATATACAGAGTAGAAGTCACCATAATTACTGCCAGTACAAGTTCTTGCCTGTCCAAAGAATGATCTTCATTTATACATCCTCCTTTGTCCAATAGCTTTCTTTCTATAATAAATAGAATGGTCATTCAATGTCCCGCTACTGAATAAGGGTCATTATGTCCTCAAAGTATGACTTTTTTCAGAACTATTTTTAAATTTGCTCCTGAAAAGGAAATTCACTAATCATTTATATTATTATTATGATTGTAATTACTATGTCCTTGGTATGCCATTTTAAAAGTGAACACACTGTAGATATGTGGGGTAAGGATTCCATTGAACTTAATGCCATGGAATCTGACTTATTTATAATTGCTACCCAGTGAATTTAGACTAAAAATTACAAGACTCATTATGAGACAGAGATAAATATTTTAAAAGTAAAAAATAAATTGTAGGTGCACTCACTTATGTCCATTTTTCTTTCCTGCACAGAGTAAGCTTTGACTGTAACTCTTTTTATGAACATGTTTAATATGATTCTCTTTTAAAAATCATTTGCATCAACCTCTTCCATTATGATCATATGCAACATAGTCTCACATATATATCTGACACAAAAAAATTAATGAATTGTCTTATTCTCATTGCCAAAACAAATCAGCAGCTAGGGCAATTTTACAAAATTGACTCAAAGCTTGTATTTTTCACAAGTCTTGCTATGTGAAGTTCTAGCAATACTGGGTCCCACTGTGCTATTCCTTAGCTGCACTTCACTTTTAATTACAGGTTGGGCACCCTTAATCTGAAAATCTCAAAATCCAAAACATTCTGAGTGCCAACATAACACAGGTAAAAAGTTTTCATACATAAGTAATTAACACAAACTTTGTTTCACACACAAAATTATTAGAAATATTATATAAAATTACCTACTGGTTATGTGTATATGGAATATATGAAACATAAATGAAATTCATGTTTAGACTTGGGTCCCATCCCCAAAATATCTCATTATGTATATGCAAATATTCCCAAATCCAAAAACTCCAAAATCTGAAATACTTCTGAACCCAAGTATTTCAGATAAGTAATATTCAACCTGTACTATTTTTCAAAACATGTAATTGGATTATATTTCAAAAAATATTATTTCAGTGCTTGATAGATACCAATACTTTGGAGAATACAAAAGAAACATCCATCTTCAAAGAGTATACACTCTTCATGGGGACATAATGTAGATTTCAACCTTTATTCATAACTACCAGCCAATACTTAAAAGAATTATTTGCTATTTGATTAAAAAAAAACTGTCTTTAGGAAAAAATGAGAGGACAAAGCCCATTTATCCTTAAGCTAAGTTGTATCAGCGTACAATGTATTAACTTCCTGTTAGCTGATATTTCTTTCTTTTAACCCTTCTACTGAAAGCCAATATAAAAAGTTCAGAGGACAAATTTGTTAATTTCCTTCAAAGCATAAAAACTCCTTCCAAGGGCAAGGCTACTATGGTGCCTGTTATTCAGAAGCTTACATATGAGATGAATTTGCTAAATCTTGAACATACTTTACCTAATTGTTCCAGAACTACTTTGTGAGGTATTATTTTCCTCGTGTAATAGATGAAGTGAGTCATAGAGTCATACAGTGACTTGTGCAAGATCTCATTGTCAGCAACTCTCTCAAACTCACATAGCAGAATGGTGTCCGACTCTGCCTCTGATGTACTCCACAGCCTGTGATCTTAACTGCTTTATTTTACTTTTTTGAGACTCAGCACAAAATAATGTGCTAAAATTGGAAATTATTAAGTGTCTCATGTATTCTGTAAGCCATTCACATTTTTGGCAGTTTGTGTGGAGAGAAATTTCTTTTCACTAATGTAGAAGGGACTGACCTTGTAAAAGAGCTTCCATAGAACTGGGAATATTTGAGAGTGAAAGAGGAAGGAATAGCACACTTTCCTATTTACTTTTATGCAAGAGTTTTTCTGCTGATCATCATTAACTAACAAGTTTGAATTCTTAAATGAAGGTCTGTACAAAAATTCCTCCATGATGGAAAAGTTTTGCAAGCAACTGTAGAATAAGAAATGTAATGTTTATCTTCAAATAAAAGCAAAACAGCTAAATCTTTAAATTTTATCTTCAAATGAAAGCAAAACAGCTAAAATAATTATTATAATTTTCTAGCCAAAATATACTGTTGACTTTTTCCAACAGGCGAATTTGTGTACTTCAATGAAAAAAAAAAACAAAATATGTATCTCTTGGTTCACAAATATATATTAAATATAGTGTGATTTTTTTTGGTCACAAATACCCTATTGCTATATTTGTCATGACATTCCCTTGAGAAAACTACTAATGTAAAGTACTAAGTTTACATCATTTGAGCTAACACTTTAAAGGACAAGCCACTTAAATTCTCTCAATATAATCGCAAGTGTTTGGAGAAGTTTTTTAAATCAAATTCCAGTTGTCAATGTCACTCTACCTAGTGTTATCACAAATTATGCCAGACTTACTAACAGATACTACATTTAAGATGCTGAAAAATACCACTAGATTATATAAAATGTATAATTTCATTGAGAAAGGGGTTTTTGTTGATTTTCCCCATGAGTTAAGACACGTATCTATTGTTTAACTTTCTCCTCAAATAATAGGCCATGAAACTCTTCGATTGTTAATATTAAAAAGAAATAGCATGTGAGACTTCTGGAACAGTGAAGTAACAACCTCAGTGAATCCACTATCTCAAAAAAAGTAATAAAAATAATAGCAAAACTATCAACACCAATCATTTCACTGAAAATCGGTCAAAGGCACAGAACAAACAAAGTATTTATTCAAGAAAACTACTAAACCTGATAAGAACAGTAGGAGCTTGTAGCTAATTTGGGACTGCTCCCATCTCTCTTCCCTACATCCATGGAGCAGTAGCACTTCATCTCTAACAAAGGAGACTGATCTATTATGGAATTTTGTTAAAAGTTCCATTTCCAGAGCACAGTCAACATTTTGACAAGGGTTGTAGCTCCCTAGAGAATCCCTGATCTCAGGGAATTGGTCAGCATTTAATCTGACTCAGAGCTCAGTACTACAGAAAAAGTCCTAGCCCAAGGCATTAATCAAAAACAGTGACAACTTACTGGAATTTTTAACAACACAGCTGCCTAAGACTGATTTCAGTCAGGACAAACTAAAAACTGACCAAAAGTTTAATAGGAAAATCTAGGTACAAGTTGATCATATGTAGGTTAAACATCTCTGACATGTTCATGGATATCTGGAATGCTGTACACATGAATAGGGTTCTTTGCATGCCCACAAAGAACTGGGAAATGAGTGGTTCCTGATTACTTACTTATAGCTGATCTCAAGACCCTATGCAAACAGGAAGTAAAAGTGAAGACTGACTTGTAAAATGCCAGAAATGAGGAAGTGTCCTTTTACACACAAATTTCCTTGGCAAAATATTGAAGACTTAGTCAAAGTATTTAAGGAAATATCCTGACTAGAAATTAGTGGACCATTAAGCAATGAAGATCCAGGGAGGAACCCTAGAATCCAGGTTTAAAACAATGATTTTTTTAAAAAAGGAACAAAGAAAGAATTCAGTGGCCACACATTTGCTGCAGGAAATAGGTAATCTAAGAACAACTAAAACAAACATGAGGGAGGAGAAATCTGACTCCATAGTTCTTACAATATACTATCTAATATTTTTATTTTCAGCTAAAATGTTAGAACACATGCAAAGACACAGAAAAGTATGGGTTATTCTCAGACAGCAAGAGGATTCAAAAGAAAATACCTCTGAGGGGGTCCAGATGTTGGACTTCATAAACAAAAACTTTAAATCACTATTATAAATACGTTCAAGCAAATAAAATAAGCCATGCAGGAAGAATTAAAAAACATTATAACAACTATGTCTTAACAAATAACATAAATTTAAAAATATAAATAATTTTTTAAAAGAACCAAATAGAAATTCAAGATTTGAAAATAAAATAACTAAAACAAAAACTTCACAAGGTGGTCTACATTTGAGATGGGAGAAGAAAGAATCAGCAAACTTGAGAATAGGTTTATAGTGTTTATACAGTCTCAAAAAAAAAAAAAGAAAGAAAAGAAAGGCAGAACAGGGCATTAGAGACTTGTGAGACACCAGTAAGCATATCAAAATAAGTATATGGAAGTCTAAGAAGAAGAGACAGAAGGGACAAAAAAAGTATTTGAATAAATAATTGCCAAAACATTTATACATTTTATGAAAATCATCAGTCTACACATCCAAATGGTTCAACAAACTCCAAGCAGGATAAACTCAAAGAGTTTCACCTAGATGAATTATAGGCAAACTGTTGAAAATCAAGGATAAGGCCAATGTTTTGAAATCAGCAAGATAAAAATAACTTATTATATACCAAGAAGCCTCAAAAAGATTAGTAGGCTTCTCAATAGAAAGGACAGAGGCCAGAAGGCAGAAGATTGACATTTTTAAAGAGCTGAATGAAAAACATTGTCAATCAGGAATTCTATATTCAACAATACTATCTTTCAAAACTGAAATGGCAATAAAGACATTTTCAGAGTAAAAGGACAGTGAATTTCTCATCAGTGGACTTGCTCTACAAGAAATACTAAATGGAGCATTTCAGACAGAAAAGAAAAAACTTAAATGGAGACTTATACCTATTCAAAGAAGAAAAACAAACTTAAAGGGAATCACATGGGTAAATACAAAAAAGAAGTATGGCATTTTAAAATTATTTTCTTCTTCTAATTGATTAAAGGACAACTGCATGAAACAATAATTATAAAAATAAACCAATAGGCTTATAATGTGAAAGACATAATTTGTGTGACAATACTAGCACAAAAGTTGGGGGATAAAAGAAAGAGGTATGTCTGTGTATACAGCCAAGATACATAGCAAAGGAGTATATAGCAAAGCTTCTATGTACTATTGGATTTACTGAACAGTAATCTGAAGTAGATTTTCTTAAATTAAGATGCATATTGTAATCTACAGATAAGCTACTAATAACTCAAAATGTATAGCTAAAAAATTAAAGGATTTTAAATGGCAAACCAGAAAGTATATATGTAACACAATAAGGAAGCAATAGAGGGAAAAAGAAATGAAAAAGACAACACATATAGGATACAAATACAATAGCAATATAAATCTTACAATATCAATAATTTTATTTAATTTCAAAATATAAAACACTCCAATTAAAAGGAAGAGGTTATAAGACTGAAAAAAAAGACAGCTTTCAACTATATCTGTCTATAAAAAGATACACTTTAGATTCCAAGGCACAGAATGTTTGAAGTAAAAAGTAAAAGAATGGAAAAAGATATATTATGCAAACAGTAACCCAAAGAGATCTGAAATGACTATACAAATATCAAACAAAACACACTTTAATATTTTAAAATGTTATTAATTATGAAGAGAAATAGTTTACAATGAAAAAAAGAATTAAATTTAGCAGGAAAATATAACAGTTACAAACATATATGCACCAAACGACAGGACCCCAAAATACATTTAGCAAAAACTGACAGAATTGAAGGTAGAAGTTCTCAATTCAACAATAAGAGTTGGAGACACCTATACTTCACTCTTAGTAACAGACACATCAACTAAATGGAATATCACCTAAGATATAACAGACTTCTGCAACACTATAAGTCAACATGACATTACACTTAACTATAGACCATGCAACCTTAAAACAACAGAATACTACACATTCTTTTCAAGCACACATGGAATGTTCTCCAGGATGGAGCATATATTAGAACATTTAAAAAATCTGAATAAATTTTAAAATATTAAAATCATACGAAGTATGTTCTCTGATCACAATATGTAATTGGGTTTAAACAACAGAAGGACATTTGGAAACTCCACAAGTATTTGGAAGTCAAGCAATAAATTTTGAACCCATGGGTCAAAGACAATATAAGAGAAACTAGAAAGTACTTTTAACTGTATAAAACTGAAAACATATTGATATGGTTTGGATTTGTGTCCCTGCCCAAATCTCATGTCAGAATTGTAATCCCCAATGTTGGAGGAGGGGCCTGGTGGGAGGTGATTGGATCATGGGGACCTCCCTTTTGCTGTTCTAGTGATATAGTAAATGAGTTCTCATGAGATCTGTTTGTTTAAAAGTGTGTAGCACCTCCCCCTTTACTCCTTTGCCTTCTTCCATGATTGTAAGTTTTCTGAGGACTCCCCAGCCATGTTTCCTGTATAGCCTGTGGAACTGTGAGCCAATTAAATCTCTTTTCTTTATAAATTATGCAGTCTCAGGTAGTTATTTATAGCAATGTGAGAAGAGACCAATACATATATCAAGATTTAAAAGATGCAATTAGAGCAATTTATAGAGAGAAATCTAAGAGCTTTATGTTCCTATATTAAGAAAAACAAATGTTTCAAATCAGTAACCTAATTTGCACCTTAAGAATTTGAGAAATGAGGGCAAATTCAACCCAAGGCAAAGAGAAGGAGAAAACTCTAAAGAATAGAAGGGAAATCAATTAAGCAAAGAAAACAAAAAAAATTAGAGAAAATCAATGAAACTACAGTTGGTTCTTTGAAAGATTAACAAAATTAACAAATTATGTAGATTAACCAAGAAGGAAAAAAGAACAGATAAAGTTCACCAAAATTAGGAATAAAAGAAGGGACATCACCACTGACCCTTCAGAAATTATAGGAATTAGAATACCATAGTACAATTTATGCTAACGAATTTGACATTGACTAAATTGATTCATAAACACAAATTAGCAAAACTGACTTAAGAATAAATAAAAATCTTAATAGAACTATTAAGTACACAAGTAAAGAAATTGCACTAGTGATCAAAAATCTTTCAACAAAGAAAAGCCTAGGCCCGGCCTTGCACGGTGGCTCACACCTGTAATTCCAGCACTTTGGGAGGCAGAGGCGGGTGGATCACAAGGTCAGGAGATCGAGACCATCCTGGCTAACACGGTGAAACCCCGTCTCTACTAAAAAAACAAAAAATTATCCGGATGTGGTAGCGGGCGCCTGTAGTCCCAGCTACTCGGGAGGCTGAGGCAGGAGAATGGTGTGAACCCGGGAGGCGGAGCTTGCAGTGAGCCAAGATCGCACCACTGCACTCCAGCCTGGGCGACAGAGTGAGACTCCATCTGAAAAAAAGAAAAAAAAGAAAAGCCTAGGCCCAGAAGTTTCCCTGATGAATTCTACAAAACATTTAAAAAAGAAGTAATACCAATATTCTACAGCTCTTCCAAAAACATAGAAAGACAAAACATATTCTAGCTCCTTTTCTGAGGCCAGTATCACCCTAATAGTAAAGCTATGCAAATATGTAATGAGAAAATAAAATCACGGACAAATATCGGTCATTAATATAAATGCAAAAATCCACAACAAAATATTAGCAAACTGAGTCCAACAACATAAAAACAAATTATACAGTTGAGATTTATCTCATGAGTGTAGGGCTGGTTTAATACTTGAAAATCAATTAATGTTGTATATCATATTAATAAAAAAGAACAAAAGCTAAATGATCATCTCAGTAGATGGATAAAAGCATCTATTGAAAAAAATCTAACATCTCTTCATGATAAAACTCTTAATACAGTTTGAATATAAAGGACATTCCTCAACTGATGAAGAGCATACAAAAAAACATTTTATGTGTATCACCATACTTAATGATGAAAGACTGAAGGCTTTTCCCTAAAGATTGAGAAAAGGGCAAGTATGCCTACTCTCACTTTA
Source organism: Homo sapiens (assembly GCF_000001405.40). Taxonomy (NCBI): domain Eukaryota; kingdom Metazoa; phylum Chordata; class Mammalia; order Primates; family Hominidae; genus Homo; species Homo sapiens. The sequence continues at coordinate 4,663,387 of NC_000018.10, forward strand.
TTACATAGAACAATTTAGCCAGTGTAAAAGGCAAGAAAAAGAAAAAGAAATAGAAATAAAAGGGAACAAAATTGGAAAAGAAGAAGTAAAACTTTTGTGATTGTCAGAAAACATGATCTTGTGTACAGCAAAGCTTAACTAGTCCACAAAACCCTACTGGAAGTGATAAATTACTTCAGCAAAGTTTCAGGATACAAGATTAACATTCATATAGATAAATAAACTTTATTTCTCTATATTGGCAAGGACAAATCTAAACATGAAATTAAGAGAAAGATTTTATTCACAATAGCATCAAAAGGAATAAAATATTTAGCAATAAATTTAACCTAAGAGGTATAATATCTGGACACTGAAAAGTTCAAAACATCAGTGTAGACAATTTTAAAAGATCCACACAAATGGAGAGATATTTCATGTTTATGAATTAGAAGATTCAACATTGTTAAGATTATAATTCTCTCCAATTTGGTCTACAGATTCAATGCAATTCACGATGAAAATTTCAGCTGAATTTTTTTTGCAAAAAATATACAAGATAATCCACAAATTTATATGGAATCACAAAAGACTAAGAATTTGTCAAAACTGTTTTTAAAAAGAGCAAAGTTGGAAAACTTTCACTTCCAACTTCAAAACTTACTTTCAACTACAATTACTAAGTGTGTTGCTCTGGCATAAATACATAATTTACATAAATATATATGTACACACACATATATATATGAAACAAAAACTGAGAGTCCATAAATAAACCTTTATATTTATGATGATTTGATTTTTGACAAAAGCGCTAATTCAATTCATTGAGGAATGGATAGCCTTTTAAAACAAATGGTGGTTGGACAATTGAATATCATATGCAAGAGTATGAACTTGGACCATTATCCCACACCAAAAACAAAAATTACCTCAAAATGGGATATAAACTTAAATGTAAAAACTAAAATGATAGGAAGTTCTCATTATTTCAAAAGATAACATAGAAGAATTTCTCTGCAACCCTGAGTTAGGCAAATATTTCTTGTATATAATACCAAAAGTGTGATCTTTAAGACACAAAATTGATCAGTTGGTTTTTATCAAGCATAAAAAGTTTTTCTCTTCAAAAGGTATCAGTTAGAAAATAAAAAGACAAACAAGAGTCTAGGAAAAAGTACTTGTAAAACACACATCTTATACAGGACTTAGGTCCAAAACATACCAAGGAGTCTATACCTCAGTAGTAAGAAAACTGTCAAATAATAAAAATGGATAAAATATTTGAATAGACATTTCACCAAAGAATATATATGAATGGTTAATAAACCCATGAAGAGATGCTCAACTTATTAGTCATCAGGGAAATGTAAATTAAAGCTACTAGAATGGCTATACAAAAAACAAAAGACAATGGCATAGGTTGATGAGGATGTCGATAAACATTCTCATATATGTTTGATACATTAGTGATGGTAATGTAAAATGGTCCAGCCACACTGAAAGTAGTTTAGAAACTTATTTAAAAGTTAAATATAAATTCACCATAATAAATAGCAATTCTATTCTTAAGTATCTACTCAAGAATAATGAAATCAGATATCCACACAAAGATTAACACGCAAATGTTCTTACCAGCATTAATCATAATAGCCAAAAAATGAAACAACCTATATTACCATTAACTAGTAGATAGAAAAAATGTCATATACTCATATAATGAAACACTATTCAGCAATAAAAGGGGTAGAAGAGCCTACTGATACATGCTTCAACATGAATGAACCTCAAAGACATTGCTAAATGAAAGAAAAGTGCCCTTCAAATGAGTGTAATATATGTATATAAAATGTGTTCAATAAAATTTTAAAAGATGTGATTCAGCAGTAAACATGCCCTGTCCTCTAACTCCTATGAAGCTGAAAGATTTGCCTTGGCATTGAGGAGAATAACTGTGAAAATGTCCTTGAAAATTGTAACCTTAAGCAGGTCCTCACAAGAATATCAGCCTAAATTGTTCTTGCAATACACACACCTTAAGCAATGAATTAAGTTCAAAGTTGTTCCTGATGTATACTTTTCTGGTCACTTGACAGAAGCAAATATAAATTAGTCATCATCTTACCCTCAAAAACATCTTGTAGCCGGGCATGGTGGTTCATGCCTGTAATCCCAGCACTTTGGGAGGCTGAGATGGGTAGATCACTTGAGGCTAGGAATTTGAGAACAGCCTGGTCAACATGATGAAACCCCATCTCTACTAAACATACAAAAGTTAGCCAGGCATGGTGGTGCATGCTTGTAATCCCAGCTACTCAGGAGGCTGAGGCAGGAGAATTGCTTGAACCAGGGAGGTGAAGGTTGCAGTGAGCCAAGATCGCACCACTGCACTCCACCCTGGGCAACGGAGAGAAACTCTGTCTCAAAAAAACAAAAACAAAAACAAATTGTAAACACTGAATGGAAATGATCATCTTACAATAAAAAATCATCAAGCACACAAATAAAGCCACCATGAGTAATAACAGAAACAACAGATAGAAGAAAGAAAACTTGCTGGCTTACTATATAAAATATAAGAAGTGTAAAAACATATGCAGAGAAGAGAAAATTATCAAGAATCACCATGCATGTCTGAAAAATAATATAATTTTTAGAAATTAAAAGTAAAATAAGCCAAAATTTCTATGGAGAATTTGAACAGCACATTGGACACAGTTGAAGACATAGATGATAAACTTGAAATATTACAAATGAAATTACCCAGAATACTTTACATAGAGAAAAATAGATTAAAAATAGAGATGGGACAAGATGACCGACTAGATGCAGCCAGGAGGAACATCTGCCACTGATGGAGTGGGATATCAGGAAGACTGGCATCCTTCTAGCAGATCTTGAGAGAGAAAGCACTGAAAATGGATGGAGGGAAGACACAGATTCTGGGATGAATGGGGAGGAAGCTAGGAACCCTGCACAGAGCTACTGCACATCAAGGCTCATTCCTAGCCCCTAACAACTCCTGGGGAAGGGGTGAGTTGAGTGGACAAGGAGCAACTTGCTCTCACCATGGGCCTCTGGTATCATGGCAACAAGAGACTCCACAACCTCCACAGACACTTGAGCTGGCAGGGAGACCTTCTTAGAGAAGTGGTGAGGCAGAACTCCAGCTGGTGTGAAGCCCAAAGGGTTTGGTGCAGGAGCATCTGTAGTGGAGCATGGCCATGAATGACTATCCCCCAAGGCTTGCCTTGCTCTCTTAGGAGACTTTAGCCCTAGGGAAACTGCAGAACCTGAAAAGGGCAGGACAGTCTTGCCCATGAGATGGTGCTGGTTGAACCCGAGAATCCCTTGATCTGCTGGTCTCTCCAGGGGCCCCATCCTGGCCATGCCTGCTTGCAGCCTTGAATGCCGAGGTGGAGTGCTTTCTGGAAGGTCTGCATCACAGCTCCTGTGCTGGTGGACCATACTAGACCAGTGGAGAGCACTACGGAGTGGTCCCTGCAGATGCACAACAGCCTACCCACACACTTCATCCACTGAAGCCTCCCCCATGCTGCTTTGCCTACACACACTCACCCACGGCCACCCCCAACATTGCTTTGTCACACAGTGTCCATTGCAGGAAGACCTTGCCTACCCTTCCCCACCAGCACATGTGTGCATGTGCACCCCACTGTGCCACTGCTGCAGGTGTGAGTGCACCCTGTCCCCCCAACCCCCACCATGCTGCCATTGCCATCAGAGCATTTGTGGGCATGGAGACCACCAGCCCCATGCCACCAGCACCCCATCCCTGTGCTAAAACTGCTGCTGGTGCAAGCACACACAGGGACACCAAGAAGCTCCTCCCCTCACCAATGACCTTTTGCCACCACTACCACTGCAAATGCCTGCACAGAGGCATGCAACCCACCACAGCAAACAAGTGTGTACCCCATTGCATTGCCACTGCTGCTGACATATACAACAAGGATGAATAGTACTGCCACCACCTACAAAGCACTTTGGCTGGCACCACCCATGAGTGTTGTCACCAGTGGCCTTCAAACACATTGGCCCCTCCAGTGTGGTAGGTTACTTAAATTCAAGGGGAAAGAAAACAAAGCAAGGATCCTGATACCAGCCCCCTAGAGCCACAGCATGCTGTCCAGTAATCCTAAGGTGAGCCTTGGACCCTTAAAATCTTCCAGACAGAAGCCAGCCGAATGAACCCATGTTATTCCACAATCAAACCTCAAAGCACATTAAATAGGATAAAAGGAACATCAAAAAGAAAACCATCCAAAGGATGGTAACTTCAAAAATTGGCAGAACATCAGCCCACAAAGATGAGAGAGAACCAGGACAAGAACTCTCCAACTCAAAAAGTCAGAATGTCTTCTTAACACCAAACAATCACATTAGTTCCACAGCAATGGTTCTTAACTAGGCTGAGATGGCTGAAATGGCAATAATAGAATTCAGAATATGGATAGGAACAAAGATCATGGACATACAGGAGAAAGTCAAAACCCAATCCCAGGAATCTAAGTATTACAAAAATGATATGAGTTGACAGATAAAATGGCTGTCATAAGAAAGAACCAAACTTACCTGATAGAGCTGAAAAACACACCACAAGAATGTTATAATATAATTACAAATAGTAACACCAGAATTGACCAAGCTGAGGAAAGAATCTCAAAGCTTGAAAAATGGTTCTCTAAAATAACTCAGTCACAGAAAAAGGAAAAACAACAAAGAGGAATGAGTAAAACCTCTGAGAAATATGGGATTATATAAAGATACTTAATCTATGGCTTACTGGTATGCCTGAAAGAGAGAGAAACCAAGCAACTTGAAAAACATATTTCGGGATATCATCAATGAAAATTTCCCCAACCTTGCTAGAGGCCAGCATTCAAATTCAGGAAATGCAGAGAAGTCCTGCAAGTTACTTCACAAGAAGATCATCCCAAGAAACACAGTCATCAAATTCTCCAAGGTCGAAATGAAAGAAAAATTATTAAAGGCAGCTAGAGAAAAGGGGCAGGTCACCTACAAAGGGAACCCCATCAGGCTAACAGTAGACTTGATCAGCAGAGACCCTACAAGACAGAAGAAATTGGGGCCTATATTCAGGATTCTTAAAAAAAAATTTTTCCACCAAGTATTTTATATCTGGCTAAACTAAGCTTTATAAGCAAGGAGAAATAATATCCTTCTCAGACAAGCAAATGCTAAGGGAATTTGTTACCATCAGTCCTTCTTTACAAGAGATTTTGTAGGGAGTGCTAAACATGGAAAGAAAAGACCATTACCAGCCACTACATAAACAAACATAAATACATAGTCTAGTCTAGTGATATTAGGTATCATCCATACAAACAAGTCTGCATAATAACCAGCTAACAATGTGATCACAGGATCTAATTTACACCTACCAATACTAACTTTGAATGTAAATGAGCTAAATGCCCCAATTAAGAGACACAGAGTGGCAAGTTGGAGAAAGATGCAAAACTCAGTGGTATGTTGTCTTCAAGAGACCCCCCTTACATGTGATGACATCCATAGGCTCAAAGTAAAAGGATGGATAAAAATCTACAGAGTGAACAGAAAGCAGAAAAAACTGGGCGTTGCTATTCTAACTTCAGACAAAAAGAACTTTAAGTCAATAAGGTTCAAGAAAAGATAAAGAAGGGCATTACATAATGGTGAAAGGCTCAATTCAACAAGAAGACCTAACTATTCTAAATATATACACACCCAACACAAAGTATCCAGATTCATAAAGCAATTTTTTAGAGAACTATGAAGAGATTTAGATAACCAACAATAATAGTGGGATAGTTGAACACTGAACTGACAATATTAGACAGATCATCAAGACATGATACTAACAAAAATATTCAGGATCTTAACTCAACACTTGATGAAATGGACCTAATAAACATCTACAGAGGTCACCACCCCAAAGCAACAGAAAATACACTCTTCTCATCTGCAAAGGGTACATACTCTAAAATTGACCACACAGTTGGGTATAAAATAACCTTCGGCAAATTCAAAAAATCGAAATTATACCAACCACAATCTCAGACCATAGTGCAATAAAAGTAGAAATCAATGCTTAGAAAATTACTCCATACGATTAAATGGAAATTAAATAGCATGTTTCTGAATGTCTTCTGAGTAATAATGAAATTAAGGCAGAAATCAAGAAATTATTTGAAATTAATGAGAAAAAAGATATACGAGAATCTCTGGTACACAGCCAAAGCAATGTTAAGAAGGAAGCTTATGGCACTAAATGCTCACATCAAAAAGTCTGGGCCAGGCTCAGTGGCTCATGCCTGTAATCCTAGCACTTTGAGAGTGCTAGGTGGGTGGATCACCTGAGGTCAGGGGTTCGAGACCAGCTTGGCCAACATGACGAAGCCCCATGTCTACTAAAAATACAAAAAAAAAAAAAAAAAATTAGCCAGGCATGCAGCACATGCCTGTAATCCCAGCTACTCAGGAGGCTGAGGCAGAATACCTTGAACCCAGGAGGCAGAGGTTGCAGTGAGCTGAGATCATACCACTGCACTCCAGTCTGGGCAACAGAGTGAGACTCTGTCTCAAAAAAAAAAAAAAAAATTGAAAGATCTCAAATTATCAACAACATCACAACTAGAGGAGCTAGAGAAACAAGGACAAACTAACTCTAAAGCTAGCAGAAGACAAGAAATGACAAAAATCATAGCTTAACTGAAGTAAATTAAAACATGAAAAACTACAGAAATATCAATGAACCAGGAGCTGGTTTTTGAAGAAATTAAGAAAAGCAGCCCACTAGCTAGACTAATAAAGAAAAAAGAGAAATTCCAAATAAACACTATCAGAAGTGACAAAGGGGAGGTTACCACTGACTCCACAGAAATACAAAAACCCTCAGAGACTATTATGAAAACCTGTATGCACATAAGCTAGAAAACCTAGAAGAAATGGATAAATTCCTTGAAACATACAACCTCCAAGACTGAATCAGGAAGATATTGAGTCCCTGAACAGAACAATAATGAGTTCTGAGATTGAATCAGTAATAAAAAGCCTACCAACTAGAAAAAAACCAGTACCAGATACATTCACAGCTGAATTCTGCCAGATGTGTAAAGTAGAGCTGGTACCATTCCTACTGAAAGTATTTTAAAAAATTGAGGGAGAGAGACTCCTTCCTAATTCATTCTGTGAGGCCAGCATCATCCTGATATCAAAACCTGGCAGAAACACACCAAAACAGAAAATTTTAGGGCAACACTCTTGATGAACACAAATGCAAAAATACTCAGGAAAATACTAGCAAACAAAATCCATCAATACATCAAAAATGAATCCACCATGAACGAGTAGGATTTATTCCTGGAATTCAAGGTTGGTTTAACATATACAAATCAATAAATGTTATTCACCACAAAAACAGAAGTAAAAACATAAACCACATAACCTCAATAGATGCAGAAAAAGCCTTTGATAAAACTCAACATCCTTCATGTTAAAAATCCTCAAAACACTAGGCATTAAAGGAACATACTTCAAAATAGTAGGAGCCATCTATGACAAACCATAGACAACATCATACGAAATGAGTAAAACTGGAAGTATTCCCCTTGAAAACTCGAATAAGACAAGTATGCCCTCTCTCCCCACTCCTATTCAACAAAGTAATGCAAGTCCTAGCCAAAGCAATCAGGCAAGAGAAAGAAATAAATGTCATCCAAATAGGAAGGCAGGAAGTTAAAATATCCCTGTTTGCCAATGATATGATTCTATACCTAGAAAACCTGATAGTACCTGCCCCAAAACTCCTTGTTCTTATACACAACTTCAGCAAAGTTTCAGGATATAAAATCAATGTACAGATATCAATAGCATTCTTATACACAAACAACATCCCAACTAAGAGTCTAATCAGGAATGCAATGCCATTCACAATAGCCACAAAAAGAATCAAATACCTAGGAATAGAGCTAATTAAGGTGTTAAAAGGCCTCTACAATGAGAATTACAAAAAACTGCTGAAATAAATCAGAAGTGACATGAACAAATGGAAAAACATTCCAGGCTTGTGGATAGAAAGAATCAATATTGTCAAAATGGCCATACTGCCCAAGCAATTTACAAATTTCATGCTATTACTATCAAATTATCGATGACATTATTCACAGAATTAGGAAAATAAACTGTTTTAAAATTCATATATAACCAAAAATAGCTCAAACAACCAAGGGAAAATAACAAAGCAGGAGGCATCACATTACCTGACTTAAAACTACACTATAAAACTACAGTAACCTAAACAGCAAGGTACTGGTACAACAGTCATATAGATCAATGGAACAGCATAGAGAGCCCAAAAATAATGCCACACACTTAAAACCATCTGATCTTCAACAAAATTGACAAAAGCAAGCAAAGGGGAGAGGACTTCCTATTCAATAAATGGTGCTGGATTAACTGGCTCACCACATGCACAAGATCGAAACTGGTCCCCTTCCTTACATCATATCCAAAAATTGACTCAAGATGGATTAAAGACTTCAATTTAAAACCAAAAACTATAAAAACCCTGAAAGATAACCTCGGAAATATCATTCTGGACATAGGACCTAGCAGACTTCATGACAAAGATGCAAAAAGCAATTTCAACAAAAACTAAAATTGACAAATGGGACCTAATTAAACTAAACAGCTTCAGCACAGCAAAAGAAACTATCAACAGAATAAACAGACAACCTACAGAATGGGAGAAAATATTTGCAAACTATGCATCCAGTAAAGGTATAAACTCTAGCATCTATAAGGGACTTAAACAAATTTACAAGCAAACAACAAACGACTTCATTAAAATGTGGACAAAGGGACATTAACAGACACTTTCCAAAAGAAGACACACGTGTGGTCATAAAGCATATAAAAAACTGCTTAACACTAGTAATCATTACAGAAATGCAAATTAAAACCACAAAGCCATTCTCACACCGGTCAGAATGACTATTATTAAAGAGTCAAAAGATAGCAGACGCTGGCGAGGTTGTGGAGAAAAAACACTTATGAACTGCTGGTGAGAATGTTAATTAGTTCAGCCATTGTGGAAAGCAGTTTGGCAACCTTTCGAATAATAAGCCTACTTGAGTGTGGAGGGTAGGAGGAAGGTGAAGATTGAAAAACTATCTATCGGGTACTGTGTTTATTACCTGGGTGACAACATAATTTGTACACCAAACCCTACAACATGCAATTTACTTATATAACAACCTACACATGTATGCATGAACCTAAAATAAAAGTTTAAAAAAGAGATGGAAAATAGACAATTATAAGACATGGAAATAATATGCATTAGTTAGGGTTTCAAAAGGATAGGAAATTAAGAATGTGGCAAGTGCAGTATTTGGAGAAATAATGGCTCTGAGGTAGATTGATTGCAAAAATTGCTGCAGTTCTTTACCCCTCCCTGTATGCATGCTCTTTGCAATGTGACTTTGGAGAGGCACCCATCAAGAAGTGGAATTCATTTTCCCATGCTTTGAAAATAGGCTGGCCTCTTGACTTCCTTTGAACAATAGAATGCATAAGTGACAGAGTGCCTGTTCTGAACTTAGGCTTCAAGAAGTCTTAGGTGGTCCTACTCTTTCTCTTAGAGCCTTATCACTGTCATGTGGAAAACCTCCCTGCTGGAGAATGACAACCCATGTGGAGGAAAGCCCAGTTTCAGCTGAAGACATCTTAGACAAGCCAAGGGTCAGCTGAGCCCCACATATGTGAGACAGTCCTGTCAAGATCATCAGAACAGACTACCTACCTGTCTTATAGTTGACTGAAAATTCATGAATTAGCCCGTCCAAAGTGGGCTTCCCTGGTGACCTACAAAATTTAGAATAAGTCTTTGTTTGTAGACTTAGAAGGAGGAAAATGTATATGGTAAACTTTTGAAATTGGCCAAGATGATAACCAGGCAGAATATTAAAAGTGTCAGCTGACTGTTCTTATCTGTGCAAGGCACAGAACTGAAAAAAGAAAAAAGAGAGAGGGAGATGACCTAGTAGGAGAACTGGCCACTGCACTAGTGTAATTTAGAGGAAATATAGAGAGTTGGAAAATAGATACATTTTTAATCTCCAGTCTCTCAGTTAGTAAAATTTTCTCAATGTAGAATGATGCCTGAGGACTAAGATAAAAATCAAGAATGTGATTCTAAGACCCTTTTTGCCAGCAGGTTTTCTCATCTAGACAAAAGGGATTTCTAGAACATTCAAGGGCATAATGCATAGAAGCCTAATACCAACATAGTAGTAATTAGAAGAAAGCAAATTTCAAAAACAATTGTGGATGTGATGCTTGAGGTAGAATGTAATCAGATACGTTGAATATCCACCAAGTTTTAAAGTAAATTGAGTTGGCAAAAGAGCACTAAGTTTATATTAAAAGAGACTGAGAGTGTTCAAATTGCAATAAGACCTTTGGGTCCCCAGTTTGCTATGAGCAATAAGCAGGTTGAGATGTCTACTCAATGCCCAAAATTTGTCATTCTTTAGAGGTGGTCAAGCAGGTTGAGTAGAAAGGATAAATGTCTTAGAGGGAAAATACAAGAAATGAGGACTCATAACCATTAGTAGGACATAGATTTTCTTACATATACATCAATTTTCTTGAATCATTACTTGTAAGATCTAGCAAAGGAGGTAAATTAGATAGCAATCTTATAGCATTTTTAAGTGAATACATTAAGACACCAGACTTTAAAAGTTCAATATTTGATTCTTGTTTGGCTTATTCATCCATTCATTCATTCGTTTTTATTATCATTGCTGGATTAACTAACAAGTCCACTAGGAAAGTTTTCACTAAAAATATGAATAATTTATTGCTATTGATAGAAGCAGGATAGCATTCATCATTTCTCTTGATCTGGAGTTTATGTCTACTACATCACCAACCGCCTCTATTCTCATTGGAAAATTCTATTAATGCAGAGAAAGCCCCAGTTCTCTTCATTTGAATGCAAGGGGAAAATGCTATTCTATTGCTTGAAAGACAAAACTTTTCTATTTCCTATAAAATTTACATATATAGATAGACATAGATATATTTATTGACAAAATACCACAAATAAAATAGTATTCCCTTTTCTTTAATACATGCAATAAATTATAAAACTTAATGTTCACTCTTTAAACATAAAGAAAAAAGTAATCAATGGCATAGGCTTCACTCATCTTACAATTTATTGTGTGCCATGCTTTATAATGTAGTCTTTGCAGTGAAAATCACTTATATAAACTTATATAAAATAAGTTATTTTCTTCTTACTGCAAACTCTTGTTCTGTAAAACATAACCATATGGATAAAAATGAAGGCTACTTGCAGGATTTGTTTCAAAACAGAGATTATACTTGAAACAGTAGCAGAATAACAAACACTTCATGCAGTTCATTGCACTACTATCATTGAAACTCTACAAAGCAATCAAATTTATCTGAACAGCCAAAAGTGTGATGAGACCCCGCATGATTAAAACTCTGAGCATATTTATGTCTTGCTGAATGCCTGCGTGTTTCATGGGTTTTATTAATAACCCATCAAAGTGAATTTAACAAGTGTGGTCTCTCCTTTCGATAGAAGACTATAAATTAAGACAGACAATGTTGACAAATATACACTCATTTTTAAACTATTGACAAAACTAACTATTACAATTTGAATCAAGTAGATATGATACCCTTTTGTTAGGCAATATGGTCTATAAGAAAGAGCCATGGATTGAAGGCAAAAATGATGTTCCAGTAAGGTTCAGTTGTTTGCTAGCTATTCTTAAACTCTAAAATCTCTGAGTTCATTTAAAAGCAATATTCAACTTGTCCAACTGAGGAGTTGCTATGATTAAATGTGGTAATGTATGTAAAATAAAGTCATTTGTAAGTTGCTATGGAAGATTAGAATAGCAAAAATGCCAAGACAATAAGTAAACACTTTCTTATGTAGTGATTTAGTTGTAACCTATAATGGCTTGGAATTCACTGGGGGAGAACAGTGGGAGAAAGACCATGAACAGAGGCCAAGAATGGAGAAGGAAAAAGGAAAAGCCTGGCTCACAGAGAGCATCTGGATGCCACCTTGGAGGGAAAGTTGAAGTTGGCACAAACAAATGTATCTATTAGACTGAGACTCTAAAAATATATCTAAGTATGACCCATGCTTCTGTCTTTCCCTGCCTAGCATAGTATTCACATGTTATAGGTGTCTTCTCTCAAGTTCTCTAGAAAAAAAAAACACCTCATATTTTATTTGTGAAATACAAACTTAAGCCTTTAGCCATTAATTAAAAGTTTTATTTTTAAAAGTTTGAAGACAAAGAATTGGGTTTCCTAGGCACATAATAAGTTACAGCTCAGCACTGCTACGCTGATACTTTTATGTCTACCTCCTCATCAAGCCCAGAAAACTATAATTTTTCCTATACTATTCATGTCAAAGTGTTCTGTTGCTTATTGTCCCTCAAAATTATCCCCCAAACTTCTGCATAATTTTGTCTCTTAGCCTATTTACTTACTTTTTTTTTTGACCTATTTACTTTCTACACAATTGGCCTTGGTGCCTCTGTTTCTGAAAATGGCACCGGCTAGTTTTCACTTCATTCACCCAATGAATTAATGGAAGTTTTTTATATTCTTGAAGCAAAAGAGGAGCTTTGAACTAGACCTGAGAAATTCAGTTTATGTGTAGGGAAAAAAATAATTATTTGGCCAATACTGTTGCTATGCAACCACTACAACAACCAGCACTAAAATGAAATGTAACTTCATAAATGAGAGCTGGTTTGAAAAGAATATGGTTAGAGACTATTAATCAAAGCCAGCACCTGCTAGAGCCTCCTGAAAAGAACGAGCTAGAGAGGAAATCAAGGGCTTTATAAGAATGTATATAATTTTTTTTTCTGAAGAAAGCCCAAGTGCAGACTCATGGGGTTGTTCCTTAAGTTCTAAAATTATCTCCGGCTGTGCATCTGCAATACACAACTAATTATGATTAAAGCAGTAATGGGCCACCTACACCTGTTATGATGCAAAAGAGACACATCACCATTTAGATTTTTTAAATGTTTCAACTGTAAGTGAAATAATATGTAGGTTTTTGTAAAGGAGAGAGCATGGTCACAAGGATAACTGAAAGCACTAATTCTATAGCTCCTCTTTGAAACTTAGAATAAAACTCAACATTGAATATTTGCTGAACATATTAATATAAGAATGCATTATTTTAATAAATATTAGAAAATCTAATAATGTCATCAAGTATTACAGATGAGACTTTTTTAGGGATATTTTCTCCATATGAGACAAAGCATTTGCTATCACTCTGGTCATTTTTTTTCTTTTTCTGTGGGGTGTCAAAGTGTACCCTAAAAATTCACATATGAATGAAGACTACCTACTTCTCCTTCCTTAAGGAAGAATAAAGTAATCGTAGGGTACGTATTAACCAGCATTCTCTAGAGAAACAGAAACAATAGAATATCTAGATTTTATAAGGCTGTCAAGTCCTGAGATCTGCAGGGTGAGTAGGCAAGCTGGAGAGTAGGAATGCTGATGGTTTGTTTCCAGTCTGAGGCTGAAGGCCTGGGATTTGGGAGAACTGATGGTGTAGTTCCAATCTGAAGGGCGTCAGACTTGAAACCCAGGGAGAGCCAGCATTTTGACTCAAGTCCAAAGACAGGAGAAATCTATTTCCCAGCTGGAACCAGTTAGGCAGGACGAATCTTCCCTTCCTTGGAGAAGGATCAGCTTTTTGGTTGTGTCCAGGCCTTCAACTGATTGAACAAGGCCCACCTACATAGGGAAGGCAACGTGCTTTACTCAATCTACCAATCTGAATATTAACCTTATCCAAAACACCTTCACAGAAACACCCAGAATGTTTGACCAAATATCTGGGTACCTTGTGGCCCTGTCTAGTTGACACATAAAATTAACTATCACAGGGTTCTTATCTGAAATGTTCCCATCTTTCAAGGTTTCTGTGATCTGGCCTCAGCCTCATTTATTCAACTTGGTTGAATGTTAATCACATGAGCCTTCTTGTTTCTGGTTATCTGGATCTAATTAATCCTCAAATATTTCCATGTACATACTCATCCTACCATGCCCTTGATAGAAGTAGCCCCGATACTCAAAATGACTCATCTTCTTTTGTTTACTTAAATCTTACCCAAATTCAGACTCCTAGCTCTATTGTCATGTCCAGAAATCCTTCTGGGACTCCTTTAGCTTTAATGTATCTCTTCTTTCTCTGAAATCCTATAGAGTGAGGGAGGTCTGTGTCATCTAAAGTTAAAGTCTATTAGAGAATTTCTTTTGTTATTTGTTCTTTTGTAATGTGTGGTAATATTCTTAACAGAATGTAGGTTTGTTGAAACTAAGGGTCATCTGCTATTTTCATTTATCTATTTAACATGTAGTAAAAATCTGCTCACAAGGTATTCACACTTTGATAAGGAAATTGGAATAATTAACAGATAATTCCAATAGTGTAATTAGTGATCTCATACAGGCAAGCATATGGTGTTATGAGTGCAGAGGTTAGGAAAGCGTTAAAGAGTTGCTCCAGAAGTAAGCAGCTTAAAACAACAAATATTTATTATCTCGCAATTTTTGAGGGTCAGGAATCTGGAAACAGCTCAGCTGCCTGGTTCTGGCTGAAGATCTCTGATGAGAGATCTGTCAAGCTCCTCATTGAATGTACAATCTCATCTGAAAGCTCAATTGGGGGAGGATCTGCTTCCATGTGCCCTTATCACATGGAACCTGGCTTCCCTCAGAAAAAGTTCATATGAAGAAAGAAAAGGGATCATCATTGCAGACAGGAGGCAGGACTAGATTGCAGCTCCAACTTAGATGGACAGAGCATCGTGCAGAGGCTCACATAGTAAATTTCAGTTCCAGAATCACTGCAAGAATAAATCAGGAATGCTGAGACAACCCACAGACCCTCTGAAGGAAATGGACTGCTCCTGCAGGACCCGGGAGACATCCTAAATACTGTGAGTGCCCACACTGCAGAAGTGGGAAAGGGAGATCCTCCACCCCTGAACATGCACCTCCCACTGGGGAAACCGAAGGTCTAGTTTGCAGGAGAAGTTTCCAACTTACTCAGAGCTGAATCAGTTTAGAGAGCTGAGTGAAAAACGGGTAGAGAAAGCAGCGGGAAAGGCCCTGGGAGCTTGCTGGGTCCCCAAGCCAGCCATTCCTTCCTGGCATCACAGGGATCCTTTGGGAGGGTGGCCAGAGGCATGGGGAAAACACCACATGGGGAAGGAAGTCTCCAGCTGAACTTTGTAACAGTTTGAACCAGTCGAGAAGCCTCCTGGCCAGAACTCAGGGGAGGGCGCAAATCCTGTGTGCAGACTCCACAGGTTGGGGAAGAACTAAAGCCCTTTTCTTTCACAGCTGGGAGGTGGGTACCCTGGGGCAAGTTCTCAGCCCTGCTTGCCCACTGCCTGGAAACAGACTCGGTGCTGTTAGCGGGGGCATGGTGGGAGTGAGACCAGCCCTTTAGATTGCATGGGAGCTGAGTGAGGCCTGTGACTGCCGGCTTTCCCCCACTTCCCTGACAACCTAACATGACTCAACAGAGGCAGCCATAATCCTCCTAGGTACACAACTCCATTGACCTGGGAACCTCACCCTCTTCCCCCACAGCAGCCCCAGCAAGACCTGCCCCAAGGAGAGTGAGCTAAAACACATCTAGACTTTCCCTCACCTGATGGTCCTTCCCTACCCACCCTTGTAGCTGCAGACAAAGGGCATATACTCTTGGGAATTCTAGGGCCCTGTCCACCACCAGTTCCTCTCCATACTAACACAGCTGATGCTCTCTGGAAAGTGCCATGTCCTGGCAGTAGGCCAACTGGTGCAAAAACAGAGCATTAAACCACCAAAGCTAAGAACAAACACAAAGTCCATTTCACCCCACTGCCACCTCCACCGGAAAAGGTGCTGCTATCCATGGCTGAGAGACCCAGAGATGGTTCACAGCACAGGACTCTATGCAGACAACCCCCAGTACCAGCCTGGAGCCTGGTAGACTTCCTGGGTGGCTAGACCCAGAAGAGAGGTAACAATCTCTACAGCTCAGCTCTCAGGAAGCCATATCCATAGGAAAAAGGGAAGAGTACTACATCAAGGGAACACCCCATGAGACAAAATAATATGAACAACAGCCTTCAGCCCTAGACCTTCCCTCTGACAGAGGCTACTCAAATGAGAAGGAACCAGAAAACCAATCCTCATAATATGACAAAACAAGTCTCTTTAACACCCCCCAAAATCACACTAGCTCACCAGCAATGGATCCAAACCAAGAAGAAATACCTGATTTACCTGAAAAAGCATTCAGGAGGTTAGTTATTAAGCTAATCAGGTAGGCACCAAAGAAAGGCGACACCCAATGCAAGGAAGCACAAAAAATGATACACGAAGTGAAGAGAGAAATATTCAAGGAAATAGATAGCATAAAGAAAAAATAATCAAAACTTCAGGAAACACTGGACACACTTATAAAAATGTAAAACACTCTAGAAAGTCTCAGCAACAGAATTGAACAAGCAGAAGAAAGAAATTCAGAGCTCAAAGACAAGGTCTTTAAATTAACTCAGTCCAACAGAGAAAGAAGAATAAGAAAATATGAACAATGCTTCCAAGAATTCTGGGATTATGTTAAAAGAACAGACCTAAGAATAACTGGTGTTCCTCAGGAAGAAGAGAAATCTAAAAGTTTGGAAAACATATTTGGGGGAATAATCGAGGAAAACTTCCCCAGCCTTGCTAGAGACCTAGACATCCAAATACAAGAAGCACAAAGAACATCTGGGAAATTCATTATGAAAAGATCATTGCCTAGGCACATTCTCATCAGGTTATCTAAAGTTAAGACAAAGGAAAGAATCTTAAGAGCTCTGAGACAAAAGCACCAGGTAACCTAAAAAGGAAAACCTATCCAATTAACAGCAGATTTCTCAGCAGAAACCCTACAAGCTAGAAGGGATTGGGGCCCTATCTTCAGCTTCCTCAAACAAAACAATTATCAGCCAAGAATTTTGTATCCAGCGAAACTAAGCATCATGTATGAAGGAAAGATACAGTCTTTTACAGACAAAAAAATGCTGAGAGAATTTGACTCTAGCAAGCCATTACTACAAGAACTGCTAAAAGGAGCTCTAAATCTTGAAACTAATCCTGGAAACACATCAAAACAGAACCTCTTTAAAGCCTAAATTTCACAGGACCTATAAAATAATACTACAATTTAAAAAACAAAAACAAAAAACCAAGGTACACAGGCAACAAATAGCACAATGAATGGAATAGCACCTCATATCTCGATACTAACATTGAACGTAAATGGCTTAAGTGCTCCACTTAAAAGATACAGAACTGCAGAATGGATAAGAATTCACCAACCAACTATCTGATGCATTCAATAGACTCAACTAACACATAAGGACTCAGATCAACTTAAAGTAAAGGGATGGAAAAAGGCATTTCATACAAATGGACACCAAAAGTGAGCAGGGGTAGCTATTCTTATGTCAGAGAAAACAAACTTTAAAGAAACAGCAGTTAAAAAAGACAAAGAGGAACATTATATAATGATAAAAGGCCTTGTCCAACAATAAAATATTACAATCCTAAACATATATGCACTTAATACTGGGGCTGCCCAATCTATAAAACAATTACTAACAGACCTAAGAAATGAGATAGACAGCAACACAATAATAATGGGGAACTTCAATACTCCACTGACAGGACTAGGCAGGTCATCAAGACAGAAAGTCAACAAAGAAACAATGGATTTAAACTATACCTTGGAACAATGGACTTAACAGATATATACAGAATATCCTGTCCAACAACCACAGAATACCCATTCTTTTCAACAGCATATGAAACTTTCTCCAAGATAGATCACAGGGTAGGCCACAAAATGAGCCTCAATAAATTTAAGAAAACTGAAATTATATCAAGCACTCTCTCAAACCACAGTAGAATAAAACTGGAAATCAAGTCCAAAAGGAACCTTCAAAACCATGCAAATACATACAAATTAAATAACCTGCTCCTTAATGATCACTGGGTCAAAAATGAAATCAAGATGCAAATTAAAAAATTATTCAGACTGAAAGACAATAGTGGCACAACCTATCAAAACCTCTGGGATACATCAAAGGTAGTACTAAGAGGAAAGTTCATAGCCCTAAATGCAAACATCAAAAAGACTGAAAGAGTACTGAGAGACAGGACTAGCTGGATTTCTAGGCTGACTAAAAATCCCTAAGCCTAGCTGGGAAGGTGACCACATCCACCTTTAAACACGGGGCTTGCAACTTAGCTCACACCCGACCAATCAGAGAGCTCACTAAAATGCTAATTAGGCAAAAACAGGTTTTTAGCCAATCATCTATCGCCTGAGAGCACAGCAGAAGGGACAATGATCGGGATATAAACCTGGGCATTTGAGCCAGCAACAGCTACCCTCTTTGGGTCCCCTCCCTTTGTATGGGAGCTCTGTTTTCACTCTATTTCACTCTGTTAAATCTTGCAACTGCACTCTTCTGGTCCATGTTTGTAACGGCTCGAGCTGAGCTTTCACTCACCATCCACCACTGCTGTTTGCTGCCATCACAGACCCACTGCTGACTTCTGTCCCTCTGGATCTGGCAGGGTGTCCACTGTACTCCTGATCCAGCGAGGCATCCACTGCCACTCCCGATTGGGCTAAAGGTTTGCCATTGTTCCTGCAGGGCTAAGTGCCTGGGTTTGCCCTAATCAAGCTGAACACTAGTCACTGGGTTCCACAGTTCTCTTCCATGACCCACGGCTTCTAATAGAGCTATAACACTCACCGCATGGCCCAAGATTCCATTCTTTGGAATCCGTGAGGCCAAGAACCCCAGGTCAGAGAACACGAGGCTTGCCACCATCTTGGAAGTTGTCCGCCACCATCTTGGGAGCTCTGGGAGCAACGACCTCCTGGTAACATTTTGGCAACCATGAAAGGACCTCCAAAGCCGTGAGTAATATTGGACCACTTTTGCTTGCTATTCTGTCCTATCCTTCCTTAGAATTGGAGGAAAATACTGGGCACCTGTTGGCCAGTTGAAAACAATTAGCTTGGCCGCTGGACTTAAGACTCAGGTGTGAGGCTATCTGGGGAAGGGCTTTCTAACAACCCCCAACCCTTCTGTTGGGATGTTGGCCTGCCTGGAGCCAGCTTCCACTTTCAATTTTCTTGGAGAAGCCGAGGGCCGACTAGAGGCAGAAAGCTGTCATCCCGAACTCCTGGCATTAGCTGGTTGAGATCATGGTGCAGCCAGAAGTCTCTACTAACAGTCGCCCATGCGTGCACTGCTACCTTTCCTTCTGACCCATACCTCCTGGGTCATGATCACGACTTTCTTGAAAGTGTAGACCCAAAATTCTCCTTACCTCTGAATCTACTTCCTCTGATCCCTGCCTCCTAGGTATTAATGGTTCAGACTTTCATTTTCTCTAGCAAGTTGTATCTCCAAAGGGATCTAAGGAAGCTCTAGGCTGCGACCTTACGCATCTAGGCTATAAACCCAGGGAGTCTTATCCCTGGTGTCCCTCCCAATTTAGGTATACAGCTCTCGACATGGGCAGTTATGTGGGATACATTCCCCACCACCCTTGCCAGGGCCCCAAGTTTGTAATGGCTAAGAGGAGGAGAGAGAGAGACATGGAAGAAAGAGAGATGGAGGAGAGAGACAGAGACACGGAAGAGAGACAGACAGTGATGGAGGGGACAGAGAGAGATGGAGGGGAGAGAGAGAGAGAGATGGAGGGGAGAGAGAGAGAGGGAGTCAAAGAAAAAAAGAGAAAGAAATAGTAAAAAAATAAAAAAATAAAAAAACCCACAGTGTTACAGTGTGCCCTATTCCTTTAAAAGCCAGGTAAACTGAAAACCTATAATTGATAATTGAAGGTCTTCTCTGTGACCCTATAACACTCCAATACTACCTTCTTGTCAGTGTAAACAAGGGCATAGCCTGAAAACACTGAGACCACTGACAATCCATAGCTTTCCTATCAAAAATCCTTAACCCAGTAACCTGCAGATGCATTCAATCTGTAGCAGCAACTGCTTTGCTAACAGAAGAAAATAGAAAAGTAACTTTTAGAGGAAACCTCATCGTGAGCACACCACACCAGTTCAGAATTATTCTAAGTCAAAAAAGCAAAAAGGTAGCTTACTAACTCAAAAATCTTAAAGTATGGGGTAATTCTGTTAGAAAAAGGTAATTTAACAACAACCACTGATAATTCCCTTAACCCAGATTTCCTAACAGGGGATTTAAATCTTAATTACCATACAAAGGTCTGACCAGACCTAGGAGGAACTCCCTTCAGGATAGGACTATAGATAGCTCCTCCCAGGTGACTGAGGAAAAAAACCACAATGGGTATTCAGTAAGTGACAGGGAGACTCTTGTGGAAGCAGAGTTAGAAAAATTAAATTCCTGGACACATACACCCTCCCAAGACTAAACCAGGAAGAATTTGAATCCTTGAATAGACCAATAACAGTTCTGAAATTGAGGCAATAATTAATAGCCTACCAACCAAAAAAAGTCCAGGACCAGATGGATTCACACCTGAATTCTACCAGAGGTAACAGGAGGAGCTGGTACCATTCCTTCTGAAATTATTCCAATCAATAGAAAAAGAGAGAATCCTCCCTAACTCATTTTATGAGGCCAGCATCATCCTGATACCAAAGCCTGGCAGAGACACAACAAAAAAAGAGAATTTTACACCAATATACCTGATGAACATTGATGCAAAAATCCTCAATAAAATGCTGGCAAACCAAATCCAACAGCACATCAAAGAGCTTATCCACCATGATCAAGTGGGCTTCATCCCCGGGATGCAAGGCTGGTTCAATACATGCAAATCAATAAACGTAATCCATCATATAAACAGAACCAAAGACAAAAACCACATGATTATCTCAATAGATGCAGAAAAGGCCTTTGACAAAATTCAACAGCCCTTCATGCTAAAAACTCTCAATAAATTAGGTATTGATGGGATGTATCTCAAAATAGTAAGAGCTATTTATGACAAACCCACAGCCAATATCATGCTGAATGGGCAAACCTGGAAGCATTCCCTTTGAAAACTGGCACTAGACAGGGGTGCCCTCTCTCACCACTGCTATTCAACATACTGTTGGAAGTTCTGGCCAGGGCAATCAGGCTGGAGAAAGAAATAAAGCATATTCAATTAGGAAAAGAGGAAGTCAAATTGTCCCTGTTTGCAGATGACATGATTGTATATTTAGAAAACCCCATCGTCTCAGCCCAAAATCTCCATAAGCTGATAAGCAACTTCAGCAAAGTCTCAGGATACAAAATCAATGTGCAAAAATCACAAGTATTCCTATACACCAATAACAGACAAACAGAGAGCCAAATCATGACTGAACTCCCATTCACAATTGCTTCACAGTGAATAAAATACCTAGGAATCCAACTTATGAGGGATGTGAAGGACCTTTTCAAGGAGAACTACAAACCACTGCTCAACAAAATAAAGGAGGACACAAACAAACGGAAGATCATTCCATGCTCATGGATAGGAAGAATCAATATTGTGAAAATGGCCATACTGCCCAAGGTAATTTATAGATTCAATGCCATCCCCATCAAGCTACCAATGACTTTCTTCACAGAACTGGAAAAAACTACTTTAAAGTTCATATGGAACCAAAAGAGCCTACATTGCCAAGACAATCCTAAGCCAAAATAACAAAGCCGGAGGCATCACGCTACCTGACTTCAAACTATACTACAAGCCTACAGTAACCAAAACAGCATGGTACTGGCACCAAAACAGAGATATGGACCAATGGAACAGAATAGAGCCCTCAGAAATAATACCACACATCTACAACCATCTGATCTTTGACAAACCTGACAAAAAACAAGAAATGGGGAAAGGATTCCTTATTTAATAAACGGTGCTGGGAAAATTGGCTAGCCATATGTAGAAAACTGAAACTGGATCCCTTCCTTACACCTTACACAAAAAGTAATTCAAAATGGATTAAAGACTTAAATGTTAGACCTAAAACTGTAAAAACCCTAGAAGAAAACCTAGGCATTACCATTCAGGACATAGGCATGGGCAAGGACTTCATGTCCAAAACACCAAAAGCAATGGCAACAAAAGCCAAAATTGACAAATGGGATCTAATTAAACTAAAGAGCTTCTGCACAGCAAAAGAAACTACCATCAGAGTGAACAAGCAACCTATAGAATGGGAGATGTTTGCACTCTACTCATCTGACAAAGGGCTAATATCCAGAATCTACAAAGAACTCAAACAAACTTACAAGAAAAAAACAAACAACCCCATCAAAAAGTGGGCAAAGGATATGAACAGACACTTCTCAAAAGAAGACATTTATGCAGCCAAGAGACACATGAAAAAAAGCTCATCATCACTGGCCATCAGAGAATTGCAAATCAAAACCACCATGAGATACCATCTCACACCAGTTAGAATGGCAATCATTAAAAAGTCAAGAAACAACAGGTGCTGGAGAGGATGTGGAGAAATAGGAACACTTTTACACTGTTGGTGGGACTGTAAACTAGTTCAACCGTTGTGGAAGACAGTGTGGCAATTCTTCAAAGATCTAGAACTAGAACTACCGTTTGACCCAGCCATCCCATTACTGGGTATGTATGCAAAGGATTATAAATCATGCTGCTATAAAGACACATGCACATGTATGTTTATTGCAGCACATCACAATAGCAAAGACTTGGAACCAACCCACATGTCCATCAGTGATAGACTGGATTAAGAAAATGTGGCACATATACACCATGGAATACTATGCAGCCATAAAAAAGGATGAGTTCATGTCCTTTGTAGGGACATCAATGAAGCTGGAAACCATCCTTCTCAGCAAACTATTGCAAGGACAAAAAACCAAACACCACATATTCTCACTCATAGTTGGGAATTGAACAATGAGAACACTTGGACACAGGAAGGGGAACATCACACACCCAGGACTGTCGTGGAGTGGGGGAAGGGGGGAGGGATAGCATTAGAAGATATACCTAATGTAAATGACAAGTTAATGGGTGCAGCACACCAACATGGCACATGCATACATATGTAACAAACCTGCACGTTGTGCACATGTACCATACAATTTAAAGTATAATAAAAAAAAGAAAAAGAAAAATTGCCTAATAATTTGTCTGCTCAAATGTGCGGGCTGTTTGCACTCAGCCAAGCCTTAAAGTACTTACAGAATCAAAAGACTATCTCAATCCTGACTCAAAAGGTTACCTACACCCTCTCTGAAACAAATTTGCATAAGAACTGCTTTTACGGGAACGCATCTTGATGGCGCAGCTGGGTTGTTAGGAAATACTCAGGAACCCAGCCCAGCTCTAGGACTCACCTCTGAGTGCAAAGGCAATGTTGGGCATGCTGGTAAAGGACCACTAGAATCCAGCAGTGTGGACTGCTTTCTTTGTGGTCAAGAAAGGTGGGAAAACAGGTGCAGGACTTCTACATTGGTCAGCTTAACTAATCCGATAAGCAGAGGTCCATGGGTGGTTACGCACCATGGAAAGGAACTCACCTCTGAGCGCAAAGGCAATGCTGGGCATGCTGGTAAAGGACCACTAGAATCCAGCAGCCCAGGCCCCTTTCTTTATGGTCAAGAAAGGTGGGAAAAGGTGTGCAGGACTGCTACATCGGTGAGCATAACTAATCTAATAAGCAGAGGTCCATGGGTGGTTATGAACCCTGGAAAGGAATAAGCATTAGGACCATAGAGGATGCTCTATGACTAATGCTCATCAGAAAATGACTAGGGATGCTGGCATCCCTGTTATTTTTTCAGATGGGAAATGTTCCTCCCAAGGCAAAAACACCCCTAAGATGTATTCTGGAGAACTGGGACCAATTTGACCCTCAGACACTAAGAAAGAAACAACTTATATTCTTCTGCAGTGCCGCCTGGCCATGTTATCCTCTTCAAGGGGGAGAAATCTGGCCTCCTGAGGGAAGTATACATTATAACACCATCTTACAGCTAGACCTCTTTTGTAGGAAAAAAGGCAAATGGATTGAAGTGCCATATGTACAAACTTTCTTTTCATTAAGAGACAACTCACAATTATGTAAAAAGTGTGATTTATGCCCTATAGGAAGCCCTCAGAGTCTACCTCCCTACCCCAGTGTCCCCCCGACTCCTTCTCCAACTAATAAGACCTGTCTTCAACCCAAATGGTCCAAAAGGAGATAGACAAAGGGGTAAACGATGAACCAAAGAGTGCCAATATTCCCCGATTATGCCCCCTCCAAGCAGTGGGAGGAGGAGAATTCAGCCCAGCCAGAGTGAATGTACCTTTTTCTCTCTCAGACTTAAAGCAAATTAAAATAGACCTAGGTAAATTCTCAGATAACCCTGATGGCTATATTGATGTTTTACAAGGATTAGGGCAATCCTTTGATCTGATATGGAGAGATATAATGCTACTGCTAGATCAGACACTAACCCCAAATGAGAGAAGTGCTGCCATAACTGCAGCCCAAGAGTTTGGCAGTCTCTGGTATCTCAGTCAGGTCAATGACAGGATGATAACAGAGGAAAGAGAATGATTCCCCACAGGCCAGCAGGCAGTTCCCAGTGTAGACCCTCACTGGGACACAGAATCAGAACATGGAGATTGGTTCTGCAGACATTTGCTAACTTGCATGCTACAAGGACTAAGGAAAACTAGGAAGAAGCCTATGAATTATTCAATGATGTCCACTATAACACAGGGAAGGGAAGAAAATCCTACTGCCTTTCTGGAGAGACTAAGGGAGGCATTGAGAAAGCATACCTCCCTGTCACCTGACTCTATTGAAGGCCAACTAATCTTAAAGGAAAAGTTTATTACTCAGTCAGCTGCAGACATTAGGAAAAAACTTCAAAAGTCCACCTTAGGCCCGGAGCAAAACTTAGAAACCCTATTGAACTTGGCAACCTCGGTTTTTTATAATAGCGATCAGGAGGAACAGGCAGAATGGGACAAACAGGATAAAAAAAAGACCACCGCTTTAGTCATGGCTCTCAGGCAAGTGGACTTTGGAGGCTCTGGAAATGGGAAAAGCTAGGCAAATGGAATGCCTAATAGGGCTTGCTTCCAGTGCAGTCTATGGGGATACTTTAAAAAAGATTGTCCAAGTAGGAATAAGCCACGCCCTTGTCCACGCTCCTTATGTCAAAGGAATCACTGGAAGGCCCAGTGCCCTAGGGGAGGAAGGTCCTCTGAGTCAGAAGCCACTAACCAGATGATCCAGCAGCAGGATTGAGGGTGCCCAGGGCAAGCACCAGCCCATGCCATCACCCTCACAAAGCCCCGGGTATGCTTGACCATTGAGGGCCAGGAGGCTAACTGTGTCCTGGACATTGGCGTGGCCTTCTCAGTCTTACTCTCCTGTCCTGGACAACTATCCTCCAGATCTGTCACTATCCGAGGGGTCCTAGGACAGCCAGTCACTAGCTACTTCTCCCAGCCACTAAGTTGTGACTGGGGAACTCTACTCTTTTCACATGCTTTTCTAATTATGCCTGAAAGCCCCACTCCCTTGTTAGGGAGAGACATTCTAGCAAAAGCAGGGGTCATTATACACCCGAACATAGGAGAAGGAACACCCATTTGTTGTCCCCTGCTTGAGGAAGGAATTAATCCTGAAGTCTGGGCAACAGAAAGAAAATAAGGAAGAGCAAAGAATGCCTGTCCTGTTCAAGTTAAACTAAAGGATTCCACCTCCTTTCCCTACCAAAGGCAGTACCCCCTTAGACCTGAGGCCCAACAAGGACTCCAAAAGATTGTTAAGGACCTAAAAGCCCAAGGCCTAGTAAAACCATGCATTCGCCCCTGCAATACTCCAATTTTAGGAGTACAGAAACCCAATGGACAGTAGAGGTTAGTGCAAGATCTCAGGATTATCAGTGAAGCCATTGTCCCTCTATACCCAGCTGTACCTAACCCTTACACTCTGCTTTCCCAAATACCAGAGGACGCAGAGTGGTTTACAGTCCTGGACCCTAAGCATGCCGTTTTCTGCATCCCTGTACATCCTGACTCTCAATTCTTGTTTGCCTTTGAAGATCCTTCAAACCCAATGTCTCAACTCATCTGGACTGTTTTACCCCAAGGGTTCAGGAATAGCCCCCATCTATTTGGCCAGGCATTAGCCCAAGACTTGAGCCAATTCTCCTACCTGGACACTCTTGTCCTTCGGTACATGGATGATTTACTTTTAGCCACCCATTCAGAAACCTTGTGCCATCAAGCCACCCAAGCACTCTTAAATTTCCTTGCTACCTGTGGCTACAAGGTTTCCAAACCAAAGGCTCAGCTCTGCTCACAGCAGGTTAAATACTTAGGGCTAAAATTATCCAAAGGCACCAGAACCCTCAGTGAGGAACGTATCCAGCCTATACTGGGTTATCCTCATCCCAAAACCCTAAAGCAACTAACAGCGTTCCTTGGCATAACAGGTTTCTGCCAAATATGGATTCCCAGGTACAGCAAAATAGCCAGACCATTAAATACACGAATTAAGGAAACTCAAAAAGCCAATACCCATTTAGTAAGATGGACACCTGAAGCAGAAGTGGCTTTCCAGGCCCTAAAGAAGGCGCTAACACATGCCCCAGTGTTAAGCTTGCCAGTGGGGCAAAACTTTTCTTTATATGTCACAGAAAAAAACAGGAATAGCTCTAGGAGTCCTTACACAGGTCCAAGGGATGAGCTTGCAACCCGTGGCATACCTGAGTAAGGAAATTGATGTAGTGGCAAAGGGTTGGCCTCATTGTTTACAGGTAGTGGTGGCAGTAGCAGTCTTGGTATCTGAAGCAGTTAAAATGATACAGGGAAGAGATCTTACTGTGTGGACATCTCACAATGTGAATAGCACACTCACTGCTAAAAGACACTTGTGGCTGTCAGACAACAATTTACTTAAATATCAGGCTCTATTACTTGAAGGGCCAATGCTGCAATTGCACACTTGTGCAACTCTTAACCCAGCCACATTTCTTCCAGACAACAAAGAAAAGATAGAACATAACTGTCAACAAGTAATTGCTCAAACCTGTGCTGCTCAAGGGGACCTTTTAGAGGTTCCCTTGACTGATCCCGACCTCAACTTGTATACTGATGAAAGTTCCTTTGTAGAAAAAGGACTTTGAAAAGTGGGGTATGCAGTGGTTGGTGATAATGGAATACTCGAAAGTAATCCCCTTACTCCAGGAACTAGTGCTCAGCTGGCAGAACTAATAGCCCTCACTCGGGCACCAGAATTAGGAGAAGGAAAAAGGGTAAATATATATGCAAACTGTAAGTAGGCTTACCTAGTCCTCCATGCCCATGCAGCAATAGGGAGAGAAAGGGAATTCCTAACTTCCAAGGGAACACTTGTCAAACATCAGGAAGCCATTAAGAGATTATTATTGGCTGTACAGAAACCTAAAGAGGTGGCAGTCTTACACTGCTGGGGTCATCAGAAAGGAAAAGAAAGGGAAATAGAAGAGAACCGCCAAGCGGATATTGAAGCCAGAAGAGCCGCAAGGCAGGACCCTCCATTAGAAATGCTTACAGAAGGACCCCTAGTATGGGGTAATCCCCTCTGGGAAACCAAGCCCCAGTACTCAGAAGAAGACATAGAATGGGGAACCTCACAAAGACATAGTTTCCTCCCCTCAGGATGGCTAGCCACTGAAGAAGGAAAATACTTTTGCCTGCAGCTAACCAATAGAAATTACTTAAAACCCTTCACCAAACCTTCCACTTATGCATTGATAGCATGCATCAGATGGCCAAATTATTATTTACTGGACCAGGCCTTTTCAAAACTATCAAGCAGATAGTCAGGGCCTGTAAAGTGTGCCAAAGAAATAATCCCCTGCACTGCAGGCCATACAGGACAATCCCTGTATGTTTAACCTCCTTGTTAAGTTTGTCTCTTCCAGAATCAAAGCTGTAAAACTACAAATGGCTCTTCAAATGGAGCCCCAGATGCAGTCCATGACTAAGATCTACTGTGGACCCCTGGACCGGCCTGCTAGCCCATGCTCCAATGTTAATGACATTGAAGGCACCCCTCCCGAGGAAATCTCAACTGCACAACCCCTACTATGCCCCAATTCGGCAGGAAGCAGTTAGAGTGGTCGCCAGCCAACCTCCCCAACAGCACTTGGTTTTCCTGTTTAGAGGGGGTACTGAGAGACAGGACTAGCTGGATTTCTTAGGCCAGCTAAAAATCCCTAAGCCTAGCTGGGAAGGGGACTGCATCCACCTTTAAACAGGGGGCTTGCAACTTAGCTCATACCCAACCAATCAGAGAGCTCACTAAAATGCTAATTAGGCAAAAACAGGAGGTAAAGAAACAACCAATCATCTATCACCTGAGAGCACAACAGGAGGGACAATGATCGGGATATAAACCCAGGCATTCGAGCTGGCAATGGCTACGGCTCGAGCTGAGCTTTCACTCGCCATCCACCACTGCTGTTTGCCGCCGCCACCGCAGACCCGCTGCTGGCTTCCATCCCTTCGGATCCGGCAGGGTGTCTGCTGCATTCCTGATCCAGCGAGGTGCCCATTGCCACTCCCGATCGGGCTAAAGACTTGCCACTGTTCCTGCATGGCTAAGTGCCTGGGTTCGTTCTAATCAAGCTGAACACCAGTCATTGGGTTCCACAGTTTTCTTCGGTGACCCACGGCTTCTAATAGAGCTATAACACTCACCGCATGGCCCAAGATTCCATTCCTTGGAATCCGTAAGGCCAAGAACCCCAGGTCAGAGAAAACGAGGCTTGCCACCATCTTGGAAGCGGCCTGCTGCCATTTTGGAAGTGGCCCACCACCATCTTGGGAGCTCTGGGAGCAAGGACCCCCGGTAACAGTACAAACTCACATTCTAAGGTCACACCTCAAGGAACTAGGGAAACCAAACCAAAACCCAGCAGAAGAAAGGAAATAACCAAGATCAGAGCAGAACTAAATGAACTTCAAACAAAGAAAAAAATCACAAAAGACAAATGAAACAAAAAGCTGGTTATTTTAAAAGAGAAATAAAATTGATAGACCATTAGCAAGTTTAATAATGAAAAGAAAAGAGAAAATCCAAATAACCTCACTAAGAAACAAAACAGGAGTTGTTACAACTGACACCACAGAAATACAAAAGATCATTCAAGGCTACTATGAACACCTTTATGCACATAAACATAAAAAACTAGTAGAGATGGATAAATTCCTGGAAAAATACAACCCTCCTAGCTTAAATCAGAAAGAATTAGATTCCCTAAACAGACCAATAACAAGCAGTGAGATTTAAATGGTAGTTTTAAAATTACCAACAAAAAAGAGTCCAAGACCAGATGGATTCACAGCAGAATTCTACCACCCAAAGAGGAATTGGTACCAATCTTACTGACACTTTTCCATAAGACAGAGAAAGCGGAAACCCTCCCTAATTCATTCTGTGAAGCTAGCATTACCCTAATACCAAAACCATGAAAGAACATAACTGAAAAAGAAAACTACAGACTGATACCCCTGATGAACATAGATGTTAAAATCCTTAACAAAATACAAGCTAACTGAATCCAACAACATATCAAAAAGAGAATTCACCAAGATTAAGTGGGTTTCATACCAGGGATGCAGGGATGGTTTAACATATGCAAATAAATGAATGTGATAAACCACATAAACAGAATTTAAAGCAAAAATCAAATGATCATCTCAATAGATGCAGAAGAAGCATTCAACAAAATCCAGAATCCCATTATGATTAAAACTCTCAGCAAAATCAGCATATAAGGGACATACCTCAATGTAGTAGAAGCCACCTATGACAAACCCAAAGCCAACATAGTACTCAATGGGAAAAAGTTGAAAGCTTTCCCTCTGACAACTGGAACAAGACAAGGATGGCCACTCTCACCACCCATCTTCAACATAGTACTGGCAATCCTAGCCAGAGCAATCAGACAAGAGAAATAAATAAAAGGCACCCAAATTGGTAAAGGGGAAGTCAAACTGTCACTGTTTGCTGATGATATGATAATTTACCTTGAAAACCCTAAAGACTCCTTCAGAAAGCTCCTAGAACTGATAAAAGAATTCAGTAAAGTTTCTGGATACAACATTAATGTACACAAATTAGTAGCTCTTCTATACACCACCAGTGACCAAGTGGAGAGTCAAATCAAGAACTCAACCCATTTTACAATAGCTCCAAAAAAAAAAAATACTTAGGAATATACCTAACCAAGGAGATGAAGGACCTCAATACAGAAAACTACAGAACACTGCTGAAAGAAATGATAGATGACAGGAGCAAATGGAAACATATCCCATGCTCTTAGATGGGTAGAAGCAATATTGTGAAAATGACCATACTGCCAAAAGCAATCTACAAATTCAATGCAATCCTTATCAAAATACCACCACTATTCTTCACAGAATTAGAAAAACACAATTCTAAAATTCATATGGAACCAAAAAAGTGCACACATAGTCAAAGCAGGACTAAGAAAAAGAACAAATCTGGAGGCATCATACTACCTGATTTCAAACTATACTATAAGGCCATAGTCACCCAAACTGCATGGTACTGGTAGCTAACAGATAACTTTCCATGTTATCTATCATGTAACAGCAGGTTACCGGTAGAAAAATAGGAACATAGACCAAGAGAACAGAATAGAAAACCCAGAAATACACCCAAATACTTAAAGCCAACTGATTTTTGACAAAGCAAACAAAAACATAAATCGGGGAAAGGACACCCTTTTCAACAAATGGTGCTGGGATAATTGGCTAGCCACATGTAGGAGAATGAAATGGGATCCTCATCTCTCACTTTATACAAAAATCAACTCAAAATGGATTAAGGACTTAAATCTAAGACCTGAAAATATAAAAATTCTAGAAGATAACATTAGAAAAACCCTTCTAGACATTGGTTTAGGCAAGGATTTTGTGACCAAGAACCCAAAAGCAAATGCAATAAAAACAAACATAAATAGGTGGGATTTGATTAAACTAAAGAGCTTTCGCACACCAAAAGGAACAGTCATCAGAGTAAACAGACAACCAGCAGAATGGGAGAAAATATTCACAATCTATACATCTGACAAAGGACTAATATGCGTAATCTACAACAAACTCAAATCAGCAATTAAAAAAACAAACAATCTCATCAAAAAGTAGGCTAAGAGGGGTTCCAAGATGGCTGAATAGGAACAGCTCCAGTCTATAGCTCCCAGTGTGAGTGATGCAGAAGACGGGTGATTTCTGCATTTCCAACTGAGGTACCAGGTTCATCTCACTGGGGCTTGTTGGACAGTGGGTGCAGCCCACAGAGTGTGAGCTGAGGCAGGGCGGGGCATCACCTCACCCGGGAAGCACAAGGGGTCATCTTTGGGACACTCCCACCCTAATACTGTGCTTTTCCAATGGTCTTAGCAAACGGAACACTAGGACATTTTATCCTGGGCCTGGCTCAGAGGGTCCCACGCCCATGGAGCCTTGCTCATTACTAGTACAGCAGTCTGAGATTGAACTGTAATTTGGCAGCGAGGCTGGGGGAGGGGCATCTGCCATTGCTGAGGCTTGCGTAGGTAAAGCAGCCAGGAAGCTCAAACTGGGTGGAGTCCACCACAGCTCAAGGAGGCCTGCCTGCCTCTGCAGACTCCATCTTTTGGGGCAGGGCATAGCTGAACAAAAGGCAGCAGAAACTTATGCAGACTTAAACGTCCCTGTCTGACAGCTTTGAAGAGAGTAGTGGTTCTCCCAGCATGCAGTTTGAGATCTGAGAATGGACAGACTGCCTCCTCAAGTGGGTCCCTGATCCCCGAGTAGCCTAACTGGGAGACACCTCCAAGTAGGGGCCGACTGACACCTCATAGAGCCAGGTGCCCCTCTGAGATGAAGCTTCCAGAGGAAGGATCAGGCAGCAACATTTGCTGTTCTGCAATATTTGCTGTTCTGCAGCCTCCACTGGTGACATCCAGGCAAACAGGGTCTGGAGTGGACCTCCAGCAAACTCCAACAGACCTACAGCTGAGGGTCCTGACTGTTAGAAGGAAAACTAACAAACATAAAGGACATCCACACCAAAACCGCACCTCTAGGTCACCATCATGAAAGACCAAAGGTAGATAAAACCACAAAGATGGGGAGAAACCAGAGCAGAAAAGCTGAAAATTCCAAAAATCAGAGTGCTTCTTCTCCACAAAGATACAAAGGAATGCAGCTCCTTGCCAGCAACAAAACGAAGCTGGATGGAGAATGACTTTGAAGAGTTGACAGAAAAAGGCCTCAGAAGATCAGTAATAGCAAACTTCTCCAAGCTAAAGGAGGATGCTTGAACCCATTGCAAAGAAGCTAAAAAACCTTGAAAAAAGATGAGAAGCATGGCTAACTAGAAAAAACAGGACAGAGAAGACCTTAAATGACCTGATGGAGCTGAAAACCATGGCACGAGAACTACATGGTGCATGCACAAGCTTCAGTTGTCAATTTGATCAACTGAAAGAAAGGGTATCAGTGATTGAAGATCAAATGAATGAAATGAAGTGAGAAGAGAAGTTTAGAGGAAAAAGAGTAAAAAGAAATGAACAAAGCCTCCAAGAAATATGGGACTATGTGAAAAGACTAAATCTACGTCTGATTGGTGTACCTGAAAGTGACAGGGAGAATGGAACCAAGTTGGAAAACACTCTTCAGGATATTATCCAGGAGAACCTCCCCAACCAAGCAAGGCAGGCCAACATTCAAATTCAGGAAATACAGAGAACGCCACAAAGATACTCCACGAGAAGAGCAACTCCAAGAGACATAATTGTCAGATTCACCAAAGTTGAAATGAAGGAAAAAATGTTAAGGGCAGACAGAGAGAAAGGTCAGATTACCTACAAAGGGAAGCCCCTCAGACTACAGCAGAAATTCTACAAGCCAGAAGAGAGCAGGGGCCAATATTCAACATTCTTAAATAAAAGAATTTTCAACCCAGAATTTCATATCCAGCCAAACGAAGCTTCAAAAGTGAAGGAGAAATAAAATCCTTTACAGACAAGCAAATGCTGAGAGATTTTGTTCCCACCAGGCCTGCCTTACAAGAGCTCCTGAAGGAAGCACTAAACATGGAAAGGAACAACCGGTACCAGACACTGCAAAAACATGCCAAATTGTAAAGACCACTGATGCTAGGAAGAAACTGCATCAACTAACGAGCAAAATAACCAGCTAACATCATAATGACAGGACCAAATTCACAAATAACAATATTAACCTTAAATGTAAATGGGCTAAATGCTCCAATTAAAAGACACAGACTGGCAAATTGGATAAAGAGTCAAGACCCATCAGTGTGCTGTATTCAGGAGACCTACCTCATGTGCAGAGACACGCATAGGCTCAAAATAAAGGGATGGAGGAATATCTATCAAGCAAATGGAAAACAAAACAAAAAAAAAAGCAGGGGTTACAATCCTAGTCTCTGATAAAACAGACTTTAAACCATGACTTTAAACCAACAAAGATCAAAAGCCTGGATCAATTTAACAAGAAGAGCTAACTATCCTAAATATATATGCACCCAATACAGGAGCACACAGATTCATAAAGCAAGTCCTTAGAGACCTACAAAGAGACTTAGACTGCCACACAATAATAATGGGAGACTTTAACATCCCACTGTCAACATTAGGCAGATCAACAAGACAGAAAGTTAACAAGGGTATTCAGGACTTGAACTCAGCTCTGCACCAAGCAGACCTAATAGACATCTACAGAACTCTCCACCCCAAATCAACAGAATATAATTATTCTCAGCACCACATCACACCTATTCCAAAATAGACCACATAGTTGGAAGTAAAGCACTCCTCAGCAAATGTAAAAGAACAGAAACTATAACAAACTGTCTCTCAGACCACAGTGCAATCAAATTAGAACTTGGGATTAAGAAACTCACTCAAAACCTCACAACGACATGGAAAGTGAACAACTTGCTCCTGAATGACTGACTACTGGGTACATAACAAAATGAAGGCAGAAATAATGATGTTCTTTGAAACCAGTGAGAACAAAGACACAACACACCAGAATCTCTGGGACACATTTAAAGCAGTGTGTAGAGGGAAATTTAGAGCACTAAATGCCCACAAAGGAAAGCAGGAAAGATCTAAAATTGACACCTTAATATCACAATTAAAAGAACTAGAGAAGCAAGAGCAAACACATTCAAAAGCTAGCAGAAGACAAGAAATAACTAAGATCAGAGCAGAATTGAAGGAGATAGAGATACAAAAAATGCTTCAAAAAATCAATGAATCCAGGAGCTGGTTTTTTGAAAGGATCAACAAAATTGATAGACCGCTAGCAAGACTAATAAAGAAGAAAAGAGAGAAGAATCAAATAGATGCAATAAAAAATGATAAAAGGAATATCACCACCGATCCCACAGAAATATAAACTACCATCAGAGAATACTATAAACACTTCTACGCAAATAAACTAGAAAATCTAGAAGAAATGGATAAATTCCTGTACACATACACTCTCCCAAGACTAAACCAGGAAGAAGTTGAATCCCTGAATAGACCAATAATAGGTTCTGAAATTGAGGCAATAATTAATAGCCTACCAACCAAAAAAAGTCCAGGACCAGATGGATTGACAGCTGAATTATACTGAAGGTACAAAGAGGAGCTCGTGGCATTCCTTCTGAAATTATTCCAATCAATAGAAAAAGAGGGAATCCTCCCTAACTCATTTTATGAGGACAGCATCATCTTGATACCAAAGCCTGGCAGAGACACAATAAAAAAAAGAGAATTTTAGACCAATATCCCTGATGAACACTGATGCAAAAATCCTCAATAAAATGCTGGCAAACCAAATTCAGCAGCACATCAAAACACTTATCCACCACGATCAATTCAGCTTCATCCCTGGGATGCAAGGCTGGTTCAACATACATAAATCAATAAGCGTAATCCATCATATAAACAGAACCAAAGACAAAAACCACATGATTATCTTAATAGATGCAGAAAAGGCCTTCAACAAAATTCAACAGCCCTTCATGCTAAAAACTCTCAATAAATTAGGTATTGATGGGATGTATCTCAAAATAGTAAGAGCTATTTATGACAAACCCACAGCCAATATCATGCTGAATGGGCAAACCTGGAAGCATTCCCTTTGAAAACTGGCACTAGACAGGGGTGCCCTCTCTCACCACTGCTATTCAACATACTGTTGGAAGTTCTGGCCAGGGCAATCAGGCTGGAGAAAGAAATAAAGCATATTCAATTAGGAAAAGAGGAAGTCAAATTGTCCCTGTTTGGAGATGACATGATTGTATATCTAGAAAACCCCACCATCTCAGCCCAAAATCTCCTTAAGCTGATAAGCAACTTCAGCAAAGTCTCAGGATACAAAATCAATGTGCAAAAATCACAAGTATTCCTATACACCAATAACAGACAAACAGAGAGCCAAATCATGACTGAACTCCCATTCACAATTGCTTCACAGTGAATAAAATACCTAGGAATCCAACTTATGAGGGATGTGAAGGACCTTTTCAAGGAGAACTACAAACCACTGCTCAACGAAATAAAAGAGGACACAGACAAATGGAAACATTCCACGCTCATGAATAGGAAGAATCAATATCGTGAAAATGGCCATACTGCCCAAGGTAATTTATAGATTCAATGCCTTCTCCATCAACCTGTCAATGACTTTCTTTGCAGAATTGGAAAAAACTACTTTAAAGTCCACATGGAACCAAAAAAGAGCCCACATTGCCAAGACAATCCTCAGCCAAAAGAACAAAGCTGGAGGTATTAAGCTACCTGACTTCAAACTATACTACAAGGCTACAGTAACCAAAACAGCGTGGTACTGGTGCCAAAACAGAGATATAGACCAGTGGAATAGAACAGAGCCCTCAGAAATAATACCACACATCTATAACCATCTGATCTTTGACAAACCTGAGAAAAACAAGAAATGGGGAAAGGATTCCCTATTTAATAAATGGTGCTGGGAAAACTGGCTAGCCATATGTAGAAAGCTGAAACTGGATTCCCTTCCTTACACCTTATACAAAAAGTAATTCAAGATGGATTAAAGACTTAAATATTAGACCTAAAACCATAAAAACCCTAGAAGAAAACCTAGGCAATTCCATTCAGGACATAGGCATGGGCAAGGACTTCATGTCCAAAACACCAAAAGCAATAGCAACGGAAGCCAAAATTGACAAATGGGATCTATTTAAACTAAAGAGCTTTTGCAAAGCAAAAGAAACCACCACCAGAGTGAACAGGCAACCTACAGAATGGGAGAAAATTTTTGTAGTCTACTCGTCTGACAAAGGGCTAATATCCAGAATCTACAAAGAACTCAAACGAACTTACAAGAAAAAAACAAACAACCCTATCAAAAAGTGGGTGAAGACTATAAACAGACACTTCTCAGAAGAAGACATTTATGCAGCCAACAGACACATGAAAAAAAGCTCATCATCACTGGCCATCAGAGAAATGCAAATCAAAACCACAATGAGATACCATCTCACACCAGTCAGAATCACGATCATCAAAAAGTCAGGAAACAACAGGTGCTGGAGGGGATGTGGAGAAATAGGATTGCTTTTACACTGTTGGTGGGACTGTAAACTAGTTCAACCATTGTGGAAGACAGTGTGGCGATTCCTCGAGGATCTAGAACTAGAAATACCATTTGACCCAGCCATCCCATTACTGGGTATATACCCAAAGGATTATAAATCATGCTGCTATAAACACACATGCACACCTATGTTTATTGCGGCACTATTCACAATAGCAAAGACTTGGAACCAACCCAAATGTCCATCCATGACAGACTAGTTTAAGAAAATGTGGCACATACACACTATGGAATACTATGCAGCCATAAAATAGGATGAGTTCACGTCCTTTGTAGGGACATGGATAAGCTGGAAACCATCATTCTCAGCAAACTATTGCAAGGACAAAAAACCAAACATCACATGTTCTCACTCATAGGTGGGAACTGAACAATGAGAACATTTGGACACAGGGTGGGGAACATCACACACCGGGACATGTGGTGGGGTTTGGGATGAGGGGAGGGATAACATTAGGAGAAATACCTAATGTAAATGACGAGTTAATGGGTGTAGCACACCAACATGGCACATGTATACATGTGTAACAAACCTGCACGTTGTGCACATGTACCCTAGAATTTAAAGTATAATATAAAAAAGTGGGCTAAGAATATGAATAGATATTTCTCAAAAGAACATATGCAAATGGCCAATAAACCTATGAAAAAATGCTCAACATCACTAATGATCCAGGGAAATGCAAATCAAAACCATAATGCGATACCACCTTATTCCTGCAAGAATGGCCATAATTTAAAAAATCACAAAACAGTAGACGTTGGCATGGATGTGGTGATCAGGGAACACTTCTACACTGCTAGTAGGAATGTAAACTAGTACAAACACTATGGAAAACAGTGTAGAGATTCCTTAAAGAACTAAAAGTATAACTACCATTTGATCCAGCAGTCCTACTACTGGGTGTCTATCCAGAGGAAAAGAAGTCATTACATAAAAACAGTTACTTGCACATGCATGTTTATAGCAGCATAATTCACAATTGCAAAATCATGGAACCAATTCAAATGCCTATCAGTCAACAAATGGATAAAGAAACATATATATATGTGTGTGTGTATATATATGTATATATATGTGTGTATATATATGTATATATGTGTGTGTATGTGTGTATATATATATATATATATATATATATATATGATGGAATACTACTCTGCCATAAAAAGGAATGAATTAATGGCATTCACAGCAACCTGAATGAGATTGGAAACTATTATTCTAAGTGAAGTAATTCAGGAATGGAAAATCCCACATCGTATGTTCTCACTGATATGTGGGAGTTAAGCTATGAGGATGCAAAGGCATAAGAATGATACAATGTAACTTGGGGACTTGTGGGTAAGGGTGGGAGGGGGTGAGGGATAAAAGACTACAAATAGGGTGCAGTGTATACTGCTCAGGTGATGGGTGCAACAAAATCTCACAAGTCACCACTAAAGAACTTACTCATGTAACCAAACACCACCTGTTCCCCAATAACCTATGGAAAAATAAAATATCAATTAAATAAAAGTTTATCTGAGAGAAAGGGAATGCAATGAAGAAAGAAGCTGCAGTCTTTTAAAATCTACTCTCAGAAGGGAGATGCCATCATTTCTGCCATATTATTATATATGTTAGAAGCAAGCCTCTAAGTCCAGCCTTCACTCAAAGGAGGGGAATTAGCTTCTTTTATTGAAGGAAATATTGAAGAATTGGTAGATATATTTTAAACCATCACAAGTTAGGGAACAATCTTAGAACAGATGAAAACTACATTAAAATTTTAAAAATCATTAGGTGAAAAAGGTAGGGGAAAAAGTATTTTTGGGAGAGAGACCCAAATATACAAAGGCAAAGAAACATGAGTGAGCATGAGACCTCTGGATAACAGAAACTTTCCATGTTATCTGCCTTCAAACAGCATGGATATAAAGGGAGAATGAAAGATAATGACTCGGCCTTATGCTCCACCTAAAGAGTCATCAGGCCTCATTAGGCAATCTAAATGGAAGAGTGACATGATCATATTAACACCAAAAATGAAATTAGGGGAACACAGAAAAATTGCTAGGGAGTGGGGGGCCTGCAGGCAGAGAGAATGCTGTATGTTTTATGATGGTCCTTCAGGTGACGTAAGTGTGAGTCTTAGTAAGATAAACACTACGGTGACAGAGTGGAAATAATAAAATGGTGTTTTTAGTACATTGAATCAGCAAGGATCAATGGATATTTCTTGTAGATTGAATACGAGAAGTAAGGGATAGGAAGAAATAAGGAATGACACTTGCTTTTCAAGCATGGGCAGTTAAGTAAATTTGAGGCAAAAAGTCTAGAAGTCAGGAGGAATGATGGGTCGATTTGGAATATATTGAATGTGACATCCCTGAAGGACATTCAAATGAATATATTTGGTAGAAGGTTTGACAGTCAGCTGCTGAGCTCAGGCTAGAAATCTGTCAGGACAAAAGCTGAACCTTTCAGAAGTCATCTATATGCTTAGTGATCTTTGTTGGAGTCCTGAGAAAGGACAATGTAGAGGGAAAAGATGAGGCCTGATGATAGACAGCAAATGGATGTTTAAAGGGTGAAAAAAGGAAACTAGCCTACAGAGGAGGGAAGGAGTCCTTATAGAGACTGGCTCAACACAAGACCAAAAACTATCTATAATCTCCTCAGAATATATGAGGGTGCTAAACCCAGAATAACCACTTACTACAAACTTGCTGTTGGCTGGCTGACCTGTTCATTCGCATTTATTAAAGCCAACTCCAAACCTGTCTGTGGAATGAATCCATTTCAGAAAGCATTCAGCTCCCCATCTTAAATATACGGAGCTAAGATTCATTTTGAAAATACTTCCCGGGTTTCATTTTACAAGCTTAACCACTATGGTTAATAATCCTTTCCAAAACGTCGCAAAAGTTCCATTGGATTAAATATTGGTGATTATAAGAGATAAAAACTTACATTAATTCACTAAAAAGCACAACTATTGTGTTTTTTGGTTCTTGGACAGAAATCCTGACTACCGGTGACACCAAAATACATTAAGAAAAATTTTAGTTTTTAAAAAAAGTGAGACAAGTTAAATACAACTAGAATTTTAATTTTTCACCCAATACAATCTGTAAATCTAATTATAAATTTTATGATAGAGTCTGTCTCTGGTGATGTTACAATCGCAGAAACATAGAAAACTAAGAATGAAAATTCAACAAATATTCCAGAATATGCAAAACTTCTCACTAATTATATGGTGATAAATTATTACTATTTATATAATATATAACTAGATGTCTTTAAAGCTCAAAAAATCAACTTAAAAACTTTTAGAACTTACTAGTAAGTTGTAATATACACTGCAATAATATCAAGTTTCTCCTATGTTGAACCATAATTACAAGATGAAATAAAAGAAAAATATTTTTATTTACAGAAGCAAAAAAAGAAAAAAAACCATGAAATACCTAGAATTGGCTAGCAAAATTTGCAATACATAGAAGAAAAAAAGCTATAGGAATTATTTAGAAAATCTGAAAGGAGATGAAATATAATGATGTACCCAATTTTTTCTTTTCCCAGAAGGATTAAATATTGAAAAGCCAAAACTTCTCAAATTGATATGGTTTAATTCAATTGTGATGGTATTTTGTGCACTTTATAAAAATGATTTTAAAGTTTATTTGGAAAAATAAGTATAATAGCTTCAAAAAGACTCAAATAGAAAAGTTATGTTGCTAAATTGCACACAAAACATAAAACATAAGACTACCACGAATAAAATAATGTAAAACTGATGCAAGACAGAGCATAGGAGTGAAACAGGATAGATGTTCTGAAACAGAGCCTAACTCAGATAGCAAGATGATGTAAGAAGGACCATTACAAACCAATGGGGCCAGATTATTCAAAGTTAGTGTTGGGGAAAATTGACCCTTGCAGAGATAATGATCAAATTTAAACCTCACTTTACATACTCTAACATAAAGAAATAAATATTTTAAAACACGGGAAGAGGCTGGAAAAATATATTTAACTGATCTTTGGATGCGCAAAGACTTCTTACGAGTACAGGAAATGAAAGAAAACACAAAGGAAAATATAAATAAAGTTATCCACGTAAAACTTTTAACATAACGTTTGTCAATTGCAGGCTGTCTTCCTGTGCCTCTCCCTAACCCAGCACTGAGGCTTTCCCCGTGTCTGACATCAGAAAGAGGAGGTAACTTCTCTCATTTCCAGTTCCTAACGTTCCTTCTGACATTGTATCTCTGAGCTTGCTTGTCAGTCTTGTTCCCTGAGCTCCAGTATGTCCCAAGGGCCTAGTATCTCCTTCACTTCTATAGTTACCTTCACAAAAGCAAGAATCTAGAAGGATCATTGTGTGAGTAGTAGAGTCCAGATTTGTTCAATAATGCTTAGCTATAAATTGCTCCTACACTAACTAGATTTAGGTGCTACTGACTTGACAGGCTGAGCTGCATTACATCTTGTTGGATGATATATTACAACAGTCCCTCAAACTGTTACCATAAGTAGAATGTTTCTCCTCTTTCTCTTGACAGTTTGGTTTTGAACTAGAATTAGGAATCCTACAATTTTACACATTGCCTTAAATTCCTCCCGGAGACTTCCCACAGCCTACAGATCTTTTAACTTGCAATCACCAACAGTGCTTTCTCAAAAGCTTGTCACAACAGCAGGGAGCAATTTAGTGGCCTATTTTAAGCACACCCTCTGTCCTTATCTCTCACCTCTGAGACAATATAATCCACTCGACCTCCTTCACCTGCAGTCTGAAAGACCTCATAATCGCCTGTTCCACATTGGCAGCCAGAGCTCTAGGAAGTTCAGCTACAGCTGGGAGAGAAGGAAATGACCCTGAAGTTAAAGTAGGTCAACCACTTACTTGTGGATAGTTTAAATTGAGGTGTAAATAAATACTGCACCTGAAGTCTATATCCACAATGGTAGCCCCACAAATCTAAACCAGGAAACTGTATCATAATCTTTTGCCCAAAAAACAGATCTATGGCTCTCTCCTGGAGCAGAGGGGGCAGGTATCAATCTCACCACTTCTCTCTCTGTGTGAACACCTTAATCAATCCCTTGCTGCCTTTGACCTATGCTATCATGTTACTCTGGCACCTACCTGGGACAGGTGGCCTGTGTCTTTCTTGTGCCAGTTGCAGGATTCGCCACCACGCCGCCAAAAGTGATGCACACAGCAGCCCAAAGACATTTTGAATAGCCGTTAACTCAAAAACTTCCCCCCAATACAGACCACGCAGAATCACATGCCATACTCCTCAACCCTTAGAACAGCTTCACCTGGACAGTTCTAGGCCAGTAGCAGGTCCTGTGTGTGAGTTCTTCTCCCTTCTTCCAGCATTTCCTTCCTCCTGTATGTCTCTTCTGTGATGTCCTCTGTACTATTTATATGGCAATTTATAAGCTGGGCGGAGTGGTGAACACCTGTGGTCCCAGCTACTTGGGAAGCTGAGGTGAAAGG
Organism: Homo sapiens; assembly: GCF_000001405.40. Taxonomy (NCBI): domain Eukaryota; kingdom Metazoa; phylum Chordata; class Mammalia; order Primates; family Hominidae; genus Homo; species Homo sapiens. The sequence goes on from NC_000018.10 coordinate 4,705,728, forward strand.
ATGGCTTGAGCCCAGGAATTCTAATATAGCCTAGACAACATAGCAATATCTCATCTCTAAAAAATAAAACTAGTAAATAAATAAACATACTGCAATTTATACATGAAAGCGGAGACTGTCATGTTCACCTGTATACCTGCAGAATAGTCCCTGGCACATACTAGACATTCAGAAATTATTAGTTAAATGAATGAAGATTCATTACATAAACTCCCATTTGCAAAAAGCTTCTCTGCAATCGGTTACAAACATTTTATGAGTTGGGGATTCTCTAGTTAGCATGTATAACAGGGAAGGGTTAGCCTTGATTTATGAAGGAAATGGCAGTAAAAGGACAGAAAGATGACTGCAGACAGAAACTATTTTGAGACACAATTAGAATGGCTCTTAGAGGAGAAAGGGTGAAAGTGGGAATGGACTGGTTTGATTCAATTAATTCTTAGGATGCTGAGGTCATCTATTTTTACCTCCATTATCCTAAGAGTTAAAACTGTCCTACTGCTCAGAATATAAGTCTTTGGCCTCCACCAGCCTCTGGCCTGATTTACTGTTAACATCTTCACATAACTTTATTTGGTTCTGTATCAATGCGGATGTGGAATAACGCACAAAACCTTTTAGAAAGGCTCACTTCCTAACGTTATAGTAATTTTAAATGTTTTTAAAATGTGCTTTTCATTTGTTTAGAAGCATAAGAGCTTACTGAACTTTCTGTTTGGTTGGGACCCATAGGTGTTATATTTTAATATAACAAAATATAATATAGGAAAATATATAATGAAAATATATATTTCAATATAATGAAATTTTCATTATACATTTTCCTGTCCTTTGCCTGTTTGTCTGTGGGCATGCCTGCAGAGTCTGATGAAAGTACTCTAAAGTAAACACTTTTCCTCTTTTATTTATTAAGTTAAAATTTTACTAGCTTTGGGGTACTTTATTTTCACTGAAACATATTCTTAGATTTTGAATTTTTAAAACCAATCATAATTTAAAATTTCCATGGTTTCTTGCAAGATAGAGACACTCTAGGAAATTGTTTCATCAAGTAATGAAAACAATATTAACTTAGAAATTACAGAATGACTTTACATGAAAATTAATCTCTGCAATAATTGTAATATTCTGGCCATATCCACTATAACGTAAATTTAACTATTTGCTTTTATAAATTGATTTGCTTCATCTTCTCTCCTATGATTTATTCATTTTTGATATCTCAGTGTCTGCCTACATTTACTGAAAAAAAAATCTCAAAAGTGAAGATAACACAGGTTCTATTCTCAAATAAATTTTCTATTGCTTCTCAAACTCCTAAATTTTTTCAAAATAAAAACAAAAATAAATACTGCACCTGAAGTCTATATCCACATTGGCAGCCCCACAAATCTAAACTAGGAAATTGTATCATAATCTTTTGCCCAAAAAACAGATCTATGGCTTGGCCGGGCGCGGTGGCTCACGCCTGTAATCCCAGCACTTTGGGAGGCCGAGGCAGGCGGATCACGAGGTCAGGAGATCGAGACCATCCTGGCTAACATGGTGAAACCCCGTCTGTACTAAACATTACAAAAAAAAAAAAAAAAAAAATTAGCCGGGCGTGGTGGCGGGCGCCTGTAGTCCCAGCTACTCAGGAGGCTGAGGCAGGAGAATGGTGTGAATCTGGGAGGCGGAGCTTGCAGTGAGCCGAGAGCGTGCCACTGCACTCCAACTGCACTCCAGCCTGGGCGACAGATGAGACTGTCTCAAATAAATAAATAAATAAATAAATAAATAAAACAAAAATAAAAAAAACAGATCTATGGCTCTCTCCTGGAGCAGAGGGGGCAGGTATCAATCTCTCCACTTCTCTCCCTGTGTGAACACCTTAATCAATCCCTTGCTGCCTTTGACCTATGCTATCATGTTACTCTGGCACCTACGTGGGACAGGTGGCCTGTGTCTTTCTTGTGCCAGTTGCAGGATTGGCCACCATGCATTAGTGCATTAGAGGTAGACTTTTATTTCGCTTCAGGTAACATTAAATACTAGTACAAAGCCATCATAAATGGATACTGATGACTTAGAAGAGGGAAAAGTAAGACAAAAGAGCTGTCTTATTCTGGAAATCTATTGAACAGCATGATGACTATAGTTAATAAACATACTATCAACTTGAAAATTGCCAGGAGAGGAGATCTGAAATGTTCTCACAACCAAAACAAAAGTATGTGAGGTGATGATGGATATGTTAATTACCTTGATTAAATCATTTCATGATGTGTATATGTATTATATACATATACCACATTCACTGTAAATATACACAATTTCTACTTGTCAATTATATTTTGATAAAGCTAGGGGGGCAGGTACATTTTTTAAAAAAGAGCTGTCAATATTTGGGAGTAAGGGCAGTGGAGTTCAGATGTGTTCCAGGCCTGAGGATGGCTCTGAGGTTGAAGATGTACCCAGGAAGCACTGAAATCTCTTTTCAGCTCCAGTAAAGTACACCCTGGTGATCACTGGTGTAAGAATAAGTCAGGTCACCTTCACTTCCATGATGTACACATTTGAAGTATATTCTGTTATCTTAAAACCTCCCATTTGCTGTCCCTGGATATCAAGGACTTGATATCATAGTCAGGCTCACAACTGGCTTTTAGTGTCTGGGAGCTCTTGTTTCATGCTTTGAGAGACAATTGAATATTTTCTCCTATTAAAATTGTAAAGAATTAAAATGACAATGAAATACTACTACATACCTATTAGAATGGCTAAAATCAACAACACTGACAACACAAAATACCGGGGAGGCTGTAGAGTAATAGGAAGGCTCATTCATTGCTGATGGGAATGCAAAATGGTGCAGCCACTCTGGAAGATAGTTTGATAGTTTCTTAGAAAACTAAACATACTCTTACCATATGAGCCACCAAATTGTACTTACCCAAATGAGTTGAAAACGTATGTCCACACAAAAACCTGCACACAAATGTTTATAGTAGCTTTATTCATAATTGCTAATACCTGGAAGCCAATCAAGATGTCCTTCCATTGATAAATGGATAAACTGTGGCATATTCCTAAAATAGATTTTATTCAGTAATAAAAAGAAATAAGCTATCATGCCATGAAAAGATAGAGAAGACTCTTAAGTGCATATTGCTAAGTTAAAGGAGCCAATCTGAAAAATTACATTCCTTTTCATGTATGATTCCAACTATATAATATTCTAGAACAGGCCAAACTGTGAGGGTAAAAAGATCCCTGGTTGCCAGGGGCTCAGTGAGAGAGAGGGAGAGATGAATAAGTGGAATACAGAGAATTTTGGGGCAGCTGAAACTGTTGTGTATGATACTGCAATGGTGGATACATGCTGTTACACATTTGTCAAAACCCATAGAATGTACAGCACAAAGACTGAGCCATTGAGGGTAAACTTTAGTTAATAAAAATGTATCAATATTGTCTCATCAACTGTAACAAATATACCACACTAATACAATATTTTAATAAGGGGAAAAACTGTGTGTGTGGTGAAGTGAGGATGTACATGGGAATCTATGCTTGCCACTCAATTATTCTGCAAACCTAAAACTGTTCTTAGTCTATTTAATACATATATATATATATATATATATATATATATATATACATACATAAAATAATTTTAAAGTGGTAGGGAAAACTTAAAGATCAGACTTCATCAGTAACCCATATAATTATGTATTAGTTGTTTCTCTGTAACAATTGAGGAAATATTTTGATATTGGCAAAACATCATTGGTCTCTTGGTACTACAGATTACAATAAAGACAGAAAAATGATTTTAAGTCCAAGAAATACAAAAGCATCTAGACTGAAATAAATCAACTGCTAGCCCAGAGAAACTCCAAAAGACTGAATCCATCTGTTAGAAAATATTCCCAGAACTCAATAAGAAACAGGGAAAATTGAGGAAGAATATGAAAGAGAAAAAGAGTTTGGAGCAAGCAAAATGGAAGAAAGAAAAAATATTTGAAAATAAAAGGCAGTAGAAAGAACAAAAGATGAAAAATAAAGTATTCCAATGTTTAATAATGTACTTACATGAAGAATAAAGTCAAATAAAAACATGTGCAAGTGTCTACAAATTCTTTTTAATCTAGTGACTCCAATAAGATTGATTGTGTAATTATCAACCAATAGTTTTTCTCTAGGATTTTTCTTCCTAGAGGAAGGTGAAGATATGAAGAGAGGTTTATAAAAATACACTGTTCAGGTATATTTTGTGCTGTGGTTACTTGTAGAGTATCTGATTATTTTTGCTATTAATTAATGCACATTTTGAAAATGGATTAAAAGTTTGTAATAATGATAATAGTATATGTAAAATCAATTTTTAGGAGTTTCAAAGAGCCATTAAATATAGATGGCAGTTTGGATATTGACTTTTCTACCACAAAGGTTTGAATAACAACCAAAAAATGGCACATCTCTGCTATTGACTAGCATCGTGAAGCTGAACTACAATCAATGATTTGAAAGGTTTATTCAAAAGTCTGAGAGTTAGTTATTGGATTTGCCCACTTCATAGACATTTTGCATTCAAGCACTGCAGTAAATTTGGGTGCATATTTGTATGATGTTTAGGAAACCTCTGTACTGTTTCATTATTTTGATGTTTCCAATGTGAGGAAAGCAGCTTGAAAATAGTTTAAAAGGAAGGAGATAATACAATTCAAATTCTTACCATGGGCTTGCTTTTTTTTTAAGCCTCTATTGTATGTCTTTTGTGAAATTCTGTAATTTCTGGAAGCAACATTTTAGAATATACTCCTAACCATATATTTTCAATACTTTAACATTTAAATTGAGATACTAAAAGCAAATGGGATATGTTTGCCAAGAACCTATTTGTTGTTGATTTTCTAGGTGGGAACAGTATGTAAAACATCTACTTTCTAGTCTATTATGTTACCTATATTATTCTATAAGACATAATTTTACGCCTTTTAAAAGTAGAAAAATTCTAATTTAAGAAGGCTGGCATAGAGTCTAGTCTTAGATAAACGTTTTTAAGTGACTCCAGGAATGCTGCTCTGAATCTCAGTCATCTCATCATTAAATGGGAGTCATGTGTTGTATGTATATAACAACATTTTGGCCAACAAATATGGCATATACAATGGTGGTCCCATAAGATTATAATACTATATTTTTACTGTACCATTTCTATGTTTAGATATATTTAGATAAACAAATACTTACCATTGTGTTACAATTGCCTACCGTATTCAGTACAGTAACATGCTATATGAGTTTGTAGCCTAGGAGCCATAGGCCATACCATTTAGCCTGGGTGTGTACTAGGCTGTCCCATCTAGGTTTGTGTAAGTATACTTTATGATGCTCACACAATAACAAAATTGCCTAATGATGTATTTTTCAGATTGTATCCCCATCATTAAGCAATGCATAACTGAATTATCTCTATCCCATTTCCCAGGGTCATCAAAAGGCTTAAATGGGCTGCACTGTAAATGATGTAAGCTGGGAGAATGTCAGCCTTATTGGTAGTGACTGGAGCAGCCAACCTGGAATATAATAGTATGGCATTCAAACTGGCAGACTAAGAGGTCTCCCAAATCCACAGCCTTTTGGGGCTAATCTCAGATTGGCAGCCTGTTCTAGAAATGTTAGTTTGTATTCTTCATTAAAGTGGTGAAGAAGCCTAGAGACTTATTTTAGCCAAACTCTCTTACTTGACAAATGAGTAATCTGAGGTCTAAAAGATGTTATTTACTCAAATGTTTGTCATGGTAGGACCTTCTGATTCTCTTCTTCATATTGCTTTCAATATGTCACACAATTAAGGGCACTGTGGACATAAAACTTAGTCCATAAACTAAGTCTAGGTTAAGAGCTAGAAAAGGAACTTCTATTAGTGAAAAGAAGAGCAGCACAGCAGGTGGGTTCAAATGAGCCGAGCCCCAGAGTTTCTTCCTCTTAAATCAACCAGGGTAGGCTATACCTAGCAGTCAACAGAAACAAGGGCTGGAGAGAAAAAAAAAAAATATGGGAAAAAAAAAACCACGCTCCGATGATCTGGGACCAAAGAAAGGTTGTAAGATTAAAAAAAGAAAAAGAAAAAAAAAAGGGAAAGGAGAACGAAGGAAGTGGTCAAAGAAAGCATTACATACCACTTATTGGTTTATCTATTTTGTTATGTAACATAGACGTGTGTATAGCATAGTACAAAGAACAGAGAATAGAAGTGGGAGATGAATTTGAATCCTGACTCTTTACTAGATACCACTTGAGAAAAAAAAAACCATTGTAAAGGATTTTCTCACTTATGAATAAATTGTATGTTCTTTCACCAGATATGTGCTGAATACCTATTATGTGCCAGGTATTGTACTTGTTATTCCATTTATTCCTCTCCCCAGCCCCCAAATCCTCCCAAGTCCCTCTACATACCACAGATTTACAAAAGAGGACCCTGGGACTTAGAAAGTTAAATAAATTTACTCAAGGTCACAAAGCCAGTAAGCAGTGGAGCTTGGATTGAAATTCAGATCAGCAGTACTCCAAAACTTCTCATTTTCATCATATCTGGTTACTGATCCTGTTTCTAAGAAACAAAATTAATTAAATGTGTTTAGCTATCAGTCCCAGAAACATGCAATCTTTATTTATCATGATGAAAGTACAGAAAACTCTCTTGATTGTCGAATTTCAAGTGCTGCACGTAGGTACTCAATAAGTATATATTGACTAGTGGATTATTATTACTCCTTACTTTTTTTCTTCTCTCTTCTTTTGCCTTTTGCATTGCCTGATCAATTTTTATACTGTGTAAAAATTTCCTTCCTTCTTTCTTCCTTTCCTTTCTTTCAATTGTATATATGTATATATATATATATATCCTTTTAAGTGTGGCATAAATATTTTCAGCCTGAGTTCATTTGTTTATAGTAAGCAATTGTAATAACTTACAATCTGGCCTATTTCTATCAACTTTGCTTTCTATTTTTGAGATTATTTGCAATTGCCTTTTTTTCTATCTTTTGTTCTATATTGTTTTGCCTGTCGCTATTTTCTCTTGATTTGAAAAGTATTCATTTCTTAAATATTTTTTACTGAATTACTTTTTTAAAAAACAAATTTTCAGAATTACAGTCTTTAATTATTAGAAACACAAATTTAGCAGGCTTTTGCCACCCTGATTCCCATTGCAAACTTTTGTAAGCTTTGGTTTAGACTCTCTAGCAGGACATAAAATAGTAGCAACCTCGATTACTTAAACTGATATAGATACACATTTGTGGTTTGATCAAATGTGTATCAGATACACATTTGATATATATATATATCATATATAGATACACATTTGATAAAGAATCACATTTGTGCTTAAAAAAGGTATAGGTTATAAGAAGAGTACAAATGGATTTTCTGTTCTCAATAAAACAGCCAGAGCTATCCTTTTAAAACCTGTGTCAGAACATGTCATTTTTCTCCTCAGAGCATTTCATGGTCTCAATTCACCCAGAGTAAACCCCAAAATCCTCAGAGTGGTCTCCAAAGCCCTACACAGTCTATGTCCCATTACCTGTCTGATCTCATCATTGATTATTTTCCCCCTTCATTCAATGCACTCTGGCTACACCGGCTTTCTCGCTAGTTCTTCAACACATTAGAGCTGCTTTCACCTTAGGCTTTTCCAGGAGCTCTTTCCTCTGTCTGAACCATTCTTCCACCAGATATGCATGTGTCTAACTCCCTCACATCCTCCAAATGGTGGCCAACTGTCACTTTCCCACAATCTTACTTAAAATTGGAAGCTCTAGGACCCCCCCAATCACTCTTACCTTGTTTATGTTTTAAAGAGCAACAGCGTGTCTATTTCTAGCACACTGCATAATTTATCACGCTTGTTGTTTGTTTCTTCCTTCTCATCCCACAAGAAGCTCTATGGCAGAAAGGTTTTGTTAGAGGTTCTGCTGTTTACTAAGACACACATTTTCTAAATGAACTTTAGACTCTGCCAGAAGGAAACAAGAACAAGAAGAAGATATTTGTGTTGATTTCAAGGATAAGGCAACATTAAAAACTCTGTTCAATAGACTCAGAATTGAGGTGGTGTAGGGAATACTGTGACCCCATATAGACTTCATCATGACAAATGAAGTGAGCAGTCCCAGTAAAGTCAACATGTAGGTGTGATGTTTGGTCATGTTACGAGAAGTTTAAAATACAACAACAGCACTAGAAGTATGGCTTTACCATATACTAGGCCAACTTTACTTAAGATGAAAGAAGAATGAAAGATCACAAGACAGTCAAAAACCTACCTTAGACACGGCTCAAGAAATCATTTCTGGGTGAAAACTAAAGGGACATCACTTTCAATAAAATGGAAATTGTTATTTTAAAAATCACAAATGCTTAACAATACAAGTCACAGTGTTACTGAGCAGAGCAGAGACATCCTGAAAGGTGAGGATAAAAGGAAGATAAGTAGGTGAAATTATATCACTAATATTTATTTAGCACTTACTGTATGCAAAGAATTATGCTAAGCATTTTGCTACATATTATTTCAAAAGTCCTTAAAAAAAAAAAACCCCTCTGAGTTTTTAAAAAAACCCTCATTATCCAGGTGAGAAAACTGAGTCTTAGAGAGGTCATGTGGCTTTCCCAGGAGCATACAGCTACTCAAAGTAGTTGCGAATATGAGTCTTAAGTTTTGTTCTGTCTCTTGTCAAATTCTAGGCTTTTACTTCTACTGTGATACTGAATCTGAGCTAACAAATTCACACAAATCTACTGGAGCCCTATGAGAAAACAGCATGAAAAAACCTCAAGAAAGAGAAATAGGGTGTTTTCTTGTTTAGTTGATGAGGAGATAGAAAGAAGTAAGGAAAATACGAAGCATTTAAAGCTAAATCCAATCCACCTAGAATTCATCAGGGAGAATACACAGGAATAGCATATAGTAAAAATGACTTTAGAAGAGTCGGTTTTTGCCTGCAGTGTGCAGATAAAAATAAATCAAATATGATAGAGAAGGAGTTCAGAGAAATTACAAGAGAACAGGATCTGTCCTCCCAGAAGAAGCTGTGCTTTACTACTGTAAGGATCCGACAGAAGTCTGAGATTAGAGAAGTCACTAGTGGAAAGAGAAGAGGGAGTTAGAGCACACTAAGAAAATACATAAGAGAGTGAAAGACAAAATGAAACAGGAATCTATATTGTAAACATTGCAAATATGCAAGCATATTTTTGACAGAAAATAAGCAACAAAATTTATTCTCAAGCAGTAGAAAAAACAATATTGATAAATCCACTGATCTGAGCTTTCATACCAGTCAACAGAGGAAAAGTTCCCCAAATATGCGTGTATTTTTTGTTTACCACACCAGAAATTGGGCACTCAAAAGATAAAAATTATTGGAATATGTGGCAGTCCATTGTGTATTGAAGAGGATACAGGTTAATAATCTTGTTTCAAGAAGTTGAACAGTTGGAGGTTTCAGCATATTCTTATTTAAACCCACAGCCTAAAAACCTTAAGAGGAAGAAAAAAACACACACACACAGAAAGTGAGAAGTGAGTCAGTAAGCCAGATATTTAGATACAAAAACCAATAAAGATTGTAAAACAAAAAGTGGTCAAACTGTTCAATAGTGGGCTTACGTTCTCAGAAGAAGGAAAATATGGCAGCAACATAGTAAAGACAGGAACATTCCTGTAAGATTAAAAACTACGTGATAAATAATGACAGCTCTGCTTTTTCAGAGATGTCAGAAAATGTTAAAATAATCACATAGTGGAAGAAGTAATGCCAATTACAATGAAGGATAAAGTTAATATTTCTAGTATCAGATATGCTTTTTAATGTAGAGTATTTACAAAAAGAAGGAAAAGATTTCCAGCTGGAGTTGGAATATAAATGATAAAAATCAATGAGCAAGAGAGGTGATTCTCACTGGAAAAAGTGAAGATGATGAAAGACAAGATATAAAAGAACAGTAGGTGGTGGTGGGCTTAAGAAATTTAAAAAGTTAGATGGTACACAATAAAGTACATTTAATAAAAATGTATTTGTGCAGCTATTTCATGTTTGGGCAGTGGCAGGCTGGAATAAAGAGAAAACCAGGGCAAAGCTGAGATGCCAGAGAAAACACATAATCTAACAGAAAGCATCCATGTTGAAATGTGAGCAGCAGGCTTGTTCCTGGATGTAAGTGTCCATCTCTGAATTTTATACAGGAGATTAGAGCAAAAGGACATAATTCTTTGGTGCTTTTTTCCCCAGTGGCTTATGGAAGAATAAGTAAATGGCTAATAACATGGGAAGAATTTCTAAATTTCTAAAGACAATTTTAAAAAAGAAAGAGAGGTAAAAAGGCTTATAATTGGGTATGCCAAATTTTTCTTTAAACCATCTGATTTACCAGATAAGTTACTGAAATATCCATTATCTACATTCTTCAGACTAAACTGTAATTTATTTTCTCACATATCTGCATCCACTTATAGACTTCAGCTGCTAGAGGACAGGAATCATGTCTTATTCATTTTGGGATGCTAAGTGCTAAGAACATAACAAGTGCTTCATGGATGTTCTCTGAACTAAAAAAGATATGTGAATATACCATATATTGGTGCAATTAGCGTTCCTTAATGAAAAAAGTAATTAATCTATGGACCGAGTTGAAGTTGCTTCTAACTGTACAGGTGGTCGGTAAAATAACTCAGAAGAAAACATCCATCAAATATGAAAGTATCAAAGTATAAAGTTGAAAAGGGATTTGGTGCACGGTAGCTAAAATGTATGTAGATTATATCACTTTTGATAGTATTTCACTGATACTATCTAAACACTAAGTAGATAATAGGCCAGTGCAAAAGAAATTGCATATTTACCATTAAAAATACTTCTAGCCTCCAAAATTGTGAGAAAATAAATTTCTGTTGTATAAGCCACCCGGTCTGTGGTACTTTCTTATGGCATCCCTAGAAAATTCATATAAATAGTAAGGAATGAGAAGAAGAATGGATGAAAAAAGTATTCAGGAGGCAGAGATGGTAAGACTTAGTGACTGGATATGTGAATGGTGAAGAAAAGAAAGGACTTCAGGATTCTTTTTCAGCTTTGTCTGCAGTCCCTCAAATGCATTTACAGATATTCTGAGAGAAGGGATTCTCCGGTGAGACATGGTAAAGGCTGTCTTTACTATCTTCTCTTCCTTGAGCTCAGTGTTTCACATAGCACTATAAAAGCTCAGAGGAAAGGCCAGGCATGGTGGCTCACGCCTGTAATCCCAGCACTTTGGGAGGCGGGAGGCCGTCAGGTGGATCGAGGCCAGGAGTTCGAGACCAGCCTGACCAACATGGGAAACCCTGTCTCTACTAAAAAAAAAAAAAAATATATATATATATATATATATACAAAACTTAGTTGGGCATGGTGGCACACGCCTGTAATCCCAGCTACTCAGGAGGCTGGGGCAGGAGAATCGCTTGAACCTGGGAGGTGGAGGTTACAGTGAGCCGAGATTGCGCCACTGCACTACAGCCTGGGAGACAGAGTGAGACTCTACCTCAAAAAAAAAAAAAAATAAAATAAAATAAATAAATAAATAAAAATAAAAATAAAACCTCAGAGGATCTGGAGTGATCTCTTCCTTCTGTAAAGACAAATAGCATTCATTTTTTTAACCCAGCTTTATCCAATCTTATTAACCACAAAATACCTTCCTTCCGTCTTTTCTGTGTTCCATAAAGATGCGTATTTTTGTGTCAGAATGCCTATCAACATTAAATAAAATGTACATATTTTGGGTCATGATGGTCTAGAACAGCACTGTACAATATAGCAGCCATTAGCCATATGTGGTAATTTAAATTTAAATTAATTTAAATGAAATTTTAAAATTTGAGCTCCTCAGCCACAGTTTAAATTTTTAACGAATTTTCAGTTCATTTAAATTTTAAATGAAATTTACTTATTCCTTCATCTGTTGATGGACACTTAGGTTTCTTCCAAATCTTAGCTATTGTAAACAGTGCTGTAACAAGCATAGAAGTGCAGATATCTCTATGATATACTGATTTCCTTTCTCTTGGATATATACCCAGCAGGGGGATTGCTGGATTATGTGGTAGCTCAATTTTTAGTTTTTTGGGGAACCACCAAACTGTTCTCCACAGTGGTTGTGCCAATTTACATTCCCACCAGCAACAATGTACAAGATATTCAGTTCCTCAGCCACAAAATCCACACTTCAGGTGCTCAAAAGCCACATGTGGTTAGAGGCTACTACGTTAAACGGTACAGACATAGAATATGTTCATCTTCACAAAAAATATGTTGAACAGCACTATGTTGCAATACCTTCTAGATTACTTAATTGGGTAAAGGGGTGAATCAAGAGATATAAAATTGAGAAAAAGAAATATTTTGTCTAGGGTATTTTTCTTTGAGGGGAAAAAGTGGAAGAAAGATGCAATTGCAGTTTATGACTTGCTGAGTTTCAGTTTTCTCTGATATATACAAGTGTAGCTGTTTATCTTAGACTAATGCTCACAGGAGACATCAAACTTTGGAGGCAAGGATTTGGATTTTATCGTTATACATAAAGTTAGTAAATCCAAGAATACAGAAATAGATAGATGGTGCAAGAAAACCAGGCAGTGAGAACAGAACAGTAGCTCTGGGACATAATCCTCAAAACTCTTCAGAGGCAAACAGGAGAAATGGTCTAGGGAATAAATCAGCTGACCTACAAAAGGAAAAGCCAAGGAGGAGTGTCAGGAGGCCAAGTAAAGTGGGTTCTCAGAGAAAAAACTGGTGTTTGGTAATATTAAAGACAACAACAAGTTCCAGGGAAACAGACTAAAATGTGTTCTTTAGATGTACAAGTATGAAGCTATGGTGAGATTTGTCAGAATGATTTCATAGGGCTCCCTTAGGAAGAGGAGTCAGATTTCACTGTGTCGAAGATCTGTTGATTACATTTCATCGATGACGGCTGCAAACAAAAAGACAGAGACAGTTTTTGCTTCAAGGAAAAACTAGAGATTTTGTTTTTCAGATGAGAGAAACTTGAACACACTTGCAAGTTAAGGAGAAAGAGCCACTTGAAAGGGAGAGGTTGATGATATAAAGGAGGAAAGAGGTAACTGGTAGAAGAGCAAGGAGGAGGTAGTAATCAAGAGCTTAGGGGAACAGACCCCAGCCATGGCTCCTACTAGGAGGCAGAACAACACGTCTTGCTGGCTCCCACTCCAGATCAATACCCAAGAACACAAACCAAGACTGGAAGGAGACTAACTGACATTCCTGTGGTGGTGGGTCCATAGGAGCTCATAACTTTGAAATAAATAATGGATAGAAATAGGGAGATACAAAGATAGAAAGGCAAAAAGAGGCTGTGTGTGGACCAATGCAGAAAGTATTTCATGAAACAAAGATAAAATGGACAAAATTCTACATGCCAGAGGTCCAATAAGATAAAGAGAAAAGAGGGGAGAAACTAACATAGATAAAGCAATTGACTTTAATCTTGAGGAAGGCTACTTTATGTCTGACTTGACAAATGTGATGAAGTCAAGGTGTAAATAAGTGTATAATTCAGGCGTAAATAGGTATAGACATAAATACATTTTTATGTGCAAGGTGAGAAGGGAAGTTGTCATTCACAGCTAATGTTCCCAATTTTCTTGATTTGGAAGCAATTTAATCCTCTGAGAGAGAGAGGAGGGGCAGTTGGTTGAAATGAATGCTGAAGATTTAGAACATTTGATGATGAAAAAATACAATCAAGAATAGTTATATTCTCAAATTCCTTTTCTTTGATGGCATAGGTAGCATTGAATTATAAACTTTAGGACTCCATGTCAATAATAAATATATAAGGAAGGGTTATTGCTTACAGTACAATGCTACAACTGATGGGTGATTGTGGAGGGAGTGCTACAGTTCCACTTTGCAACAATTACAGTGAAGACTGGGTTATGTCAGGACCATTAATGGATGCAAAATCTAGGGAGTAATTGTGATGGGGAGGTAGATAGCTATATAGTCTTAAAGTGTCTTTCTGCAAACTATACCAGTGGTAATAGAGAAAACCAAACTGCAATTATATAGCAGAGAAACCAGGCCACACCTTGACCAACCAATGGCACCGATGAAGGGCAGTTGACACTATGAGCCGTTATCTGTGATATCCTGAGAAGGACCCATCATCTGTGTACCATTCTGGCCAAGAATGAATAGTCTCAATCTAGTTATAAAGAAATATCATAAAAGCCAACTGCTTAATGTTCTATTAGTAAAAAGGTGGGACTGAGAGTATATTTGTCAAAAATGTCAATGTCATGAAAGGAAAGGTTTCTGATTTAAAGGAGGCTAATGAATCCTCACAGCTAAAAGCAATGTCTCACTCTAAACTGAATTCTGTGTTGGAGGGAACAATTATGCTATAACTTACTTTATCAGGTGAACTCACAAACTGAAATCTGGATGGAAGATTAGATCAAAACATCATATCAATATAAATTTATGAGGCTGATAATTGTATTGTGGCTATGTAAGTGAAGATCCTTAATCACTGGAATGTTTTGGAGTAAAGAATCATAATATATGCAATTTTCTCTCAAGTTCTTCCAGAAAATAATTATGCATGTGTTTGTACTACACATAGAAAGATGGATAGATGAGGGAGTGATGGGGAAGAGAGAGAAAAGAGCAAATGACAAAGCAAATGGGTGAATAAATAATAGGGGAATCTGTGTATAGGTATTTGGGTGTCATTTGTATTATTTTTATTTTCAACAATTTTTCAAGTTTGGAATTAAACTATTTAATTTGAAATTTTTAGGGTAACCACAGTAACAGAAGTGGAATGACGGTTTCCACTAAGAGTCTTCAGACACAGTGAGGCTTGAGCTGGGTCACCAAGGAGACAAAGCAGGAAAAGGCTTGACAGTTGTGACAATGGGCTGTGCTATTTGAAGTATGTGACACAGAATATAGCAGTCCCCTTGCTCTGAACTTCCCTTTCATTTGGTGCCCTTGACATCAAGATGAAGAAGGCTCCAAAACGAGTTTAAACAGAGATTAAATGTGAAAACAAGGAGGCTGTACACTGATGTACCTCCATTAACAAATCAATAAAGAGTCCTCTCCTTTTTGATATCCCTGGAAGTTATGCTGTTATGCCTTGCTGAACATGAAAGATAAAATCAAACTTACATTGTATAAGAAGACAAAAATTCCCATCTGATAATGCCTCTACACATATTGCAAAGGATGTAACATGTGTTAGAGAATTCTTTTTTCAATCACTGAAACATAATCCAGTTTTTAAAAACAGTATGTTTTAGATGTCTCATTCACCACATACTAATATCAACTATTAATATGTGCCTGCCTTGGTCGCTTACATTTTAGAAGATTTTTTTCCAGTTTTATTTTATAAAATATAGGAAAAATATCACTAACACTAGAGAAGCATAACAAACTAAAATGTACACTCTTGGATAACTCAAGGATATTTTTAAACATGCTACCACTATGTTTTGAATCCACTAGAAACACAGATTTTTGTACATGGCCTCATTTTTCTGTTTAACAAAATGTCTATTCTACAATCCTGTTTAAGAGGAAAAACCTAACAGGAAGGTTGATCCGATAGTCAACAGCTCACTTCAGAAAGCCAATAATAATTAGTCTACCAAAAAATATGGATGAAAACACTTAGTGATTTGTGGTCTTTTAAAAATAATTAATTATAAATTGTTGAGACACCTGGCTTCTTTTTTAAAAAATCCTCGTGCTGCTTTCAACTGAGCACTTAACGCTATAAAAATTAAATATTTAATGTCTATTTTATTTGTAGTATTACAGCTGGAATCCATTTTGCAAACATGTTTGTTTCACCAGTCATGCATACAGATAGAGCTTTACTATTTTCAGGTGTCTGCGCTCTCTGGTTCCTGCCTCTCAGCAGCATTTTGCTGTGGGCCTGCCCTGGCATGTTCCACCCTACAACTGATTCCTCTAGGTAATTTCCAAGCATTAGAATTTGCAAAACCATCAACGCCCCATATTGTGGCCTTTCTAATAGCATTCTTCATTCATTAAATATTCTGGGTTGTTAACTATGATACACATAGTTATAGACAATAATCTGTACCAGGAGGAAACCCTCAACTGCAGAACTTCAACCCCTAGAAAGCGTAGACAAATATGTTAAGAGTAACCTATGTTATAAATAGTTTGCTGTCTCCTGAACACTCAGTGTATTAGAGACAAGGCCTCTTGATTGAGATAGAAATAGACCCTCAAAATGGGACTTAGAGAAAGTGTCTATCACTAGAAATTACTTTGCCCCCATTGTAATAATTCCAGGAGACCCCAGGGAAGATATGTGATGGTGCAACCAGCTTTGGAATATTCCACTTACAATTTGGAATTCTATCTCCAGTTTTGTACTTTTTGAGCAACAGCCAGGAGTGATGGAAAGGTGAGGGGGTGTCCCATTTTGAACTTAGACTTCTGCAGGGTTTTAGATGTATTACATGTAAGTGGAAAGAGATAACATATACATATACACACAAACACACACACACATACATATATACATACAATGATACAATGTCAAGTTTACTTAGCAAAGTTTGAAGAACTTTTGAAAATGGAGGCTACACAGGCAGGACCTAACGCAGCACGTCTCAGTATGACTGTCCTAATGGGACAAATTTCAGGGAACATCTCAGTACACATAAGGATCTTCCAGAGCTAAGGAAATCACCAAACTGTTGTTACACAGCAGAACTTTTATACCTACTGTTTATATTTACATCCTAAGTGGCCAACGCTCCCAATATATGCATTTCCTTTTGAGGGTATGTTAATGTGTATAAGGCTCTAATGGTTCTTGACCCAATTTAACCATTCACAAAGTCACAACCTTATCTGGGAGGAGAAATTAGAGTCTGCTTTCGGGTGTCTTTGACTTCAGTTTGCCCAGGACCCAGAATCCATTTTCCAACAAGACACTCCCTGATTCTTAGATTTGTTTCTGAGTGTGTTCTAAAGACTATAATCATTAAACTTTCCCACTTTTAAGTAGGCTTTTGCTGAAGCTTATACAAAAAGAGCAGGGTCCAAACATTCTAATGCCATTACTTAACTGCTCGTTACTACTGCTTAAAACATGTATGCATTTAGACTGCTGAGAAGACATAGCTCTCTTGACCTCTCGCTATATAAAATGTATAAAAAAGTTCTCTCTAACAAATACTAAGCCTGGCTTAATTTTGGGTAGTGAAAAACTGATTTTTTAAAAAACCTAGGAGAGCTCTCTTGAAGTTCTTTATGTAGTTTAAATAGCTGGTTAATATCAGTTAGTTCTTTATGTAGTTTAAATAGCTGGTTAATATCAGTTAGTTCTTTATGTAGTTTAAATAGCTGGTTAATATCAGTTAGTTTGTACCATTACTAAAAATTTTCAGAAGAAAACCCACCCCTTTTACAGCAGCACTTATGATTAATTTAAGACAAAATTAATAATTTTAGCACTACTCTTCTCAAAAAGTCAAAACCATTATAATGATATTTCTTGGCAAGTTTGAGTTTTTCCTCTATGCCAAACATAGTACTGACAGTTTTTTTTCCCCCACAGGTTGAAAAACAAATGATGACATTTTAAGATGTTGAAAGTGGTTGTCTTTGAAGGTGGTTCTTAAAATTATTTCTGTACCAGGACATTTTAAGAAGTTAATCACATTTATAAATCCTTCATTTTCTCAAAATTCACTATCTGGAATAATTTATTAAAAAAAAACCTCAAAATTTTCAAAGATCTCCAGAGGGCCACATATATCTTGAGTCTACACGGAGTCCCAGTTAAGGGCCTTGCTGTTGTCCAGTTTTTGATAACGTGTGGAACAGAGTCATGGACTTGGCTTTCAAGACTACCCATCTACTTTAGGGACAACGTAAATAAATTCTTCACATGCTCTCCCTATGCCTCTGTTCTCTCATACATAAAAGGAAGATAATGTAAGTACTTTCCCCAGTGTGAGAATTATTCTTTCAACCAATATTTGCTGCATGACTAATGTGTGATGGTCATTGCTCGGGTAGGGAGATAAAAGAGTGAACAAGATAAACAGAGCCTTCATTGAATTTATAGCGTAGTAAGGAAGATGAGCAGTAAACACATAAAACAATAAAAAATTAATTCCATTTAGGTAGGTACTATTAATATGAAGGGACACACCACATGCCATGAGAAACTATAGCAAAGGTCTGAAAGATGAGTCAGTGCATTTTTATTACCTAGGTAAAGGAATCTGGGACAAGGGTGTTATGGACAGATGAAAGACCAGATATTAAACACCATGAAGGTTAAACCTTCAAGGAACTAAAAAAAGTTCAATGTAGTTGTGATCTAAAAAGCAAAGTGAGACAGGGCTGTAGAGGAATGAAGGGGGTGATCACGCAGGCTACTATTCATCTTAAAGATATGGACTTTATCCTAAAAGCAATGGGGAATCATTATAATATGTTAGGCAGAGCAGTGACAAGACAGGATTGTGCTTTTTAAAATAAGACTGAAGAGACAATCTCAATAAGCCTGTAGTTAGTAAAGAAATTAAATCAGTAATTAATAACCCCAAAACACAAAAAGCACCAGGCCCAGAATAATTTACTGGCAAATTCTATCAAACATTTAGAGAAGAAATAATACCAGTTCTCTATAATGTCTTCCAGAAGATAGAAGCAGAGGAAATATTTCATAACTCTTTCTATGAGGCCAGCATTGCTCTAATACTAAAACCAAACAAAGACATTACAAGAAAAGAAAACTACAGGCCAATATTTATCATGAACGTAGAGGCAAAAATCTTCAACAAAATACTAGCAAATTAAATCCAGCAATACATTAGAAGAATTATACATTACGACCATGTCAGATTTATCTCAGTTATGCAAGACTGGTTTAACATTCAAAAATCAATTCAATCTATCATATCAACAAGCTAAAGAAGAAAAATTACATGATCATATGAATAGCTGCAGAAAAAAAACCCTGGACAAACTCCAACGCCTATTCATGATAAAATCTCTCAGAAATTTGTGAATAGAACCATGAAAGGAAAATAAATCTTGGGGCCCCAAATCACTAAGCTAAAGGGAAAAGTCAGGATAGGAACTGCTTAGGGCAAACCTGCCTCCCATTCTATTCAGTCACCCCTCTGCTCACTGAGATAAATGTGTATCTTATTGCCATCTTTGGAGAAGTTAATCAGAAACTGAAAAGAATGCAACCATTTTTCTCTTATCTACCTATGACCTGGAAGCCTCTCCCTGCTTCCAGTTGTCCTGCCTTTGCTTTGAGTTGTCCCGCCTTTCTGGACTGAACCAACGTTTATTTTACATATGTTGATTGATGTGTGATGTCTCCCTGAAATGTATAAAACCAAAATGTGCTCTGACCACCTTGAGCACATGTCGTCAGGACCTCCTAAGGCTGTGTCACAGATGCACATCCTCAACCTTGGCAAAATAAACTTTCTAAATTAAATATTTGTCTCGGATATTCAGGGTTCACAGAGGGAAGCTTTCTCAACATGATAAAGAACATCTACAAAAACTCTACAGCTAACATCATACATAATGGTGAGAAATTAGAAGCTTTCCTTCTAAGATCAGAAACAACATAAGGATGTCCCCTCTCATCACGTCTTTTCAATATCATAGCAGAAGTCCTAGTTAATGTAATGACAAAAGAAAAGGAAATAAGAGGTATGCTGATTGAGAAAAAGAAATAAAACTGTCTCTCCTTGCTGATGTCATAACTGTCTGCACAGAACATCCAAAAGAATAAAAAAAAATTCCTGGAACTAATAAGCAATTATAGCAAGATTGTAGAATACAAAATTAACATAAAAAAGTTAATTTTCTTTATACCAGCAACAAACAAGTGGAATTTGAAATTAAAATCACAATACCATTTACATTATCGCTCCCTCTAAAGTAAAATATTGTTATAAATCTAACAAAGTATGTGCAAGATCTATATAAAGTAAACTACAAAACTCTGATGAAAGAAATCAAAGAACTAAATAAAGAAATAGTCCATGTTCATGAAGAGGAAGCCTCAATATTTTCAAGATGTCAGTTTTTCCCAACTTGATAAACAGGTTCAAGAAAATCACAAACAAAATCCTAGCAAATTATTTTTTGGATATCCACAAAGTTGTTCTAAAGCAAACAAGGAGAGAGGTAAAAGAATAGAATAGCTAATGTAATCCTGAACGAGAAGAACAAAGTTGAAAACCTGACACTACCTGACTAAAAGCTACAGTAATCAAGACAATGTGGTGTTAGTGGAAAAATAGACAAATAGATCCAAGGAACAGCATAGACAGCCCAGAAACAGACACACAGAAATATCAACTTATCTTTGACGAAGGAACAAAGACAATACAATGGACAAAATATAGTCTTTTCAACAAGTGATTCTGGAACGCACATACAAAAAACAAAATCTGGGGACACAGACTCATATCCTTCACAAAATTAACTCAAAAGAAATCAAAGTGCCAAATGTAAAATTCAAAACTATGAAACTCCTAGAAGATAACATAGGAGAAAATCTAGATGACTTTGGGTATGGCAATGATGTTTCGATACAACACCAAAGATGTATGCCATAGAATAAATATAGTCCTGACCTTAATGAAATAAACAACCTCTGCTTTGCAAAAGACACTGTCAGGAGAATGAGGAGACAAGCCATAGACTAGGAGAAAACATTTGTAAAAGAATTATCTGATAAAAGACTGTTATCCAAAATACACAAAGAACTCTAAAAACAATAAGAAAACTAACAGCCTGATTTAAAAATGGGCAAAAAAAACTTGAACAGACATCTCATCAAAGAAGATATACATGTGGCAAATAACCATATGAGAAGTTGTTCCACATTATATGACATTAGTGATATGCAAATTAGAGCAACAGTGAATTACCACTACACACCTATAAGAACTGCTCAAATCCAAAACACTGACAACACAAAATGCTGGTGAGGATGTAGAGCAACAGAAGTTCTCATCCATTGTTGGTGGGAATGCATAATGGTACAGCCACTTTGGAAGACAGTTTGGCAGTTTCTTACAAAAAAAACAAAAACAAACAAACAAAAAAAAGCATGATTTTCCTATACAATCCAGTGATCATACTCTTTGATATAAACCCAAATGGGTTGAAAAATTAAGTCCAGGCCAGGCGCGGTGGCTCACGCCTGTAATGCCAGCACTTTGGGAGGCCAAGGCAGGTGGATCACAAGGTCAGGAGTTCAACACCAGCCTGGCCAAGATGGTGAAACCCCACCTCTACTAAAAAATACAAAAAATTAGCCGGGTGTGGTGGCGGGTGCCTGTAATCCCAGCTACTTGGGAGGCTGAGGCAGAGAAGTGCTTGAACCCAGGAGGCGGAGGTTGCAGTGAGCTGAGACTGCGCCACTGCACTCTAGCCTGGGCCACGGAGTGAGACTCTGTCTCAAAAATAAATAAATAAATAAATAAAAATTAAGTCCAAACAAAAACTTTCACAATATGGTTCTAGCATCTTTATTCATAATTGCCAACACTTGAAGGCAATCAAGTAGTTCCTCAGGAGGTGAACTGGTAAATAAACTGTGGTATATGCAGACAATGGAATATTATTCAGTGATAAAGAGAAATAAGCTATCCAACCATGAAAAGACTTGGAAGAATCTTAAATGCATATTACTAAGTAAAAGAAGCCAATCTGAGAAGACTACATATTGTGTGATTCCAACTATATGATGTTCAGGAAAAGGAAAAATTATAGAGAGAAAAAAGATCAGTGGTCTCCAGGGATTGTGGGTAGGGACGGATGAACAAGAAGAACACAGGGGATTTTTTAGCAAAGTGAAACTATTCTGTATGACTCTTTAATGGTGGATACATGTTATTATATGTTTGTCCAAACCCATAGAATGTGCAACATCAAGAATCAAGCCTAATGTAAACTATAAACTTCGGGTGATAATAATGTGTTAGTGTAGGCTCATGGACTGTAACAATGTACCACCTGGTGTGGGATGTTGCTAATGGGGGAGGCCGTCCTTCCTGTCAACTTCACTGTGAACCTAAAACTGCTCCAAAAAATTAAGTCTACTTTTAAAAAAGAGCCTGGATGCAATGTGGCAAATTAATTGAAAAGAGGCAATAATGGATATGGGAAGACTTGATGGAAGACCATTGTAGTTGTCCAAAACTGAGGTAGGGCAGTAGTAGAAAAGATGCATAGAAGTGGAGAAAATGGGGAAGTTTTAAAAATAGATGACACAGATATGAGCAATTATTTGTATATGAAAAAGCTGGGCATTAATAATGACTCCGTTTCTACCTGGGAAAATCGGTAGAATCCGTATGTAGTACGATGACTAACACCTAGCTCAATAACTATTATCTATTGCTTTGTATATTTATTGATAGAAAAAGTAGGAATCGTGGTCATAGTAGTAATATTAATAGCAGCAGTGTCAGTGGCGCTAGTAGTAGCAGTAATGGTATTAGTAGTAGTAGCAGTAGTAGTGGTGGTTTTGGTAGTAGCAGTAATTGTAGTCGTAGTAGTAGTAGTAGCAGCAGTAGTGGTAGGAGCAGTAGTAGTAGTGGTGGTGGTGGTAATGGTAGTAGTGGTGGTGGTAGTGGTAGTAGAGGTGATAGTAATATGCTTCTGTTTATTCTGAAACTTGACATCAGATCAATAAGCTGAATTATCTCATTGCTAGAATTGACATCTGAGCAATAATCAAATGCCCCCAAAACTTTCCCATTTTAGAAGCTATTGTGTACCTCAAACAAGTATAATACCATTAGCGAACAATTCATACAAAACAAAGAGCTCTCTAGTGAAATAAAAAATTGCATTTTGTGGCTTCAAGTGTAGAACAAGGATCAATAAATTGAAATTTCATGGAGAAATTTCCATTAAGAATCATAACCATAATCACTCTATTCTAAAGAAATTTCCAAGGATGAAATGTGCTGCCTGGTAAGAAGTGAGTTCTCTGCCAGTGGGAAGTTTGATTGCAGACTGTTTTATCCCTTAGCCAGGGTACAATAGGGCTGGTTCCCAACTTGACAACTTAACAGAATAACTTGGGGAAGCTTTATAGAAATAGAAATGTCTGTATTCCATCCCTAACCCAGCATTTGAAGCCAGTGCTAGAGATTTAAGCATGAAGACTGTCAGTTAGATTAGATAATTTATGAGATCCCAGAGTTAATAAAAATTAATAATTTTCCTCTTTGCTAAATGATCAGTAAGACTTTATGTGTCAGAATACACTTATATTTTCTTTTTCCAAAATTTTCCCTACTCACTGTTATCCTACATTTACTTCTTTCTTACATTAATTTCCTTTCAAGTTTTTTCCACTGAACTGTAAATTCCTTGAGAAGTATAGCACCCTGGTCTAACTCATCTGCCATTTATCAAAGAATAATGTAATGTCTTTCACATACCAGTCACTCAATAAGCAGTTGTTAAATGCCAGACCTGGGGATGCTGCCTTGCACTATTGCAGTCATCTTTTTCCACCAGTGCACTAAATGGCTTCCTAGTAAACTAATTGAACCAAGGCATCTTCTGTTGTTTCTTAAGTCACAATCAGGGAATAATTTAGGAGAGAGACTTCCTAAGAACCATTTCTAGAGTTTACATTGCTATAGAAATAAGAAAAATACCATATCTTCTACTGTAATTGACAACTAATTTTATAGATTATACAAACAAAAGTATCAAATAACTAACTTATAGTCATATAACATGCACAAATAACTAACTCATCATACTCATATAATTTATCCAGCTTAGACGGAGCCCACATGCCTCTTATACAACCACCTACAGATAACTCCAAAATTATCAATTATCTGAAGCCTAGAAGGTTATACAGTTTTCAGAAAACAAATTATTATTTCTTAAATAATAAAAATATTAAAAACACGATGACCAAAATGGAATTCAGAAAATTGCAAAACAATATCTTCAAAATGGAAATTTTTGCAATAGACAAATAAGCTGCTGTCATCAATATTGCTATGAATATACAGTAAGGCATGAATGTTTAAAGCAAATAAAATCAGAATATTTGGGTGAACTTCTATGGTAATTTTCTATGACTTCACTATGTGGATGACACCATACAGATATTTTCATTGCCATGAGGGTTACAATGATGGTTGGAGATAGAAGACGTCTGAATTCACGAACATACAATTCTAGCCAACAAATATCTTTTCAGTACTCTCCAGATATTAGTCAACTCTGAAATGTAATACGAGACATGGTCTTTCCTGAGAGGGAATTCTATTTCTGCTCCAATGATGCTTTAATTTTCAATCACCCTGCCTCCTATTACACTTATATTGTTTCTCTCCATTGTTCACTTCTCTCTCCTCTTCCATTTTCCCTCTATCAGGCTGTATTGGAGTAGAAGGTAGATTTAGTTGGGTGTGCACACCATGCTTATATCATCTTATTCTTATGTACATCTTGCTTCACTATATTCAACATATACAGGGCTCTTACACCTTTTCTGGACAGAATCATAAGCTTCACAGATTCATCCTGTGCAACGAACAAACTGCAATGACTTGTACGTATTAAAAGTATAAATAAACAAATACATGTCATGGAGAACTATATTATCTCAGAATCATATTTATTCACCTCATGCCATTTCCATTTTTAAGTAAAGAAGAAACAAAAAGCAAATCTATTCGAATTTTGATTCAGCCTTCTGAGTCACTGGAATTACAGGCACAAGCCACCACTCCCAGCTGTTGATTGTCAGTTTTAATTCACTTCCTGTTACTTTTTTGTGGCATTGCCTTCTCTTTTCTATTATGCTCTGATTCCCTCTTGGATACTGTGATGTCCAGAACAACAACACAGTAATGCCAAAACAAGTATTTTCAAAACAGGAATACTTAAGCTTCTAAGTAAGATCTTGTTGATAGAGCTGTTTTTGATTTGCTTATGGACGATCACATATTTCTCCTGGGAAATGTTCACTACGGGGAGAGTAAAGCTCTTGACCTGGAAGAATGTCTTGATCACTGCCTCCAGGGTAATCTGGCTTCATTTTGGAGACTAGGTCAAGATTTAGTGGTAAGTACAACTGATGACTGGTAGACTGCATCCTATCAGCAGTGAGTAAAATTTCTCTTCTTGGTTAGGGAGGTTCATTTCTAGGCTAATGCATGCTTCCTTCTAAATAGGAAAGTCAGGGGAGGCAAGCTTTTGGCTTGGTAGTGCTATATCGTGGTCAACATCATACTGTTGTACACTCCAGGCCTTCTTTCCAACTTTTGCTTGTTTTTGTGTTGACTTCGTGGAGATAGCCTTTTATTCTAGAAAAGTCCTGAAAAGTATATATTTCCATGACCAGGAAATTCAAAAGCCAAGGAGAGACAAGGATTTGGGAGGATCACATGGTAGGGAAAGTATTGCTTCCCTGGAAAACTGACCATGAGCTGAAGAAGCAATAACTACAGCAGGGCGGGAGTAATGGAGCTGTGGTTGGAGCGAGAGACGTAGTGGATGCTTGGGTTGTGAAGAATGCAAGAATTCAAAGTGAAAGATGCAAGAATCCACTTTGCATGGAGAGTGATCTGTTATACATGTGGAGTACTCTGTTTTCTGTGATTCTGGATAACACTTGTCCTTCAATCAGTGCAAAAGTACCAGATTCACAGAGTTCAATGTTAAGTATTAAGTAAAATCATAAAAATGTATAGGAAAAGCTCTCAAAGGAAGGTTGGCTGTACCTAAGGCACAAGTGCTAGAGATGACTCCTGAACAAATCTCTAAAAATTCCTAAAAGATAGAAGTGCTTACCTGCTGGCCTTCAAAAGAAGAGGCAACTTCTCTCTATGAGACATTTCTCCAGCCAAGTTTTAGCTTTAAAAGCTGACTTTGGATGAAAGGCATATTTAACTGGCATTCTGGCAAAGATGAGCTCATCAAGTCTTTCTTTATTCCTCCAAATAATACTCTGGTGTGCTCTGTAGTTACCATCAGAATATGGATATACAATGTAAGACATATTGGCTTCTGAGGGAAAAACTCACATGTGACACATATCAGAGTAGAAGGAAATTTGGGCTAAATTTTCTTCTCCTCTAATATGTGTCACTCATGCGACATATAAAGTGCTGCAGTTCTGGAACTTGATAGTATCTTTAATTTTTGCCTGTAGAATTACTGTTATATGATTTTTTTTGTCCTATTGCTTTTCTGAAATTTTAGGAAAATGGGAAAATAGAAAACATCTTGAGAAGTTGGAGCAGAAGATTCCTTCCTCCGGAGCTGCTCAAATAGACACATTCTAATGAGACTTCAGCATGAGAAAGCAGTGATTGAAAGAGAAAAGATGGAAAAATTAGAGTAAAGATATTTTGTATATATTTTGAGGTTTACACCAACATAATGTGTGTATGTATGCACGTATATATATAACATATATATGTACTATGAAGATATTTATTATAAAGAATTGGCTCATTCAAAAGACCAAAATATTATAGGTGCTATGATCTAAATATTTGTGTCCCCCTAAAATTCATACATGAAACCTAATACCTAATCTGATAGTATTATCAAAATGGGGTCTTTGGGAGGGGATTAGGGAATGAAGTCTCTTCCCTTATGAATGGGATTAGTGTCCTTATAAAAGATACCCCAGGGAGTTAGCTATTCCTTTCCATCATGTGAGGACACAGTGAGAAGGCACCATCTATGAACCAGAGAGCAAATTCTCACCAGATACTGAATCCAATGATGACTTGCTCTTGGGACTTTCCAGCCTCTATAACTGTGAGAAATAGATTTGTGTTGTTTATAAGCCAGCCCGTTGTTCTAGCAGCCCAAACACACTCATAAGATTGAAGGGGTAAGCAAACTGGAAACTCAGAAAATAGTTGTGGTTCAAGTCCGAAGAAGTCATGCTGGAGACCAGGAAGAGCCAGTGTTGCCAAGGAAGTCTAAAGGTTGTCTGCAGGCATAATTCCCTCTTGCTTGGAGCAGGCCAGCCTTTGGTTCTATTCAGACCTTCAACTAATTAGATAGGCCCACCCACATTAGGGAGGGCCATCGGCTATACTCAAAGTCCACTAATTTAAATATTAATTTAATCTTAAAACACTCTCATAGAAGCACCTAGAACAATGTTTGAGCAGTGCCACTCATTCTCACAGGTGAACGAAAGACTGTAAGCCCCTGTAGAGACCCTTCTCCTTCCCCTAAGACTGAAGGGGCTAGAGCAGTCTGGACTTTTATGAGTTTTCAAAACTGACCCCCAAAGGCTCCCTGCCTGAACAACATACCACACTAAAAAGACACTGCTGGGAGTGAAAGCAAAATTTGGCAGATAAGCAAAATAGAGAGAAAATAAGATTATCCACATAAAATGAGGGAGATAACCAGGCCAAGGAATTTCAGAAAGCAAGCTGCCATAAATCAACAATGAACAAAAATAATAAAAAAGAGAGAGAGGGAGTTCTGTGTGGTTGCAAACACTATGTGAACCCAATCTCTTTTTAAATATTTAGGGAAGCTTAAATTTAAAGTACTTAAATTTACAGAAGAAATATTTAGGGAAACTTAAAGTACTTAAATTTAAAGTACTTAAATTTACAGAAGAAAAGATTGAAGTCCAATTCCATTTGAAGTTTTTCTAAGAACAAAGAAAAGAAGATAACAAACAATATGAATCTCAGGTAAGGGGAAATATGTACTTAAGGAAAAAAATCAAAACATAAGTACTACTTCAAAGCAAACTAAAGAAATTAAGAAAAATAAAACACGGAAAATATTATTTTCAATTCAAGCAATACTCATTATCAATTAATATGTGTAGCCATTTTATGAGATCATTGGAGAAGAAAAATAAACATGATAAAAATTCCAGCTTCCAGGACCTGACAGGCACATGAGGAAGGACATTAAAAAATCACTCAGTCACAAGACTTTAAAAAAAAATAAATGAAACCTGACATTAGCAAGCTTTCAGTTAAAAGCCACCCACCCCCCCAAAAAAATTCACCATTGACCAAATCCTCAATCACTTTGTAAGTTTTACTTGGGAGAATTCCAAACTAATTTGGAATTTCCAAACTAATTGTAAATTTTAGTTTACAATTTTCTAGCAAGTCTCAAATAAAACCAGAGATCAAGTGCTAATCAAGCTGAGTAAATTATTCTGTGGGGAGAGGGAGGTTAAGAGTAAAACAGTGTACATTTTGAATGAAATGTTTCAAATCCAGTATGACTAAGTCACAGTAGGGATGACACATTTTCAGTCATTTCAGGTCATCACATTCACGGGTGGAAGAACTGGAGACCCTTGTGAATGAGGAAATACAGAAGCAAGGTGTGGAGCGCCACAGGGGACAGGGAACATGGCCTCCTTTCCCAAGCAGCAGATGGCTGACCTCTTTGCCTGCTTTTGCTTTGCTTCTTTTCTTCAATTTTTCCTGACAGGGAGATGCCCAGCACTGGGTTTACTAGCTTCCCTTGTTCTCTATCTTCTTCTTACTCTTATCCCATCACAGGCAATTGCAAGGGCCTGGCCTGCCAAGGATGCTGGCTCAACTATGGAGACCTGCCCTAATATTTTCTTACAGGTCAAAGAGCTGTAGTTAAATATTCAGTTAATCTATGCCAAATTTCCTTTTTTCTGATAATTCCAGTTTGATCAGGGGACTCAGATCCATTTTCCTTCCCAGGACAAAGCTCCTACTTTCTATCCCAAACTGCATAAGTTGGGTCTGTCTGCTCTCTGTGAGTGCTGGCTTGCCTGATACTAAAGCCCTGTAACACAAAGACTACTCTTGCTCCTGCCAATGCCCCTACAGTACTCTGACTCAGCCCTATTTGTAGCTGCCTCCACACTTTTCAGGGTGTTGTCTGCTCTTTGATTCTCAGGGTTCAGGCTCCAGTCGCCAATACCAATATTCCATTATTTGTTGTTTGACCTCCTTGAAACTGCTGACTACTTGTCTGGGCCACACACTTTTTGGATACCAAGCTAATCTGCCTGGTGGACATTTTTGCCATTATACACATCTTGCGCCATCCACCAACATTTTCCCTGCCTTAAACAGCATGATGGATTTTGTGGTCCTACGTTTTGTCATCTGCCCTAAGCTGATGGTGAACATTTACAAGCTAGAGCAAGTCAGGACCTATCCTTGGCTTCCCATTCTCTCACACCCACATCCAACCCACCAGTAACCTCTGTCAATCTTCAAAACATGTACCACATGTCACTCCTCCTCTGCCACTCACAGCTGCTCTTCTAGCCTCAACCACAATCATCCTTCACCTGGACTGTGAGCATAGGATTCTGCTTTCACTTTTGACTCCTACAGTCTAGTCCCCATCCAGTAGCCAGAGTGATGGCTTTTACCAAACATGATTATATCATTCCTGTGCTCAAGACATCCCTATAGCTTCAATCATATCATAATAAAATTCAGAATCTTCACCACAGCCTCTGAGGCTGTACATGATCTATCCCCTTAGGTCTGTCTGGGTTTATCTTCCAATACTCTGGGCCCCATTCATGCACCACTGACATCACACTGGCCTCTTTGCATGTCCTCAAAAACCCAATCTTCTTTCTGCTTCAGTGATGTGAAACTACTGATCCCTTACCTGGAGCATATCCCTCAACATTCACATCACTTCTGATACGGTCTGCCTCTGTGTCCCCACCCAAATCTCATCTGGAATTGTAATCCCCATAATCCTCACGTTTTGAGGGAGGCACCTAGTGGGACGTGATTGGATCATGGGGATGGTTCCTCCAGGCCGTTTTCATGATAGTGAATTCTCACGAGATATGATGGTTTTATTAGTGTTTGACAGTTCCTCCTTCACACACTCTCTCTCTTTTGCCTGCTGCCATACTTGCTTGCCTTTCAACTTCTCCACGATTGCAAGTTTTCTGAGGCTTCCTCAGCCATGCAGAACTGTGAGTACATTAAACCTCTTTCTTTTACAAATTATCCAGTCTCAGGTATTTACTTACAGCTGTGTGAGAATGGACCAATGCAACTTCCTTTCTTTCTTTGCATTTTGCTCAATTACTGCTTTCCCCACAGATGCCTTCCCTGACTACCTTATCTAAAATAACCACACTACATGTACACACACCTCCAACAAGCACTCCTGATACCCTTCCTTTGTTTATTTTTCCTCATGGTACTTTTTACCATTTGACATTAGTTTATGTTTTTATTTTCTAATTGGTTTATTGTTTATCTCTCCTACTATGATGTAAAATTTATGAATAAAGGGACTGTTTTCTTTTTCTTACTGCTACATCTTCAGTTATAGAACAGCATTTAACACATAGTAAGTATTCTATAAAAAGCTTATTTAATTAACGTGGGATGAGGCTGAACCAGAAGAATGAAGTGGATACATTCACCTATAATAGGAAAATGGGGCTAAACTCAGTAAGACCAACATATTCAATGTTTCAACCAAGGACGGATGTGGTCAGCCTCAGGAATAAAATTGACAAAGCTTGCCCTCTTCAGTTAAAAATTCCAGGCAATACTCTAACATATATATAGCTCTTCCCTAGATCTTTTCAACATCTCTAATTTCTAAGCTGTGCTCAACACGCTGAAGCCTACCCTCTCTTGTCTTCCCTGGTGTGTCCTACTGATGATCCTTGAGATCTCTTATAAGTTGCCTGATACCTCTAAGCTCTTCATTGATTAAAAAAAAAGGAATATTTATAGACTCTAACTTACAAGTTGGCGGTTGGTGACAGAATGAAATGAGATAATATATGCTAAATATTAGCACATTGTTGGCCAAAAGTGAAGCTAAGTATTACAATCTCTCTTTGCTCCCCCTTCTCTCACATAGTGAAAAATAGGATGTAGTTCAGTGTTTTTCTGACTACCTAATTAAAGCAACAATGAAAGTATTAACAATTATCGTAGTGCTAATCACAAATTATTGATCATATATTATGTGAAAGGGGCAGATACATGATATCTCAAATATCACCCAGAAAATATTTGCAGATTAGCATTATTGGCCTAATTTCATGATAAGTAAATTGAATGCTGGAGAAGTTTAATTCCTTGTTCAAAGCTATAAGTTGGTAATTAGACAAATAAGTATTTCAACATAACAAAAGATTCCATATTTCTTTTATTAAATTTAATAGGGTAGCAACATTTCAAAAGAAAATCAGGATACAGACATTTGTACTATTTGAATTTTCAAAATTCTTTCACAATAATTTCTTTATTTAATAATACATCACCATATCACCTTTCTCCACTGATAAACAAAATATATAGTCAGAGTAGTTTAAATGTTAGCCATCTCTCTCTCAAGCTAAACCTTAGAAAGGGGCTAAACTTACAGAACCCAAAAGAAAAGTGAAAACAATGACTTGGGAGATAATATGAATTAGCTTACTGCAGAGAAGACTTTTTTAAACATCAAAAAGTGAATTAAAAACTGCAGCTCTTATACAACTTTGCTCCAATTTTATTAGATTGCTTGATCTTTTATATATTAGATGACAGTAAGGCCTAAAGGAGTATATCGAGGGTACTAAATAAAAAGGAAAAAAACCCAGTCTGATAATGATTAACAAATGAATTTTCCTTTGCCTGAGCAGCTCTTATCTCCAAAGATCTCCCAAGTTAGGGTCTCTTACTCTTTCCCCACATGTCATATCCCTATCCCAATTTCATCACAGATGAGATGATTAGTATAACTAAAAGACAGGCCAAAAGAAATTATCCAATTGGAATAATAGAAGGAATAAGGTTTGAAAATACTAACCAAATGGTATAACATGCATGTAACTGTATAGCTGGAATGGGAAGATTGGGAAAAAGGGACAGACAATATTTGAATTAAAAAACCTGAAAATTTCCCGAATTTGGTGGAAAACATTAACTTATGGATCCAAAAACTAAATGAATTTCAAACATAATAAATACAAAGAAAACCACAGCTAGCACAAGAGTCAAACTTCTGACACCACAAATAAAGAGAAAACCTTGAAACGAGACAAAAATAAAGGACACCTTACATATAAGGGAACAATGACAAAAATAATAGCTGATGTCTCATCAGAAATAATAGAGGTCAGAATAAATTTAAATGACAGTTAAAGTGCTGAAAATTAAACTATCAACCCTAAATTCAATAGCCAAAAACCACATGCTTCAAAAATGAAGGCAAAACAAAAATATTTTTGCATGAACAAATGTGAACAAAGTTCAATGCCATTAGACCTGCATTGTAAGAAAGACTAAGGGAAGTTTTCCAGGCTGAGAGAAAACGACGAAAATTAAAATCTCAGATCCTCAGGAAGGAATAATAAGCACAAATGATGGTAAATGTGTAATAAATATCCAACCAAAGAATTATTTAATGTAGGCATTGCTATATTGGATTTTAGAGTTTATATCATATATAAATGTAAAATTTATGAAAACAATAGCAGAAGGGTGGATGTATATAAATTTCTCATTTTGAAATTCTGCATTTTATGTAAAAATACAATATTAACTCCAATTAAACTGCGATACCTTAAAAAGACACACTGTAATCTCTAGTTACTACTAAAAATTATTAAAAGATAAGTGATAAGCTATTCAAGAAATTATATAATTACTTTTAAAATTATTAGTACCAAATAAAGCAGCAAATAAGGAAGAGAACAAAAAAATAAGAAATAGAAAACACAGGTAATTAACTGGTGATCTATCTCTAATTCGCCGTTAAGCACATTCAGTAAACCTTTTATTATAGGTAATGTTTTTCTGTTCTTTAATATACAATTAATTCTTGTTTAAAGCCTCCATTTCTGTACTGATATCCCCCATCTATTCACTCATTAGAATCTCTTTTCCTTTAAATTCTTGATCATATTTAAAATGGTTGTCTTAAAGTCCTTGTTAATTCCAGTATCTGGGTCATTCTAGGGTCTGATTTTATTGATAACTTCTGCTCTTGGCTATGTGACAAATTTCTCTTTTTCTTTGCATATCTAATAACTTTTTATTTTATTCTAGGCAGGATTGAAGAGTTTCCAGGTTTTGAAAAAAATATTACTATAAAAAGTGTTAATTTTTGCTCTAGAAGTCAGGTCAATTTCTGGCTGAATGCACTTAACTTTTGGAGGCTCAGTTTTATGTTCTATTGAATATGACTGTGAAAAGCCTGAGCTGTTCCCCAAGCCTTTCTATCTTACCAAGACTTTATCCTCAAGTCTATCTCTCTGTCATGGCAGTGGCAGAAACATCTGATGAAAATTTTTACTTTTCTATCTGTTTTCCATCACACTTCTTGAAGTCTCTCCCATGCGTGCTTACTGGTCATCTTAACACTGTAGAAGCTTGGCTTTGTAATTTGATAGCATATTGCAGTTTTGCCCCTTATGAATTATTTAGCACCATATTCTTTGGAATATAGTCTTTACTTCTAAGATGTGGTTTTCTTGAGGTTTCAATTTAAAGCCCTAAGTGTTTTCCAAGTCTCTTTATTTTGCTAGAACTCAAACTCCAAATTTTATATCCCTATGATAAGCAGCTGTTGAAACTCTGAAAAATAGCTAGAGAGTTCTTCTAATGATCTCACAGGGTGAGATCATTGAAATCTCATCCTGTTTAAGTTAGAGGCCAGCAAGATTATATACAGACATGAACGAAGTTTCCCTGCCATAGGGAAACGAATCTCCCCTAGAATCTCTCCTTCCTAGGATCTCCCCAGATCAATTTCCAGGCACTCTAGCAATCTCAGACTCCATCCTCTGATCCTCAGGACAATGGGACTGTCATTTTCTGCTTGATCTCTATCTGCAATGCTACACGCAAACTTAAAAATTCCCTCAGAGGGATAAAAAAAATATAAATACAGTTTCACCCACTGTGATTACCTTCTTTTAGTGATGGAATCTCCTCTAGTTTCCTCCTCTTTTTCACCATTCCCCATACCTCAAATAGTTACCATTTGCATTTTATTTAAAGTTTTATCAGGCTTACTGGAAGCTACAGACCTGAGAATTCTTCAAATGCTCTATTTTGATCATCTCAGTCTGTGCCAAGTTATCCCATTTTCTAGAGGAGAGTTCCACAGTTGCTTTTATTACATATTATCTGTAGCTTCAAGGAGCAACTCTCAATAAATTTTCTTACTTGGCACACTCCTAGGAGAGTCACTTTCCATCAAAGCGCTAATCATGGCCTGGTGACTTTACCATATGGGGACCCTACTACCATTCTTGAATTCAACTACTATACTTTCCCCCTTACTTTCTCTGCTTTAGTCACAGACACTTATTATTATTCCTTAAACATAAAGCAAAGTACGTAGGCTTTTGAACTTAATCCATCTTCATAAAACCATCTTCTGCCAGATATCCATGTGTTTCACCTTCACACTTCATTTAGGTCTTTATTCAAATGTCACCTTCTCAGGGAGGCTTCCCTGACCTCCTATTTAAATTGCAACTTTTTCATCATTCCCTGTTTTTTTCTTTCCTTATATTTATTGCTATATACATAGAATTTGTTATTGACTTGCCATGTAAAGTGGTGCAGGAACAGTATCCCAAAATATGGCACCTTAAAAATTGAGAAAACAGCAGTAACAGGAAGGCCACTCTAACCTTCTACATCTCCTTTCTCCCCTGAAGCAGACTAGAAACTAGAATTACCCCATCACTTCTTCCCTAAAGCAGTAGAACCCTGGAAGGTCACTCTCTGACCTTCTCCCTTTCTTCTCCTCTAAAGACCCTCATGTGACAGGTACCCTGCCATAAAGAAAGAAATGTCACACAGAAACAGAGGAGAATCTCAGCAAACATGCCTTACTCAGTTCTCCCTAGTTTATTACCATTAGATGATGCCCTTTGTCCTCAAAGTGTACTTCTCTTCACTCTTTATCAGACCTAAGTTTGATATCAAACCTTATCAAACCTAAGTTGTAAAAATACAACTTTCCTCATTTCTTTGGGTCATCATTTCTAAAGGTTCCCATATCATGTAAACGTTTATTAAATAAATTTATGTGCTTTTCGCTTGTTATTCTGTCTTTTGTTATGATGGTCTCAGCCATGAACTTTACAATGGGTGAGAAAAATACATTATGTTTTCTCCCCTACACATGTTTGTCTTATCTATACTCCTACTAGAATGTAAATTCCATGAGGGAAGGGGTTTGCGCCCATTTTGCTCACTGCTTTTCCCCAGTCTGGTTTTCCCCGGCACTGAGTGTTAAACAAATGAACAATGTAATTTAGTTTTCTCTCTGACTTATTGAATATCTTCCTTTTTAGATTTGTATGTTACTTTGTCACCCTGTCTCATCTGGTAACATGAAATTTTCATCTGTTTTCCTAGTTTTCTTTAATAAGTGGTTAAGATCGAGACTATCTCCTTTTTATATAGGTCTAGTTTATCTGTTAAGATTGCAAGTCTCCCATTAAGTAAGTAGGTCTTTTGTTTCATTTCTTGATATTTTCCCTATCTAGCTTCTGCTATTTGTGAAACATTATATTTCTGTACTGTTTCTGTAGTAAGTCAAAGTAAGCTTTCAGGATGTAGCAGAAAATATATGTGTATAGAAACCCAGATAAACATGATATGCAAACTGAATTACTTTGGGGACAAAAAACAAAAGCAGATTAAAATGTATTAAACAGAAATGAAACAGTTAAAAATTTTTATGTTAGAGCTAGACTATATGCATTCATATCCCAATTCATCTACCTACTACTTCTGTGATTTGGGGGAAGTTACTTAAGTCTCCTACACTTTTTTCTTGACAGCAGGTTTTGCCTGGACTTCCAGTGGCACTATCATGGCTCACTGTAGCCTTGACTTCCCAGGCTCAAGTGATCTTCTCTCCTCAGACACCCAGGTAGCTGGGAGTACAGGCACACCAACACACCTGGCTAATTTTTTAATGTTTTTTGTAGAGATGAAGCCTTACTATGTTGCCTTGGGTGGTCTTGAACTCCTGGCCTAAAGCAATACTCCCATCTAGGTCTTCCAAAGTGCTGGCATTACAAGTGTGAGCCACTGCACCTTGCCACTTAAACTATAATGATATCTACTTCATATGGTTGTCATCTAGCTTGAATTCATGTAAAATACTGAGAATAGTGACAGACAGATGAACACTAAATACGTGCTAGCTATCATTACATAGCCTAGAATTACGTGCCTCATAAATGACCGAGTCATGGGAATGTGGGTCTGATTTAGCATCCAGGTAGCAGAAAGAGTCTGTTTGGGAAGCTTCCACTACCAGCACTGTCTGATACCCTTACAAAAGAGATATGTTGTGCATTTGCAAAGAGAACCCCATTAGGAGGGTTGAATTAAAACAGAGAAAGCAAATAAAGCCTTAAAGATGAGATGTACAGGAGCAATTGGTGAAGTATTTTACCAGGAACTGCAAAATTTATAGTAGTCCTAGCCAGAGCAATCAGATAAGAGAAAGAAATAAAGTGCTTCCAAATCAGTAAAGAGGCAGTCGAACTGTTACTTTAAACTCATATGTTCATATACCTAGAAAATCCTAAAGACTTCTCCAAAAAGCTCCTAGGTTGGATAAATGCATTTAGTAAAGCTTCAGGATACAAAATCAGTATAAGCAAATCAGTAGCACTGCTATACACAAACAATGACCAAGGTGAGAAACAAATCAAAAACGAAATCCCTTTTACAACAGCTGCAAAAAAATAAAATAAAATCCTTAAGAATATAACTAACTACTGAGAAGAAAGTTCGCTACAAGAAAAACTACAAAACACTGCTGAAAGAAATCATAGAAATTACAAACAAATGGAAACACATCCCACGCTCATGAATGGGTAGAATCAATATTGCGAAAATGACCATACTGCCAAAAGCGGTCTACAAACTCAGCACAATTCCCATCAAAATACCATCATCATTCTTTGTAGAACTAGAAAAAAAAATCCTAAAATTCATATGGAACCAAAAAAGAGCCCACATAGCCAAAGCAAGACTATGCAAAAAGAACAAACCTGGGGGCATCACATTACCTGACTTCAAACTATAGTACAAGATTATAGTTACCAAAACAGCATGGTACTGGTATAAAAATAGGCATGTATACCAATGTAACAGGATAGAGAACCCAGAAATAAAGCCAAATACTTACAGCCATCAGATCTTCAACAAAGCAAACAAAAACATAAAGTGGGGAAAGGACACCCTATTCAACAAATGGTGCTGGGATGATTGGCAAACTACATGTAGAAGAATGAAGATGGATCCTCATCTGTCACCTTATGCAAAAATCAACTCAAGATGGACCAAAGACTAAAATCCAAGACCTGAAACCATAAAAATTCTAAAAGATAACATCGTAAAAACCCTCCTAGACATTGGCTTAGGTAAAGAGCTCATGATCAAGAACCCAAAAGCAAATGCAACAACAACAAAAAATAAATAGATGGGACCTAATTAAACTAAAAATCTTCTGTGCAGAAAAAAAAAAAATCAGCAGAGTAAATAGGCAACCCACAGAATGAGCGTTAATATTCACAAACTATGTATCCAACAAAGGACTAATATCCAGAATCCACAAAGAACTCAAACAAATCAGCAAGAAAAAAAAATAATCACATCAAAAAGTGAGCAAAGAACATGAATAGACAATTCTCAAAAGAAGATATACAAAAGGTCAATGAATATATGAAAAAATGCTCAGCAGCACTAATTATCAGAGTAATGCAAATTAAAACCACAATGAGATACCACCTTACTCCTGCAAGAATGGCCATAATTTTTTAAAACATCAAAACATAATAGATGTTGGCATGGATGTGATGAAAAGGGAACACTTTTGCAATGCTGGTGGGAATGCAAACTAGTACAATCACTATGGAGAATGGTTTGGAGATTTCTTAAAGGACTGAAAGTAAAACTACCATTTGATCCAGCAATCCCACTACTGGGTACCTACCCAGAGGAAAAGAAATCATTGTATGAAAAAGACACTGCACACACGTCTATAGCAGCACAATTCACAATTGCAAAAACGTGGAACCAGCCTAAATGCTCATCAACCAACGAGTGGATAAAGAAAATGTGAGATATATAAATATATATATGAATACTACTCAGCTGTAAAAAGGAATAAAATAATGACATTCACAGTAATGTGAATAGAGTTTGAGACCCTTATTCTAAGTGAAGTAACTCAGGAATGAAACATCAAACATTGTACACTCTCATTTATAAGTGAGAGCTAAACTATGAGGACACAAAAGCATAAGAATGATATAATAGACTTTGGGGACTCTTGGGGAAGGGTAGAAGGGGGATGAGGGATAAAATACTAGACATTGAGTGCAGTGTGAAGGGTGCACCAAAATCTCAGAAATTACTACTAAATAACTTATGCATGTAACCAAACACCATCTGTTCCCCAAAAACTGTTGAATTAATTTTAAAATAATTAATTAATTAAAAATTAAATAAAAAAACTTACAGTAAATTACCTTGAACTGAGAAACCAAGTAAAGTGGGAAAGTAAGGGAAGCTGACTGGAATGGTCAAAGAAATTGACATTGATTCTCAATCTGAAAAGCTCTATACATCTTAAAGTGCTAAAACTGTTCCCAAGTAATGGAAACACCAGCATACTTCTAAGATATTGTGGGTTCAGTTCCAAAGCAATAAAGCAAAAGTTCAGACCACAGCAATAAAGCAAATGTCACAAAAAAATGAGTCACACACATTTTTTTGGCTTCCCAGTGTGTATAAAAGTTGTATTTACAGTATACTACAGTCAATTAAGTATGCAATTACATTGTGTAAAAAGACAATGTACATACCTTAATGCTAAAAAAAAAAAAAGATGCTAACAATCATCTGAGCCCTTAGAGAGTCATAATCTTTTTGCAGGTAGAGGGTCTTGTCTAGATGTGGATGGCTGCTGACTGATCAGGGTGGTGGTTGCTGAAAGCTGGAGTGGCTGTGGCAATTTCTTTTTTTGTGTTTTTAGGCAGGGTCTCACTCTGTTGCCTAGGTTGGAGTGCAGTGGTGTGATCATGGCTCACTGCAGCCTTAAACTCCTGGCTTCAAGTCATCCTCCCACCTTAGCCTCCCAAGTAGGTACACATCACCATGCCAGGCTAACTTATTTTTAATTTTGTGGGGAATAAAGATGAGGTCTTGATATGTTGCCCAGGCTGGCAATTTTTAAAAATAGACAACAATGAAGTATGCTGCATCCATCGATTCTTCCTTTCATGAAAGATTTATCTGTAGTATGTGATATTATTTGATAGCATTTTATCAACAGTAGAACTTATTTCAAAATTGAATTCAATCTTCTCAAACCCTGCCACTACGTTTTATCAACCAAGTATGTACTAGTCTAAATCCTTTGTTGTCATCAACAATGTTCACAGCATCTTCACCAGAAGTAGATCCCATCTCAAGAAACCATTTTTCTTTGCTCATCCATAAGAAGCAAGTCCTCATCCATTCAAGTTTGATCATTAGTTTGCAACAATTCAGTCACATCTTCAGCTTCCACTCCTAATTCTAGTTCTCTTGCTATTTCCACCATATCTGTAGTGACTACTGAAGGAAGTCTTCAGCCCTTCAAAGTCATCCATGAGGACTGGAATCAACTTCTTCCAAATTTCTGCTCATGTTGAGATTTTTACCTCCTTCCATAAATCACAAATGTCCTTAATGACATCTAGGATGGTGAATCCTTTCCAGAAGGTTTTTAATTTGCTTCTCTCAGATCCACCAGAGAAATTACTATCTATAGCCACAATAGCCTTAAACAATGTGTTTTTTCAACAGTAATATTTGAAAGTAAAAATTACTCCTTGATTCATGAGCTGCAGAATGTATGTTGTGTCAGCAGGCATTAAAACAACATTCATCTCCTGTATTGCTCCATCAGAGCTCTGGAATGACCAGCTGTATTTCAATGATCAGTAATATTTTGAGAATAAATCTTTTTTTCTGAGCAGTGGGTCTCAACAGTAGGATTAAAATATTCAGTTAATCATGGTATAAGCAGATATGCTGTCATCCAGGCTTTTCAGTTCCACTGATAAAGCACAGGCAGAGACAATGTAGCGAAATTCTAAAGGGCCTTAGTATTTTCCAAATGGCAAATAAGCTGTAGTAGTTAAAGTCGCCAGCTGTAGTAGGACCTAACAAGAGAGTCAGCCTGTCCTCTGACGCTTTGAAGCCAGGTATTGACTTCTCCTTTCTAGCTATGAAAGGTCTAGAGGGCATCTTTTTCCAAAACGAGGCTGTTTTGTCTACACTGAAAATCTGCTGTTTAGAGTAGTCACCTTCATTAATGGTCTCAGCTAGATTTGAATAACTGGCTACAGTTTCTCCATCCACAGTTTCTGCTTCACTTGTGCTTTCATGTTATGGAGGTGGATCCTTTCCTTAAACCTCATAAACCAAGCTCTACTAGCTTCAAACTCTTCTTCTGCAGCTTCCTTACCTCTCTCAGCTTTCATATAATTGAAGAGAGTGAAGGACTTTGTCTGGATTAGTCTTTGGCTTAAGAGAATGTTGAAGCTGCTTTGATCCAGACGACTCAGACTTTCTCCACAGCAGCAATAAGGCTGTTCTATTTTCTTATCATTCTTGTGTTCCCTGGAGTAGCACTTTTCATTTCCTCCATGAACTTTTCCTTTACATTCTCAATGTGGCCCCAAGACTGTCTGGGGCCAGAAACCTAACTTTTGGCCTATCTCAATTTTTAACATGCTTCCCTCAATATGCTTAATTATTTCTGGCTTTTGCTTTAAAGTGAGAGACATGCAACTCTTCTTCTACTCCAACACTCAAAATCCACCGTAGGGGTATTCATTGACCTAATTTCAATATTGTTGTATCTCCAGGAATAGAAAGGCCCAAGAGAAGGGAGCGAAGTGGGGAAATGCCTGGTCATTGGAGAAGTCAGAATACACATAGCATTTTCAATTAAGTTCACTGTCTTATATGGGTGTGACTTGTCACACCTCAAAACAATGATAATAATAACATCAAAGATCACTGATCACATGATCACAGCTCACCGTAACAGATAAAATAATAATGAAAAATTTGAAACATTGTGAGAATTACCAAAATGTGATACAGATACAGAAACAGAACACATACTGCTGGAAAAAAAATAGTGCTGACAGACTTGCTCTAAGTAGGGTTGCCACAAACTTAAATTGGTTAAAAAAAAAAAAAAAAAATGGTCTCTGTGAAGTGCAATAAAATGAGATGTGCCCATAGTTAACATTCAGGGATCCATCCACATAGTATACTACTTCTGATGAAACAAACAAAAGAGGTGGCAATTTGAGGAGAAAGTTATCACAAAGGTGAAGGTGTCATGACAAATGAGTCAAGGGCAGATGGGTGTTAATGAATTACCTAAATGCAAAAGTTAGGAGGACAAAAGTTGTACTTAAACATTTATGAAGTCAATTAGAAGTAAAAGAAACAAAACCATCTCAGAAACCTTAAGGCATGATTACAAACACTAAATATTTGAGAAATAGACTAAAACTAGGGGCTTAATTTTATGAATCACTGCAGTTCAAGGCTTCTGGAAAATAGGGATATTTAATTTTTTATATCAAACCACAAATCTTTTTCCACCATTCCTTCCACATTTCCTATCATCCTTTGCCCTAAAATCCCCAAGATCTTCATGCTGCTTTACTTCTCTACAGCAGGGGTGGCCCACCCTGGGAGGGGTCCGTGGCCTGTTAGGACTTGACTACACAGCAGGAGGTAAGCTATGCCTCCTGTCAGATCAGCAACAGTGTTAGATTCACGTAGGAGCATGAACTCTATTGTGAACTGCGTGTGTGAGGGATCTAGGTTGCACACTCCTTATGAGAAGCTAATGATAAATGTAATACTCTTGAATAATTCTGAAACCATCCCCCCTGCCAGCCCATCTGTGGAAAAATTGTCTTCCATGAAACCAGTCCATGGTGCCAAGAAGGTTGGGGACCACCGCTCTATAGGACATCCTGCTGACACCCAGAAAAGTTCCACAAGTTTATTTTCCCTCTCCATCTCTCCCAATATAAGACCTTGATCTCACTAGATAGTAAGAAGATACTAGCAGGTAAACAAATGCTCCCTAAGCTAAGCTCCCTGTATGTGTCAGTACCTAGGAATGGTCTCCAGTATTGACAGCTACATGAGAATCAACAGAAAGAGTAAAACTAAGTCTTCCTAAGTAAGATTTCCCACTCTCATATAAGACCACACAGGCCTTTATATGATAAGATCAGCCAGATGCTAAGGCAATCCTGAGCATTTTGTTATCCAAATGTGCTTTTTTAGGAAGCATGTGTTAGAAATTCATTTCTCTAACCTTCTAACTCGATCACTTTGTAAAATATAAGCATTACCCAAATGGCAGTTGTATTCACAGATGTAGGCCTGCACTATGTTTCTGAGGAAAAGCCAAGAATTTGGAATTTCTCTGCATTTTTAATGTTACCGAATATTTCCTGTAGTAGAAAATTTCATTTAATGTATATAGATAAAATTTGGGTGTTATAAAAGTGGGAGAGATATTACTTTATGTTGTAGGGGAGAAAAAGTAATATATTTTCCTCAGCCATTGCAAGATGGATGGCTGTCATCCCTGTAATAAAAGAGAGATTAACAAGAAAGAAAGGCAACAAATTGATTAACCAAAGTTCTACGTGACGTAGGAGCTGTCAGAAATGAAGTCCGAAACACCCATGGAAAACTGCAGTTTTATGCTTCAGTTTGATGAACACTGGACAGTGATGTATGTAGAAGTGTGATTGGACGAAGTTGGTATGGTATAAACAAACTGGGAGGAACTTTGCAATTTCTGTTTGTTCAATTTTTCTGTGTGTCTTTATGTCTTCATTCCTTTCCTCTGGGTATAGGGCAGGGCATGTGTCACAAGAGGATCCTCAGGGGAGAAGGGAGGGAGAATTCTTTTCATGTCCCCATGCAGAAAGGCAGAGGAGGTTAGTGATCTTCTGCTCAGGCCAATGTGACATACTTTGGGATACAGCGTTCTGAGCCCTGACACTAGACTGTACACATTGTGTTGTACAAAGAGATGAGACTTAGACAGTATAACCTCTACTCACGCAGCTCATAAGTCATGGAACCAGACTTTCTGGGTCTAGGGATTCCTGTCCAGGTGCTTTACATACCTCTCACTGGTGTATCTAGAGATGTTTTTGAGGGTGGTCAGGCAGAAACTCCAAAAGGCACATCTCTTAAGGACTAAGATTTGTGTACTCTCAGCTGTGGGAACACTGCCCCCGGAGTCGT
The DNA here is from genome assembly GCF_000001405.40 of Homo sapiens. Taxonomy (NCBI): domain Eukaryota; kingdom Metazoa; phylum Chordata; class Mammalia; order Primates; family Hominidae; genus Homo; species Homo sapiens. The sequence goes on from NC_000018.10 coordinate 4,749,172, forward strand.
CTGAGGACTCAGCCTATGCCCTCCCTGTGCTGTGTCTCATTGACAGCTGTTATTCCTCCCAGGGAACTCTCTCATTACAAACCCCAACTAACTGCCAGGAGGTGGAACTGGACTAAGAAACCTACGATCTTCTTTGCGCCTCTTCAAAATAAGGATTAAGGCAATGTTTCATTACCATTTTCTTATATCCAAGTTCCATCCTACCTCAGCACCACTTAAAACTCTCTCCAACTTGTGCTCTTTCCTTCAAGCAGCTCACATCACTCTCATTCTGTAAACAGAGGTTTTATAATAATAAAACGTACTAGTCTCACATAAATATGCATGAAAACTGCCACTGTTCCACAACATCTGGTGCCCACATCTGCCTTAAATTTCTCTTCTAGAAACTAGCGTCAGAGCTCCTCTCTCCCTTGCATTCTGACTTAATGACAGATTTGCAAATTATTAAGGAAACAAATTATATAACACTTCAAGTAGCTAGTGTGACAGGATCTGAAACATTCTAGGCATGCATGTATCTGTTTCACTTCATTTCTTCTTTGGAGAATAATTTCTATTGTGACTCCTTTAAGTTTTTGACAATTAGTTAGCTAGGAAACACATTTTCTGGAGTATCCTCAATTTTTAAGCTAAGTTTCAGGAATAGAGTCAGAAATACTATGTCTTCTCTGGAGACGATGCCATATGCTCCATGTGCTCTTGGTGACACTCGGATGCTTATGCTTTGACCCAGAGAATTTACCCTTTCCACTGTCTGCTTTGCCACAGCCTTTGAGCAGATGAAAATCAAGCTCTGATTTCCTTGTTTTTGTACATTAGGTCCAGGCTTTCGGGAAGCTCTGATAAAACACTAGAGAAAGCTCTCTGACGACCAAAATTAGTCTGCCACCCAAAATAACATGCTCTCTGCCACCCCTTGCCATAATGCAGCAGTGTTAAGAGAAGGTTAAAGGGAGAGAGAGTGGGAGGGGACGGGAGCTTGGGGCAGCTGAAATAAAAGCTATAATGTCTCTGGATTTGCTTATTTGACGCTAACCTTACCTGCCACTAGCTTCAAATTGGACATGCCATTTGAGTAACATAATGACGAGTTACCAACCCACTCCAAACACTGATTCTTAGGAAGGCGTACCTTCTTTTTTTCTTTCTGCCCTTCAGCATATGTAAGCTTTCTTAAAGAGACGTCCAGTCTGGTGGCACACCTTTAATCATCCGTACGCCAATCATTCTCTCTGGTTCCTGCCAGATGCCCCTGAAATAGACCACTGCCCACAACCTGGCAGGCTGGAGAGGCTGATGACTGTGACAATTATAAGAGGCTAATTAGCACACCAGAACGGTGGTAACCTTGCCTTTCCTGTGCAGTCACCGTGCAGAGTTTTCTCCAGAAATTTCTCCGCAGCAATGTTACAGGCTGTTCTTTTCCACCGTCAGAGGTGAAAGCAAAATAGAAACTAAAATTGGAGTGTGTAGAGCCATCTGGATCAGATGTGGCACAGACAAGAAGGTCTGGCAACTTTTCCAATCCTTGTCATGTAAAGACAGCTACCAGAGCCCAGAAAGCAAGCTCTATCAAAGTGGATAGAGGTGATAAAGGCGATTCTACACTATAATTTGTCCATCAAAAAGACCTCCACTAAAAACCCCTAAAAGCACTCAGCACTTCTCTCTTCGTGGTTCTATGCCATTTTGTTGGACAAGTCACAGTGAAACTTCTTGTATCTCTTTCTAGTAGGAGCTCTAGAAGAATCTCCCAGAAAAAGTTGCTGTGCAAGTTTTTCTTCTTTGAAAACTAGAGAAAGAACATTTAACACCACAATACTTCACTTCTGGGCTCCTGAAACCAACTTGATATTATGGGAAAAACTTATGCTTGGAAAGGACTGAGTCCCAGATCAGCCTCTTCTGGCTGTGTGTTCTTGAGCAAGTCACTTGCTCCATCTGAATTTCAGTTCCGTCATCTGCAAAATGGGCATAGTAATACTGATACCTGCCTTACCCAAACAACACAATCAATGAAATAAAGCAGGTGGAAGTACCTGATGCTATCAGCCACTCCGTATGTAAGTTGGTCCCTATTGTTTTAAATGAAAATATTTTATTTTTCTGATGGAAAATTGTATTTGCTTATTCTAAAACTTTTCAGAAATTGTATGAAAATAGAACAGGGTAGAAATGGTTTCTCTTTTCAAAGGGATAACCACTAACAACATTGTGATATCTTCCCTTCCAGTCTTCCTTTAAGCACACACCTCCACTTCACAAAAATGGTGTCATACTATGCCAGTTGTTTGTGAAATGCAATTTTTATTTAATGTAATGTGAAAAAATGTAAGTTATTATTTTTACTATGAAAAGGAAAGTAACCCAGACGCAAATTGAAGATAGCACAAATATACCCAGCATATGGCATTTCCCCACTGTGTCAAAGTGAATTATTCATAAGCATTTGTCAGAAATATCCAACATTACTGAGCTATTCTGGAACAACAGGGTACCAATTCTGAAGCAGAGATTGCCACATGTTCAATAAAACCTGTTTTGTTTCCCTCCTGGGCATATGGCAAAGCTATATTTGCTAGACCCCCTTGCATTTAGATGTGGTCACATGACTGAGTTTTAGCCAATAGAACATGAGTAGAAGGAATCTGTGTCAATCCCAGATGAAGCGGTGAAGAAGAGTCTGTGCCTTTGCTGCGGAATCTCTCATCCTCTGCTAATTGAATGAAAGGAGCCTATAAATCTGGGTCCTGGAGCAACCATGATGTATACCACATGCCAAGGACACACAGGTCTCAACATAACTAAGAAATAAACATCTACTAGGCTACTGAATTTCAGAAGTTTCTATTCCAACAGCTATTCTTACTTGCCCTAAAGAATGACACTTTTAATATACTTCCAAGTAATATGTATAGATTGAAACTTGGAGTACATCCAGAACATTCCTGACATGTGGGCAGAGCTGAAAATCATTGAGTGTTTTAATTTCAGAAACGCAGAGAACGACTCTCCCTAGTCACTTACTTGTTACAAATAAGTCTCTCCCTATTCCCTTATTAAAAATTTCTAAATTGCTGTTCCTAGAGACAAAGCCTTCTTTCTATATGTCAGATTAAGACTGAAAATGTAAATATCCCTCAGAGAGATAACACATTCATTCTACTCTAAGGTGTGAAAAGGGATATTATTTTTACAGCTAAAATGCAGGGTGAGGTGAAAGAAAGCAGATAAATAATAAGAGTCTAAAAGGAAGGGGAAAGTAATACAGAGAAAAAAAGAAAAGCTACCAAAATGCATTGTTAAAAGTTCAAATATTTCCAAGTTTTGTCTGAGATTGGTCATATGAAGTATGTACATTGAAGGCACATTGCCTAGTTTAAAGAATAGTAAAGACCATAAAGAAGGGTTAATGTCAGAAACTGTGAAGAGCAACCTAACAAGTTAGCCTACCATGGTATTTTGTGGATGCTGGCAGAAGACAGAAGGCTCTTAGATCAGAGACAAAGGACTATTCCCAGAGCCCAGCAAATAACATGAACTTCATATCTCTCCAGTTGCCCCTTGCATCCTAGTGCCCATGGGGATGATGTGAAGGCAGGTCAGGTCAATGCTGTACACCGAGTGGGCTCTGTGTCCCAGTTGAGGAAGCCAGAACTTGAGAAACCCTGTTATTTTATAATGGACTGTAAACAAACCTGATGTGTCCAGAATTGGTTCCTTCTGGTGAGTTCTTGGTCTCCCTGACTTCAAGAATGAAGCCTCCGACCCACGTGGTTGAGTGTTACTGTTCTTAAAGATGGTGTGTCCAGAGTTTGTTCCTTCAGATGTTCAGATGCGTCTGGAGTTTCTTCCTTCTGGTGGCTTCGTGGTCTTACTGACTTCAGGAGTGAAGCCGCAGACCTTTGCAATGTGTTACAGCTCTTAAAGGTGGCGCATCCGGAGTTGTTTGTTCCTTCAGGTGGGTCTGTGGTCTCGCTGGCTTCAGAAGTGAAGTTGCAGACCTTCATGGCGAGTGTTACAGCTCATAAAGGTAGTGCAGACCCTAAGAGTGAGCAGCAGCAAGATTTATTGTGAATAACGAAAGAACAAAGCTTCCACAGTGTGAAAGGGGACCCTAACAGGTTGCCACTACTGGCTTGGTGGCCAGCTTTTATTCCCTTATTTGGCCCTGCCCACATCCTGCTGATTGGTCCATTTTAGAGAGCGCTGATTGGTCCTTTTTACAGAGTGCTGATTGGTCCATTTTTAGAGTGCTCATTGGTGCCTTTACAAACCTTTAGCTGGACACAGAGCACTGATTGGTGTGTTTACAATCCTTTAGCTAGACAGAGAAGTTCTCCAAGTCCCCACCCGACTCAGAAGCCCAGCCGGCTTCACCTCTCACTGACAGACATTTTTGTCCTGGAAAATGGCATTACTTTTATTATACTAGACTAAGTTTGTCAAACCTGCAGCCCACAGGCCACATGTGGCCCAGGACGGCTTTGAATCTGTCTCAATACAAATTCATTAACTTTCTTAAAACACTATGAGATTTATTGTGATTTTTTTTTTAGCTCATCAGCTATCATTAATGTTAGTTTTTTTTTTAATACTTTAAGTTTTAGGGTACATGTACACAACGTGCAGGTTTGTTACATATGTATATATGTGCCATGTTGGTGTGCTGCACCCATTAACTCGTCATTTAACATTAGATATATCTCCTGATACTATCCCTTCCCCCTCCCCCCACCCCACAACAGGCCCTGGTGTGTGATTGTGTGATGTTCCCCTTCCTGTGTCCATGTGTTCTCATTGTTCAGCTCCCACCTGTGAGTGAGAACATGTGGTGTTTGGTTTTTTCTCCTTGGGATAGTTTGCTGAGAGTGATGGTTTCCAGCTTCATCCATGTCCCTACAAAGGACATGAACTCATCATTTTTTATGGCTGCGTAGTATTCCATGGTGTATATGTGCCACATTTTCTTAATCCAGTCTATCATTGTTGGACATTTGGGTTGGTTCCAAGTCTTTGCTATTGTGAATAGTGCCACAGTAAACATACATGTGCATGTGTCTTTACAGCAGCATGATTTATAATCCTTTGGGTATATACCCAGTAATGGGATGGCTGGGTCAAATGGTATTTCTAGTTCTAGATTCCTGAGGAATCGCCACACTGACTTCCACATGGTTGAACTAGTTTACAGTCCTACCAACAGTGTGAAATTGTTCCTATTTCTCCACATCCTCTCCAGCACCTGTTGTTTCCTGACTTTTTAATGATCGCCATTCTGACTGGTGTGAGATGGTAACTCATTGTGGTTTTGATTTGCATTTCTCTGATGGCCAGTGATGATGAGCATTTTTTCATGTGTTTTTTGGCTGCATAAATGTCTTCTTTTGAGAAGTGTCTGTTCATGTCCTTCGCCCACTTTTTGATGGGGTTGTTTGTTTTTTTCTTGTAAATTTGTTTGAGTTCATTGTAGATTCTGGATATTAGCCCTTTGTCAGATGAGTAGGTTGCAAAAATTTTCTCCCATTTTGTAGGTTGCCTGTTCACTCTGATGGTAGTTTCTTTTGCTGTGCCGAAGCTCTTTAGTTTAATTAGATCCCATTTGTCAATTTTGGCTTTTGTTGCCATTGCTTTTGGTGTTTTAGACATGAAGTCCTTGCCCATGCCTATGTCCTGAATGGTATTGCCTAGGTTTTCTTCTAGGGTTTTTATGGTTTTAGGTCTAACATTTAATGTTAGTGTGTTTTATGTGTGGCCCAAGACAATTCTTTTTCCAATGTAGCCCAGGGAAGCCAAAAGATTGGACACCCCTGTAGCTAGACAGTGAAAACATCTTCCATCTGCTCCAGAGAGGGACAATTCTGTTTTTCAAGGCTGTTTGCTATGTAATAATCCTTGGAAAGTTAGCCTAGATCAAAGTACATGTTCTCTTAAGACATGCAAAATCGTGAGAGATCCATGGAGTATTGTCTCCAAACAGTTAATTTCAATACATATATTTGGCTGTTAAATGCTTACCACTTCAAAACTGAAACACCATGTAGTATGTTGATGGCTTTAAATAAAGATGTTTATATAACTACAAAAAAGATAAATTAAAATGTGCCATGGAGATAGCATATGGCTAAAAGCAAAGTTTTGGAATGAGACACTCTTAAAATTGAGCCATATTTCCATCATCTACTACCTATGTGACTTCAGGAAAGTTGCTTGATTTCTTTCCATTTTAATTTTTTCATCAGTAAATTGAAATAATACAAATCTCAAATATTACAGGAATCATAAATGGTATCACGTAAATAAAGCAGATCAGTACATAGCATACAGTTAGTTCTCAGAATTTGGTGCAGATTATTATTACTTAATCTCTGAATAAGTCATATACAAATATTCCTTAAACACTTACCATTTGGTTTACACTGCATTAAAGACAGTGTTAGTGATAATGGAAAAAGATGTAAGAGAGCCTCCATTCTCAAATAACAAATTACACTATAACAATGGAAACAAAAGTAGCACAGACAGAATTTCATGGATATAGTACCATATACAATCAGTACCATAAATTGCTAGAATATAGATTCCATGGAGGTAGGAACTTTTTCTCTAGCTCCTTAATAGTATTCAGCACATACTAGGCTTTCAATAAAATTGTTGAAAGGATGTTGAATAAAATGATTAGAGAATGACTCCTTATTTCGCTGTAAATCACTGTGAACTAGAATAGCCAGGGAAGGCTTAGTGAAGAGAATGGGACTTGGGCCGTGTTCTCTGAAGTTTTCATGAAAGAGGAAATGTGAAAAATGACAGCATCTTTTCAGCCCGCTACAGCAAACACAGGGCTTCTTGCAGTAAAAGTGGAAGTTATCATTTTAGTAAGTCTTACCCATGCTCAGCTCAGCAGAGCAGGGCAGCATGCTGGCTGTACCACCTGCTTACAGGATGAGTGTGCTGTGGCTGCCGGAGAAGAAGAGGAGACACAGCAGGGAGGTCAGCTTGGACAAAGTCTCTGCCTGGCAGGGAGGGTGGATGGTCTCAGGAAGTTGTCTGGATGTGTACATGAAGCAAGATTTTGGAGAATTTTTAACACCATTATTGAGGTATAACTTGCATACTATAAAATGCACCAACTTTTGCTTTATCGAGTTAAAAGTACACTTTATACTTAAAGTATAACTTGTACAATTAATACTTTAAGTATAAAGTTTGGTGAGTTTTAGCAGATGTATACAGCTGTGCAAATATTCCCATAATCCAGTTTTAGAACAGTTCTATCTACCCCAAAATATTTCCTAAGGTCTTTTTTTGCAGTCAGTCCTTGACCCCCACCCCAGGCAAACAACTAATCAGTTTCTGTCTCTACAGTGTTGCCCTTTCTCGATATTTTACATAGATTCACATAACATATGTGGTTTGTGAGTGGCTTCTTTCATTTGGCATGGCATTTTTCAGGTTTTCCTATGTTGCAGCTTGTATCAGTAGTTCGTTCCTTTATATACTTAGTGGTATTATATTGTATGTCTATACTATATTTTCTTTATCACACAAAATATGTGATTGGATTATTTCCCATTTAGATAAAAATCTGTCACCTTTATCCCCCAAATTCAGATTTTTGCCTCCAGATCCAAGGAGAGCACCCCTCCTGGCAGCAAAGCTGCTGACTTTGTGCTCAATATCATCTTGAAAACCTTCCCTTTCCACCTTAAGGACTAGGAGGTGAGAAGGGCTCCCTAGGCAAGGTCATCTGTCCTTTCCTGGAGGTCTATCAGTTTTTCAAGAACAAATGCTTCAACTTTTCTGCCCTGGTCAATTTCTAGTGCCAGAAAATGGTTGTTTTTGACAGTTTTGACAGTTCTATCGGAAGAATCACCAACCTCTTTATGTCACTTTAACTGGAAATTCCTTTCTTCTAAAGGATGTTGAAGATCAAGATACAAAGTTTGATTCTCTGAGGATCAGAGTCAAATAACCTGTGTGTTACTTTAGAGATGTCAGCATGGGGCATAATGTGCAGTCAGTTGGAGGGGAGCAATTTCAACCAGGAAATTCATCATAATAATCAAATAGGACAGGTTTAAAACTTCTTAAGTGAATTAGGGCTAGGGCAGTGGCTCATGCCTGTAATCCCAGCACTTTGAGAGGCCAGGAGGGATCACTGGAGGCCCGGAGCTACAGATCAACCTGGGCAACATAGTAAGAACCTGTCTTTACCAAAAAATAAAAAATAAAAAATTACCTGGGTGCGGTGGCATGCACTTACAGTTTCAGCTGCTTGGGAGGCTGAGGCAGGAGAATAGCTTGAGCCCAGGTGGTCGAGGTTACGGTGAGCTATGACTGCACCACTGCACTCCAGCCTGGGTGACAGAGGGAGACTCTCAAAAAACAAAACAGAAGTTAATTGAATTAATATAATGCAATTCAATTCCATGGTTTTTTTTTTTTTTGTCAAGTTCTCCTTCACATGGCAATGTTTATGCTATTTCATACATTCTTTTTGAGAATATGAGGTTCTTTCGTTTTTGCTCATTACTCAGGTTCTATGCATGCCCATATAGGTCAAAGTTTGAAATTACTAACAGCATGCAAGGATGTCCATTATCACAAAATACCTTGAAGGCGCTATGCTTTCTTTGGTCTGTAAGCATTTGTGTATACTGTGTCCTTTGCTTAGTACTCTCTTATGCTCACCTTTTCTCACCAGGCTGAATGCTATCCACCCTTCAGTCACAGTTTGATATCATATCCTCCTGGAGCCCTTTCATGCATGACATCCTGAGGGCCTTCCGATGCAGTACCCAACCATATTAAAATTGTGTATTTGCAGATCTATTTCCCTTATTAGATTTAAAGTCTGTGATGGGAGGGCCCAGGCTGCATGGCTCACTATTATAGTCCAAAAATTTGGTGGACCTTCAGAAACAGAATATGTGGTTGATCAATACATACAAAATTGTTTTAATGGAAAGTTGCATAGGATTATTGTAAGAGGACCAACTCCTCATGACCTTTGGCAAATTACTTAACCTTTCTAAGCCTCAGTTCAATTTTGAAAAACAGGGTTGATCATTACACATGTTGTGAGGATTAAAAGGAGAGATGCATTCAAAAGCTGTTAGCACAGTGCCTGGCATATAGCAAATGCTCAGTATGTGCTAACCATTCATCAGGAACCAATTACAGTCATTGTTGGTGGCATGGGAAAAGTGCCTGCTGCTCAGCTCTGCTGTGGGGAGCATAGCTGACCACAACTCCTGGCCGCTGGGTTCTCTGGACTCCCACCATGTTAATGCCAAGCCCCCCACCCCAAGGCTTCTCCCAGCCAAGGACTGAGCAGTGGGGCACTAGTGCAGGGCCACTCCTGCCAGACAGGTGACTTCTCTTGAGGACTCTGATTCAGCCAGGTGGAACATGTCCTGAAACTGCTCTGTAGCTGATGCTCTTTCTTCCCTCTCCTCCACTGCCCTCCACCCCATCTCCTTTCATAAGTGTCAGACCACGCCTCTTCCTGCACATTCCTACTCTTCCTATGGTCCCTCCTGGCATTTTTTCAATAAATGCCCTGCATGTCAGATCCCACCGTGCTGCCTGCTTTTTGGAGGATTCAGACTAACATAGTTGGTTCCAGTGTGGGTATTAAAAAACAGGGCTTGAAGAGAGAGCTTGGGGCTACCTCACTCACTGCCCAGTAGACAAGATGGATATCATGCTGAGTGGAGTGGGGCACACATAGACCCTCACATAAACAGTGGCCCAATTGCTGCAGAACTCTTTGTTGTTGACTTGGGAAAACATCCTGGTGGAGGGGATGCCCTTTCCAGGGCAACGGTTCAGATACTTGAAAGATATGAGGAGCAATTGCTACTAGGATGGCAGAGCTGGCTGATTATTGCTAAGTTGTATTGAGACTCAGCAGAGGCGTAATGAGAAACAGAGGGCCAGGAACAAACAATTAAAAATAAGAGTGAGAGCCAGAGGGCCTTTTTGGTCTCTTTCAAAGAGCCCATTGTCTCCTGTAGTGAGAGGTCTGACTCAGCTCAGGAGCAGGTTCACTTGATGAGACAGAGCTCCGGAGAAGTTTACATGCTCAGCCAAGGCAGTCTGTGCTAAGTTTGGAGCCTTGGTTGAGAAAACCTGGCACCCTGAAACGTGGGATATGACATCCAGACAGGTGTTCCTTGGGAGTTTGACTCTGTGGAACTTAACCCTCAGAGCTTGCAGACGTGATCTACCCTTCTCTTCTAGCGGCTAGCACTTCCTCCGTGCTAGAAGATGGTGCAGGTCCCCACAAAGGTATCGTGCCTCCCTCAAGAGCTACTCTCACCTCTTCTCCTGGGTGCCAGGCTGATAATAGAATTAAAGCCCAGCATATACTAGGCCTGAGAAAGAAGGAAACAGATTATATACTGAAGGGACTACAAAATCAAATTGCACATAGCAGTAATCACTAAGGCAGTGTCCCTGGGAATGGATTTTTCAGGGTGCTGGATGCAGGGGGCCAGGGAGACGCCACCTGCATCACTAAAGTGGCAGTGATAGTTCTGCTCTGATGCGAAGACTGAGAGCAGGAGAGGCTTCTGCGGGGCTGGGTTTATTAATACCTATGTGCTCAAGGGGTTTGGGGCGTGAGGACCATGTGGTGGTGCTTACCTATCAGAATCTGGGATGCTGGAGCTCCTCTAACAACTGCAAAATTCAGAGGGGTAGTGAATATGAATTGACTCACATGGAGGTATGGAGATGGTGACTAGAGCTCAGCATCCCTAGAGGCAAAATACTCTGGCAGTCAACAAAGAAGATGCTTATCTTTGTAGCCAGACAAAGGCAAGAATCACACAGCAAGAGGCTGAGGGCAGTTGCCTCAATAAAATATCATAATCACTTGTTCAGATCCAGAATCCCCTAACTAGATGGCAGGAATTTCCAAAACTGTAGCCAGTATACATTCAAATGTTTCCCCATTTTTTCTTTCCCAAAGGGACTTATGGTCATTACTTTGGTGACTCTACTAGGGAAAGAGAAATACTCAAACATACTGGAGACTCCTGGACACCGAGCCTGAATTGGTATTGATTCTTTGAAATCCAAAGCATCATCAGAAACCATTCAAAATGAAAGAGGGGTTGAACATCCAGATAATAACAAAATGACTCAGTCCGTTGACATTAGCTAAACTTTGTCATCATCACGATGAGCATGTGAATGTAGTGGCCACAGTGACAGAGATGGATGCTACATATAAGGCCCAAAACATGAATTTCTACTTATCTAGGCTGATCTAATGGCTGTTGTCTCTGAAGGTCCAGCCTGTCAGTCACAGACACTAGTGCTCTTCCCTGAAGTGACTCTCTTCCTTGAGAAGACCAACCAGCATTTGGTGGCAAGTTGACTACAAGAGTCCCCCTCTATCTTGGAAAAGCCAGTTGTTTATTCTTATAGGAATAGAACCCTATTCTGGTGTTAATTTCGCAGAGCCTGTTTGCAGAGCCTCACTCAGCACCACTAACTGGAACTTACAGAATGCCTGATCCACAGGCATGGAATCTCACACACGGCACATCCAGCCAGGGCTCCCACTTCATAGGGAAGGAGATGAGTGAGTGGACCCATGACAATAAGATCTGCTGCTTCTGTTCCATACCACATCATTCAGAAGCAGTCAGCCTCAAAGAATGATGGAATGGCATCTAAAGACATAAATGAAGCACAGCTCAGAGGCAACATTGTAGATGGATGGGGTACTACCCTTTAGGATGCATGCAAGATTATATGCATTTAATCAAATACCTCTATATGGCATTGTGTACTCAATAGAAAGTCTATATTAATCTGGAAATCGCAAGGTGGAAGATGGGATGGCCCCACTTACTCTCACAAATCCTGCTGGGAGATTTGGGGTTTCTCATCCCTTTATCTCTGGGCTCTGCAGCACTGGAGGTCCTGGTTGCCAAAGGGGGAGTTTTCTTTCTAGAAGACACAGCTAGGTCCCATGGAACCACAAGCTAAAGCTGCTCCCAGAGCATGCTGGACTCCTCTTGTCCACGGTCCAAGAGGCAAGGATTAGTGTCACCATCTTGGCAGAGGTAAAGGATCCTGATTGGTAGTAGGGGTTGTAGCCACCTTTACAAAATGAGGGCAGGAAGGAACACCTGTAAGAACCAGGTGATCTCCTCTGGCCCCTCTTTTCACTCTCTTGTTCCTTGTTACTGTTAAAGAACACATGCTGCAGCCTCAGCCCAAGAAGTGCCCAAGACTCAGACCTTGCAGGAATGACAAGTAATAGCTAAGAGTGTGGGCAATTTAGAATGAAAAACAGACAAGGCCAAGGATGAGGACCAGCTGAGACCCTGAGATTGACTGCAGGAGCTGAAGTTTGTCCCACTGATCTCTGCTTCCAAGTTGCCTCTCAGGAAGAGTGGCCAATGAGAACCATGGAGGAGCTGCCCGTGAACCTGCGTGGAGAAGTAGATCAGTGCAGCTCAAGGAGATGACTCTGATGGCTGTGAAACTGCACTGCTCAGCTCTCTTACTGCAGGGAACATAGTTGATTGACAAAGCAGCTACTCGTGCTCTAGATATACTACCACATGCATGCTGAGGCTGCACTACCCAGCTGCTTCCAGCCAGACAGTGAATGTGGTGAGGGTATTAGTGCAGGCCCATCTCTCAGAGATGAAAGGCTCAAGGCCTCTCTGTCAGCCTGATGGAAACTTCCTTAGAACTGCACTGAAGTCTGAGATTTTTCCTAGCCCAATCCTTCCTTCTACCTCTCCTTTCTCATATTTGAAACATTCACCAGTCTGAAGGCTGTCGTTATGCATTCCTGCTTTCTCCTCTGTATGCTTCACAGGCATTCCTCCAAAAATCTTTTGCATATATAACTCAGTGTTGACATCTCAATTCAAGTTGGGATCAGACATTCACTCCTCAGTGTGAAATCATTTCTGAGTTTCCTAAAGGTAGGTCTAGACAAGGAAAAAGCAAAGCCAGAATTGGTTCCCTCATGTTGGACCACAAGTAGTGGAAAGGCACAAAATGAAGTTTGAGATATTGAGATTAAGCCTGGAAAGCTTCACAGTTCTGTTCTAGTTGGGGCCCTGCATTTTCTTGAGAGCTGCAGATGAGCATTCTAAAGGCAATCATTTTCTAGACAACATGTAGTTTTTTGGCTTTTAGTTTTGTGCACATTAAGGATAGAGAATATAGCCCCTTGTTACTAATAGTGTGAGTCCACACCAGCAGTATTACAGTCACCTGGAGGTTTGCCATAAATGTGCATCCGTGGCCCTATCTCAGACATATGGATCAAAATCTGCTTTAACAAGGCCCTCAGGAGACGTGCGGACACATTGAGAAGCATGGTATGGCTCAGTGGATAAGACAACAGTCTGGAAAATTGGCTTAGATTTCTGTCTCTGCCACTTACTGACAAATTGCCTAACATCTTTGCACTTTAACCTCCTAATCTGTTGCAGAGAGGTAACTCCTGCCTATTTTTTCTCTTATTCCCAGTCTTTGTTTTTACTCCTTGTATTTTCCCTAGGCATAATCTTTCAATTTTTCTGATATGTTAGCCTTCTTCAATCATTTGTACTCTTACTGGAAGCCTTTGCCTAGGGGGAGAGAATGTACATGCACATATACATATCTAAATACATGTATTTAGATGTATTTGGATACATATGTATTTAGATACATAAATACATGTATTTAGATGCCAGCATACACACCCAACTTTATTTATTTCAATAAGATTGACAAAAGATTAAGCTTATCTTAATGAATAGGGAAGTTATTTGACTATTTAAATGTTTCCTGCACATGCCAGACAGTCTGGGCCAACATCTAAATGAATAGCCAGTTTGTATGTGACTGGTTTAAGCAAAGTTTGTATTTTTATCAATCAGATTCTAAGTAATCACTACACTTTGCTTTTTTTTTTTGAAGAGCTAAAATGACTAGTTGATAATACATACAAATCATTCTCCCTGCAGTAACCCAAACATCGTGCTTCAGTTTCCTTTTTACAAAATGAATGCTTGCTCTAACTTATCTCTATGGGCTCTTCCAACTATAAAATTCTATGATTCTAATTCAAAGAGTCATCAGAACAAAACACTTGTTAAATATTTAAGGCAGAGAAACATGATTTAATGTGTTTTCTTCAGGTCCTGCCTTAGGTATGTCCAACTGAAGAGCAGACATGACCCAAGCAGCCTGCCAAATTCTCATTTCATCCCAACAAAACCCAGTCTCTCAGAAATTCCAGGACAATCTGGACAAATGCTTTTAAGCAAGGTCTTTAAAATTTTAATCCCAAGCCTCATTTCAACTCAATTATTTATCTCATTGCAAATGTCTAACATCTCTATCAATTTTCCAAAGATAATTATGCATGAGGTTTGGACCCCAAAATGAAACTCTTGGCTTTTGAGGTTGATTTTTAAATGAAGCTAGAGAGCAAATTCAGATGCCGAATTGAAATTTACAAGAATGTGTAATTGACTCACTTAACACTTTCATAGAGGAGAAAAACTTTCCTTTTCTTGTAAATTCCATAAATCTTGATGGAGCTGATAATCTAAATTCTGATTCATTGTTTTATCCTGAATTAATCACACAAAATTTCAAATTTAAGGAATAACTAATACCTTAGGGATTGCATCAACAGCTCCTAAACAGAAATAAATTGCTTTTCTCTTGAAAGGTAAAAATATATGTCTACAGTGATTTGTTCAGAACCACAGACATTTAACTCTCAAGGTGTTTTGCCATTTCAGTCAAGATTTAAGATTTATGGTTACAATAACAATATGTCATATTTACATATTTGCTACTAAATTCTCATTTCCTGCTTGCTTGGTTACAGGTTTACAAAAACTCAGTAGGCTCATCAGGTTTGTGGATGGTAAGAAGTGAACCATTTTCCATAAAGTAACAGCAACAACTAACCTTTACTGATCACTCATTATGCACCTGAGGTGCCCAAAAGGTTTTCCTTATATTAACACATTTAATCCTTACAAGTACCTTTCACAGGTACGAAAAACAAGAGACAGAAAGACAGAAAGACCTGCACAAGGTCACACATGTGGTAATTAGCAGTGATAATTGGAACCCAGACTTTCTGACTTCACAGTCCATCCCCTTAATTATGACACTGTTGTCCTATCCAGCTCCAAATCCAACATATATTTTATTAAATTAAATTAGATTATGTTATATCCTAATGTGTTATCTTCTACCGATAGATTAACAACATTTTGCCTCTTATTACATGCGTTATGTAATGTTTGCATGATGGTGGTGCAAACAGTAGGACTGGGGAGCAGTAATATAATTTATGTTTATTGAGCTGAGGAACCCCTGTTGTCTTCCCTAACTCTAAAGACTTAACTTCAGTTTAATTCTTGGGCTTACACAAGTAAGAAAAAAAACATCAAAATAAGAAAATAAATAATCAAAAAAATCCCATTTACAGGCTCTACTTAATAAATATTGGTGGTCAGAGGTTCCCTTGTGTGTTCTTCGCCCTCAGGAGTTGAAAACTCAAATGCATCAGTACCATGCTGCTTTTGTTACTATAGACCTGTAGAATAGTTTGAAGCCATGTAACATGATGCCTCCAGATTCGTTCCTTTTGCTTAGGATCACCTTAGCTATTTGTGCTCTTTTTTGGTTCCAGATGAATTTTAAAATAGTTTTTTTCTAGTTCTGTGAAGAATCTCAATGGTAGTTTAATAGGAATAGCATTGAATATATAAATTGGTTTGTGCAGTATGGCCATTTTTACAACATTGATTCTTCCTACCCAGGAGCATGGAATGTTTTTCCATTTGTTTGAGTTATCTCTGATTTCTTTGAACTGTGTTTTGTAGTTCTCCTTGTAGAGATCTTTCAGCTCCTTAGTTAACTGTATTCCTAGGTATTTTATTCTTTTTGTGGCTGTTGTGAATAAAATTGCATTTCTGATTTGGCTCTCAGCTTCACTGTTGTTACAGGAATGTTAGTGATTTCTGCACATTGATTTTGTATCCTGAGACTTTGCTGAAGTTGTTTACCAGCTTAAGAAGCTTTTGGGCTGAGACTATGGGGTTTGCTATATATAGGATCATGTCGTCTGCAAACAGGGATAGTTTGACTTCCTTTCTTCCTATTTGGATGCCCTTTATTTCTTTCTCTTGACTGATTGCCCTGGCCAGGACTTCCAACGCTGTAATCTGTACAACAAACCCCCGTGACACAAGTTTACCTATGTAACAAACCTGCACATGTATCCCTGAACTAAAAATAAAAGTTTTTTAAAAAGAAGAAGGAAAAAAAAAAAAAACTCAAATGCCTGGAGCCTGGAGGAATTGACCCAACTGGGAACAGCCAGCCAAGCTGGTGGGATGGGAGGTGCTCAACTGCAGAGTATCGACCAAGCTGCAGGGGGTGCCACTCAACAACAGTCTGGCCTATGGTGGCCATGAGCGAAGGGTAGCCCAGTATCAATAACTCCTTTGATGTGTCCAGGGAAGTCAGAAATACTGAATTTTCTTATTTTTTATTTTTATTTTTTACTTTAAGTTCTAGGATACATGTGCAGAATGTGCAGGTTTGTTACATAGTTATACATGTGCCATGGTGGCTTGCTGCACCTATCAGCCTGTCATCTAGGTTTTAAGCTCCACATGCAATAGGTATTTGGCCGAATGCTCTCCCTCCCCTTGTCCCCCACCCACTGACAGTCCCCGATGTGTTTTGCTCCCCTCCCTGTGTCCATGTGTTCTCATTGTTCAACTCCTATTTATGTGTGAGAACATGCGGTGTTTGGTTTTCTATTCCTGTGTCAGTTTGCTGAGAATGATGGTTTCCAGCTTCATCCATGTCCCTGCAAAGGATGTTAACTCACTCTTTTTTATGGCTGTATAGTATTCCATGGTGTATATATGTCACATTTTCTTTATTCAGTCTATCATTGATGGGCATTTGGGTTGGTTCCAAGTCTTTGCTATTGTAAATAGTGCTGCAATAAACATACGTGAGCATGTGCCTTTATAGTAGAATGATTTATAATCATTCTGGGTATATACCCAGTAATGGGATTGCTGGGCCAAATAGTATTTCTGGTTCTAGATCCTTGAGGAATCGCCACACTGACTTCCACAATGGTTGAACTAATTTACCTTCCCACCAACAGTGTAAAAACGTTCCTATTTCTCCACAGCCTCGAGAGCATGTATTGTTTCCTGACTTTTTAATAATCGCCATTCTGGTTTCACCCATGTCCCTACAAAGGACATGAACTCATCATTTTTTATGGCTGCATAGTATTCCACGGTGTATATGTGCCACATTTTCTTAATCCAGTCTATCGTTGTTGGACATTTAGGTTGGTTCCAAGTCTTTGCTATTGTGAATAGTGCCGCTATAAACATACGTGTGCAAGTGTCTTTATAGCAGCATGGATGAAACTGGAAACCATCATTCTCAGCAAACTATCACAAGGACAAAAAACCAAACACCGTATGTTCTCACTCATAGGTGGGAATTGAACAATGAGAACACATGGACACAGGAAGGGGAACATCACACACCGAGGACTGTTGTGGGGTGGGGGGGAGGGGGGAGGGATAGCAGTAGGAGATATACCTAATGCTAAATGACGAGTTAATGGGTGCAGCACACCAACATGGCACATGTATACATATGTAACAAACCTGCATGTTGTGCACATGTACCCTAAAACTTAAAGTATAATAATAATAAAATTTTAAAAAATCACCATTTTGACTGGCATGAGATGGTATCTCATTGTGGTTTTGATTTGCAAGAAATATTGAATTTTAAAAGTTAACAATAAATTTAAAAACCAAATATAAAACATTGCAAAGACTGAAGAATACTTGTAGGCAGATAGATGACCTTTATAGCCTGGATGCTACCTTGGTCTTCAGCTTGTTACCTCAGCTCTTCTGGTCTCTACTTTCTCTCTAGATGACATCATCTGTCTCCTTGGCTTCAAAGCCCATCTAACGTTTATGACTTCCAAACTTATATCTGATCTTACTCCTGAGATCCAGACTTCAATCTCTAATTATCTCTTCAGCAAATTGTTGCTCAGAGGCACTTCACACTCAATGAGTTGATGAGAATCTCCCTGTCTATAAATCTTCTTCACTTGGAATGATTTGTACCTTGGTTAATGCAATCTATTGGGTGATTTCTATGAAATCACCCAATGTTCTTTGACTCCTCTTTTTTTTTTTTTCTGAGATGGTGTCTCGCTCTGTCACCCAGGCTGGAGTGCAGCGGCACGATCTCGGCTCACTACAGGCTCCGCCCCGGGTTCACGCCATTCTCCTGCCTCAGCCTCCCGAGTAGCTAGGACTACAGGGACCCGCCACCTCGCCCAGCTAATTTTTTGTATTTTTTTAGTAGAGACGGGGTTTCACCATGTTAGCCAGGATGGTCTTGATCTCCTGACCTTGTGATCTGCCTGCCTCGGCCTCCCAAAGTGCTGCGATTGACTCCTCATTTTTTAAATCTCATAAATATTATTAATAAGTAAGTCCAATTGAATCTACCTCAAAATATTTCTAAAATCTGTCCAACAATTGCCCCAAAGTCTGCTAGTTAAGTAAACTAGGAGTTTTCCAATTTTTTTAAACTACAATATATTTTCTTTTCACAAAATTTTACTTAAATTGTACTTAGAAGGCCAATTGCAATAGATATAAGTAGATCTTGTCAGGTTGAAGTTGGATTGGAGACCCAGTCTCCCACCCACTCACCCTCATTGTCCTTTGAAGTGGCCCACGAGGCATCTCTAAGAGACTCACAACAGTCCCCAAACACAGTTTAGAAACCAGACAGAAACATAAAACTCCAAACTGGCTTCATCACCACCACTCTTCCCATCTGCTGTACTGCTACAAAAATTATCTTTCTGAAACACAGATGTGGTCAGATTTCTATTTAAAAAGCTTTGGTGGTACACTACTAACATAGAATAAATCCATACTTCTTAACGTGAATTTATACACTTTACAAGCCAAGTGTATAGCCAGTCAGTAATTACACCTCAGTTCACACTACAGCCACGCTGACTTTTTCGTGATCTACTCTCTTGCCTCTTGCTTGGTTCATACTAGTACTTTGGCTAGTAAAAAGTTTAACCTGGGTTCAAAATGGTGCTGGAGATATAAG
Organism: Homo sapiens; assembly: GCF_000001405.40. Classification (NCBI taxonomy): domain Eukaryota; kingdom Metazoa; phylum Chordata; class Mammalia; order Primates; family Hominidae; genus Homo; species Homo sapiens. The sequence goes on from NC_000018.10 coordinate 4,768,366, forward strand.
GCTGAAATGCTACTTGCTCCTCTAATTTCCACACTGCCTATCCAAATGTAATTGTTACCTATCAAGGGCAGGATCATTCAGACTGAAGGAAGAGTACAGTTGCTTCTATAACAGCCATGAGGTATATATGCTTAGTCTCCAATCATTGGATCACCTTTAGAGAGTGGCATTCATAAGGATGTATGGTGGGCATCCGATATCCACCTTGCTCATTAAATTGACTGGTCCCTATTATTGATCATTATAATCATGCAGTATTACCTAGCTTTCAACTAACCAAGGCACTTCTGGTTATCGTACATAGACTATTCATTTTCAAAGACACAATCAACAAAGCATCTATTTTGTGCCCTATATAATTAAGGCCCTATGAAAAAACAAGACAGTTTCTATGGTTTAAAAAATGTAATCTAGTTAAGAAAACAGAACTATAATTCCAAACTGTTTATGAGCAGCATAAAGAAATATACAATTAAGTAATTAAATATTATAGATGATTAATGCTAAACGAATTTAAGAGTAGGTATATAGATAGCACTGTCTTTTAGAGTTCTTATAATAAACCTCACAAAGCAGATTGTTTTAAGCTGGGGTTTGGAAGGCAGGGAAGATTTACAGAAGATAAGGAAAAGGTGCTTCAGGCCAAAGAAATAATATAAACAAAGGTGCAGGATTAAAAACAAACTGGCTTGTGACTGCACCAGAAAGAGAAGAATGGACTAGAATGTTGGGTAATTGAAAATACTTCAAATTCAAAGAGTTTCAAGTTTTTATAATAGGTTACAAAACATGATTGAAGGTCACGTTGTATGTGTTGGGTGCAGATGTCCCTGGAGAAACAACAAGAATATGAAATTTAAGGAAGAGCCATCTTGTACAGTGGTAGAGTGTGCAAGATGGATTATAGAAAGGAGACTGGAGTCGGAGAATCTGGTTCAAAAAGCAGAACACCTGTGCAGTAATTAAGATAAAATTAATGTAAGCCTAGACCAGAGTGGTACCCATGGTGCCTTGGAGAGAAGATGCCTCAGTGTGAAGGAAGAACCAACTGGGCTTTTGAGAGTCTGTGTTTTATCAATAAAAGAAAGAATGAGTGATACTAAATGAACACACGGTTTTCAGGGTTAGTGATATTATTATGTTTTAACAGACACAAAAGCCAAATTGAGTGATGAAAAAAAGTTCCTTTTCTTTTTTAAAATGTTAAATTTTAAGATTAACCTGGTTTCTCCAGAAAACAGAGCCTGAGGCAATTATTAAAGTGCTGATGCGTTGTTGGGGTGGGAATGAAAATACAACAAAGCAGGTAAGAAAGGAAGTTTAGTGAGACAGCAATTCTTTCCTGTACTGGCTGCAATCTCACAAGGAGCGGAGGAGAGACACAGGAGGGGCCTTACCAGGTGTGTTCATTCAGCTCACAGGACTTTTCTAATCAGGCTGTGAGAAAGAACCATGCTCCAGATTAGTCTGTGGGGGAGAGGAGGAAAGAAAATCAATCTGCCTGTCTCCCTTCACACTCCTATTTCTCATTAGTCAAAAAATCACTCCAAAGGGCATCAACTACCGTCGTCATCTGGCTCTTAGGTATAAGCTTAGGATGCCAGAAGCTATAACCTGCAGTGTGGGGTTCCATCCAAGATCTGATGTGGTGCAGGGAGTCTGAAACTCCAGATATACAGCTGGTCAGCCAGGTGTGGCGGGCCAAGGGAGGGACTGGCACTTCTGGGGAAAGAAACAAGTGGCTGTGGTGTCCTGGAAATGGGCGGTGCCTTTGCAAAAAGGGACACATCATAGGGGTTATGATATAAGACATATATCACATATCATATATATCATATATCTGACATGATAAGTGATTAATCCATGTGGAATTAACCGGCAAAGGTTGGATATATGGGATAAAAGCCTGCGGGAAACCTTGTAACAAAAGCTGGTGGGTCAAAGTTTATAATTCAGCCCCCACGAAGTAATAATTAGAAATTGAGAGAAAGGGTGAGCCCTGGGAGAAAGAGAACACAAAGACAGGAGGGAAAAGATGAGGACCTAACACTGAGAACTGAGGAGCACAGAGGAAAGCAAGGAAAGAAGAGAAATATGGTGTGGTCATATTAAAAACATTAGAAACAAAACAAAAAATAAAATACAGTGTTTTAGTTCATTGCAGCTGCTATAACAAAATATCACATCGTAGACTGGGTGACTTATGAACAACAGAAATTTATTTCTCACAGTTCTGGAGGCTGGCAAGTCCAAGATAAAGGCACCTGCAGATTCGATGTAGTTGTCTGGAGAACGGGGGCCTGGCCTGTTTTCTGGTTTATAGAGGGCGCCTTCTTACTGTATCCTCATATGGTAGAAAAAGGGGAGCTCTCTGGGGCCTCTTTTATAAGAGCACTAATCCCATTCATGAGGGCTCCGTCCTTATGACAGGAGAGTTATCTATGGAGAATCCTGAGAGGTCAATCCATAGAGAAAAAATAAATCAAGATATCTCTTGTTGTGTACAGAAGGTGGGGTTGAAACTAAGGTGAGGACTGGGTTGGGGCTAGTCACAGAGAGACAAACAGCATTAAATGGTATCTTAGTTTGTTTGTGCTGCTAGAACCAAACACCACAGACTATGTCATTTATAGTGGACAAACATGTATTGGCTCATGGTTCTGGAAGCTTGGAAGTCCAAAACTGAGGGGTAAAGATTTGGGGAGGGCCTTCTTGCTGCATCATCCCATGGCAGAAGAACAAAGACAATATGAGAGATTGCAAGAGATGAAACTTACAGCCTAAAGCCCTTTTATAATCAGAATTAATCCATTCATGTAGGTGGAGTCCTCATGATCTAAACCTCCCATTAGGCCCCACCTCCCAACACCATTCCACTGGGTATTGCATTTCTAACACAAGCATTTAGTGAGATGCATTCAAACCGTAGCAAATAATGAGCTTTAAAAGAAAACTGCCTGGGCCCCAAATCAAGCTCCACTACTTCCTTGCTGTAACCATGGCAAGTTACTTGGAAACTCCAGTTCTCGATTATCTCACTTGGAAAACAGATATAATAATAGAATCTATGCTATTGGATATAGTGACTAAAATGGGGTATAAATGACATGCTGTATTTGGCAGAGTGCCTAGCATGTAATAGAACTTTTTACACCATGTATTTACATGGATGTCTCAAATGTAACATGTTTAATGATACCTCCCACCATTTGATGCACCTCTACCTAAAATAATCACACCACTGTCCATTCAGCAAGCCAGACACCTAGAAGTCATACTTTGCACCTTATCCCTCATCTCCCACATCTAATCTGACATCAGTTTTACCTTCAAAGTATCTATGTGAATCTATACCCTCTCAGTATCTATACTCCTATTATGCTAATCCAAATTGCTGTTTTGCTTTAGCTGTGCTACAAAAATGGTCCATGAACCCATGAACTCAGGCACCTGCACAACCACTTTGGCTTTTCTGCAATCTCTTCTTGAATCCAGAGGCTCCCAGGCAGTGTCATGTATAAGACACAGATGCCCAAGGAACACAGTATACAACCGAAGGTCCAGCTTGTGAGTCCTAGAGAATAAGCCAGATGGAAGCTTCAACAGATACAGCTCAAGACAAGACCCAATTCTCTGTGTCAAATAGACTGGTATTTACTTCTGTCTGACATGCCATTTTATTGGCATCCAAGTAAACTGCAAGCTGACCTTTCTAACAAATACATTTATGCAAGTGCATTTCACAAATTAGAGCTTCGGTATTATGCTATAAGTTTTTTTATGAATTCAATTTTAACTATACGTCCTAGTGCTTTGTATTTCATTTTGCTTACTATAAATGGAGATATAAAGAATCTGTTAATTATTTATTTTCATCAAATCTCATCAAGATACTCCTAAATCCCCTCATTTTGACGAGGGGATGGAAGAAATATTATCATTCTATATTTGTGCCATAACATGGGCAATTTAGGGAAATCAGAGTTCTTATCTGTAGTCAAAGCAGTCTTAAACAAAGCAAATCTGATCCTGTAACTGCTCTGCATAAAAGCCTAATGCTTCATAGCGCTCTCGGAATAAAGATCAAAATAAGCAAAGTAGACTCCGGGCCTGTGTGTTTGCCCACACAATTCCCCTGGTTTTATCTTAGGCCACTCCTCTTCTCATTCTCTACATTTCAATTACCTTGACTTCTTTCATTTCCTTAAAGGCATCATGCCTACTGAAGTCATAGAAACTTTGTGTATGCAAGTCTCTCTTTCTAAAATGAAAATGCCTTACCCAACCCTGCGCAGTTACCCAATTAATTGTATTTCATCCTTTAGCTCTTCGCTCAAGGATAACTTCCTCAAGGAAGACTTTCCTGTACTTAACCTCCTTCCCAGTGCAATTCAGGGCTTCTATGCACCTGTCAAATAACACATATACCTATGTTCCCCTACCGTATTCCCAACATTTAACATACTACTTGACGTTTTGTAGGAGCTCAATGAAAAACTTGCAGAAACTAGATTGAGGACAAAATTCTAGCAAGCCCTGCGTAAGGCCTCAGGTTGTGACCTTCGGCTGTTTTGCCCTGATTCAAGAAGGCTGACTCGCCTTACGTATGGCTGTTCCAAGGGTGGCATGTTCATTCCTAAAGACTCACTGTGCTGAAGGAGATATTTCCTTTCGCTTAACTTTGTAAGTGTGAAAAACTTTGAAGGACTTTTCAGGGAATAGAAATCAATCATCATTAATCCTTCCCATATGACAAACTGTTTCATTTTTTATAACAGCTTCTGTTCATTGTCAAAATACGTTCATATTTTACACAGTGTACATATAATATTTGTATGCTGCTTTTTATTCAGCATAATGTTACATACATTTTATTATTTTGTATTATTATGTATTATTACTACAAAGTCTTTATAGCTATCATTGTATGTAACGACACAATTAGATCTTCCAAAATACTTCTTTTTTTTGAGACTGTCTGCCTCTGTTGCCTAGGCTGGAGTGCAGTGGCACAATCTCAGCTCACTGCAACCTCTGCCTCCTGGGTTCAAGTGATTCTCCTGCCTCAGCCTTCTGAGTAGCTGGGATTATAAATGCACACCACCACACCCGGCTAATTTTTGTATTTTTTAGTAGATACAGGGTTTTGCCATGTTGGCCAGGCTGGTCTCGAACCCCTGACCTCAAGTAATCCACCTGCCTCGGCCTCCCAAAGTGCTGGCATTACAGGTGTGAGCCCCTGCGCCCAGGCAATATCTTCCAAAATACTTATCAAGAGAGTATAAGTGCCAAGTACCATGAAAGCACAGTGAAGCAAAAATTCATTCAATTTATATAAAAAATGTTGAACAAAGAAATGATACAGAAATGCGAGAGGAAATGGGGTTAAAGAGGAGCTGTTTCTTTTTTTGTTTGCTTTAATTCCAAGGGTTAAGATACCTTTGTGTGCTAATGGAAATAATCTTGTAGAAAGAAAATTGATGATGAATTTGGATTGTGGTTTTGACAAGTTAGGATTACACAGTGTAGGGGTTGAAAAGGTACAATACCTTTCCTTCAGAAGGGTCATGGCTGACACTCCTATAACAATGACAACAACAAAGACAGATTAAAAAGAGAAAAGCATGATACATTTATTTAATCAAAGTGTTACATGACACAGGGGCCTTCAGAAATGAAGACCTAAAGACTCAAAGAAAACGATTTTTATGCTTAGGTCCAACAAAGAATGGACAGCCATGTAGAAATGTGATTGGACAAAAATGGTATGATATAATGGTAATAGACCTAAGTGGGAAAGACAGCGAAGGCTGCCTGTTCAGATTCTTCTTGACTTCTATTTGCAGCATTTCTTTCTCCCAGGTATAGACCAGGTATAGACCCCTTTGGAAATGAGGGTCTTATGATCTACTATCAGATAAAGTAGGCCAGAGAATTTATGGCCATCTTCTACACAGAAAGGAAGGTGGAAGGTTAGAGCAATACAGTTGATCCTTGAATGACACAGGTTTGAACTGCGTGGGTCCATTTATATGTCGATGTTTTTCAATAAACATATTAGAAATGTTTTCAAGATTTGTGGTAATTTGCAAAAACTCTCGGACAAACCATGTAGCCTTAGAAGTATTGAAATAATTAATAAAAGGTTATGTATGTCATGAATGTATAAAATATATGTAGATACTAGTCTATTGTATCATTTACTACCATGAAATATATGCAAATCTGTTATGTAAAAAAGTTAAATATCAAAACTTATGCACATGCTTACAGACCATACATGGCACCATTGGCAGTCAACAGAAATGTAAACAAATGTAAAGACACAGTATTGAATCATAAATGCATAAAATTAACTCTAGTACATACCCATCTACTGCAATAATTTTGTTGCCACCTCCTGTTGCTACTGCAGTGAGCTCAGGTGTTGTATCTGCTTAAAATGCCCTGTGACGTTAGTCATCCCCACATGAGCAGTATTGCAGTAAAAAGTTTTCTCCAGCTGCTCTTGAGTATTTTTCATCATTTTTAGTGCAATACCATAAACTTGGAATAATATCACAGGACCCATACAAAGTGCCACTAGTGATGCTGGAATTTGTCCCAAGAAGCAAAGAAAACTCATGATATTATAAGAAAAAGCTGAATTGCTTGATACGTACCATAGATTGAGGTCTGCAGCTTCAGTTGTCCACCATTTCAAGAAAAATGAATCCAGCATAGGGATCATTGATGTGAAGCCATCACTGCAGCTACATCTGAAGGTGCAAAAACCATACACTTTTTATGGAATAACTTTTAATCTCATATTGAAAATACAGCTTTTATATGGGTGCAAAATTACTATATTACCTATAGATTGTAATATATTTTGAGAAAAAGCAAAATCATTATATGGCAAGTTAAAGCAAAAAGAAGGTGAAGGACCTAAAGCTGGAGGATTGAATGCCAGCAAAGGATGGTTTGATAATTTTAAAAAGGCATTTAACTTTAATAAAAATGTCAAACTTGTGAAGAAGCAGCTTCTGCTGCTCAAGAGGCAGCAGACGAGTTCCCATTGCCATGAAGAAAATCATTATCTGCCTGAACAGGTTTCTAATGAAGATGAAAGTACATTTTTTTTTATCCTGAAAAAAAAAATGCCACAAAGAAGATTTAGTAGTAAGGAAGAGAAGCACACACCAGGATTTAAGGCAGGAGGGGATAGGCTAACTCTACTGTTTTGTGCAAATAGAGTTGGGTTTATGATCCGGACTGTGCTTTTCTATAAATCTGCTAGCCCCTGAGCCTTTCTTTGTATTTTTTTTTTTTTTTTGAGACAGTCTTGCTCTGTCACCCAGGCTGTAGTGCAGTGGCATGATCTTGGCTCACTGCAACCTCCGCTTCCCAGGTTCAAGTGATTCTCCTACCTCAGCCTCCCACGTAGCTGGGATTACAGGTGTGAGCTGCTACGCCTGGCTAATTTTTGTATTTTTAGTAGAGATGGGGTTTCACCATGTTGGCCAGGCTGGTCTCCAAATCCTGACCTCAGGTGATCCGCCTACCTCAGCCTCCCAAAGTGCTGGGATTACAGGCATAAGCCACTGTGCCCAGTCACTCCTAAGCCTTAAAGGGGAAATATAAACACCAGCAGCCAGTCTTTTGGTTTTACAAGAAGGCCTGTACGAGGAGAACCCTTTTTCTGAATTGGTTCCATCAGTGTATTGTCTCTGAAGTCAGGAAGTACTTTGCCAGAAAGGAATTTCCATTTAAAACTCTTTTGGTGTTGAGCAATAACCCTGGCCACTTAGAATCTCATGAGTTCAACACCGAAGGCATTGAAGTGGTCTGCTCTCCCTCGAACACAACATCTCTAGTTGAGCCTTAGATGAAGGGGTCATAAAGACCTTTAAGTCTCATTACACAGGGTACTCTATGGAAAGAATTGTCAATGCTATGGAAGAGGACCCTGATAGAGAGAACACCATGAAAGTCTAGAAGGATCACACCATTGAATATGCCATCATTGCTTTAGAAAACCACGAAAGCCATAGAGCCTGACACAACAATTTCTTCTGGAGAAAACTGTGTCCAGATATTGTCCACGACTTCACAGGATTCAACAGTGCCAGTCAGGGAAATGATAACACAGATATGCAAAAAAGGTGTGAGGTGAAGGATTTCAACATATGGGTCTTGGAGAAATTCAAGAGTTAAGAGAGGGTATCCCAGAGGAATTAACAGAAAATGACTTGATGGAGATAAGTACTTTCAAACCAGTGCCAATGAGGAAGAAGATATTGAAGAAGCAGTGCCAGAAAACATAATGACATTAGACACTCTGCCAGAAGGATTCTGATTATACAAGAATGCTATTGACTTCTTTTATGACACAGACCCTTCGATGATATGGGTACTGAAAATAAAGTAAATGGTACCATAGAGAAACATTTTCAGAGAAATTAAAAAGCAAAAAAAGGCAGACCAAAATTACAATGTATTTCCATAAAATTATACCGAGTGTGCCTGCCTCTGCTGCCTCCCCTTCCACCTCCTCTGCTTCTTCCACCTCTGCTACCCCTGAGACAGCAAAACCAACCACTCTTCTCCCTCCTCCTCCTCAGCCTACTCAGCATGAAGACAATGAGGAAGACTTTTATAATGATCCGCTTCCACTTAATGAATAGTAAATATACTTTCTCTTCCTTATAATTTTCATAATAACATTTTCTTTTATCTAGCTTTGTTGTAAGAATATAGTATATCATATATATAACATACAAATTATATGTTAAATGACTTTATGTTATCAGTAAGGCTTTCAGTCAACAGTGAGCACATACACATTGTAATTCCCAAATTGTTCCAGGGTCATCTGTATTTCTAGTTCCTACTACCCATCTTGGGGAAGAAGAACTCCAGTCCTGTGGCCTGCCTTGGGGAAGGAAAGGAAGCAAGAGAAAGGCAGGCAGTAGAAGGTCAGAAAGAGGCTTTGCTTCTGAGGCCCTTCCAATGGCCTTCAGTTCAAAGTACTCTGCATGCCAAAGAGTTATACTTTTGGGTATCATTTTCTGAGCTCCAACAATAAAAGAGGAGCCCAGGATTTGAGAGGATATCCAAGAAAATAATTTTGATGATGTTTATTTCTTTCATACTCCTTGTTCTCAGGGGGCTCACAGCAGGTGAAGAAAAATATAAGAAACAGTACATAGTAAAAAATGCTAAAATAGAGAAATATAGGATGCCATGCAAACACAGAGGAAGGATTTGATGTACCATATTTTACTAAATCATTACAGAATACTTCTATTAATTATGGATAATATCACAATAAACATACTGGTGTACATATAGCACATTTTTAATAATACTCCTACAAATACATCAGAATTATTTGATGTTTCACCTTATTAACTAATATTTGGATAGTTTTGTTCTATACTGAAATATTTCTGAGAATGCTTAAAGTTTTGAGATTTTGTTTGGCTTTTAATATTGTAGTCACATTATTTCTATAATAACTTTCTTTTATAGATCATAGAGGTTTTCCAGGGATGTGGGGGAGCTAGGGGCCAAGGGAAAGCTTCCCTTTTGCCTTCTGAAGGTTCACTGCAAATAAATCAATCAAATAAATAAACTCACAAAAGGTGGATTAATTGGGGAAAAGGCATGCAAATATTATTAGCAGGAACATGGAAGCCTTCAGAATGAAGAACCAAAGATTCAAGGGAAATCATGCATCTTTATGCTTAGGTTAAACAAAGTATGGGCAGCTGTGTAGAAGTATGATTGGACAGAAAGGGCACGCTAACAGACTGAGTGAGTGGGGGAACTCAGCAAGACCTATCTATTTAGATTCTTCTTGGCTTCTCTGAACATATATTTCTTACTTCTGGGTGTGGAGCAGTGTCCTCTCTGGAATGGGGTCTCATAACCTATAGTCAAACAAGGTAGGTCCAACAATTTCTTTATGATCAGTTTTTACACAGGGTGGGGGAAACTTAGATCAATATTTTTAGGTTTGGCCGGGCGCAGTGGTTCATGTCTATAATCCCAGCACTTTGGGAGGCCGAAGCAGGTGGATCACTTGAGGTCAGGATTTCAAGACCAGCCTGGCCAACATGATGAAATCCTGTCTCTACTAAAAATACAAAAAATTAGCTGGGCATGGTGGCGGGCACCTGTAATCCCAGGTACCCTGGAGGCTGAGGCAGGAGAATTGCTTAAGCCTGGGAGGCAGAGGTTGCAGTGAGCCGAGATCATGCCACTGCACTCCAGCCTGGGCGACAGAGCAAGACTCTGTCTAAAAGTAATTAATTAATTAATTAAAATAATAATATTTTTAGGTTCTACGGTAGACTTCAAGGAAAAGTGGTTCTAGTTTCTATGACCTGCTTTGGGGTAGAGGGAGTCCAGTTTCTATGGCCAGCCTGTGGAAAGAATATTTACAGACAATATAAATGAGATTTAGGAGAGCAAAAGAAGGTTAGAGAAAAACTTTTTCTTCTGAGGCTGCTTCTGAAGCTTCATCTGGGGTTGTTGATTTACAACAGAGTCAAGCACAGCATCATTCTGAATTAGAAATAATCACTGCATCTGCCACCCAGCCTTGAGGAGGATGTTAATCAAAGACAGTTATCTCAAAAACCATGGCTTTCCTCTCTGTATTCTGGTTTTATTAGGGAGTTCCCACCAATATAGAATACAAATTGTGCCATCCTAGTTTATATGTAACTAAACTCCAGGTGTGGAAACTATAAGATTCTCTAGCATACAGAAGAGATATAAGAGGAGGTAATTCCTAGGCCAGGCATGGTGGCTTACGCCTGTAATCCTAACACTTTGGGAGGCCGAGGGGGGCGGATCACCTGAGGTCAGGAGTTCAAGACCAGCTTGGCCAACAGGGTAAAACCCCATCTCTACAAAAATACAAAAATTAGCCTGGCATGATGGCAAGTGCTTGTAATCCCAGCTACTTGAGAGGCTGAGGTGGAAGAATCACTTCATCCCGGGAGGCAGAAGTAGCAGTGAGCCAAGATCGTGCCATTGCGCTCCAGCCTGAGTGACAGAGCAAGGCTCCATCTCAAAAAAAAAAGAAAAAAAAAGAGAGGAGGTAATTCCTATCTTATCCACATGATCATATCCACTCAAGATAACTTATTACATATATTTTTAATTATTTTCTATTGATTAGTTACTCTGGGACTATTGAGTTAATCAGTCTCTTACCAACCAACATATATGTCTACTGCAGTTTTACTACAACCTTGTCAGTATTAAGTGCTATATTTTTAACTTAATATTTTCAATGTATGTTGTTGAAAATATTTTGGAGCAATACAGAAAGACCCTCTGTATAGTAAAATTGTCATTTTTCTTTTTAAAAAAACAAATGATTAGTTTTTTCTTAAATTACTGAACATGTATACTTCAATTCTTAATCTTCAAATCAGTTAAAAACAATCTCCTAGTGAAAAATGAAAAAAGCTCACACTCTTGTAGCGGAAAAGGTCTTCTTTTGAAAACAAAGTGCGTGGGCCAGGCGTGGTGGCTCATGCCTGTAATCCCAGCACTCTGGGAGGCTGAGGTGAGCAGATCATGAGGTCAGGAGATCAAGACCATCCTGGCTAACACAGTGAAACCCCGTCTTTACTGAAAATACAAAAAAATTAGCCTGGCGTGGTGGCAGGCGCCCGTAGTCCCAGCTATTCTGGAGGCTGAGGCAGGAGAATGTCATGAACCCAGGAGGCGGAGCTTGTAGTGAGCCGAGATCGCGCCACTGCACTCCAGCCTGGGCGACAAAGTGAGACTCTGTCTCCAAAAAAAAAAAAAAAAAAAAAGAAAAAGAAAAGAAAGTGCATGTAGCATGTGTTTTTAAGACACTGCCAGTAGAGGTCTTTTTCAATTCACTATATTGTTTAAAAACGGTGTGCAAATGATGAAAATCAGGGCACATGAATCTGAGAATCATGTGTGGTTAGAGCTGGTGGCATTCCTCACCATTGTGATGACTTAGACCCATGGGACAATGAACCTTAATGGTGATGATGAATAAATAATATTCTCTCAAACCTCATTCATTCATTCACCATATACTTAGATTCGAACTAGGAACAGAGCACTTGAGTCACAAATATTAACAGGACGTGGCCTCAGAAATAATGAGCTCACTAAAATAGGAAACAAAGGTATAGTAACACAGGAAAGGACAATGCCAGCATTATAGAAAGTGTCAGAACAACCACAGAAAGGAGGACAACTAACTCTGCTTATAAAGGGGGTGTATTCTCCCTTGTTGCTGTAACAGATTACCATAGACAAAAAATGATTAAATTGCTTCCTTAAATTACCAAGCATATACACTTGAATTCCTCATCTTCAAACCTGTTAAACTTTCTATGCAACCTCAACTTGTGGTTATACCTCATAGACCAGGGATGGAGAACAACGGCTTCTCTCCACTTATACACAGGAAAGAAGCAGCTTCCTCCATCTCTTGTCCAAAAAAGAGAGGTAAATCTTTGTTTCTTACAGACAGGATGAAAAGTATCCTGGGTCTAACCTTAACCTTTGGGAATGTCAATAAAATCTCTCCAAAAGCCAGATGGTCCCATGTGTCTTGAATTTTTTGACCTAGAAATGTCTTCAACATCTGGGCTTCATCCCTTTTGACATGCAAATGCTGGGGAGATGGCGCTTCAGATTTCTTGGCACCTTGGAGGCTTTGGGGGGTCTCATTTGAGCTGTAATCATTGGCCTTCTTAGGGAATAAAAGTTGTGTTGCCTTTTGGATAGAGTAGTTAACGAGACAAAAGGCTATATACTCAAAGTATGTGAAGAATAAATGTTTCTAGGGGAAGATATTGAAAACACTCCCTGTATTTATAGTGTATGCATTTCTATGTCTCAAGACACCAAGATCTCTTAGAGGAGCACTGAGAAATTCAGGGATACTTTATCCCCAAGAATCCATGAATTGTTCTTCAATATAGCTAATTTGATAAGACCAAAAAAAAAAAAAAAAAAGAGCTATCTTGGGACATAAACAAGACAGCTGACTAGAAACCTCTAGTACTCTTCACACACACACACACCCCACAAATAAACAACTAAATTCTCACCAAAATAACTACAGGAGAGCTCCAGAGAACAGCAAAGAAGTAGCAGAAATCCTGTAGAGCACAGAAATGCAGGATGGCCACATAGGGAAAAGAAGGAAACAGCTTGCCTTTAGTCAGATTGTTAGAGTAGGCAGATAGCCAGAAATGAGCAGGCAAGGGAGCCCCTGGGGAAAGAAGTCCAGGAGATGCTGCCCATTGACAGTTAACAAAGGAGACAATGGCTACACTGGCTACTTCTGGCCTTGTGATTGCGCTCCTGTATCCTCGAAGGGGACTTATCAGACCCTAGCAGGAGGTAACCATGATAAAGACTTTCCCTGCTGACAAGCATGTACATTCCTCCAATAACTCACCCTAGAGTAGCCTTTTTCTCATAAAAAACACATCCTTGGGTGGAGAATTTAATGCTAATGAGACATGTGACATGTGTCTCACTAGCATGTGCAACCACAGAGCATGTGTGCCCAAGAGGAATGTTTAAAACATGATTGCAAGTGACACCCCTCCATGGCCGTTCATAAATAATTATGTAAGATTCTCATAGAGTCCCCCAGCACTAGCTGCTGCTGGCTCATTCTCTTGAGCAGCCTGTTCTTTCTCATCTTTCAGAGTTTACTGTCTCTTTAAGTAAACACTGCTACTATTTTTCCAACTGGACCAGCCCAGAGCTATTTTCCAGACACACAAGGCCAGAGCTGTTTTCCAGCTGGGTCAGCCCACTTTTCTCTTGGAGTGTACTTTTATCTCCTTAATAAACCTTTTGCTTACATTATTAATTGTCCCTTGGCTGAATTCATTCTCCCAAGTTAGACAAGAATCAAGGATTCCTGCACTTCACAGTAGCAGGATGAGCTCAGAATCAGGAGGGTAGGGAAAGGGTAAGAAAGAAGACTCCAGCAGCCCCCATTACCACCATGAACACTGCAATCTTTGCTACTGGGAACTCTTGCAGTCCTGACAGTTTCTGAGCCCAACTGAAGGAGCTCCCCAGAATCCACATGCTCAGCCACCCCCCAAAAAGGAGCAGACACCATTCCCCACCACCACCATTCCCTGTGCTGCTATTGCACTGCACCATCTTGGAATCAGAGACATTGCTAGAGGGCTTCCTGCTGTGGGGGTGTTGCCATTGCCTCACCCCTTCATCCCTGAGGGGGATGTCCACACGACAATGTGCTATTTCTTAGCCGAGCTCCAGCTATGCCCTACCCCAGGATCAAGCTACCACTGAGTGGCTGCACAACCCCAGTTCCAGTCAATGGTGTATCTTCCTTTCAGGGCCAAGATAAAGTTGTGCTCTGTCCTCCAGGGACCTCACCCAGGGCTCCTGAACACCGCCAGTGCCATAGGTGAGGCAAGACCCCAACCCATAGGGACCTCAGACTTCCGGCACGCCAGAGCTGTTGACCCCTGCACCAGCACCCCAGGTGAGGCAGTGCTGGGGAGCCTCTGAGCCTTTAGAAAACTGGAGCACTTGCATCCTCCAGCACTACAGCTGATGCAGCACCCCAGTCTCAAGGGGTCTGGAGGCTCTCTTGACCTATATAGCCACACTTTCTGGAGTTGAGGAGATGTGGCATTTTGCATCCCAGGAACTCATAGCCTTGGCTGAGTTGTGCCACTCCACCCGCAAGGCCTAACAGCCACAGTGCCCCACCTACCTGGAACAGGATTAACCCCTCTTCCCCTACAATCTAAGCTGCTGAGTTATCCCATCTCTCTAGGGAGTGGAGTCATTGCCGTGCTGCTCCCAGCTTCCCAGGACCCAAGCAACAGCAGAGTCTTGCCATTCCTGGGTCCTTGCTGCTGCACCCAGCCTCACAGAGTCTTAGTTACTGTCATGTCCCACTATTCCAGGGTATAGAGTCACCACCATGTGGTACTCATCTTGTGGAGCTTGAGGTGACAATGTGCCCTATCAGTCTTGGATCTCAAATTGCAGCTGTGCTCTGCTCCCCAGGGTCCCAGCTTCCAAAAGCCCCTCTCTTCTCCAGAGCTGTGCCAGTATAGTGCCCTGCCCACCCCATGGTCAGAATCACAGCTACATCCCAGCCCCATGGGCTAGATATGCTGGGATATGCCTCAGAGCTACAAATTCCAGCTTAGTAGAAGAACTGAATCCACTTGATATGGATTGACTCTGTGTCCCCACCCAAATCTCATCTTGAATTGTAATCCCCACATGTCGAGGGAGGGACAAGGTGGGAGGTGATTGGATCATTGGGGGTGGTTTCCCCCATGCTGTTCTTATGATAGTGACAGAGTTCTCATAAGATCTGACGGTATAAAAGGGGCCGTTTCCCCTGCAATATCTCTATCTGCTGCCGCCATGTGAGACATGCCTTACTTCCCCTTCATCTTTAGGGGCCATGATTGTAAGTTTCCTGAGGCCTTGCAAGCCATGTGGAACTGAGTCAATTAAACCTCTTTCCTTTATAAATTACCATCTCAGGTCATTTTTTATAGCAGTGTGAAAATGGACTAATACACCTCTCATGCCTTGGAAAGAACCTATGCCTTGAATCCCAGGTCTAATAACAGTGTCACAAGACTCTGAGTCCAGGAACCCAGCTACACAGCTGCTCCAAGCACCTACTCCCCATATCCCAGTGCTGCCATGGCTGTCTGTGTGCTCTGTCAGATCCACACCAAGAGAGATCTCCTCAGCTGAGATGACCCACTATGGGGAAGACAAAGAATAGGAGGATCAAACCTTAATAGGTTAAAGCCTTTGCCCTAATAACCTATGGAGCCACCATCACTGCCACAAACTCCTGGAACCTTGACCACAGAGGCATTCACAGTAATCACCAGTTATCACAACCGAAGAAGCTGCTGGAGACTACACCACTGCAATCACATGGAACCAGAGCCACTGCACCCTGCCCAACCAACAGTCTCAGGCTCTTCTTCAAATGAACATCTTCTCCTACAAACGCCACTGTGTAAAGTTTGGAAGAGGTGACTGCACCACCAGATGCACAGACATTAATGCAGAGACACAAGAAAAATGAAAAAGCAAGGAAAAATGACACCACCAAATGAGCACAATAATTCTCCAGTAAATGACCTTTAAAAATAAAAATGTATGAATTACCTGAAAAAGACAGAAACTCAACAAGATACAAGAGAATACAAACAGACAATTAAATCAGAAACAATTCATGATCTGAGTGAGAAATTCAACAAAGAGAGATTATTTAAAAAAAATTAGAGAAGAATCCAATCAGTGAAATAAAAAGAACAATAGAGAGCTTCGATAGCAGGCCAGATGAAGCAAAAAGAAAGAATCTGTGAAGTTAAAAGATAGGTCTTTTGAAATGAATCAGAGTGGGGAAACGAATGAAAAAGAGTGAAGACAACCTATGGGACTTATGGGACACCATTAAGTGAACAAAATAAAATGGCAGCCTAAAAATCAGGGAATAAATTGCAAACCATATATCTGATAAGGGGTTAATATCCAAAATTTAGAAAGAATTCATACAGCTCAACAGTAGGAAAACAAATACCCCAATTAAAAATGAGGAAAACATTTTAACAGACATTTTTCCAAAGAAGATATAAACATCGCCAACAGGTATATGAAAATGTGCTCAACATCATTAATCATCAGGGAAATACAAATTTAAGCCACTATGAAATACCACTTCACACCCATTATAATGACTACTATAAAAATGTTAACAAATGTTGATGAGAGTGTGGAACAGAGGAAACTCTTGTACACTGTTGGTGGGATTGTAGATTGGTGCAGCTATTATGGAAAAAAGTATGATATTTCTTAAATACATTTTAAAACAAACTTCTGAATGACCCAGCAATCCCTCTTCTGGGCATATATCCAAAGGAATTGAAATCACCACCTGGTAAAGATATTTGTGCTCCCATGCTCACTGCAGTATTATTCACAATAGCCAATATACAAAAACAACCTAAGAGTTTGGTAACAGACAAATGGACAAAGAAATTGTGTGTGTGTGTGTGTGTGTGTGTGTGTGTGTGCGTGTGTGTATATATGTATTATTTGTTCAGTATCAAATGTTTGCCTGTGTAGAGGTGGGAATAGACTGAAAGAAGCACAAGGGAGCTTTCTTTGGGCATGTAGCTGTTCTATATCTTGATTCGTTCAATATTATTCAGTCCTAAAAAAGAATGAGATCTTTCCATTTGTCATAATGTAGGTGAGCTTCGAGGACACTGTTATAAATGAAATGTCAGACATGAAAAAAATTGTATAATCTCACTTATATGTGGAACCAAGAAAATTAAATATACAGAGAAAGAACAAAACACTGGTTACCAGGGGTTGGGGGCTGGAAGGGGAAATGAAGAGATATAGGTCAGAGGATACAATGCAGCAGATATGTAGGATGAACAAGTCTGGAGATCTACTGTACAACATGAGACTATAGGTAATAAAATTATATTGCATTTAGGATTCTGGTTAAATATATAATTTTAGCTGCTGTTCACACAAAAAGAAAAAAATGATAATTTGCTTCAGTATAGTAAAGTTTTACTATCTATATATATCTGATAACATTATGCTATATACCTTAAATATAGAAAATAAAATTCATTTTTACAAAGGATAAACTACTGATACATGCCATAATATTATGGATGATGATAAATCTCAAAAACATTATGTTTTATGAAAGAGGCTATACATAAAAAACCCCATACTGCATAATTCCTCCATAAAGAACAGCCAAAACTGAACTATTGTGATGAAAGTCAGAAGAGTGTTTGCCTGTGCAAAGGTAGGCATAGACTGTAAGAAGCACTAGGGAGCTTTCTTTGGATATGGGGTTGTCCTATATCTTGATTCAAGTGGTGATTACACAGTTGTACATAGTTGACAAAACTTAAGCAATTGTACACTTAAATCTGGCATTTCAGTATTTGTAAAATTCACCTCAATTTCAAAAGTATTCCTCATATGTAGTCTTTTTTTGTATGTTGATTTATCTGAAAATTCCTGGTGTCTATGTAAAATCCTTTCCTCCTCTACGAATCTTTTGTTGTCAAAATGAAAAAAATCCAACCACAAAAGGATGTTTAATCTTTTCTCTACCTCCACCTGCTGTAGGGCTGAATAACGGTAAATGTTGTCTCCAAGACAAACAAACAGGAATTCTGTAAAGCAGAGTGAAACTGCCTAAAGTGATACACTAATAACATGAGGACTGTACTCCCAAAATTCTGATTTCTAAATTAGTCTGATTTTTTGGGGGACACAAACTATTCCACTAAGTAAAAACTATTATTATGGTGGTAAAGTGGAAGGAACACAATGATATCCCATATACCAAAATTATCACCAAAGGGATAGCATGACTGGCAAATAAATGACAAATGGCTGAGAAAATAATAAAAGTAGAACACCAGCTATAAAGTGTAAGCCTGGAATTAGAGTTTGGGAAGCCTCAGTTGAAAACATATATATAACAGAATATTTTGGCAAAGGATACTGATATAGTGGCAGTATAAGGTGGATTATTCATATGAAAAACTATAATTTATTTATTATATATTTTTGAAGTTTCCCATTTGAAAATTTAAAATTATCTGGAAGTGTATTAGTTTTCTATTGCTGTTATAACAAATCACTACAGACTTAGAGACTTAAACCAACATAAACTTATTATCTTAGCTCTGTAGGTCAGAAGTCCAACATAGGTCTCACTGGACTAAGTCAAAGTATCACAGAACTGTGTTCCTTTATGGAAACTCTAGAGAAGAACTAGGTTTGGCATTTTCTAGATCTAGAGCCCACCTGTATTCTTTGGCTTGTGGCCTCCTTTTGCCATTTTTAAAAGCCAGAGCTATCAACATCAGATAACATATTTTCACTTTGCCATCTATCTTATCTTTGCAGATAGGAAAGGTCCATAAGTTTTAAGAAACTTGTGATTTGATTGAGCCTGCTTGAATTATCCAGGATAATCTTTCCTTCTCAAGATTCTTAACCTTATTAAATTGGCAAAGTCCTCTTTCCTATGCAAAGTAACATATTCACAGGTTCTGATGATCAGGGCATAGATATCACTGTAAGACACTATTTTGCCAACCATAGTGGTTATTAAAGCATTCTTTACAGAGAAGGGTGATCCTCATATGGGGTATTAAAGAATGAGCAAAGAGGAGTTTTGCTTCTGACTGAGATGAAGAGACTGCTTTTACCCTTTCAGCTAAAATAACAACAAAAAGACAAAATATATTAAACACCAACTTTCAAACATTGGATATCAGGCAGCACAGGGCAGTAATCTCTGAAAGAGAGGAAACAAATAAAGTGAGCATTAAGATTGCCCACCTTGCTCTATGGAAAGAGATTCCACTGAATTTAGGGAAAAAATCCCAGGAGAAACTCAGAGATCTGTTTCAGTTGAGGAGAAGGAGTTGGGAGTGGAGGGAGAGTGGATATTCCAGGGTGACTATATATCACAGGGAAGATTACCAGAAATGAGAGAGCTCCCTAGAGAGAGAATAGAGATCAACAGAGAGTCCCCTGGAGTTATTCACCAAGCACTGATCAGCACATTTGTCAGGAAACTATCTGAGACCAGGGAAACAGCTACCCAGAAGAAGCAGAGAGAATAATTCCTATAACTTATACAGGGCTCACAGTATTTTCAAACAATACCATTTACAACAGCATAAAAATATGAAATGCTTAGGGACAAATCTAATAATCTAATAAAATATATGTAATATCTACACACTGAAAACTGAAAAATGCTACTAAAAGAAATAACAGAAGACCTAAATAAATGGAGATATATACCATGTTCATGGATAAGAAGACTCAATATTTTTAAGATGTCACTTCTCTCCAAAATAATCTATAGATGTAACACAATTTCAAGGAATATCCCAGAAGTCACTTTTTTCATAGAAACTGACAAGATTATCCTAAGACTTATATAAAAATGCAAAGACTTCAGGACAGACAAAACAAACATTGAAAAAGAAGAATACATTTGGAGGAGTTACACTACGTCATTATAAGACTTAGCATAAAACTACTATAATCAAGACATTGTGTCATTGGCATAAAGTTTGACAAATAAATAAATGAAACAGAAAAGAGAGTCCAGAAATAGACTGACACAGACATGGTCAATAATTTTTTACAAAAATGCCAATAAAATTAAATGGAAGAAACTTATAATTTTCTCAAAAGATGGTGAAAGAACAATTGGATTTTATCTTGCAAAACATACACACACAAACACAAAACAAAAATCAAGAAAGGGTACAGAAAAGGCAAGATGGCTGACTAGACACAGCCAGGAGGAACAACTCCCACCAAGGGATGGGGCACTGGGAAGACTGGTGTACTCTAAGCAGATCTTCAGAGGGAAGGCATTGAGAATAGATGGAGGGAAGACACAGATGTTGGACTAAAGTGGGAGAAAACTGGGAATGTTGCATGGGGCTACTCTACACCAGGATGCATTCCTGGGCCCCAAAAACTCCTGGGGAAGGGGTGTGTTGAACAGGCAAGGAGAAACCTGCTCTTGCCACGGGCCTCTGGAATCTTGGCAGGAGGATACCTCTTGACCACCATGGACACTTACATTGGCAGGAAGAGCTGCTAAGAGAAGTGGTAGGGAAGAACTACAGCCAGAGCAGAACCCAGAGTGTTTAGTGTGGGAGCATCTGTAGAGGAGCATGGCCAGGGTCATCCCTTTCCCTAGGCTTGACTCACTCCCATTGGAGACATTAGCCCTAGGGGAACTGTCAGACCTGAAATCTGCAGAGAAATCTTGCCTATGAGACTGGGCCAGTTCAACCTGATCACCTCTCAGTCTGCTAGATACTCCTAGGGCCCCATCCCAGCCACGCCTGCTTGCAGTTCAGCCCCCCAGATACCTCCTAGGGGCCTGCATCATAGCTCCCATGATAGTGGACCACACACGTGACTAGCAGAGTACTCCAGCAGAGCAATCCCAGTGGACATGCACCAGCTGGCCTGCACCCTCCTCCCACTGCATCCTCCACTTGCTGCTTTGCCTGCACGCACTTGCCCACAGCCACCCCCCCCACCCACATTACTTTGCCAGTGTGTATGTGCAAGTGCAAACCATGCCTTCCCTTCCCTGCCAGTACACATGTGCATCTCCATCCTGCCATGCCACTATGCATGAAGAAAAGAGGACCTGCCCTGCCCTGAATGGCTACTGACACCTACAGGAATGTGCACAGACATGACACACAGTCCTGCACCCACCTGAGTCCTGCTCTCATGCTGAAACCACCACCTGCATGGACATGCACAGTCACACTTTCAATACCAGCCAGTGCTACAAATGCATACAGGAAAAGGCCTACTGCTTCTGTGAATACTGGCACAGATGCTATGCTGTTAATGCCAGCTGCTGCTGCAAATGCCCACATGGAGGCTGGCACCCTGGCACCCGCTAGCACCCTGTTGCAACTGACAAGGGTTCACCCCACCATGCTGCAGATGCAGCTGATACTGGCATGTGCAAACAAGGATGGATCCCACTGCCACCACCCTAGGATGTGCTTTGGCTGGCATTTCCTATTGGAATGTTATGAACAGCAGTCTGGGAGCACCTTGACTTTTCTAGTGCAACAAGTTCTTAACATCGAGGGGCCAGACTGGGTGCGGTGGCTCAGGCCTGTAATCCCAGCACTTTGGGAGGCCAACACGGGTGGATCATGAGGTCAGCAGATCGAGACCATCCTGGCTAACACGGTGAAACCCAGTCTCTACTAAAAATACAAAAAAAAATTAGCTGGGCGTGGTGACAGGCACCTGTAGTCCCAGCTACTCAGGAGGCTGAGGCAGGAGAATGGCATGAACCCTGGAGGCAGAGCTTGCAGTGAGCTGAGATCACGCCACTGCACTCCAGCCTGGGCGACAGAGTGAGACTCCGTCTCAAACAAACAAACCAACAAACAAAAAATAAACATCGAGGGGCCAGAGAACAAAGCAGGGTCCAATACAAGTCTCCCAGAGTTACAGCATGAAGTCCAGGAGTACTGAGCTGAGCCTTGGCCACTAAAATCTTCCAGAAATGAAGCCAGTCAATCTACCTTACATCACAAAAGCCATCAAATACAATAAAAGAAGAAAAAAATTCAAAAACAGCAACTTCCAAGATTGAAGGGCCATCAACTCACAAAGATGAGAAAAAACCAGTGCAAGAACTCAGACAACTCAAAAAGTCAGAGTGCCATCTTTCCACCAATCAACACTAATTCTCCAGAAAGGGTATTAACCAGGCTAAAATGGCTGAAATGACAGGAAGATAATTCAGAATATGGATAAGAATGAAGATAATTAAGATACAGGAAAACATTGAAATCCAATCTGAGTAAGCTAAGAGTCACAATATAAAGACACAGGAGTTGACAGACAAAATAGCCAGTACAGGAAAAAAAAATAACCAATCTGATAGAGCTGAAAAACACTCTGCAATAATTTTATAATGCAATCACAAGCATTATCAGCAGAACAGATCAAGCTGAGGAAATAATCTCAGAGCTTGAAGACTGACCTTCTGAAATAAGACAGTCAGACAACAATTTTAAAAAAAGAATGAAAAAGAATGAACAAAACCTCCATGAAATATGGAACTGTATAAAGAGTCCAAATCTATGACACTTGGGCATCTCTGAAAGAGATCAGGAGAATGAAAGCAGCTTAGAAAACATACTTCAGGATATCATCCATAAGAAGTTCCCCAACCTAGCTAGAGTGGCCAACATTCAAATTCAGGAAATGTAGAAAACCCCTGCAAAGTAATTCACAAGATCATCCCCGAGACACAAAAGCATCACATTGTCCAAGCTCAAATTAAAAGAAAAAATGTTAAAGGCAACTAGTGAGAAAAGACAGGTCACCTACAAAGGGAATCTTATAAAACCTAGCAGTGGACCTTCCAGCATAAATTGTACAAGTCAGAAGAGATTGAGGGTCAATATTCAACATTCAAAAAGAAAAGAAATTCCAACCACAAATTTTATATCTGGCCAAACTAAGCTTCATAATGGAATGAAAATAAGGTCCTTTTCAGACAAGTAAATACGGAGGGAATTTGTTACCACCAGATCTGCCTTATAAGAGCTCCTGAAAGAAGCACTAAATATGGAAAAGAAAGACCATTACTAGCCTCTGCAAAAGTACACCTAAGTACACAGACCAGTGACACCATATAGCAACCATACAAACAAGCCTGCATAAGAACCGTTAACAGCATGATGACAAAATCAAATCAACACATATCAATACTAACCTTATATGTAAACAGGCTAAATGCTCCAAATAAAAGGTACATAGTGGCAAGCTGGATAAAGAAGCAAGATGCCATAGTGTACTGTCTTCAAGAGACCCATCTCACATGCAATGACACACATAGACTCAAATTAAAGGGATGGAGAAAAATCTACCAAGCAAATGGAAAAGAGAAAAAAGCAAGGGTTGCAATCCTAATTTCAGACAAAACAGACTTTCAACCAACAACTATCACTAAAGGCAAAGTGAGGATTACAAAATGGTAAAAAATTTAAAATGCTAAAAGATTCAATTCTAAAGCGTTACAAAATGGTAAAGCATTCAATTCAACAATAGACCTTAGTATCCTAAATATATATGCATCCAACACAGGAGCACCCAGATTCATAAAGCAAGTTATTAGAGACCTACAAAGAGATGTAGACTCCCACACAATAATATTGTAAGACCTCAACACCCCACTGACAGTATTAAATAGATCATCAAGGCAGAAATTTAACAAAGATATTTAGAACCTGAACTCAACAGTGAACTAAATGGACTTGATAGAAATCTACAGAACTCTCCACCCAAAAACAGCATAATATACATTCTTCTCATTACCAGATGGCACATACTCTAAAATTGACCACACAATTGGACATAAAACAATCCTCAGCAAATGCAAAAGAATGGAAATCCTACCAACCACTCCTTTGGATCACAATGCAATAAAATTGGAAATCAAGATGAAGAGAATCACTCAAAACAATACAATTACCTTGAAATTAAAGAACCTGCTACTGAACTTTTGGGTAAATAATGAAATTAAGGCAGAAATCAAGAAGTTCTTTGAAATTAATGAGAACAAAGATAGAACATCCCAGAATCTCTGGGACACAGCTAAGGCAATGTTAAGAGGGAAATTTATAGCACTAAATGCCCACATCAAAAAGTTAGAAACATCTCAAACTAACAATCTAACACAACAAAAAGAAGTAGAGAAGCAGAATCAAACCAAAACAAAAGCTAGCAGAAGACAAGAAATGAACAAAATCAGAGCTGAACTGAAGGAGATTGAGACATTAAAAAAACTTTCTAAAGATCAATCAATCCAGGAGGTAGTTTTCTGAAAACAATTAATACAATAGACCATCAGCTAGACTAACAAAAAGGAAAACAGAGAGGATCCAAATAAACACAACTAGAAATGACAAAGGAGATATTACCACTAACCCCATAGAAGTACAAACAACCAACAGAGAATGCTATGAACACCTCTATGCATATAAACTAGAAAATCTAGAAGAAACAGATAAGTTCCTAGACACATACACCCTCCCAAGACTGAACCAGGAAGAAATTGAATCTCTTAATAGACCAATAATGCTCTCCAAAATTGAATCAGTAATAAATAGCCTACCAACCAAAAGGAAAAAAAAAAGCCCAGGACTAGGGAGATTTACAGCTGAATTCTACCAGATGTATAAAAAAGATGTGAAAGATCTGGTATCATTCCTACTGAAGATATTCCAAAAAACTGAGGAGGAGGGACTCCTCCTTAACTCATTCTATGAGGTCAGCATCATCCTGATACCAAGCCCTGGAAGAGACACACACACACAAAGAAAACTTCAGGCCAATATTCTTGATGAACATTGATGGAAAAACTTCAAGAAAATACTAGAAAACTGAATCCAGTAGCACATGAAAAGGCTAATACACTATGAACAGGTAGGCTTTATTCCTGAGATGCAACCCTAGTTCAAAATATGCAAATCAATAAACATGATTAGTCACATAAACAGAACTAAAGACAAAACCACATGATTATATTAATGGATGCAGTAAAAGCTTTCAGTATAACTCAACAACACTTCATGTTAAAAACTCTCAACAAATTAGGTATTGAAGGAATATGCCTCACAATAATAAAAGCCATCTATGACATACCCACAGCCAACATCATACTTACTGGACAGAAGCTAGAAGAACTCCTCTTAAAAACTGGCACTAGACAAGGATGCCTTCGCTCACCATGCTTTTTTAACATAATATTGGAAATACTGACCACAGCAATTAGGCAGGTGAAAGAAATAAAGAGCACCCAAATAGGAAGAGAGGAAGTGAAAATATCCCTGTTTGCAGATCATACAATTCCATACCTAGAAAACCCCACAGTCTCTTGCCCAAAAGCTCCTTGATCTGATACATGGCTTCAGCAAAGTTTCAAGATACAAAATCAATGTACAAAAATAAGTAGCATTCCTATGCACCAACAACATCCAGGCCAAGAGCCAAATCAGGAATGCAATCCCATTCACAATAGCCACAAGAAGAAGAAAATACCTGGAAATATAGCTAACCAAGTGGTAGCCTCTACAATGAAAATTACAAAATACTACTGAAAGAAATAAGAGAGATAACACAAACAAATGGAGAAACATTCCATGCTCATGAATAGAAACAATCAATATTTTCAAAATGGTCATACTGCCCAAAGTAATTTACAGATTTAGTGCTATTCCTTTCAAACTACCAATGACATTCTTCACAGAACTAGAAAAAAAATTATTCTAAAATTCATATGGAACCAAAAACAGCCTCAATGAACCAGGCAATCTTAAGCAGAAGAAAGAAAGCTGGAGGCATCATGCTACCTCACTTCAAACTATGCTACAGGGTTACAGTAACTAAAACAGCACTGCACTGGTACAAAAAAAGATACATAGACCAATAGAACAGAATAGAGAGCCCAGAAATAAGGCCACACACCTACAATCATCTTATTTTAGATAAAGTTGACAAAAACAAGCAGTGGAGAAAGAACTCCCTATTCCATAAATGGTGCTGGGATAACTGGCAAGCCATATGCAAAAGATTGAAACTGGACCTCTTTCTTATACCGTATACAAAAATCAACTCAGTATGAATTAAATACTTGAATATAAAACCCAAAACTATAAAAACCCTGGAAGACAACCTCAGCAGTACCATTCTGGACATAGGAATGGGCAAAGATTTTATGGTGAAGATGCCAAAAGCAATTGCAGCAAAAGCAAAAATTGACAAATAGGATCTTATTAAACTAAAGAGCTTCTGCACAGCAAAATAAACTATCAAGAGAGTAAAGAGACAACCTACAGAATTGGTGAAAATATTTGCAAATTATGCATCTGGCAAGGTCTAATATCTAGTATCTATAAGGAACTTAAACAACGTTACAAGAAAAAAAACACACAACCCCATCAAAAGTGGGCAAACATGAACAGACACATTGCAAAAGAAGACATATACACAGCCAACAAGCATATGAAAAAAAAACCCAACTAACACTGATCATTAGATAAATGAAAATCAAATCCACAATGAGATACCATCTCATATCAGTCAGAATGGCTATTACTAAAATTAAGGTTGTGAAAAATACACTTTTGGTGGGAGCATAAATTAGTTCAACCATTGAGGAAAACGGCATGGCAATTCCTCAGAGACCTAAAAACAGAAGTACCATTTGACCCAGAAATTCCATTACTGGGGATATACTTGAAATAATATAAATTCTTCTATCATATAGACACATGCACATGTATGTTCACTGCAGCACTATTCACAATAGCAAAGACATGGAAAACCTAAATGGCCATTAATGGTATTCTGGATAAAGAAAATGTGGTACATATACATGATGGAATACTATGCAGCCATAAAAAAGTATGAGATCATGTTTTTTGCAGGAACGTGGATGGAGGCCATTATCCTTAGCAAACTAATGCAGGAACAGAAAACCAAATCGCCACAGGTTCTCACTTATAAGTGAGAGCTAAATGATAACACGTGGACACAAAGAGGAGAAAACAGACACTGGGACCTACCTGAGGGTGGAGGGTGAAAAAAGGGAGAGGAGCAGAAAAAAATAACTATAGGGTACTAGGCTTAGTAACTGGGTGACTAATCTATACAACAAACCCCCGTGAAATGAGTTTTCCTACATAGCAAACCGGCACACGTACCCCTCAACCCAAAATTAAAGTTTTTTTAAAAAAAGAACAACAAAAATCTTGAATTTTACCTCACATCACGTTCAAAAATTAACTCATAATCAATCATAAACAGAAAAGTAAGAGATAAAACTATAAAATTTCTTTTTAAAATGAGGTAAAATCTTAATGATCTTAGGTTTGGCAAATATTTCTTAGAACACAAGAAAAATCAACTCTAAAATTACAAAAATCATTAATTATATTCCACCAAAAGTAAAAACTTTTTTTCTTTAAATGCACTATTAAGAAAATGAAAAGGTAAGCCACAGATTGGGAGAAAATATTTCTAAAACATATCCAACAAAAAACTGTGTCTAGAGTACACAAAAGCACTTAAAGCTCAGTAATAATCAGAGAAAAAACTCAAAAATGGTCAAAAGTTTGAAGAGATACTTCACCATCGAAGAAATATAGATGGCAAATAAAAATATGGTAATATACTCAACATAATTAGTTGAAAAATGCAAATGAAAACCATAATAAGGTATTAATACATGCCATGTAAAATGTTTAAAATTAAAAAGAATAAACATTTCAAGTATCAGTAAGAAGATAGAGCACTTCTACACCTATTTGCTATTATTTGGGAACAAATTGTTGCAATCATTTTAGAAGAGTTTGGTAGTTTATTAAAAAGTTAAACATATTCCTACCAAATGACCCAGACATTCCACTCTTAGGCCTTTACCCCAGATAAATAAAAGCATATGTTCATACAAAGATTTGAATGTAATTATTCATAGCAGTTTCATTTATAATAGCCCTAAACAGGAAACAATACAATGTTCATTAGTAGATGAATAAACAAATTGTGGCATAGCACATAATGTAATACATTCAGCCTTTTATTCCTTTTGGTGCTACCAGTAATTCGTTCTCTTTCCTTTTGCATTATTTTTCTTTAGGTTGCTTTTTCACAGGACAATATATAAGCCCATAATTGAAAGGACAGAAAAATTGAGTGTGCATTTATACACTCACAGATAATTGAGAAATGCTTTTACTGATCCTAATACACCCATGCTCACTGTAGAAAAAATATAAAATTAAAAAAGGAATAATGTACACAATATCAGCACAATGTCAGGTCCAAAAGAATTGCTATTATTTGAATTTTACATGGTTCATTCTGGTTATTCAATGTTTATTTCTGTTGTTTTGGTTTCTATTAAGTTATCAGAATCATTAATATTATCCCATAAGTATTTCCCATATCAATTCACCAACCTTTCTTCATCTAGACACTGACAAAGGTAATGGTAAGGAGGGGCTGAAAGTGCTCTATACAATTCTAGTGAGATTACTACTCCATCTTCCCACGTATACTCTCCAACTCACTAAAATCAATTAACTAGGAATCCAGCCCCAGTTAATAGACTACGAGTAGAGTGCACACCTTTCTATGAGGAACCCTCAGGGTATATGTAGGGGAGAAAAAAGTAATATATTTTCCTTACCCATTGCATGATTCATGGCTGACACTCCTATAGCAAAGGACAGATTAACAAGAAAAAAAGCACAAAAAATTATTTAATCAGTTTCACATGACACAGCACCCTTCAGTAATGAAGAACTCAAAGACCCAGGAAAAAGTGTATTTTTATGCTAAGTCTGCTGAAAGAAGTGGGTAGTTGTAGAGAACATGATTGAACAAAAAAGGTAATAAACTGCGGAAAACTCAGCAAGGCTTGCTTGTTCAGATTCTTCTTGGTATCTCTGTCTGCATTCCTTCCCTCTGAGTATAGGTTAGGATGCCTATTACATGAGGATCTTATGACCTACTTTCAGGGGAGGTAGGTCAGAGAGTGATGTTCCTTGGTTTTATAGCTTGCTTTGGTTGTGGGATAAGGGGGAAAGAGCAGGGGAGAAGAGGAAGTCAGAGAGACCTTCTTGCTGCTGAAGTCCTCCTTTCTCCTTTAACTAAAAAATACCCAACATGCCAAGGCATCATACTTTAGGTTATAATTTTCTAAGCACCATACTTTAGGGTAACATGTTTAGAATTTAAAGGTTTCCTGATCTGTCTTCTTCCACAGTCCACACCATTTTCTATATCCTGTTAACCTCAGGTATCTCAAGAGGTCTATGCCTCAGTTCTGGGCACTTTCCCCAATCAATGCTACAAATTTTCCAATCAAATTAGGACTCATAATCTGTCATCATCAAAATCCTCTACATCCTCCTGCTCTCCTCTAGATGTTCTCCTAACCCTGTTTTAATTCAACCTGGACTCATCTCTGAGACATTACTGCTCTACATTACTTTCAAGTGGGTCTTATTTTTTTCTGTCTTATCCTACATAGCCCTGGACTTTTAGGGTCTCATAGCCAGACACATCTAGATCATGTTCCCACTTTGTTCCCTAAAGAAAATACCACTTCCTTTGAGGCTTTTACCATTAAGTTCTACCACCCAACCCCTCTGTATTGAAAGTCATTTATTAACTAAGTGGATCCTAAATACCGCCTGGCTATCCTATTCGTACTTCAATTGTCTATCCACATTTTTACTCTCTAAAAAATTATTTAGCATCTCTTCTCAAATGTCCAGCACCCCTTCCTTTTCTAGACACACAGCTGTCAATCTATTTCTTATTACACAAGAAAATAGAAACAATCGCAAGAGATATTAATCGTTTTCTCATAAAATTTACCAAACATATGAACTTACGTGCTCTGCCGTTCCTTCTGTTATACTAGGTTAACTGTCCCAGATCCAATCTAATGTCAACCCCTAGGCTATGCCCATCTCCTCTCACCTACTCAAGGACGTATCTTATGCAATTAACCTCTATTTCTAAAAATACCAATTTTCCTTCCCTACAGCAATCCTATCAACTAACATGGTGTGATGTCTTTCTTCTTAAAAAAACAAACATACAACTCTTCCTTGACCTATTATTACCTTCAACCCTGTAATCCCCTCTATAACAAAACAAACACATAGAGTTATTTTTATTTGTTTTCTCCAGTTGTTCAGCTTTTCTTTCTTCCTCCAACCACTCCAGTTAGGCTTTTGCAACTATCACTCCCAGTGAAAGAATTATAAGGTCAACAATGGTCTCTACGTTGCCAAATCCAAGTTTCAATCCATATTTTACTCAGCTACTCAACAGCATTGGACATGGTTGATCATGGCCTCCTACTTAAAAATATTAGGTTGGTGCAAAAGTAATTGTGGTTTTGCCATTACTTGTTTTGCTTACTTCCCAGATTCCTCAGTGTTTTCCCATCTCAGTAGCTGCAACTTCAGGATCATTTTTTTTGTTTGTTTGTTTCTATCTTCTCACTAACCTCTTAACATTGAAGGTCCCGGGGTCAACTGTTGACCTTCTTCTGTATCCAATTTGCTCCCTAGTTTATCTCATTTAATGCCCGAGGCTTTATATATCAAGCTGATGACCCATAAGTATTTTACCTCTTGCTGAAACGGGAGAATTCCCTGACCCCCAACCCCCCTTGCAGAACTTGTGACAGGGTGTGGCTCATCTGTTCTGTTGCTGCACACTCAAACCCCTTATGGGAAGGGAACCATGCAGACAGGCAGGTGCAAGTGCCTTTGGGCTCTGGCCCCACAGTAGTGTCCAGGGGTGGGTGCCTGCAACTCCTGAAGCCCCAGTGAGTGTGTTACAGTCCTCTTTCAGCTCTGCTGTCCACAGATGGCTTAAGTGTTAACAAGCTCAGTGTTCTCTTGGTACCCAGGTCCTTGTCCAGTGTTCAGAAAGAATCAGTCACAAGAAAAATTGAAGGATGGGAAATGTGGAGAATTTTATTGCTCGATGGAGGTGGCTTTCAGAGGGATGGATGGGGAGCTGGAAAGGGGATGAAGTGGGAAAATGATCTTCCCCTGGAGTTCAACCATCTTGCAGCCAATGTCCTCTCTAACGATCCCCAGCCAAACCCCTCTCAATGTTCAGACACTCCTTCTCTTCTCTCCTTCTCTGCCACTCTGTTTCTCTTCTATCCTCTGTTCTTCTGCTTGTGGAGCCTGGAGTTTAGGGTTTATATGGGTACAGGATGGGGAGCATGGCAGGGCAAAAGGCAACATTTGGGTGCAAAAACAGGAGTGCCTGTTCCCATTTAGGGCTACAGGTTTCCAGGCTTGAGATTGGGGCCTTTGCCAGGGAACCGCCCTCTTTTACCTAGTATTTCCCTACTTCCTGCCTGTATCATTGCCTAATCTCCAGATTCATGTATGTATATCCCTAGTATCTAGAAAATACATGTTAAATGATAGGTTCTCAATAAGTATTTGTTTTAGGTACAAATCACAAATAAATATCACTAAAATTACTTAAAGCATAATTTTAAGTATTTTGCTAATACTAATTTACAAATACATTAAAATACATTGCTAATTTTCTTTTTCTATTCTTTTTTTTTTAAATTTTTTAGACAGGATCTTGTTTTGTCACCCAGGCTGGAGTACACCGGCACAATCTTAGCTCACTGCAGCTTTGACCTCCTGGCTTAGGTGATCCTCCCACCTCAGCCTCCCTAGTAGCTGGGACTACAGTGTGCACTATTACACCTGGCTAATTTTTGATTTTTGTGTAGACATGGTTTCTCCATGTTGCCCAGGCTGGTCTCAAACTCCTGGGCTGAGATGGTCCACCTGCCTCTGCCTCTCAAAGTGCTGGAATTATAGGCATGAGCCACTGTGCCCGTCCATTGATAATTTTCTATCATAGGTCTAAAGTTTTCATATTTAATATTGAGAATTTAGTTTCTAAATGTTCTGTAATCAATAATGTTGGATTCTAAATCTCTCTAGCAGCCAGGTGGCTATGAATTCTTGCTTGACGCTTTTATTGTTGTTGCTTCATTTCTTTTCAAGTCTCTTGCTTTATGTGAATGATGGGGGGAATGCCTGTGTACATGAGAAGGATGCATACTAAGTGAGATGATGCAAAGCACTTGTCATATGCCCAACATTGTGATAGGGGCCCAAAAATAATACTGTCTTTGTGCATGAATCCTTGAAAACATCAAGGATTCTTACCTCAGATTGGATTCCCAGAACTCTAATTACACTGTTGGGGCATATGAATATTTGTATTGCCACCAACACGTATTGCCAAGCAGTCTTTCCAAAAGGCTGTACTAATGTATACTTGCATTAACACTCTATGAGAGTACCTGCCTCATGATACTTTCGCAAGAACTATTATCAGTTTACAGAAATTGAATTAGCAACGTTTAACTAACCGAAGTAATATAAGCACGTACTTCTTGTATCGGATGTAATCCTAATATGGTAACAACTTGTCATATTACTTAAATTGACTTTGCCTTAGTTTCTCCATCTGTGAAATGGAGATAAATTTGGGGATTGAAAAGGGAGATATATAATTGGACTAATCAACAAGCATAGTGCTTTTTGAAAAGATAGAATGCTATGGGGCCATGTGATTTTACCACATGATATACTCAGAATATCCCAATCAAAATCAAGTGTGCATTGAAAGAGAGCTGTGAGCACAATTTAGCTGATAAATGCTGTCAGGAAGGCATACTTGTTTCTTTTCAGAGCAGCTGGCTTGTCTGAATTGCTTAAGCCGTACAGTAGCCTTGCAATTATGATGTGTATGTCTGTGCGCTTTATCCTTACAAAATCATCTCCATGTTCATCTGCTTAGTCATTAAGTTTTATGGTAGAAATTGAATGCCTAATGAAATTGCAGATTTCAACTGTTTTATGGCCACTAACAAAATCTCATTTACCACAGAGTAGCTATGAAAAGATGTAAATGACAGATGAAAGTATAGAGCATTATTATAAATGGAAGAGGGAAATTAGTTCCAAGGATACACAAAGAAACAAAGCTGAAGCCATTTTTTACCATTTCCTCCACCATTCTTTCATCTGTTCATTCATTCATTCATTTAACCATTCAACAATCATTACTAAACACCAACTGAAGTGACCAGGACATCATTTCTTTTTACAAAAATCCTGTAATATAGATATGGAAACTAATAGGGCCATAGGCAAATCAAGGCAGCTACACTACTTACAACAATACTTTTGTGTGATGGCTTTAAAGGAAGTGGTGATGGTGGAGTAGAAATTCTCAGGTATGTGAATCAAAAGGAGCATGAGACAGTGGGTAATTCTCATAGGATTTAAAGTTGTGTGCTACATTAATTAAATTTAGTGGTTTCCAACTAGGCTGGAATAATGAATAGATCAATATCCTGAAAGACATATGTTCTTGGACAATTTACATTATTTGAATATTAATTTTTATAGGCTCCCTTATCTCTCTTTTCTGTGATGTGGGTGTGCATGTGTGTCTGTCTGTCACTTTGTCTTTCTGTCTCTAATAAATGAAAAGACACAAAAAACTGTAAACTGACAGGTTTGATATTGGCCATCAATAAAACGACTAACGTGAAACAGGGAGCTTGTGCTCATGTAAAAAGATCTAGATTTCAGTCAGAATGCAAAAGCATTCACTAAGAGATGACATTTGATCAGATTAAATATTTTGCTTTGTCTTCACAAATTTACTTGGTTTTGGAATCATCATGGACAATGGACATGTCATTATGTTGATTCCACAAATTCTGTGACAAAGTGCTTTTGGAGAGAAGAAAATATGCACTTAGGGGGACTCTCAGCTTGTGACACAACTACATATGCAATGTTGATGCGTCCACAAAATTAGCAATGGATGGGAAACAATGACACAAGCTGGAAGGCATGTCTAGTTGTTTCACAAGCCTTGTCTTAGTCAATAAATTCTTACCAACAATTCTGACATAATGAATGGTGGCAGTGAAACAGGAGAGTTCCCTGATACCCCTCACAGGATGTGCAACAGGGGCGTGGCTCATCTGTTTGGCCACTGTGCTGCATGCTCAAATCCCTTATGGGAGGGGAGAGCACACAGATGGTCATGTACAGGAGCCAGGGTGAGTGCTCCTGGGCTCCGGCCCCATGGCAGTGTCAAGGGATGGGTGCTTGCAACTCTAGAGGCCCAAGTGGGGGTGGGTCACAGTGCACTCTTTTAACCTTGCCATTCACAGACAGCTTAAGTGTTAAACTGCTCAGTGGACCCTCTGTCTTGTCATAAGGGCAGAGGGGCAGTGTGACAGCTTTCTGTATCCTGAGCTCTTGTCCAGTGTCCAGGAAAAATCAGGTCTCCCATGGTCTTGAAGGACAAATGTGGGTGTTTTATTGAGTGGTGGAGGTGGTTCTCAGTGGGACGGACAGGGAGCTGGAAAGGGGATGGAGTGGGAAGATGATCTTCTCCCTGAGCTTGGCCATCCAGTGGCCGATCTCCTCTCTGAATGCTCCCAGCTGAACTCCTCTTGGTATTCAGATGCTCCTTCTCTTCTCTCTGTCACACCATTCTGCCATTCTTCTGCTCTTCTGCTCGTCTCCTCATCTGCTCGTGTACTCATGTGCTGGTGGAGTCTGGGGCTTGGGATTTATACAGATACAGGATGGGGGGCATGGCTGGCCAACCTCCTTGCCCCCTGGCTTCTGGTTGATATCAGCCAATAAGCTGCAGCAGCAGGGCAAGAGTGGGGTTGAGGTGTTCACTTCCTTACCTCTCTGCCTTCAGGGTAAACTGGAGCTGGCTACATTCTTCCACTAAAGTACACAGCTCCTGTTGGTGTTGAGGGGCTGGTAATCACTCAGGCAACTACTCAGGTAAACACTCCCTTGCCTTGCCCCTTCAGGCCTAGTTATGGTAATGTCTCTGGCAAACAGCATTCTCTTCTGTACGTTCCCCTTATCTCTGCCCTCATCTTTGTAAATATCCTCCATCATACTCTTCTCACATATTCCATTTGAGTGTGCCTGCTCCTTCCAGGCTACTTGTTTAGAAACCCCAGAGTAACCTGCAGCTTGCTTTATTCTTAGTATTCCACATACAATTAGTTGCCAAGCTCTGTCTATTCTACCCCCCTCCATGGCATCAAGTCCATCCTTTTTTCATGCCTATTAGCACAGTGCTAGTTCATATGAACTTTGACATTAAATCATGTGATCACATGTAAAAGCAACATATAAATTATAAATGTCATTTCAGTATTACTTCTAGTTACTATTATTATTGCTGAATAGCTATTATTCAGCAATAGTTACTATTCTTATTGCTGAGCCCCTGAACTCCCCTCTTGGTTTTCTAGCTTCTTCAGTACATACCACACAGAGCCAATAGTTCTTTCTAAAACCAAATCCAATCATATCACTTTCCTGCTCTAAAGCTTTTAGTGGCTTCCAAGGGTCTAGAATAACCCTAAGTTCACTTTGCATGCTTTCATGCCCCAACAATCTGGCTCTAGTACATAATCCTTCTTATCTTGTGCTGTATTCTATCTATGGGCCTTTAGCTTCCTGGTGCCACTTCATGCCCCAAAATGTCCTGAATTTATCCATCCCTGCCTCCTTGCTATATGATATTCCCCTGGTCTATAATATCATTTACATAGTGGTCCCATGTTGGTGAAATTCTATTCAACATTCATGACCTTTAACTTCAAATGCCACCTTCTCCACAATATTTTTTTCTGATCCTATGAGGGAAAGAAACTCTGTCTTTTCCACACTCCCCCAGATCTTGTTCATGTTCCACTAAGGTATGCATGTAGCACCTTGGGTTGTGTTTACTTACAAAATGACTGTTCCACAGGGCCATTTTATACTCCTGGGCAGAAATCATTTGCCTACCCCACTTACTTAATTTTCATCCCTTCAATGTTTAGCTCATATTGACTGCTTGAAAATGATTGGTAAAGGGAACTGGATGATGACATATGATTAGAAGATAATTTTATCAAATTCATGTACCAAACAAAGCTATCATGCAAAGTTAATAAGAAGGTTGAAAGAATCAAGTTTCAAGATCACTTTGATTGATAGAATAGCTATGGTGAAACTAACAAAACATATTAAAGGATATAAAGGTATTACTCTAAATTTTAAATGCATAAATGAAGATCTAGTGAGTCCTAATTGAGCAGCAGTTTAAATTATAATTCTGGATTTTTTCATGGGCCATAATGAAAACATGGAATAATAAATGCAACCAAAACATAAAGGTAAATTTCATATCAAGTTTTAATAAATAATAGAATTTTAGAGTAAAAGTAACAAGAGTTGTATTTTATTCTGTGAAGTTTAGACTATTCCAGGTAAGATATACATATTTTAAAGAAGGGTTTGACAAATTAGTAAGAGTCTGTTAGTGAGAGTCTACACAAGTTAACCAGGATATTTTGCCAGAAACAAAGAAGACTTTGAAATAAAGCCAATCACTGCCCTCACCCAATATGTAAAGCTGATTCATCTTTGTAGTTTCCAAGACTCAAAATTACAGCCAATGGGCAGAAGTTGTAGGTAGAAAGTGGTCAAGCAAATATGAAAAAAGAGTATAGCTATTTCTTATAAAATCCTAAGCTCCTGGTTACTATAATTGTTTAAGTAGAAGCTAAACAGTCCTACATCAGTGATGAAGTGAAAGGAATTTCCACATTCGCAGGAAAAAAGGAATAGATCACTTTCGAAAGTCACTCCCTGGTAAATCTGCCACAAACACAACTTTTAATGTCTCAGTTCATTTTTACAAAACCTTATTTGGCTCCATGTTTTCCACTGTTTCAATTATAAACTGCTTCTCAATGACTTTCATAGTCATACCTAGAGTACATATTCTTAATTCTGAATTATTCTCAGGAATTGCCTCTAAAAGTATAAGATCTGTCAGTATATGCCTCTAAAACTGTAAGAGCTGTCTCATGCCTTAGTAACATACCAAGATCTTGTGGTTAACACTGGTAAAGTAACAGTAAGTTTTTTAAGGTTTGCTTTTCTCAAGATAATAGTCATCAGTCTATAGAGTTCAAAGAGAAATATTTTGTGTGAAGACTGGAAAATTGCCACCTCCTCGGGCCTCCCTCGTATGTTTTTTATTTGAGGTAAATATCATTCATTTAACAAATATTTATTGGTAAGTAAAAGTACTTATGGATTTGGGTATAAATATATGGTGCCACTTCTCATTGTGCTTAAATATGAGAGGTCTTCAAATGTATTACGGAAAATGTGTATTATGAAAAAACTACTTAGATTTTCATTTTTTGTACCAAAATGATCTTGAACTATCTTGTTATAACATGTCTGAACAGAGTCGAGTTTGAGGCACTAAGAAGGATGAGACAGGAGTTTCAGAAATGCCTCTATCAGAGCAACATAAATTCTGCTACAATTGAAGCAAGAACAAACATCAAATTTGTGGTGAAGCTTAGGTGGAAGAATGATGAAGTCATTGGTGCCTTATGAAAAGTGTACAGGGACAATGTTCCAAAGAAATCAACAGTTTACAAATGGATAACTTATTTTAAGAAAGGACAAGTGGATGTTGAAGATGAAGACTGTGGCAGCAGACCATCCACATCAGTTTGCAAGGAAAAAATTAATCTTGTTCATGCCTTCATTAAAGAGGATAAACAATCAACAGCAGAAAATAGTCAACACCACAGGCATTTCAGTTGGTTCAGCTTACACAATTCTGACTGAAAAATTAAAGTTGAGCAAACTTTCCATGTGATGGATGCTAAAACTGTGGCAGCCAGATTAGTTTCAGACAAGAATAGAGCTTTCAATGGAAATTTTAAAACAAGTGGGGTCAAGCATTTCTTTGAAATATTTCTTTGAGGAATTATAACAGGAGATGGAATGCAGCTTTACTAGCAGAATCCTGAAGACAAAGCACAATCAAAGCAATGGCTACCAAGAGGTGGCAGTGGTCCAGTCAAAGCAAAAGCAAACCAGTCAAGAGCAAAGGTCACTGTCGCAGACTTTTTCTTGGATGCTCAAGGCATTTTCTGTCTTGACTTTCTGGAGAGCCAAAGAATGATAACATCTGCTTATTATGAGACTGTTTTGAGAAAGTTAGCTAGAGGTTTAGCCAAAAAACACCCAGGAAAAGCTTCAGCAGAGAGCCCTTCTCCATCATGACAATGTTCCTGTTCATTCTTCTCATCAAACAAGGGCAATTTTGCAAGAGTTTCATGGGAAATCATTAGGCATCTACCTTATAGTCCTGACTTGGCTTCTTCTTATTTCTTTTTGTTTCCTAATCTTAAAAACAAAATCTGTAAAGGGCATCCCTTTTTCTTCAGTTAATAATGTAAAAAAAGATTACATTGACATAGTTAAATTCCCAAGACACTCAGTTCTTTAGGAATGGGCTAAATGGCTGGATCATCACTCACAAAAATGTCTTGAACTTGATGGAGCTTATGGTGAGAAATAAAGTTTATATTTTTAAATTTTATCTTTTAATTCCATTTTTCCACAATTTTTTTAAAAGCTTTGTTGTATGGGGGAAAAACAGGAAAGCAGATCATTACATTCCAAATAACAAGTGCAAGGGCAAAGAAGAGAAAGTGCTTGTGCTCTGGGGAAGTTGAAAGGGTAAGAGAAGGATCCACATCGGAGGTCAATGTTGAAGTCAGGTTTGAGACATGAACAGAAGCCCAGCAGAGGCAAGCAGGGAGAAACTTTCATGCCTGAGAAAACTGGGAACTTTTACACAGACCTAGGAGAACAGAATGTATTTGATAATTTACACGTGATTTTGAACTTGCTCCAGCTCTGTTTAAGCAGGTAATAGAAGTTGAGGTTGAGCAGCATTCAAATCACAGGATCTTGCTTGCTTTGATAAGAAATTCAGACTTTATGCTATTTCTCTTCTGCCATGATAGGGAAGGAGGCTCATCAGGGGTTTCATTTTATTTTATTTTATTCTATTTTATATTAAGTTGTGGGTGGTTTTAGACGGGAAAAGGGATACATGGCTTGGATAAAGCCCAGATATTCTGAATTCCCAAAGGTTAACTCCTGGACTGAAAGCAGCTTTCCCTTCGGCAACCCAATGAAGCGTGCGCTGCTTCCGGGCACAGTCACACGTCTGAGGCTGCTGTGCATAGCTTCCGTTTCAAGTCCAAACACAGCTGACTCAGAGAGGCTAGAGGAAGAGAAAAATCATTTCGGACAAGGACACTCAAGGGACATATTGCAGCAAATTCCACCAATTGAAGCAAATTCTCTGGATTGTGGAGTAGCGGTGTGCGGGGGCTCAGTGCCCAGCAGGAAGTCAGGTGGCTCCGCGCAGAGGCCTAGTACGAGCACAGCTGCGTGGCACTTGTGTTGCCTGCGAAGCAGCGACAAAGAAAACACTCTTCAGGACGCTGAAGAATGATCCCTGATTGCTCTGGAAAGAGATAGAAGAACACGCGACAGATATTTTAGGTCCTTGGCCTTTGAGGAATTATCTTGAGAGCTCTGTTAGGTTATTCTTGGGAAAATGCTAACCTTGCAATTCAGGGTCTGAAAATGCCTGTCTATTATGAAGACAGCAAGGCTTAAGATCTGCTTCCAAAACTGGTTATAAATATCAGCTCCTTAGCTTTTAATGCCTTTCTCTCTTTCTCTCTCCTCCCCTCCCTCACCCTTTATTCCTAGCATCAAAACTGGGAGAAAAGAAGTAGGTGCATTAGTTCATATAATCAGCTTCAATGAGATTGTTCCAGTTTTCTGGAATGTAATCTTATTTCCTATTGTGCTCTATGCTTTCAGTAAAGAGAAGTATAACCATACTTTTCCACATCCTTTTTGGAAGAATGTGCATCCCTTCAGTGTCTGAGGGACAATGGGGTCAACCCTTAAGCATCATGTCCAGATCTTCGAAGCTGGCATAGGAGAAAAATGAGTTCCACAAATTGCCCAGGTCACCAAACAGAATTGTAGAGCTTGAACCTGATGTCTACACACAGAGTTCTTCCAAACAATATTTGCTGCATACATTTTCATTAGAATATTTTCTTAGCTCAGTCTTCCAGCACTTCTTTTCTTGATTGCTCAAAGATCAGTGACAACACTTCAGCATCCTTACTTATAAGTTTTCTCCCTACCTTCAATGATATTTATTAGGCAAATTGTCTTTGATGCATTCAGGATAGTTAAGTGCTTCTAGAGTATTCCTTTATCCACCTTGCTCTTCATTCCCCGCTGTAGGTCTGTTCTTTTCAGTTTGAAGATCCTCACCATGATTTCATAAGAAGTTAGAAACAAAATAAGAGACAGAATTGTTTTCTCTTCATTGGCCCCAAATCTCTGTCCTATATTTTGCAGTAAACTAAAGACTATCTCAAGGAAGGCAGGGAAAGTGATCTACTCACCTCAGAATCCCCATGCCTAACACTGTACCTGCTGCATCCTGTCTGCCTGATAATTGTTCTAGTGAGTGGAGCCACATCTCCTCTCTCCAAATGTGGCAAACACATCCTGCAGTGACCCCC
This sequence comes from Homo sapiens, assembly GCF_000001405.40. Taxonomy (NCBI): domain Eukaryota; kingdom Metazoa; phylum Chordata; class Mammalia; order Primates; family Hominidae; genus Homo; species Homo sapiens. The sequence continues at coordinate 4,809,083 of NC_000018.10, forward strand.
AGTGAGTCACATCCATGGTAATCCCATCTCCTGGAGAGTGGGCAGAACCTGTTACCTGCTACTAACCAATAGAATATGGCGAAAGTGACGGAATGTCACTCGCATGATTGTGTTTCTTTATATGGTAAAACAGAAGGGAGTTTTCAGATGATGAAATTAATCACCAATTAGTTGATTTTGAGTTAATGAAGAAGAAGCTTGCCCTGGAAAGGCCTGACCTCATCCACAGAGCTCTTTCAAAGAGAATTTAGGCTTTCCCTGAGCTCAGAGACTCAAAGCAGCAAAGACTCTCTCTCTCCCAGTGGCCCTGAAAAAAACAACCCACCATGAATTCTGCAGCTGCAAGGAAATGAGCTCTAGCAACCACATGAGCTTGAAAGCGGACTCCAGCCTCAGATGAGATTGCAATGCCTTGATTGAAGCTTTGTGAGGTCATAAGCAGAAGACCTAGCTAAGCCATGGAAACTGTAAGATAATAAATGGGTGTTTGAAGTGAGTTTTTATGTAGTAATAGAAAATTACTGCATTGAACATACATCAGATTGCCCTTTGCTGTTCTTCTTTGCATTCCTTTGCAAGTGTCAGTTATTTTTGCTCCAGATTCTTCCTGACATAATTTTTTAAAGTTTTATTTGTCTGTGGTTATTTTGTTTATTTATTCCCATATATGTATGATTTTAAAAGGTGTTCCACTGGGACATTGCCTGACTTACCATGTTGTGTGGGTTCTTTGGATTTCATGTCCCTTTCTTACTTGCTGAGGTTAAAAACAGTGACCTAGGTAGAATTTAATCTTTCAAAGCCCTTGACTCTCTCCGGCCCTTTCTTCCCTCTGGAGTTTTGTGGCATAGACTCATGAAATCATTTCTTTGATACTTAGAAAACCTACCACCTGGGTTTGTTGTGAGATCGCACCAAAATATAGAGCATTAGAATGCCCCCTATCACTTTATAGAGTTCAACATATTTTTCTTTTTCTTTTTTTTTTTTTTTTTTTTTGAGACAGGGTCTCACTCTGTCACCCAGGCTGGAGTACAGTGTCACAATCACAACTCACTGCAGCTTGGACTTCCTGGGCACAAGAAATCCTTCCACCTCAGCCTCCTGAGTAGCTGGGATCACAGGCACATGCCACCATTTGCAGCTAATTTTTTTTATTTTTTGTAGAGACAGGGTTTTGCTATGTTGCTTGGGAGTTGCTCAGGTGTTGAACTCCTGGCCTCAAGTGATTCCTCCTGCCTTGGCCTCCCAAAGTGCTGGGATTATAGGCATGACCCACTGTGCCCAGCAGGATTCAAAATTTTATAGAGCCCCCTAGAAAACTCCTTTCACCTCCTAAAGATGGAGGCCCATTGCTTTAAGATAACATGGCCGTGTTTCCTCAGGCTCACATCATATCCTTCTCATTTGCAGATAAATCCTTCTTTGGATCAAAATTATTCCCAAAGTAGCCATTTCTTAATTGTCTCCATCACCTCATGGGAGATGTAGCTGTTGGGAAGCTGGGCAAGCAACAAGGTTATCTGTAGTTATTAAGACTTGGGACAGGTGCCTGGGTGGTGAAAGCTCACTAGCACTCCACTCTCACCTCTGAATCAATGCAAGAACTCACACAGGAACTGCATCTCCCATTGTTCTACTTACCTAGGAATGAGGTCATGCAGTAAAGAGCATTCTTCTAAGAAGGACCTAAAAAAAGGCAAGCTGGGAGCAGGCTAATGCCAAAGCACACATGAATCTCCTGAACATTGCCCTGTAAGGACAACTGCACCATACATGGGTGCGGGGAGACGTTTTCCTCAACTTGACTTAGTGAAGGGTAAACTAAAAGGGACCGGGAGGGAAGGAGACAAAAAATACTAAAGTCCTGGAGGGCAAGATGTCACAGGGGAGTGTGTTCATTCTTTTGCTCACTCACTCATTGCTTCATTCAGCAAACACGTATTGAACAGCTCCCAGGTGCCAGGTTGCTTTTGTGTGATTAAAAGAAGGAGATGATCAAAGTGTGATTTCATGAAACAGATGGTTTATTTTAATACAAAGAGAATATTTTGTTAGGTTCACAATGCTTGAAGAGGGGGAGAACAATGAGAACAAACTCACAGGGAATACATTTGATTTTGATAGACAAGGTACATCTCCACATAGTGAGTGAGTTCCAAAACTGTTAAACTCTAGCTAATCAATTAGGATGGAAGCAGACCTCTGTGGAAAGTAAAGTCCAGTTAAAGGTTAAGGTGTACCTTTATATGAAAAGTTTCTCAGGAAAGCTGGCATCCAACACAGCAGAGATCAAACACAGCAGATATCCATGATGAGCCTAAAGCTGAAGGGTGGTGTTGGTGCTGCCAGGCCAGGCTTTGGAGATAACTTCAAAGGCTAACAGGCTGTGGTGCTGTGGCTGCCTAAGCTGTGAGTATTGGCAAGGCAGCTGAAAGTGCAGCCTGCCATGGCCTCAGCTCTTACAGTGTCTGCCAAACTCCTGAGTTTATTGTATTTGAAATCCAGTAGTTGAGGTCAGTAGCTCACATATGGGGTCTGATTAAGGTGTGGTATTACATTCCTAAGGGCAGGGGAAGTATACTCCATGTTCACACATGTAGAGTCTGATAAGATGTCCCATTCTTCAGAAGAGGAGGAATGCACTCCAAGTTCTATTACAGCAAAATATACATCACTCATGTTGCAAATTATGTAGGTGTTTGGAATCATTTCAAAGTTACATAATATAGGTATTAAGCAAAGTGCTAGGGATATTAAGATTAAAACATGGTTATTGGCTTCAAGAAACTATCTACTGCAAGGGATAAATTAAACCCAGATAGTAAAAGCATGGTAGGAACTGGAATAAAAATAAATACAGATTGTTATAAAAGCAAGTAGGAGTTCAGTCCAAGCCTGAACTCAGCCTAAGCCTGAACTCAGCCTTGGAAATAAAAAATGTTTCTCAGAGATGTTTCAATAACACCATCTCGAAGGTCATGTAAGAGTTATCTAGGACAAGAAGGAGAAGAGCTATTAAGGGAACAAAGCATAACCCAGAATGAGAAGAAAAGGGACCATTGTGAGCAACGCAAGTGAAGAAGAAGCCCATATGACTGGACAGAGGAATGTGCAGGAGTAGGTAGAATTCAAAGAAGTTAGAGAGACAGGCCCAGGAATTATCATGATTGGCATAATATGACATGCCAAAGAGTTTAGATTTTATCCTAGAGGGATTGGGGGCCACTGAAAAAGTCTTAAGTGGGAGGGTGACATTATCAAACTTGTTATAAATTAATATTTGCTGTTTGAAAATTTTGTCCACTAATTAAGTTTTATACTACTCCAACTTAAAAAGGCTGTGACCAGGTATTCATAGCAAGGTCAGAGGTAGAAATTAAGAGTCATATAGGACAACCTTACATCTTCTCAACCAAAATCAATGTTGCAACTGCATTATACGTAGTAGTGAAAGAGCACCTTTTGCTTACTGAATCCTATCTTTTAAAGCACTGAGAATGTAATAGGGCCTTAATAACTGAATAGTAAACAAATGAGGGTCTGTGTGTTTGAGCTTATGATAGTGTTTCCTAGTTGGATTGTTTCAATGCAACATGCCTAAATGTGCCTCAGTGACAATGATAGATGCAACAATAGAAGGGAATGTGTGATGTGGGTCACAACTTTGGGCCTAATGCTGCTATTTTAGCACCATTCAATGTATGTCAGTGGATACTACGATCCTTCTAGTTTTATGTGTGATTGTTTTGGAAACAACCTGTGCAAAATGTATTGAAGTAAAACTATAAAAACAAATATTCTCCAGTTAGACAGGGGAAAAACGCGTTTGCTATAAAACATGAATGCAATAGAAAGTATTGTTACAGTTGTATTTCTAGTAGACACATTCACATTAAAAGAATTAATCCTGAAAAAACAGAGTGTCTTCCAGAAATTCAAGCAAGTACTTGCACTAAGGAACATTCCACTGAAGACGTGTGGTTTGGTAATCACAATAGTTTCATATATTCATCTGTAGCTTTGACTTTTCTTCTAAACATCCGTTCCTCTTTCCAATCCACTACTAGACATTTTTACAAAACAATGTCCCACAAACATATCAAGCTAAGTCTACCAAGACAAATCTTATGATCTCCCTCTACCACAACCTACCGATCTTCTAAGATCTTTATTATAATTGGTTGTACCATCATCAACACAGTCACCCAACCTGGAACTTCTGTAGTGGTCCCAGAATATTCTCTTCTCTTAATATTCCAATTTAGTCACCATCCCTACTGATTCTAACTTCTAGATATTTTTCAAATTTATTGCCTCTTCTGTTTGCTCATGGTCTCTGCCTTAGAAGAGGCTCTTAGCACTGTCATCTAGAAGATGGTTTTTTGCAACCAAGTGAATTTTCTGCGACCACACTCTTTTTCTTCCTAGCTATCTACTGCAGTACCACCAAAAATGACCTTTAAGAACTCAAATTTATTCATTTCACTGTCCAACCTTAAGCCCATTTAGCCTCTTTTCATCACACAAGCATGGCATAAAAGTAGGGTTGTAACGGAAATACAGGTTCAGTTGCTTGCCACTAGCAGAGTCCAATCAACAAGAGTAAGTTCTGGTATAAAGAAAGTGACTCTGTTTCAAAGCTTAGCTTAGGGGAAGAAGTACAGGCTCCTGCCTTTAAAGGTACTGTTTAGCTTTCAGGGAAGAAATCAGGGGCTTTAAATGGGAACTTAGCATGAACAGTATGCAGGAGAGACAGCGAGCAGGTAGGGGTCTACAGGACTCACTTCAGTGCCTTATCCACCAGGTGGTCTAGCAAGCGGTGCTATTGTGGGCAATAATAGGTTGTAAATTGGCTGTTGGCTCAAGATACTCTCCAGGTGGGAAAGACTTTCATCATGCACATACTTTAGATTGTAAATTGACTGTTGTCTCTTGAGGCAATCTTCTGGTGGGAGAGAGTTAAGTGAGCACATAGATAAGCTTGCTATGTAGGGAGTGTCTGGTAAAGGGAAGGTAAAGTTTATAATTGCATTTCTAAACAGCAAAGTAGGAAGTGGGGAACAGGAGAAAAGAAGAAAAAGGAATAGAAAAAAAAAGTAATTTAAAAAATAACTCGGCCGGGCCCAGTGGTTCACACCTGTAATCCTAGCACTTTGGGAGGCCAAGATGGGTGGATTGCTTGAGGCCAGGAGTTCAAAACCAGCCTGATTAACATGGTGAAACCCTGTCTCTACTAAAAATACAAAAAATTAGCTGGGCATGGTGGCGAGCGCCTGTAATCCCAGCTACTGTGGAGGCTGAGGCAGGAGAATCGCTTGAACCCAGGAGGCGGAGGTTGCAGTGAGTTGAGATCACGTTAGTGCACTCCAGCCTGGGCGACAAGAGTGAAACTCTGCCTCACAACAAACAAACAAACAAAAAACAAAAAACTCATTCTCTTTCTCTATGAAAAATGGGAGTACTAAGTTACAGAGTGATAATTTGTTTTTATTTACCCAATTTTGGCCTGTTTTTCCAGCATAATTATTAAATAACACCCTTTGACTATGAAAAGTGCCCTGACTTAGACAATAAGTTATTAGATGACTTTGTTAATGATGTTCTGCATGATCTACTTCCCATCCACTTCTTTTGCTGTCTGCCTGGTGAAGAGCTTTTCATCATCTTAAATCACCTGCTTCACTAGGACCATTTTTCTCCGGCAAATGATCACACTGATCACACTGCTCATGGAGCTTCCTCTAACCTTTTCCATGGTTCAGTTGACGTAGATGGATCACTTTTAGGCCTTATAATAGAAGTGGTGAGGCACAGACCAGGCCACAGTTAGCCTTGCAACGCCAGAACATAGCAGAAGACCACCATACACAGAAGTGCATCTTATAGAGCTACCATCAAGCCTAGCTTCAGCAACAGTTCAGAAGACTGTACTCCCCAACATAGAAAATTGTTCATGTATTTCTATCTACAGAATAGGTGATTAAAATATATTTGACAAATATTGCCTTTGTTTTCATTTGTGTTAACGCTTAAGAGTAATACGGCATCGTGACAAGAATTGTTTTCAAAATTAATTTTTGTAAATGTAATAACATATTTGGTGACCAATTAAAACTATATTTTTTTAGGGACTATCAATCTTCATTCAGGTCAGAGATTTGCATTTTTTCTACACCCTGTAAGGCATCTTACTTGCTGTCAACACTCCATGGAGTGTCAAACAGCAGTGATAATTAGGCTTTTATATTTGTGCTCATTAGCCAGAACTAAGGGTGTACATGCTACTGAAGTACAATGACTTCTCTCATTTGAATATTTACAGTCCTGACAACTTGAAAATATATTATGTAGTGTTAATCAAACAAAGAATTTCACATTCTTCTCACAAGCAAAGGATACACGTTTTAGGTAAAAATTAGCATTTGACCTTCAATATAGAGAAAACACATCTCATATAAATCAAGGTCACCTGAATATGTAAGCCAACTAACAGCATATATTTTGTAGAATTCTTTAGTTTTATGAATATTAAGTTATAGAAGGAGCCACAGCGATTCTGATAGTTTGTAGGATTTGAGTTTGTGTGATCTCTGACTTAACATTTTCTATCCCCTTCTCTTTCAATTCCTTGCAATTGAGAGGTGAAGCTGGCTGGGCTTTTGGGTCAGATGGGGACTTGGAGAACTTTTCTATCTAGCTAAGGGATTGTAAATGCACCAATCAGTGCTCTGTGTCTAGCTAAAGGTTTGTAAACACACCAATCAGCACTCTGTCAAAACGGACCAATCAGCGCTCTGTAAAATGGACCAATCAGCCCTCTGTAAAATGGACCAATCAGCAGGATGTGGGTGGGGCCAAATAAGGGAATAAAAGCAGGCCACCTGAGCCAGCAGGGTCAACCCTCTGGTCCTCTTCCACACTGTGGAGGGTTTTTTCTTTTGCTCTTCGTGATAAATCTTGCTGCTGCTCAGTCTTTGGGTCTGTGCCACTTTTATGAGCTGTAACACTCACTGCGAAGGTCTGCAGCTTCACTCCTGAAGCCAGTGAGACCACGAACCCACTCAGAAGGAACCAATTCTGGACACGTTTTGGCGACCATGAAGGGACCATCGACTATCGCCGAGCGGTGAGTACCGTCATACCCCTTTTGCTTGCTATTGTGTCCTATTTTTCCTTAGAATTTGGGGGCTAAATATCGGGCACCTGTGGCTTTATTCTTGAAGTCAGTGAGACCAAGAACCCACTGGAAGGAACCAATTCCAGACACAAAATCACCAGAGAGAGAAATTTCCCCCATTCATGGGGTCCCTCTGAATTATTACACGAACAGTACTGTTGTCTGTAGAGTCTTAGTAACCAGACTGGCCTGGAGTCACAGCTACTAGCTTCATTATTCCTAGCTGAAAACATGAAAGTGGGTGCAATCACCCAGGAAGATAATGTAGACGTGACAAGGGGTGAAATCCGAGGATGGAAACCTGAGGAATACCACATCATAGGAATGTACTGGCAGAGGATGCTGAGAATGTGAAGGCAGAGAAGTAAGAGGAAATTCAAGGAGGGTGTGAAATCTTTAAACTGAAGGAAAATGGTTATTTTAAATAGGAGGGAGTACTCATGAGTACATAGAAATTAGTGTAAAGACCTGGACATGATCCCTGGGTTTTAAAAGAAGATAATTGTAGATGGTCTTGGGAAAAATAGCTTTTATGAAGATGGAGAATAAAAGTCAAACTTCAGTGGGTTGATGAGTGAATAAAAGTGAGGCAGAAAATGAGGTTTTCAGAGAAGTTTGATGGGAAAGGGAAGTGAAGACCATTGGCTCCTAGCAATGAAAGAAGTCAGCTTTAAGGAAGGTTTCTTTTGTTACAATGAAGATGCTGAACATAATTAGGTGTCACTATTAAAGGGAGAAATGAGCATAAGATGAAGAGAGTGAATGATTAACAGACTAGGTCCTCAGGAGGTGATGTGGATGGGATCCAGAACTTAAAGAAGACTAGCCTTGAATCTGTCCATTCTCCCATAGTGAGAAGACAGAAGAGGAAAAATGAACGGAAATGCTGTAAGATTAAGTGTAGGGCAGATAAAGTCCAGAGACTTCCCATTATATTGTTGTCTTCGTCTCTCTCTGTTTTCCAAGAACAGGAAGAGGCAAAGTCATTTGCTGAGAGTTGGAATTAGGTCATAGCATATAGGGTTTGAGAAATTAATTTTTTAAAAATAGCATGGAGAGAGAGAGGAGGCAAGCCTGACTAGGAAAACAGAAGGAAGGCCAGGTATCCAGGGCACCCAGCTTAGGTTGGAGAGTATCAACTGATAGAGGCCCCCCAAGATTATCTATAATTATCTTGTTTTAAAACCCAGGGGTGACGTCCAGACCTTAACGTCTATGTACTCATGAGTACTCCCTCCTATTTAAAATAAGCTTTTCCTTCAGTTTGGAGATTTCACGCTATGAAGTCTTCTCCAGCAGGACTCATCAGCTGGGTATAGGCATTGAGAAATCAGCTGTTGGATTAATCTCAAGCTAGGTATTGTGGAGTAGGTGCCATGGAAGGATATTGAATCATGGGAGATGAAGTGGTATTTCATTCAAACCTCTTCACATCTCTGTAAGAAAGGTATCCTCGTCTCCATTTTACTGAGTATGAAACCATCACTCATAGAGGTTTATGTTTGCCTGATCTCATCCAGATTACACAGGCTGAGTTGAGAAAATTAGCTGGGCCTTTTGAATCAAAGCCATTATTCTCTCCACTGCACTGCACTGCCTCTTCATCAGCCACATGCCACTACCTTGAACATAAAGAAGGGCTAAGAGCTTTGTTCTTTCCACAGCAACTCTGTTCCCTCTGTTCTGTAACAAAGCCAGCTTATGCATGTTAGCCCATGGAAGAAAAGCTTATGCTAGCTTACAGAAGATTATATATTTTATGTACAATATGTACATGTAGTGTGCCAGTTTACTAAGGGCAATGTTCACACATTGATAAGCTCATTGACAACATACGATAATTAGAAACCAACTTCTATTTTTGTGGGGGGTTCCAACTGATTTTCGTTTGCCTTAGTAATAGACACTGTATGCTGGGAAAATGAGAAATGATCTTCAGCGATGGCGCGATATGGCAGAGGCTGTAAACTGGAATCACACACTCATTGAATAAAAGCAGATTTCGTTTCTTCATCCCTTTAGTAGTAATTTATGGCATTGAACTGAAGCTACTCTCAACACACTAAAAAGGGGGCAAAATAATATTTTATGATTTGGTATGTGACTATAGCTAAAGAATTTGAAAGGTTTTAACAACCAGGCTGTTTCAATTCCCACTTTATAGGTAGAGATCACAACAGAGACAGTTCCTCACCTTTTATTTCTCAGGCTTTTAGTAAAATCCTCGGCAGCCCTCAGTGCTCAGAGAGCTTGACCAGCTCCACAGCTTAACACATTTTGAATGCTGAGCTCTTTGAAGGAGTAGGTCTTTCTCTATATACACAATAAATGTATGAATTTAAAAAAGAAAATATTAGTGCCTTCTTTTGGGCCCCCCAAAAGTGGCCTGACTCTAGAGGTCTAAGAGAAATGGGGTGGGAGACTGGTGCCCTAGTTGTATACTGAGAACCTCCGTCTCTTCGGGCTGTCTCTTCTTAGCCTCCCTTCCTCCTTTTGCTGAGGAAAGGTCAGAAACCATGATGACAGTTTCCTGCATGTCCTACCCAGGGGCAGGGATACCCCAAAGAAAGGCAGCCCCGATGGAGGCAGTCAGCCAATCCTATTTAGAATGGGCTCAAGAAATGGGGAGTGTTCAATTCCACTTAGTCCCTTGTCAAATTCAATGGGAACCAACTTTACAAAAAAGCTAAGTTACCTCTGACTTGAACCCATGATAAATGCTCAATACACAATTTACTAACAAAATTTCTACCAAAGCACTTTTTATGTCATTAAATGGTGAATGTATACATTGAAAGAAGACATAGTCAAATGTAGTATTTCTTAAAGGCAACGTGTGACACATCAGTCAATTTTATTGAGATAATCTTTAAGCCTATTGGGTTGTAAGGTTTCTTTATGCAGGCACTGAGGAAATGGCTAAGGTATTTATGATATAAAACTCAAAGAATTAGCATCAGTTCCTGCTGCAACTTTATACCTTGCTAGCATTGCTAGGGTATACACTATTGTCTGCTGCATAGCAGCTCATTATTTTACATTAAACATGTAAAATAGACATGTTAATGAGACCGTCTTGGCGCATGAATGTTTGATCAACTTTACCCCATGTTATCAAATTTTAAAATTCCTCAAACTTACTGATGCCTGTAAAGGAGTCTGTGTCACCTAAAACAGTCCTCTTTATGTTCTGCTCTTTCCTAACTGGTCTGTTATAACCAATTAAAATATTTTCCTACCCATGTACTTCTAGTTGGCACATGGAATTATATTTTACTTAAAATGATGGTTAGATAGCAAGTGGGTCTTTGATAAGAAAATGATATTTCTAATAACTTAAATGGTGGAGTATGCACCATCTGATGTGAAAAACCCAGCTCTGAATAATTGTTTCTGAAAATGTTTATTCTGAATGCAATCAAGACCTTCGACCCATACCATCCAATATGGTAGTGCTAGACACATGTGCCTACTGAGCTACTGAAATGTGACTAGTTCCAATTGAGATATGGCATAAGCATAAAGTAGTCATTGGATTTTGAAGACTTAGGATGAAAAGTAAAAAAGTAACATAGCTCATTAAAAATTACTATATTTAATGTTAAAATGACTACATTTTAGATACATTGAGTTAAACCTACTACTAACATTAATTTTCAGTTTCTTTCTACATATTTAATGTGGCAACTTGAAAATTTAAAATCACGAATATGGCTCTCATTTTGGGCTCACATTATACTTCTATTGGAAAGTGCTGCCTTCTCCCAATTTCTAGTTTATAGGAAATACAAGAGAAAGAAAAAGCTAAAAGGCACCAGGTACAATTAGCCAAATCCAACATGGAGAGCATTCTACCACAGCGCCACATAGCACGTGGGTTTCAGATGGCTACTGAGCTGCATATCTATCTGCTATAAACCCACCACAAAACCAGGAGCTGGCCTAAGAATTGAAATCATCTATGTCACATTGCTATACACGCGTATGGTTCAGGTGATGTAGTTTTCATAGCAATTCTTAGTCAACGAAGACAACTCCGTTCATGGACCTGTAACACTTTTCTAACCAGTATTTGAAGTAGCACTGTGTGTATGACAATTAGATTGGTCTCTTCAAAAATAAAACCATTGTTCTCAAAAAAAAAAAAAAAAAAAAAAAAGCTGTTTTAGATTGGAAGCCATAACATCCAAATGCAGTGAGTGAAGCTTGGTCGGATCCTGATTTGTGAGAGAAGGGAGGACAGCTACAACAGACATTTGGGGACAACTGGGGAAATCTGACTCTGCTGGAGCAAGAAATAGTTGAGTTTTGCTCACTCTAAGCCATTCTTAGGAACTTCCTGAGGCAGAGTTTGAGAGAGAAACCAAAGAGCTCTTCCTAGACTGTGTTCTCCACTAGGAAACAATGAGCCGCCTGGCAAGATTTCTCACTTTGTTTACTAACTCAGGAGTGCAAAAGTTGAAACACATCAAAAACCTTCATTTTTAATGGAGTTGTATTGCCCAAGAGACCCCAGCTACTAGTGCTGTGTTTGCTAAATCCCTAAAGCAATGTCTAGACTCTGAACACATGTCAATAGAAAGTAGGCCACTAAAAATACAGTCCCTCAAAGGGCCATCTTCTAGATTTCTCTTCTCAGGTGGCCACAGATGGTAATAAGCAAGAGAGAATTCCCTGACCTCAGAACCCAAGAGAGCCAGGCACTTGACCCAAGAACCCTATCCTTTGCTAGGCAGATAATACCTGCTAAGTTTGCCCCACATTATATCATATGGCTTCTTATCTTTCATAGTTCCCTTGCCAAGGTGGGAGGTGTTTTTTAACCTTTATTGTAAAAAATTTTGAACATATACAATAACAGAAAAAAAATCATATAACAAATACTTTACACGCAGTTTAACAGTGATTGATATTCTGCCAGTCTTTTTACGTCTCTTTCTCCCTGTTTTGTTTGCTGTGGTATTTTAAAACCAATACCAGAGATCATGTTATATCCTACATAAATTAAGTGAGAGTTTTTAACTTTTCCTGTTGCACTGATGTTTCTCTCTCCATAATTGTATATTGAATTGTTTGCAGCGATGAAACTTTTCATATGTAACCACATCATAAGACGATACATTCCAACTACCTAACATATAGAGAACCTGGAACCTGCAGCTGAGTTCAGTAACTGCCTGAGGCTTTGCTATGCCTCTCTTTGGTGAAGTGACTGCGATCCCACTTGTGTTAGGGCATTCTGGAAGATTTGTATTCATGGGTGAAACTCATCTTAATTCCACATTGGTGTCCTAGGGTTTCATTCTCTCATATTTCTTTTTAAAAATATCTTTCCGAGTCAAATCTAAAACCGAACTGATTCAAAAACTAACATTGCCATGTGTTTGTTTAGTGCTTAAAATGCACTTTCATATGAGGAAATGTGTGCTCTTTAAGATGAAATGAAGTTTGAAAAAGTCAGAGGCATGAACTCTAAAACTAGTCAGTCATGGTAGGCTTGGAGCCAGATAAGGTGAACTATCTTTTTCTATGTCAAGCTCAGGGGAAAAAAAAAATTGTTTTTGATTTGCATTGCCCTGGAGAAATTTAAATGAAAATGGAGGTGTTAGAGGAGGTGTGTGTGAAAGACTAGCAAGAGGTGGAGGAAGGAGGGCAGAGATGACTGAAAGCAACAACGAAAGTGGTACATCATGTTCCCGGGAGCACTGTTACTCTGATAGCCAGTCAGGTTCCCCTTGGCACTGAGCTATGAGCCTACAGTTGTCAGCCAGAATATTGAGAGTGCTAAAATTCTTATGGTTTAAAAATTCAGTTTACTAGCTGCAGGGAAGAAGCAAATATTCCAAAGATTTCTTCCAGTTTCAGCCCTCTAGGTTTCCTTGCTACTTAGTCACACAGTACAACACTTGTCAGGGGTGCAACAGTCTAAATTAGGTCAGCCTTCTCTCTGTAAAGAGGTTTAGCTCGCACCTGGTAGGATCACACTTTTTCACTTTGAAACAGCCTCAAAGAGAAGTGGCAATGACACTGAAATGATGTTTTAGGATATTTGCGGGAGATAAAAATGGATTTTTCTTTAAGAACTTCTTTGAGATTAATTTCCAGGCTGAAGAGTTGTTTGGGTTTATTTTATTTTAATTTAAAATATGACTGTTTAATGTATTGCACATACTTTGTTATCTATGTGATGCAAATAAATTTGTCATTTTTGTCATCTACTTAATCATGACACTGAAAGGTCCCTCAATAACGTACAAAGGAAATAATATTTTGGGGTTCTATACATAAATAAAAGACACTGTTGACAAAAAGAGTCAAACTTGAAAATTATTTGAAGAGATTTATTCTGAGCCAAATACAAGGAAAGATGACCCCAGGGAGTCCTGAGAACATATGTCCAAGATAGTCAGGCTACAGCTTGGTTTTGTATATAGATTCTAGGGAGACACATAAAGCAATGCATAAGTTGGGTGCAGTGGCTCACGCGTGTAATCCCAGCACTGTGGGAGGCCAAGACAGGTGGATCACTTGAGGCCAAGAGTTTGAGACCAGCCTGACTAAGATGGTGAAACCCCATCTCTACTAAAAATACAAAAATTAGCTTGGCGTGGTGGTGCACACCTGCGATCCCAGCTACACCTGAAGCTGAGGCACAGGCATTTGAGAATCACTTGAACCTAGGAGGCAGAGGTTGCCATGAGCCGAGATTGTGCCACTGCGCTCCAGCCTGGGTAACAGAGTGAGACCCTGTCTCAAAAAAAAAAAAAAAAAAAAAAGAAAGAAAGAAAAGGAAAAAAATTTAAGTGCAAGATGAACATTGGTTAGGAAAGGCACTTCAACTGGAAGGCAGGACTGGTGGGGATTGGGGGTTAAGGAATGGGGTGGGGTTGCAAGGCTAGCCTTCCACGTCATAGGTCGATTCAAAGACTTTCTGATTAGCAATTGGTTGAAGAGTTAATTTATTTTCTAAAGACCTGGAATCAATAGAAGGGAATGTCTGGGCTAAGATAAGGGATTATGGAGACCAAGGTTCTTATTATGCAGATGAAGCCTTCAGAGAGAATAGATCGTAAATGTTTCTTATCAGACTTAAAAAAGTGCCAGACTCTTAGTTAATTCTCTCTGGGATCAAAGAAAAGACCTGGAAAGGGATAGGGATTCTCTACAGAATGCAGATTTTCTCAAGAGACAGCTTTACAGAGCCATTTTCAAAACATGTCAAAGAAATATATTTTAGGGTAAAATACTTTCAGGTCCTGCTATCCATTGTGTGATGCTATATTAGAGTCAGTTTGGAATTTGGTGTCTTATTGCTATGAACAGTCTCTTTGATCAGTCTTAAAATCTCTGTTTTAATGTTAACGCTGGTCTAAACTCCAAAGGGAGGAGGGTAGGATATAATGAGGCATTTCTGGCTCCTATTCCCATCAGGGCTGAGCTAGTTTTTCCAGTTAACTTTGGAAAGCCCTTGGCTGAGAGGAGGGGGCCTATTCAGTTAGCTGAGGGACTTAGAAATTTATTTTTGGTTTACAAGACTGAATATACAAAATGGTCAATAGCCAGACCAAATGAGACCATAGAACTCCAATCCACAACTTCTGCATGACACAACAATCGGTACTTTCTCAATGACTGCCAGCTTTCTCCATTTTTATCCCTGTTTCCAATATACGACCAACCAGAATAAGCCAAACATGCTCCCCATGCCAATCACAGAAGATGCCTACTTCCAGTTAGCTGCCCGTAGCTTCTTCAGGCAAGCAGCCTCCAGTAAGGGCACACCTGAAGGCTCCTTTCTTCCCCACTATCACACTTTCCCACTCTCCTGCCTTTGAGTCTACCAAACAAAGTGACAGTGGCCAACTTCCTTTCTATACCAAGAGCTAAATAGCCTTATTTCTTCTCACATAGATGGTCTTCACCTATTTCCACAGTTCCCTGAAGGTTTCCCCAAGATAGTCAGCTCTGTCCGTTGCCACAGACCCCAGGCTTTGCCCAGGTGTGAATTCCCTTGTTGTTTGCTGCTTGTGATTGATGGAGTCAGCACTAACGTAGTAGGCCAGAACCTGGTCTGAACTCCAAGCCCTTTGTATTGTGTCCCACATTCCTAGTGTGGAGCCAGCGTTTCGTTATTGATTCTCATTTGTTCGGCATTTTTGATAGAATTAGGTGGCCATTTTAAATCCTTTATTTGTTCTCTTTTATGCTACTGTTGTGTGCTGTACAGTTTAAAAGCATCATTCCTTATAAAAAAGAGAATCGTGGGGTAGATAGAACAGAGGCATAGACCCTATAACTCTGTTTTCCAGCCAACTGCACAAACTAACAAGGATGCAATCCTTCCAAATTGGTGTCCACCTGGACCGCCTGTGCTTTGGGTCACCAATAAAATTGTATGAGGTTCTGCTCCTGTCTCAATTTTGTGTCCTGAGAGCTTGGCTTTGATTCCGTGAGTGCTCTCTTCAGGTTCCTGCCTCCTGGGAGGTGCAGATTGTGAGGTCCACATTCGGAGGTGGCCAACTGTCATGGTGTGAGGGCCAGAGACATGAGTGCACAGTGCTATATTCTGACTATCACTGGCTCTCATGGGGTGGTCTAAGTCTACATCGTCTCCACCACCAGGAAAAACTCCTGCTTCTTATACATAGTCTCGTAACAATCCTAATTCTTGCACCTATCTTTCTAAATGCCATAAATACAACAAGGAAGATTCGGGCCCCTTTAAGAAACATTGATTTGAACAATATTGTTCATTTGAGAGACACCTTAGAAGAGAAGGGATATGGGTACTCATGGACATAAAGATGGCAACAAAGAACATGGGGGAACTACTGCAGGGGTGGGACAAGGGTTGAAACGCTAACTGTGGGGTACTGCGCTCACTACCTTGGTGACAGGATCATTCATTTCCCAAACCTCAGCATCATGCAATGTCCCCAGGTAACAAACCTGCACATAAATCTAAAATAAAAGTTGACTTTTTTTTTTGAAAGAAGGAAATAAGATTTCACAAGCCCAATGGGCAACATTTCTTGATTGATATGCAGAGTTTCCCAAACAAAATTCCTGACTCAAATTTGTTTTAATAAAAGAATCTTTGGCCAAAGCTAATAAGCAGGTGGACAAATTTAAGCAGCCCAAGCTAGACTTCTTTTCCTAGTAAATCTGTCCCCTAGTTGCCTCCGTATATTCAAATCTCCCTCTTCCTGCTGCTGCTGCTTCTCTCTCCTTCTGTTCCTCTTCTTTCCTCTTCCCCTTGTCCAGACCCTCTACCTTTTCCTAACAATTCTTCTAATACCCCCAAAATGCCATTTCCTCTAAGGATTCATCCCTCCTATGAACCAGGTATGTGGCAAGTATAGAATTTAAACCTGGACCCAAGATTAAACAAGTGCTACAATAAGGATTTCCCTACACCCAGAGAAGACCAGCAACTATTCATAGAAGAATTTCAAACTCTTTTGGGTAACTCAGGGTTACCTGACCTATATAGACTTGTGCACATGTTGGTTGAAATCTCAGATGCCAAATGCTGAATGGCAAAAGCTGATTAGGCTAACCTGCAAAGAGACTGAAAAGATCCCTCGTTCCACAATAAATCAGAGTCAAAAGGGGCCCAAAAGGTGGAGCAAAGTCATCTAAAAAAAACTCTAGCCAGATATTTTCAATACAAATCGATCGAAACATAATTTGCTCTGCAAACAGAGAAAAGATGCAACTAGGCCGGGCACAGTGGCTCACACCTGTGATCCCAGCACTTTGAGAGAGTGAGGCGGTCAGATCACGAGGTCAGGAATTCGAGACCAGCCTGACCAACATGGTGAAACCCTGTCCCTGTTAAAAATGCAAAAATTAGCCTGTTGTGGTGGCACGCACCTGTAATCCCAGCTACTCAGGAGGCTGAGGCAGGAGAATTGCTTGAACCCGGGAGGCGGAGGTTGCAGTGAGCTAAGATTGCACCATTGCACTCCAGCCTGGGTGACAGAGGAAGAGTCCATCTTGGGGAAAAAAAAAATGAAAAAAAAGAAAAGATGCAACTATAGGAGATTTGGGAGGGTAGGCTATAAAATACCTTCTGAAAACATTTACAGGTTGAAGAAGGTGCCAATGTAAACAGTGGCCAATTCATCTCATTTTGTCAGGGGAGTTAAAACTGAAATTAGAGACCTAATTTCAAAGCATAAATTAGAATGGGACAGAAGACCTTTAGGTAGTCTACAATACCTAGCAAAACACTTTGAAAGAGCTTTAAGACAAAAATGAGACAGTCCCTCGATACATTTATGACCCTACAGATTTACCAGCTATGTGGTTCCCTTCCCAGTGGATCACCTTTTGACAAAGACACTTGCAAATATCAAAAACAGGAGGGACACTGGAGAAGAAAGATTGCCCTACCTTACAAAAGAAAACCCAAGACGTAGAAAAATTCCATCATTCAGATCAATATGTGTGCTCTGAGGAAGAAAAAAGCACCCAAAACACTGCTGGACCCTTAAACACTCAAGATGAATTACCTCTAAATAGAGATGGTTATTCTCATTAATTCCTGGTAGATAACAGCCCTGCTCTTTCTACAACAAACCCTCCACCCTTGCTCAAGCTCTTTACTTTTCCTCAGCATAAACACACAACACAGGTGGTAGTATTTCGAATAACCCACATATTTTCTCTATCTCCTAGCCCTTCCCTGTAACCCTTGGGCATTTGACGAAGAACATTTCTTCCTGCTCCATGATACCACCTCCACAAATCTAATAGGGACTTACTTTGTAGATGGAACTATAACAGTGAATGTACAACAGAGAGACTATTTCTTGAGGTTGCAGAGGTCTCCTATAGTCATAAACAAATTGTGTCTGCTCTGCCTATACTTTTTTCTTCTCCATTGTATTTGATGCATATTTCAGAAGCCGACCTTGATGCCATACTTGATACTTTGTGGGCTGAAAATTCCACTGGCATAGGAAAAACAATTTGAGCAGAGCCTATTAAAGTTCAAGGAGATCCTACTGTTCCCTAAATGTCCCCAATATCCTTTGAAGCCAGAAGCAAAGGAAGTGCTGAAACTTTTCACCTGAAAGCCTTATTTGCAAGGATTTTCTCATACTCTGTGTATGAGCCATGTAACACTCCCATCCTGCCAGTGCGTGAACCAAATAAATGAAGGTATCAGCTTTTCCCCTAGACCTCACAGCCACCAACAAAATTGTTATCCCTTGCTTCCCAGCAGTATCTAGCACAAATACCATCTTGCCATCAATTCTACCGTAAGTCACTTGCTTCACTTGTAACAGATTTCTGCTTTGCCTTTTTCAGTCTGCCTCTAGACTAGGAAAATCAGTATCTTTTGCTAGTTTCTGCTAAAAGCAAGGGATAGTGACTGACTCCCTTTGTATAGCAAGCCCTAAATAAATAACCTTTTTGTTCTCATTTGAATTCTCGTTTTGTTTCTCATTCATTTCCACAACAGGAAACACATTTATCTAAATTGAAGACTTTGTTAATTTTGCAACATAACATTGAAAAACATTTCTTTTGTAATTATAATGCTTTATTACCATAATTTCTAGATGTTTGGTATTAAGTAAAAAGAATACAGATACATTTTCAACTGTTTTCCTTAGAAAACACTAAAAGTAACTTACATGATAGTTGTGATTCTCCTAATAGCAAAATAACTTATATTTTACTCACCTATCCACAATTATAACGTTTATAGAACTGTGACAAAAATGTTTAAATACAATAACACTAGAAGGCACTCAAGGAGTTTACTGCAATTACAGTTGGAGATTTCAGCATTCTCCTCTAGATAAGTGATAGAACAAGTAGTCAAAAAATCAGTAAAGATAAGGCCAGGAGTGGTGGCTCACGCCTGTAATCCTAGCACTTTGGGAGGCCAAGTCAGGCAGATCACTTGAGGTCAGGAGTTCGAGACCAGCTTGACCAACATGGTGAAAACCTGTCTCTACTAAAAATACAAAAATTAGTGGGGCATGGTAGCGGGCCCCTCTAATCTCAGCTACTCGGGAGGCAGAAGAATCTCGGTTGAACCCGGGAGGCAGAGGTTGCAAATTCTCTATTTTTGAATTGAATTCAAAAATTAATTAATATGATTATCCAAATCAACAGACTAAAAATGAAAAAAAAGCAGAAAATCTAAATATACCAGAAAAAGGATTTGAAAAATTCAACACCCATCAATGACTTGTACAAAAAAGGAACTGAATTTTCTCAACTTGAATTTTTAAGAAAATTTATAGAAAATCTGCAGCTAACATTGTATATAATAAAAAGATTGAAACTTTTTCCACTAAGATCAAGAATAATGAAGAATGTACACTTTGTTAATATCACTTTTATAAAACATTATGTTGGAGATCATAGTCTAAGCAATAAAGCAAGAAGAAGGATGAAGAAGTATACAGATTGGAAAGAAAAGTTTAAAACGGTTTTTATTCTCAAACAATATTATTGAGCACAGAGATAAATCCAAAACAATCTAAAACAAAAGCAACTGTTAAAACTAAGTGAATTGAACAGTTGATTTGTTCAGGAAGTTACTACACATGAAAAGTCAACCCATAAATAAATTGCAATTATGGATTACAGCAACTAACTGCACAATAAAATAAAATTATAATTACAACAGCACAAAAACCTTGAAATACTTAGATATAAATTCAATAAAATATTTTAAGATTTATACACTGACACTTGGAAAACGTGTATGAAATAAAGAAAACCTGATTAATAAAAGGTATATACTGCATTCACAGTATACATAGAAAGCTAGTATCATTAAGCTATAAATTCTCTCCGAATTGATTTAAAAATTTGATATAATGTCAATCAAAATCCCAGCATATTTTTTTTTTGGTAGAAGTTGGCAAGCTGATTCTAAAACTTACACGGAAATTCAAAATATCTAGAATAGTCATAACAGTTTTGAAAAAATTAAAATAATGTCGGAGAACTTGCACTGCATGATTTCAACACAGCTACAAAAATTAATATAAGATAGTAAAGGCATAAAAATAGCCATACAGATCAATGCAAGAGAATAAACAGTCCATATATACACGGTATGTAATGGCAGAACACATACTCTTTTAAAACGCTCTGTGGAGAGAGAAAAAGAGAGCTTTACATATATACATATACATTTTTTCAAGAAATTTTTCAACAAAGTTGCTAAGGTAAATCAATGAGAAAAGAGTTGAATTTTTAATAAAATATGCTAGAATAGCTGGTTCTTGTATGTGAAATAAGAACTTCAACCATAATCATTACCTTATACATAAAATTAACTCAAAATGAATCATATACCTAGTAATAACTAAAACTATAAAATTTCTAGAAGAAAATGTAAAGTAAGACCTGTGTGACCTTGAGTTACACGAAGATTTTTTTAAAGAGAACACTATAGGCACTCAATATAAAAGAAAATAAATTTGACTGAATCAAAACGTAAAGCTTCTGCTCTTAAACTAACACTGTTGAGATAATGAAAATAGAAGAAGACATATAATTAGAAGAAAATCTTTTCAGTGCATCTGTTTTATCCATAATATTTATCCATAATATTTATCCATAATTTTTATCCATAATATTTAAAGAACTCTTAGAATTGAAGAAGAATGTAAATAAATCAATCAAAAATGGGCAAAAGTCTTGAAGAGACAAATCACAAAAGAAGATACATGAACCTCCAATAAGTAATAGAAAAAGTTCTCATGATGAGTTTCAAGGAATTTCAAATTAAGACTTCAATGACATACTGACTAGGAAAGCTTAAACTAAAAAGGTTGACCTCACCGAGGGTTGTCAAGGATGTGGGACAACTGAAATTCTCATTTGTTGCTAACTTAAGTGTAAACTGTTAAAACCACTTTGGAGAAGAGTTTGGCACCTTCATATAAAGTTCAATTTAAAAATATACTTACCATATACATTCATCCCATGGTATCCATGGGGGAATGGTTCAAGGACTCCCTGCAGATACCAAAATCCATGGATGCTCAAGTCCCTCTTATAAATGGTGTAGTATTTGCATATAACCTATTCGCATCCTCCCAAATACTTTAAATCATTTCTATATTACTTATAATACCTTATGCAATGTAAATGCTATGTACGTAATTGTTATACTGTATTATTTTATATTTCTATTATTGTTGTAGTGTTATCTTTCTTTTTTTTAAATATTTTTGAACTTTGATTGATTGAATCCATGGGTGCAGAGCCTGCAGATAGAGAGGGATGACTCTAACCAATAATTCTAATCCTAACTATATGCTTAAAAGAAATGAAAGCATATGCCACATAAAAATATGTACAGAAAGTTCATAGAAGCTTTTTTTTTCATAGTAGCCAAAACCTGTAAACAACCCATATATGTAACCACAAGTGAATGAATAAACAAATGGCGGTGTATATGAACAGTGGACTAGGCTCAGCAAATAAAGGCAATAACCACTGATATAAACAATGACATGGGTGAGTCCCTGAAACACAATGCTGAGCAAAAGAAGCCAGACACAAAAGAACACTTATTGTATGATTCCAGGTATAAAACAGCAAAACTAGTCAAAGGTAACAGAAAACAGAACTGTGGTGACCTGTGACCTGGTGAAGGGAACCTATTATGAAGATGCAAGAGGAAACATTTTGCAGTGATCGAAGTATATACCTGTAGTAGTTGTGGTGTCATACATGGGTGCATACAGTTGTCAAAATTCATCAAAGAGTAGGCCTAAAATACTGCGTGTTTATATGAGTTGTGCTAAGAACTGTGAAGGGTCTGAGATGTTATTCCAGTTACAGTTTTGTACAATAGATAGCTAAATGATGATGATGATGATAATGATGATACATAGATGATTGATTGATCAATCAATAGATAGGGAAATGAAAAATGAAGCACCTATGTTATGTCAGGGAAACTAGTTCTTTGTGATATTCACAATTAGAAAATTAGCCTGAGTAATGCTGTTTCCCCACACCCATACTCAAAGGTGATGTGATAAGAGCTGATGAAAATGCTCCATACAAGTGACAAGTTACAACTTGTAGATGGGGGGTGGAAAATAATGTCTTCTCTTCACTTAGACACAAGAGAAGATATAAAAGGAGGAAAGAAAAGCTCTGATCCTTGCAGACAGGATGGAAGGGATCCTAGGTTCTGATGGTAACATATTGCAACGTCAATCAGATCTTTCCAAGAGCCAGATAGCCCCACGTGTTTCAGCTTTTATAACCTAGGAATTCAAAAGTAAAGACTTTGAAAGATTAATAGAAATGTGTCTTGAAGAAAGTTATGTAATGCTTTTCAATGACAAAGAGAATTCTTATACACTTTCACACATGCACACACATAATCACTCAAACCTGTTATTTGAGATGATTTTCACAAATCTCTGTTGTTACCTATGTCCTGTTTATTGCTAATAGGAAGCCTGAGCAGAGGGGACCGACAATACTCTTGGGAAGGGCCAATCTTCTTATGCTTCTGAATCATAGTGTCCTCATCTATTAATATGATGGAGTGGTTACTTTAATATACTTTAAGCTCTATCATATTATGGTTTTACGTTTGGTATGTAAGTGATCTGTGAAAAGAATAAAAGATTATGGGAATTCCCTTGTCCCATTGCACACCCTTTAATCTGCCTGGAGGCACAATTCTGTACATTGTGTCTTTGGAGTTCTCTTGGCAGCCAGCTTTCAGTTGGGATGGGTCAGTGAGAGGCAGCAGCAAGAGACAGTTGTCTTGGAGAGAGAAAATGGATTGTTTTCCAAGTTCTTACCCTGCTTGGTGCCACTTATTTGCCAGGAACTACATTCCGCCAGCTCCCACCAGGCAGCCCTAAGACCCAATTCCAGCTCTGCCTGGAGGAAGGTAACAGCTTCCTGCTCTGATAGTTGCTAAGCGTTTCATCATCCCTTCATCCTGCCTACACCTCTGAAAGCAGTCCTTTCATTGAAGTTTCTTTATTGAAACATCTGGCGTAAATTCTGTTTCCTGCTGCAACTCCGATTGACTAGAAAGGTCAAAAATCCAAGTCATTTGTATTTGATTTTGGAATATATTTTCAGTTGTATTTTTTAAAAAATACATTGGTCTAATGTTTTAGAAATCCATACCACTTTAAAGACAAAATGTATCCAGTGAACCTCTAATTCAGGAAAAACTATAAAAAGTTCCATTTAATCACCTGTTCAGTATTCCTTCCTGCTTCTCAGTCCAAACTCCCAGTAATCCATCTTGCAGACAAATGCAAAGCACTGGCAGAGATTTACCTGTGAGGCTGATGCACTTCTCAGTTGGAAGTAATAATTAAATGTTTTGATTTAAAATGTTTCTCACTAGAGAGTTGACTGTATTAATGGTGGGAACACAGACATAAAACACTGAATTTTAGCTGCTTTAGGTATTATGCTCTGCTGAACTGTATTAATAGGAACTCAAAAGCAATATTTGTTTCATATTACTCACAGTGGTCTGTGAATTACATTGCAAGACGGAAAGTCTGAATTCAGTTCTTGCTTTTGAGAATACCTGTGTGATTAGGGCCAAAAGTTTTAGTCTCTTGGTGGTTTAACTTCCTGATCCATAAAAATTTATGCATTTATACCAACTATTTTCAAAATAGCTAAGAAGCTCTTTGAGTGTTTAGGGAAAGAGTGAGTATAGTTCTCCACTTAAATTTACAGTGGTGAAAATGCACTTTCCAGATGACCCTCCTTCTCTCAGACTTACTAAGAAACTGCCCTTGCTTTAAATACACTCCTGGTGGTATTGTGGACTTGAGAAAGCTACAGATTTATTTTCACCGAAATACTAATGTTCTTAGTGATTCTCTCTTCTTTTATTCTTTTCTAAAATAGGCTAAGTAGCACTTGGAACATAGATCTAAAGGTGAGGAAATTAAACCAATTTTTCCTTTTACTCCAGATTAGTGCCAATATCTGTCCTTTGGGTGAAAGGCCCAGGGGAATTTCTTATTCCTTCAACTGTTCATTCACTTACTCCACAAATAGTTTTTGTGAGCTAATGATGCTCTAGATCAAGGTGCTTTTCAGGAATAATTAAGAATAATTAGAACTAAGATTCTAACTAAGAATAATTCGAAGTGATTTGTGAAAACAAAGTGCTTATGACCCAAGAAGTGATACCATAAAAGTAACAAAGTTTGCTGAAACCCAGGGTAGAATATGGAAAGTGCCACCAGGGAAATTAGAAGCAAACAAGTATAAATATTTAGGGAAAGGAAACAGCACAATCACCTGTGCCTCAGGGCAAACTTATGGCAGGGTTTGAGGAGGACATGGATGGGTGGGTGGGATCGCAGGAGGATGAGCAGAGGACCTATTTCCTCTCCGGAATTGTTCTACTTGCTATAACATAGCAAAATATAAGAAAAGCCCTTATAAACTTCAAGTACTAAACAAGTGTTAGATTGTCACCAATATTACATATTAATTTTCAAAAGCATTTTTCCAAAAATATACCACATTAAAATAATGCTTTAATGTCTTCATGAAACAAATTAATATTTATTGAAATCAGCAATAGAGTTTTGGCATGGCTTGCTCCAGTGTACAAGGAAAATGATCACCCATCATTTTCAAGCTCTTCTGTACTCTTGACTCTACAAATGGCTACATTTGTGGTTCTCAAACCGTGCACCAAGGCACACAGTGTATTATAGTGGACTCACAGTGGTACTGTGAGATATTCTCCATTTTTGAGGGAAACACGCAGTACTCGACAACTGCTGGACCTCATGCAAACTACTAGTTCAAGTAAGTTCACAGTTTCAATATGAGATCACACCACATTTTTTTTTTTTTGAGATGGAGTCTCGCTCTGTCGCCCAGGCTGGAGTGCAGTGGCGCGATCTAGGCTTAGTGCAAGCTCTGCCTCCTGGGTTCACGCCATTCTCCTGCCTCAGCCTCCCGAGTAGCTGGGACTACAGGTTCCCAACCACCATGCCTGGCTAATTTTTTTTTGTATTTTTAGTAGAGACGGGGTTTCACCATGTTAGCCAGGATGGTCTCGATCTCCTGACCTCGTGATCCGTCCGCCTTGGCGCCCAAAGTGCTGGGATTACAGGCGTGAGCCACTGCACCCGGCCCATACCACATTTTTTTAGATAGCATCATCTTTGCCAAACTGGATTTTCTGCAGTTGCTGAGAAAGCAAGTACTGCACACAAATCAACACAGAACAGAAAGTGAGAGTGGTAGTATCCAATCTGATTCCAATGTTTGAGAAGCTGTGTGGTGTCCAACAGGTGACCAATGTTCCATTAGCAAGAAATTGGAGTCATTTAAGAATTTTCAAAAATATGTTATTTTTCCTTTCATTTTATTTATTTATTTATTTATTTATTTATTTATCTATCTATCTATCTATTTATTGAGACAGAGTCTCGCTCTGTCACCCAGGCTGGAGTGCAGTGTCGTGATCTCGGCTCACTGCAGGCCCCCCGGGTTCATGCCATTCTCCTGCCTCAGCCTCCCAAGTAGCTGGGACTACAGGCACCCACCACCACGCCCAGCTAATTTTTGTATTTTTTTAGTAAAGACGGGGTTTCATCGTATTAGCCAGGATGGTCTCAAATCTCCTGACCTCGTGATCCGCCCACCTCGCCCTCTCAAAGTGCTGGGATTACAGGCGTGAGCCACCACGCCCGGCCTCATTTTATTTTTTCAAATGGCTACTAAGTCATCAGGACATACATAAACTTACTGAACCTAACTACTCACTAAGTGGAAATGTTGGGTATTTCTTTTGGCCTAGGAGATTCATAGAAAAATGATGGAAACACACCATGAACAAAGAAAGTTTGGAGCCCTCTAGCCTAGGTAGCCGTCAAGAAGTTCACTCTGAAGAGTGGCTGCATTTGAGCCCAAGTCTGTAGAGAGGAGAGGTCAAATGGAAAAGATAGTGCAGGCGCAGCTGGGCCATATCTTAGCTTTACCTGGGAAACACCAATCATGAAAACAATCACACAGTTACAGATACAATGATTTAAACCAGTCTTTCATTTTTTGTTCCTTTTAAAATTCAAACATGTCAAATTCATTTCTTCTTTCTAAAACTAATAAGGAACACCATGCCCTAAGTGTATGTTTTTATGACCCAAACACCTTTCCTGAAAAGGAAAGAAGAAATGGTAAAATATCTTCAAATGTATATAGTAGTTTGGGTCTATGTTTCCAGTCTTGGTACTGTTTGTCAGGTCTGGGAGAAGAGTACACAGAAGCTTTCACCCTATATATCTAAATATTTAAAAGATATAAATCAAGCTATACAACTATTAAAATTTGTTCTATCCTCTTACTATGAAAAATAATGCCTTCATAATGACCTGAATTCCAAGAATCCCTGGAGTCCCACTCAGGAATATGGCACAGTAAGGAGAGCCTGCAACAGACAGCCAGACGGCTCTTCCTGCCCTGGCAATAGCCAACACCTGCTGCATTGCACATGGTCTCCTACAGCACCAGGGGCCTCACAGCAGATGTGGACACCCCACCTGGTTTCCACTCTCAGTCTCACCACTGCAAACAGCTACCCTTGGTAGCCATTCAAACCCGGGCATGAACACCCACAACATAGCCTACCCTTAAGAGAATGGTTCCCAGGGAGGTACTGCACAGGCCCTGTAAGTGATCTTGGGTTATCTTGGCAGGGGACACCATGGTGTGGTCTAGAAGGGAGGGAGCAAAGACTATTGGGGAAAACAACCCATGGCCCTACAGACTTCTCATCCCATAGGAAGAGTTGTAGCCAGTAAAGAGCCACAGTGGGGTCTCCTAAAGCCAGAGTGCAAGGCAGGAACCCCTTTTGCCAGGGCCTAAGGATGATGCTAAAATTTGCATATTTCATGGCACTTTTTAGGATGTTTAAAAATTGTATTCCCAGATACAAGCCTCTTCCTTCCTAATCACTTCCTGTCAGAAGAGTGAGTGCTCTTGCTTGCATGCATTTTCACTTTTAACAGGCAGAAAATACAAAATAAATTTGGCAACAGGCAGAACTTGCCATTCTGTTCCTGTGATATTTCTGGCATCCCTGTGGTGAAAGATGTGTACCAAATCAGCACTTTAGTCAACGTGCCTCATTCACAGGGCAGCTCACCTGTCTACCCACAGGAATACTCTGTGCCTCCAACAGAGTCAAGGAGATGGGCAAAGAAGGAAATTTCAGGAACTTCTTAGACCCCAGGAGGACAATTTGAGCAAAGGTATTTCTATCCAGTACTAAAAATTCCAGTGGTACTGATTGTGGATTGGAACAATATCCTCCTTAATGTGTTCATTAAGTCGCCCATTAATGAGTCACCCATTAAGACATTTGACAAATACGTAATGTGAGCCTGCCACATGGCTAGGCACTGTGAATTGTGAATATAAGATGAAATAAACAAAGCTTGGTGGTCTTTTCTTCCTGCCTGCTTATAGATAGGATAGTAATTCTGATCTCTCCAGTTTTGTAAAAATGAGATATTTTGCTTGTTAGTCTCAGTTTATGACTTCATGGTATTTCCTACTTTAAATTTTATTTTGAAATTTAAAATCATTTTAATTGCAAAGGTGATATATATTTAATATAGCATATTGGGAAATTACATACATATAAGCTCCAAGAAGAAATTAAAACTCATAAAATTATGGCATGTCTCCCTTTTCTATATATTTCAACTTCTTCCTCATTTACTGTATTTACTCATCCTGCAAATGCTAATATTAAAAAGGAGGGCCCCCAGACATTGATCAACAAGTAGAATAACCTCCTCTTCCTGCTGTGACCCACTTCGTGAACTCTCAGTCCTTCTTCCATAATTGAGCTAATGATATTTTCTTAGGGCTTGACTCTATTGTGGCTTTTGTCACAAGGCAACTTTTTTTTTCATGAAAAATGAAAAGATGCAGTTGAAATAGAGAGACAGAGAGAAAACAGGCAGATTAACTGAGAGCCCAGCAGTAAGAGAGGATCATTGCCTTAAAGCCCTACTTGCTAGACCTGAGCGTTTATCCCTGATTTCATTCGAAGTGGCCACTAAGGGAAACCAAAATCAAACTTAGAAATGTGTTGATAAGAAGCCTGACTCTAATGTTAGGATAACGATAATGGGGAAGACATGGAATGTTTTGAGAAAAAATATTAGTTAATATGGTAAAGCCATGAAGACAAGCTCTGAGTGCTCCCTGCGCCAGACATCTCATGAGTCTTCATGTGTTTTGGGAAACACTCTCTCAAACAGTGTTTTTCCTCTGTTCTCACACCACAACAGTCAGCAACACAGACTTCTGTGACCAAAGATATGTTGGGGGTATCTCTGTCAGAGGCATTTGAACCAGAGCAACTCCATCTTGAATAGGGGCTGGGTAAAATAAGGCTGAGACCTGTTGGGCTGCATTCTCAGGAGGTTACGGCATTCTAAGTCACAGGATGAGACAGGAGGTTGGCACAAGATACAGGTTAAAGACCTTGCTGACAAAACAGGTTGCAGTAAAGAAGTCAGCTAAAACCCAGCAAAATCAAGATGGTGACAAGAGTGACCTCTGGTTGCTCTCATTGCTACACTCCTGCCAGCGCCATGACAGTTTACAAATGCCATGGCAACGTCAGGAAGTTACCCTATGTGCTCCAAAAAGGGGAGGCATGAATAATCTTCTTGTTTAGCATATAATTAGAAATAACCATAAAAATGGGCAACCAGCTGCCTTTGGGACTGCTCTGCCCATGATGTAGCCATTCTTTTATTTCTTTACTTTCTTAATAACTTGCTTTCACTTTACTCTATGACTTGCCCTGAATTCTTTCTTGTGCAAAATCCAAGAATCCTCTCTTGGGGTCTGAATCTGGACCCCTTTCCAGTAACATCTCTACCACCAAGTGAGCAGCCAGTTCTGCAGCAGACACCAGCTGGTGACCTCCGATTCAATTCCAACACTGTCTACCTGGAAATAGCATCAGATCCCAAGGTTGAAGTCTCAGTCCGCAACACTTCCCAAGACCCAGACGCCATCTCAAGTCTGGGCCTCCAGAGCTTCTGACCAACTGACTTCAAGTTGGGGTACCCGTGATCCCCTCTTTGGATTTGATTAATTTGCTGGAGTGACTCACAGAACTCAGAGAAACACATGTACCAGTTTATTATAAAGGATATTACCAAGGATACAAATGAAGAGATGTGTAGGGCGAGGTACGGGGGAAGGGGCACGGAGCTTCCATGCTTTCCCTGGGCACCACCCTCCAGGAACCTACACGTGTTAAGCTGTCCTGAAGCTCCCCAACCCAGTCCTCTTGAGTTTTTAATGGAAGCTTCATGGCAGCAGCATTCCTTCTCCCAGGGTATAGGGTGGAACCCTCTCTGGGAGGGTTTTATGACCCACAGTCAGAAAGGTGAGGGAAGAGTAGAGTCCTGCCTTGGGGTATATGTGTGTGTGTCTGTGTGTGTGTGTGTATAATCATATATATGTATATATATAAAATCACATATATGTGTGTGTATATATAATCATATATATGTATATATGATTCCTGGCTCATAACTCCCACATTCTGTGTTATGTGCGTATATATAACACCACAATACAGCTAGAAGCTGGCATTACCTATCCTGTTTTAAGATACATTTCTACTAATTACCATGATTATCACTGTGAAGTTATTGCATAATCGCATTCTTTCATAGTTTCTTTTAAGGTTTGGACATACCCAAATGAACATTTTAGATTCTCTACCCACCTTTCATTTTATATTATAAAGAAACATCAAAAAATAAATTTCTTCCTACAACTGTGGTCACATCGTTTATTATTCTCCTGGCAAAGGAACAATCATTAAATACAGTCTACTATATTGTGAATTACCTATTTTTATTGATTACTTACTTTTTGTTGTTGTTGTGTCTTTTGTTTTGTTGGTACAGCTTTAGAAAAACACTTTGGAATGTAAAAAGAGGGACTACTGTATCAGTTGCCTCCTAACCTATTTTTTTTGTTTGTACAAAAGAGGGGTCTTTTGAATGGTGATTATGCAAGGTGAGTCAAACAGCAAGAACTGGTCTTTGTGCCTCCAGCGCCACAACACTGAATGGGTGACACAGATTCCAGGACTCATTGTTAGGTATAAACCTAAGGGAGTTCTGGGTATCAAGCTGGATGTTAATAGCTCACTAATTACAACAGTGTTAAGTTACGATGGTATATTTGCCTATAAGGGAAGCATGCAGGGGTATGTTAACTCAATTTTCTAATCTACCTGGCAGTTATGTTTCCCATTTTAAATTAATAGATTGGGATGTTTATTATTTCTATCCAGAATCTGCACATTTTGGTTTAGTAAGTCTGGGCAATTGTAAGCAGAAACAAGCCTGACTGTCTCTATTATCAGACACTATGCCATAATGACCAGGACTACCAAATGTGAGCTTGAACCCTGATGAAAAATGCTTTTCTGTCCCAACACCCCTCCCCTTCTCTCTAGCAAGAGATCCCTTAAAACCCTAACAGGAGATTTGCATGGTTATGCAGTGTGGGTGAGTCCCAGGCTACCTCCTGATGCTCAGCTGGCTCATGCACACAGCTTGCCCCTCCTATGGCCCTGTGATGATCCCACATGGGTGCAGTGATTCTGTAGGGACATTCTTGAATATTCTGCAGGCCTGCTTCCATGAAGCCTTCATTTGAAGCTTCTTTATTACTATAAAGTTATCAAAATATATTGTTCTTTTATTTTTGTATTATTATTTGGTAATTTTTTCCAAATTTCTCTTGAGAGTGGGATCTAGAATTTCAATCCTAATTTAGCATCTAAGATAAGTATAACACAGTTATAAGTGACATAGCTGTTTTTTGAACAATTCCCATCCAAAAAAAGAGGGTGTTAACCTGCTCCAAGTATCATCAACATTAATTACAATGATGTCAGAAAAGTTGGCAGAAGAATGCTTCTCCCATGCTAAATGTCAAGAAGATACATCACAGTATTAAAAAGCTAAAAGGCAGAGACCTGATTCGTACAGTAGTAAAAGTGAATGAACATTGGCAACATTTATTCACCATTTATTATGTGAAGTCCTGAAAATCCTGCCTTGAGTTTATAGACACAAATCTTGCCAGAATTTTGGAAGTTTCAGATTCATCTTACTTACAGTGATCATCAGCTAATGCAAAATTATACAGAGAATACAATCTTATTTTTCTGCTTAAACGTTGAAGTTGAGAGAGCAGTGGTGAAAATGTGAGATTTAAATCCACACTAGTGTCTGTGAGTCTTTAAACATATAGTGAAGTTATTTTAGATTTTACTCCAGAACTTGAATGTTCCTATCATTCAAAAGTGCACACAGATGCCACTTGAAGTTGAATTTGGATCTTAAAGCATGGAAACCTTGGGGCCCAGGAGACAGAGGGTAGAGATGTAGGGAATGTTGTGGTGTCCCACTCAGATCCTTTCCAGGATAGGAGCCCCCAAATCTCTATAGTTGGCAGTGTGGACAGACACAGCCCTCAGCTGGGACCCTCTCTGGCACCTACCCTGGATTAGAGATGCCTCCTTTAAGGTCACAGCCCCTTGTGTAGAAAGCCACCATTCAAGGACTGGCCTATACAGGGGTGTAAAGTTGCCCTCTTCTCACCTTATTTGGAGGACCACCCCAGCTGTAGGGCTCTGGAGAGGATCAACTGAGGCCTTTGGTGCAACTGGATCTCTGTCCAGCCCTGCTTCTTGAGCCGCCCTTTAGGTGATGATCACAAGGGCATTCCTAGTAAACCTCCTGCATCTTAGAGAAATGACCAGTGACAAGAGGTAAGGGCTCCATGCCAGAGAAAGAATGTGCCTTCTTGTCTCTTTTTATAATGTGATCCTGTCCTTGTTTGCTTGGGCTATTATGGCAAAATACCACAGACTCAGTGGCTTAAGCAACAAACGTTTATTCATCACACTTCTGGAGGTTGGAACTCTGAGAACAGGGTGTCAGCATGGTCTGGTTCTGGTGAGGGCTCTTTTCCTGGCTTGCAGACAGCCACCTCCTTGCTGTGTGCTCACATGGCCTTTCCCAAGTGCATGCTGGTGGAGAGAGAGACAGAGTGCACTGCCAGGAGTCTCTACTCTAAAGGCACTAGTCCCATTATTAGGGCCCCTTTCTCATGACCTCATCTAAACCAAATTACCTCCCAAAGACCCCATCTCCAAATATAATTGCATTTGAGTTAGGATTTCAACTTATGAATATGGGGAGATACAATCATTCTATCCATAACAGATCCTGACTTTCTATCCCTTCAGATGGAGTTAATCTTTCCTCACTGAAGTACAGATTGGGAAAAATTATATGCAGTGGTTCAAAGCTACAGTGTGTGTGTGTGTGTGTGTGTTTGTGTGTGTATAATCCTGAGTCCACAGTGTTTGAATGTTGTAAACTTAGCAAGTTACTTAACTCTCTGGATCCAATTTCCTTACCAGTAAAATGAGGATGGTAATAATAGCATCTGCTACTAAAGAGTGTTGTAACAATGTAAAGCAGTAGGCACAGAGCATAGTTTTGTTTTTTTTTTTAATCAGTATAATTATGACTGTTATATAGTCTTATGTTTGGACATTTAAAAGTTTTGGTATGTAATGAAATTTGTCTCCCATATCTCCCTTGTTCCAGTGTGAAGGTACTGAGGATGCAGGCTGAGTCTTAGGTGACTCTGCATCTCCACTCCCTAGTACCATGACTGATAGTGAGCACCCAATAACCATTTGTGGAATTAATTCAAAAAGGTCTGGGGAAACTTCAAATAATTAAAGGCTATGAATGAATTTTAGGATTTGTTGAATACCTAACTAAACAGGCAGTAAATCATAAAGGCCGTTGCTTAGAAATGACTGAAATACATATTTTTGCTTGTTTATTTCCATTCACAAACACTTATTTTATTCATAACACATTTACATCATCAGTCTCTATTTTGTTGGTATGCAAGATTAAAACCTTGATGCTCTAGCATGTTTGTTCCAACACAGGCAAAGTATGGCAAATGCTCTTTGGCTGTAATACAAATCATGAAAGCTAATTGCTTTTAATAATGTGTTCAGGTAGGTAAACCACAAAGTTCCATGAGTGCTTATTACATCAGTCATAGCTTAAATGATAATACCGAGATTTTGAAATATGGTTTGTCATGAGTTCCCTTCCCACATCCACCTCCACTCTCTACTGTATGTTCTACCCTCTGGTCTGAAACTTTCTGAATTTTAATCTCACTCTGAGGCATTTCCATGACTCGTGTTTTATCATCATCCAAAGTCTTATAAGTCTACTTTACTCAAGTCTGGCCTATATGTGCTCTAGGCTGTATTAACTACAATTAGATTCCAGAGAAGTTTATATAAATAAGTAGGAAGCAAAATCAACTTAGGCATTTTTAATCTCACTTTTGTTTATTTGTCACATGTAAAAAAGACAAAATTTAGGCAAAACTCTTTCATTCACTGTTAACATTTTGCATCCTTCCAGATCAGATAAAGTTCTTTCTTTTTTTTTGGAAGCAGCAGCAGCAATCCTTGCTTATGTAAACAAACCACAATATTTCATTGACTGTTGTTGGAGTTATTCAGATAATCAAAGGAAATGCTGAGCTGCCAGGCTTCAGGGAAGCACTGGTTCAACACTGCCTAAGTCTGATAACCAGAAAATATGGACTCTCCAGGGGCCAGCTGTCTTTAATGTGGCTCAATTCCAACAATGTCCAGGCTTTGGGGAATGGCTTTTTGTTTCAGTTTCTGGGAGAGAGAGTTTGGCCACTGTGGGCTGCATGATCTTCCCTGGATAAATCAGCGCAAGCTGGGAAGGTGGGTGATGGTCCTAGAGAGGAAAGGCTTATCTGTACTCACTCCTAGACCCAATGGGTCAAGAACCCCACCTAGGGGCTCTGATTGAAATCCTTGCTTACAGCTGTGAGGCAAAGTGAAGGATGGAATGTTCTCTCCACAAGGCACAGGGGCTGTTTCCCAAATAAAGGAGGAATGCAGGGAATACAAAGAAGAAATACCCACTATACTCACTGTATCATATGCAAATCTAAAGATGCATTTATATTTTTAGAATGAAAATAGCTGCACACAGTTAGATAATATGGCTTTTTTCACTGAAAATTATGATGTGGGCATATTTTCACTTATAACCAAGTGGTTAAAATGTGGACTTTGGAGCCAGATTCCCTGGATTAAAATCTAGGCTCTGCCCCTTAATATCTTGGGTAAGATACTTAACCTCTCTATGTCTCAGTTTTCTTATCAGCAAAATAGGGATAATATCCCTCTCATGGAAATATTATGAAGATTAAAAAATGATATGCATAAAGGGCTTGGGTTAATGTTTGGCAAGTGATAATGAAATTGTCTTTGCGATTTCTCACTGACATAATTATCAGTGAGAAAATTATGGCAGTTGGGGAGAGCTGATGTAGCCTATCCCCCTCTTGCCTTCAAGTGGGCAAGCTAACTTTGGAAGACATTCAACTTAGTTTAAGTGATAATAGCCCTTCCCCAGAACTCAACTACCTTAGTAAACCTAATGAGAGACCACCAGCCTAGGGGGAGGTGAGGAGCCTAAATTCCACTAAGGTGTAGACTAGGCACAAAATATGCAACTTCCTCAATTACTTCTGCAGATAACAACACTACTGTAGATTGGCCTTTTGATGTATCCTTTCAGGTTTTTTGCATGTCTAACACCCATGGCTCCATCTGGACCCACACAGAAGCAACTCAGCACAAGAGCTCAGCTTCAACTCCCTAGGATTTCATCTCCAACCCAACCAATCAGCAGCAAGCACCCATTGCATAGCCATTTTCCCTGAATTACCTTTGCATTTTCCCTGAATTACCATTGCACAGCCCTTTCCCCTGAATTACCTTTGAAAAACCCCTTAGTAGGAGCCTTCAGTGAGGTCTATTTGAGCAATAACTCTGTCTCCTGCATGGTGTGGCCCACCTGTGTCGATTAAATTCTGTCTCTACTGCAATGCACTAGTTTTTGTGCGTAGGCAGGAAGAACTCATCAGGGTTACAATAATTCCTTAAAAAGTTATCTTCTATTAGTGAACATTCTTGTCCATACTAAGGACTAAGCTCTGATTTTTTACCTTGCTCAAATTCCTATTTAAGAAGTCTGGGCAGTCATACCCTACCAACCATGAATTCTCATCAGATGAGTTTTATTTGACCCTGTATATCACGTGACTTACTTTCCAATCTGAATCTGGAATAACAAGGAAGAAAATCAAAATATATTTCCTTGCCATACCTTGAAATTGCCCTGCAGTCTCTTGTGGGAAAAACCCACATTCTATAGGAATCCCGTTTTGCTTTGTTTTCCTTCCTTCCTACCCAGATCCAAGAGAATATCAGTTAAGAGCCAGGCACCCTTTTATGTCTGATAAGAAACATTTTACAATCTGCTCTCTCTCTGAAGTCTGCTACCTGAGGGCTTCCTCTGCACAATAAAACTTGGTCTCCACAGTCCTTTACCTTAACCTGAACATTGCTTTCCATTAATCCAAGGTCTTCAAATAAACTCAACCACTTGTCAACCAGAAAATGTTTAAATTTACATATAGCCTGGGAGCACCCCCCTGCTTTGAGTTGTTCCGCCTTTCTGAATCTAACCAATGTGGTTTTTTTTGTTTGTTTGTTTGTTTGTTTGTTTTTTTGAGATGGAGTCTCGCTCTGTCACCCAGGCTGGAGTACAGTGGCGCTATCTCGGCTCACTGCAAGCTCCGCCTCCCGAGTTCAGGCCATTCTCCCGCCTCAGCCTCCCAAGTAGCTGGGACTACAGGCATCCGCCACCACGCCCATCTAATTTTTTGTATTTTTAGTAGAGACGGGGTTTCACCGTGTTAGCCAAGATGGTCTCGATCTCCTGACCTCGTGATCTGCCCACCTTGGCCTCCCAAAGTGCTGGGATTACAGGTGTGAGCCACTGCGCCCGGCCCCCCAAACCAATCTATTTCTTAAATGTATTTGATTGATGTCTCATGCCTCCCTAAAATATATAAAACCAAGATGTACCCCAACCACCTTGGGCGCATGTTCTTAGGACCTCCTGTGGGCTGTGTCAGGGGCTGTGGTCACTCATATGTGGCTCAGAATAAGTCTCTTCAAATATTTCACAGAGTTTGACTCTTTTTGTCAACAATATGTACATCCTTAGAATTTTTTTCTGATAAATTTATTTTTAAAGTGATATTACACTTATTTTCTGTATTCTTTTCCAGAATGAAATAGTAGCTGAAAGTAAATTGTCATATTCCCCTTCAGGAACACTGTGCCAATTTCTATTCCCAATCAGCATATTAATTTCATGCATGTTAATCTTACCATATATATCACCAATCTAACCATATGTATTACCAATATTCTAAACCTTTGGCAGCCTTCTAGGAAACATATATCTCATTGTTTTTGCTATAGCACTTCTGACAAGTCATCTAGCTCCCGCTGACTGCTTCCAGCCACAGAGAGCTCTTTCCACCCATTAAGGGACAACCCCTACAGTTAGAAAGTCAGTCCACCCTTATGCTGAGCCAAAATCTGCCTGTTGAACTTCCCTGTGCATTCCTGTTCCAAGTTAATTTGTCTTTTTGCCACTCTTTCAGTCAGAGTTGATGCAGAGATTCAGGTATTTCCTACTACAAATTGGTGTTATGGGGTTAAAGAGAGCTGGGGGAACAAGAAAGAGTAGGGGGTCTCAAGAACTCAGCTCCATGTTGCTGATGCTCAGACTGTAATGAGAGGTCATTGCCAGGTTGTATTAGTGCTTTACAGGGGGAGAAATAAGGCTGATTCTGGGAGTGCTGAAGCCAAGTGGCTGCCAAGGCAATGGTCATTGCTGGAGTGACACTGATGGGAACAGGAAAATATGAGAAGGAAGTTAATTCTCCACTCTTCCTACCTTCCAATCTCCTCCAATAGCATCTTCTATTGGCAGAATTTAACCCAAAGTCAGCTAGCAAGGGTGTCTGGGAAGTAGTTTGTAGAGGCCCAGCCACAGTGTCAAATGTTACAGAAAAGAGTGAGCTAGGAAACAAAACAACCTCACCCACTCATTCCTCCTTCCTCATTTAAAATTATTCCAGAATTAATAGCAATAATTTATCCCTGCTATTTTTATTATTATTATAGCCGTAACAGATTATGAACCTTAGGACACAAAACCAAGCAAATTGGAAATGAATTTAACCTCAGTTTTCCAGTTGTATGGCTCAGTGTCAATTTTGGACATACATTATATCCCACATAGGAGGTATTAAGGTGCAGGAAACTCTGGTGTTGCAGGAAAGCATTTTACTGTGTATTCTTGTTGCAATACCACCTGCTTCCTTCTGCAACTCAGCTAGCTGAGTTGATAACTGACTGACTCAGATGCATTGAAATAGTTTAGAAGTAATCACAGACTCTTAAATCCTAAAGAACAAGCTTCTCTCTCTTAACATCTGCTAGCTCTACTGCTTTACTTTTTTGCATGGTTTCTTTCTTTTAAAACAAAAGACAAAAGGAATTGCTACAACAAGTACAATCGGGAATACATGATGTAATTGCATCAGCATGGTGGTGTGGCTGTTTCTGTGAACATATTAGAATAAAAGAAGGACATGGAAAGCTCAGCTTCTAGGGGGCTGATTTTGGAAATGATTCAACATTTGATCTAGAGCCAGTCACCTTCAATCATCTTTCATTCAAGATCTTAGTTTTCCCATCACTTGAGCAATTCTTTCTACATAAGTCCTTTGAGATCCTGGGAGAAAGTAGAGTGAGTCCAAAGGGTTTTTAATGAATGTGTGTTTAAAATATTGCAGCTGACAAGTGTGGTGATAAAGGTTGCTTTAGGCACCCCAGTGCCTGTCGATTTCTTCTCCATTTTGGTGCATACTCAAAAGAACCTAATGCCAAGTGATGGAAACCATTCTTCCTGCATTACTACCATCTGTTACCTTGGCATGCACTACAGACAGCTGAGTTGCCAGCTTTCAAGCTGTTTATTGGTGTGTCACATGGAGGAGCTATTGATGAACTAACTGGATCTCTTGAAAACTGGACATTTTTGTTTCTCTTTGAAATGTTTGTTCAATACCACACAATTTTTTTTACAGGATGTTCAATAGGCATTTATTCAATGATTTTGCTGGACTCTGACAACGGGGCAGTTTTATAATCATGAATGGGTATTTGAAAAACTTCACACCTGTGTCAACTCTCAAGCAAGCTGTAGATGGTACTAGAAAAGGATCACAAAAAGGGAAATGAAATGGTCAAGTGGAAAGAAGGATTACCCCGTGAGTAAAGACTGAGAAGGTCTATCCTCAAGTGTGCAGTCATGGAAGTAGAGAGATGTAATTAAAATTTATATTGTCATGAAGTTTGTGACAGAAGGAGGATGCTGGGAAAGTTGGAAAGAAGTAAATTTAAAATACATAAAATGGAGTCTGTCTTTGCATGCTGGGAATTAAGCTGAAGATTTCTGTTATCTAAAATATCCAAAAATGGCAGAAGCTGAATTCCAAATGATGCATTAATAACATATGTAGTCTGGGCACGGTGGTTCACACCTGTGATCCCAGCACTTTGGGAGGCTGAGGCTGGCAGATCACAAGGTCAAGAGATCCAGACCATCCTGGCCAACATGGTGAAACCCCATCTCTACTAAAAATACAAAAATTAGCTGGGCATGGTGGTGCACACCTGTAGTCCCAGCTACTTGGGAGGCTGAGGCAGGAGAATCACTTGAACCCGGGAGGCAGAGGTTGCAGTGAGCTAAGATTGTGCCACTGCACTCCAGCCTGGCAACAGAGCGAGACTCCATCTCAAAAAAAATTGAAAATTAAAAAATAAATAACATGTGTGTGTACATATATAGATATATACATACACAGTCATATAAGTATTAGAGAAGAGAAATCCAAGCTATTTGGGCAAATCTCTAATCTCAAAGGTAAATACCAAATAGATCAAAAGATCATTTACAAAGTGTCCTTTAAGTTCACTATAACAGCACAATATTAGGCCAGATGCAGCACAGGTGCAAATGATTAGTATTTCTTATTTTACCCAATGCTTGGCTGAGCTAAGCCCTATTGCCAAATACTGTTGAAAATACAGAGATTCAGCAAATAAGTAAGTTTCTAGTCCTCAGGGAGTTTATAATCAACTGGAGATGAACAGATATAAAGGTATACATGTGCATTATATATAAACACACATATCAGGTATATTTACAATTAAATACTCTAATAAAGGATGAAAGCTACAAAAAAAAAAAAAAAGATTACAAAGTCAAATGAGCATTCAGAGAAGGTGGCTATTGTACTTAGTTAAATGGAATAGGAAATACTTCTTGGAAGAGGTATTGTTTGACCTAGATCCTAATGAATTAGTTGAACTCAATCACCAGACTCAGATAAAGGAATATACCATTTCAAAAGAAACAAGAGTGAAGCATAAGGAAACCTGGAATCATGTCTGAGAATAATGAAATATCCTAACTGCCTAGAATTTGAAGTGCTTTGCGGATGAATAGTGGTGTATGATACTAAAATGACCTTTTGATGTCAGTTCATGAAAGATTTTTGAATAATATTGTTGAGGCCCACAAATTGATACCCCCAAATACGGCACTTTGACATACTGAACTATAGAGGCAAGCTCAAAGTCTCTCTGAGCTTCCCCCACCTCCTGCCTTTCAACCCTTTATCTCTCCTAAAGCACAGGATGAGGCTGTTTCCTGAAGTTCTCTTATCTACCTAGAAACTGGACTTGCCAAAGAGGAACAGTATTGCCTTTAATTCTTCCCCTGAAATTTCATTAACCAGAGAAGATTAAATCTAATATCACAGAGGAAGAGATGAAAAATTAAGTCCTATACCTAAAGCTCAGGCACACTTTGTCCCAAACTATTGTTTGTTCTCTGGCCTGTTTACTTTACAAGGAGAATCATTTACATCTAATTTCTGTCTCCTGGGTCATTCAATTTCCCTAAAAATTCTTTATTACCCCTCAAAATTGCCACATTTTCCTCATCTCCCCTTTGCCTATGAAGAAGGATATATAAGCATGTGGACCTCATTGTGTGATTGGGCTATCATTTTCCTGTGACCCCGCCCCACCATGCTTATGGACGTTAAATGAATTTGTATGCTTTTTTCTCCTATTAGTCTGCCTATTGCGAGTTTATTTCCAGTGAGCCTTCAGTGGGTAGAGGGGAAGATTTCCCTCTTTGCCTCTACATCCTAAGGAGTTTAAACTTTAAAGGTTTGGGGAAAAGAATAATGAGATCAGATTTATACAATCAATTGAAAGAGACACTAGAGATAGGAAGACAAGTCCAGGGCAGTGACGGTAGTCTCTGATTTTAAAATGTTATTGATAGAAAAGACTCAATAAATCTGTGTTAGTCTATTTTCATACGGCTATAAAGAACTACCTGAGACTGAGTGATTTATGAAAGAATGAGGTTTAA
Organism: Homo sapiens; assembly: GCF_000001405.40. Classification (NCBI taxonomy): domain Eukaryota; kingdom Metazoa; phylum Chordata; class Mammalia; order Primates; family Hominidae; genus Homo; species Homo sapiens. The sequence continues at coordinate 4,849,793 of NC_000018.10, forward strand.
TTGACTCAGTTCTACATGGCTGAGGAGGCCTCAGGAAACTTACAATCAGGGCGGAAGACAAAGGGGAAGCAGGTATTTTCTTCTCAAGGCAGCAGAAGAGAGAGAATGAAAGGGTAAGTACCACTTTTAAACCACCAGATCTTGTGAAAACTCACTCACTATCATGAAACAGCATGGGGAAAACTGCCCCCGTGATCCAAGGTCCCTCCCTTGACACATGGGGATTGCAATTGAGATGAGATTTGGGCGGGGACACAGTCAACCATATCGAAATCCCTACTAGTCGATCCATTTATTTTAAAAATTAAAAAATAAAAACTGAGGTCTAGATAGGGATACTGATTGAACCACATTTAACCAACTCATCATGGTAAATCGGAACTAGAACCCAACTTACGGGTCAAATTCAAAAAAGGAAATATCAGGGGATTAACACAAGGAACTGGATGGAGAAAGCCCTGTGAGAGTAGAAGTAGTATGCCTCATGGGCTAACTGAATATGGGGAATGACAGATGGAAGAGTCCAAAGGGACTCAGAGCTCATGAATCCTTCACCTCTCTTCCAGAGCTCTCTGCCCACCTGAGAGCCTTCACATTCACTGTCCATGTTTGTGCTGTCCTCCAGCCACCTTCCTCTCACCCCCTCAGCCCACATGTTCTTTCCTGATCTGCAACTCAAAGGTCTTCTCTGGCCCCTTCCTCTCCACACTCCTGTACTAATTTTCTATTGCTATGTAAAAAACTGCCACAAACTCCGTGCTTTAAAACAACATCGACTTTTTTAGTTCACAGTTCTGTAGATCAGAAGTCCAGCACAGCATAGTTACATTCTCTGAGACCTCTCAGGGATCACGGGGTTGAAATCCAGGTGAGGCCAGGCTAAATTCTCATCTGGAAGCCCTAGAGAAAACTCTGCTTCTGAGTTCATTCTTCTTGTTGGCAGAATTCAGACCCTTGTGGTTGTAAAACTGAGGTCCCTTGCCTGGCTAGGTGTCAGCCAGGAGCTAATCAGCTCTTAAAGTCACCCTAGTCCTTGTCACTCAGCCTCGTCCATTTTCAGGCCATTCTCATGCAGGGAATCTCCAGATTTCTTCATCTTCAACCTCTAGACCCAGATTTGAAGGGCTCTTCTGGTAAGGTCAGATCCATCGGGGACTCTCTCTAACTTAAGGTCAACAGTGTCATCTAACAAAATGTAAACATTGAAATAAAATCCATCATACTCACAGGCTTGGGGAGTAGGCAGGGTATGTACACCAGGGAGCAGGAAATTTTTGGCCCATTTCAGAGTCCTGCCTACCACACACCCCTCTACTAACAATAGTTTCTTTTCTCTCACGTAGGTTTTGGGAATGTGGTTTAATTCAATTCAGACTAATGTATAAGAACAGCTTATTTTGATAACCTTAGTCTTCAGTGACATCGGCTTATTAACTTAAAATGATTCCTTGTGGCATGTTTGGCAATGTTTTGAAGATATTTGGGGACAGGTGAGTTGGGGGGTAGAACTTACATTAAAGCGATGAGTAACTTCTTTTTTAATTTTTAATTTTTTTTTTTAGAGACAGGGTCTCACTATGTTGCCCAGGGTGCTGTCAATCTCCTGGGCTCAAATGACCCACCTACCTCAGCCTCCCAAAGTGGCAGGATTACAGTCATGAGCCACTGCATCCAGCTCATGTGTAACTTTTGACCACAATGTTCACACCACCCTATTCTCCTGGGGTTGAGGGTTCTATCATCTGAGCAAAGAAAATACACAGGAGCATTGCTCTTGCATAAGAACTACCAAGTCATATTTTTTCCTCTTTTCTTCATCCCCAGAGGCTTACTTTGCTTTCTTTGCCTCAGCATCCTCTTCAGTAATCAGGAAGTTATCCAAAAAAAATTAAACCAGTTACAATCCAATTCTTATGCAGAAAAGAAAACAACCAATCAGCCACTTGCAACATTCAGCACACTCTACATAGCAAGAGGACCATCAAGTTGCCAGATACTCTATATTCAGCCTTCCTTCTTCCAGCAATCATTTCTATAATTAGTACTGGCACATTGTGCCTAATTAGTTATTTCTGTGGCATATGGGCATGAAATGTATGTGTTCCTTAGTCATCCTACTTTACTGTTAAATTGCCTGTAGAGATTTTTCAAAAAATGAATAATTAAGCTTATTTCTTTGTCTCTTGTTTTCTAATTCCGTTAGATTCTATTCAGGTAATATAATTATACTGTATCCATGGCAACACTCATCTACATCTATAGGTAAAATCTTTTGGGGCTGCTGGTGAAATTTTTTTTATTAATCTGGCTTCAGCCTATAGACCATAAATGACAGAGCAGTTAAAAGTCACTGGTGTTAATATGGATTTAGCCTTTAAGTAGCATGGCACACTAATGCTCACATCCAATTCCCAATCAACTGTAATTTTTCCTAGTTTGACAGGAAAAAAGTACATATATATGTATATATAGATATATATATACACACACACACACCTTTTAACTACATCACAGTTTTATTCTAATAAATTGCTCAATTAGAACTAATACCCTGAACTATGTAACCCTGCTGAAATTGTTGTGATATTTTTAAGACGTTATAAACAAGAGTTTAAAATTTAAATAATGAATTTCACGAAACCCTTTAAAACCACTTGACTTCAAAATATCAAAGAATTTACCAAAAATAAGTACTCTGATGTCTTACAGCACTAACCTACAGATAGAAGTCTCATGTCCTATTTTTACCACTTTGCTGGTTGCGGTGCTGCACTGGTGATGAGTACACAGCAAAAATTTGAAGTCAGGAGACAAGGGTTTGAATTCCAATCCTATCACTTTCCAGCTGTGTGACTATGTGAACAAGTTACTAAACTTGTTCCCAGTCTTTGTTTCTTTATTTTCTTTATTTTATTTTTTTTTGTTTGTTTGAGACGGAGTCTCACTCTATCGCCCAGGCTGGAGCGCAGTGGTGCGATCTCGGCTCACTGCAAACTCCACCTCCCGGGTTCACACCATTCTCCTGCCTCAGCCTCCTGAGTAGCTGGGACTACAGGCGCCTGCCACCACTCCCGGCTAATTTTTTTGTATTTTTAGTAGAGACGGGTTTTCATTGTGCTAGCCAGGATGGTCTTGATCTCCTGACCTCGTGATCTGCCCTCTTTGGCCTCCCAAAGTGCTGGGATTACAGGCGTGAGCCACTGCGCCCTGCCTGTTTCTTTATTTTCAAAGGTAGAATACTAATCATAAAATTATGGGATCCTTGTGAAGATTAGAGATAATGTAGTTGGCACATAGTAAGTGATCAATAAGTGATACTATCATTGCTCCTCCTGGAACAGTCGTGATATGGAGCTTTTGGCTAAGGCAGACTCTTAGGCCACAGCCCAGAATTTCCGAATCAGAACGTGCAGTTTCACGAGGTCCTCAGGTTATTCATGCGCACAGTGAAGTCTAGAAAGCATTGGTACTGAAGATGGCCAACTGATGAAACATGGACATTTCACTCCAGCCACCTGCATGTTTCCATAGGTTATTTTGTAGTATATGATTTAAAACTATATTCTTTCTGATTGTTTGCATGTGTTGACATAGTTTAAGTGAACGAAATTTTCTTCTTTCCACTCCCAGACAGGCAGAAAAATAAAATGAATATATTGACTATTCACTAAATGGAAGTGGACCATCATGAAAGTCTTCATCCTGGATGCCTTCATGTTGAGTAGTCTGAGGAGGAAGAGAACAAGGAGGGGTTGGCCTTACTGTGTCAGGAGTGGCAGAGGCAGAAGAGGTGAAGAAGGTAGGAGGGGAGGCGAGAGAGATTTATTGAAGTGGACCTGCACAGTTCAAACCTTGTTCAAGGGTCAACTCTACATCTAGAGAGGAATTATAGATCCTATAATTCAAACTCCACTTACAAAGATAAGCATTTAGCAACTAAGGAGGTGAATGGGTTACTTGTCAACCTGGTATCACATGCTTCTTACTGGCATAAGGTAAATATCTTCTGGACCACAAGAGGTAATTTACAACAAATAGGTTTAAGCTTTATTTTCTCAAAGGAATGCATTATAAGCCTAGCCAGCTTAATTAATTACCATACTTATTATTTAGCAACCATTCCCAGAATGCCTACTCTAGAAAGGCAGTATACTATGTGTCTAATAGGGACAGAAAGCAGATAATTAGTGTGCAAATATGAAGTAGACAGGTTAATGGAATACTTAAGAGCTTGGGCTTTGGAGTCAGATTAAAATCCTGGTTCTAGAATCACCCTTCTTCCTTAATTCTCAGCCTTAATTACTTCATCTGTGAAATGGGGCTAATAAAACATGATTTAGAAAGTTGTGAAGAATAAGTGAAACCACATGTAAAGATAATGGCATGGAGCAAGGCATGTAACAATTGCTCAACAATGATAATATCATTTTCATTATTATTTGGTATGGTTCAGAAACTCATGGATCAGTAGGGAAGAAAACATGAACACTTCTCAAAGGAGACAGAAATCACATGTTATTTTAACAGGGACAGTTTGCTTAAAAAGAACTATTAGCTAGGTTATGTAAGAACAGAAAAGGCAAAAAGAGAATACCAGGTTATCACAGAGTTGGTAGCTACAAGAAGCAGGTCAAGGATTGTGAGAATAACCAAATAAGATGGAATCGTTAAAATTTGGAAGTTTGAAGGAGGAAAAGGCCAGTGAAATCGGAAGTGAGATCTCCGAGGAGAGAGTGCTGCTAGGCTTGTGCCTCTGACATGGGCATATTGAAGCTAATTCTGCAAATTTTGGTAAAAACTGCAAAGTGGACTCAACCCCTGCAACTGGAATGAACTTCCACTGCCTATAGTTCACTGCTACAAGAAACAGAAAGCTAAGAGGAAAGAGTGAGTCTCTCCTTTCTCCTCTAGTTTTCCTGTCTCCTGACATTGTTCCCTATTTAGACAGCCTAACAGGGAGCAGTTGGCAAAAGTGTGCTGTGGCTTGCAGAGTGGCAGCCCCAGCCAGCAGCACAGAGCAGAAGATTGAAGAACAGAAGGATTTGGAGCTGAAAGACAATAGCTTACTAAGTGGCACTGCAGGTTATTGTAATGCAAAACAGAGTAACAAGGACCATGAGAGAGTTTGCATTTTGAGGAATATGGGAATCCAGGAGAGGAAAATAATTACTTCCAGCTGGGGACATAGAGTTTGTATTATAAAGGACGTAGCATATGAGCTAGCCTTCAGAAGGAGATTAAGAATGTTCTCAGTGGTATTTTCTCCTCCTCTACTGCTCCTTTCCCTCCTCTGTGACAGTTAATATGGAAAAGTGAAGAACTGGGAAATGGCGCATCATTACTCCAGGCTTCTAGGAACCTAGCAGACAGAAGATCTCCTGAAAGAAATGGAAGTAGCCATCATGACCCCATCCTTTTTTGTTTTTGTTTTTGTTTTTTAGAGACAGGGGAAACAGAGTCTCGCTCCGTCACCCATGCTGGAGTACAATGGTGGTGCGATCATAGCTCACTGTAAACTTGAACTCCTGGCCTCAAGCTGTCCTCCTGCCTTGGCTTTCCAAAGCACTGGGATTACAGGCGTGAGCTACCATGCCTGGCCCCTGAACCCAAATTTTATAAAAAAGTTCTTCCTTTCCATTTTTGTCTGTGGTTTGCCTCTAACTACACGCAGGTTTTTTGGAAGCTTTTTATGATTGCGTCTTTGAGCAGAATAATGGGGATCGTGGATCAAATAGCAGTAAACATTAGCTGTGCAGAATTGAAGATGCTGGGTGGGATGTGCAGTTACCCACACTGCCTACAACCTCCTACCACAGTCTAGAGAGGATTCTCATTCCCCACGTTACTGAACGAGGCACACATCAACAAACAAAACGTGCCAGTGGCTTAACTCAAAAGGTAAGACCCTTTCTGGCTCACTGATGGAGCTCAGACAGCATCATGAAATTTGCCTTTACCTTCAGAAGAAAAAAGATCTCTAGCAGAAAGTACTCTGAAAAAAAATCCATTAGGATATAAACAAGGACCAAGGGAGAATTGAGATGCAGTGTCAAGGATGGAGAGAGAGTAAAGTCACCATAAGTATATTTGCATTTTCCCCATTCTAGACTAAAAATCACCTATCTTCTGTATTCTGCATTTTATTTATATCAAGAACAAGAACTAAGAGACCAATCATCTATCTATTTTTCAAGAAGAAAGTGCTTATGGACACTTGGTTTTTTTGTTTGAAATTTTTCTTTTTAAAGGTGCTATTCACATTTAAAAATGTGTGAAGGTTTTCGGATTCCTTCTCTCTCTTTTTCTAGAATACAGTATACGCAGCACACTTCTTCAGGAATCAAATAGATTTAATCAAGAGATAACAGATTCCAAGCATCTCCTTTGAACTGGGATCCCATTTACATTCTTTTCCTAAAAGGATACCAGGAATATACATAAATAGCATATTATATAGACTATTAGTTTCATGGGGCTGCCATAGCAAAATACCATAGACTGGGGTGCTTAAGCAACAGAAATTTACTTTCTCATAGTTCTGGAGCCCAGAAGTCCCAAGATCGAGGTACTGTCTGGGTTGTTTTCTCCTGAGGCCTCTCTCCTGGGCTTGCAGAGGGCCACCTTTTCTCTGTGTCCTCACGTGGCCTTTTCTCTGTGTGCACCCATTCCTGGTCTCTTCCTCTTCTTTTAAGGACACCAGCCACACTGGCTTAGGGCCATACTCCAAGGGCCTCATTTTAATTTACTTATCTCTTTAAAGACCTGCTCTTGCCACAAAAACAAACGAAAAATAAAAGAGTAACTGTGAGTTGATGAATATGTTAATTTGCTTCACTATAGTAATGACTTTACCATCTATTATGTATTCTATATCATCATGTTGTATACTTTAAATATACACAATAAAACTTACTTTAAAATAAAAAGACTTTATCTCTAAATAAGCTTGCATTCTTCAGGACTGAGGGTTGGGTCTTCAACATATGAATTTTAGGGAACACAATTCACCCTATAACAAGTGGTAATATATGTAAATATGCTAGCATAATAAGACATGACTTCCTATTAGTCTAAAATAACATATTTCAGGGACAGGCACGGTGGCTCATGCCTGTAAATCCCAGCACTTTGGCAGGCCAAGTTGGGTGGATCACCTGAGGTCAGGAGTTCAAGACCAGCCTGCCCAACATGGTGAAACCCCGTCTCTACTAAAATTACAAAGATTAGACTGGTGTGGTGGTGCATGCCTGCAATCCCAGCTACTTGGGAGGCTGAGGCAGGAGAATTGCTTGAACCTGGGAAGTGGAGGTTGTAGGCAGCCAAGATGGTACCACTGCACTCCAGCCTGAGTGACAGAGCGAGACTTTATAAATAAATAAATAAAATAAAATTTTATTTATTTCAGTATTCAGCATATTTCAGTATTGTTCAATTCTTACGAAGTTAAAATGCTAGAGGAGAAAAAGAAAATTTTCAAATGCATCTATTTAGAAGCTGGAAGAAATAACAGCAAAAGCACTAAAGATGGATGTCAAACACTGGGGGAAAATGGAATACTTTCAAAAAGTAATTTCTGTTGTTATTCTGCAAGGTAAGAAGTATTATATTGGGTTTGCCTTAATTGCATATCAAAGGGACAGAGTGAATCTCCCAGTCTAATCTAAGATCAGCACCGACTCTGCCATTTACTTGAACAAATTATTAAATTTCCTGAGTCTCCGTTTTCGTATCTGTAAAGAGGAAATGTGTATAGTACCTTGAAGAGTTCCTATGAACATGCAGGAAGCGCTATATATAAAGTGCCTGCCCCCACTAATGGTAGACATAATTTTTATTATTTTAACTGAGAGGGCTTCTGGATCTAAATAAGGCTGTAGACAGTTACCTCATTTATGTTTGCCAGGAATAGGTCACTCAAAGTGATTGTCAATGCATTGACTGTGACTATGGAGAAAGACTACACCTTTCTGTATATAATTGTTCTTCATATTAAAGGAGTAGGTCGGTGATGAAGAGTTTGCAGACATGTAGCCAAAAACTAAGACACAACAAAAACAGATAAAAGACCCTTTGCCTTAGCTGCATCCATTAGCCCAGGTGCTTCACTTGAAGGAAGAGTGACAATCATATATCTTTTGTGCAGGCTGTGGCATGCACTAATGAGATTCATTTTGCTGCCTATTAAAAAGCATTCTTTTTTTTTTTTGCCAATTAGCTACCACTGTGGATAAGTACTGCAGTCTCCATAGTGACAGAAATGGTTGGTATTTCAAAGAACCAATATCTTCAACAGAACAAAATCAATTGAATGTAAGTTTATTGAAAACAATCTCCAAATAAAATAAACATATTAGTCATTCTCAAAACAGAAAGAGTACCAGGTCTTTGTCCTGAAGCAAATCCTACTTAAGGTGGTATCAACTTCCATCAAATTCATGTTGGTGCTGAGAAATTATGAAGGAGCTGTTTCCTGACTGAGGTGCTTTTTTAAAATTGATCTCAGCCCTAAAGTTTTATTTTTTTGTTTTGAGCTAAATGCAGAATCAGCTTTTGTAGAAGGATAAAACTTGGCAATATCATAAGTTACAACTTATTTTTAATGTGTTTTGTATAGGGAACAATCTGCCAAAACTGATATTTACAGCATTTTCATTACTGATTTCAATGGACCGCTATACAATTCTTAATCTAACAATAAAAACTAAAATCTTCACATGACTTCACACTATTGTAAATGTTCTAGATATATAATATTTAAGGAAAATTATTCTAGAGAGAGATTTTCCCCTCAGTCAGCATTTTCTCTCACTCTTTTCCCTGGAGTCCCTTGACAATATGTAATGAACTTCAACACTCAAATTCATACACTGTTGGGTTTGCAATGAGGTTTTGCTTTGAAGTTTAGTTATGTCCCTACAACTGTCATATCGACTATAGTCATATGAAGCTTTTAAGGGGACATAAGAAAAACAATTGTATTATACAAGCATTTTGGATATGGAACTTTTCATGACATTTGAGATTCCCATGCACATTCTGAGTTACATAATTATTTCACTGACTATAGATTTTAAAAAGAGTACCCTTGATAGTTATGTAGCTGTGGTTTCATGCTGCTCCCTTGCTGCAGAGGTGGATAGCTATGTACAGACTCTGTTCTTCCCACCTTCTCATTTAAAAATAAACCTCTGAAGAAGTTGAATGCAAAAGCATTAGCTTAACATTTCATTAATAATTTTAATTCAAAAAAAGCAAAAGAAATATGAAATCACCCACGTGGAATGTGTTATGTTATTCAGTTCCTGTTATATTTATAAGATGATTCTTAATTTGGGAAGGAAAGATTTAGATTATCAAAATGGTATTCACTGGGAAAAAAAAAAGTTAAGTCTTGTTTGGAAATTTCCGGAATGTGCATATTTTCTAGTCAATAAAGCTAGAAAAAAATTCTCATCAAAAGGTATTCCTATACTTGATGCACTCCAAGTGAATGTATTATAGTTAATGTTATGATGTACCATATAAAAAGTAAGTGCAATATAAATATAAATGTAAGAAGTGAAGAAATGAAGCAGAATAATTTCTCAAAAGACAGTAGAAAGTACTAAACAGTGACAATAATCATTCTAGGAAAATGTTCTTCTGATAAAAGTTGTTCCTCAGCCTTCTTAACTTTTCTTAGGCTAAGTTTTACCATTCATATTGTGAATGAACTATGAGGAAAACCATTGCAATGGAAGGTATTCAAATATACTATTCAAAATTTTATACCATGTGGATGTTGCTTATGAGAAATGTCTGTGCTTCTAGCTCACATGATTATCCATCAGCATTGAAAGGAAAGACATTAAAAATATAATTTGGGTTATTTAAAACTGGCTCAGCCTCATGCTAGGAATGAAGGAAGCCAGTACAGAGTGAAAACATTGTGAGGTGGATTCCAAAGTCAGATGGAGGCAGGAAGAAGGACACTCAGCAAGTGTCAGTTTTACTTGGTCTGAAGTCTGTTTAGCTAAATCAGAATGAGAGAACAAAACAGCATATTTTATTCCATATAAGCTGAAGACAACCAAATCTACAGGTCCATGCATGTTAGCTAGTGATATGCTCTGGTTTAGGGTTCTCCAGAGAGATTGTCAGGGCTAAAACGTCATGGTGCAGAAAGTGGAGGGCTGGTATTTGACATGCCACATACCTAACCCAAGGATGCAGCCTAGGGAGAGGTCTCTTAAGTGCACATAATACAGAATTTTATAGATGAATTCGGTATATGATGCTCTTGTTAATTTGCTTAAACCATGTTTCTCTGAAGGTGAAATTCATAACAACTTTCTGTTACACCTGTATATGTGTGCTTATTAATAATAAATAAACAAGGAAGCAAAAGCAATGATAAACTAAGCAATAGAAAGGGACAGAAAGGGAGAAAATAACCAAGAGTTTGGTGAAATATTCAACCTCACAAGAAATCTAACAAGTCACTGCTTAGAGAAGACCAAGAGTATGGAGAAAGAGATCACTTTTTTGGATGTGAAGGGACTACTGAAAACTGAAGATGAAGCAGGAGCCTGAAAAATACCTGCCCACACTCCAGGCCTCACACTAAGTACAAGATAGCAGCCACCCACAGCTGGAGGAATTTGAAATCTGGGGTGCGCTGTAAGTAACTACAGCAACAGGAAAACTCAACCCCAGCTCACCTGATGGACTCAGTCACTTACACCAAGGACCTACCAAAAAACAGGTGGACCCATTTCTACTATTCTACACAAATTGTTTAGCTTTTAATCAAAAATTACAAGACACAAAGGTGGGGGGGAAAAATTAAACCACTCTCAACAGAAAAAGAAATAAATTATGACTCCTACTATGCAAGTGTTAGAAATGATATTTAGAACATGGAAATATACACATGGTGTGGTCTTGGAAGTAGAAGAAAAATTCACATTACCTCCTCATTCTCATATAAATAAAAATAAATACAATAAATTTCTAAAAGTATTACACCAAAAATAGTGCTTTTACTCAGGTGGTGAGGCTATATTTTTTTAAATGGGTTTTGCTTTCTACTTTTTCAGAATTAATGTATTATAATCATGTATTTTATATAATAGTAATATGCTCCCTTTAGGGAAAACATATATTATTATGAAAGACATATTTTTCATAATATTTTGTTATATAAAAAGAGCTTAGACTGCATGGCTACCAAAGAGGCTACAAGTAACAGACTGCTCAGTGAAAAAGAGACCAGTCACTAGTGGACAAAATGTTTAATTGTCCTGCCATGAAAAGGCTGGACAAAAAATAAAATACCCCAAAACATGATTCTTAAAGATTAGTAATGTTGTTGCTATCATCAACATTATTTGTTTAGCATTTACTAGGTGCTATAAACACTAATTATATTTGTTCCTTTAATACTCATAACTTTGTTAAATAAATGCCAATAAGATCTCTATTTTACAGATGAGGAAACTGACATGTAAAGTTTGAATATATGAAAACACCAGCAAATTATCAAACCCAATTAATATAAAGTAAATAATGAGGATGATCTGTCATTTACTGATCATGTACTATATTCTAGACTCTGATTTAAGTGACTTAGATGTTGCTTCAAAATAACTGTGTAACTTAAACTCAGAGAGTTTAATCAACTTGTACAAGGTCACACAGCCAGTAAGGGAGGGTGCCTAGATTCAAATGGAGACATATCATGCTTCAGGTTAGACTCTCAATTTCTGTGCTTTAAAGATATGACATTGAAAATTGTGAAATCTGAGCATTTTGCCAAATCCTGCTAGACAATCTGATGCATTTTATAGAATATTCCTGATTTTTGCCATGGCTTTGGATTCCGGTTGAGTGACTCTTGCTTGCTTGCCTGGTTTTAACCCATTCCCATTCAAGCTTGTTTTTCACAAAGTTTCTGGTGCAGTCTGACATGATTTGAAACCTGTGGCTATAAGGCCCTCTCTGCTATTTTGCTTTATTAATTGCAGGCAGAAGACCTTGCACTGATCTCATACCTAAAATCAATACAGCAGTATGATCTTTCAGCATTTTTTTTTATTATTTTGTTTCCAACATACTAGTGGTTTTGTTCCTTTTTAATATTTTATTTTTATTAAAATATACTCATCGTTTTAGAAAGTCATAACATTCTACATAACTAATTATAAACATCCATTGTGCTGAAGGACTTGATGAGGCTTTCCAATCTGGAACCCATATCCTTCAGTTTGAGAAATTTCCTTAGTTACTGTTTTGATAAATTTCTCCCTGCAGTTTCTTGACACTATTTTCCTGGGACTTGCTTAATTAAAAATAGACTTTTCTGAAATCATTATCTAAGTTCCTTATGTGGTCTCTCTGCTTTCTGTCTTTCATCTGTTTGCTCTACTTTCTGTGAGATTTCCTTATTTTTACCTTCTAATCCTCTTACTAAACTTTGCATTTCTAGATCTATGTATATTTGATTTCCAAGGGCTACTGTTTTGTTCTGTGAATGTTCCTCTTCTGTGCTTTCCTATTTCCCTAATGTGACATCTTCTGTTATCTAACTGAGAAATCTGAGTTACATATTTTTGTGAAGTTTTCATTTGCCTCTTGCATTGTGTCTGTTGTTTCTGAGTCTCTTGCTTTATCTCTGCTCCTTCTTTTCCGTATCAGAGGGTCCCTTATACTTTTGGTGATCCTTGGGCATTCTTCCCAGATCCAAGTGAAGGGGGAGGACAGGAATCTTACTTTTCAGTCATAGACTTTTCACTGAATCTGTTTTCAATAATGCAATCCCCCCTTAGCTATTCCTGAGAGTCTCAAGATATTGAACATCTCATAAATCTCAACTTTGTGCAGTGAGGTTTCTTTTCACTTCTTATAGTACACCAACCAATTCTCTGACATGCATGCTCCTGTACCTTCAGAAGGAATCTGTGGGTCTTATTTCTAATCTGCCTGTCCAGGCTTCCTACAGTTCCATCAAAGTCTTCAGCTTTCTCTGGACATGAATCCAGTTATTCACTCTGTGGTAATGGTGCATACATAGGCAGAATGATGAATATAAAGTTCAGAAATAAATCTAAATGCATAAAGGAACATAGTATACAATATAGTATTGCATCTCAAAAAGCTGACTGAAAGATGAACCATTTAATGAATAATGGAACAATTAGCAATGATGAAGAAATAGAGGAGTCAATTGTCACACTCAGGATAAACTCAAGTAGATCAAGATTTAAACATAAAAAAATGAAACTTTGAAAAGCTAGAAGAAAAACTTGTAATCTTTAAATAGTGAAGGATTTTCTACCTATGACCCAAACCCAGAATCCAGCTTTTAAAAACATAAATAAATTGGATTCTATGAATATAAAATGTAGCATGAGGAAAACAGTATCTTAAGGAAAGTCAAAAGACAAATATTGGGAAATATATGTGTAACACATATCAAAGACAAAAGTAAAAATTCTTTTTAATATATACAAAATTCCTAGAAATAAGAAGAAAGTAATAGAAACTCAATTGAAAATTGAACCAAGGATATGAAATTTACTTAACAGAAAAGGAAATATAAATAGCGCTGTAATGTGAGAGATGCTCAATTATTTAATGGTAAAGAAAATGAAGATTAGAAGTATACCACATTATAATTTTTTAGTCATCTGATCACTATCCAAAAGTTTCTTAACATACTTTTTTGATGAGTTTACGCAAACACATTCTCATACATTACTTATGTAAATATAAGTTACTGCTCTTCTTTTGGAGGTAAATTTAGCAAAGCTAATATTACTTTCTTAATATTTAAAATGTATATAATTATAATGCTTTTCTACTATTTCTGAGACTTTATTAGATAAATATATTTGCACATGTACAAAATGAATAAGACAGTGTTTGTTATTTCTGCGTTATCTTAATGACAAAGAAGAGAAAATTGTAGATATCTGTAATGAGGAGTCAGATTATATAGAATTTACAGAATGGAATATTATGCAGCAGGAAAGTAAATGAAGTTCTCTATGTACAGATATGAAGAGTGCTCAAAGATTTTTTTTGCAAAAATGAAATTCAACAATATGTATATTATGCAAAGTTGTATCTATAAAAAATAAAAAATATATATATTCCTATTTGTTTGTTCATACGTAAAGAACATCTGGGCCAGGCACAGTGGCTCATGCATGTAATCCCAGCATATTAGGAGGCTGAGGTAGGGGGATCATTTGAGGACAGGAGTTCGAGACCAGCCTGGCCAATGTGGTGAAACCCTGTCTCTACTAAAAATACAAAAAGTAGCCTGGCGTGGTGGCGCACATCTGTAATCCCAGCTATTTGGGAGGCTGAGGCAGGAGAATCACTTGAACCCAGGAGACAGAGGCTGCAGTGAGCCAAGATTGTGCCACTGCACTCCAGCCTGGGCGACAGAACAAGACTCCATCTCAAAAAAATAACAATCAAAAAAAATTTTTTGAAAAAGAACATCTGGAAGACTATTCAAGAGACTTGTAATACTGATTATTTGCTTTGGAGAAAGAGGAGTTTAGGAATGATAGAAAGTGGTTGGTAAAAAGAAGGGGGCTAAATATTAAATATAAAAATGAAAATACTATTGTTATATTTTTGAACTATATAAATGCATTGGAAAAGCAAAGGAATTCTATTTTAAAGTATTTTTGTTGCACTGATTTAGAAAAATCTATAACTCAGCATAAGTTCTGTTTATAAACAATGTATATATTAAAATGCAGAATAGTTTGAAAAAGATAAAATGAAGAAAAAAGAAAATTAAATGTAAATAATTGAGATCACATACAGTATGTTCTCAGATCACAAGTGAAATTGAAACAATAAAAATAAGGATATTGTAAAAAGTCTAAATATTTAATATTAACCAAAACACATCTAAGTTCCTTATGGTGTAAAGAAGAAATCACATGACAGTACAGAAAATATTTTAAATTTGATAAAAATGAACAATGTATTAAAATGTGTATGATGCACAGAAAACATGTCTAAGAAATAAGTAATACCAAATGTTTATATATATATATATATATATATATATATATATATATATATATATACGTATACGTATATATATATATTTTTTTGAGACAGAGTCTTGCTCTTTCGCCCAGGCTGAAGTGCAGTGGTGCAATCTTGGCTCACTGCAAGCTCCGCCTCCTGGGTTCACACCATTCTCCTGCCTCTGCCTTCCAAGTAGCTGGAACTACAGGCACCCACCACCACGCCCGGCTAATTTTTTGTATTTTTAGTAGAGACGGGGTTTCACCGTGTTAGCCAGGCTGGTCTCTATCTCTTGACCTCGTGATCTGCCTGCCTTGGCCTCCCAAGGTGCTGGGATTACAGGCATGAGCCACTACGCCTGGCCAAATGTTTATATTATTATAAGAAGAAAATGCAAAGTTAAAATTTTACCATTATCCAGTTTTTGAACCATCAATCAATGAACTTAGTATGCATCTTGAAAATCTAGAAAAAAATAAAAAATTAAACACAAAAGAAGCAGAAATGAAAAAATAAAAAAAACAAATCAGTAAAATAGAAAAGCAAAATAGGGGTCAATGAAACAAAAAAACTTTTTAAAAGGTTAATAAAATTGGTTTATCTCTGGCTAGACTGAGAAATGTTGAGAGAGGGAGAGAGAGATAGAATGAATGCCAAAAATAATGAAAATAAAGAGTGTTATGAGTAAAGATTTCACACAATTCTAGTTCTGGCTAAGATGAATAAACACCTTGTCTTACCACTGAATGTAAAACTGGATATACTGCATGGAGCAGTTTGAGGGCTCTGAAAATTAAATACTAGCAGGCAGATTTGGGAAGAAATCCAGAATTCAAAGACAGTCCCTCTAGCTCAAAGAGTAGGAAGGAGAACTCCTCATGCTCAGATAGAATAGGAAATCCTCAAGGTGTTTTTTTCTTTTCTCCATTCTTGTACAACCTAGCCCCTAAACAATCATCTGGTGGTGGTAGTAGAGGTCCCAGTTGGAGTCTGCAGGAAACAAAACCCTGATAGAAAGGAAAGCTCCTCTCTGATGAGCGAAGCTGTGGTGCTAAGATGGCAGGGCAAATCACCATTGCTTTTTTTTTTTTTTTTTCTAACTCTCTTCTCCCATTGTTTGTGCTCATGTCACTTAGGAACAGCCACAAAACTGCATGGCAGAGCAGATAACTAAAGCCCCAGCTTTTTAGCCAGATAACTGAAAAGAGAAACTCCAGACAGCCAGAAAATATTAAGGAGAGGGAAGAATTTTAAAAAGCAACACCGTAAAGTTGTTTATGAGCTCCCAGTCTTACCCACAGCTATGAATAAATGGATCTGATTCTAGTCAGCATATCAAAGTCTTTGAGAACTGAATTAAGAAATAGAACACTCTACAAGTCACAGATTAGCCAGTGGGTGGCACACACATGAGAAAATTCAAATAGCGCTACAAATGTTTTGAAAACTGAACTGACATTCAACCATAACACACAGAAGGCAGGAACTTGTGGTATGAGTCTAAACACATTAATTGCCCACTAACTAGTATCATGTTTAATAAAATACAGTAAGAACCAGCATGTCATAACATAATATTAAAAGTGTCTAAAATTACTCAGCGTATGAAAATCCCAACTCATCTGGGAAAAAGACAATCAACAAAAATCAAGACATGACACACATGTTGGAATTATCTAAAAGACGTTTTGCAGCAGCTATTATACAAGTGTTCCAACGAGCAGTCGTAAACCCTCTTGAAATGAATAGAAACATAGAGATTCTTAGTAAAGAAATAGAAGACTTTGAAAAAACAAATAGAAGCGTTATAACTGAAAAACACAATAACCAAAAGGAAAACCTCACTGGATGAGCTCAATAGCAGACTGGAAATGACAGAAGAGTTAGTGAATTTGAACATACATCAATGGAAATGATTTGATCTAAACAAAAGATTTAAAGTGAGATGAACTTCAGGGACCTATAAAACAGTAATATCCATATCTAATATTCAAGTCATCAGAATTCATTAAGAAGAAGAGAAAAACTGGTGCTGAAAAAAATATATAAAGAAATAATGACTGAAAACATTCCAAGTGTGAAACAGGACAGATTCAGGAAGCTCAGTGGGCCCCAAAAAGGATACACAAAGAAATCTATGCTCAGACAAATCATAATGAAATGTCTGAAAACTAAAAACAGTAAAAATATTGAAAAAGGTAGAGAAAAACAATGCATTACCCTGAGAGGGACAGCTGTTTGGTTACTGCAGATTTCTCATAAGAAACTATGAGGACCAGCATAACATTTTTTGAATTCTGAAAAAAAAATTAACCCCTCATTCTATTTCTAGTGAAAAGGCCTTCAGAAATGAAGGTGAAATAAAGACTACATTAGTTTGCAAGGACTGCTGTAACAAGGTACCATGAACTGGGTGGCTTAAACAACAGAAATTTATTGTCTCACAATTCTTTAGGCTAGCAGTCTGAAATCAAGGTGCCATCTGGTTGGGTCCTTCTTAGAGCTGGGCAGGAAAGGTCTGTTCCAGACCTCTTCCCTTGGCTTGTAGGTGAATGCTTTCTCCTTGTGACTCTTCCTGTCACTGATGCATATCTGCCTCTTTGTCTAAAGTTCTCACTTTTTATAAGAATACTAGTCATATTAGATTAATGGTAACCTCATTTTAACTTGATTATCTCTGTAAAAACCCTATTCACATCTAAATTATTGGAGTTTAGGATCCAGCATGTCTTTCTGGAGAGTACACCATCCAACCCATTCACAAATAAAGGATGGTTAAGAGAACTTGTTGCCAGGCCTGCTCTAAAAGAATTGCTAATGGAAGTTTTTCAGACTGAGGGTGAATGACAACAAAAGGAAATGTGGGATAACTGGAATGAAGGGCTGACAACAGAAGTAATAAATATCTGGGTAAATATAAAAGACTATTCCTCTCTTCATTAGCTCTTTATAATTTATTGGACAGTTGAAACAAAAAATAACATCTATTGTCATTTTGAATGTATATAAGTCAAATAAAGGATGTCTATGGTATAAAATAAAGACAGGAAAGGAACTATACAGAATAATGTTTCTACATTCCACTTAAGTAGTAAACTACTGATTCTAAGTAGACTAGGAAAAGTCAAGTATATATATTGTAACCCCTAGAACAAACGCCATACAAACCAAAGAGGTATTGTCAAAATTATAACAAATATATTAAAATGGAATACTTAAAAATGTTTCCACTTAAATATAATCCAAAAAGATGAGAGGAAATGGGAAATAGAGGTGTGAAAAACAAGGGTACAAACAAAAAACAAATGATAAAATGGTAGACCTAGATCCAAACACATCAATAATTAAATTAAGTGTAGTCAAAACACACTAATTTACAGACATGGATTGTGAGAAGAGGTTTTAAAAACATGACCCACCAATATGATGTCTATATAAATCTAACTTTCAATATAACTAGTTTAAAGTAAAAGTACCAAAAAAAGATACATCATGCGAATACTAATCAAAGGAAAATTGGAGGAATAACATCAGCAAAAGGATCAACTGTTATTAGGAGATTCCCAGTTCTTATTTCTCCATAGAAACATTGAAAGAACAACCAGAAGCTGTCTGAAACAACTTTATAGAATTTCTAAATAATAGTCAAATATTTACTGCAACCAAGCAAATGACCAAACAATAAAAAGCCATTTTCAAAAGGAAGGAAGGTTTTGTGGGGCTCTTACGCTTATTCAGGCACCTCCCTGACATGATGGCAGAATTGGTTTGCTGCAGGTAGCAGCCCTGTTTCCAACCCCTCCCTCCAAATCAGAGATTGCAGAAGAGATCTTATTGGCAAGTTATTGTGTACATCTCTTCTCGCCTGTCTGATGAATGCCCGAAGGACTTATGCAAGGCATTCATTTTGCATAATTTTGAAAACATGCAAGAAAAGTGGCAGGAACTACTCATAAAATCTACAGGACTGACTACAAACCTACAGATGCTTGGGGCAAAATATTACAAGTAGAAGCATACAATAGGCCATCTCAGTCATGCAGGAGACACTGAAGAAGAAGCTGAAGTGAGACTCCTTAGGAAATAAGGACATTCAAAAGCAGCTAGATAAATGGGGAAATTTTTTGAAACCTCGCATATACCTAGCCAAGACATATGCTCAGAGAAATCCTGGAAGACCTTAAGTTTTCATCGTGGGCTGATCCCTGGGCTCAGAAAAACTTAAGTTAATTGGTGAAGAAGTGCCTCAGCACAGGGCCAAACTGCAAAGATTAGGAGAGGGGGTTACTTTTTCTTTCTGGTGTGTGTTTGTTCATTATTATGTTTGTTTCAGGTCTTGGCATTCAAGTACATTTCTGTCAAGACATTAGGTAAACACAAGTTAAAGGAACAAAGACTTCAGTAATTACATATTAAAGCATAGCCTTTGCAAAAATATTTTGGTAAAGTCTCAAAAAAACCACAAATGGGCTACTAAAGCATTGAACAATCAAAGAGAGGGAGAAAGAGAGAATGAGAAAAAGACAAAGAGAATCTGGTTTCCAGGTTACCGCATTATAATGGTCAGAGGTCCAAATGTTACATAACAAAAAAACAAGGCATACAAAGAAACAGAAAAATACGGTTCATTCAAAGGAACAAAATAACAAAAACTATCCACGAGGAATTCCAGACATAAGATTTACCACACAAAGGCTTTAAAACAACTGGAGGAAAATTTGGCTTTAAATATGACCAAAAATCTAAGGAAAAAAATAGGCAAAGGACTAAAAGAAATTAGGAAAACAATATATTAACAAAATTAGAATATCTATAAAGAAATAGACATTATTAAAGGAACCAAACAAATTCTGGGGCTAAAAAGTAAAATAACTGAAATAAAAAATTCACTACAAGTGTGAAACAGCAGATTTGAGCAGGCAGAAAAGAGAATAAGCAAAATTGAAGATAGGACACTTAAAATTCTTGAGTATGAGGAGAAGAAAGAAAAAAGAAGAAATAAAAGTGAGTCAAAGGGACTTGTGGCACAACATAAAAATTATGGAATCCTGGAAGAAGAAAAAAAAGAGAGATAAGGAAAAGATTATTTGAAGAAATGATGGCTGAGAACTTCCCAAATTTGATGAAACACGTGTATGTACAAATACTAGAAGATCAACATACTCCAAGTAGAACTCAAACAGACTTGTACCACGACACATGATAATCAAACTGTCAAAAGACCTAGAAAGACTCTCAAAAGCAGCAAGAGAAAAGCAACTAATCACCTACAAGTGTAGGATATAATAAATTCTTCTTCAAAAGTTTTAGCCGGTGAATTGTTAAGTACAATGAGTTCTGAGATCCTCTCCAAGGAACCAATGTATCATTCAACTCCCCTGTTCTTTGTTCTTCATTTCAAAGTTTAACTTCCTCGTTCTCTTTGTCTCCTTGCCCCTAGTTTCAGTAAACAACCCCCTCCTATCCTCTATCACTTGCTCCATCCTGAGTCACCCCTTGTCACCTGCTCCATCCTGAGTCAGCTCTGGTCACCTGCTCTGACTTGAGTCATCCTGAGTCACCTATTCTGTAACCATCCTTCCTGCCAATCTACTCAACCCGCCACTCTGACTCGTACCCCTGCTCTCTTTAAAATAGCCAATTGGAATTAGCTTAGACTGTTCGGTCCAACCCTAGCCAGCAGAGGAATGACACAGCAGTAGGGGCTACCAGTGTCAGGAATAAAAACCCCTTCTTCTCTCTTGTTCAGGTGTGCTCTCACTATTGATCCATCCATGAGTCACACCATCTATAGAAGTAAAATTGCCTTGCTGAGAAAATTAATGCTCAAGTGCTATTTCTTTTGCAGCACCTAAAATTTATTTGTAATACAAGGGATTCTCATTAAGATTTTCAGCCAGTTTCTTATCAAAAATATTGGAGGAATATTTAGGAATAGGAAGCAATGAGGTGATACATGTAATGTGCTTTAAAAGATTAATTCACTTTAAAAAAGCTGTCAACCAAGTATTCTATCTCTGGAAGAACTGTCCTTCAAAAGAGAGGAAGAAATTAAGACATTCCCAGATAAGCAAAAGCTGCACAAATTTGTTATCTCTACATCTGCCCTACAACAAATGCTAAAGAGAGTCCTGCAGGTTGAAATGAAAAGACCATATGGCTTTACTAGTAAATTGTATTAAACATTTAAAGAAGAATTAACCCCAATCCTCAAACTCTTCCGATAGGAAGAACACTTTCTAACTCATTCTATGAGGTTAGCATTTCCCTGACACCAAAATGAGACAAAGTCACTACAAGAAAACTATAGAAAAATATCCCTTATAAATATTGATATAGAAATTTTCAACAAAATATTCAAAAGCTAAATTTATCAACATATTAAACAGATTATACACTATGACCAAGTGGGATTTATTTCTAGAATTATAATGATTGTTTTACATGCAAAAAGCAATGAGTGTATTATACCTCATTAACAAAATGAAAGAAAGAAAACCCACATGATTATCTCAATTGTTGCAGAAAAAGCAATTGGCAAAATTCAATACACTTTCATGATAAAAAAAAAACCACTGAAACTACTCAAACTATAAATGGAAACATACAAAACATAATAAAAGACCATAAAAGAAACCTGTGGCTAATTTCATAATCATTGGTGAAAGGTTGAAAGATTCTGCCTTAAGATCAGGAACAAGACAAGTATACCTGCTGTCACCACTTCTATTCAACATAATATTGAAAGTTCCAGCCAGACTATTTGAAGAAATAATAGCTATTATTCTTTAATATTAAATTATTCTCATTAAAGAATAATTGCAAGAAAAATAAAGACAAGAAAAAAATAAGTAAAAGGCATCCAAACTGGAAAGAGCTTATACATGAATTTAACTAAGTTTCAGTATACAAAATTAACACACATAAATTTCTATATATTAACAATAAACAATCCTAAGGGAAATTTTAGAAATCTATTTACAATAGCAACAAAAGAAAAAAAAAACCTTAGGATTAAAAGTTAGCCAAGGAGGCAAAAGACTTATATGTTGAAAACAAAACATTACAGAAAGAAATTTAAAAATATATAAACGGAAAGACATTTTATGTTCACGCATTAAAGACAATATTGTTAAGATGACAATCTATAGATTCAATGCAATTCTTATCGAAATCCTAACAAAAATATTTGCATAAATAAAAAAACCACAATCTAAAATTAATGTGGCATGACAAGGAATCCTGAAGAGCCAATGCAATTTTGCAAAAGGACAAATTTGAAGAATTCACACTTCCTGGATTCAAAACTTACTGTGGAGCTACCGTAATCAAAACAGCGTGGTATTAACATAAGGTCAGATTTGTATAGACAGACTGTGTCCTCCTAAAATATAAACTCTCAATGTGATGGAATTAGGAGGTGGGATCTTTGGGGAATAGTTAGATCATGATTGTGGAGATTGAATGAGATTAATGCCCTTATAAAAGAGACACCAGAGAGTGCCGTAGCCCGCTTTCTGCCATGTGGATTATACAATGAGAAGATGGCAGTTTGCAACCTAGAAGAGGACTCTCACCAGAATCTGACCATGCTGCCACCCTGATCTCAGACTTCCAGCCTCCACAACTGTGAGAAATAAATTTCTATTGTTTATAAGCCATTCAGTTGCTATGTTACTTTGTTGTAGCAACCCAAACTGACTAACAGATATATACGACAATGAATTCTAATTAAAAGCCCAGAAATAAAACTTTGCATATATGGTCAACTGATTTTTCACAAGGGTGTCAGATCATTTAATGGAGAAAGGACAGACTTTTCAACAAATTATATTTGGAAAATTGAATGTCCACATGCAAAATAATGAAATTGGAACCTTTTTCTTTATTATTATACTTTAAGTTCTAGGGTACATGTGCACCACGTGCAGGTTTGTTACATAGGTATACATGTGCCATGTTGGCTTGCTGCACCCATTAACTTGTCATTTACATTAGGTATTTGTCCTAATGCTATCCCTCCCCTTGCCCCCACACCCCATGACAGGCCCTGGTGTGTGATGTTCCCCGCCCTGTGTCCAAGTGTTCTCATTGTTCAATTCCCACCTATAAGTGAGAACCTGCGGTGTTTGGTTTTCTGTCCTTGTGATAGTTTTCTCAGAATGATGGTTTCCAGCCTCATTCTTTCCTTATACCATATACAAAATTAACTCAAAATAGATCAAATACTTAAATGTAAGAACTAAAATCCTAAGACTCTTAGAAGAAAACATATGGTAAATTCTCTATGCATTGGATGTGGCAGTGATTTCTTGAATATGACATCAAAAGTACTGGCAACAAAAGAAACAAATAAACTGGACTTTATCAAAATTAAAAACTTTTATGCATCAAAGTACAATATCAACAGAGTGAAAAAAAACCTCACAAATTGGAGAAGATATGTGCAAAGCATCTATCTAGTAAGGGATTAATATCCAGAATTCATAGAAGCCCTATAGCTCAACAAAGAAACCAAATACCGAATTAAAATGGCAAAAGCCTTGAATAGACATTTCTTCAAAGAAGATACACAAATGGCTAACAAGCATATGAAAAGATATTCAACATCACCAGTTTTTTTTTTTTTCTGAGACGGAGTCTTGCTCTATCGCCCAGGCTGGAGTGCAGTGGCGCCATCTTGGCTCACGGCAAGCTCCACCTCCCGGATTCATGCCATTCTCCTGCTTCAGCCTCCCGAGTAGCTGGGACTACAGGCACCCACCACTATGCCCGGCTAATTTTTTTGTATTTTTAGTAGAGACGGGGTTTCACCATGTTAGCCAGGATGGTCTCAATCTCCTGACCTCGTGATCCGCCCGTCTCAGACTCCCAAAGTTCACTAGTTGTTAATGCAAATCAAATCCACAAAGAGCTACCATTTCACATCCATGACCTAGGTTAGCTATTCTCAAAACAAATAAGCAAAATGCAGCAGAAAGCATCTAATATTGGGAAAGATGTGGAAAAATTAGAACCTTCATGTATTGCTGGTGGTGAAGTAAAATAGTGTAGCCACTATCTAAGACAATACGATGGGGCCTCAAAAATTAAATATAGGTAACTTATGATGTAGTAATTCCATCTCTAATGTATACCAAAAGAAATAAAAGCAGTGACTTCAACAAATACTTGTACAGTCATGTTCATTGAAGTGTCATTCACAACAGCCAAAAGGTGGAAACAACCTCATTGTTCATCAGCAGATGAATGGATAAACAAAATGTGGTATATCCATATAATGGAATATTATTCAACCTGAAAGAGGAATGGAATTGCGGTATATGCTACAACATAGCAGAATCTTGAAAACATTATGCTAAATGAAATAAACCAACCAAAAAAAGGATAAACATTGTATGATTCCATTACTTAAGTTACTTAGAATACTCAAATTCATGCATGCAAATCAAGTCCCAAAAGCAGAGCAGAGAGTAAACAAAACAGAAACAATACTTGAAGATATAATTGCCTGAGATTTTTCAAAACTCGCTGAAGATATCAAAATACAGAACTTACAACTCCCTACAGACTTTAAGTTAGATAGATACAAATAAAAACATACCTAGAAACATCAGAGGAAAACTTGAAAAACAGAGGAAATGAAAATCTTCAAAGTGGCCAAAGGGAGAGAAATGATACACAGCTTTCAATGAAGTGACAAAACTTTCTAGATGATCTTGCAACAGAAACAATGTAATCTAGAAGACAAGAGAATGACATATTTGAAGTACTGAAAGAAAACAACAGTCAACATAGAATTCTATACTCAGTGTAAAATAGCTACCAAATATGAAGGGGAAAAGGACAGATTTTAATCAGCTATTGCAGTAGGGAAACAAGTCCAGCATATACCAAATTCAACTTTAATTTGTACAGAGGTCATTGGGTGTTTTAAAGGCAGAATAAAGGAGTAGGGAAGTTTAGTGGGAGCTCAAGAGAGTCAGGCAAGTGAAATATTACAAAAGTTAGTCAGTATAAATGAGATTAGGCCTGCTGTTTCAGCTAGTTGGAAATTACTGAAGTTAGATTTCTATCCTCCCACAGAGCCTGGGTGGTATTGGCTGAAACCAATTAAGTTATTGCTCAGGAATTGGCTGAAACAAATGAATTTTTTTTTTTTTTTTTTGCAGTCTCAAGTTTTCTCAAGCAGGCCCTTTAAAGGGAGTGAGGTGTCATCTTCAGAATGTGGCCTTGAGCTATTACTGTGTTAGTGTTTTTAAGTCTTATAGGCCATTGTTGAGGCCTCATCTACAGGGGGCTCAGGGGAGACTGGCTAGAGTTCGGTTATGTGGAGAATCTTTGCAGTGGGGCTTATAATATATGATATATAATATGTAATATATAAAACTACAACATGTGATAGCAGTAACACAAAACACGAGAGGAATAATGGAATTCTAATGTCCTAGAGTTTTCCGGGAAGTAATAAAATTGCTAATTTATATTAAACTCTAGTATCAAATATACTTTTTATTCTTTAGTGTAACCACAAGATATCAGTAAAAGAATATAACTAGCAAGTCATTAGAGGGTAAAAAACTGAATTTAAAATATATTATTGTTTCAAAATAAGCAGAAAAAACATAAAGCAGATAACACAAACAGACAATAATATAAATACAAGTAGAACCTCATAAATATCAGGAAATAAAAATTCATAAATCATCAAATTAAAAGACAAATTACAAGGTTAGATTTTCAAAATCTCCAAACTCCAGAATGCTTAAATGGGGAAACAGGATATAAGGAGAAAGAAAAGTTGAAAGTAAAAGGATAGAAAAAGACAAGAAATGTACCAAGCAGAAAGTAATTGCATATCTTTCTTTTACATCTGATGCTAACAGTTAAAATGTAATTAAATAAAAAATACCATTCAAAATAGCAACTGAATTGTGATATACTTTGGAAAAAAAGGAATTTTATGGGCAAACTATAAAAATATTAATGAAACATAAAAATTTCTAAATAAATGGCACAATACACTATTTTTATGGACAAGAAGATTCACTATTGTAATGATAACAATTCCCCAAAAGAACCTACAAATTCAAAGGAATTTTAAACAAAACCCCAACAGGATAATTCATGCAATTTGACAAGTTGTTTCAAAATTTAAATGGAAGCGTAAAGGGTCAAGAAGTATAAAAAGTATAAAACACTCTTGAAAAAGAATGAAGTGAGATACTTGCCCTACAATAGATTGAGGCTTTTTATAACACAGTGTGGTATAAATGCAGAAATAGACAAATGACCCAACTTTACAGAATAGAGTCTAAAATTAGATCCATGCATAAATTAAAACCTATTATATTTCAGTGCTATCGTGGCAGATCATGGGAAAAGAAAGAAAAAAATGTAAAATGCTACTGGGCAATAGATGATCCATATGGAAAAAGGAACTAAAATGAGAATCTCTAAACTAAATTGTACATGGAAACAAATTTCAAGTGAATTAAATTTTGTAAAAAGCAGGACTTAAAATACATAGAAAAAATAAGACTTTTATATAATTGGGGTTAGTAAAGTGTTGGTTTTTAAATTAAAACATATAAAGTGCATATTGTAAAGAAATAATCAAATTTGTGTAATAATTTTAAAATTTTCAGTGATTTAAAGACAGTATTTTAAAGATTGAAGAACAAGACAAAAAGCTGGGAAGAGATATTTGCCCAATATTAACCACAAAAAGGATTATTATTCATAATATATATCTTTAAGGCAATAAGAAGAAAGAACAAAATGCATAACAGGCATTTTACAGAAACATAAATGCCCCAAGATAACAAGAAGACTTGTTTACCCTTATGTGTAATCAGGAAAAAGTTCAGAATGAGATGCCGTTTAATTTTTATTTTATTTAATTTTATTTTATTTAATTAATTTATTTATTTTTGAGCCCACGCCTTGCTCTGTCTCCCAGGCTCACTGCCACCTCCACCTCCCAGGTTCAAGCGATTCTCGCGCCTCAGCCTCCCGAGTAGTCGGGATTACAGGCATGTGCCACCACGCCTGGCTAATTTTTGTATTTTTAGTAGAGATGGGGTTTCATCATGTTGACCAGGCCAGTCCCCAACTACTGGCCTCAAGTGATCCACTTGCCTGGACCTCCCAAAGTGCTGGGATTACAGGCATGAACCACTGCACCCAGCCCTGA
Organism: Homo sapiens; assembly: GCF_000001405.40. Taxonomy (NCBI): domain Eukaryota; kingdom Metazoa; phylum Chordata; class Mammalia; order Primates; family Hominidae; genus Homo; species Homo sapiens. The sequence continues at coordinate 4,877,025 of NC_000018.10, forward strand.
GACACCATTTTAAATCCACATACGTAAATATAAAAAAAAATTTAAGTCTTATAAACCAGTTGCTGCATGACTGTATTGCAAAGAAGACTTATGTACTGTTGCAAACTCATAGAACCACTTGGAAGACTACTAATTCAGGTTGAAGATGCATATTCTACAGAATCCAGCAATTCAAGTTTCTGATATGCATACACTAGAATAAAGCCTTGCACACCTTGTATGCCTAAGGGCATATAAGGTCCATGGCAACATTGTTTAAAATAACAGGAAATTGGAACTTACCCAAATGTCCCTTATCATTAGAAAGGTCACCCGCAAAAAAACAGGATAGTATAGTCCTATAATAAAATACTATATACCAGTGAATAAGAACATTGATGAGCAACACCAGCAGAATATTAAGAGGGAAAATGTCAAACAAAACTGTGCATGTAGTATTATTATTTATATAAAATATAAAATTTCTATGTGGTTTAGGACAAGTTAAATATATAGAAAAACTATAAATACAATCATCAAGGGAATGAGAACCAAAAATTCCAGGTAGCAATTACTTCTGAATGGAGGGAGGGATACTCAAATGATGAAAAGATATACAGCAGGCTTCAATGGTAGAGTTAATGTTTTGCTTCTCAACCTAGGCGTTGGCACTAGGAAATGTGCATTCTATTTTTCTGCATGCTTTCCATATTTGCCATATGCCTTCTAGTGTACATATAAAATATTTCATAATGAATTTATAAAACAAGGTAAATCGGCCGTGTGTGGTGGCTCACGCCTGTAATCCCAGTACTTTGGAGGCTGAGGGGGGCGGATCATGAGGTCAGGAGATCGAGACCATCCTGGCTAACACGGTGAAACCCCGTCTTTACTAAAAATACAAAAAATTAGCCAGGCGTCGTGGCAGTTGCCTGTAGTCCCAGCTACTCGGGAGGCTGAGGCAGGAGAATGGCGTGAACCTGGGAGGCAGAGCTTGCAGTGAGCCAAGATCATGCCACTGCCCTCCAGCCTGGGCGACAGAGTGAGACTCCATCTCAAAATAACATAACATAACATAACATCATAACATAACATAACATAACATAACATAACATAACATAACATAACATATCATAAAATAAGGTAAATCAACGTCAATACTTCACAGTATAAAATGTTTTAAAAATTCAAAATTTTACAAAATTAACGTACATAAGCAATTATGGTACGCAAGTAATTCTTCCAGAGCCAAACTATATAGATCAAAGATGGGTGATTGTTGTGAACACTGTATGTTGCCCATACAATATCATTTTCTCCCTGCCTCATTCCTAATAAACCTTGACTTTTTCTTGTCTGCATTTAATATCCAGATACAGAGAGGAATTCTGCATAAACCTCAGCAACAGTTATTTGAATAGGAAGACATAGGTGACCTGAGTTGGACAAATTAATTTTACTCAATCAGTCTGAAGTTTAGTTAATTTAAAAAAAAAACATTCAAAATAACTTAATTGCAATATATTTTGGAAAAAATGTAATTTTATGGGCAAATTATAAAAATACTATTTTGGACTTATATTCGTTGCTTGGAAAGAAGTTTCTTCCCTTTCTGCTGCACATAAGCAAGGATTCACATAACACCGACTGCCACTGATGGCCATCTTGTGGCCGGGGGGTAGCCAGGCATGGGTCGAAGACAGTTTAGAAAGTCTCAATGGAAAGAAAAGGATCTGGGTCCCTAAAGACAACACTGAGATGGCCCTATCTCTAGATTTCCACATATTCAAGTTAGTAACCTTGTGGTTTAAAGGCAACTTGAATGAAAGTTTCTGCATTTGCAAATGAAATCAGCTTGATTAGTATAAGAACACCATGAAAAATGTGGGGCTCGAGACAGAGATTGAAAACAAGTAGGTCTAGATGGACAAGGACTAATGGGTAGGGCATCAGTTGAACAAAACTTGTTTTTAAATGTAATTGATATTTTGTTGCGTTGATCCTAGATAGTAAGCTTGCCTGTACTCCATGTTAGTTACCCCTCCCCAGGAGGGGGCCCCATTTGATCAATGTGGTTAATGTGAACTGTGAGCATCCTTTCTCTTCCTCTGAGGATAGTACACACTTTGTGGCGGTGGAAGGAAGGATGAGGTAAAGCTGATTTCTTCCTTTCCCCATACCTGTTCATCCTGATTCATTTCCTGTGATTTCCATGCTTGAAAATTATTCTGAAAACTCAGGTAACTCAATATGCAAATAAGAAAATGGTCAACTTTAATCTTATGTCTTTCTAAAGTAGAAATGGAACTCTGACATTGAGAGGGAGTCTTACGTAGTAGTCACATAAGCCTAGGTTTGAATTTTAGCTCGACAACTTATTAGACGTCTCATGTGAATTGGTTGCATGATCTAAGTCTCCATTTGTAAGATGGGGATAAATACACTGTGATGAGATTCGAGACTGAAGTGATTCAGCTTATGTAAAGTACCTACAAATGGGAACCACCATAAATGCCAGCCCTTTTTCTTCCCCTCTAGTTATGAAGCATTTCCCTGGCACATCTGCTGTGTTACACTATCATTTATAAAGACAATATCATTAATTTGAAGAAGGTGAACATCATATTGCCCACGTAAGAAGTACTTACATTACCCATTAGCACATAAAATTATCACTGAAATGATTATATGTAATATATGTGAGCTAAATGAACAATCACGTTTGCATTACTAAAGTTATACAAATATCTCAAAGACTCTAATAAAGTACAGAAATTATTTTTTTTACTTCAGAAATTAAATTTTAAACATTTCTTTCAACTGAAATTTGAATGACTCGGATCATTTAAATAGAACTCAAATAGAACATTTTGGTAGAAAACTAAAATTCACAAATCCTCATGATGAGCTTTGAAATACAACTTTCCTTGGGCAGTATGGCCATTTTCACGATATTGATTCTTCCTATCCATGAGTATGGAATGTTCTTCTGTTTGTATCCTCTTTTATTTCGTTGAGCAGTGGTTTGTAGTTCTCCTTGAAGAGGTCCTTCACATCCCTTGTAAGTTGGATTCCTAGGTATTTTATTCTCTTTGAAGCAATTGTAAATGGGAGTTCACTCATGATTTGGCTCTCTGTTTGTCTGTTATTGGTGTATAAGAATGCTTGTGAATTTTGCACATTGATTTTGTATCCTGAGACTTTGCTGAAGTTGCTTATCAGCTTGAGGAGATTTTGGGCTGAGATGATGGGGTTTTCTAGATATACAATCATGTCATCTGCCAACAGGGACAATTTGACTTCCTCTTTTCCTGATTGAATACCCTTTATTTCCTTCTAGATTCAATGCCATCCCCATCAAGCAACCAATGACTTTCTTCACAGAATTGGAAAAAACTACTTTAAAGTTCATATGGAACTAAAAAAGAGCCTGCATTGCCAAGACAATCCTAAGCCAAAAGAACAAAGCTGGAGGCATCACGCTACCTGACTTCAAACCATACTACAAGGCTACAGTAACCAAAATAGCATGGTACTGGTACCAAAAGAGAGATACAGACCAATGGAACAGAACAGAGCCCTCAGAAATAATACCACACATCTACAACTATCTGATCTTTGACAAACCTGACAAAAACAAGAAATGGGGAAAGGATTCCCTATTTAACAAATGGTGCTGGGAAAACTGGCTAGCCATATGTAGAAAGCTGAAACTGGATCCCTTCCTTACACCTTATATGAAAATTAATTCAAGATGGATTAAAGACTTAAATGTTAGACCTAATACCATAAAAACCCTAGGAGAAAACCTAGGCATTACCATTCAGGACATAGGCATGGGGAAGGACTTTGTCTAAGACACCAAAAGCAATGGCAACAAAAGCCAAAATTGAAAAATGGGATCTAGTTAAACTAAAGAGCGTCTGCACAGCAAAAGAAACTACCATCAGAGTGAACAGGCAACCTACAAAATGGGAGAAAATTTTTGCAATCTACTCATCTGACAAATGGCTAATATCTAGAATCTACAAAGAACTCAAACAAATTTACAAGAAAAAAAAAAACCCCATCAAAAAGTGGGTGAAGGATATGAACAGACACTTTTCAAAAGAAGACATTTATGCAGCCAACAGACACACGAAAAAATGCTCATCATCACTGGCCATCAGAGAAATGCAAATCAAAACCACAATGAGATACCATCTCACACCAGTTAGAATGGCGATCATTAAAAAGTCAGGAAACAACAGGTGCTGGAGAGGATGTGGAGAAATAGGAACACTTTGACACTGTTGGTGGGACTGCAAACCAGTTCAACCATTGTGGAAGACAGTGTGGCGATTCCTCAGGGATCTAGAACTAGAAATACCATTTGACCCAGCCATCCCATTACTGGGTATATACCCAAAGGAATATAAATTCTGCTGCTATAAAGACACATGCACACGTATGTTTATTGCAGTACTATTCACAATAGCAAAGACTGGGAACCAACCCACATGTCTGTCAATGATAGACTGGATTAAGAAAATGTGGCACATATACACCATGGAATACTATGCAGCCATAAAAAATGATGAGTTCATGTCCTTTGTAGGGACATGGATGAAGCTGGAAACCATCATTCTCAGCAAACTATCACAAGGACAAAAAACCAAACAGTGCATGTTCTCACTCATAGGTGGGAATTGAACAATGAGAACACATGGACACAGGAAGGGGAACATCACACACTGGGGCCTGTTGTGGGGTGGGGGGAGTGGGGAGGGATAGCATTAGGAGATATACCTAATGTAAGTGATGAGTTAATGGGTGCAGCACACCAACATGGCACATGTATACATATGTAACAAACCTGCACATTGTACACATGTACCCTAGAACTTAAAGTATAATAAAAATTTTAAAAAAAAGAAATATAACTTTCCTCGCCATTCACAAAATAAGAATTTTTTTCTTTTGTCTTCAACATATCTACTGTGATGATTACTTTTATGTGTCAGCTTGGCCAGGGCTATGGAGACAGGGTGTGTGATCTAACATTTGTCTAGATGTTGCTGTTAAGGTTCTACTTTACTTATTTTTTTATTTTTTTATTATACTTTAAGTTCTAGGATATATGCGCACAACGTGCAGGTTTGTTACATAGGTATACATGTTCCATGTTGGTTTGTTCCACCCATCAACTCATCATTTACATTAGGTATCTCTCCTAATTCTATCCCTCCCCCACCCCCCCACCCCTTGACTGGCCCCTGTGTATGATGTTCCCTGCCCTGTGTCCATGTGTTCTTATTGTTCAACTCCTACCTATGAGTGAGAACATGCCGTGTTTGGTTTTCTATCCTTCTGATAGTTTGCTTAGAATGATGGTTTCCAGCTTCATCCATGTCCCTGCCAAGGACATGAACTCATCCTTTTTTATGGCTGCATAGTATTCTATGGTGTACATGTGCTACATTTTTTTAATCCAGTCTATCATTGTTGGACACGTGGGTTGGTTCCAAGTCTTTGCTATTGTGAATAGTGCCGCAATAAACATATGTGTGCCTGTGTCTTTATCGTAGAATGATTTATAATCCTTTGGGTATATGCCCAGTAATGGGATTGCTGGGTCAAATGGTATTTCTAGTTCTAGATCCTTGAGGAATCGCCACACTGTCTTCCACAATGGTTGAACTAATTTATACTCCCACTAACAGTGTAAAAGCGTTCCTATTTCCCCACATCCTCTCCAGCATCTGTTGTTTCCTGACTTTTTAATGATCGCCATTCTGAGTGGCATGATATGATATCTCATTGTGGTTTTGATTTGCCTTTCTCTAACGATCAGTGATGATGAGCTTTTTTTCAGGGATGAAGCTGACTTGATCATGGTGGATAAGCTTTTTGATGTGCTGCTGGGTTCGGTTTGCCAGTATTTTATTGTGGATTTTCGCATTGATATTCGCAGGGATATTGGTCTAAAATTCTCTTTTTTTCTTCTGTCTCTGCCAGGCTTTGGTATCAGGATGAAGCTGGCTTCATAAAATGAGTTAGGGAGGACTCCCTCTTTTATCTATTGATTGAAGTAGCTTCAGAAGGAATGGTACCATATCCTCTTTATACCTCTTGTAGAATTCGGCTGTGAATCTGTCTGGTCCTGGACTTTTTTTGGTTGGTAGGCTATTAATTATTGCTTCAATTTCAGAATCTGTTATTTGTCTATTCAGAGATTCAACTTCTTCCTGGTTAAGTCTTGGTAGGGTGTATGTGTCCAGGAATTTATCCGTTTCTTCTAGATTTTCTAGTTTATTTGCCTAGAGGTGTTTATATTATTCTCTGATGGTAGTTTGTATTTCTGTGGGATCGGTGGTGATATCCCCTTTATTGTTTTTTATTGCATCTATTTGATTCTTCTCTCTTTTCTTCTTTATTAGTCTTGCCAGTGGTCTATCAATTTTGCTGATCTTTTCAAAACAGCAGCTCCTGGATTCACTGATTTTTTGAGGGGTTTTTTTTGTATCCCTATCTCCTTCAGTTCTGCTCTGATCTTAGTTATTTCTTGCCTTCTGCTAGGTTTTCAATGTGTTTGCTCTTGCTTCTCTAGTTCTTTTAATTGGGATGTTAGGGTGTCGATTTTAGATCTTTCCTGCTTTCTCTTGTGGGCATTTAGTTTCCCTCTACACACTGCTTTAAATGTGTCCCAGAGATTCTGGTGTATTGTGTCTTTGTTTTCATTGGTTTCAAAGAACATCTTTATTTCTGCCTTCCTTATTAACCCAGTAGTCATTCAGGAGCAGGTTGTTCAGTTTCCATGTAGTTGTGCAGTTCTGAGTGAGTTTCTTAATCCTGAGACCTAATTTGATTGTACTGTGGTCTAAGAGACAGTTTGTTGTGATTTCTGTTATTTTACATTAGCTGAGGAGTGTTTTACTACCAATTATGTGATCAGTTTTAGAATTAGTGTGATATGGTGCTAAGAAGAATGTGTATTCTGTTGATTTAGGGTGGAGAGTTTTGTAGATGTCTATTAGGTCTGCTTGGTCCAGAGCTGAGTTCAAGTCCTGGATATCCTTGTTAACTTTCTGTCTTACTGAACTAATATTGACAGTGGGCTGTTAAAGTCTCCCATTATTATTGTGCGGGAGTCTAAGTCTCTTTCTTGGTCTCTAAGGACTTGCTTTATGAATCTGGGTGCTCCTGTATTGGGTGCATATATATTTAGGATAGTTAGCTCTTCTTGTTGAATTGATCCCTTTACCATTATGTAATGGCCTTCTTTGTCTCTTTTGATCTTTGTTGGTTTAAAGTCTGTTTTATCAGAGACTAGGATTGTAACCCCTGCCTTTTTTTCGCTTTCCATTTGCTTGGTAGATCTTCCTCCATCCCTCTATTTTGAGGTTGTGTGGGTCTTTGCACCATGAGAGGGGTCTCCTGAATAGAGCACACTGATGGGTCTTGACTCTTTATCCAATTTGCCAGCCTCTGTCTTTTAATTGAGGCATTTAGCCCATTTAAATTTAAGGCTAATATTGTTATGATTGAATTTGATCCTGTTATTATGATGCTAGCTGGTTATTTTGCCCGTTAATTGATGCAGTTTCTTCATAGCGTCGATGGTCTTTACCATTTGGCATGTTTTTGCAGTGGTTGGTACTGGTTGTTCCTTTCCGTATTTAGTGCTTCCTTCAGGAGCTCTTATAAGGCAGACCTGGTGGTGACAAAATCTCTCAGCATTTGCTTGTCTGTAAGAGATTTTATTTCTCCTTCACTTATGAAGCTTAGTTTGTCTGGATATGAGATTCTGGGTTGAAAATTCTTTTCTTTAAAAATGTTGAATATTGGCCCCCCACTCTCTTCTGGCTTGTGCGGTTTCTGCCAAGAGATCCACTGTTAGTCTGATGGGGTTCCCTTTGTGGGTAATTCGACCTTTCTCTCTGTCTGCCCTTAACATTTTTTCCTTCATTTCAACCTTGGTGAATCTGAAAATTATGTGTTGTGGGGTTGCTCTTCTCAAGGAGTATCTTTGTTCTACATATTTACTGAATTTGAATGTTGGCCTGCCTTGCTAGGTTAGAGAAGTTCTCCTGGATAATATCCTGAAGAGTGTTTTCTAACTTGGTTCCATTCTCCCCGTCACTTTCCAGTATTCCAATCAAATGTAGATTTGGTCTTTTCACATAGTCCCATATTTCTTGGAGGCTTTGTTTATTTCTTTTTGCTCTTTTTTCTCTAATCTTGTCTTCTTGCTTTATTTCATTAATTTGATCTTCAATCACTGATATCCTTTCTTCTACTTGATCAGATTGGCTACTGAAGCTCGTGTATGCGTCACGAAGTTCTCGTGCCAGGGTTTTCAGCTCAGTCAGTTCATTGAAGGTCTTCTCTACACTGTTTATTCTAGTTAGCCATCCATCTTACCTTTTTTTAAGGTTTTTATCTTCCTTGCTATGGATTAGGACATGTTCCTTTAGCTTAGAGAAGTTTGTTATTACCGACCTTCTGAAGCCTACTTCTGTCAACTCATCGAATTCATTCTCTGTCTAGTTTTGTTCTCTTGCTGGTGAGGAGTTGCAATCCTTTGGAGGAGAAGAAGTCCTCTGTTTTTTGGAATTTTCAGCTTTTCCGCTCTGGTTTCTCCCCATCGCTGTAGTTTTATCTACCTTTGGTCTTTGCTGTTGGTGACCTACAGATGGGGTTTTGGTGTGGATGCCCTTTTGTTGATGTTGATGCTTTTCCTTTCTGTTTGTTTGTTTTCCTTCTTACAGTCAGACCCCTTAGCTGCAGGTCTGTTGGAATTTGCTGGAGGTCCATTCCAGATGCTGTTTACCTGGGTATCACCAGCGGAGCCTGCAGTACAGCAAATATGGCTGCCTGATCCTTCCTCTGGAAGCTTTGTCCCAGAGGGGCACCTGCCTGTTTGAAGTGTCTGTTGGCCCCTACTGGGAGATGTTTCCCAGTCAGGCTACAGGGGGGTCAGGGACCCACTTGAGGAGGCAGTCTGTCCGTTCTTGGAGCTTGAACGCCATGCTGAGAGAACCACTGCTCTCTTAAGAGCTGTCAGACAGGAACGTTTAAGTCTGCAGAAGCGGTCGGCTGCCTTTTGTTCTACTATGCCCTGCCCGCAGAGGTGGAATCCATAGAGGCAGCAGGCCTTGCTGAGTTTCAGTGGGCTCTGCCCAGTTCGTGTTTCTGGGCCTCTTTGCTTACACTGTGAGCTACTCAAACCTCAGCAATGGTGGGCTCTCCTCCCCCATTCCAGCTGCAGCATTGCATGTCGATCTCAGACTGCTGCACTAGCAGTGAGCAAGGCTCCATGGGTGTGGGACCTGCCAAGCCAGGCATGGGAGGGTATCTCCTAGTCTGCCAGTTGCTAAGACTCTGGGAATAGCACAGTATTTGGTCAGGAGTGTACTGTTTCTCCAGGTACAGCCTGTCACGGCTTCCCTTGGCTAGGAAAGGGAAATCCCCTGACCCCTTGTGCTTCCCAGATGAGGCGACGCCCCACCCCCCTTGGCTCGCCCTCCATGGACTGCACCCACTGTCCAACCAGTCCCAATGAGATGAACCAGGTACCTCAGTTGGAAATGCAGAAATCACCCGTCTTCTCTGCCAATCTCCCCAGGAGCTGCAGACTGGAGCTATTCCTATTCGGCCATCTTAGAAGCAACCTCAAGGTTCTACTTTAAATGTGATTAATATTTAAATCAGTAGACTTTGGGTATATTACGCTCCCTGAAGTGGGTGGGCTTCTTATGCTCCCTGAAGTGGGTGGGCTTCTTATGCTCCCTGAAGTGGGTGGACTTCATTCATTCAGCTGGAGGCCTTAAGAGCAAACACTGAGATTTCTTGAAGAAGGAATTCTGCCTCAAAACTGCAACATGGAAATCCCACCTGAGTGCTCAGCCTGCAGATTATGAACTCAAGACTGAAACATAAACTGTTGTCTGAATTCAGACTTGTGAGCCTCTCCATTCTCTTTCTCTATCTCTTGTTAGTTCTGTTTCTCTGGAGAATCTCAGTCATCTACTGATTTCACAATGAGAAAAAAAATCTTAAAAGTTAAAGCTGAACTTTCAAGTAAAAGCAACCCACATTCATCCCTTACTTAATTCATTATTTATAATAGTGGTCTAGCATGTGATACTATTTATGAATTTCTAATTATTGCTTATAAACTACTTTTACCCCTAAACAAGCTCAGATGATCCTTCAAGAATTAGTCATACTCTGTACTTCTGTAGGAAACCCTGTTCTCCTGATCCCCATCATACCTAGAATTTGCCAGTGGAGATGTCCCCAAACAAGTTTTGACAGATTAAATACTAAGTGAATGCGTGCTTTATAAAGCACTTTAAGAAATATAAGACAAGGGAATTTTGTCCCAGAGCCATTATCATAGTTCTGCTTGCACAGATGTGTAAAGTTAAAAGACAACAGGGGAAAGCACTTAGTTTTCATAAATATCTTAATTCTGAATTATGTTTCCTGAACTAGCTCATTTTCTAGTTGATGAAGCCTGCTTATAGGAAGTAAATCCAATTTATTGAATGGAATTTTCTATTGCATAACCTGATAAGCTATGGTTGCAATATAGAAAAGCCTCATGGAGGCCTAAAATGTATTAACAATTTACAGTAAACAGAAAGGCTTCTACAGGATTGAGAGTTCTTGGATACTTTTCCATGAACCTGAAATTGATTTCACCTGTAGCACACACAATACATTTCTGTGAGGTCACCATTTATTTCTCGTTTTGTTATAGCCAGAGCACATCTACAAGCAGTGTTTGTAGAGGACTAAATTCACAGTGATACTCTAACATGGATATCATGACGTTTTGTCTTGATGAGGGCATTTTCAAATAGGTGGGAGGAAAAAAATTTAAAAAATAAGCCAACTTGTTTTTGTTACCATAGATATTTTCTAATATAGCTTTTTGGTTGCCTAATGTTTATCACTATGGCTCCTTAACTTGGTGTGTGCAATGAACTTGATATCTGTGAGAAAGAAAAGGAAAATCTGTTTAATTGTCTCAGCTCTTCCTGTACTTAGCTGTATGACTTTGGGAAGATAATTTGACATTTCTATGTGTGTGCTTTTTTTTTAATGGCAAGATAAAACTAGACCTTCAATACATTATTTACCGAATTAGTATAAGAATATAATATTAGAATATAGGGAGATAACGTGAGCATTTTTTATAAAACATTAATTAATGAATATAAATGATTATTACCCAGGTTTTCCAACATCCTAACTTGATTTGTGTAATTTTTAGAAATATTAAAGGAATGACTTTTGACGGATGTTTCTTGAATAGGAGTGTTTCAAACTTGATTAATGTGCTGAGGGTTGATTTATGTTTTAAAAGCCTGTGAGCAGGTCGAAAATGAAGAGTCAATTAAAGCTAATCCGGTCTCCTCCTACTCAACCTGTCCAGTGTCTATGAAATCGAGCCTAAACACTACTTCCTGGGGATTAATTCCTCCATTAATCATCATCAGTGATTATTTATGGGCCCCACATACCACAGTGGTGCCACAGCTGGTATCCTTAGGGTGGTTTGTTAATCTATAAGACATTTGGCATAGGCAGGTGGTTGTTTTTGATAAAGTCTTCATTTAAAAAAAAAGCAGGGTTATGAATGTGGGTTGTTAAATCTATGTTTTTGTGATCACCAGATGCTTGTTTTTCAAAGGCAGTTCTCAAAGTGTCCTAGAGGTGTTCCTGCTGACTGTAGAGTCCATGAGAGATCACAGACTCGTGAAGGGAGTTATTAGTATGCAAACTTCATGGATCTGTGTGTCTGGATACATTTCTAGGCAAAAGATTTACAGCTGCTATCACACTCTCTAGGAAGCCAGTGACCTGTGTAATGAAAGTAGCTCTATAATAACACACCCTCATGCTACAGAGAGTGTTTTGAGGACCTGCTGTGTATGATGTGGGAGAATATTCGCCATAATAGACTGAGAAAGAAAAGAAATTTGTTATCTGATGAATATGAGTCCCCTTTAAATTATCAGGTCCAGAGAGGCATTGAAATGTGACATTAGTCGTGTCTTACTTCTCCTTTAAGCTAAGTAATCACCTCTTGAAGCTATTTGCTACATGAACTCTACACTAACTGATGTCAAGTAGCTGTAAATTAACTTAACAATGCCATACACTGGATGTCATATCTCATACCTCACAGTTTAATAATGTATAGCCAATCACTAATTAATGTTACTTCTGTAAACCAATGAGAATTCCTGAAAAGCAACTTCTGTAATCAACCCTTCTCCTGATTTGTCCTTTTTTCTCTGAAAACAAGCCTCTCCTTTGTTCTCCAGAGTATTTCCCAGTGTTTTTTGAGCTGCAGTCTTCAACCTTGGCCCAAATAAACTCTCTACTGATACTAATTTGCCTCCGTTTCTTTCTTCAGGTCGTCGAGATGTTCTGAATGTCAAGGTAAATATCAGAAGCTCCTTTCACTGACTTTTCTGTTTTCTCAGCAGAGACTCAGTTTTTATTTTAAAATTTTCATTTACTACTTTCTTTATTACTTTAAGTGTTTGACAACATTTTAAAAAATCTAAAATATCTTATATGTAGAGACTATAAAATGTTTAGCTGAGTGATTCATGTCAAACACATAGTCACTTCCAGATACATTATCGTTATTTAAAAAGTAATTTAAAATTGCCTTTCTGAATAGATTATCAACTCTCTAGTCAGGATCATTGTCTAAACTTTGGGATGTTTTTCTAAAACACTATGTGAAACTACATTTTATACAGTATATATCAGTAAATATTTTATAATTTTTACTGATTATGCCATAATCCTAGATAACACTGTCCATTTAAAAGATTAACCTTCACACTATTTTGTGTTTTGGTCTTTATTTCAAAGTCCTAACAGATAAATCTTTAATGCTTAATAGGTGGGCATTGCACTAGAACTAGTATAATGATAAAATATTTTGTTTCAACTTATTTGACCAAATTGAGTCATTTAACTTCTACCTTTCTATGTTGATGAAACCAATGATTATAAGTTAATTTGGTCTTGGTGCTTGAAGACCAAAAATGTTTTTTAAATGTCACATTAATGATTCTGTGTAAGTCAAAGTTTCTGCCTGTTTCAGTGTGATTATTCTCTTAGCAGTCATTACTAATAGATGCTATTTCTGTGTGTGAAAATCTCAGTATAGCCCATTTAATCTTTGTGAAATTTAAGAACATTTTAAAAGTAGTTTTGAGAAGCTAGAAGATAAGGGTTGGGGCATTTAATCTGGTCTACATTGTAAGACTTTAGGATTTATTTCAATTGCAATTACATAAATGGTGTTTTGCAGCATTCAGAGCAATTCTGAATTCAGAAGGCTCTTTATCAAGATAGGGGTTGGGTTCGGGGCCCATAGCTGCCATGCGCTGTACAGAGTCCTGACATCATGACCCATTTGAGTGTTGCAGATCAAAATGAAACAGCATTTCTTCCAGAAGCTCACACTACAGCTATAAAGTTATGAAAATATTCTGAGGGCAAGTGATGAGTACTGAAAAAAAGAATTGCTGATTTAGAATTTAGATAAGCTATAGGTAATACTCAAGATTAAGAGCAGAGATTTAAAATCAGTACATACTTCTTGCACTTTCTTTGGTTCTCCAAGTAAAAAACTTTTACAGTTTTATTTTATCTGTTTTATTAGGATTGAACAGTTGGATGGTCACTTACATTTGGTTTTATCTTTAAAATTTTATAGTAATAAATCTGGAATCCTTCACATTTGCATTGCTTGACATGGATTAATGATGTAAATTAGGTATTTATCCAAACATTGAGATTAGACATAGAAGAAGATATTCATAGAGGTAGACCAACATCTTTCGGGCTATAATTCTGAGAAGAAATGCCTCAGGTATTTCATAATGATAATTCTGAGTGCTTTTCCAAATCCCAAAGAAGGTGATGTACTTGCACAAAGTCCAAAAGAAACTCTCTGTGTGTGTGTATGTATTTGAGTTCTCTAGGAAAAACAGTTTTTAACTAGGAGACTTCATAGTTCCACTTGTCTCACTTTCTTGTATCTTCAGAAAGTATCTCTAATACTTATCAAGTGATGTTTGCTGCTATGATGGTAGGGGAGGCAGGTTAAAATTGGAAATGTAGAAACAACTTAAATGTCCATTGACAGATGAATGGATAAATAAAATGTGATATATACACACAATGGAATAGTATTCAGCCTTAAAGAGAAATGGAATTCTGATACATGCTACAACATGACTAAATCCTGAAAACATTATGCTAAGTAAAATAAGCTAGACACAAAATGACAAATACTGCCTTATTCCACTTATTTTGTTTGTTTGTTTTAGGTATATTTGTTTGTTTTTTCGTTCATTTTTATTTTTGAGACAGGGTCTCACTCTGTCACCCAGGCTGGAGTTCAGTGGCATGATCTCAGCTCATTGCAACATCTGCCTCCTGTGCTCAAGTGATCCTCCCACCTCAGCCTCCCAGGTACCTGGGACTACAGGCATATGACATCATACCTGGCTTTTTTTTTTTTTTTTTGTAGAGAGAGGGTTTCACCATGTTGCCCAGGTTGCCTTATTCCACTTATAAGCGGTATCTAAAATAGTCAAACTCATAAAAGCAGAGAGTAAGAGGTTGCCAAAGGCTCAAAGGGAATGGGAAGTTGTTGTTTAATGGGTGTATGGTTTCAGGTATGTAAGATGAATAAGTTCTAGAGCTCTGCTGTATGAACTTGTACCTATAGGTAACAAGACCATATTATACACTTAAAAATTTGTTAACAGGGTTGATATCATGTGAAATGTTCTGACCACAATAAAAAATTATAAATCAGATAAATTTATAAACAGTACTATAAGCATGGTCTATTAATGTAAAATAAAACATACCAGAAGGGGTAAAAGTATGAAATCTAATGCTTACAAAAGTGTGAAGTGTGTGAGTGTTGATCATCTGAATTGGGTCATCCTTTTCATACTCAACTAAATTATAGTTAGGGAACCAGGGGAAAAAACACTTAGGATACCTAATATTCATCTAGAAATGTAATTCTCTAAAGTCAGGAAGCTAAAACTGTTTTAACCTACAACCAGTTTTATCTATAGCTACTGAAATAACTTGCTGAAACTCTAAAACTAATTTTTGCCAACCACCATTACCCACTAATTGGAACTTGCCAGCTCTCTAGAGCTTTACTAATACTATCAAACATTTTCTCAAGACTACACATAACATTTCTCTTTTTTATAATTCACAAACTTCTCTTTGTTCTTTAGATACACAGACGATGACTTAGTCTGTGTATATGCCCCAAATCACAATTTTTTCATTCCACATAAAATGTTAAATTCAAATATTTGTTTCTACATTTTTATATACATGGTGTCAGAAGTGGGATCCAAAGCTGATTTCCCTTGGGAATAATCACAGGCCCTTGGAACTACGGCATGAGGTACCTGCATTGGTTACTTTGAGCCCCTTCCCCCAACTTTCACAGGTTATCTCTTCTCCCCCTGTTGAGTCTCTCTTGGAGAGAACTCCCAAATTTGGTTTGAGATTTTTTCATATGGGATTCAGTTAGGGAGGGGACTTTTCCTCTCCTGTTTAAAGAAAGTTATTATTTCCTCCTCCCATTTGGAGGATCTCCTTTTGGAGAGGGTTATTTTCCTCCTGTTGACCTTGGCTGTGAGGTTTGATACCTTGAGATTTGATGAGGGAATTTTTTCCTTCAGTTGGAGATAGCTTTTCATGCTTCCTGGTAAGAAAATGCTTTGTTCACTAAAGAGCAAGATGGCTGAATAGTAACTGCTCCAGTCTACAGCTCCCAGCATGAGCGACACAGAAGACGGGTGATTTCTGCATTTCCAGCTGAGGTACCAGGTTCATCTCACTGGGGCTTGTCGGACAGTGGGTGCAGGACAGTGGGTGCAGCGCACTGAGTATGAGCCAAAGCAGGATGAGGCATCACCTCACCTGGGAAGCACAAGGGGTCAGTGAATTCCCTTTCATAGCCAAGCAAAGCTGTGACAGACGGCAACTGGAAAATAGGGTCACTCCCACCCTAACACTGTGCTTTTCTGATGGTCTTAGCAAATGGTACACCAGGAGATTATATCCCGTGCATGCCTTGGAGGGTGCCACACCCATGAAGCCTCACTCGTTGCTAGCACAGCAGTCTGAGATTGAACTGCAAGATGGCAGTGAGGCTGGGGGAGGGGCACCTGCCATTGCTGAGGCTTGAGTAGGTAAACAAAGTGGCCAGGAAGCTCCAACTGGGTGGAGCCCACTGCAGCGCAAGGATGCCTGCCTGCCTCTGTGGACTCCACCTCTGGGGGCAGGGCATAGCTGAACAAAAGGCAGCAGAAACCTCTGCAGACTTAAATGTCCCTGTCTGACAGCTTTGAAAAGAGTACTGGTTCTCCCAGCATGGAGTCTGAGATCTGAGAACGGACAGACTGCCTCCTCTAGTGGGTCCCTGACCCCCGAGTAGCCTAACTGGGAGGCACCCCCCAGTAGGGGCATACTGACACCTCACACCATGATGATGGTGATGTACATCACCATCATCAAAGACCAAAGGTAGATAAAACCACAAAGATGGTGAAAAAACAGAACAGAAACACTGAAAATTCTAAAAATCAGAGCGCCTCTCCTCCTCCAAAGGAATGCAGCTCCTCACCAGCAATGGAACAAAGCTGGATGGAGAATGACTTTGAAGAGTTGAGAGAAGAAGGCTTCAGACAATCAAACTTCTCCGAACTAAAGGAGGAAGTTCAAACCCATGGCAAAGAAGTTAAAAACCTTGAAAAAAGATTAGACAAATGGCTAACTAGAATAACCAATGCAAAGAAGTCCTTAAAGGACCTGATGGAGCTGAAAACCATGGCATGAGAACTATGTGACTAATGCAGAAGATTCAATAGCCAATTCAATCAACTGGAAGAAAGGGTAACAGTGATTGAAGATCAAATGAATGAAATGAAGCAAGAAGAGAAGCGTAGAGAAAAAAGAATGAAAAGAAATGAACAAAGCCTCCAAGAAATATGGGACTATGTGAAAAGACCAAATCTACGTCTGATTGGTGTATCTGAAAGTGACAGGGAGAATGGAACCAAGTTGGAAAACACTCTTCAGGATAATATCCAGGAGAACTTCCCCAACCTAGCAAGGCAGGCCAACATTCAAATTCAGGAAATAGAGAGAACACCACAAAGATACTCCTCGAGAAGAGCAACTCCAAGACACATAATTCTCAGATTCACCAAAGTTGAAATGAAAGAAAAAATATTAAGGGCAGCCAGAGAGAAAGGTCGGGTTATCCACAAAGGGAAGCCCATCAGACTAACAGCGAATCTCTCGGCAGAAACTCTACAAGCTAGAAGAGAGTGGGGGCCAATACTCGACATTCTTAAAGAAAAGAATTTTCAACCCAGAATTTCATATCCAGCCAAACTAAGCTTCATAAGTGAAGGAGAAATAAAATCCTTTACAGACAAGCAAATGCTGAGAGATTTTGTCACCACCAGGCCTGCCTTACAAGAGCTCCTGAAGGAAGCACTAAACATGGAAAGGAACAACTGGTACTGCCACTGCAAAAACATGCCAAATTGTAAAGACCATCGAGGCTAGGAAGAAACTGCATCAACTAAGGAGCAAAATAACCAGCTAAAATCATAATAACAGGATCAAATTCACACATAACAATATTAACCTTAAATGTAAATGGGCTAAATGCTCCAATTAAAAGACACAGATTGGCAAATTGGATAAAGAGTCAAGACCCATCCGTGTGCTGTATTCAGGAAACCCATCTCACATGCAGTGACACGCATAGGCTCAAAATAAAGGGATGGAGGAAGATCTAAGAAGCAAATGGAAAACAAAAAAAGGCAGGGGTTGCAATCCTAGTCTCTGATAAAACAGACTTGAAACCAACAAAGATCAAAAGAGACAAAGAAGGCCATTACATAATGGTAAAGGGATCAATTCAACATGAAGAGCTAACTATCCTAAATATACATGCACCCAATACAGGAGCACCCAGATTCATAAAGCAAGTCCTTAGAGACCTAGAAAGAGACTTAGACTCCCACACAATAATAATCGGAGACTTTAACATCCCACTGTCAACATTAGACAGATCAATGAGACAGAAAGTTAACAAGGATATCCAGGAATTGAATTCAGCTCTTCACCAAGCAGACCTAATAGACATCTACAGAACTCTCCACCCCAAATCAACAGAATATACATTCTTCTCAGCACCACACCATGCCTATTCCAAAATTGACCACATAGTTGGAAGTAAAGCACTCCTCAGCAAATGTAAAAGAACAGAAATTATAGCAGACTGTCTCTCAGACCATAGTGCAATCAAACTAGAACTCAGGATTAAGAAACTCACTCAAAACCTCTCAACTACATGGAAACTGAACAATCTGCTCCTGAATGACTACTGGGTACATAATGAAATGAAGGCAGAAATAAAGATGTTCTTTGAAACCAATGAGAACAAAGACACAACATACCAGAATCTCTGGGGCACATTTAAAGCAGTATGTAGAGGGAAATTTATAGCACCAAATGCCCACAAAAGAAAGCAGGAAAGATCTAAAATTGACACCCTAACGTCACAATTAAAATAACTAGAGAAGCAGGCGCAAACACATTCAAAAGCTAGCAGAAGGCAAGAAATAACTAAGATCAGAGCAGAACTGAAGGAGATAGAGACACAAAAAACCCTTCAAAAAATCAATGAATCCAGGAGCTGGTTTTTTGAAAAGATCAACAAAATTGATAGACCACTAGCAAGACTCATAAAGAAGAAAAGAAAGAAGAATCAAATAGACGCAATAAAAAATGATAAAGGGGATATCATCACCAATCCCACAGAAATACAAACTACCATCAGAGAATACTATAAACACCTCTATGCAAATACTAGAAAATCTAGAAGAAATGGATAAATTCCTGTACACATACACTCTCCCAAGACTAAACCAGGAAGAAGTTGAATCCCTGAATAGACCAATAATAGGTTCTGAAATTGAGGCAATAACTAATAGCTTACCAACCAAAAAAAGTCCAGGACCAGATGGATTCACAGCCGAATTCTACCAGAGATACAAGGAGGAGCTGGTACCATTCCTTCTGAAACTATTCCAATCAATAGAAAAAGAGGGAATCCTCCCTAACTCATTTTATGAGGCCAGCATCATCCTGATACCAAAGCCTGGCAGAGACACAACAAAAAAAGAGAATTTTAGATCAATATTCCAGATGAACACCAATGCAAAAATCCTCAATAAAATACTGGTAAACCAAATCCAGCAGCACATCAAAATGCTTATCCATCACAATCAATTCAGCTTCATCCCTTGGATGCAAGGCTGGTTCAACATACATAAATCAATAAGCGTAATCCATCATATAAACAGAACCAAAGACAAAAAAGCACATGATTATCTCAATAGATGCGGAAAAAGCCTTCAACAAAATTCAACAACACTTCATGCTAAAAACTCTCAATAAATTAGGTATTGATGGGACGTATCTCAAAATAATAAGAGTTGTTTATGACAAACCCACAGCCAATATCATACTAAATGGGCAAAAACTGGAAGCATTGCCTTTGAAAACTGGCAAAAGACAGGGATGCCCTCTCTCACCACTTCTATTCAACATAGTGTTGGAAGTTCTGGCCAGGGCAATCAGGCTGGAGAAAGAAATAAAGCATATTCAGTTAGGAAAAGAGAAAGTCAAATCGTCCCTGTTTGCAGATGACATGATTGTATATTTAGAAAACCCCATCATCTCAGCCCAAAATCTCCTTAAGCTGATAAGCAACTTCAGCAAAGTCTCAGGATACAAAATCAACATGCAAAAATCACAAGTATTCCTATACACCAATAACAGACAAACAAAGAGCCAAATCATGACTGAACTCCATTCACAATTGCTTCAAAGAGAATAAAATACCTAGGAATCCAACTTATGGGGGATATGAAGGAACTTTTCAAGGAGAACTACAAACCACTGCTCAATGAAATAAAGGAGGACACAAACAAATGGAAGAACATTCCATGCTCATGGATAGGAAGAATCAATATCGTGAAAATGGCCATACTGCCCAAGGTAATTTATAGATTCAATACCATCTCCATCAGGCTGTCAATGACTTTCTTCACAGAATTGGAAAAAACTACTTTAAAGATCATATGGAACCAAAAAAGAGCCCGCATTGCCAAGTCAATCCTGAGCCAAAAGAACAAAGCTGGAGGCATCATGCTACCTGACTTCAAACTATACTACAAGGCTACAGTAACCAAAACAGCATGGTACTGGTATCAAAACAGAGATATAGATCAATGGAACAGAACAGAGCCCTCAGAAATAATACCACACATCTACAACTATCTGATCTTTGACAAACCTGACAAAAACAAGAAATGGGGAAAGGATTCCCTATTTAACAAATGGTGCTGGGAAAACAGATTAGCCATATGTAGAAAGCTGAAACTGGATCCCTTCCTTACACCTTATACAAGAATTCATTCAAGATGGATTAAAGACTTAAATGTTAGACCTAAAACCATAAAAACCCCAGAAGAAAACCTAGGCAATACCATTCAGGACATAGGCATGGGCAAGGACTTTGTCTAAGACACCAAAAGCAATGGCAACAAAAGCCAAAATTGACAAATGGGATCTAGTTAAACTAAAGAGCATCTGCACAGCAAAAGAAACCACCATCAGAGTGAACAGGCAACCTACAAAATGGGAGAAAATTTTTGCAATCTACTCATCTGACAAAGGGCTAATATCCAGAATCTACAAAGAACTCAAATAAATTTACAAGAAAGAAAACAAACAACCCCATCAAAAAGTGGGCGAAGGATATGAACAGACACTTTTCAAAAGAAGACATTTATGCAGCCAAAAGACACATGAAAAAATGCTCATCATCACTGGCCATCAGAGAAATGCAAATCAAAACCACAATGAGATATCATCTCACACCAGTTAGAATGGTGATCATTAAAAAGTCAGGACACAACAGGTGCTGGAGAGGATGTGGAGAAATAGGAACACTTTGACACTGTTGGTGGGACTGTAAACTAGTTCAACTGTTGTGGAAGACAGTGTGGCGATTCCTCAGGGATCTAGAACTAGAAATACCATTTGACCCAGCCATCCCATTACTGGGTATATACCCAAAGGAATATAAATCATGCTGCTGTAAAGACACATGCACATGTATGTTTATTGCAGCACTACTCATAAAGACTTGGAACCAACCCAAATGTCCAACAATGATAGACTGGATTAAGAAAATGTGGCACATATACACCATGGAATATGATGCAGCCATAAAAAATGATGAGTTCATGTCCTTTGTAGGGACATGGATGAAGATGGAAACCATCATTCTCAGCAAACTATTGCAAGGACAAAAAACCAAACACCGCATGTTCTCACTCATAGGTGGGAATTGAACAATGAGAACACTTGGACACAGGAAGGGGAACATCACACACTGGGGCCTGTTGTGGGGTCGGGGGAGCGGGGTGGGATTGCATTAGGAGATATACCTAATATAAATGACGAGTTAATGGGTGCAGCACACCAACATGGCACAAGTATACATACGTAACAAATCTGCACGTTGTGCACATGTACCCTAGGACTTAAAGTATAATAAAATATATATATATATATAAAAGAAAAGAAAGAAAATTCTTTGTGTTGTCAGTGCTTATATTTTAATTTGGCTTTCTAGTACTCAGCACTTGTATTTGATTGGCCTTTGTGCATTTGGCTTTAAAATTGAATTACGATGGGCTCTCAAATTCAAAAGCATGCCAAAATAACCTCCCATTGGGAACTCTAGCCAGTTATATGTTTAGCATTATGGTCCATTGTCATGTATTCTTATCTCAATAAAAGATGACTTGAAATTAACATGGCCTTTCTGGGGTTCTTTTGACCTCTTTAAAAGTTTATCTCAGAAATAATCAGAAAACTGCAACTCTAAGCAATGGAAATACAATATAAATAGCACTTCGAGGCTTCAAAATGAAATCAGTAATTAAGATTTGTGGGCTGGGTGCAGTGGCTCACCTCTGTAATCCCAGCACTTTGGGAGGCCAAGGTGGGTGGATCGCCTGAGGTCAGGAGTTCAAGACCAGCCTGACCAACATGGTGAAACCCTGTCTCTACTAAAAAATACAAAAATTAGCCGGGCATGGTGGCAGGCGCCTGTAATCCCAGCTACTCAGGAGTCTGAGGCCGGAGACTCGCTTGTACCTGGGAGGCAGAGGTTGCAGTGAGCAGAGATCACGCCATTGCACTCCAGCCTGGGCAACAGAGTGAGACTCCGTCTTAAAATAAAACAAGATAAAATAAAATAAAATTTATTGAACTCCAAAACACTGTCTCTAAATTAATGGGAGAAATAAAAAGTTCAAAGAGGAAAAAAAGGCTTTAGAAGCCCCAAATCTTTCTGTATCTCAAGTGCCATCTACCATATCTCCTCTCAAACCTTTCCAAACTTCCCTCCTATTCTGATACATCTTTCTCCACTAACACGCCTATTTCAGCTTCCTAACCTCAACCTGTAAATACTTGCCCCTTTCAGATCAGGCCCTCTAACAATCCTGACATTCTTCAGATTTCTTATGTCTTTTCGGCTAAAGCTGAACTCCATGCTATAGCCAAAAGGAATTCTCTAAAGTTATTGAAAACCGGCATTATTTTGCTGATGAATTTAACACTACAGTTCAGGCTTACCAGCCCAGTTTCTCCAATCTTTACCAACTTGTTTGCATACTTCTGAAAGAAGGCCAGGCCCAACACTAGATGGCAAAAGCAGATTGAACCCATTCACAATGGGATTTAGCAAAAACTGCCCTCATCTCCCCAGAATCTGATCTACAATATTGGGGGCAGGCTCCAAAACTTACAAGAAATTTATATAGGGCCATCCTCAAGACATTTCCTAAAGCCATAGACCAGAAAAAAATTTAAACTTGCACCCAAGAGCCAAATAAATCAGTCCATAACAATTACAGCAGGCTCCAAGTTATATTTAGAGAAAATCCTTGCCTTCCCATAGATGCTGACTCTACTAGAATCACCTTTAATTCTGTGTTAATTAACGGTCTCTCTCAAAAACTTTCTCACCTTGTTAAAAGAGCCCACCTAAAATGGGAGACAACACCCACTGCTGGTCTTGTTAATTTGGCAAAACAATTGGCTCATGCTCTATATAACACCAGTTTTTTAAAAATGTCACTAAAATTCTAAATCTCTAACAACCACAGATAAATGTTCCCAGAAAAAAAGAAAAAACGAGTAAACAATTGGGACCCTAATGGCACAACTCTGATCCAGGAGAGCTATCTCCTGGAAATCGTTGCTGTTGTAACAAGCCAGGCCACTGGAAGAAAGACCCTTCTAAATTTAAGCAAATTAGACAGTCTTCACATGACTCTCCAGTTTATCCTTTCCAATAAAGGAGATTTGAGTATTTACAGGGTTTTTGTTTTGTTTTGATTTTGCTTTTTGCAATCTTCCCTTTTAATCACCGTAACGAGAGTACTCTAATTGGCAATGAGGCTCTAACTGTTCTCATAGACATGGGAGAAACCTTATTAGGACTCAATCCTACCAACCTCAATTAGCCCCTCCCTCAGATTAATAAACATATTCAAATGGAGGGAGTATCTAATAAACCATTGACATTCTTTCTGTTCCAGTCGATTACTTCTTACCTTAGACCTATACAGGACACCTATCCTTTTTTACTGTTGGGGTCTGCTCCAGCTCTCTTACTGGGATGAGTGTTATGCTGTTTCATGTGCCAAAGTCATCTCTGCTGATTTCCAAAATGTCTTATTGGAAGAAAACCTGTCTTTTTATGGGCTACACTGTGAATAAATGTCAGTAGGATTTATAGTTCGCCCCCAATCAAAATCCAAATTGATCCCACCAAGCCCTTGCCTAATAGTAAATAGTATGCCTTTGGCCAATCTGCCTTACAAGGGATAAAGCTCATCACTAAAAAATACAAAACTTCCTTAACTTTAATAATTTCTTTTTTTTTTTTTTTTGAGACAGAATCTTGCTCTGTAGCCCAGGCTGCAGTGCAGTGCCACGATCTCGATCTTGGTTCACTTTACGCTCCACCTCCCAGGTTCATGCCATTCCGCTGCCTCAGCCTCCCAAGTAACTGGGACTTCAGGAGCCTGCCACAACGCCTGGCTAATTTTTTGAATTTTCAGTAGAGATGGGGTTTCACCATGTTAGCCAGGATGGTCTCGATCTCCTGACCTCATGATCCACCCGCCTCGGCCTCCCAAAGCGCTGGGATTATAGGCGTGAGCCACCGTGCCCGGCCAAGGCTTAATAATTTCTTGTACCAACCCTTGTGATACTCTCATTCTCCCAGAAAGAAAATCTAACAGTTAAAGATAGAAATTTTTTCAGTGTCTCCACATCGTAAATAATATTGTTATACCTCATGATCTCCTAGTTTCAAATGCACATAATTTGCTGACTTCAGTACCAACTGAGAGTAAGTTTTTCACTATAATTGACCCCTGTCATGCTTTCCTTAGCATCCCTGTTGATTAAGACAGTCAATACTTATTTACCTTCACCTAGGAAAAACTACAATATATCCGGACTGTTATGCCTCAAGGCTATGCTGAAAATCTTTCCTACTTCTCCCAATTCTGAAAGCTGATTTAGATGATGTGGCTTTTTCCCAAGGTTCATTTTCACTATAATATGTAGGTGATTTACTTTGTTTTCCTTGATAGGCAGCCTACAATGAAGATAGTATCCATTTATTAAAACTTCTAACCACCAAGGGTCATAAGTTTTCCTAAAAAAAAAAAAAAAAAGAAAAAAAAAGAAAAAAAAAACCAACTAGTTAAGACATAAGTTATATATCTGAGTCATTTGATTTTTAAAGCAAGACTACATGTTGACCCTAAATAAATGAATACAAGTCCTATAATTCCCTAACCCTAAAACTAAATGACAAGTTTAAGAGTTTCTTAGACTTGCCAGAATAGACATTGCCATAATTGGATAAGGACACCTCTTTGACTGCTCGAACTCTACATGCCCTACTTAAAGCATCTAAATCTGATCCCATTATATGGAGAAAGACATTACATTTATTAAAATTAAAATAAGTTATTTTAAATCCTCCTAACCTGGGTCACCTCAATTATCAACTTCCTTTCTTCCTTTTTGTTTATAAACAAAAAGGAAATGTCTTGGGTATCCTAACCCCAAAACATAGAAATCAGCACTGCCCCATTAGATGATCACAGGCAGCAACTAGATCCAACAGCTTGAGGATTATTCCCTTACTTTAAAACTATCCTAACTACCACTGTATATGAGATTTCCCTTAACGAGTTTTGCTCCCCATGCTGTTAAAGCTCTTCTAAATTCACATCCTACTCATCATCTCTCTGCCATTTTCTTACCTCTCAGAACTCCTTTTACTAGCTTCTCACATAACTCTTTCTTGATGTAATAATCTCAAGCACGCTACTCTCTTACCCCTTCTTTCTGATGAGACCCTCATGATTCTTTGACATTGGTTGATCATCCGTTGACTCCCCAAAAAGATTTACAAAACCTCCACTAGAGAACTCTGAACTATCGTGGTTTACAGAGGCATCCTATTTAAAAGATGACAACGGCAATTACTGTGCAGGATACGCAGTTATTACCACTTCCTTTGAAGTTGTTAAAGCAGCCCCCTTACCTATGGCTACTTCCACCCAACAGGCTGAACTTATTGCTCTTGCTCAGGCTTGCCCCCTTACTAAAGAAAAATCTGCTAATATATATATACAGATACCATGTGTGCCTTTAAAGTTGCTCACAATTTTGAAATCTAATGGAAACAAAAGAGACTTCTTGCTTCCACTGGAGATCAAATTAAAAATAAACCCTATATTTAAGGGTTACTAGATGCCATCCAGGGACCTGCTGCCTTGGCTATTATCAAAATTCCCGAATATTCAAGGTTAGACTCTGTAGAAGCTAAACGAAACAACCTTGCTGAAAATGTTTCAAAAAATGCTGTTATTAAAGGTCCATTTAATCAAAACTCTGTTATGGCCCCACTAAAAGAGCCTTCAGAAGGTGATCTAAAAATAATTACCAAAGATAACAAAATTAGACACCAGAACCTAAAAAACAAAATTTTTAAAATCATGACTACTGGTTCAATCATTAGACAAACAAAACAAATCCCTGTGATTTGGACCTGATAACAAACGATTTCTCTCGAATCAATGAAATATTCATTGCTAACTAAAGTTGAACCATTGGGCAAGTTAACACATTAGTTTCTGGGAGAAAACAATACTGGTTGGATGATATTTTTTAAAAACCTGCAAAGAAATGCCTCTTTGGTTTGTGCTACCTGCCCTAAATTTAATCCAAGGAAACCTATACATACTAATCCTACACATTTTAATTTACCTAATAGAACTTTCAAGGTTTGGCAAATAGATTTCATCCAGTTACCCACTTCTCATGGATATGAATATGTTCTAGTAATGGTTTGCATGTTCTCCCATTGGTTAGAGGCTTTTTCCTTTAAACAAAACACTGTTTCAGTTGTAGCCAAAATTCTTTAAGAAAAAGTTGTTCCCACATGGAGAATTCCTCTTAAACTACATAATAATTGAGAAGCCCATTTTACTGGCCAGGTAATAAAAACAAGAATGCTCAGTTTGGTCAATTTAACAGCATTTCCATTGTCCCTACCACTGCCAATCATCTGGCATAGCAGAATGAACAAATACAACTATAGAAACCCAGTTGGCAAAAGGTGTAGAAACTCTACAATTTCCTTGGCCTAAAGTTCTTCTATTGTATTATTAAATCTAAGGGCCACTCCCTTTGAAGCTCATAAACTTACCCATTTAAAATAGTCATAGGCCATCCTATGAATTTGGCTCCCTCTGCTTCTGAGCTTCAGTTGATAAAAAGAGACATTTTTTCAGTATCATAAATAAATTATTTCAGCAATACATTAAAATCATACAGTGGTAGAACAATCTCTCCACAGCACACTCCCAAAAGACAAAGGCTTAAAAACATCATGGTCGGCAGCCTGGTGACTTTGTCTACTAGAGAAGATACTATATAAGAATTTTCTCCAGCTTTGCTGGAATGGTCTATATTAATTCCTTCTCACCAATTTCTGTGCTGTGAAACTAGAGCATTGACTCCTAGATCCACATCTCTTATTCTAAAAAAGCTCTTACTCCTGACTTGACTGGCATCCCAACAGGGTATTTAAAACTAAAACTCACCCTGAAATAAAACAGATGGCATCTGTAGTAGACTGCTGTCCCAAGATGCTCAGACTAGGCCACTATACCATTTTCTTTTTATTTTTTTGTCTCTGATTTTATGCTTACATTTTCCTAAAAAGATAATGCCTAGTCCATTGCCAAAAGGTGAAAGATATATAACTAATTGTTAGATTTGTCACCAAAAACCCTGATCTGTTTATAATATAATTAAAACTTTAGTCTATTCCACAACAAATTTTACTCATGTTCCTAATGTAACTATTTGTTCAAATTGTATGTCCAGTCCTTTTTAGAAAATCAAACATTTAGACCCACATGTTCAGATTCTGTTTCCTCCTAGCTGTGCCTGCGGGCCTCAAAAAAGACTTTTAAATTACATTAAAAATTGTAAAAAACAAAACGACAAGCTATAAAAATATAATATTAATCCATTAATTGTTGATGGTCTCCAATAATGAAATAATTGGGTAACAGAATATTAGATAAAAACTGCTGTCAAATCCCTACAATAACTATTTTAGTATACAAAGTACCCAGATAAGATTACTTATTGTGCCCCACCAAAATATTTTTTATTTGCAGGGAATTATTAAACAACCATATAAATAGACATCATGCCTCAATAAATAAAAAATAAAAGGCCAATGTGGTTTAAGATATTTCTAGACTTGATTTAAGTTAATAAAATCTAAACATTGGTTGAAACCTGTTAACTTACACCACCATACTAAAAAAGATATCCTTCCAAGAGGCATAAATCCAGCCAGATGGGCCTTAGTCATCAGTGCTTTTGTCCTTTAGAGTTTGTATTAGTCTGTTCTCGCATTCCTATAAAGAAATACCTGAGACCAGGTAATTTATAAAGAAAAGAGGTGTAATTGGCTCAGGGTTCCACAGGCTGTACAGGAAGCATAATACTGGTATCTGCTCAGCTTCTAGGGAGGCCTCAGGAAACTTGTAATCGTGGCAGATGGCAAAGGGAAAGTTGCACATCACATGGCTGGAGAAAGAGCAAAGGAGAAAGTGGGGAGGTGCTACACACTTTTAAAAACCAGATCTCCCAATAACTCACTCACTCACTATCACAAGAATGGCACCAAGAGGATCATGCTAAACCATTCAAAAGAAATTGCCCCCATGATCCAATCACCTCCCACCAGGTCCCACCACTAAGAATGGGAATTACATTTGAACATGAGATTTGGTGGGGACATAGATCCAAACAATAGCAGAGTTGGTCACTTAAAAACAATGGTTACAAACCTGTTCTTAATGATTAGATCTATAGCTGACTCCATAGCTAAGGACAATGCAGCTCAATAAACTTCTCTAGATTATCTTACTAAAGTAGTATTAGATTAAAAAAATGTTCTAGATTACTAACTAGCTGAACAAGGTGGTGTTTGTTCAGTAGATAACACTACTTGCGATACATAAATAAATTCCTCTGGGAAAGTAGAAACTCAATTATATAAGAGAAAAAAATAAGCTACTTGGCTTCAGTAAGTCTCATCAGATATGTCTAGACTTTCTGATCTGTTTAGTTAGTTACCTTCAACCCTAGGATCATGGTTGTGAACTATTATTCATGGGAGATTTATTATATTGTTGTTGATTATTTTTATATGATGATTTTTAAGCTTCATTGCTATTGATTGTCTAATCTATGTAAAGCCAACTCTTTCAACAAGACAATGTTAGCTCAACACTTCAAGATGACTCCTGAAGCCTATAAAACTAATAAAATAGAGCCCAATGCTGGGCTCCATGTAGACCTGCTCTAAAGAAAGTTTTCCTTTTGGTCTCTTTGTTATTCAAATGTGGCCAAGTCCCTGACATAGACCCCCATACATTTCCCCAAACACGGACAGAAGCAACTGGGACAGAATTATCCCAGCATCAAGGGACAATTAAACTTACCTACAAAATGATTAATCAGTGATTTTGGATAAAGATCTTGATCAAAAGGGAAAAATGTGAAAGTTAGTCATCCAAATTGTGCCATTCTTATCATACCCAATTAAATCAGAGTCATGGGACCAGGGGCAAAAATCACTTGGAGTACATGACATTGCTCTAGAAATGTAATTCTCTGCAAGCACAGCCGTTACAACTGCCTGTTATAACCTGAAACCAGTTTTATCTATAGCTGCTGAGATAACTTGCAACTCTTAAGACTAATTCTGCCATCACTGTCACACACCACTTGGAGCTCACCATCTCCCCAAAGCTTTGCTAGTACCAATAAACATTCTCTCGGGACCACATATAACATTCCTTATTTTCATAAAACCCCCAACCTTCTCTTTGTTCTTCACCTAGTTTGCATATATGCCCCCAATTTTTTCTTCCCAAATAAAATGTTAAATTTAAAGATTCATTTCCTACATTTTTATTTTGACTTTGACAAGTGTTTGCTTTGGGGAGAAGGTTTGGTGAAGTCAGAGAACTTCTGCCTTTTTCATTATAGTCTTTTATTTGTTTTCTAATTCTGCTGTAATAAATTACCACAAACTTAGTGGCTTAAAACAACACCCCTTTATGGGTTCATAGTTCCGTAGGTCTTAAGTCTGAGCATTGTGTGACTGGATTCTCTGCTCAGGATGTCACTGGGCTAAACTCAAGGTTTTGATGAGGCCTACGGCTCTCTCCTGAACTTGGGATCCTCTTTCAAGCTCACTGTGTGTTGGCAGAATTTATTTCCTTTTGTTTGTGGGACTGAGGCCCTTGTTATCTGTCAGCCGGAACCTGGTTTCAATTTCTATAGGCCACTCACATTCTTCCTTACATACTTTCTCCATCTTCAAGCCAGTGCACTGAATCTTCCTTGTATTTTGAATCTTTACAACTACTTCTTCCTCCACCAGTCAGAGAAAACTCTTTTCTTTTCAAAGGCCCATCACCATAGTTTCCCTTTTGCCATATAACGTAACACAACCATGAAAGTAACACCAGAGATCATGGTCGTTGAAATCCTCTCCCTCAGAAATTCCTCTGATTTTTTTTATTGTATTACTTTAATAATAAGAATTAATTACAAACAAGAGTCAAAGGAAATGTAATTAAGCAGAGCCAAAGAATTCATCTTTCAAAAGCCTGCAAAGAGAGTCAGTTACCATGGGATCTACCCAAATGCCACAGAGAGAATGACTTTACTCTGGAACAATAACTACCCTGGTGTTTCTCAGATTATTTGCTTAATTTCTTTAAATAAGAATCCTCTTTTCTTGACTTTGTTTAAATATCTGGCAAGTAGGTGAAGGGGTGGAAGGAAGGGCTAGCTTTTCATTTATTAATACATAAAGTCAAAACATTTTAAATGATCAAATTAACAGATGAAGTGATAGTAGGTTTAAAAGAAGATTAAACATAGAAGGTCCTGGTCAGAAGTAGGAAGGATGAAAGGTTAGAGTTTTCATGGGAGAAGCTCACAGAAATTATAACATTAGGGTGTGTCTAGGTCCATGAAGTGAAGTTGGAGGTGCAGCTTGCTGGAGATGATAAAGTCAAGGATGAGTCATTGTACTGAATACTGAAATTAAGAAAGAACACATGGTAGAAAGAAGGACCAGAACAGAGCAGTACCATATAAGCCAAGGAAGGCAGGAGTCCCATGAAGGAGGGACACGCAGAAGAGGGATTTGTGGAGGAGGAAGACAATAAGGATTATTAAGTGATTTTATTAACAAATCTCTCAATTCTATTAAATAGGTAAGATATCAAGGTATTTTTTATAATTTTGCAAATAATAAAGGGATGCTCTGAGACTTTAAATAAATCCACTAAGATTATACATTTTTAAGTGACAGATCTGGGGCTGCACAAAACCTGATTGATTACAAATCCAGTAGAAAATTAAGGCTACTTTTACTTAAAAGCTCTTTCATCACAGATGAGAACACAGGCAGAGGAATAAAAGCTGAGAATCCTTTCTAGAAACACACACAAACAAAACAAATAAACTATTCTAAAAAAATGAGACCCACACTGTACATGGCCTTTATCTTCTAATTGAAAGCTGCCTCAATTCATGCTTCTCTAATGAGGTGCGATATAGTCATGCCTGAAATAACTTTGGGTAATGAGACAACCTCCATTAATCTACTTATGAAAGAGTCTGTTCATTAATTAGCATGGACAGCATAAAAGCAAAAACAATGACACTCCTGTTCCAGGGTGTCAGCCAGAATCCAATTAGAAATTAGTAGCTGAAAAGACTCAAATATTTCCATTTACATTGATACTAGCCTAAAGTACTCAGCCATGGTTATAAATCATTTCACGTATGAGACAGCTTTGCAGGGTGGGGGATACATGGCAGATTGCATATCAGGGTCCGGGCCAAATTTCAGTCTCCTTTTAAGCTGCCCTAAGAGAAGAGAGTTACCAGGAGAGTACAACAACTTAAAAATCATCACTTCTTTTCTCTTCTCTCTCTCTCTCTCTCTCTCAAACACACACACACACACACACACACACACACACACACAAGATCCTAGAGCTGCTTCCAAAATTACACGTAGGTAATAACGTGGTTGCTTATATTTTTATTTGAGTGGCTTTTTATTCCTTTCAAATTCTAGCTTGACAAAACAGTCAGTTTCAATTCCTTCCTCTCTGCCATAAAAATAAAGCTACCCCAAATACCTCACCAATGATATTACCTCAACAGTCATTCTTCCAAAATTCCAGAAAGAAGTCTGCCCAAAGGGGAATAGCTGCTGTTGAGTGGTTTCAGAGATCCAGTGAGTTCATTCACGTTTCAGAGTAATATTTTGAGGAAAAAGCAGTTGAGCACAATTGTCTTTAAATAATTTATATAACTCTCATTGTCCCTTTCATGTAAACATGCCACGTAATATTTCTTTGTCTTTCAGCTCTGTGTTATTTTAGCTTTATAGGTTCATATTCATCTTTTAATATTGTTTTCTAAAGCAGCGCAACTGGTTCTAGTTCTCAGCTGTTCAGTCTCAAGACAATACATTAGCTCTTAACTGATATCACATTAGAGAATCTCTGTAAATTGAATAAGTAGAAGCTCCTAGGAAGAAAATGGATTATTCTGTAACAATTTACTGCTTTCTAAAGAAATATGACATATAAAGTATCTAACTTTAATCAAAATAAATGCTTACTGAGTGAATAAAATAATGACTGAATTGGTAGTTTTGTGTTCATTACTGTCATGAAACAGAAATTTAACTACTCAAAGGAATACCCACTGATCATTTTCCACCATTAGTCTGGATTAAGCTGCCCCTTTGCTCAGAAAGCTGGAAGGTGCCTATTGTGAGCAAGAGTAGGAGAAGAACAAGGGAAGTTGTTTTTTTTAATGGGGGAATTAACATTGCCCAAAAATATATGGTAAAAGGTTGTAACATTGCTCAGCTAGAGTAAGATGAATATGTGCACAAGAAAGAATATTTGAAGCAAAATAAACTCAGAACAGAATGTTAAATTGAAAAGCTGAGTCAAAATAAACTTGAATTCCTACATATTGACTTGAATTTGTGGGGGAAAATACTATTATGATAGTCTGTAATGATTTGCCTTTTCTGTACTTCTCAAATTCTTAATATTACTTTTTTAACTTAATACTACTTCTTCTGATATGTATTCTTATGCTTGCCATCTTTCTATAGATGAAAAAAATGATAGTTGGAGGAAGCAATATAGTATATATATATATATATTATGGAAGTTAAGTTGATATTCATCTGAACTATAATGTTACATGGTCATTTGTTAGTTGTAATATCTGATGCAACCACTACAACAGGGAATTAAAATGGTACAATAAAAAAACGTTATTTAAGAGAATGTAATCATGGAGAAAAAGAGGAACAAAAAAGTACATAAACAAATAACAAGTTATGGGCAAAAATCCTATCTTATCAGTAACTATTAAATGAATATTGGATTAAACACTCCAATCAAAATGAAAAAACCTGAATTTTTTTTAAAAAACAAACAATTGCTGTCTATAACAGACATACTTTAGATTCAAAGACACAGATAGGTTGAAAGTAAAAGAATGAAAAAGGATTTCAGTTGCTATACTAATATTAGATAAAATTACGACCCTTAAGACAAAAAAAAAGTTAACTTGGACAAAGAGAAATATTTTATAATTATAAAAGGGCCAATCCATCAAGAATATATACTAAGTATAAGCATACATGCACCTAGCCATAGAGCCCCAAAATACATAGAGTAAAAACTGACAAAATTAAAGACAGAAATAGACAATTCAAAATAACATTTGGAGGCCAGACACATTGGCTCACACCTGTAATCCCAGCATTTTGGGAGGCTGAGGCAGGTGGAACACTTGAGCCCAGGAGTTTGAAATCAGCCTGGGCAACATAGTGAAACCCTGTCTCTAGAAAAAAATACAAAAATTAGCCTGGCATGGTAGCTCATGTCTATAGTCCCAGTTACATGGGATGCTGGGGTGAGAGGATCACTTGAGGCCAGGAAGTGGAGGTTGCAGTGACCTGAGATTGTGCCACTGCACTCCAGCTTGGGTGACAGAGAGAGACTCCATCTCATAAACAAATAAATAAATAAATAAATAACATTGGAAAGGAGATTCTGAAAAAATAGCAGTGTATGAAGCACCAGGAATTTATCTCCCTACTCAGACAACAATTACATTGGCAAAATATGTCTGATGTAAACGTTTTAGAACTCTGGAGTCTGCTGAAGGCTTGCAATTTCTAAAGGAAAGTTAGACAGTAAATGGTGATTAAATTCAGTTAATTTTAACTCTTAATTTGGTAGTGGTTATTGTTTCCTCTCCCCCAGCTCCACAGAAGGCAGTTGTGCATGTGTTCCTGGAAAAGCTTGCACATAGCTTGTGGGAACCAGGGTGGGCAGTAAGGATCCGGCTCTCCAAATACTGGATATTTGATTTCCAATCACTGATTGCAGTTTCTGATTATGTAAGTACAAACGCAGAGACAGGCAGCCATTGTTGCACTTCCTTCCATTGTTGAAAGCTTCTTGGCCCCCCCTTTTTTTTCTTTTTATTTCCCCAGAATTTTCTTCCTTCCAGTGTCTTCTCCCACCCCACTTAAATTTTCTCTTTTTTCCTTTTTGGGAGATAGACATTAAAGACTAGGACATTCAAATCCAAAATAAACAACTTCATGATGCATCTTAAAGAATTAGAAAAGCAAGGACAAATCAAACACAAATTTAGTAGAAGAAAAGAAATAATAAAAATCAAAGCAGAAAAAAATGAAATGGAAACAAAAAATACAAAGTATTAATGAAACAAAAAGTTGTTTTTTTGAGAAGATAAAGAAAAGTGACAAACCTTTAGCCAGACTAACTACAAAAGAGAGAGAAGACTCAAAGAAATATAATCGGAGATTTAAAAAGAAGACATTACAACTGATATTGCAAACATTCAAAAGATCATTACAGATTATTATGAGAAACTATATGCCATTAAGTTAGAAAAACTAGTAGAAATGGATAAATTCCTAGACACATAAAACCTACCAAGATTGAACTGTGAAGAAATACAAAACCTGAACAGACTAATAATAAGTAATGAGATCAAAGCTGTAAAAAAATTTTTTCAAGTAAAGCCTGAGACTAAATGGCTTTCCTGCTGAATTCTACCAAACATTTGAAAAAGACCTAACACCAATCATATTCAAGCTGTTCCAAAAAAATAGACAAAAAGAAAATATTTTCAAAATTATTCTAAGAGGCCAGTATTACTCTGATAACAAAATCAGACAAAGACACATCAAAAAAAGAAAACTATAGGTCCATATATCTGATGGACATTGATGCAAAAATACTTACAAACACTAGTAAAATGAATTCAACAACATGTTAAAAAGAGCATTCATCATGACCAAGTGGGATTTATCCCTGAGATGCAAGGATGGTTCAACATACATGAGTGTATTATTGTTATACATTATATCACAGAATGAAGAGCAAGACCCATATGATCATTTCAACTGATCCTGAAAAAGCATGTGATAAAATTCAACATACTTACTGATCAAAAAAAAAAAAAACTAAAAAAGCTGAGAATAGAAGGAACATACCTCTACACAATAAAAGGCATATATTACAGGCCCACAGCATACTGAATGGGGAAAGTTTGAAAACCTTTCTTCTAAGATGTTGAACATGACAAGATGGCCCACTTTCACCACTGTTATTCAACATAGTACTGGAAAGCCTAGCTAGGGCAATTAGACAAAAAAAAGAAATAAAGGGCATCCAAATTAGGAAGGAAGAAGCCAAACTATCCTTGTTTACAGATGATAAGGTTTTATATTAGCAAAAACCTAAAGACTCCACAAAAAAACTATTAGAACTGATAAGAAAATTCAGTAAAGTTGCAAGATACAAAACCAATATACAAAAAACCATAGAATTTCTATATGCCAAAAGAATGTGAACTATCTGAAAAAGAAATTTTTAAAAAGTCAAATAGTCACATATAAAATTAAATTACTAGTTTCTTTCTTCTTCTTCTTCTTCTTCTTTTTTTTTTTTTTTTTGAGACAGGGTCTTACCCTGTCACCCAGGCTGAAGTGCAATGGTGCAATCATGGCTCACTGCAGCATCAACCTCCCAGGCTCAGATGATCATCCTACCTCAGCCTCCCCAAGTAGTTGGGACTACGGGTGTGTGCCAACATTCCTGGCTACTTTTTGTATATTTTGTAAAGACAATGTTTCACCACACTGCCCAGGCTGGTCTCAAACTCCTGGGCTCAAGCAATCCACTCACCTCGGCCTCCCAAAGTGAGCCACCATGCCTGGCCTCCTATGAATTGACCAAAGAAGTGAAAGATCTCTACAATAAAAACTGTCAATCACTGATGAAAGAAATTGAAGAGGATACAAAAATTGGAACGATGTCTATGGTCATGGATTGGAAGAACCAATATTTTTTAAATGTCCATACTGCCCAAAGCAGTCTATAGATTCAATGCAATCCCTATCAAAACATCAATAATATTTTTCACAGAAATAGAAAAAATTAATGCTAAAATATGTATGGAGCCACAAAAGACTCAGAATAACCAAAGCCATCCTGAGCAAAAGACAAAACTGGAGGAATCACATTACCTGACTTCAAATTATACTACAGAGCTATAGTAACCAAAAGCAGCATGATACTTGCATAAAAACAGACACATAGACCAATGGGACAGAAAAGAGAACCCAGAAATGAATCCATGCATCTAAAGTGAACTCATTTTTGACAAGTGTGCTAAGAACATACATTGGTGGGAAAAAGTCTATTCAACAAATACTGCTGGGAAGCTGGATATCCATGTGCAGAAGAATAAAACTATACCCCTATCTCTCACTATATTAAAAAATCAAATCAAAATAGATTAAAGGCTTAAATCTTAGACATTTAACTATGAAAATACTACCAAAAAATTGGGGAAACTCTCCAACACTTGTCTGGGTAAAGATTTCTTGTATAATACCCCAAAGTAAAACTGGACAAATGTGATCACATAAAGTTAAAAAGCTTCTGCACGGCAAAGGAAACAATAAAAAAAAAGTGAAGAGACAACCCACAGAATGAGAGAAAATATTTGCAAACTATCCATTTAATAAAGGATTAATAACCAGAATATACAAGGAGTGCAAAAAACCCTACAAGAAAAAATCTAATAATATTTTATAAAAATAAGCAAAAATTTTGAACAGACAATTTGCAAAAGAGGACATACAAATGGTTAACAGATATATTAAAAGATTCTCAACATAATTGATCATCAGGGAAATGCAAGTCAAAGCTATAATGAGATATCATCTCACTCCAGCTAAAATGGCTTATATCCAAAAGATAGACAATAATGAATGCTGGTGAGCATGTGGAGAAAAGGCAATGCTCATACACTGTTGTTGGAGATTTTAATTAGTACAGCCATTATGATGAACAGTTTGGAGATTCCTCATAAAACTGAAAATAGAACAACTACATGACCCAGCAATCCTACTGCTAGATATATACACAAAAGAAAGAAAATTAGTATATCAAATACATACCTGCATTCCCATGTTTATCGCAGCACTAATCACAATAGCCAAGAATTGGAGGCAACCTAAGTGTCTGTCAACAGATGAATGATGAAGAAAATGTAGTACATATACACAATGGTGTACCATTCAGCCATAAAAAAGAACGAGATCCTATAATTTGCAACAGCATGGATGGAACTGGAGGTCATTATTCTAAGTGACATAAGCTAGGCACAGAAAGACAAACATTGTATGTTCTCACTTATTGTTCGTGAGGGCAAAGAATTAAAATAATTAAACTCATAGTGTAGAAGGATGGTTATGAAAGGCACAGAAAGGTAGTGAGGGATGGAGTGAGAATGGTTAATGGGTACAAAAAATAGTTAAAAAGAATGAACAAAATCAGGTATTTGATAGCATAACAGTTATGCTAACTACAGTCAACAATAATTTATTGTACATTTTAAAATAATAAAGAGTATAATTGCAATGTTTGAAACACAAAGTAATGATACCTGTTTCAGGTGATGGATATTCCATTTAACCTGATGTGATAATTACACACTGTTTGCCCATATCAGAATATTTAATATACCCTATAAATATATGCACAAATATATACACTTACTGTATATGTATAAAAATTAAAAATTGAGAAAAATGTAAATATCAATAACGAGATTTTTTTAAATCATGGAAAGAAACCAAAAAGAAATTCTGGACCTAAAAAGTGCAACAACTGAAATGAAAATTTTCCCCAGAGGGATTCAAAGATAGATTTTAGCAGGGAGTAGAAAGAATCAGTGACCTTGAAGTCAAGATATTTGAAATTACCCAGTCTGAAAAATAGGAAGAAAAAATATTGAAGAAAAATAAACAGAGCCTAAAGGACCTGTGAGACACCAAAAATTGGGCCAGCATATGTATTGTAGGAGTTCCATGGAGAGAACAGTAAAGAATACTTGCAGAAATAATGTCTATAGACTTCTCACATTTGATGAAAGACATTAATATAAATATCTTGGAAGCTCAACAAACTTCAAGTAGGATGGAGTCAAAAAGACCTATATCAAGACACATAATAAAATATACAAAAGACAAAGAGAGAATATTGAAAACATCAAGAGAAAGTGATTCATCACAAAGAAGAGATTTTCATTAAGATTATTAGATTTCTCAGTGGAAATATTGAAGGCCAGAAACAGTGAGATAATATACTTAATGTGCTAAAAAGGAAAAAATATTGCCAAGCAAGTATCCTGTCTGGCAGAACTGCCCTCGAAAAGTGAGGAAGAAATTAAAACATTCCTGGATAACACAAGCTAATAAAGTTTGTTACTGCTGGATCTGCCCCATATTAGTCTGTTTTCACACTGTTGATAAAGACATACCCAAGGCTGGGTAATTTATAAAGAAAAAGAGGTTTAAGGGACTCAGTTCCATGGCTGGGGCAGCCTCAGAATCATGGCAGAAAGCAAAAGGCATGTCTTACATGGTGGCAGACAAGAAGGAAAATGTGTGCAGTGAAACTCCCCTTTATAAA
Organism: Homo sapiens; assembly: GCF_000001405.40. Classification (NCBI taxonomy): domain Eukaryota; kingdom Metazoa; phylum Chordata; class Mammalia; order Primates; family Hominidae; genus Homo; species Homo sapiens. The sequence goes on from NC_000018.10 coordinate 4,915,931, forward strand.
ACCATCAGATGATGTGAGACTTGTTCACTATAATGAGAACAGCATGGGAAAGACCCACCCCATGATTAAATTACCTCCCACCAGTCCATCCCATGACATGTGGGAATTATGGGAGCCATAATTCAAGATGAAATTTGGGTGGGGACACAGCCAAACCATATCATTCTGCCACTCGCTCATCCCAAATCTCATGTCCTCACATTTCAAAACTAACCTTGCCTTCCCAACAGTTCCCCAAAGTCTTAAATCATTTCAGCATTAACTTGAAAGTCCACAGTCCAAAGTCTCATCTGAGACAAGGCAAGTCCCTTCTGCCTATGAGCCTGTAAAAGCAAAAGTAAGTTAGTTACTTTCTAGATATAATGGGGGTACAGGTATTGGGTAAATATACCCATTACAAATGGGAGAAATTGGCCAAAATAAAGGGGTGACAGGCCCTGTGCAAGTCCAAAATATAGTGGGGCAGTCAAATCTTAAAGCTCCAAAATGATCTCCTTTGACTCCATTTCTCACATCCATGTCACACTGATGCAAGAGGTGGGTTCCCATGGTCTTGGACAGCTCCACCCTGTGGCTTTGCAGGGCACAGTGCCCCTCCTGGCTCCTTTCATGGACTGGCATTGAGTGTCTATGGCTTTTCCAGGCACATGGTGCAAGCTGTCAGCAGATCTACATATCCTCTGAAATCTAGGCTGAGGTTCCCAAACCTCAATTCTTGACTTCTGTGTACCCACAGGCTCAACACCATGTGGAAGCTGCCAAGGCTTGGGCCTTGCACCCTCTGAAGCCATGGCCTGAGCTTTACCTTGGTCCCTTTTAGCCAAGGCCAGAGCAACCGGGATGCAAGGCGCCAAGTCCCTAGGCTGCATACAGCAGTGAGGACCTGGGCTTGGCCCACAAAACCATTTTTTTCCTCTTAGGCCTCCGGGCCTGTGATGGGAGGGGTTGCCATGAAGGTATCTGACATTCCCTGGAGATATTTTCCCCATTGTTTTAGATATTAACATTTGGCTTCTCACTATTTATGCAAATTTCTGCAGTCACCTTGAATTTCTCCTCAGAAAATGGGTTTTTCTTTTCTATCACGTTGTCAGGCTGCAAACTTTCCATACTTTTATGCTCTGTTTTCCTTTTAAAACTGAATACCTTTAACAGCACCCAAGTCACATCTTGAATGCTTTGCTGCTTAGAAATTTCTTCTTCCAGATACCCTAAGTCATCTCCCTCAAGTTCAAAGTTCCACAAATCTCTAGGGCAGGGACAAAATGCCACCAGTTTCTTTGCTAAAACAGCAAAAACTTTACTCCAGTTACCAAGAAGTTTCTCATCTCCATCTGAGACCATCTCATGTAGGGGTGGGTTGCCCCTCCACACCTGTGGGTGTTTCTCGTAAGGTGGAACGAGAGATTTGGAAAAGAAAAAGACACAGAGACAAAGTATAGAGAAAGAAATAAGGGGAGCCGGGGAACCAGCGTTCAGCATATGGAGGATCCCGCCAGCCTCTGAGTTCCCTTAGTATTTATTGATCATTTGTGGGTGTTTCTCGAAGAGGGGGATGTGTCAGGGTCACAAGACAATTGTGGGGAGAGGGTCAGCAGACAAACACGTGAACAAAGGTCTTTGCATCATAGACAATGTAAAGGATTAAATGCTGTGCTTTTAGATATGCATACACATAAACATCTCAATGCTTTACAAAGCAGTATTGCTGCCCGCAGGTCCCACCTCTAGCCCTAAGGCGGTTTTTCCCTATCTCAGTAGATGGAGCATACAATAGGGTTTTATACCGGAGACATTCCATTGCCTGGGGACAGGCAGGAGACAGATGCCTTCCTCTTGTCTCAACTGCAAGAGGCATTCCTTCCTCTTTTACTAATCCTCCTCAGCACAGACCCTTTACGGGTGTCGGGCTGGGGGACAGTCAGGTCTTTCCCTTCCCACGAGGCCATATTTCAGACTATCACATGGGGAGAAACCTTGGACAATACCTGGCTTTCCTAGGCAGAGGTCCCTGCGGCCTTCTGCAGTTTTTGTGTCCCTGGGTACTTGAGATTAGGGAGTGGTGATGACTCTTAAGGAGCATGCTGCCTTCAAGCATCTGTTTAACAAAGCACATCTTGCACCACCCTTAATCCATTCAACTCTGAGTTGACACAGCACATGTTACAGAGAGCACGGGGTTGGGGGTAAGGTCATAGATTAACAGAATCTCAAGGCAGAAGAATTTTTCTTAGTACAGAACAAAATGGAGTCTCCTATGTCTACTTCTTTCTACACAGACACAGTAACAATCTGATCTCTCTTGCTTTTCCCCACAATCTCAGCCTGGATTTCATTGTCTGTGTCATTATCAGCACTTTGGTCAAAGCCATTAAACAAGTCTCTATGAAGTTCCAAACTTTCCCACATTTTCCTGTCTTCTTCAGAGCCCTCCAAACTGTTCCAACCTCTGCCTGTTACCCAGTTCCAAAGTCACTTCCACATTTTTGGGTATCTTTACAGTAGCACCCCACTCTACTAGTACCAATTTACTGTATTAGCCTGTTTTCATGCTGCTGATAAAGACACACTTGAGACTGGGTAATTTGTTTTTTAAAAAAGAGGTTTAATGGACTCTTACGTGGCTGGGGAGGCCTCACAATCATAGCAGAAGGCAAATGGCACATCTTATGTGGTGGTAGATGAGAGACAAAACTTGTGCAGGAAAACTCCCCTTTATAAAACCATCAGATCTCATGAGACTTATTCACTATCATGATCTCCCATGAGAACAGCATGGGAAAGGCCCTCCCCCATGATTCAATTACCTCCCACTGCGTCCCTCCTCCCACAACACATGGGAATTGTGGAAGCTAAAATTTGTGATGAAATTTGGCTGTGGACACAGCCAAACCATACCTTGCCCTATGATAAATGCTAAAGGGAGTCCTTCAAATTGAAATGAAAGGACTTTAGAAAGCAACTTAAAGCTGGATGATAAAATAAAGTTCTCAGGGAAGGTGAACCTGTGGGCAATTATAAAAGCTAGTATTATTTTTATTTTGGTTTGTAACTTCACTTTCTGTTTTCTACATAATTTAAGAGACGAATGCACACTAAAAAACATTAGTTTATATTTTTGAACACAATATGTAAAGATTTAATTTTTTGAATCAACATCTGAAAAAGAAAATCCCTGGACCAGATAGCTTCACTGGTGAATTCTATGAAACATTTAAAAAAACTAATACCAATCTGCAAACTTTTACAAACAACTGAAGAGGAGGGAATTCTTCCTAATTCATTCTATGAGGCCAGCATTACCTTGATACCAAAGCCAGACAGACACTACAATAAAACTGGGCAGATATTCCTTATAAACACTGATAGAAAAGTTTTCAACAAAATACTTGCAAACTAAATTCAATAACATATTAAAAGGATTAAAAACCATGACCAAGTTGGATTTATTTCTGGAATGCAAGGGTGGTTCAACATACAAAAAGCAATCAGTGTAATATACCACATTAATAGAATAAAGGAGAAAACAGCATTGATCACATTAATTAATGCAAAAGAAAGAACTTGATAAAATTCAACACCAACTCATGAAAAGAATCCTCAATGAACTAGAAATATACAGAAACTATCTCAACATAATAAGATACATAAAGGAAAAAGCCACAGTGAATATTATACTCAATGCTGAAAGTCTGAAATCTTCTTCAATATAAGGGACAAAAAAGGAAGTCCATGTTTAGCCCTTCTACTCAACATAGTAGTAGAATTTCTAGCCAGAACAGTTAAGCAGGAAAAAGAAATAAAATACATTCTAATTATAAAAGATGCAAAATAATCTTTTCTCACTGATGATATTTTCTCATATGTATTAGGGTTATGCAAAAGTAGTTGCAGTTTTTGCCATCTAAAAATGGCACCAAACTAATGGAACACCCTAAAGATTCCACAGAAAAAAAATTGTTAGAACTAATAATCACATCCTGCAGAGTAGCAGGATACAAGGTGAATACAAAATAAAAGTCACTTGCATTTCTATACACTAACAATGAGCAATGGAAAAGGAAATTAGGAAAATAATTCTATTTACAATAGCATCAAAAACAATAAAATACTTAGAAATTAACCACGGAGGTAAAAACTGTATTTTAAAAACTACAATACATTATTGAGAGAAACTAAAGAAGATACAAATAAATGGAAAGACATAAAATGTTTATGGATTGAAAAACTTAACATTTTTAAGATGGCAATAGTACCCAAAGGAGTCTGTGGATTCAAGGCATTGCCTATCAAAATTCCAATTATGTTTCTTTGAAGAAATAGAAATTTTTTTCCAAAATACATACGTAAACAAGGAATGTCCAAATAGCCAAAAAGTCTTAGAAAAGCTGGAGAACTTGTACTTCCTGATTTTAAAACTTCCTATAAAACTACAGTAATCAAAACAGACACGTAATAGCATAAAGGCAGGCATATAGACCAATGAAAAATAATAGAGTGCAGAAATAAACTCTAGCATGTACAGTCAAATGATTTCAACATGAGAACCAAGACCATTTGATAAAGAACAAACAGTATTTTCAACATGTGCAGGAAAAATAGAATATTCACATGAAAAAAATGAAGTTGGACCCTTACCTAATACCATATACAAAAATTAACTCAAAGTGGATTAAAAACTTAAATATAAGACCTGAAATTGTAAAACCCCTAGAAGAAAACATAAGAGGAAATCTTCATGATATTAGTCTAGGAAATGTTGTCTTGGATATGATGCCTAAAACACAGGCAGCGAAAGCAAAACTAGACAGGAGTAACTACATCAAACTAAGAAGCAAAGCTCTACGCAGCAAATGAAACAATTAACAGAGTGAAAAGAAAATCTACAAAGAAGGAGAAAATAATTTCAAACCACATATCTGATAAGAGGCTAATATCCAAATTGTGTATGAAACTCCTGTAACTCAACAACAACAACAACAAACGCAAAACAACATAAAACCCAATTTAAAAATGGGCACAAAACTTGAATAGACATTTCTCCAGAAAAGACATGCAAATGCCCAATAAGAATATAGAAAGATACTCAATATCACTAATGAGGGAAAGGCAAATCAAAATTATAGTGAACTATCACCTCACACTTCATAAGATGGCTATTATAACAGCAAAAAAAGGTAACCAGTGTTGACAAGAATATAAAGAAATGGAAACACCTGTACATTGTTGGCAGGGATGTAAAATGGTGTAGCTGCTATGGAAAACAGTATGAAGATTCCTGAAAAATATTAAATATGATCCAGAAATCTCACTTCTTGGTATTTATCCAAAATAATTGAAATCAGGATCTCAAAGAGGTATCTGCACTCCCATGTTCACTGCAGCACTATTTACAATAGACAATGTATGGAAACAATTTATATGTCTGTTTACAGATGAGTGGATAAAGAAAATGTGGTGTATGCATACCATGAAATATTATCAGCCTTAAAACAGAAAAAAATCCTGCCACATGCAATAAATAACATGGATGAATCTTGAAGACATGCTAAGTGAAATAAGCCAGTCACAGAAGGTCAAATATTGTGCAATTCCACATATATGAGACACTTAAAGTAGTCAATATCATAGAAACAAAAAGTAGAATGGTAGCTTCCAGGGACTAAGAGGAGAGGGAATGGGAAGTTGTCATTTAATGGGTATGGAGTTACAATTTCACAAGATGAAAAATGTTCAGAAGATGGATGCTGGTGATGGTTTCACAATTTGATTACTTAATAACACTGAACTGTACACTTAAAAATGGTTAAAATATGTCTACTCAGGTCTTTTGTCCATTTTTAATTGGTCATTTGTTTTTCTACTATTGACTTCTATGAGTTCTTTTATAAATTTTGGATATTAACTCCTCATCAGATACATGGATTATAATTTTTTTCCCAATCCATAGCTTGATGTTTCATTTTATTGATTGTATCCTTTGCTGTGCAGAATTGCATTTTAATGTAGTTCCATTTATTTATTTTTGCTTTTGTAGCCTGAGCTTTTGATATAATATCCTAAAAATATTGCCAACCTATCAAGGAGTTTTCCTCTATATTCTCTTCTAGGAGATTTATGGTTTCAGGTCTTACATTTAGATCTTTTATCCAATTTGGGTTAATTTTTTTGTATGTTTACATAATTTCATTCTTTTGCATGTGGAATTCTAGTTTTCCAAGCACCATTATTCAAAGAGACCATCTTTTCCTCATTGTGTCCTCTTGGGGGGTCTTGAAAAAAATTAGTTCATCTTATATTATTGGATTTATTTCTGAGCTCTCTATTCTGTTGCACTGGTCTGTGTATCTGTTTTTATGTCAATATCGTATTATTTTAATCACTACAGCTTTGTAATGTAATTTTAAATCAGGAAGGGTGATGCTTCCAACTTCATTTTTCTTTCTCATAATTGCTCTGTTTCTTCGGGGTCTTTTGTTGTTCCATACAAATTTTAAGATTTTTTTCTATTGCTGTGAAAGAAGGATGGCATTGGGATTTTGATATGAATTGCTTGAATCTGCATTTTGCTTTGGGTTGTATAAGCATTTTAATAATATTAATTCTTTTGATCCATGAGAATAGAATATCTTCATTTATTTGTGTCTTCTGTGATTTTTTTCATCAATGTTTTATAGTTTTCAAAGTACAGATCTTTTATCGCTTTGGTTAAATGCCACAAAAAAATGGGTAACTGTGAAATGATGGATATGTTAATTTGCTTCACATACCTTGTCACACAGTGTCAATTTTACTATCTATATGTATTCCATAACATAATGTTGTATACCTTAAATATGCATAATAAAATGTATGTATTTATTTATTATTTTTTGAGATCTCTCTCTGTCACCCAAGCTGGAGTGCAGTTGCATGATCTTGGCTCACCGCAACCCCTGCCTCCCAGGTTCAAGCAATTCTGCTGCCTTAGCCTCCCAAGTAGCTGGGACTACAGGCTTATGCCACCACACCTGGCTATTTTTTTTTTTTTTTTGTATTTTCAGTAGACATGGGGTTTCATGATGTTGGCTAGGCTGGTCTCAAACTCCTGACCTCAGGTGATCCACCCACCTCGGCCCCCCAAAGTGCTGGGATTACAGGTATGAGCCACTGCACCCAGCCCATAATAAAATTTATTTTTAAAATGGCTAATATAGTAAATTTTATGCTTGTGTGTTTTATTGCAATAAAAAAATTTAAAAATAATAACTGGAGACTTCAGTACTCTATTCTAATAATAGACAAGACAACTAGGTAGATTAATGAACAAAAATACGATTTGAACAACAATATAAACTAACCAAACCTAAAAGATGTCTACAGTGAACTTAACAGTAGAATTCTCATTCTCCTCAAGTGCACATGATACATTTTGCAGGAGAGACCTCATGTTAGACCATAAATTAAGTATGTACAAATTTAAAATGATTTGAAAATACAAAGTATGTTCTGTGACCACAAAGGAATAAATTACAAATTAGTAAAACAACAAATAGAGAAATTCACAAATATAACAACATTAAAAACATACTCCTGAATAAACACTGAGTAAAACACAAAATTGCAATGAATATTAGAATATACTTTGAAATGAATAAAAAGGAAACACAACATTAAAAAATCTTACATATACAGTAATGCCTACAAGGTTGGAGGACTCACACATCTCAATTTCAAAAGTTTCTATAAAGGTACAGTAAATAGCTTTAATAATCAAGACAATGTAATACCAGCATAAGTTTGGACATATAGAAGAACGAAAAGAAGGAGAGTCCAGAAATAAACCTTTATATTTATGTTCAATTGATTTTTAACAGCGGTGCGCAAGATAAATTCAATGGTGTGGAAAATGCTGAGGTTCCACAATGCTGCTGAGACAAATGAATATCTGCATGCAAATTAATAAAGTTGGAGCCCTACTTCATACCATATTTTAAAAATAAAAAAGCTTAAAATGGATCAAAGACCTAAATGTAAGGCCTAATACTATGAAGCTCTTAGAAGAAAAGATACCCTTAAATCTTCATCGCCATGGATTAGGATTTATAAATATAATACCAAAACCACAAGCAACAAAAGAAAAAACATGTTAGACTTCATTCAACTTGAAACATTTTGTCCATTAGAGAACATCACCAAGAGTGAGAAAATGCAAGCCCAGAAAGGAGAAAAATATTTGCAAATCATATATCTGATAAGAGATTATATAAAGAACAGACAAGGAACTGTTACAGCTTAAAAATAAAAAGACAACCAAAATTTAAAAAGAAGACAAAAGGTTTGGCTAGGCATTACTTCAAAGAACATAGATAACTGTCCAATAACCACATCATTAGTCATGAGAGAAATGTAGATCAAAACCACAATATGATACCCCTCACACCCACAAGAATGTGGCTGATGGTAACAAGTGTTCGTAAGGATGTGGATAAATTGGAATCCTCATATGTTGGTGGTAGACATTTTAAATGGTGCAGTTAAGTATGGAAAACAGTTTGGCAGTTCCTCAAAAAGTTAAGCATAGAGTTGCCATATGACCCAACAATTCCATTCTTAAGTTTTTACCCAGAGGAAATGAAAACATATGTCCATACAAAACCATGCACACAAATGTTCATAGTAGCATTGTTCGTAATAGCCAAAAATTCAAATATCCATCAGTTGATGAGGGAATAAACAAAATATGGTCCATATAATGGAATATTATTCAGCTATAAAAAGGAATGAAGTACTGATACATGCTACAATATGAATGAGCCTCAGAAATATTATACTGAGTGAAAGAAGTCAGACACAATTGCCACATATTGTATAATTTCATTATATGAAATACCCGGAACAGACATATTCATGAAGACAGAAAGCAGATTAGAGGTTTCCCAGGGCTGGTTTGGGGGAGGCAAAACAGAGAGTTACTGCTTAAAGGATATGAGGATCTTTTGGGGTGATAAAATGTTCAGAAATTAGATTGTGGTCACAGTTACAATCTTTGTGAATATACTAAAAACCACGGGGTCATACATTTTAAAAGCAATAATATCGTGGTATATGGATTACATCTCAATTTAAAGGTACCCCTAGTTCTGCTACAAATACAAGATTAGAAATCTGAAATTGCTGTGTATAGAGGAAATGCCACCCACTGGGCATCTAGTATGTGCCTGGCTTTTCACATCTGTTATTCATTATCTCCTTTAGTCCTCACATGACCACTTCTGCATCAGAAAATGCAAAAGTGCATTTTCTAAGAGGTAAAATATTCTAAGAGGTAAAATAGTTTTCCCAGGATCATGTTACTAATGTGGGAACAGGAATTTACCTAGACCTTCTGATTCAAATTCTTCTACTGTATGCTGCCCTTAACATGTGTGGCTGCTAAGAAGCAAAGATCCTTACAGTGCCCTACTTAGGACGGTGGCAAAAGGTCTATGTATTCGACACCCGTGAAAACAAAAGTAGGGTAGAAAACAGCAAGTTTGTGGCAGGCCAAGAAGAAAATCCTGGTCTTTTTTATTTTGTATTTTATCAAATCTCTTGTATTCAGGCTGATGACAGATTAAGAAGGAAAGTGAGACAGTGAGTTAGGATGGGAGGTAGAATAAGAATGTACTCCATGCAGAGTTTAAAATTATTTTATCTTTGTCTATTTTTTTCTACTTCACTTGAATGAATCATTCACATGACTAAAACTTTCATCTGGTATCTAGATGTCTCAAATATTTTACACTTGTCTTTTACTACTGCAGTATTCTGCTTTTGCAAATATACACGTTGTTTACTTGAACTAGTTCATTCAATGAACAAAAACAATCATGAAAAAATCAGAGAAAAGCAAAGCCAAAGGTGGTTACATGTATAATCAGTAGTCACAGACAGAATGTGAAATTGATTGGTGTAGATGTCAAAGGCAAACTGGAAAGGAAATATGTTTGTGACAGATTCATTCATTTGGATGTCTCTGATCAGTGAAACTGCATAGCTGGGGACGGGAACAGAGGGAAGACTCTTCACTTCCCTTTTGGGTCCATTGAGTTTTGAACCATGGGAATGAATAGATTACCTCGTCCATAAATGATACCTAAGGTCAGTTTTTTGAAAGGAAAGAAATTAATAAAATGCTACATTCTGGAAAAGGCATTAAAATTCCTTTGAAAGTGGCTGTTTTTCTTCAAAGCCACGTTGTGGGTGTGTGTAATGAATGAGCACGGCTGCGGGTGGTGATGAGCATCACCCTTGCTGTAAAATGTGAAGGGCAAAGAACTAGGAGGCAGTCAGGCGCATGGAGGAAGAGACTTCCCCAACCTGCGCACAGGACAGCCCCTGTGGAGTCAGATGGAAAATGTAGGGTGTGAAGAGCTGTGTTAGGTCCTCCTCTGCTTTTTACTCTATAAGGGGAATATATAGAATTCTGAGAATACATAGAATGTGAATGGAGGTAGGGAGGGTGTACAAAAACAAGTCCCTGAAGATTTTTCCTGTGAATAGCAAGAAGCCAAGCTGATAATTCTCTTACAGTAAAAATACAATTTAAAAGAAACACAGGTATTATTGTGAGTTAGTAGTTGATGAAGTTGTTGAAAGATGTGGACAGGCCTCAGAAGCTGTAATTCCAAAAAGAGGTGGTTCAGACTATGAAATCAAAAGGCAAACTTCCTGAATTGGAATCTCATTGCTGTCGTGTATTTGCTGGGCAATTTAAGGACAATCGTTTAAGCTCTGTGAGCCTCAGTTTTCTCATCTATAAAATGAGAAAGAATAATATTAAAAGAATAATAACCTACAACTTTAAGTTGTTCCACAAAAGCAATGGTTCAGCTACAGAATACTATGCACAAATGAAATTATTTTCAAAGACACAATTTCTAAAACAGATAAAAGTAGGCTTGCCCTAATTGAATCAAAGTTGGAGAAAGAACTAACTTGTTGCCACTAGGACTCTGGTGCACAGCCTGGAAATCACCATCAGCTTAGAAGATTCCTAAAGCTCTTTCTGCACACACACTTGCATACATCTATTTCCAAGGATTGACATTGAGTCTTATCCAGTCCTACCCTAAATTTAAACTAGCTGGACTAAAGAACAATTGAGAACATTAAAGATTAGTGTTGTAATGTCTATCAATCTTTAAAAATATACATATTGTCCAATTGCAAATTAAGTTGAACAAATTATATCCAATAGAAAAAAAATCTAATATTATAAAGTGTACTGTTAGTTCTACTCAGTATACTATGTGCTCACCCTGACACCTGAGTCCAGGTCATTGGCAGAGTCTGAAGGAAACTCACTAGCATCACACAGGCTGTCCCTCCAAATACTCCAATCACAGTCGACGACAATGTTCCCCAAAGTCTATAGGTCAAGTGGCTTTTTAAAGCTCTGTGCCTATATCTGCATTGGCAACATTCAAGGCAGCAAATTAGTTGAGTTAAAAAAATTATTTTTGGCTGGGCGCAGTGGCTCACGCCTGTAATCCCAGCACTCTGGGAGGCCAAGGCGGGTGGATCACCTGAGGTCGGTAGTTCGAGACCAGCCTTACCAACCTGGAGAAACCCTGTCTCTACTAAAAATACAAAATTAGCCAGGTGTGATGGTGCATGCCTGTAATCCCAGCTACTTAGGAGATTGAGGCAGGAGAATCGCTTGAACCCGGGAGGCGGAGGTTGCGGTGAGCCAAGATCACGCCATTGCACTCCAGCCTGGGGAAAAATAAAAGTTATTATCACTTTGCGAGGCCAAGACGATCAGATCACTTGAGGTCAAGAGTTCGAGACCAGCCTGGCCAATACGGTGAAACCACATCTTTACTAAAAATACAAAAATTAGCCAGGTGTGGTGGTGGCTGAGGCAGGAGAATCACTTGAACCCCGGAGGTGGAGGCTGCAGTGAGCTGAGATGGCACCACTGCACTCCAGCCTGGGTGGCAGAGTGAGACTTCGTCTCAAAAAAAAAAAAATTATATATATATATATATATATGAAACCAAAAGGTTTTCTTCCAATAAAAAGCAGTTTTGTTTGGTACTCCTAAAGGCAATTCCATGTTTTTTTTTTATTGTTAATAAAGTTGGGTCTTTACACACACACACATATTTTATAAGCATTCACAATGGTGATCTCTAGAAGAAGCCAGTGCAAATGTTCTGACAGTTAAAATTATTTAAATATTTGACATTAAAAAAAATTGTAGTTAGCAAGCCTTTAAAAATACATACAGGCCAGGCGTGGTGGCTCACACCTGTAAGCACAGCACTTTGGGAGGCCAAGGTGAGCGGATCATCTGAGGTCAGGAATTCAAGACCAGCCTGGCCAACATGGTGAGATCCTGTCTCTACTATAAAAATATAAAAATTAGCCAGGCATGGTGGTGGGCACCTGTAATCCCAGCTACTCGGGAGGTTGAGGCAGGAGAATCACTTGAACCTGGGAGACGGAGGCTGCAGTAAGCCGAGATCACCACACTGCACTCCAGCCTGGGCAACAGAGTAAGACTCCATCTCAAAAAAAAAAAAGAAAAAAAATGCATACATTTAACAACATAATTATGGTAATGTGAACCAGAGCTCTCAAAATCTTGGTGCTTAGAAAAGCTAGAAGTGTTGAATTTGTCTAGCCTTTTTTTTTTTTGTCCAAATAGTTATATTTGAATTTACATGTTAGAAAACTACTCTTCAGGAAATAAAAGGAAGTGGCATCAAGCAGTTTTCACTGTTTTTATTTGTTTATCTTGTTTTGCCCCACATTTGTTGTTGCCAGACATGTCATTAATTACTGCCATGTTTCCCCTGTGAATATATTTATTGGCCTAAAATAAGAAGTCCTCAGCTAGGAAGATATTTAGTGTAAACAGTGTCAGAAGCAGTGAGTTACCATCAAGCATTTTGGAAATCAGTTCTCTGACTCCAGAAGTCTCTGCTCCTGACCTTGACATTCGTGACAGAAGTCCCAAAGGTGTTCTACTCTTTAATTCGTTTTGCTGCCAAAGCAATCCATAGTTTTCATTATTAATAAAGCTATTAGTCAAGGTACAGATATACTTGGAGAGATGCATTTTAAGTTGCAAGCTCTGAATCCTGCAGACTACACGTTTGTGTGAGGATGAGGAGACGAATACACTTCTTAGATCTATTCCACAGATAGATCTAGCAGCAATAACAAAAAATTACAGAGGGAAGTTGACCTATATCTTAGCTGTGTTCTAAATAATATAACATAAGCAAGTAAAACAACTTTTTCCCCAAGTTATGATTCCTCCAAAATGTCTTTCTGTTCTAATCTAGTTTAGTTACTCTTTTATCAAATAATTTTCAGTAAGATTGGTAGAGCACACATACAAAATACCAGAACAGACATGAAGAAGAGATTTTGTAACTTGAGTTTGGACAATAGGGTAGCTCTAAAGGATGACTAGGATATGGGAAGTCATTACCCTCAGGAAACCACCCCAGAAAGTAAAAACAACACTTCCTACCTAAAGGTAGCTTTAAACAAGTCTTGTTGTCCTGACTTCCAATCAATCATTTCCCAAGATACTCCTAAGTAGCTGTTCCAGAGCTACAATTGCTATCTTGCTAACCCAAGAATATAATTTCTCATTTTCTAATATCATATTCACTGTGAAGATTTTGTAAAGTACCGTTTATAGAGGAACAGAAGAGAGTAAATTCTTGTCTCTGATTAAGGAATTTTGAAATCCCATCAGAATATTCAGGGGCAAAACACAGCTGGGGCTCCAATCTGACCAACTCAGAGTTCAGAAATATTTCCTAAATTAGGACCATTCTTCAGTGATATGATGTCATACAGTGTTTCCTGAAGTTTGAGTCTTTTTTTTTCCATATACTCTTTCCACCTAAATTGTGCAAAATTATCCCTTGACATTTTTCCAGACTTCACACAATCCTTTTGGAAAATTCTTAACTACTCTTCTCCACACCTCAAGAGCAGGTGCTTGATCAAGAACCAGAAAAAGTGCTTAAATTTTACCAGTGAAAAACTGAAGATAGAAAACACCAGTCCTCTACAAATAATAATAAAAATAATAACACTTTAACATTCATTGAGTGCTTCTTATATCCCAGGTAATGTGCTCAGCAGTGCTATCATGATAAAAGCTATTTGCCCAGGAAACAGTGGAGTGAAGAGTATGGGCAGCCTGGACATTTCAGCAAAGGAGGTCAAATGCAAAGCTCTGGAGGTATTAACTCCTATAGTGGATTGAGCAGCTGCAAGCAGTTCCATATGTGTGGAGTGCCGCATGTTACAGAGCAAGTGGTATTACATGAAGAAGTAACATATACATATTTACATTTGCATATGCACAAAATACATTTGAGGAGATCATAAGAAACTTAACATTGGTTTGCCTGGGGAAAAACAGTGCTAGTCAGGGGTAAACAGGATATTTGGTTTGAATTTAATATTTAATCATGCATTTTTAATTAGAAAACTAAAAGTAACTCAGAGGTCAGGAGTTCAAGACCAGACTGGCCAAGATGCTGAAATCCCATCTCTACTAAAAATACAAAAATTAGCCAGGTGTGGTGGCACGTGCCTGTAATCCCAGCTACTCGGGAGGCTGAGGCAGGAGAATTGTTTGAATCCAGGCAGCAGAGGTTGCAGTGAGCAGAGATCGTGCAACGGCACTCCAGCCTGGGCGACAGGGCAAGACTCTGTCTCAAAAATAAATAAATAAATATATATATATATAAATAAATAAATAAATAAGTAAATTTTCTAGGAAGAGGAAGGGTTCATGTGCTGAACAAGAAAGGAACAGGTCAAGAAGAAGTGGAATAGCTCTATGGGTAAAGGAAATCGGGTAACCAAGAATATATTCAGTAATTGCTGACTCACACTGAGTGCCCAGCCACGTTTAGTACCTATTAATTTGTAGATATTTTTCTCCAGTTGATTGGCAACTTTGGTATAATAGACAGTAAGCAAGTGGTTTTCTAAGTGAACTCATTGGATATGGATGAAGAACAAGGACTGTAAGTTGTGGGACCAGAAAGAGGCAACATGTAGCAATTAACCACAATATTTTTATTGGTTAAAGAAGCGAAATGAGAAGAGCAGTGATAAACTGAGTAAGCTAAGATTATAAGTTCTAAAAAGATGACAAAGTACAGAGAAGTGGAAATAAAGGAGGAAAAGGACTCAAAGTAGAGAAGTTTGGGTCAGCACAAGAGACTAAGTTTAATATTTCAGAGAGGGCATGGGTATGGCACCAGGACATGAAGTGCCATGAAGGCAAAACTTAGAATTGGGTGGGTGAAGAAGGGTGAGAGGATTTTGAGTCTACAATACTTAACTGAATATGCCTTGGACAGATGAGTGCCCAGAGTGATTTTAGGATGTGGATTTTCTGAGTCCTAGCCATAAAGAGAGATGCTTCACATTGTGCTGAAATAGATTCATCTGTGGCTGGGATAACGCTGAGAAGGTATGTACATATGGTTTGGTGGTGACAGTGAAAGAGAAAATAAAACTTTTTAATGGACTACAGATGGTGAGTTACTAGTTGTGAAGGTTTCAGGGAAGACTTAACAAAGAAAGAGGTGATATTTGAGGTAGGTCTTAAAGGAGGAATTCAACTAACAGAAAGAAACTTAGTAGAAGCATTACAGCCTGAGGGAAGGGTACAAATGGAGGCCTAGTTTCTGTTGTTTAATCCTGAGACTACTTGAAGTTTGATTTCTGAAAACTGCTGTTTCAGTCTGGTACATGAGCCCTTCTTTGACTTGCTTTTCATGTATGCAAATTCTCCCTTTCCTTTATGGAACATATATTAATGGAAATAAATGAGCACTTATGGGATTCATTTGCTTCATGCTCCAATTTTTTTTGTTTCTTTCCTATGAGAGGGACACAATAGTCCAGACTACAATTCTAAGGAGAAATGCCTTAGCATGGTTGCAAATTATAAAATAAGTAGATTATTAATGTAACTCAAATGACTGGAATTTGAGTTAAGGTCCCTTTTTGAAATTAAATATCCAGGAAGTTTCTACAGAACTTGGAGGAGGAAGCTGTTCAAATTGTCCCTGGGGTGAGGCTATGTAATGTATAATTCAAAAGAAACTGGTATATATAGCTTGGGAACCTGATGCTGAGTTGGCAGGCCAGGATAATTAGTAATAGCCACTTCCAACAGCTATATAAATCAAGATAAATCATAGAGAGATTGGAGCTCCTGATCCAATATGGGAGAATATGAAATATCTGTTGAGATCATTTTTTAAATTCCAATTTAGCATATAGTGCTTAGCCATTCCATTCCACAGCTAAGTAATATGTAAGTATAAACATACATTGTCATTCACAATTAAGCAGCCTACTTATGGAATTATCAGACATATGTTTTGCTCTCGCTTCACCTCCCTGATCCTTTATAGTACATGAATAATAAAATAAATAAAATGATTTTTATTTGTCACAACACAACACAAATTGTCCTTACTTTGGAAAAGTAGCAAATTAGAACCCACTTTAAAATTTTATTTATAATTTCAGATATGTTTTTGCAGATTAATTTCCTATACTTTAAGCTACATTAAGTTTGTCCTCATGCTCTTTGTTTCTGCACTCTGAAACTAGAAATCTCTTTCCCAGACATCTTCCAAGTCAGTGACTAATGCAACAGGAGACAGGAGAATGAGAAGATGAAGAAGATCAGGTTCCTACCTCAATGCACTTGGAGTCTAACCAGGAGAAAATAAGCATGAACTATATAACTAGTAAGGACAACAAGTGCTATTGCAAGCAATGTGTGAAGGAACATGGAGGACAGATTATAGAATCTGGTGATTAAGGGTCCGGAAAGGAGAGGTCTTTCAGGGAAGAGAGGTCTTTCGAGTAAACACTGAGAATCAGTGTATTTTCAGCAGATGTAAAGGGGGACGGAGATATCTCAGGCAGCAAGGACAGCTGATTTAAGAATAGGGGCCTAAAAGTATAGACAATATTTAGAAAATAGTGAGTAATAACAATTGCAGTCTAAGACTATATGCACCTAGAAGGTGATTATATATTTTTAAAAGATTATTGAAAGTTAGCTTGATCAGGAAGGACCTTGAATAAATTTGTAAGGAATGTCAGCTTTAAATGTGGATACCCTAAATTAACTGCATTAATGTGCAATGCAATGCTAATGATCATTTTGTGACTTATCCTCTATGAAAGTTTGTGTTTTATAGGTCAAGAAGACCAAGACCTGAAAACAAATTCAATGTTCCAATAATTGGCTGTCACAAGCAGCTGTTTAGTGTG
This sequence comes from Homo sapiens, assembly GCF_000001405.40. Classification (NCBI taxonomy): domain Eukaryota; kingdom Metazoa; phylum Chordata; class Mammalia; order Primates; family Hominidae; genus Homo; species Homo sapiens. Next base: position 4,933,241 of record NC_000018.10, read on the forward strand.
TGTTACAGGGTGTAAGTGTAGTTTAAGGCAATAAAGGCTTAAGAAAATCCACTAAGACAAATTCCACATTTTCATTTTCATGTATGGATCTCATATTTTCTCCAATGGAGTCATATCATTATTCGTTAATAAATCATTCATTAATAAACCTTAATGAAATCTATGGCTTCGACACTTTAGATGCTGAAATTTAGGGATCTAATAATTAAAAATAGCTAAAGTTTCCTTCCGCTTAGAAAAAATTAATACCCGTGCTACAAAACTTTGCTGTGTATCGATTCATTAATTACTTTCTCTTGGAATTTTTTAAACATATATCTATCAGAAAGTGCACACCAGTTGAAAAGGGGTGGTATGGACAGTAGCTGCTTCACTTTCCTAGTTTTAACGTAACCCAGAACCTGTTGCAAGAGCTTTATATTTTACATAATAGTTGGGTTGCAAGTGACGGAAATGAAATATAGAATCATATATTTTAAAAGGGTTCAATAACAAAGTCAAAGAAACAGTATGGATGAATCCAGGTTCTGGAAAGACTGGATCCAGGACATTAGGCAGCTTTAGGACTCATTCTTAATCCTTTTATTTACCTCTTAGCTCTGCTTTTCTTCATTAATTTAAATTTGCCATTCCTTTATGGATGGAATCATAGCCACGGCCAGTTCTGAGCTAATATTCTTACAGCAAGGTTCCTTGACATCAGAGCTATTGACATTTTGGTCTGGATAATTCTTTGTTTTGGAGATCTGCTCCATGCAGTGCAGGATGTCAAGCAGCCTCCCTGGCCTCCACCCACTAAATGCCAGTAGTGCCTTCTACTCCTCACCAACTCCAGCTGTAACAACAAAAGTTTTCTCCAGACAGTGCCAAATGTCCTCTGGGGGCAGTGAAATTGTCCCCAGTTGAGAACAACTGCATTACAGTCTTAATGTCAGAGACGGAGAGCTCATTCACACAATTTGCATCCAGAAAAATCCAAAAGAACAGTTTTGTTCTGTGTGGGCCACATACCCACCCTGAACCACACCTCTTAATGAGAAAAGTGAGGTATCATGATGGGCTCAGCTTGGGAAAATGCTATATCAACTAAAACTCTTAGAAAGACTATCAGATTGCAAACTCCAGGAGACACTATTGATATAACAATATATGTATATTGTCATAGGTTGTTAATAATTAGAATTATTTGAATTAAGGAAATCATTCATGAAGATAAAAAATGCCATGGCAAAGCAGGAAGGAGGATTAGTATTATAGAAATATATTTTATGCAGGCTTCACAGTAACCACAAAGCAGAGGCAGTCCATCACTGGAGAAACTTGAAGTCTGTGGCCCATTAAAAGTAACCGTAGTAGGAACAAAACAAAAGCCTAGCTCAACTACTGGCCACATTGCCAAGATCCCCAGACTAATGACATGAGAATAAAGAAGCATACCCATTTCTGGCCAAAATAATTATTTACTTCAGTTTCTAGTATTGTTTTACGAAAACCATTGTCAAGAGATAAAATAAGTAATATAATCAGACACAGAGATGACACAGAAGTTGGAACTGTCATGGCTTATAAACCTGAGTGACAAGAAAAGTTAAACAAAGTTCTTCAGACAAAAGAAATATGGTATGCATAGAAAATTTTATCTATTCAAAGGAATTAAGATTAACAAAAATGTATAAATGTGGATAAATATAAAAATATCTTTTATTCTTTACTTTTAATCTTCTTAAACAATTGAAAAATATAATAAGAAGTAAAAAAGAAACACAAAAGCAAAAATAAAAATAAAATAAAAAACATAAAAGTAAAACTGAGAATCTAGGGCAAAAATATAAATCTATTTGGCAGTTCATAATATATGCATAAGTAAAATGTATGACAACAAGACAGGAGGGTAAATACATAATTATTTGGTTTTGAAGTTCTTTCACCATACATGAAGTAATGTATTTTTTGAAAGCAGACTTTCATATGTTACAAATTTGTGTAGTAAAATCTAGAGCCACCACTAAGATATAAAACAACTATAAAGTTTTTAGTGGCAATAAAATGGAATCATAAATAAACATTCAATTAATCCAAAAAAGAGAGGAAAGGTAGAAAAAAGGAGAAAACAACAGATAGGACAAATTTAAAAAAAACCAAAAAGCAAAAAGTAGATAAAACCCCAAGCATATCAAAAATTATATTGAGTAAATAACCAAAAAATTCCAATTTTTGGAATTCAAATTAAAATCACAGCCCTATATGTAAGAAATTTATTTTAAATATAAAGATATAGATGGATATAAGTCTCATTAGTCTATTTTTGTTTGGTTGTGTTTGCTTTTGGGGACTTGGTCATACATTATTTTCCAGGCCAATGTCAAGAAGAGTTTTTCCTAGGTTTTCTTCTAGGGATTTTACAGTTTCAGATCTTATGTTTAGGTCTGTAATTCGTCTTCAGTTAATTTTTCTATGTGGCGAGAGGTATGGCTCCAGTTTCATTCTTCTGCATATGGGTATCCCAGCACCATTTATCGAATAGGGTGTCATTACCCCAGTGTATTTTTTGTTGTTGACTTTGTCAAAGATTAGTTGGTTGTAGTTATACAGCTTTTTTGGGGGTTCTCTATTCTGTTCCATTGATCTGTGTGTCTATTTTTGTACCAGTAACCTGCTGTTTTGGTTACTATAGCCTTGTAGTATAATTTGATTAAATGCCTCCAGCTTCATTATTTTTGTTTACTATTGCCTTGGCTATTTGGGTTACTTTTGGTTCCATGTGAATTTTAGCATTTAAAGTAAAAGATGAGAAAGATACAATGTAAAACACAAATCAGAAGGAAACTGGAGAGTTTGTATTACTATCAAAAAAATCAGACTTAGAACAATGTGTATTATCAGAATTATCGGAAATCAGAACATAAAGATAAGGGAGTAAGTTTATTTTAATCTTTTTAAAAGTGTGTATTAATCTAATAACAAAGCTTTAAATACACAAAGGAAAAACTGATTGAAATGAAAAGAGATAGAAACAAATCCATAATTATTGTTGGAGAATTCACCCTCTAAGTTATTAATAAAATAAATAGATCAAAATAATCAGTAAAAATATAGGTGACAGTAGCAGAATACACATTATTTTTAAGTCCCTATGGAATATTCACCAACATAGGCCACACAGTCTGGGTGATAATGAAACTCCCAATAAATATGGAAGGACAAAAATAATACAGAATATGTCTTCAGACAATAGTGGACTAAAACTAGAAATGAAAAACAGAAAATGCATTCCTATTAAAAAATTCAGTATCTTTCTTCTAAATAATCAATGTCTCAGAAAAGAAATTATGAGAGAAATGGATAGTATTTTGAATTGAGTACAAATGGAAACAACATAAATATTTGTGAGTTACAGCAACATTTGTGCTGAGAAAAATCACAATCTTTAATACTTTTATTTAAAACAGAAAAATTTCAAAACAATGATCCAAGCTTTCCCCTTATGAAACTAAAAAAAATCATCTAACCCAAGCTAAACAAAAGAAGGAAGTCATAGATAAAAACAAAAAGGAAGAAAATAAAAAAATTTAAAAATAAAGGAGAAAAAATAATTTTAAAAAGCTAGTTATTTGGAAAGACCAATACAATTGATAAATCTCTAGTCAGATGACCAAAAAAGGAAAACAAAAGAAGAAAAGACACTAAAGACCTATAAAAGGAATGAAAGACTGAACTTCACAGGTTAATTGATAAATATGCTTAAAAACATTTGTCAATAAACTCCTGAACTAGGTAAAATAGAAAACTTCTGGCTGGGCGCCATGGCTCACGCCTGTAATCCCAGCACTTTGGGAGGCCGAGGCGGGAGGATCACGAGGTCAGGAGATTGAGACCATCTTGGCTAACATGGTGAAACCCCGTCTCTGCTAAAAATACAAAAAAATCAGCCAGGTGAGGTGGCATGCGCCTGTAGTCCCAGCTACTCGGGAGGCTGAGGCAGGAGAATGGCGTGAACCCCGGAGGCGGAGCTTGCAGTGAGCCGAGATGGCGCCACCGCACTCCAGCCTGGGCGACAGAGCAAGACTCCGTCTCAAAAAAAAAAAAAAAAAAAAAAAAAAAACTTATTCAAAACTTAGATGAAATGTAAAACTTCTTCAGAAGGCAAAAATTACCAAAGCTCACTCAATAAGCATAGAGAAACAGAACAGTGCTATATCTATTAAAGAAACATTTTTTAAATTAGAAACCTTCCCACAAAGAAAATTCCAAGTCACTGGTGAATTCTCCAAAACATTTAAAAGAGAAATAACACCAAATCTACATACTATTCCAGAAAATAAAGAGAGGGGATTCTTCCAAACCTATTTTTATTTCATTTAATTAATTAATTAATTAATTAATTTATTTTTTTGAGACAGAGTCTTGCTCTGTCTTCCAGGCTGGAGTGCAGTGGCGCGATCTCGGCTCACTGCAAGCTCCGCCTCCCGGGTTCACGCCATTCTCCAGCCTCAGCCTCCCGAGTAGCTGGGACTACAGGCGCCCGCCACCACGCCCGGCTAATTTTTTTGTATTTTTAGTGGAGACGGGGTTTCGCCGTGTTAGCCAGGATGGTCTCGATCTCCTGACCTCGTGATCCACCCGCCTCGGCCTCCCAAAGTGCTGGGATTACAGGTGTGAGCCACCGCACCCGGCCCAAACCTATTTTTATGAAATCAGTATTACCCTTACACCAAGACCATCCAAAGGCATTATAAGGGAAAGAAAACCTACAATGTCCCTCATGAGCATAGACACAAAAAGAAATCAAACAAAATATTTAGTAAAAATAATTCAGCCCAACAGCAGAGCTTGAGACAAGAATTCGGGTGTAGATATTTATATGGAAGGTAATCTGGGAAGCAAGAGTGAAGGAGCAGAGGGTGAGACAGGCAAGGGGGCTTGGTTCCAATGGCCCTCTCAGGCCATACTAAATGCCTCCCAGAACTTTCTGTCTGGAATATGGGCATATTTATCCACTATGTTCCAGTCCCTATTACTTGAAGTTTGTCCCTAGCATATTTCATTTCTGGGATGCTCCAGAGCACAGAATAAACAAATTCCTGTGGCACTGGAAAAGGCACTGGGGCAAATGAAAAAAGCTGTGGTGCTTGCTTGAGATGGGTCACTGTCGACGCAAAATGAGAGTGAGCCTACATAAAACCATTCACTGCAGCTGAAGTTGAAATCAAATGCGAGCAGACAGGATTGATGTAGGCACCAGGGGCCTGTGATACACAAAAGAAAGCAGAAGACCACTTACAAATGCATTCGGTTTGAGATTAGACATCCAAGTGTAGGGGTCAGGTAGACAGACAATGGGATACAGAAGTGTGGAGCTCAAGAGAAAGGTCTGGAATGGAGATATATATTTGGGAATTGTCAGCATATACATGATGTTTATATCTATGGAACTTGATGCCATCAATCACCAAGTCAGTGTATGGAGAGAGGGAGAGAACAAAGACTTAGCTTTGGGACATTCCAAAATTAAGACATTGGGGAAAAAAAAAAAAAGAGAAGAAATAATCAGCAAAAGCTAAGAAGTGTTTAGTAGCAAACAACAAACTGGGGAGTATGAAAAGATGATATCCCGGATACAAGTGAAGAAATGGTACCAAAAGAACAGAAGAGGTTGTCAGTATCAAATGCTGCTTAGAGGTCAAGGAAGATAAAACTGAGTATTGTCATCGGAAGGTCACTAAGGACCTCAATGAAAGTACTGGAGTTTCTGAATTTTAGTTGATGTTTCCTTAAGGTAATTCAAACATCAATAAACAAGCATCAACCTCTCTTCCCCAGGGTTTGTCAAACACTGCTCTGCCAACTTGTGTGCTTCCAAAGTAAAACTATCAGCAAACCATAGCAAATTACAAGAAAAAGACAAGGCAGCATTTCTTTTCAGTGTAATTGAGTTAACTATTCTTTATACATTTTCAAAAATTAAAATATCCCTTTTTAAGTGAAATGATACTTTTTCCTAGCAAAATAACATGTATGCACACCTGTGTTAACCTTAAATAAAAAATACATATATACATATATATATATATGTTCCACATATATATGGGGGCTGTGTAAGGGTGGGTGTGTGTATGTGTTGTATGTGTGTATTTCTAATATATATATGTATATATTACATATATAGTAATATAGATATATGAGATAGATAGATATGTAATATATATACACATATGTAATATGTGTGTGTGCATGTAACTATGAAATCCAAAACTCTGGAAAATATTGCTTTAGCCTATAAAACTCTGGTATCAGACAAAAGCAGTTTTACTTGGTCAAGGGCTATATGTGATAAAAAGAGGTGAAAAAAGCAAGACAATATATGTAGTGGTGAGGAGAATGGATTTAGGACAGAAATGTTCTTCTGTTACTTTTCTCTGACACCTTAGCCATAGTAGAGGGATGCTTGCTTGATGCAATTTATAGCTTAGCTAAATAAAAAATGATTTGCCTGAACTGTTAAGCATATTGAAAGATTTTCTGTTACCAAAGATTGCTACGAAGCCTATGATACATGCTGATTTTTTCCTTGCTGAAGGATCTTTATTACCTCTCATTTTAGAACTGCTTAAGATTCTGTTCACTTCATTGCATCTTGTCTTTCTGTTCTCAATTATCCTAAAAACTCAAGGATTTAAGAATCTTAATAAGCAATTCTGTAATGACAGGTAATTTCCCAGTTTTTTAGGTTTACAGTGCTGTCCTCATTCTAACTGTTTAGTATGGATGCTTAGCTCAGCCTTTCTTCTTTTCAGATACAAAATTTTAGGCTTCATAGTTCTGTATAAATTCCATATTTCAAAATTAATTGTCTGTATCATATGTTTATCATTTGGTGTCTAATATTTTTCTAATATTTGATTTCTTTGACCTATATATCTTTTATAAGTGTGTTCTCATCAACTTTTTGTTACTGATTTTTAACTTGATAGCATAATGGTAAAAAATGTGACTTTTATGACATTAATTCTTTGAGATGTATTAAAGCTTGCTTTATAAAGCCAATATTTAGTCAATTGTCTGTGTATGCTTGTAAAGAATGTTTTATAGCTCCTGAATATGGTAACATATATGTCCATTACATCAAACTGATTAACCTGTTTTTAACAAATCTGTATCATTGCTGATATTTTTTGGTCTGCTTTTTCTAATAAGTACTGATCTAGATATTTTTATATGCCCATCTTCATGATAGGTTGCTTTATTTTTGTATAGCTGTTATTATTTTTTGCTGTATATATTTTGAGTCTTTCTTATTAGATGCATACAACTTCAGAATTATTTATCATTATGACATGACATTAACTCTTATAATGTTTCTACCTCTTAAGTTTATTTCACTTGAAATTAAAAGACTACAATCGATTTTCTTTTTTAATTGACATAATAGTTGTACATATTTTAGGAGTACATGTGATATTTCGGTACCTATATACAATGTGTAATGATCAAATCAGGGTAACTGAAACTTCCACCCAATCACTGCAAGCATTTATCTTTTCTTTGCATTGGGACACTTTATTTTTTTTATTATTGGCATGAGTTACTTTTTCTAAACATTTACTTTTGAAAATTTCTATGTCATTATCTCTTAGATGTATCTCTTATAGACAGAAACACCTTTAGTTTTGAAGTCTAGTTTGACAATCTATTTAAATTGTAACATTTTATTCTTTTGTATTTATTGCAATTACAAGTAATTTTTGATTTATTTTGTGCTTAGATTTGGTCTACCAGTTCTTTGTACGTTTTTCTTCCTTTTTACCTTCTCTTATATTGGAACTATTTTTCCTCATTCAATTTTTTCTCTACTAATTTATGTTATACACTATTATAACATATTATTATACACTATTATATTAAATAATGTTTTTACTATTTGAAAATTACTCTTTATCCTATCATTCAGATATTATAGAAGGAATAATAACAATTGTCTGCAAGGGATACTTATTTACATGAATGATAGAAAGTTTCTAGAAATAAACTTATTCTAAGGGAAAGAAAAGTAGTTTATACAAAAAATATAAGATTATTAGAATAATTTGGAAGAAATTGGATGAAAAGCATGAGAAATAAATAAATAGATAAAGCATCTTAGTATTCAAGAAGAATTTATTTAGAAACCTTCGTGAATATGCAAATTCACAGTTTTAGAGCATAAAATTTGTTTTCATAAAATATAATTAAATATAACCCCAACTAGAATGTAAGCTCCATGAAGGTAGGAATTTTTAACTCTTTTGTTCACTGCTATATTCTTATTTACTAGAAGAATACTTAGCATATAAAATATGAATATGCATTAATAAGCCACTTTAAGAAAACTTTAATAATAATAAATGAAGAATTGTGTTGAATATTTTTCATTAATCCCTCCAGATCCACTCTATAAAAACTGCACAAAGGTTCACTGGACCTTTATTAAAGGTCCAATAAAGGAAATGGGTTCATCAAGAGGTTTATTGAGTTCATCAAGAGGTTTCCTTACTATTTGGCTTCAACTAAGGCTCAGCCAATGGCAGGCCTCAGCTGGAGATCAGATGGTGGGAAGCGTGTAAGAATGGGTATTTCCCTGGCTCCATCTCTGCCAAGTTGCCATGCATTTGCTGCATCATTCCTCTGAAGGCCATGGCCCTTAGAATATCTGCTGCTCTTTGCAGTTTCAGGCAATTCCTCCCACACTTTAACACCTTAGACCCAGGAATGGTAGCAACTTCCTACTCTTGCTTGCCTTGGGGCTCTGAGCCTCTGTTTATTTGTTTCCCTTAAACTTGTCTTCACCTTTGCAAATAATCCCTTTATTCATCTTCTCTCAATTCCCATATTTAAGTGTACCATCCTCTTCCAACTTAGATTCTGACTTTGACAAAGACTAAACTCATTTATAACAAGATTAAAATAAATGTGATTTGAGTATCCAGAGAAACAGTTTCATTAGTTTTTTCATCTGGTCTTGACTCCCTAAAGATGTTATGGTAGACTGATTCTAAAAAGAAATTGATTGATGCTGAATCTGATATGCCGGAATTTATATTACTCAACATTAATATTTTCTAGCTAAGATCCATCTAGTTCTTAGATCTCAGCACATTTTCTTCATTTCCATCACCAATGTCTTTTAGAGCCATTTTCACAGACACACCAACTCAAAAAAAATTGTTTTTGTTCTTGTTTTATCACTTTTCAAGAACTACTGCCAGCATTGTGATAAAAAGAAACAATAGAGCTAAGAGGTGAACAGCTAAGCACCCCTTCCCACACCAGCCTCTTCAGACCTATGACTAAAGTTGATACTACAGCAATATTACACATTATCACATGTCACAGATCTTCAGGGTTGTTCACAAACAGGTTAAACCACGAATATTACATTTATAAATGCAAAAAGTCTTGTATATTACTTTGTGAATATATTTTAAATCTTCGGTCTGGTGTGGCCTATAAAATAATATCATAGAATGAATTAGTTGAGCACTACATTCTCTCATAATAACAAATTTTTGAGGCAGGCACTACTTTTACCCTTGCTTTCAGACAAGAAAACTGTGAAATATACAAGTTAAGTAAATGATGCAAGTTTATAGAGTTAATAAGTGCTAGAGCTGGGAATCCAATAAAGCTGCAAAGCTGATGCTCTTAACTCCAAACTTTCAAGAGATCAAATGGTGGTATAGAGCAAGAGTTATTAGTTGCAAGAGATAGACAGCAAGATGAGGCTTCTGTCTCACTATCGGCCATTATTAAATAATTGTGTGTCCTATTCAGACTCTATATCACATACGTAAAATGGAGATAGTAAAAATGCCAACTCATGGGGTGCTGTCAGTAATGAGCTAAATTAAATAAGACAATGAATGTCAATAATTTGGCTCAGTACATTTTAGGTAATATCATTTTTTAAATTTCTTGAAATATCTGTCAAATGCAATTGTTTTAGTTATAGAGTTGATTTATCTCAATTACTGGCAAAATAAATAATGTATTGCTTTCATGTTGTAATGACAAGATACACAAGCCACACATATGTGTCTTACTCTCTTCAATTTTTATAGCAAGAAAATGTACATTCAAATCAATTTTAAACAAGGTCAAATGAATAACCATTTCTCCCAGGCTCCCCAGGGGTAGAAAAAGCGAGTGTTCTCTAGACTTGTTTTGTTCAAAATTTGAATCCCACTCTAAAGAATTTCAGTGTGTTGGGTGGTATTAGCAAGATAACTTTCCTGAAGACATACCCTTCTCAGAGGACAACATGCTAGAGCAATCCATGACTTTATAGGAAATCGAACATCTTCCTTGCAACATATTATTTCCATCCAGTTTTACCTGCTGGTAATATTTAGTGAAGTCCAGAATCTTACCAAAGTGGAATGATGAGAAATATTATTAATTCACATGGATAAACACTGAGGGAATCCACAAATCAATGAATTTAATGTTCTACTTCACTTCCAAAGTGCATTAAAAGATGTTGCCCAGATTCTTCAAAGGGAAGGCAGCCTGGGAAAGAAACCAGAACATCCTATCCTGATGGCTTCGTCTGTGGCCCAGTACTGAACAAAACATGTCTTGTTTTTGCCCTTAGTGCACCAAAAAATGTCAATGTTCTTGACAATCAGATGAATATCTAAGTGTTAATGCCTACCTCCTAAGATAGATTAAGAATACAGAAAAAATATGGAACATATTTTTGGAATATCACCTGGGCTTGAGGGTCATCTAAAATACAACTTTGTTGTCTTTTTAAAAATCAAAATATTATGAGCCATAATTCAAAAGTTATATTAATTTTTATCATGAAATACAAGATTTTGAGAAGTGCCAAGATGGCTAACTAGAAACAGCTAGTGTGCACTGCTCTCATGGAGAGAATAAAAAGTGGCAAGTAAATGCCACATCTTCAACTGAAACATACTAGTGGACATATGGGATTCATCAAGGAAACAACTTGACCCACAGAGAATGGAGAGGAGCAAGACAGGATGACCACCCATTCAGTAGTGGAATGGAGCCAGGGGAGGCTCCCCAACAGCAGGGAAATGGGGAGTGAGTGAGAAACTCTGTTGACCCACACTTCTCCCATGGATTTTTGTAGCCCTGGCCTTAGAAGATCCCCTCATGAGCCCATCCCACCAGGGCCATCAGACTGACATGCAGAGATAACATGGAGTTTTGGAAGAGCTGCCAATTAGGCACACCTGGAGTACTGGTAGCCTTGGATTTCTGAGCATCCCGGCATCAGCACTGCAGCTCTGGCAAAGGGGCAGGCTAGGCTCCCTCACAGGCCCCCAGGAAAGGGGCCGAATCCAGAGGACTGAGCAGTGATGGTCTGCAGGCCTCAATTCCAATGAATCTCTCAGGATAAGACCTACTAAGCTGGGACTCCAGCCATCTGCCACTGGGGCTCTTGGCCTGGTAACAACTCTGTACTTCCCTTGGATGAAGCTGTCACAGGGAGGGACAGGCTGCTATCTTTACTGTCTTGCCATCCTGGCTGTTGTTGCCTCCATACTCTGGAGAGTCCATGGTGATGAGGGATTGGTGTGGACCCTCAGCACAGCATTACAGCCCCACATAAAAGCAGCCAGAATGTTTTTTACGTGGGTCCCTGATCTTGCTTCTCTTCACTGGGCAGAACCTCCTGTGCTGGGGCTCTAGCCACCCCCTGCCCCTGCCCTTGGGCTAGTAGCAGCTCTGCATTTCCCTGGGACAGAGCTCCCAGAGGGAGGGGCACACTGTCATCTTTGCTGTCTCACAGCCCTTGCTGTTGTTACTATCAGGCTCTAGAGAGTCTACAGTGACTAGAGACTGGTGCAGACCCCCAGCCCAGTGCAGCCGCCCCAAGTAAAACTGGCCAGACTGTTCACATGGGTCTCCGTTCCCATTTCTCCTCACTGGGAGGGACCACCTAACCTGGGACTCCAGCACAACTACCCTGCCCCAGCCTGAACACTTCAGTCAGAGACAGCTTTGCATTTCTCTGAGGAGAAAATCCTAGAGTCAACCAATAACCACTCTGCCATTGCAGTTGCAATGGTACCACCCTAACCGCCCTCAGGCTGGGAAAGAAGCAAAGGGCCTAGTCGTTATGTTGGCACCTCCAGCACACTGCAGCCACCATACAGAGAGGAGCCCAGGCTCCCTTCCCTGTGAGCCCCACCCCCATTCTTCACCAGGCAGGCCCCCTGCTCAGGACCACAGATCAGCCACCCCACCCATGGATGAGCACAACCACTGGGAGTGGCTCTGAGTTTCCCTGTGGAGAGGCTCCAAGAGGCAACTGACAGCCCTTCTGTCACTGCCACAGCCATGCTTCTGCCCTTACTGCCCTTGGTCTGAGGAAAAAACAAAGAGCTTGAGGGCTTCACATGAACTTACAGCATAACACAGCCACCATATGGAGAGGAGCTCAATCTCTCCTCCCTGTGAGCTCTCTACCCCTTGCTCCCCAACAAGCAGAGCCCCCAGCTCAGGCCAGCAATGCAGCTGCCTCACTCCCTGGCTGAACATACCCACTAGTCACAGCTCCATGTATCTCAGAGGTGGAGCTCACAGAAGCAACCAGAAACTCCTCTGCCACTGCATTGGTACTGCCCTTGCTGCCCTAAAACTGAAAAAGGAGCAATGACCCTGAGTGCTTTATCCACACCTGCAGCAAGGTGCAGTTGCTCCAAGGAGAGGAGGTCAGTCTGTCTCCCCCAGGTCCCACCTGCCTCTCTACTAGTCACAAGGCAGAACTCCACTGGCTTGGGCCCACAACACAGCCACCTGCCCTGGGCCTATCACACTGATTGATTATGGCTCTGCATCTCTCTGGGGTAAAGATCAAGAGAAAACTGAAAGGTCTTCTGCCACAACCACTATTAAGGTTCCTTTTCCTGCTGTCTCCAAGCTGAGGAGGGAATATAAACCCTGAGATCATCCCAGAGCTGTGGTGGGCAGCCCAGGAGAGCAAAGCTGAGATTGGCAGCCAGCTCTTTAATAGAGAGAGGAGCGCACACTTTCAAAGCACTGAGAAGGAGCATGGCTGCAATTGTGAGGAAATACAGAAGAGCCACTTGACTGAGCAAGAGCCTATCTACCAACCAGACCATTATGCTTAAGCACCATGTACTGGATCACAATTGAAAGTTCAATAACCAAAATACTTTGTTAACATACCCCCCTGTGAAACTAAAGACAAGAAGGCAGCTATAAATAAAGACCTGGTAGAAAGCCTTGACACTCTGAAAACATCAAGAAAGAAGTCTACTGACTTCTCAATTTATACCACAGTTAAAGGAACACCTGCCCACGGAGATGAGAAAGAACTAGCACAAGAACTCTTATAACTCAAAAAGCCTGTGTCTTCTTTCCACCAAACGATGACACTAGTACCCCCACAGGGGTTCCTAACTGGGAGGTAATGGCTGAAATGATAGAAATAGAATTCAGCATATGGATAGGGATGGAGGTTATCAAGATGGAGCATGTTGAAACCCAATCCAAGAAATCTAAGAATGATAATAAAACAATACAAAACAATACAAGAGCTGATGATAGACAAAACAACCAGTATAGAAAAGATGCAAACTGATTTGATAGAACTGAAGAACACACCTCAGCTTGGAGCAGTGGCTCATGCCTATAATCCCAGGACTTTGGGAAGCTGAGGTGGGCAGATCACTTGAGGTCAGGAGTTCGAGACCAGCCTGGCCAACATGGTGAATCCCCATAGTTGGGCATGGCACCTGTAATGTCAGCTACTCTGGAGGCTGAGGCAGGAGAATCGCTGGAACTTGGGAGGTAGAGGTTGCACTGAGCCGAGATCACACCATTGCACTCCATCCAGCCTGGGTGACAGAGGGAGACACCAACTGAAAAAAAAAAAAAAGAACTAAAAAACACACTCTAAAGATTTCACAATGCAATTGAAAGTATTAACAGTGGAATAGATCAAGCTGAAGAAAGAATCTCAGAGCTTGAAGACTGGATTTCTGAAATAAGACAGACAAAAAAAAGAAAAAAAATAACAAAACCCTTGAGAATTACGGGATTACGTAAAGAGACCAAATCTATGACTCACTGGCATCCCTGAAAGAAAAAGATAGAAAGCAATTAACTTGGAAAACATATTTCAATATATCATCTATAAAGACTTCCCCAACATCTCTAGAGAGACCAACATTCAAATTCAAGAAATGCACATAACTCCTGCAAAATACAACACAAAGCAGACTATCCCTAAGACATGTAAGGGCAGCTCACCTACAAAGGGAAGCCTGGCAGGCTAACAGTGGGCCTTTTAGCAGAAACTATAGAAGCCAGAAGAGATTAAGGGTCTATCTTAAACATTCTTAAAAAAAAATATTCGACTGGGCGCGGTGGCTCATGGCTGTAATCTCAGCACTTTGGGAGGCCGAGGCGGGTGGATCACAAGGTCAGGAGATTGAGACCGTCCTGGCTAACATGGTGAAACCCCGTCTCTACTAAAAAATACAAAACAATTAGCCAGGCTTGGTGGCAGTTGCCTGTAGTCCCATCTACTCAGGAGGCTGAGGCAGGAGAATGGCATTAACCTGGGAGGCAGAGCTTGCAGTGAGCTGATATCGTACCACAGCACTCCAGCCTGGGTGACAGAGTGAGACGCCATCTCAAAAAGAAAAAAAAAAATTCAAACAAAAATTTCATCTCCAGCCAAACTAAGCTTCATAAGTGAAGAAACAAGATCAATTTTAGACAAGCAAATGCTGAGAGAGTTCATTACTACCAGGGCTGCCTTATAAGAGATCCTGAAAGGAGTGCCAAATATGAAAAGAAAGATGACTATCGGCCACTACAAAAAATATGTAAGTACACATACCAGTGACACTATAAAGCAACCACACAAACAAGTGTGCATCATAACCAGCTAACAACATGATGACAGGATCAAACCCACACATATCAATATTAACATTGAATATAAATGGGCTAAATGCCCATTTAAAAGGTATAGAGTGGTACACTGGATAGAAAAGCCATACCAAAGTTATGCTGTCTTCAAGAGACTGATCTCACAGGCAATGACACCCATAGGCTCAAAATAAAGAGATGGAGAAAAATCTACCAAGCAAGTGAGAAACAAAAAAACGCAGGGGTTGCAATGCTAATTTTGAACAAAACAGACATTCAACAAACAATGATCAAAAAAGATAAAGAAGAGCATTACATAATGGCAAAGGATTCAGTTCAATAATAAGACCTAATTATGATAAATATATATGCACTCAACATAGAAGCACATAGATTCATAAAGCAAGTTCTTAGAGACTCATGAAGGGACTTAGATTCCCACACAATAATAGTGAGAGACTTCAAAACACACCTGACAATATTAGACAGACCATCAAGGCACAAAATTAACAAAGATACTCAGGACTCAAACTCAACACTTGACCAAATGGACCTAATAAAGATCTTCAGAACTCTTCACCCAAAAACAACAGAATATACATTCTTCCCATTGCTACATGGCACATACTCTAAAATTGACCAAATAATCAGACATAAAACAATCCTCAGCAAATTTGAAAAAATCAAAATCATAACAATTATGCTCTCAGACCACAACACAATCAAAATAGAAATCAATATTAAGAAAATTGCTCAAAACTATACAATTCCATGGAAATTAAACAACCTGCTCCTTAATGATTTTGGGGTAAATAATGGAATTAAGGCAGAAATCAAGAAGTTCTTTTAAATTAATGAGAACAAAGATACAACATACCAGAATCTATGAAACATGGCTAAGGCAATGTTAAGATGGAAATTTATAGTGCTAAAGAGCCACATGAAAAACTTAGAAAGATCTTGAATTAACAACCTAACATCACAACTAAAAGAACTAAAAAGAAAGATGAAGCCAACCCTAAGGCTAGCAGAAGACAAAAAATAACCAAAATCAGAGGTAAGCTGAAAGAAATTGACACAGGAATAAACATACAAAAGAATGGCAAATCCAGGAGTTTGTACTTTGAAAAAATTAATAAAATACATACACAGCTAGCTAGGCTAATAAGAAAAGACAGAAGGTCCAAATAAGCATAATTGGAAATGACAAAAGGAACATTATGACTGATGACATAGAAATGCAAAATCCATGAGAGACTATGCACATAATCCAGAAAATCTAGAAGAAATGGATAAATTCCTGGATATATAAAACCTCCCAAGACTAAACCAGGAAGAAATTGAATCCCTGGGCAGATCAATGATGAGTCCTGAAATTGAATAAGTAATAAAAAGCCTACCTACCAAAAAAAGCCTAGGACCAGAAAGATTCACAATCAAATTCTACCGTATGTATAAAGAAGAGCTAGTACCACTCCTACTGAAACTATTTCAAAAAATTTGGGAGGAGTGACTCCTCTCTAACTCATTCTATGAGGCCACCATCCTCCTGATACCAAAAACGGGAAGAAACACAATAAAAAACGAAAAGTTTAGGCCAATATTGTTGATAAGCATAGAAGCAAAGTTCTCAACAGAAAAACTAGCAAATGAATGCAGCAGCACATCAAAAATATAATCCAGCATGATCAAGTAGGCTTTATACCTGGGATGCAAAGTTAGTTCAACATATGCAGATCAATAAATGTGATACATCACATAAAAATAACTAAAGACAAAACCACATGATTATCTCAATAGATGCAGAAAAGGCTTTCAATAAAATTCAGCATCTCTTCATGTTAAATACCCTCAATAAACTAGGCATTGAAGGAACCTACCTCAAAATAATAAGAGCTGTATATGACAAACCAACATCATACTGAATGGGCAAAAAAGCTGGAAGCATTCCTCCTGAAAACCAACACAAGACAAGGATGCCCTCTCTCACCACTCCTATTCAACATATTATTAGAAGTCTTAGCCAGAGCAATCAGGCAAGAGAAAGAAATGAAAGTCATCCGAGTAGGAAGAGAGGACATCAAACTATGTATTTTCACAGATGATATGATTCAGGGCTCTATTTTAACTTAGGCATTTTAATCCAAAACTAGCTCACACACACACACACACACAACACATGCACACACACAGTTACTAAATATAATAGAACAAAAAAACTAAAACTAAAAAATGGAAACTAAAATGCTATTTGAGCTTTCAACCACAAGATGATGAATAGTATAATAGCAGCTGTGAGCTGAATGTTTAAGTCCCAAAAATTTATATATTAAATCTTAATCCCCAAAGTGATAGTATTAGGAGATAAAACCTTTTGGGAGGCAATATAATATGTGCCATTATAGGACCACAGGAATTTGTTTGCCCTATTGTGAGGGCACAACAAGAAGGTACCATCTATGAACAAGGAAGCAAGTCCTCACCAGCCACTGAATCTGCCAGTGTCTTGATCCTGGATTTCCCAGCCCTCAGAACTGTAAGAAATAGATTTCTGTTGTTTATAAGCCACTCAGTCAGTAGTATTTTGTTATAATAGACTAAATGGAGTAAGACAGTAGTCAGACTGAAATAGCTCTACCTATATGGCCTGTTTATTCTCATGTTAAACATTGACCTAAGAAATCAAGGCATCAGATGGCTAATAAGAATGCAGGCTTAAGCTTGAAGTGATAGTTCAGCAAATTAATAATTCTATAGTTTCACATTTTAAACTCAGTTTAATCAATAACATAAACTAAAATGTTGTTAAGAACTTACACACTATTATTTAGTTGATGTTGTTTTGATGGGAGCTTAAAGATTTGATTTTAACTTCACCATTATTAGTTTAGAAAGCTCTAAGTTGTTTTGTCTAATTATAATTGAAGTTAATCTGCTGAATTTTTCTTGGGGAAAAATTCTAGTGTCTTATTTTCCAGTGATTTAAAGGGTTACTAGCCTGGAGAAGTTTTTGTAAGTCCTTGATACTTGAAAAGTGACATTCATTCCTTTATTATCATCATTAACAACATTGTCATTTCTAGGTAAGAGTGTTCTCCCAGTGGTGTGTGAGCCCTCATCACATTAGTTAATGAGATTGGACAAGGGTTTAATTTACTTCTGTCACCTCACTCTTCTAACTCAGAATATGTGGCCAAAGATTCATAAGCTTTATTGTACAACATGGTGACTACAGTTAATACTGTATTTTTTTCTGTAAAAAACTGCCGAGAAAGTCGATTTTAAATGTTCTCATCATGAAAAAAGGTAAGTATATGAGGTAATGGACATGCTAATTAGATTGATTTAACCATTGCACAATGAGCACATATAACAAAATATCGTGATGTATACCATAAATATGTGCAATTATGTCAATTTAAAGGAACTGTAAAGATGAGATTAAAAAGTAGCTCATTTCTGTCAAATTAAGATTTCAGCTCAGAAAAATCCAAGCATTAGCTTATCTAGTGAAAGTTACAAACTGTCAATTTTACATTTAAATTTTTTCCTTCTATCACAGAAAATGGAGGCGTATTTATCAAACCCATATATATGCATGCACATGCATGCCTGTTAGAAGCCAAATGTTCTCTTTCAAGCTGATCATGGTCTTTTAAAATTTTGCCCTTCAATAAAAAGAAGTGAGTTCCTTCGATCTTGTTTCAATATCATGTTGCATTGCTCTGTGTTTTTATCTGGCATAAAAAATCCTATCCAGACAAAATATTAAACAATATTAAATTAAACTTATGTGCTTTGAAAATGAGCCAAAGGGACCACAAAGAAGGTATATACTGCCATTTCTAAAGCAAATGCTTACAATGCATAAAATATGAGTGTTAGGGCTATTTATTAAATCTTTACTACTTTAACACAAACACATGAAAATTCAGACTATATTTATAACACAAGGAATACTATTAAAAGTATTTAACAGAGAAAAAAATGGCAGATAGAAAACAGGACTAATGTGCAGCCCCCCACTTGGACAGACAGAACAGCATGTGGAGACTCACACTGTGAACTTTTGCTCCAAGAACCACTGCAGAAATATACCAGGAAAACTGAAAGAATTCACAGACCCTTTGAAAGAAGCAGCTTGCCACTGCAAACTCTGTGAGACAGCTGAAAAACTGTGAATTCCCAAAGTGTGAGAGAGGGAACATCCACCTCCAAAAACACATCTCCACCAGGGAACCTGAAAATCCAGATCACAGGAGAAGGATTTAACCTTCCATAGAGCTGAAACAGACTTAGGGAGCTAAGCAAAATATAAAAGTAGAAGAAGTGGCAGGAAGAGCCCTGTAGGCACTCCTGGTCCCCAGCTCAAGCCTACAGAAGCCATCACTGGCTTTATCTCACAAGAGTCCTTGGGAAAGGCAGCCAGCGGAATTGGAGAGGTATCACAGGGTGAAGGAAGCTTCTAGCCAAACTTTGTAATAATTTAAACTGAACATGAATTTTCCTGAGCAGAATCTCGTGTGAGGAATGGGAAGTGTGAATACAAGTGCAGAAGCCACAGCTGAAGATGCCAGAAGCATGGAGGGGTGAGACCGACAAGCCCTGCTTGCTTTCTCAGTGGGGAGGTATGTAGCCTGGGGCAAGATCTCAGCCCTGCTGCCTGGATATAAACTCACTGCTGTTGGCAGGGCACCATGGGAGTGAGACTGGCATTGATGGCTGCATGGGAGCTGGGTGAGGACCGACACTGCTAGATTTCCCCCACTTCCCTGGTGATCTGTATGATGCAGCAGAGGTAGCCATAATCCCCCTGGGAACATACCTCCATTGGCCTGAGAACCACCCTCCCATCCTGCACAGTGGCCGCAGCAAGACCCACCCAAGGAGAGTCTGAGCTCAGACCTGCCTAACCCTACCCCGACGTGATGATTTTTCTCTACCCATTCTGGTAGGTGACGACAAAAGACAAACTCTTGGGAGCTCTAAGGCCCTGACTATTTCTTGAGAAACCAGAATACTTACACTGGCCCATGTAGGGCAAACTTCTATCCCCCTTCTACAACCATAGCTGGTGCTCTCTTGAAGGTGCCACCTCCTAGCTGGAGGCCAATCAACTCAAGCAATTAGAGCAACTCATAACAGAACAACCCTGCTCCAAAGAAGGAGAGAACAACAGCTAATTCCACTACCTGCAACATTCTGGCTAACCAGAGGTCATGAGTCTGTCCACATGACAACTTCACTGCTATCATAACCAGCATTTGAGAAAATCAGCACACTAAACAAAAGTACAACCAAGAATTCCCACAGAGTCCACTTAACTCCCCTGCCACCTCCACCGGAGCAAGTGCTGGTAACCAGGGCTAGAAGATCTGAAGACGGATCACATCAGGGGACTGTTTGCTGATCATCTCCCAAACCAGCCCAGAGCCCAGTAGCCCTGCTGGGTGACTAGACCCAGAAGGACAATAACAATCACTGCATTCCAGCTGTCAGAAAGCCCCATCCCTAGGGTAAAGGAGAGAGCACCATATCAATGGATCACCCAGTGGGACAAAAGAATCTGAACCCTTGAGTTCTAGATCTTTCACTGAAACACTCTACCCAAATGAGAAGGTACCAGAAAGGTAATTCTGGCAATATGACAAAAAGAAGTTTCTATAACTCCCCCAAAAGTTCACACTAGCTCTCCAGCAATGGATTCAAACCAAGAAGAAATCTCTGAATATCTGAAAATTCAGAGTATAATGTTGGCTGTGGGTTTGTCATAGATGGCTTTTATTACCTTAAGGTATGTCTTTCTATGCCAATTTTGCTGCAGGTTTTAATTATAAAAGGATGCTAGACTTTCAATGCAATGAGAATTGCATTGAATTTATAGATTGCTTTTGGCAGTATGGTCATTTTCACAATATTGATTCTACTCATCCATGAGCATGGGATGTGTTTCCATTGCAGAGATTGCCACTGCAAACTGTGTGAGACAGCTGAAAAACTGTGAATCTAAGAAATCTAAGAAACAGAATCTAAGAAATATCTGAAGCCAGATAAAGAATTCAAAAGGTTGATTATAAAAAGCTACCAAAGGAGGTTCCAGAAAAGGTAAAAATTGACTTAAAGAAATTTTAAAAATACAGAATATGGATGAAAAAGTTTCCAGAGAAATAGATATCATAAAGAAAAGAGAATCACAACTTCTGGAAATAAAAGACACACTTAGAGAAATGCAAAATACACTGGAGCATTTCAACAAGTAGAAGAATTGAACAAGTAGAAGAAAGAACTTCAGAGCTCGAAGATAAATCTTTGGAATTAACCCATTCTGACAAAGACAAAGAGAAAAAGAATTAAAAAAAAAAAACTGACAAAGCCTGCAAGACATTTGGGACTATGTTAAATGACTAAACATAAGAATAATTGATGTTCCTGAGGAAGAAGAGAAATCTAAAAGCTTGGAAAACTTATTTGAGGGAATAATCGAGGAAAACTCCCTTGGTCTTGCTAGAGATCTAGACATCCAAATAAAAGAAGCTCAAAGGCTGGGTGCTGTGGCTCAAACTGGTAATCCCAGCACTTTGGGAGGCTGAGGTGGGTGGATCATGAGATCAGGAGATCGAGACCATCCTGGCTAACACAGTGAAACCCTGTCTCTCCTAAAAATACAAAAAAATTAGCCAGGTGTGGTGGCACATGCCTGTAGTCCCAGCTACTCAGGAGGCTGAGACAGGAGAATGGCTTGAACCCAGGAGGCAGAAGTTGCAGTGAGCCGAGATCACGCCATTGCACTCCACACTCCAGCCTGGGCAACGAGAACGAAACTCCATTTAAAATAAAAGAAAAGAAAGAAAAAAAAAAAGAAGCTCAGAGAGCACCCAGGAAATTCATCATCACAAAAAGGTCATCACCAAGGTGCATAGTCATCAGGTTATCTAAATTCAAGATGAATGAAAGAATCTTAAGAGTTGTGAGGCAAAAGCATCAAGTAACCTATAAAGGAAAACCTATCAGATTAACAGAAGGTTTCTCAGCAGAAATCTTACAAGCCAGAAGGAACTGGGGTCCCATCTTTAGCTCCTTAAACAAAATAATTATCAGCCAAGAATTTTGTATCCAGCAAAACTAAGCTTCATAAATGAAGGAGTGATAAAGTATTTTTCAGACAAACAAATGCTAAGAGAATTTACCACTATGAAGCCAGCACTATAATAGATGCTAGAAGAAATGCTAAATCTTGAAACAAAACCTCTAAATTCACTAACGTAGAACCTCCTTAAAGCATAAATATCACAGAACTATAAAACAATAGCACAATGAAAAAAAAACCCAGGGTATTCAGTCAACAATTAACATGATGAGTAAAACAGTATCTCACATCTCAATACAAAGGTTGAATGTAAATGTCCTAAATGCTCCACTTAAAAGATACAGAATGGCAGAATGGATAAAAATGCACCAACAGAGTATCTGCTGTCATCAAGGGGCTCACCTAAGACATAAGGTCTCACATAAACTTAAGGTAAAGGGATGGAAGAAGGTATTCCATGCAAATGGAAGTCAAAAGCAAGCAGGAGTAGCTATTCTTATATCAGATAAAACAGACTTTAGGCCAGGCACAGTGGCTCACGCCTGTAATCCCAGCACTTTGGCAGGCCTAGGTGGGTGGATCATGAGGTCAGGAAATCAAGACCATCCTGGCTAACATGGTGAAACCCCATCTCTACTAAAAATACAAAAAAAAAAACAGCCGGGCATGGTGGCAGGCGCCTCTAGTCCCAGCTACTCAGGAGGCTGAGGCAGGAGAATGGCATAAACCCAGGAGGCGGAGCTTGCAGTGAGCCGAGATTGTGCCACTGAACTCCAGCCTGGGCGATACAGCGAGACTCTGTCTCAAAAAAACAAACAAACAAACAAACAAAACAGACTTTAAAGCAACAACAGTTAAAAAAGACAAAGAGGAAAATTATATAATAATAAAAGGATTAGTCCAACAGGAAATTAATAATATCACAATCCTAAATATATATGCATCTAACAGTGGAGCGCCCAAATTTATAAAACAATTACTAAAAAACCTAAGACATGAGATAGATGGCAACACAATAGCAGTGGGGGGTTTCAGTAATCCACTGACAGCACTAGTTAGGTCACAAGACAGAAAGTCAACAAAGAAACAATGGACTTAAACTGTACCCTAGAACAAATGGACTTCACAGATATTTACAGAACATTCTACTCAAAAATTGCAGAATATACATTCCTTTCATCAGCACATAGAACATTCTCTAAGATAGACCAAATTAGAGGCCACAAAACAAGTCTCAATAAATTTAAGAAAATCGAAATTATATCAAGTACTGTCTCAGACCACAGTGGAGTAAAATTGGAAATTAACCCCAAAAGGAACCCTCAAAACTATACAAGTACATAGAAATTAAAGACTCTGTTCCTGAATGATCTCTAGGTCAACAATGAAATTAAGACAGAAATTTAAAAATTGTTTGAACTGGACAATAATAGTAGCAAAATCTATCAAAACCTCTGGATAAGACAAAAGCAGTACTAAGAGGAAATTTAATAGCATTAAATGCCTACATCAAAAACTCTGAAAGAGCACAAATGGGAAATCTAAGGTCACACATCAAGGAACTAGAGGAACAAAAACAAAACAAGCCCAAACCAGCAGAAGAAAAAAAATAACAAGGATCAGGGAAGAATTCAATGAATTGAAACAAAAAAAAAATACAAAAGATAAATGAAACAAAAAGCTGATTCTTTGAAAAGATAATCAAAATTGATATGCCATTAGCAAGACTAACCAAGAAAAGAAGACAGAAGATCCAAATAAACTCAATTAGAAATGAAACAGGAGATATTATGACCAATACCACAGAAATACAAAATATCATTCAGGTCTACTTACTATGAGCACCTTTACGTGCACAATCTAGAAAACCTGGAGAAGATGGATAAATTCCTGGAAATATACAACCCTCCCAGATTAAACTAGGAAGAAATAGAAACTCAGATCACTAACAAATAGTGAGACTGAAATAATAGTTTTAAAAATCGCCAACAAAAAAGGTCCAGGACCAGACAGATTCACATATAAATTCTGTCAGACAATCAAAGGAGAATTAATACCAATCCTACTTAAACTATTCCAAAAGATGGAGAAAGAGGGAATCCTCCTCAAATCATTCTATGAAGTCAGTATCAACATAATACTGGAACCAGGAAAGGGCATAACTGAAAGGAAAACTACAGGCCAATATCCCTAATGAACATAGATGCAAAACTCCTCAACCAAATACTAGCTAACTGAATCCAACAGTATATCAAAAAGATAATAAACCATGATCAACTGGATTTCATACCAGGGATGCAGGGTTTGTTTAACATACACAAGTCAATAATTGTGATACACCACATAAACAGAATTAAAAATAAAACTCAAATGATCATATCAATAGATGCATAAAAAGCATTTGACACAAACAAATGGAAACACATCCCATGCTCATGGATGGGTAGAATCAATATTGTGAAAATGACCATACTGCCAAAAGCAATCTACAAATTCAGTGCAATTCTCATTGCACTGAAAGTCTAGCATCCTTTTATGATTAAAACCTGCAGCAAAATTGGCATAGAAGGGACGTATCTTAAGGTAATAAAAGCCATCTATGACAAACCCATAGCCAACATTATACTGAGTGGGGAAAAGTGGAAAGCATTCCCCCTGAGAACTACAATAAGACACAGATGCCAATTTTTACCACTTCTATTCAACATACTACTGGATGTCCTAGCCAGAGCAATCAGACAAGAGAAAGAAATAAAGGCATCCAAATCAGTAAAGAGGAAATCAAACTATTGCTGTTCACTGATGATATAATTGTATACCTAGAAAACCCTAAAGACTCATCCAAAAAAACTCCTAGATCTGATGAACAAATTCAGTAAAGCATCAGGATACAAAATCAATATACACAAATCATTAGCACTATTATACACCAACAGTGACCAAACTGAGAATCAAATAAACCCTTTTACAACAGCTACAAAAAATAAATAAATAAATAAATAAATAATAAAATAAAATAAAAAATACTTAGGCATATACCTAGCCAAGGAGGTGAAAGATCTCTACAACGAAAACTACTAAACACTGCTGAAAGAAATTATAGACGACATAAACAAGTGGAAACAAATCCCAGCTTTGTGGATGGGCAGAATCAACATTGTGAAAATGACCATATTGCCAAAAGCAATTTACACATTCAATGAAATTTCCACCAAAATACCATCATTATTTTCACAAAACTAGAAAAAACAATCCTAAAATTCATTTGGAACCAAAAAAATAGCCTGCATAACCAAAGCAAGACTAAGAATGAAGAACAAATCTGGAGGTGCCACATTTCCTGACTTCAAACAATTCTACAAGGTTATAGTCACCAAAACAGCATGGTACTGGTATAAAAATAGGCATGTAGACCAATGGAACAGAATGGAGAACCCCAAAATAAAGCCAGACAGTTACAGCCCACTGATCTTCAACAAAGCAAACAAAAACATAAAGTGGGGAAAGGACACCTTATTTAACAAATGGTGCTGGGATAATTGGCTAGCCACAAGTAGAAGAATGAAACTGGATCCTCATTTCTCACCCTATACAAAAATCAACTCAAGATGGAGGAAAGACTTAAATCTAAGACCTGAAACCATAAATATTCTAGAACATAACACTGGAAAAACTCTTCTATACTTTGACTTAGGCAAAGAGTCCATGACAAAGAACCCAAAAGAAAATTCAACAAAAACAAAGATAAATAGATGGGACTTAATTAAAGTAAAACGTTTCTACTTAGCAAAATAAATAGTAAACAGACAACCCATGGAGTGGGAGAAAGTATTTGTAAATTATGCATCTGACAAAGGACTAATATCTAGCATGTACAATGAACTCAAACCAATCATCAAGAGTAAAAAAAAAATCCTATTAAAAAAGTGGGCTAAAGACGTGAATAGACAATTGTCAAAAGAAGATATAAAAATGGCCAATGGACATATTAGAAAATGCTCAATAACACTAATTATCAGAGAAATGTAAATCAAAACCACAATGCAATACCCCGTTACTCCTACAAGAATGGTGATAATTAAAAAAATCAATAAATAATAGATGTTGACGTGGATGTGGTGAAAAGAGAACACTTTTACAATGCTGGTGGGAAGGTAAACTAGTGCAACCACTGTGGAAAACTGTATGGAGACTCCTTAAAGAACTGAAAGTAGAACTACCATTTGATCCAACAATCCCACTACTGGGTATCTACCTAGAGGAAAAGAAGTTATATGAAAAAGACACTTGCACACACGTTTCTAGCAGGACAATTTGCAATTGCAAAAATATGGAACCAGCCTAAATGCCCATCAACCACAAGTGGATAAAGAAAATGTGAAATACTACTCATCCATAAAAAAGAATGAAATAATGGCATTCTCAGCAACCTGGATGGAGTTGGAGACATTATTCCAAGTGAAGTAACTTGGGAATGAAAAACCAAACATTATATGTTCTCATTTATAAGTGGGAGCTAAGCTGTGAGGAGGCAAAGTCATAAGAATAATATAGTGGACTCTAGGGACTTGGGGGGAAGGATGGGAGGGGAGTGAGGGATAAAAGACTACATCTTGGGTACAAAGTACACTGCTCAGGTACACCAAAATCTCAGAAATCACCACTGAAGAACGTATCCATGCAACCAAACACCAGCTGTTCCCCAAAAACTATTGAAATAATAAAAAAAAAATTAAGAAGAAAAATACTAATCAATTACTAAAAGCATAAAGTCTCAGGGTAGAAGGGGACTTTAGATGCATGTAACATGGGTCCCTCACATTATTAGCTAAGGAATCTTAACATTTTAAAAAGTATCTAGGCTGGGAGCAATGGCTCACATCTGTAATCTCAGCACTTTGGGAAGCCAAGATGGGAGGATTGTGTGAGCCCAGGAGTTTGAGACCAGCCTGGGCAACATAGTGAGATCCCATCTAAAAAAAAATAAAAATAAAAAATAAGTATCTGCCTCAAAAGAAAGACCCCATGTTTAACAATCAGGAGTGGGGTAGAAAAAGATGGAAGAATAGAAGGCTCCATAAATTGCTCCTCCTGCAAGGACACCAATATAGCAACTATCTGCACCCAAAAAAGCACCTTCATAAGAACCAAAAATCACAGTATCTGGTTTCAACTTCATATTGCTGAAAGAAGTAGAAAAAATAGTCTTGAATCAGCAGTGTCATTTCTCCTCAACACCCCCGGCAGTGGCAAAGTGGTGCAGAGAGTGTTTCTCTGTGCTTGGGAAGGGAGAACACAGCCATTGTGAGGTATTGAACTCAGTCCTGTCCTGTTCAAGCAGAAAGGAAAACCAGACCAAACTCAGTTGACACTCATGCATGGAGGGAGCACTTAAACCAGCCGTAGCCAGAGCGGAACTGCTGATCTCAGTGGCTGAAACTTGAGTTCCTATTAACCTTGCCAACATGGGCTAAAGTTCTCTAGAGCTCTAAAGCAACTTGAAATGCAGTCTAGACCACACGGACTGCAAATTTTAGGTGCCTCCTAGTGCTGTACTGGGCCCAGAGCCAGCAGACCTTGGGGGCATGTTACTACTGAGACACTAGCCCAGGTGACTAAGGAAGTGCTGGCATCGCTCCTACCCTAACCCCAGGCTGCACAGCTCAAGGCTCCAACAGCGATAACTTCCTTCCACTCAAGTAAAGGAAAGAGAAAAGTGGGGTGGACTTTGTCTTGCATCTTGGATATGCCACCAGAGTCATGACACCTCTTTTCCAGGCCCTAGCTCCCAGATGACATGTCTAGACACACCTCTGGAACCCTCTGCCTTGAAGGAAAGTACTCAGTCCTGACAGTATTCATCACATGCTAACTGAAGAGCCCTTGGGCCCTGAATAACCAGCAGCAATACCCAGGTGCTACATAGAGAGCCCTAGATGATCCTCTGAGTCTTCTTAGTTTCAAGTACTAACTCAGCCACAGGGGTGTAGGGTACCAAGTGGGCTTTTGAGTTTCCCGATTCCAGGATATGAATCTTGGATGGCATTTCTGGACCTTCCCTGGGCCAGAGGGGAGCCTGCTGCTTCAAAGGGTAAGTTCCAGGTCAGGCAGCATTCACCACAAGCTTATATAAGAGCCCTTGGGCCTTAACGGAACATCAACAGTAGTCTGACAGTACTCCTTGTGGGCCCATTGCAGTGGTGACAATGAGATGAAGCTCCTCTGCCTTTGGCAAGGGGAGGGAACACTGGAAAGGACTGTGTCTTGTGGTTTGAGTGCCAACTCAGCTGCATATAATAAAACACCAGGTAGAATGCTAAGGCTTTTGACTCTAGTCCCTGACTCACAGATGGCACCTCTGGAACCACCTAGGGCCTGGGGGAACTCACTCCTCTGAAGAGAAGAATACTGGCCTGGCTGGCTTTGCCACCTCCTGGTTGTAGAACCCCACGGTCTTGAGCAAACCATGACAGTAGCCAGAGAGTGCCAGCCTTGGGCAAGACTCAGTGCTGTGCTGGCTTCAGGTCTGACTCGGTGCAGTCATAGTGATAGTGGCCACAGGGGTGCTTGTGTTACTCCATCTCCAACTCCACATAGCTCAGAACAGTCACCTTAGACTCCATTTTGGGGAGAGAAAGCAAGAGAAGAAAAAGTGTCTCTGCCTGGTAATCCAGAAAATTATGCTGGATCTTGTCCAAGACCATCAAGGCAGAACCTCTACAATTCTGCAAGAACTATAGCCATTACTGGGCTTGGGGTCCCCATTAAAGCGGATATATCACAACATCCAAGTAACTTCAAATTCTGGAAAGCCTTCTCAAGAAGGACAAGTACGAACAAACCCAGACAGTGAAGACTACAATAAATACCTAACTCTTCAATGTTCAGGCACAGACGAACATCTGCAAGTGTCAAGACAATCCAGGAAAACATGACCTCACAAAATGAATGAAATAAGTCAACAGGGACCAGTCCTGGAGAAAGAAATATATGACCTTACAGACGGAGAATTCAAAATAGCTGTGTTGAAGAAACTCAAAGAAATTCAAGATAACACAGAAAAGTAATTCAGATTCTATCAGATAAATTTTAAAAAGAGACCATAATAATTAAAATAAATTAAGCAGAAATTCTACAGCTGAAAAATGCAATTGAGGTACAGAAAATGCACCTGAGTCTCTTAATAACAGAACTGAACAACAAGAAGAAAGAATTAGTGAGATTGAAGACAGGATATTTGAAAATACATAGTCAGAGGACACAAAAGAAAAAAGAATTAGAAAAATAAACCATGCTTGCATGGCTTCAAAAGGACAAATCTAAGAGTTATTTGCCATAAAAAGGAGGTAGACAAAGAGATAGGGGTAGAAAGTTTATTCAAAGAGATAATAAAGGAGAACTTCCCAAACCTAGAGAAGACGAAGCAGATTTAACCGAAAGAAAACGACCGCAAGGCATTAAGTAATCAAATTCCCAAAGGTCAAAGATAAGAGCAGATTCTAAAAGCAGCAAGAGAAAAGAAACAAATAATATACAGTGGAGTTACAATATGTCTGGCAGCAGAATTTTCAGTAGAACCTGACAGGCCAGGAGATAGTGGCATAACATATTTAAAGTGATGAAGGAAGAAAAATTTTACCATAGATATAAATATATCTGGTGAAAATATCCTTCAAACATGAAGGAGAAATAAAGACTTTCCCAGACAAACAAATGCTGAGAGATTTTAGTAATATCAGACTGGTCCTAAAGGAAATGCTAAAGGACCACTTCAGTAAGAAAGAAAAGGACATTAATGAGCAATAAATAATCATCTGATGTTACAAAACTCACTAGTAATAGCAAGTACACAGAAGAACACAGACATTTTATAACACTGTAAGTGTGATGTATAAACTACTCTTTTCCTAAGTAGAAAGACTAAATGATTAACCAATCAAAACTAATAACTATAACAACTGTTAAAGACATAGACAGTACAATAAGATATAAATAGAAACGACAAAAAGCTAAAAAGTGGGGGAATGAAGTTAAGGTGTTGAGTTTGTATTAGCTTTCCTTCTGCTTGCTTTTATGTTTGTTTGCTTATATAAACAGTGTTAAGTTGTTATCAGCTTAAAATAACGGGTTATAAGAGAGTATTTGCAAGCTTCATGGTAATCTCAAACCAAAAATCATACTATGGATACACAAAACATTAAAAGCAAGAAACTAAATCATATCACCAGAGAAAATCACCTTCACTAAGGAAGACAGGAAGGAAGAAAGAAGGAAGACAAGACCACAAAACAAGCAGAAAACAAATAACAATATGTTAGGAGTATATCCTTATTTATCAGTAATAACATTGAATGTAAATGGACTAAACTCTCCAATTGAAAGACATAGACTGGCTGAATGGATGAAAAAACAAGACCAGTTGATCTGTTGTCTATAAGAAATGTAGACAACTTCATCTAAAAAGACACACATAGACTAAAAATAAAAGGGGAAAAAAAGATATTCCATGCAAACTGAAACCAAAAGAGAGCAGGAGTAGCTATACTTAGACAAAATAGATTTCAAGACACAAACTATAAGAACAGACAAAGAAGATCACTATATAATGATAAAGAGGTCAATTCAGCAAGAGGATACAACAATTTTAAATATATATGCACCCAACACTGGAGCACCCAGATATATAAAGTAAATATTATTAGAGCTAAACAGAGAGATAGCCCACAATGCAATAATAGCTGGAGACATCGGCACCCCACTTTTAGGATTGGACAAATCACCCAGATAGAAAATCAACAAATAAACATCATAGTCTGTACTATAGACCAAATAAATTTAATAGATATTTTCTGAACATTTCATCCAAATTCTGCAGAATATATATTCTTAGGACAGACCATATGTTAGGTCACATAATGAGTCTTAAAACATTCCACAAAATTTTAAATAATATCAAGCATCTTTTCTGACCACAATGGAATAAAACTAGAAATCAACAACCAAGAAGAATTTCAGACACTATACAAATGTATGGAAATTAAGCAATATGCTTTTTAATAGCCAATGGTTCAATGAAGAAATTAAGAAGAAAGGTGAAAAATTTATTGAAACAAATGATAATAGAAACACAACACATCAAAACCTATGAGTTACAGCAGAAGCAGTACTAAGAGGGAAGTTTATAGATATAAGTTCCTTCATCAAAAAAGAGAAAAAACTTCAAATAAGCAACCTAATAACCCATTTGAGGGAGCTAGAAAAGCAAGAGAAAACTGAGCCTAAAATTAGAAGAAAAGAAATAATAAAGATCAGAGCTGACAATACAACAGATCAATGAACCAAAAAGTTGGTTTTTTGGAAAGTTAAACAAAATTGGCAAACCTTTAGCCAAACTAAGTAAAAATAGTGAATAGCTAAATAAATAAAAGTAGAAATGAAAAGGAGACATTACAATTTATAGTCCAGAAATTCAAAGGATCATTAGTGGCTACTATGAGCAACTACATGCCAATAAACTGGAAACTCTAGAAAAAATGGACAAATTCGAAGACACCTACAACCTACCCAGATTGAACCAGAAAGAAATCTGAAAGCTAAACAGAACAATAACATGTAACAAGATTGAAGCTGGAATAGTCTGTCAGCAAAGAAAAGTCCAGAACCTGATGGCTTTACTGCTGAAGCCTACCAAACATTTTGAGAACTAACACCAATTCCACTCAAATTCTTCCAAAAAATAGAGGAGAAGGGAATACTTCCAAATTCATTGTATGAGACCAGTGTTATTCTGATACCAAAACCAGACAAAGAAACATAAAAAAAGAGCTACAAGCCAATATCCCTGATGAATATTCATGCGAAACTTCTCAACAAAATACTAGCAACAAAATTCAACCATATATTAGAAAGATTATTCATCATGGCCAAGTGGGATTCATCCTTGGGATACTAGGATGGTTCAACATATGCAAATCAATCAACATGGTACATGTTATCAACAGAATGAAGGATAAAATCCATATGGTCATTTCAACTGATGCTGAAACAGTATTTGATAAAATTCAACATCCATGATAAAAACCCTAAAAAAACTGGGGATTAAAGGACATACCTCAAGATATTAAATGCCATATATGACAGACCCACAGTTAGTAGCATACTGAATGGGAAAAACTGAAAGCCTTTTCTGTAAGATCTGGAACACAACAAGGATGCCAACTTTCACCATTGTTGTTCAACAAAGTACTAGAAATCTTAGCTAGAGCAATCAGATAAAAGAAAGGAATAAAGAGCTTCCAAATTGGAATAGAAAAAGTAAAATCATTCTTGCTTGTGGAAGACAATCTTATATTTGAAAACATGTAAAGACTCCACCAAAAAACTACTAAAACTGATAAACAAATTCATTAAAGTTACAGGATAAAAGTCAATGTACATAAATCAATAGCATTTTTGTATGCCAACAGTGAACAACCTAAAGAAAAGAATTTAAAGCTGGGTGTGGTGGCTCACGCCTGTAATCCCAGCACTTTGGGAGGCTGAGGTGGGCAGATCATGAGATCAGGAGATCAAGACCATCCTGGCCAACATGGTGAAACCCTGTCTCTACTAAAAATACAAAAATTATCTGGGCATGGTAATGTGTGGCTGTAGTCCCAGCTATTTGGGAGGCTGAATCGCTTCAACCTTGGAGGCGGAGGTTGCAGTGGGCCGAGATCACACCACTGCACTCCAGCCTGGTGAGATAGAGAGACGCTGTCTTAAAAAAAAAAAAAAAAAAAAAAAGAATTTAAAAAGTAATCTCATTTAAAATAGCCACACATAAACTTAAATACCTGGGAATTAACTTAACCAAAGATGTAAAAGATCTCTACAATGAAAACTATGAAACACTGATGAAAAAAGTTGAAGATGGTGTCATAAAAAAGGAAAGCTATTTTATGTTCATGGATTGGAAGAATCAATATTGTTAAAAATATTCATACTACCCAAAGCAATCTAGAGATTCAATGCTATCACTCTGACATTCTTCATAGAAATAGAATAAACAATCCTAAAACTTACATGGAACCACAAAAGATCCAGAATAGCCAAAGCTATCCAGAGAAAAAGAACAAAACTGGAGGAATCACACTACCTAACTTCAGATTATACTACAGAGCTGTATAACCAAAACAGCATGGCACTGGCATAAGACATATAGACCAATGGAACAGAATAGAGAACCTAGAAACAACTCTGCATACCTATGGTGAACTGACTTTTGACAAAGGTGCCAAGCACATACGCTGGGGTAAAGACAGTCTCTTCAATAAATGGCGCAGGGAAAACTGGATATCTATATGCAGGAGAATAAAACTAGGCCTCTATCTCTTGCCATATACAAAAATCAAATCAAAATGTATTAAAGACTTAAATCTAAGACCCCAAACTATGAACCTACTGCAAAAAAAAATTGGAGAAAATCTCCAGGACATTGATCTGGGAAAAAGTTTCTTGAGCGATACCCCACAAGGACAGGCAAACAAAGCAAAAATGAACAAATGAGATCATGTCAAGTTAAAAAGCTTCTGCACAGCAAATAATACAATCAACAAAGTGAATAGATGACTCGCAGAATGGGAGAAAATATTTTCAAACTATTCATCTGAGAAAGGATTAATAACCAGAATATATAAGGAGCTCAAACAACTCTATAGGAAAAAAAATTTCAATTCAATTGAAAAATGGGCAAAATATTTGAATAGACATTTCTAAAAAGAAGACATAGAAATGGTGAACAGGCATATGAAATGAGCTTACCATCATTGATTATCAGAGAAACGCAAATCAAAACTACAATAAGATATCAACTAACCCAGGTAAAATGGTTTATATCCAAAAGATGGCAATAACAAATGCTGGTGAGGATATGGAGAAAAAGGAACCCTCATACACCATTGGTGGAAATGAAAATTAGTGCAATCATTATGGAGAATAGTTTAGAGGTTTCTCAAAAAACTAAAAAAAGAGCTACCCTAAGATTTAGCAATCCCACTGTTGGGTATAGACCCAAAATAAAGGAAATCATTATATTAAAGAGATATCTTCACTTCCACATTTTCTGCAGCACTGTTCAGAATAGCAAAGAGTTAGAAGCAACCTAATCGTCAACAGAAGAATGGATAAAGAAAATATGGTACATATACACAATGGAGTACTATTTAGCCATAAAAATGATTGAGATCCTGTCATTTGCAACAACATGGATGGAACTGGAGATTATTGTATTAAGTGGAATTGGACAGGCACAAAAAGACAAACATTGCATATTCTCACGTATTTGTGGGATCTAAAAAATCAAAACAATTGAACTCATGGACATAAAGAGTAGAAGGATGCTTACACAAGGCTCGGAAGGGTAGTGGGAGTGGGTGGATACAATTTTGTATCCATTAATGGATACAAAAAAACATAGTTGGAAAGAATGAACAAGACCTACTGTTAGATAGAACAACAGGAGTACTATAATAAAAATAATTTAATTGTACATTTTAAAATTACTAAAAGAGTATCCTTGGATTATTTGTAACACTAAGAATAAAGGCTGGAGGGGATAGGAGCCCCATTCTTCATTATGTTTATTATGTTTTGCATGCCTTTATCAAAATCTCTCATGTATGCCATAAATATATACACCTACTATGGACCCACAGAATTAAAGATAATAGAAATAAAAATATTTAATAAGCAGTACAGCCTAGACAACAATCAATCATACCAGAAATGTTACTTTCCCGTGTGCTGTTCTGGTGCATGCCATTAGCTCTGTCACCATCAAAATGTAGCAACATCTTTGTTTTGCCAGCAGGTCATTGTATTTCCATGATACTGAACTATGCTTAACATTATTTCCAATAAAATAACTAATTCCATATTTAAAAAAAGAATCTGGAACCAATAAATTATGCAAGCTTGAAATTCCCTTGTTTTACTTTTTCTTTTAGTTTGTTTCCTTTGACACACATAAACAATTATTCCATATTATCAAGTTCTTCTTTTTCTATTCTGCTCATACTGGAATTCAAATTGCATTCAAGTGATCACTTTTCAGCATGAGAATTTTTAAGAGAAAACTTACCCCCAAATCTTAACTCTGTTGTTTTTCCCTGAAGAGGTAAGACACTATTAGATTCAATTTATTTAATTATGCCTTATTCTACCCACTAAAGTATTAGTGCTTCTAATACAGAGCACATGACAGATTTTCCCAAAGTGGGCCTTTGAACGCTAGACTGTGGAATGTCAATAGTGTTCACTAGTTGTCCTTTCAAGGTTAAAACTTACTAATTTTGTTCATGTGATATTTTATGAGCTGCTTTATTTCATCTCATTTTTAAACACATTCTCAAGATCCACAGTGTGCTGTGTTATTGGAGTCTCAGACTCAGAACCAATGTAATATTTAACATTCTAGCTGAGGTACCTATATAATATACAAATAAATAAGAATTTTAGATTGTAATAAATGATATAAAAATAAAGTAATGCTAGTGAGTGATAGAGTAGGGGTTAGAGGTCTTTCAGAGAAATTGACACGAGCTAAGTTTCAAATTAGGATCAAAATATGCAAAAATCTCAGAAAATTATGGTCTAGGCAGAAAGAAGAGAAAGAACAAAAAAGAACAGAAAGAACGAACTTGGCTTTTCTTTCTTTCTTTCTTTTTTTATTTTTTTGAGACGGAGTCTCGCTCTGTCACCCAGGCTGGAGTGCAGTGGCGCGATCTCGGCTCACTGCAAGCTCCGCCTCCCGGGTTCACGCCATTCTCCTGCCTCAGCCTCCCGAGTAGCTGGGACTACAGGCGCCCGCTACCACGCCCGGCTAATTTTTTGTATTTTTAGTAGAGACGGGGTTTCACTGTGTTAGCCAGGATGGTCTCGATCTCCTGACCTCGTGGTCCACCCACCTCGGCCTCCCAAAGTGCTGGGATTACAGGCATGAGCCACTGTGCCCAGCCCAAACTTGGCTTTTCTAAGGAACAGAATAATAAAGCCAAATAGAACGAAGGGCAAGTGCTATAATCTGAATGTTTGTGCCTCTACCTCCAAAATTCATCTGTTGAAACCCTCAATGTGATGGTATTTAGAGGTGGAATTTTTAAGAGGTTGGATTAGTGCCCTTATGAAAGGCGCTTGAGGGAGCTTTCTCATGCCTTCCACCATGTGAGGTCACAGATAGACTGCATCATCTTTGAAGCAGAGACTAAGCCCTCACTAGACACCAAATATGTTGATGCCTTGATCTTGGATTTCCCAGCCACCAGAACTGTGAGCAATAAATTTCCATTGTTTAAAAATTACCCAGTTTCAGTATTTTGTTATAGCAGTGAGAACAGACTAAGGCAGCAAGAGAGTGGTAAAAGACATTGGAGAGGTGGCCCTGGGCTAGAACATGTAGGACTTGGATTTTATTCAAAGTGCCATGAGAAGTCACTGAAGATGTTTAGTCAGGAAACTATCATGCTTTTCTCTTCAAAAAAAATCACCCTGACTTTTAAAATCTTACTCAATTGTAAATATACTAAAAAGGGCAACAGTCTTCCATGTGAAACAAACTGTACTAGGTTCTAGTCATTATATTTCCAAAGGCAATGCCACATTAAAACCACCTAAGGCATTTTCACAGCTTTTCAAAACACAACAGCCCAGGCCTCCCTTCTTAAGGCTTCTGATTCAGGGATCCGAGACTGATTCTGGGACTCCGTATTTTAAAAATCTCCCAAGATGTTTCTGATGCACATTCCCACTTAAACATCCCTGACCTAAGCCGTACTTATTGGAAAACACAGTTTACAAAATAATTTTAAATGCCAAATTTTCAATAGATAAAAAACTGTATGATAAATTGGCATTTCAAAATAATATGTTTTTTCCACAATTATTCTTCACAATACTAAGGGGACTCAGCATTATTTAGATGGGAACACAGGTACTTAAATAACCTCTTTGAAATTATCACTCGTCACTGAATTTCTGATCTCTTTTATCACCTGAAGCCTATCTTAATGCTACTCAACATGTTTCCTGGCTGGCACAGACAATCTATATAGAACTGTACCAAACAATTCAGGTTTATATTGTCCTCTAACCTAATGTTCGATCTTGAAGCTATTGCATTTTCTGACAGATTTCTTTTGATCTTCCTTTACACAGTCCTTTAGGACATCATTCTAACTGAAGTCTCCCTTGGTTACTATTGTGGCTAATAACGTTTTAGCTCCTCAAATTAATTCTGAAGCATAGCAACGGGATTTACTTAATGTGGCTGATCTGGCCTATTTGCTTCATATTTTCTCTGCTTCTGATAAACTCAGCAGCATAGCTATGAACTCATGTCAACCTAACCTACATTCATTCTCCTTGCTGGACCAGTGTGCTGGGTAAACTGAAAGGATTAGGTCAGAGATATGACCCACACAGAGAACTTCTAAACTTGCTGTTTTCTCTGAGCCTGAGAAATAATCCTCATCATCCCCTTGGGAGCTTAAAGTCACATTATTTTTAGATGTCACAAACGAGTAAGATCAACATGACTACACACTTCTCCCTTCTTTTCCCCTTCTCACATTCACCTTCCTGTTTCTCTTGCTGAAATTTTAGTACAGGATTTTTGCTGGTTTTGTAACAGGCAGAGTTTTTCTATTTTTTATATTAGTACCATTTATTAAATAGATGCTTTTCCAGTGGGCAGACTGACTACATGAGCATTGCTTCTTCTCTAACTCCATGTGGCATTGATGATGGCCTCTTCACTTTTGACATCCACCCCCTTTCACACTACAGTTGAAGTCAGTATGAGTCTGAAGGAAGATTTTAATTTACCTGGGCACTACATGGCAGTAACTTTGACTCTACCACCCAAGTTCTCTCTGAAATAATACTTTGGTTTGACATGAGCAGAGCCACTCCATTTCTACTAATACACCTACTAGTATACTAATTGTTTTCAATTTAGTGTAAACAGGTGAGTGCTCATAGTGCCTGGCACAGTTTTGAAGAATGGGCAAGTGTTTCCTTCCTCGGGCATGTCTCTAAACCATAGAGCCCTCCCTAAAAAAAAGGAAACAGTGCTAAAGCAGTTGTTTTCAACTGGGTTGTACCACCCTCTAATAGTCATTTTAGAAATCCGTAGGGCTTTTTATGATTATCACAAAAGCCTGTGGGTACTGGCATTAGTGGTGAAGATGGGGTTGAGGTGGTGGTGGCAAGAATGTTCTATGACATGCAGTATTAAGAACATTCTTGCACTACCCTGATACCAAAACCAGACAAAGACACAACAACAACAACAAACTACAGACCAATATCCTTGACAAACATAGGTACAAAAATTCTCAAAAAATACTAGCAAATAGAATTTAACAACACACTTAAAATTTGATTTACTATGATCAAGTGGGTTTTATCCCAGGAATGCAAGGATGTTTCAACGTATCATGGGGATATGTTAAAGAGAATCACAGGGATATGTTAACAGAATCGTGGGGTAAAAATATGATGATTTCAACAGATGCTGAATAAAGCATTTGATAAAATTTAACATCTCTTCATGGAAAAAACCCTCAACAAATTGTTTATAGAAGGAACATACTTCAGCATGATAAAGGCCATATATGACAAGCCCACAGCTAATATCCTACTGAATAGGGAAAAGGTGAAAGCCTTTTCACTAAGATCTGGAACAAGACAAGGATGCCCAATTTTACTACTTCTATTCAATAGAGTACTGGAATTTCTAGCCAGAGCAAACATGCAAAGAAAGAAATAAAAGGATCCAAATTGGAAAAGAGGAAGTCAAGTTGTTCTTCTCTGCAGATGACATGATCTTATACCTAGGAAAAGCTAAAGACTCCACCAAAAAACTCATTAGATCTGATAAGTAAATTCAATAAGGTTTCAGGATACAAAATGAACACATAAAATTAGTAGCATTCCTGTATACTAATAGTAATTGAATCTGAAAAAGAAATCAAGAAACCAATCCCTTTAGAATAGCTATTTTAAAATACTTAGGAATAAATTTAACCATAGAAGTGAAAGATTTCTATAGGAAAATTATAAAATTGTGATGAAATAAAGAGCAGAGGACACACAAAAAATAGAAAAATATTCTATTCTCATGGATTGGAAGAATTAACATTGTTAAAATTGTCTTTGTTACTCAGACAATATACATATCCAATGCAATTCTTATCAAAATACTAATGACATTCTTCACAGAAATAGAAAAAACTAAAATTCATATAAAACCAAAAGGCCTCGAATAGCTAGAGCAATATTGAGTTAAAAAACAATGCTGGAGGTATCACACTGCTTGACTTCAAATTATATTACAAAGCTATAGTAGCCAAAGCAGCATGATCTGGCACAGAAACAGAGACACATACTTAAAGAAAAGAATAAAAACCCAAAAATAAATTGGTGAGTTGACAGATAACTTATTTTTTTCAAAATACATTGGGAAAAGGAGACTCTGTTCAATGAATGGTGCTGGGAAGGCCAGATATCTATATACAGAGGAGTGAAACTAGATTCCATCTTTCACCATATACAAAACTCAACTCAAAATAGATTAAAGACTTACATCTAAGACCTGAAACTATGAAACTAATAAAATAAAACAATGTGGAAATGCTATATGACATTTCTCTGGACAAAGATTTTTGGGGGTAAGACCTATAAAGCACAGGTAACACAAGAAAAAATAGACAAATGGGATAACATCAAGCTAAAAAGCTTCAGCACAACAAAGAAAAAAATTAACAACATGAACAGACAATCTGAAGAATAGGAGAAAATATCTGCAACTATCCCATCTGACAAGGGATTAGTCACCAGAATATATAAGGAGCTCAAACAACTCAACAGCAAAAATTAATCCCATTAAAAAATGGGCAAAAGGTCTGAATAGACATTTCTCAAAAGAAAACATGCAAATGGACTATAACTGTATGAAAAAAATGCTCAACATCACTAATCATCAGAAAAATGCAAATCAAAACCACAATAAGATATCGCCTCACTCCGTTTAGAGTCACTGTTATGAAAAAGACATGAAGAAAGGAGAATGCTCATACACTGTTGGTGTGAATGTAAGTAGTACTGCTACTATAGAAAACAGCATGGAGTTTTCTCAAAAAAATGAAAATAGAAGTACTATATGACCCAGCACTCCCACTTCTGGGTATATACCCACAAGAATGAAAATCAGTATATTGAGATATCTGCACTCCCATGTTTATTGCAGAACTGTTCACAATAGCCACAATATGGAATCAAACTAAGTGTCCATCAACAGATGGTTGAACAAGAACATTATATATATATATATATATATATATA
Organism: Homo sapiens; assembly: GCF_000001405.40. NCBI lineage: Eukaryota > Metazoa > Chordata > Mammalia > Primates > Hominidae > Homo > Homo sapiens. The sequence continues at coordinate 4,973,625 of NC_000018.10, forward strand.
TATATATATATATATATGTGTCATATATTATACATATGTATATATGTCATTTGCAGCAACATGCATGGAACTGGAAGTCATTTTGTTAAGTGAAATAAGCCAGGCACAGAAAGGCAAATACTGTATGTTCTCATTCATATATGGGAGCTAAAAAAGTTGATCTCATAGAGGTAGAAAGTAGAATGGTAGTTACCAGAGGCTGGGAAAGTGTATTAGTTCGTTTTCATGCTGCTGATAAAGATATACCTGAGACTGGGAAGAAAAAGGGGTTTAATTGGACTTACAGTTCCACATGGCTGGGGAGGCCTCAGAACCGTGGCGGGAGGTGAAAGGCACTTCTTACCTGACGGTGGCAAGAAAAAATGAGCAAGATGCAAAAGCCAAAACTCCTGATGAAACCATCAGATCTCATGAGACTTACTTATTACCACGAGAACAGTATGGGGGAAACCACCTCCATGATTCAAATTATCTCCCACTGGGTCCCTCCCACAACATGTGGGAATTGTGGGAGTATAATTCAAGATGAAATTTGGTTGCGGACACAGAGCCAAACCATATCATTCTGCCACTCGCTCATTCCAAATCTCATGCCCTCACATTTCAAAACCAATCACGCCTTCCCAACAGTCCCCCAAAGTCTTAACTCATTTCAGCATTAACCCAAAAGTCTACAGTCCAAAGTTTCATCTGAGACAAGGTAAGTCTCTTCCACCTGTGAGGCTGTAAAATTAAAAGCAAGGTAGTTACTTCCTAGATACAATGGGGGTACAGGAATTGGGTAAATACAGCCATTCCAAATGGAACAAATTGGCCAAAGCAAAGGGGTTACAGGGCCCATGCAAGTCTAAAATCCAGTGGGGCACTCAAATTTTAAAGCTCCAAAATTATCTCCTTTGACTCCAGGTTTCAAATCCAGATCACACTGATACCAGAGGAGGGTTCCCATGGTCTTGGGCAGCTCCACTCCTGTGGCTTTTCAGGGTACACCCTCCCCTTCCAGCTGCTTTCACAGGGTGGCATTGAGTGTCTGCAGCTTTTCCAGGTGAACGGTCCAAGCCATCAGTGTACCATTCTGGGGTCTAGAGGGCAGTGGCCCTCATCTCACAGCTCCAAGAGGTAGTGCCCCAGTAGGGATTCTGTGTGGGGGCTCCAAACCCACATTTCCCTGCTGTACTGCCCTAGCAGAGTTCTCTGTGACTCTATGAGTGCCTTTGTCCCCACAGAAAACTTCTGCCTGGGCATCCAGGAGTTTCCATACATATTCTGAAATCTAGGTGGAGGTTCCCAAACCTCAATTCTTGACTTCTGTGCGCTCACAGGCTCAACACCATATGGAAGTTGCCAAGACTTGGGGCTCACACCCTCTGAAGCCACAGCCCAAGCTTTAAATTGGCCCCTTTCAGCCATGGCTGGAGCAGCTGGGACTCAGGGCACCAAGTCCCTAGGCTGCACAAAGCACAGGGACCCTGGGCCGAACCCATGAAATCATTTTCTCCTAGGCCTCCAGGCCTGTGATAGGAGGGGCTGCCGTGAAGACCACTGACATGCACTGGAGATATTTTTCCCATTGTCTTGGGGATTAACATTCAGCTCCTTGTTACTTATACAAATTTATGCAGCTGGCTTCAATTTCTCCTTAGAAAATGGGTTTTTCTTTTCTATCACATCGTCAGGCTGCAGATTTTCCACACTTTTATATTCTGCTTCTCTTATAAAACCAAATGTCTTTAACAGCACCCAAGTCACCTCTTGAAAGCTTTGCTGCTTAGAAATTTCTTCCACCAGATACCCTAAATCATCTCTCTCAAGTTCAAAGTTCCACAAATTTCTACGGTGGGGCAAAATGCCACCAGTCTCTTTGCTAAAACATAACAAGAGTAACCTTTGCTCCAGTTCCCAACAAGTTCCTCATCTACATCTGAGACCACCTCAGCCTGGACCTTATTCTGCATATCGCTATCAGGCTTTTGGTCAAAGCCATTCAAGAAGTCTCTAAGAAGTTCCAAACTTTCCCACCTTTTCCTGTCTTCTTCTAAGCTCTCCAAACTCTTCCAACCTCTGCCTGTTACCCAGTTCCAAAGTCGCTTCCACATTTTTGGGTATCTTTTCAGCAAAGCCCTCCTCTATTGGTACCAATTTACTCTATTAGTTCATTTGCATGCTGCTGATAGAGACATATCCGAGACTGGGAAGAAAAAGAAGTTTAATTGGACTTACAGTTCCATATGGCTGGGGAGGCCTCAGAATCATGGCAAGAAGCAAAAGGCACTTCTTACATGGTGGCAGCAAGAGAAAATGAGGAAGATGCAAAAGCAGAAACCCCTGATGAAACCATCCGATCTTGTGAGTCTTGCTCACTATGAGAACAGTATGGGAGGAACCACCCCCATAATTCAAATTATCTCCTACCGGGTCCCTCCCACAACACATGGGAATTATGGGAGCAGATTTGGGTGGGGACACAGAGGCAAACCAAATCAGGGGAGAAGTGAGGAGGGAGATGAAGAGAAGTAGGTTGAGGGGTACAAGAATATAGCCAGATAGAAGTAATAAGTTCTAGTATTCAACAGTACAATAAAGAAACTATGTCAACAATAGTTTATTGCATATTTTTTAGAAAGCTTGAAGAGAAGAATTGTAATGTCCCCAACACAAAGATAAATGTTTGATGTGATGGATATCCCACATTCATTATACATTCTATACATGTATCAAAATATTACATGTACCCCCAAAATATGTACAACTATAATATATCAATTACAAATACAACAAGTAACACTCTTGCTTGGTGAAAATCATTCTACGTCCTGCACCACTCTTGAATATTACGCAGAACACTTAGCATAAGTAAAATATCTAAGTATCTGAGCCTAGGGTCTGAGTCCATTTTACCTTCAAATATAAAGTATTTTTTGCACAGTTTTTATATAAACTGAATTATTCAGGGATACAAACACAAAGAAAAAAGAACAGTGTCACTTTGATTTGCTGGAAACTTTACCAAAAACTAATCATTATTTCAGAAAAATCATTATTAACTGTGCCACTTCTAGTTTTTGAATCAACTCTGTCAAACTGGTTTTGAAGCCGTCTCACTCATAATGATTCTACATATGGGTCCCATCATCTGACCTCTTCACCATGCTTTCTAGAGCAGTGATTTCTATGCATTTGCATATTAACATTTATATTTTATTACGAAAGTCTTTCCTGGTATTTTCCCATTATGCTAGAATATCATATTGATTTTTAATAATATTATAGGTGTTGGTAAGCTACATCATCTATGAATTTTATTTCAGGATAGTAACAGATAATGTTATCAAATGTTTGCTATACTGAAGAGACACTGTCTTGATTGGATAGGAACTGTTTCCTAGGTGTACGGCTGTTTTCAAATAGACTTTATTTATCACAAGCTGCTTGAGGATAACTCTAAGCCCCATCTACCATATATCAAACACTATTCACATAAAAGCCTATTTGTGACACAACTTTCTCCTACCAAATGTAGTAACAACTCTTATTAATTAAACACCTATTATTGACCAGGCAATATGCTAATACTTCACATATATTACATCAACCCTCAACTCCGCAAGAAATGTAATATTTATTATTAGCTTTATTTTACCGGCAAGAAAACTGACACAGAATAAAGGTTAAATAACTTCGCTGAGATCATGCCATTTGTAGGCTATTTGATACAAGTTTAACAAATTCGAACTCCAGTGACTTTGTCAAAGACAGAGATGGACAAAATTCACAGCCAGAAAGACAAAAAGTTGGTAAGTAGCAAGAAACAACCAAGCTCAGAAGGGCTGAATTAACTGCTGAAAAATGAACGCAGAGGTTGGGCATGGTAGTTCACACCAGTAATCCCAGCATTTTGGGAGGCCAAAGCAGAAGGCTTGCTTGAGCCCAGGAGTTGGAAACCAACCTGGGCAACATAGTGAAACTCTGTCTCTACAAAACTTAAAAAAATTAATCGAGCATGGGTGTACCTACCTGCAGTCCCAGCTACTCAGGAGGCTGAGGCAGGAAGATTCCTTGACCCCAGGAGGTTTAGCTGTGTTTGAACCACTATATTCCAGTCTGGGTAACAGAGTGCATTCTCATGTTAGGACCCTCACTCAAGCCCCATCAAGTTCCCACACTACTCATGGTCTGAGGAACATCACTTGAAAAGTGGGTCGTTTAAACTGAGATGTGCTTTAGCTGCAAAACACATATAACATTTCAAAGACTTGGTGCCAAAAAAAGAATGTAAAATATCTCACTAATAATTTTATGGAGTTTATATGTGATAATAATGTGTTTGGATATATTGAGTTGAAATACAAGAACTTTTTACCTATTTCTTTTTATATTTTAATGATGTTACTAAATTTTTTAATTATACATATGTGGCTCGCATTATATTTTTATTGGCCAGAGTAAATACAAGTGGCTTTCCTGTAGTCTAAGTATCCTTCTCCTGCATAACAGAAATCTGCAGAAGCGGCCGGGCGTGGTGGCTCACACCTGTAAGCTTGTAAGCCTTGGGCAACTGCTTTCTAGACAGACCATTCAGGCCACTGGAAGCCACATGAGAGAACAATGTGGATGTGTGAAAGGGGAGGACAAGCAAGCGTTCCTGCACATCTTCCCCAGTTTTAGGCCCTCAGACCATGGGAACCACATGTTCATTCACTATTGATTACTATTATTTTCTTACCATATGCTTCACACAACTGCTGCTACGTGAGCACAGTAGGCAAAATCTGGAACAGAAGCTGTGTTTGAATATACATGCAAAGAAAAGTCAAAATATTTAACATGTTACCTGAATACAATATTGTTTATATTTACTAACAAAGAAGAAGATAGGAGCTTGTGGCTCTACCAAAACCCAGACGAGTAGTATTAGCTCAACATGGATTTGAAAGTATTAGAAATAGTTTAAATATAAAATAATTAAAGGCAGGGGAGTAAAACCTGTAACTTCTCAAGATCCATCCCATCTATTATCAGATCTCTAACTTCTGTGCTTTGATTTCATTAAAAGAATTTTTAAAAACTGAGAGAAAACTGAATTCAATGAGGTTGAATAGAAACTAATAACAATAATTTTACCTCACACTTGTTAACTGAGCAAAATATCAAGAAAAAAAAGCTTTTCAAAAAAGGTGTGTGTACCACTTTGATCTCTATTAAGAGAAGAATGATTCATTAACTCTGATGCAGACTTAATATGAAATATTATACATTATATTTTTTAAAAGGTTTATCTCTAGATGAGCAACATGTTTTATTGCCTATGATGGTTTCCTCTGATCTCATTTCGTAGCCCTTAGAGAAGCTTAACTTGTTTGCTACACAAGACCAGGCCATGCCAGAAAGAGCAGAGAAGAGCTTCTAACTATTGCATGGATGACAGTGTGAAGCAACTGTTATAACAACTTGGATCAGGTCTCTAAGCTCATTACTGGGCACATGCCCATGAGGACTACTTGAGAGTCTTTTCAGCTGAGCCAACCAAGTTGTAGAGAGCTACAAAGTCCTTGCTGCATCATTTTTCTAGAAGAAACAAAGCAAAAGGCAGCCACATTTTGGAGATTGTTTAGTTTATAAATCAAATGAGGTCTAATGTCAAAAATTGTTTCTGGAACTTCCTACAAAAGGAGAGTTCATCTCTCCCTTCTGTTTGCTCTTTAACTAACAGCATTTAACTCTTTCTGTCTGTCACATAATTAGACATGTACATGTCTGCCTTCCCTATCAGACAATAAATTTTATGATGGCAAGGTTCATCACAAAGTTTATTTTCATATTTCACCCAACACCTGGCATATAGTGGGCATTCAGTAAGTATTATAACATTGGATATAATTTTGTAACATTGGATGTAATCTTTCTTGACTATTCTAAAGAGCGGTAGCCAGGAAGAGGCATCCTCAAAAGCACATCAGACTGAACAATTGGCAGAGTTTACTTATAATCCGGTATCCAAAAGTTAATCTCTCCTGGGTTCAGCACCATCTTCTGCAAAACAAGAGGGCTGAGCTAGGCTACCTCCAAGTCCATTTGCCTTCCAATCCTTTATGGGTCTACTAATCTACTTTGAAAGTCTAAAAGTGTTTCCGTTTGATTATCTAAAAATGATCAGATTCCACTAATAATGACCTGAAATATATATTTTACTTTCCATGTTTTTATTATTCCCTGCAGAGTCCAGATCTGATTTTTACCATCTCCAGGATTTCAGTATCAAACTCTGTCAACCCATTTCGAGATTTCTTCTAATAAGTCAAAAACTGACTTTGTATTTTACTAAGAAGCGCTTAAGATTGAGCTGCTCTGTATGAAAGTTTATGTGAGGGTATTCATGTGCAAGAGAAATCATGAGGCAGGAGAGAGGAAGAGAGGGAGGGAGAAAGAAAAGGAAGGACAAATAGAGAGAATGATGGGGAGAAAATGTGTAATCTACTGGAGATCAAGTGCCGTATCTTTTTCCCTACTGAATTTTCCCTTCCTTTTGAACTGATGGTTCACCCCCTTCTGCAGATAGGATGGTTCTTGACACATAATACATGTTTATTAAATAATTGATGAATGAATGTGTGATGGAACGAATGAGTAAAACTATAGTAGAATTTTTGGAAAACTGTTACCAAAATATCTTTGCAGAAATTCATGAGAGCAGTAAGAATCTGTGCACATCCTGACTTTTCCTTAGAAAAGCTTAGATACCTAGTCAACAAACAAAGGTAAAAGAAATAAATAACTGCACAGCCAGAGAAGTAAGGTAAAAATGTCAGTGCCAACTTTGCCCAGGGATCGGTGGAAACACACCAATAAAAAGAGAAAAGTGATCCCATTATATGCTATTTACAAGTAATCCGTTTTTAAGGATATAGACATAGATTAAAAGTAAAAAGATGGCAAAGAATATATTATATAAACATGAATTAAAAGAAAGCTGGAATGCCTATATTAATATCAGAAAAAGTAGACTTTAGAAGAAGAAATATGGATAAAAAGTGACATTGCAAAAAAAAAACCATGACAAAGGGGATGAGTCATCAAGAAAGCATAAAAAATTTATGTGCATTTAACAACAGATCTTCCAAATACTTGAAGCAAAACCTGAGCAAACTAAAAGTGAAAATAGACGCATTCACAATTAAAGTTGAACCTTCAAAGATCCTCTCTCAGTAAACAACAGAACAAGTAGAGAGAAAACAGGTAAAGATATGGAAGACCTGAATAACACTATTAACCAAATTAACCTAATTGATATTTCTAGAATGTTCCACTTAATAGAATGCAAACTTTCTTCAAGTGCACATAGAACATTCATCCAGATTGATCATGTCCAGTACCATGAACCAAGTCTCAAGAAAGTAAAAACAAAATCAAACGGAATGTGTTCCCTGATCACATAGAATCAAACTAAAGATCAATAAAAGAAAAATTCTTAAAAACTCCCCAAAATTTGGAAATTAAGTAACACATTTCTAAACAACAATGTTCAAAAGGAAGTCACAAAAGAAATTACTAAATATTTTGAATTGACTAAAAATAAAAACACAACATACCAAAATTTGTAAAATGCTGCTAAAATAATGCTTACAGGAAAATTATAGCAATAATTGTTTATACTAGAAAAGAAGAAAGTTCTTAAATAAATTATCTAAGTTTCTACCTTAAGAAAATGAAGAAAAGAAGAAGAGTAAATCAAACCAAAAGCAATCAGACAAAAAAAAAATTATAAAGATCAGAGCATAGGGGCCAAGATGGCCAATTAGAAGAAGCTGTGGTCTGTGAGTCTCGGGGAGAGGAATGAAAATTGCCAGTGATTTCTGCACCTTCAACTGAGGTGCTGAGGTTTTCACATTGGGACTGAGTAGGGGATGGCTTGACCAATGGAGAGCGAGAAAAAACAGGATGGGGCTGGTCGGGAGAGGTTGGTTCACGCCTGTAATCCCAGCACTTTGGGAGGCCAAGACGGGCAGATCACAAGGTCAGGAGATTGAGACCACACTGGCTAACACGGTGAAACCTCGTCTCTACTAAAAATACAAAAAATTAGCCGGGGGTGGTGGCAGACCACTGTAGTCCCAGCTACTTGGGAGGCTGAGGCAGGAGAATGGCATGAACCCAGGAGGCGGAGCTTGCAGTGAGCCGAGATCGCACCACTGCACTCCAGCCTGGGCTACAGAGCGAGACTCCATCTCAAAATAAAACAAACAAACAAACAAACAAACAAAAAAACTGTTACCAGCCACTACAAAAACACACTGAAGTACACAGACCAGTGACACTATGAAGCAAGCACATAAACAAGTCTGCAAAATAACCAGCTAGCATCATGATGAAAGGATCAAATTCACACATAACAATATTAGCATTAAATGTAAATGGCATAAATGCCCCAATTGAAGAACACAGAGTGGAATGACTAATGCCATTCACAGTGACCTGGATGAGATTGGAGACTATTATTCCAAGTTAACTAACTAAGGAATGGAAAACCAAATATTGTATGTTCTCACTGATATGTGGGAGCTAAGCTATGAGGATGCAAAAGCATAAGAATCATGCAATGGACTTTGGGGAAGAGTGGGAGGGGGCAAGGGATAAAAGACTACAAATAGGGTGTAGGGTATACTGCTCAGGTGATGGGTGCACCAGAATCTCACAAATCACCACAAAGAACCTACTCATGTAACTAAACACCACCTGAACCCCAATAACCTATGGATAAATAAATAAATAAATAAAAGACAAAGAGTGGCATGCTGGATTCAAGACCTATCAGTACGCGGTCTTCAAAAAACCCATCTTATGTGCAAAGACACATAGGCTTAGAATAAAGGGATGGAGGAAAATTTACCAAGCAAATAAAAAAACAGAAAAACCAGGGGTCTCAGCCCTAGTTTCTGACAAAATAGACTTTAAATCAACAAAGATCAAATAAGACACAGAAGGGCATTACATAATGGTAAAGGGTTCAATTCAACAAGAAGAGCTAACTATCCTAAATATATAGGCACCCAATACAGGAGCACACAGATTCATAAAGCAAGTTCTTAGGGACCTGCAAAGAGACTTAGATTCCCAACAATAATAGTGCAAGGCTTTAACAGCCCACTGGCAATATTATTCAGATCACTGAAGCGAAAGTAACAAAGATATTCAGGACCCGAATGCAGCTCTGGATCAATTGGACCTGATAGACATCTATAGAACTCTCTGCTCAAAAACAATAGAATATACATTCTTCTCATCATCACATGGCACTTACTCTAAAATTGATCACATAATCAGAAGTAAAACACTCCTCAGCAAATGCAAAAGAACTGAAATCATTAAAAAACAAGCCTCTCAGACCACAGCACAACCAAATTAGAACTCAAGAAACTCAGTCAAAACCACACAGCTACACAGAAATTGAACAGCCTGCTCCTGAATGACTCCTGAGTAAATAATGAAATTCAGGCAGAAATCAAGAAGTTCTTTGAAACTGATGAGAACAAAGAGACAACACACCCGAACTTCTAGGACACAGCTAAAGCAGTGTTAAGAGGGAAATTTATAGCACTAAATGCCCATATCAAAAAGCTAGAAAGATCTCAAATCAACAACCTAACATCACAACTAAAAGAACTAGAGAACCAACAGCAAACAAACCCCAAAGCTAGCAGAAGACAAGATATAACCAAGATCTGAGCAGAACTGAAGGAGATAGAGACATGAAATGCCATAAAAAATCAATGAATCCAGGAGCTGTTTTTTGAAAAAAAATAAAATAGATAGACTGCTAGCTAGACTAATAAAGAAGAAAAAGAAGAATCAAATAAACACAATTAGAAATGATAAATGAGTATCATCAATGACCCCACAGAAATACAAACAACCATCAGAGAATACTATAAACACCTGTATGCACATAAACAAGATAATCTAGAATAAATGGATAAAGTCCTGGATGCATACACTCTCTCAAGACAAAACAGGAAGAAATGGAATCCCTGAATAGACCAATAACAAGTTCTGAAATTGAGACAGTATAAACAGCCTATCAACCAAAAGAAAGCCAAGAAGCAGACATATTTACAGCTGAATTTCTACCAGAGGTACAAAGGAGAGCTAATACCATTTCTACTGAAACTATTTCAAGCAATTGAAAAGGAGGGACTCTTCCCTAACTCATTTTATGAGGCCAAAATCATCCTAATACAAAAACCTGGCAGAGATACAACAACAACAACAAAACCTCCAGGCCAATATCCCTGATTAACACTGATGTAAAAATTCTCAATAAAATTCTGGCAAACTGAATCCAGTAGCACATCAAAAAGCTTATCCACCAGATCAGGTTGGCTTCATCACCAGGATATAAGGTTGGTTCAACATACACAAATCAATAAATGTGATTTCATCACATAAACAGAACTAAAGACAAAAACCACATGATTATTTCAATAGACACAGGAAAGGTCTTTGATAAAATTTAACATCCCTTTATATTAAAAACTTGCAATAAACTAGGTATTGAAAGAACATACCTCAAAATATTAAGAGTCATATATGACAAACCCACAGTCAGTATCATACTGAAAGCGCAAAAGCTGGAAGCATTCCCCTTGAAAACTGGCACAAGACAAGGATGCCTTCTCTCACCACTCCTATTCAACATAGTATTGGAACTTCAGTCCAGGGAAATCAGGCAAGATAAAGAAATAAAGCATATTCAAATAGGAAGTCAAACTCTCTTTGTTTGCAGATGTCATGATTCTATATCTAGAAAACTCCATCGTCTCAGCCCAACAGCTTCTTAAGCTAATATGCAACTTCAGCAAAGTCTCCAGATACAAAACCAATGTGCAAACATCACTAGCATTTCTGTACACCAACATATTTAGGGGGAGGAATTCATTTGTGGTGTTGCATATGGCAATAGTTAATTGATCTCACTGTTACATGTCACTGTGTAAATATACCAAAATTCATTTACTTATTCTACTATAAATTGGCTTTTTTGTTTTTGACTCCACTTAGGAGCTGATGTGAACAGAGCTGCTACGGAACATTCTTCTATATGTCCTTTGGTGTCTATACAAACTTAGTATTGTTAGATGTATACCTAAGAGTGGAATTCCTGTGTGATTGTGTGTGCATAAGCCAAGTGATTTTCTAACATGGCTGCGAATATACACTTCCACCACTAGTGTACAAGAGTTGCATTTGCTCTGTATTACAAGTAGGATTCATGCATGCATATCCCCACTGTAGTTGACAGTATTTATTCTCCTACAAGCTCCCGTCTTATTTCTAAAGACTTTTCTTTTCTTAGGCATAAGTTAGGGACCATGTCCTCAAATGCCCCACTATGTGGGGACAGAGTAGCAGTGTGAATAAATATCAAGCTTCCAAATGGTTCCTTTGAATAGCCTCTCATTGTGCTTGAAGTGAAGAAAATACACCCCCACTTCTTCCCTTTGGAGAGAGGAAACTCACAGTACAACAATAGATTTCTCTATAAAAATGTTGGCAAAATATATATAACATAAAATTTGCTATTTTAACCATTTTAAGTGTAAAATTCAGTGGCATTAATCACATTGACAATGCTATGCAACCATCACTACTATCCATTTCTGGAACTTTTTCTTCATCCGAAACAGAAATTGTGTACATATTAAACAATAACTTTCATTACCCCGTCCCTACACCTGCTAACCACCACTCTTCTTTCTGTCCCCATGAATCAATACCTTTCTCTTGTCTTCCTCACTAAATTCTCTGCCTACATCTAAGAAGCCTACCTTTTTATGGCCTTACTACAGGTGAAATGCCAAACAGTCATGGAACACATTCTAGAATACTCTTCTGAATGTTTCCATCTTGGTCTGACACTTAACTTTGGGATTTCATTCTCTGTATATGTTCATGGCTCAATCAAAACTTTTAAACTTTTAAATTTTATGAAACTGTTTTACATGAGCATGCAGCATTGGTGAATTACTTTTTCCCTTTAATCATCTTTGACCTCTGACTGCATTTTTTTACTGTCCTTCTAAACAGTCAGAAATTTTTCACTGAAGAGTCGCCATTAGTTTTTCTTGCCATATGCAGCTGCTGAATGAACTTTCTGTTTTTGCTTTGACAATTTAGGTAGCAAAATGTTTCCCAATTTGAAAAATGTGAGTTTAATATATCTACTGTGCATCAATTGGACTGGGCTGAATTTAGCTGATGGCGTAGGAGTGCCTCAATAACTCAGCATTGCTATAAATGTATCATCCTGCTAAAGAACGTTCTTACGTATTTGCAAAGCTCTTTGGCCTCTACAGTAAATTGAAGATAATGAGAACTGGTAGTAAAGTATTAGAAATTTTCTCTTTGTGATGATACAGGTAGAAATTGCCCATAATTGTGATCTATTATCTATAATGAGTTTTTTGAAATCTCCTTATAATCAAAACAAATTATTTAACTCTCACAGGATGCTCCCAACTGGATAAAGAATACATATTCCCTTCTATAGAGTGTATCATCTGCCTATTATGAAGAAATATATATAGATTCATAAGTAATCTTCCAAAATTGTGCTGTCATTTCTTGGCCAGAACTTTACATTTTTCCAAAGCCAGGCTTAAACATGAAAGGGCCTCAAGAGACCTTTAATCTATGATTATTTCCAAGAAGCTGCTCAAACTCAGTGTAGAGAACTTTCCACTGTCTATATAATAGACAGTACCAGTTCTCAAAGAGCTTAAATAATCCCACAGACCAGCAATTATCTCACAAAAGTACAAGTAGTCATCACCTGCAGTAGAGAATTTGGTGCAGCAGAGAGCACTTCCCCGTATAAAAGTTTTCCTATGTAGGCTCTACATCAGAGGTCAGCAAACTTTATCCCTTAAGGCCCAGATGGTAAAATATTTGTGGACCATATAGGCTCTGTCACAACTATTCACCTTTGCCAGTGTAGTGCCAAAATGGTCATTGACAATATGAAAACAAATTGTCGTGGATCCTTGGGGTGTCAATTTGCCAGCCAGAAACCTCTGTGGCTAGTTGCACTTTTGCCCAAGCTTTGCTTGGGGCTGCTAGGCTTGTTCCACCCACTTGACCTGGCAGGTTGTGCTCGGCTTGCACTACTGGCCCAGATCCCATGCCTGCCAAGGACGAGCCAGGCACAGAGTGGTGAGGGGTGCATGAGTGAACGAGTGCAAGGTCTGGCCCGTGTACAGCCAGGCACACTGGCTGTGGTAGGGGGGGAAGCTCTAGCTGTCGGCATGGGCACCAGTTTCCTGTGAGGCTATGGCTGGGCCAGGCATACTGCTAGCAGCTTCCACTGCAGGCACTGGGGAATGCAGTGGTGCCTGGAAGCTTGGAGATGCCAGGAACCGCAGAGCCCCAAAAAGGGTGTCACAGCCCTGGCTTGGGGAGCTCCTAGGTCTGGGTTCCCTGAAGGGCTGCAGCTTTTCACTCCTTTTCTCTCTTTTCTCCTTCTTGTCACCCACAACATGGTGAGTTGGGGGTTGGGGGTTCAGCCCTATCTGTGTTACAGCTCTTTTAGTCCCACCATTCAGCAAGTCCCAAGTTCTTATCTTGTGTGCAGGAAGAATGAGATAAGCGGACAACTGGAGGGTTAGCAAGGTGAAGAGGGGTTTTATGGAGCGACAATACAGCTCTCAGGAAACCTGGAGTGGGTAGCTCCTTTCCACAGAGAGGATGTCTCATTGTCTCTTCAGCCCTCAGCAAAGAGGAAATCCAAACTGGGTAGCTCCTATCAGCAGTCAGGTCACCCCATCATCTGCCAAAGTCTGGCTGAGTCCGGGGTTTTTATGGGATTCAGAGGGGAGAAAGTGCATGCTGATTCGTCCATGGGTGACCATGGGTGGGCCTGGAAAAAGCACCATAAGTTCTCACTCTGGTCTGCAGAACAGGCACCCTGGCCCCTAGACATCAGGCTGTCCCTGGCTTGAAGGTGGGGGCTTCACTGGGGACCCATCCCTTTCCACCAAAGAGTCTGTCTGCCTCTTGCCACCATCAACCTGCCATCCACGGTGCTCAGGTTGTTCATGTGTAGGGTCACCTGCAGGCCTGTGCCAAGTCACTCTCAGCCCCCGACTTGGCCTCTCTTCCATTATTGTTAGTGCCCAAAGTCTGGAGGGGGCCAAGGCAGCAGAGGGCTGGTGTGTCAGCACCACCCTGAGTGCATGCCAGGTCATGAGAGTGCTCACGCTCAGCCTCAACTTTGCTCCAAAATCAGAGCAGGCACTGGGCGTGGGGAGAGGCCAGGCAACAGGAGCAGGCACTTCCAACCCTGCAGGGTCAGGGGGGCTTCCCAGGTTACCGACAGTGCAGGGATGCCTGAATCCACAGCTGTCACTAGACAGTTGCAGCTGCACCCAGGATGGTGGGGCTCCTGCCCCACCAACTTGGAAGGAGGAGGGACTTCTGTCTGTTTCCAGCTCCTGCTGGCTCCATAGAGTGCATAGCCTTGGCCAAGTCTCCCCCACTGCAGCTGGCATCTTTGTAGTGGCCACTCCAGATGGGCTGCCGCTGCCATCAATCCCCCCCCCTGAAGAGGTACAACTAACTGCTGTTAGGATAGGGACAATAACTGCTCTTAACTGCTTCATGCTGAGAGGGGCCATTGTTTTGGTGAATACGGGAGTCAGATCTCTCTCAGAGGTCTATCTAAGGGTCCTTAGTAAAAAACGGAGCCATTGTCTGAGCCTCTAATTGAATGATGCTTGGAGTTTGATAGCCTCTTGAGAATAAACAAATTTTAGAAGGAGGCTAAGTATACATCTACCAAATAGGAGTGTTATACAAAAAGGAGCTAAAAGGAAAAAAATAGACTATTCTGATAACAATGTTGTGGCTAGAGCTGTTACACCCCGGTGGAAAAAAGTGAATCTGGTATGGGGGCAGTTAAACTTTAATAGAGAAATAATTGTTTAGGGGTGTAGATAATTCCTTGGGAGTTCAGGATTAAGGAGTCCTTGACAAAGATGCTTTATAATGAGGAACAGAACAAAGGCGAGAACAGTAAGGAAGAGGTCTTCTCAACTACACCTGAGGGGTTAGAAACAATATTGGGTTAAAGGTTTTCCTGAGATGTCCCCCAGAGTCGTGCTAAGAGAGGAGGCAGGGGGCTGAATTGGAGAGGAGAAATGAAAGGCTCACTCCAATTTCCAGGAGGAGGTCCACCTTCCTCTCTTCAACTTCTAAACCACTGGAGCTGGGGAGAGGAGCGTCGGGACCCATTAATCCTGCTGGATCATTTGGGCTGGGCCAGGAGTCCTATGTCTCCAGAGACAGTCTGCCCTCCAGTGATCCCCACTGCATATTGGACAGCATCAAGGTGGTTTCCTCCTGCTGTCCAGACAGTCCTTCCTAAACTGCCCTGGCTTGCCACATTTGTAGCGGTTATCAAGTGTATCCAGTGACTCTGGGGTTTGTGAGCATGTGAAGTGGCTATTAGAGCCTCTGCCTTTTTCTTGTGTCTCCTTTTCCTGTCTTGGGCCTCCTTCTAATCTGTATTGTAAAATACCAAGGTGACCACTTTCAGGAGGTTCTCTAAAGCACTATCTGGTCAAATGGCCTGTCTCTGCAGCTTCCTCCTGATATCAGGGGCTGCAAGAGTAATAAATTTATCCTTTAGAATTAGTTTTCCTTCGACTGAATCAGGAGATAGAGAGGTGTGCTTTACCAAGGCCTCTCTTAGCCTTTCTAAGAAGGCAGTGGGATTCTCTTCTAATCCATGGTCTATCATGGATAGTTTGGAGTAATTGATTGGCTTAGTCCTAGTTCTCCATAAGCCCTCCAGTACACACATCTGAAAGTGCTTCCTCTTCCATTCTCCCATTTCATCATTGGGGTCCCATTTAGGGTCCTCCAATGGTACTGCTATTCTTCCAATTGGATAAAGCTCATCCCCTTCCCTGGCACTAAATAAGATCCAAAGTTCATCTCCAAAATTCTCTGCCACTGTACAGCAGCCTGCTTTACAGCAGTACTGAGGATCCGATTCAAAAGTAACATAACGTTCTTCCAGGAGAGTTCAAATACTTGGATTAATTTCTGGAAAGCATCTATATACTTATCAGGGTCATCTGAAAACTTTCCAAGATCCCCCTTAATTTGCTTTAAGTCCTGTGGAGAAAAGGGGACCCAGACCTTAATGGGGCCATATTCACCAGGCCTCTGTTGTAGGGGCAGGAATGAGACTGGGACCTGCCTAAAATGAGGATTTCTAGGATGGGGCAAGCTTGAGAGAGAACCTACATAAGTAGGAGTGGAGGGAGAGTTGATTCCCCCACTGGAGGTACTTCTGGGGTTTGCTTCCCAAGTTCCCCGGGATTGCACCTTGCAACCTCTCCTGAGATGGCTGCTAGGAGGACTGAATCAATCTGACAATCTTGGCAATTTATACTCCTGCAAGGGAAAGACAGCCTGCACATATGGGACCTTGGACCATTTGCCCTCATGTTTACAGAAAAGGTCCAGCTGCAGGATGGTATTGAAATTAATGCTTCCTTCCTGAGGCCATGTTTCTCCTTCCTACAGAAAATAATTCAGCCACACCTTTGGGCAAAAGAATATGAGATACTTTTTCTCCAGAGACTGAGAGTCAAAGGAGCCACAGTGATTCAGAATACACTCTAGAAGAGCGTAGGCTGAAGACGATTTGTTACCCATCTAGAGGAGAGGACAGAAGAGGAAAAATGCATTTTTCCCTCTCTCCAGAGTCTGAAGGTCAAAGCAGTCCCAGTGATTCAGGATTCACTCAAAAGCAGTGCAGGCTGAAGATGATTGGTTGCCCATTTGGAAAAGAAGACAGAGGCAGAAAAAGGTGCTTTTTCTCTCTCCAGAGTTGGAGGGTCAAAGGGGTCCCAATGATTCAGGATGCATTAGAGAGGAGTGCTGGCTGAAGATTGTTGGTTACCCATATGGAAAGAGGGAAAAGTCATTCCTTTGTTCATTTTTCTTTCCAGCAAATACCAGGGGTACATGATGAAGACAAAAAAAGGCATCCCCTTCTTTCTCCTGACCTTATATCCACGAGTCCTGGTGACCTTTGCAGGTGCTGACCACAGGTGAAAGTGCAACCTTCACCCATGAAGCAGAAAGGCATAGCCAGCAGGAATGTTAGCACTCACCTACTCGATGCCTAAGCCTCCAACTGTAAGTAACCTTTGAGTTTCCTAGACCTTATCTATGCCATGGATGTGAGCATAACCTCCATCTATGAAGCAGGAGGGCCTAATTGGAAGGAATTAGTCATGCTCACCTGTGCTGTGCCCCTAGACTTCCCCTGTCATCTGCCTCTGTATCTCTCAGATCTAATTTTCCTTTCTAGGGCATCAAACCAAAGCTTAGGACAAAAGGGTGCCTTGGGAGAGTGTAGGGACCCATTAAATTAGGCCCAGATGGCCCTTGAAAAATTGCAGCCAGCAACCAGTGGGGCTGCTCCTCCATTGCTTCCCTATCATAAGAAGGTGAAGCTGTAGGACCAGGTCCTCCTCAAACAAGGGAGAGAAAGGGAGTCCGAGGAATTGGGGACCTGGCCTAACAAGATGCCTCCCAAGAGGAAAAAATCATTAGAAAATCTCCCTGTATTTGCAGGACTTTATTGACTCAACATGGTGAAGGAAAGAGAAAAGAAACAACTTAAGCACAAGGGAGGGGAAGGTGCTTGGAGGAAAAGCCTCTTGCCCTATGCAAATGGGTTTCTTCAACATGGGAAAGAGAAGTCTCAATTGTTATATCCTCCTTGATTCTAAGAAGAGACAGACACCAAATTGTTCTAATTTACATTCCTGATGACCAAGCCAAATACTCATTCTACCCAGTAATATTATCTCTGTGGTTTGCAACAACACCCTTAACATTGTATATAAAGAAGATCTAGGAGCCAAGGAAGGAAGGAAGGAAGGAAGGGAGGGAGGGAGGTGGGGGGGTGGAGAAAGAGAGAGAGGGAGGGAGAGAGAGAGAAAGAAAGAGAAAGAAAATAAAGAAAAAGAAAGAAAGAGAGAGAAAGAAAGAAAGAAAGAAAGACAGAAAGAAAGAAAAGAAAGAAAAGGAAAGACTGGAGGTCCTAGTGCTGACACTCTAACTGGCAGTTGGGAACTGGAGTTAGTCCAGGGGCCTTTGGATAACACCAAGTTGTAACCTTAACCATATACTCTCAGTTGCCCCAGGACCTTTTTCTGATCCCACTTGACAACTAGACCTTTCTGAAGGGAAACTGGATTAGAACAAAGCCAACATTCCCAACGCCTAAGGTGATGGGGGATTGACAGTGTCCTCTTCAGCAAACCTGTCCTCTGTATCTTAAGTCCAGCAGCCACATGAGTTGCTTTTAACTGGCTGGCAGAGGTGTGGTAGTTTGCTTTCATTTTGGCTATTGTGGAGTTTAGGGACTCTTAAAAAAGGACAGAAAGCAGCAAATCCACTTTTACTCACCCTTCCACAGATCCTGGATGAGCCCCCCAAAATGCCACAGGATCTTTGTGGTGTCACTTTTTCAGCTGGAAACCTTTGTGGCCAGTGATGTCTTTGTCTGAGTTTTGCTTGGGCCTACTGGGCTCATTCTGCCCACTCGGCCTGGCAGGCTGTGCTCAGCTCACGCTTCTGGCCTGGATCCCATGCCTGTCAAGGGCAAGCCAGGCACAAAGCAGTACATGAGTGAGTGAGTGTGGGGTCCAGACACTGTGTACAGCCAGGCACGGTGGCTGTCACAGGGCAGGCAGCTCCAGAAGCCAGGTCAGGTGCTGCTTCCTTGCAAGGCTGTGCTGGACAAGGTGTATTGCAAGTGGCTTCCACTGTGGGCACCAGGGAATGTGGTGGTGCCTGGAAGCTTGGAGATGCTAGTAACTGCTGCCTGGAAGCTTGGAGATGCTAGTAACTGCAGAGCCCCAAAGAGAGTGTCATAGCCTTGGCTCAAGGAGCTCCTAGGTCTGGGCTTCCCAAAGGGCTACAGCTCTTCTCTCCTTGTATTTTCTCTCCTTCTTGTCACCTGCAATGTGGTGAGTTGTGGGGGGGGATGCGTGTTTCAGTCCTCTGTGTGTTATAGCTCTTTTAGTCCCACCATTTGGCAAGTCCAGAGTTCTTGTCCTGCATCCAAGAAGAATGACATATGCAGAAAACTAGAGGGTGAGCAAGGCAAGGAGTTTATTTAGTGACAGTACAGCTCCTAGGAGACCCAAAGTTGGTAACTCTTATTTACCTGCAGATCATCCCATCCTCTGCCCAAGTCTGGCTGAGTCTGGGGTTTTTATGAGCTTCAGAGGGGAGGAAGTGCATGCTGATTGATCCATGGGCAGTGATGGGCAGGCCTGGAAAAAGCACAAGTTCTCACTCCAGTTTGCTCCGCAGAACTGACAGCCCCAGCCCAGCCCCTAGGCTTCAAGCCATCCCTGGCTTGAAGGTGGGGCTTCACCAGGGACCCACCTCCTTCTGCCTAGGAGCCTGTCTGCCTTTTGCCACCATCAACCTGCTGTCCATGGTGCTCAGGCTGTTTGTGCCAAGGGGCACCTGAAGCCCTGTGTTGAGCCACCCTCAGGTCCTGACTTGGTCTCTCTTCTATGCTCACCAGCACCCAAAGTCTGGAGGGGGCCAAGGCAGCAGGGGCTGGTGTGCCAGCAGCACCCTGAGTATGTGCACATCTGGCCAGGTTATGACAGCACCCAGGCTCGACTTCAACTTTGCTCTGAAATCTAAGTGGGTGCTGGGAGCAGGGAGAGGCCAGGCAGTGGGAGCAGGCACTTCTGAACCTGCAGGGGCAAGAGGCTTCCAGGGCCCCCAAGAGTGCAGGGATGCTTGGGTCTGCAACCATGGCTGAGTGGCTATAGCTGTGACATTGAGGCTGGGGTTCTAGCCCCACCAACGTAGAAGGGGGTGGGACTTTTTCCTGTTCCTTCTCCGTCAGACTTCATGGAATGCACAGCCCTGGCCTTGCCTTCCCCACTGCAGTTGGCATCTTTGCAGTGGCCACTCTAAACAGGCCACCTCTGCTGCCATAAAAATGCTACAGTAAATTTGTTACAGTGAAACTTTATTTGTATAACAATAAAACTTTACACAAACAGACAGTAGGCATGATTTTGTTCACCATCCACAGTTTACCAATACTTGCTCTACATAGTCTTGAACTTAAAATTGGTTATTCATACCTTTGCATTACAAATTATCCTTTGCATACATTTAAAATGTAGCTATGTCTGTAAAAACTCACACATCCCAAATTCCTCTGTATGATGTTGCAGACCCCACCCCATATTCATTCCGTCTGAATTATTCTCTAGCTACTTCAGTTTCTGGTAAGCTGATAGCAACCTATTTTAAGCGCCTGAATCTTTCTTCTTTTGTGAATGACGATTTCTCCAGAACTAGGTAGATATAAGAGTGTTAATCCCTCCAGAGCAAACTTCAGCCATTGGAAGATGGGAGTCGGAGGGTAAGTGGAAGCCTCTCTGTCCCCAGAGAGATAACTGTGAGCCATGCTCCATATGGTGTCTCAGAACATCCCAAATAGGATTAAGCTCCAGTTGCCTAAAGCAAAATCAGTTCATTACACACAATTTATTGGCATTTTTTTCTTTCCTTGTCTCTCTTTCTCATTTGTGCTTCCTGGAATCACTTCCCAAATCAACTGCTTGCGGTTATATTCTTGCCTAGAAGCAAGTGGGGTGCATGCAAACAGTGAAAACCTGATGAGTGAGAAGGAAGAGAAATTCTGACAGTGGGTAGATGGCACTAAAATGGATGGTGGCACATAAAAGACATAATGTGAGGTGTTGAAACAAGCCATTTAGTCCAAAGATATAGCTCAAACTCCCAATTTGCCACTTATTGTATAATTATCTGACTTTCAGCAAGTTACCTAAGCTCACTGAAGCTTTGTTTTCTCATATGAAATATTGGAAAAGTTCTCTCCTTATGTTTTTTTAATAAATATTTTTTAACTGTTTTAGACTCTCTGAAAAATTGTGATGATAGCACAGAATTTACATATTCTCAGTACCCAGTTTTTGCTATTATTTGTATCTTAGATTAGTATGATACGTTTGTTACAATTAATGAGCCTGTATTGAATCATTGTTATTTACTGATGTCCATTCTGTATTCAGATTTTCTTAGTTTTTACCTCACATCCTTTTACTGTTCCAGGATCCCATCCAGTCTAGCATATTTGTCCTATGTCCTTAGGCTCTTCTTGCTGTGGTAAATCCTTACACTTCCCCTGTTTTTGATTACCTTGACAATTTTGAGAACACTCGTCAGCTATTTTGTAGAATGTTCCTCCATTGGGATTTGTTTGATATTTTTCTCACGGTTAGACTACGGTTATGAGTTTCTGAAGGAAGATCACAGAGGTAAAGTACCATTTTCATTCCATCACACCAAGGGTAGTAGATATCAGTATGATTTTCAAAGTTCATGTTGACCTTAATCACCTAGCTGAGGAAGTGCTTGCCAGGGCTCTACACTATAAAGGCAACCTTTCCCCTCTATCAATACTGTACTCTTAGGAAGAAAGTCACAATGCATAGCTCACACTTAAAGAGTGAAGAGTTTTGAGCTACCTCCTTGAGGGTGAGACATAAATTAATTGAAATTCTTTTTTTGTCTGAGAGATTTGTCTCTTCTCTTCCCATTTATTTATTAATCTTATTTATTTATATTACTAAAGATTTGTGGATATTTATATTATATGTGGGGTTCAAACCCAATTCTACATTATTTATGTTGTTGCTCAAATTGTTTCAATTTGGTGAGTGAAAACTCTTGGATCCTGTGCTCTTTGATACATCCCCCATCAAAGTGAGTTTTTCTAAAGCACTTCCTTACTTTCTTACGCTACAAGATGACTTAGCCTGTATAATTCTTGTCCCAATCCAGTCACCTATTTCTCCAAGAATCCCTGACTCCTTTAATTGAGAATGTTATTAGAAGCCAAGGTCTGGGTGCCAGGTGTGCTCACTATGTTGTTCTAAGTCTTGAGTGAGATAAAAATAAAGAGCCCCAACATGAGACTCACAGGAACTACTAACAAACTTTAGTTAAACGTTCATTTTGACTAGCTCCAGCCCTGATAAGAATAGTCCTTAATAAAGTCTCACTTTATTTCTGAAATAATAAGGAATTAGTGTTATAAGGCCCTTTGTCTACTTCAGGGAAAGAGAAGCTGAAAAGGCAACTTGGAAGACTACACTTGTGCAGAATTGGCTTCCCTCAGAGAGAGTTTAGCATCCTTGGATCCCCCATGCCATTCTTGATTATTCATGTTTCATAAAGTCCTTTTCATTATTCCAAGATTATGATTATATTTACCCAATATATACTCTGAGATCTCCACCATTTTATCATGAGTTATTATTTTCATACACTCATAGATAAAAAGAATAAAATTTTAAAATCAAATGACATAGATTTCCCACTTCAGAAATTAGACAAAGAAAGGAAATTATGACCAAAGTAAGTAAAAAGGAGGACATAATGAGAGAAGAACAGTAATAAACGAAATGGAAAATGGACAAAGAATAGGAAAAACTAACATGTTAAAAGTTGGGTTCTCTTTGAAAAGGTTGATAAAAATGGCAACACCATAATAAGACTGATGAAGAATAAAAGATCAAGAAAAATTACAGATTACTGGTATAAGAATAAAATAGGGAATAATATCACAGATAACACAGAAAAAAATGATAACAAGAAAATCTTTTTAACAACATAAGGCCAATAAATTCAACAACTTAGATGAAATAGATAAATTTCTTGTCAATTACAACTTATAAAAATTGATATGTGGAGAAACAGAATATATGATTAACCTTATATTTAGTAAATAATGGAAGTCGGCCAGGCCCAGTGGCTCACACCTGTAATCCCAGCACTTTGGGAGGCTGAGGCGGGTGGATCACAAGGTTGGAAGAGTGAGACCACCCTGGCCAACATGGTGAAACCCTGTCTCTATTAAAAATACAAAAACTAGCCAGGCGTAGTGGTGTGTGCCTGTAGTCCCAACTACTCAGGAGGCTGAGGCAGGAGAATCCCTTGAACCCAGGAGGCAGAGGTTGCAGTGAGTTGAGATTGTGCCACTGCACTCCAGTCTGGGTGACAGAGTGAGACTCCATCTCAAAAAAATAAAAATAAATAAAATTAAATTAAAAATAATGGAAGTCATAATTAAAGCTTTCCCACAAAGAAAACTTCATGCCCACATAGCTTCACTGGTAAATTCTATCAAACATTTATGAAGAAGAAATAATATGGATCTTACACAAATTCGTTAGAAGAATACAAAAGGAACACCTCACAATTTATTTTATGAGGTCAGCGTAATCCTTCTATCAAATCAAATCCAGTGTGTTTTATTACAACATGACCAAGTAGTATTTACCTGAAGAATGTGAGGTTGGTTTAAGATTTGAAAATAATTCAATATAATTTACTACATTAAAGAACAAAGTCACACAATCCTTACTTTAAAAGAACAAATTCTCATCAAAGAAACAATACCCTTACATTATACTTACTGGGAAAGCATGAAAAGTTTTTCACTTGAAAATCAGAAACAAGACAAGTATGTTTACATTCATAACTTCTAAGCAACTGTATTGGAGGTCCTAGTTAGTGAAAGAAGGCAAAGAGCAAATCACAAGAAGCCTAAAGATTAAAAAAGGAACAAGTAAAGCTGTCTCTATTAATAAACACCATTTTTCATATGGAAAATGCAATGGAATCTACAAACAACTAGTAAAACAAGTAAATAAATTTAGTAAGGTCTAGCTGGGCGCGGTGGCTTACGCCTGTAATTCCCAGCACTTTGGGAGGCCGAGGCAGGTGGATCATGAGGTCAGAAGATCGAGACCATCCTGGCTAACACAGTGAAACCCCGTCTCTACTAAAAGTAGAAAAAAAATTAGCCGGGCGTGGTGGCGGGCGCCTGTAGTCCCAGCTACTCAGGAGGCTGAGGTAGGAGAATGGTGTGAACCTGGGAGGTGGAGCTTGCAGTGAGCCGCGATTGTGCCACTGCACTCCAGCCTGGGCGACAGAGGGAGACTGCATTTCAAAAATAAATAAATAAAAATAAATTTAGTAAGGTCTTAGAATGCAAGGTCAACATACAAAAAAGCAATTGTATTTCTAGACATTAGTAACAAACAATAGAAAAATGAAATTCTAAAAGCACTGCCATTTAAAATAGTATCAAGAAAACACAAAATAGTAATACATTTAATAAAAGGTAGTCAATACCTCTACACTGAAAACTATCAAAAACCTCTAAAAGAAAAATTTACTAAATGAAAAGATATAGTGTGTTTATAGATTGTAAGATACTATTTTGTTAAGATGCTAAACTAGGACAAGGATCAGAACACTATTTCTATAGATTCAGACTGTATGTATTTCAAGATTTATGGACCACACAATCTCTGTTGTAACTACTCAACATTTCAGTTATAAGACCAATCAACCACAGACAATGTAAAGATTGATGAGCATGACTGTGTTTTAATAAAATTTTATTTAAAAAAAAGATTGCCGGTCACATTAGCTTGGAGGCCATAGTTTGCCAAATTATAATTTAGAATATTAACTTGGTTTATATTAAATACTATTTTGTTAATGCTAGTATTAATAACATGAATATATTAATGTTAATTTAGAATATGTAAGGAACTCCTATAAATCGGTTTTAAAATACGAACAACCCTTTAATAAAATGGGTACAGACTTAACTAGACACTTTACTAGCGAAGATATACAAATGGCCAACACATAATACACAAAGGAAATAAATGGCCAACACATGAAAAGTTTTTCAATGCTTTGCTTTAACACAAATAAATTAAGTTCTACTTTCTTGAGAATAAATAGTGTAGCCCTTTGGTTAGTTTAATCCACAGAGAAAGCACTTTGATTTTGATTAAGAGATGTAGTCTCCCTTCTCACTACAGAGCTATTTATGATAATACTGGATGGGAGATGATTGGAGCCCCCATGTTAGTGAAGACGGACTCCCCAGCACTATTGCAGCAGGGTCAGAATTCAAGGTACTACAGATGCTTTTCCTTAAAATCTAGTCATCAGTTTTGTTGAAACTATCTGTGACTTTTAAAAAATACATTTCTGCACTAAAAATGGCAGTAATATTCAAACTAGCAATCTCACTACTGGGTATCTGTCCAAAGGAAAATAAACCATTTTATCAAAAAGACACCTGTAACGGGGCAAAGCAAACTGGCGGAACAGGACCCTACATAGTTAGTTCTCTGCTGGAACATCAAAGTTTAACAACTATCTGCACACAGAAAATTGCCATCACAAGAACCAAAAATCAGGTGAGCAATCATAATATCTGGTTTTAATTTCATATCACAAAAAGGGACATTGAAGAGGGTAGGAGAGACAGTCTTGAATCACTGATACCCCCCCTCCTTCATCCCCAGCAGCAGCTGTGTAGCTAAGAGAGAGGAACTTTGCAATTTGTGGAGGGAGAGTGCAGTGACTGAGGAACTTTACATTGAACTCAGTGGTTCCCTGTCACAGTAGAGAATAAAGCTGTACTGGGCTCAGCCAGCACCTTCACATGGAGGGAGCATTTGGACCAGCCCTAGCCAGAGGAAAATTGCCCATCCCAGCAGTTAGAACTTGAGTTTCTCAGCAAGCCTCGCCACCACAGACTGAAGTGTTCTGGGGTCCTAGGTAAACTTGAAGGGCAGTCCAGGATACCAGGAGTGCAATTTCTAGGCAACTTCTAGTACTAGGCTGTGCTTAGAACCAGTGGACTAGCACATGACCTAGGGAGACACCAGCTGGTGTGGCTAAGGCAGTGTTTGCACAATCTCTCCCTGAACCCCAATCAATGCAGCTTGCAGCAACAAATGTGACACCTTCCTTCTGCTTAAGGAGAGGAAAGTGAAAAGTAACAAAGTCTTGCATCTTAGGAACCAGCTCAGACATGGTAGGATGGGGCAGCAAACAGAGTCATGAGGCCCTAGGTCTTGAACAACATTCCCAGACACACCCTGGGCTAAAAGGGAACTGCTTCCTTGAAGGGAAGGACCATTCCTGGCAGAATTCATTACCTGTGATGAATGATATGGCTCTATGTCTCACCCAAATCACATGTAGGATTGTAATTCCCAATGTTGGGGGAGGGACCTAGTGGGAGGTGATTGGATCATGGGGGCATATTTCTTCCTTGCTGTTCTTGTGATAGTGAGTTCTTGTGAGATCTGGTTGTTTAAAGGTATGTAGCACTTCTCCCTCACTTTCTCTCTCCTACTCTGCCATGGTAAGACGTGCTTCTTTCCCTAAGCCTTCTGCCATGATTATAAGTTTCCTGAGGCCTCCCAGCCATATTTCTTGTTCAGCCTGTGGAACTGTGAGTCAATTAAACATCTTTTCTTCATAAATTACCCAGCCTCAGGTAGTTCTCTATAATGGTGTGAGAATGGACTAAAGCACCTGCTGACTCAAGAACCCTTGGGTGCTGAATAACCAGCAGAAATACCCAGAAAGCACATCATGGGCCTTGGGATCTGAGACATGCTACCTCAGAGTTTACCAAGCACTTTTCCAGCTGTGGTGGCTATGATGAAAGACTCCTGTTTGAGAAAAGTACAGGTAAAAATAAAGGGAACATTGTCTTGTATCTTTAACACCAGTTTGACCACAGTAGGGCAAAGCAACAAGAAGGCTCTTGGAATCCCTAAGTCCAGCCCTAAGTTCCTGGACAGAATTTCTAGAACTACCTTTGGCCAGAAGAGAGCCCACTTCCCTGAAGGGTAAGCTCCAGGCCTACCAGCATTCACCACAAGCTTACAAAAGAGCCCTTGGGATTTAAGTGAACATCAACGGTGGCCTGGCAGAACCCCCATGGACTGGTGGTGGTGGTGACCACAGGGAGAGGCTCCTCTGCCTGAGTAAAGGGGAGGGAAGAGTGGGAAGGACTCTGTATTGTGGTGTGAGTGTCAGCTTAGTTGCAGCAGAATATAACATTAAGTAAACTGCTAAGGTGTTTGACTTCAATTCCTGGCTCCCAGACAGCATCTCCGGACATGCCTGGTGACTGGAAGAACTTGCCACCCTGAAGGGAATGGACTTGGGCAAGACTCAGTGTTGTGCTGACTTTAGGTCTGACCCAGCATGGTCCCCGTGGTGCTGGCCACAGGGGTGCTTGCATCACCACATCCCCAGCTCCAGGTATCTCAGCACACACACACACACACACACACACACACACAGAGCCTCCATTTATTTGGGAGAAACCAAGGGAAAAGAACAAGAGTCTGCGGGTAATCAAAATAGTTCTTCCAGATCTTATTCAAAACCACCAGAGTGGTGCTTCCATGAGTCTAAAAAAACTACAGCAGTATTAGGCTTGGGGCCTATGTTCTTTTGAATACCTAGAAAGTCTTTCCAAGGACAGGTACAAACAAGCACAGACTGTGAAAACTACAGTAAATACCTAACTCTTTAATGTCCAGACACTGATGAACATCTACAAGCATTAACACTATTCAGGAAAACATCTCACCAAATGAACTAAATAAGGCACCAGGGACCAACCCCAGAGGATCAGAGATATATGATCCTTCAGACAGATAATTCAAAATAGCTATTTTGAGAAAACTGAATAAATAGCTATTTTGAGGAAACTCAAGAAAATTCAAGATAACACAGAGAAGAAATTCAGAATTCATAGAATTAATTAGATTTATTAATAATAAATGATTTGTTAATGATTAATTAATGATAGAATTAGTGATTACATTAATTCTATCAGATACATTTAACAAAGAGATTAAAATAATTAAAAAGAATCCAGCAAAAGTAACAACCACCATTGCCATTGGTAGTGTTAATTACCATTGTTAACTAGAAAGACTAAATGATAAACCAATCAAAAATAATGACTACAAAGACTTTTCAAGATGTACGCAGTACAATCAGACATAAAGAGAAACAACAACAAGTTAAAAAGTGGGGGATGAAGTCAAAGTGTAGAGTTTTTTTAGTTTTCTTTCTGCATACTTGTTTGTATATGCAATCAGTGTTGTCATCAGTTTAAAATGATAAGTTATAAGATAGTATTTGCAAGGCTCATCGTAACCTCAAATCTAAAAACATACAATGGATACACAAAAAGTAAAAAGCAAGAAATTAAAGAATACTACCAGAGAAAATCATGTTCACTAAGAAAGACAAGAAGGAAATAAAGAAGGATAGGACCACAAAAGAACCAGAAAACAAATTTTAAAATAGTAGAAAGAAGTCCCTAGTAGTCAATAATATTGAATGTAAATGCACTAAACTCTCCAATCAAAAGACATAGAGTGACTGAATGGATTAAAAAAAATAAGATTAAATGATCTGTTGCCAATAAGAAATAGAGTTCACTTATAAGGACACATATAGACTGAAAAAAAGAGATAAAAAAAGATATTTCATGCCAATGGAAACCAAAAAAGAGCAGAAGTAGCTATCCTTATTTCAGACAAAATAGATTTCAAGACAAAAGCTGTAAGAGACAAGGAGGTCACTTTATAATAATAAAGGAGTCAATTCAGCAAGTGGATATAATGATTGTAAATATATATGCACCCACTACTAAAGCACATGATATATAAAGCAAATATTATTAGAGCTAAAGAGAGAGATAAACCCCAATACAATAATGGCTGGAGACTTCAACACCCCACTTACAGCTTTGGACAGATCTCCCAGACAGCAAATCAGCAAAGAAACATCAGACGTACTCTATACTACAGACCAAATTAATCTAACAGATATTTTCAGAACATTTTATCCAGTGGCTGCAAAATACACATTCTTTTCCACAGCACATGGATCATTCTTAAGAATAGACTATATGTTAGGTAAAAAAAAGTCTTTTTTGTTGTTATTTAGTTTTTATTTCATAACCATAAACTTAACTCTGCAATCCAGCTAGGCATGGAAGGGAACATGGAACCCAAAGGGAACTGCAGTGAGAGCACACAAATTATAGGATACTGTGAGCAAATGCGGTGGAGGAGTGCTCTCCTAAGCTACAGAAGGAATGGTCTGGTGGTTAAGATAAAACACAAGTCAAACTTATTAGAATTGTCCACAGTCAGCAATGGTAATCTTCTTGCTGGTCTAGCCATTCCTGGACCCAAAGTGCTCCATGGCCTCTACAATAGTCATGCCTTCTTTCACCTTGCCAAAGACCACATGCTTGCCATCCAACCACTCAGTCTTGGCAGGGCAGATGAAAAACTGGGAACCATGTGTGTTGGGTTCAGCATTTTCCATGGACAAGATGCCAGGACCTGTGTGCTTTAGGATGAAGTTTTCATCATCAAATTTCTCCCCGTAGATGAACTTGCCACCAGGGCCATTATGGTATGTAGAAATAAGTGACACATAAACCCTGACACATAAACCCTGGAATAATTCTGTGAAGGCAAGAACCATTATAACCAAATCCTTTCTCTCCAGTGCTCAGAGCATGAAAGTTTTCTGCTGTCTTCAGAAACTTGTCTGCAAGCAACTCAAAGCAGACATGGCCCAAAGGCTTACCGTTGATGGCGATGTCAAAGAACATGGTGGGTTGACCATGGCTAAGGCACAGGGCTCCCAGTGGCAGCTGCATCTGCAAAGTAAAAAAAACAAAGTCTTAAAACATTCGAAAAATTGAAATATCAAGTATTTCCCTGATCACAATGGAATAAAACTAAAAATCAATCAAGAATTTTGGAAACTATACAAACACATGAAAATTAAAAACTATGCTCCTAAATTGATCAGTGGGCCAATGAAGAAATTGAGAAGGAAATTGAACATTTTCTTGAAACAAATAATAATGGAAACACAACATATCAAAACATATGAGATATAGCAAGAGTAGTACTAGGAGGGAGCTGTATGTGCCTACATCAAAAAAGAAAATCAGAACATCAAATAAATAACCTAAGGATGCATCTTAAAGAACTGGGAAAGCAAGAGCAAATCAAACTTAAAGCTAGGAGAAGAAAAGAAATAATAATGATCAAAACAGTAATAAATTACTTTGAAATGAAGAAAACAAGACAAAAGATCAGTGAAAAAAAAGGTGAATTTTTGAAAAGATAAACAAAATTGACAAATCTTTAGCCAGACTAATTAAGAAAAAAAAGAGAGAAGACCCAAATAAATAAAATCAAAGATAAAAATAGAGATATTACAACTGATAACACAGCAATTCAAAGGATCATTAGTGGCTGCTATGAACAATTATATGCCAATAAATTAGAAAATCTAGAAAAAAATGAGTAAATTCCTAGACACATGCAACTTACCTAGATTGAACCATGAAGAAATCCAAAACCTGAACAGACCAAAGACAAGTAATGAGATCAAAGCCGTAACAAAAACTCTCCCAGTTAAAAAAAAAAAAAAAGCCCCAGACCCCAATATCTTCACTGCTGAATTCTACTAAAAGTTTAAAGAACTAATACCGGGGGGGAGGAGCCAAGATGGCCAAATAGGAAGAGCTCTGGTCTACAGCTCACAGCATGAGCAACGCAGAAAACGGTGATTTCTGCATTTCCATCTGAGGTACCGGGTTCATCTCACTAGGGAGCGCCACACAGTGGGCGCAGGTCAGTGGGTGCGCGCACCGTGCGCGAGCCGAAGCAGGGCAAGGCATTGCCTCACTTGGGAAGCGCAAGGGGTCAGGGAGTTCCCTTTCCGAGTCAAAGAAAGGGGTGACTGATGGCACCTGGAAAATCGGGTCACTCCCACCCGAATACTGCGCTTTTCCGACGGGCTTAAAAAACGCCGCACCACGAGATTATATCCCACACCTGGCTTGGAGGGTCCCACGCCCACGGAGTCTGGCTGATTGCTAGCACAGCAGTCTGAGATCAAACTGCAAGGCGGCAGCGAGGCTGGGGGAGGGGCGCCCGTCATTGCCCAGGCTTGATTAGGTAAACAAAGCAGCCGGGAAGCTCAAACTGGGTGGAGCCCACCACAGTTCAAGGAGGCCAGCCTGCCTCTGTAGGCTCCACCTCTGGGGGCAGGGCACAGACAAACAAAAAGACAGCAGTAACCTCTGCAGACTTAAATGTCCCTGTCTGACAGCTTTGAAGAGAGCAGTGGTTCTCCCAGCACGCAGCTGGAGATCTGAGAACGGGCAGACTGCCTCCTCAAGTGGGTCCCTGACCCCTGAGCAGCCTAACTGGGAGGCACCACCCAGCAGGGGCACACTGACACCTCACACGGCAGGGTATTCCAACAGACCTGCAGCTGAGGGTCCTGTCTGTTAGAAGGAAAACTAACAAACAGAAAGGACATCCACACCAAAAACCCATCTGTACATCATCATCATCAAAGACCAAAAGTAGATAAAACCACAAAGATGGGGAAAAAACAGAACAGAAAAACTGGAAACTCTAAAAAGCAGAGCGCCTCTCCTCGTCCAAAGGAACTCAGTACCTCACCAGCAACAGAACAAAGCTGGATGGAGAATGACTTTGACGAGCTGAGAGAAGAAGGCTTCAAACGATCAAATTACTCTGAGCTACGGGAGGACATTCAAACCAAAGGCAAAGAAGTTGAAAACTTTGAAAAAAATTTAGAAGAATGTATAACTAGAATAACCAATACAGAGAAGTGCTTAAAGGAGCTGATGGAGTTGAAAACCAAGGCTCGAGAACTACGTGAAGAATGCAGAAGCCTCAGGAGCCGATGCGATCAACTGGAAGAAAGGGTATCAGCGATGGAAGATGAAATGAATGAAATGAAGCAAGAAGGGAAGTTTAGAGAAAAAAGAATCAAAAGAAATGAGCAAAGCCTCCAAGAAATATAGGACTATGTGAAAAGACCAAATCTACGTCTGATTGGTGTGCCTGAAAGTGATGGGGAGAATGGAACCAAGTTGGAAAACACTCTGCAGGATATTATCTAGGAGAACTTCCCCAATCTAGCAAGGCAGGCCAACGTTCAGATTCAGGAAATACAGAGAACGCCACAAAGATACTCCTCGAGAAGAGCAACTCCAAGACACATAATTGTCAGATTCACCAAAGTTGAAATGAAGGAAAAAATGTTAAGGGTAGCCAGAGAGAAATGTCGGGTTACCCTCAAAGGGAAGCCCATCAGACTAACAGCGGATCTGTCGGCAGAAACCCTACAAGCCAGAAGAGAGTGGGGGCCAATATTCAACATTCTTAAAGAAAAGAATTTTCAACCCAGAATTTCATATCCAGCCAAACTAAGCTTCATAAGTGAAGGAGAAATAAAATACTTTATAGACAAGCAAATGCTGAGAGATTTTCTCACCACCAGGCCTGCCCTAAAAGAGCTCCTGAAGGAAGCACTAAACATGGAAAGGAACAACTGGTACCAGCTGCTGCAAAATCATGCCAAAATGTAAAGACCATCAAGACTAGGAAGAAACTGCATCAACTAACGAGCAAAATAACCAGCTAACATCATAATGACAGGATCAAATTCACACATAACAATATTAACTTTAAATGTAAATGGATTAAATGCTCCAATTAAAAGACACAGACTGGCAAATTGGATAAAGAGTCAAGACCCATCAGTGTGCTGTATTCAGGAAACCCATCTCATGTGCAGAGACACACATAGGCTCACAATAAAAGGATGGAGGAAGATCTACCAAGCAAATGGAAAACAAAAAAAGGCAGACGTTGCAATCCTAGTCTCTGATAAAACAGACTTTAAACCAACAAAGATCAAAAGAGACAAAGAAGGCCATTACATAATGGTAAAGGGATCAATTCAACAAGAAGAGCTAACTATCCTAAATATACATGCACTCAATACAGGAGCACCAAGATTCATAAAGCAAGTCCTGAGTGACCTACAAAGAGACTTAGACTCCCACACATTAATAATGGGAGACTTTAACACCCCACTGTCAACATTAGACAGATCCACGAGACAGAAAGTCAACAAGGATACCCAGGAATTGAACTCAGCTCTGCACCAAGTGGACCTAATAGACATCTACAGAACTCTCCACCCCAAATCAACAGAATATACATTTTTTTCAGCACCACACCACACCTATTCCAAAATTTAACACATACTTGGAAGTAAAGCTCTCCTCAGCAAACGTAAAAGAACAGAGATTATAACAAACGATCTCTCAGACCACAGTGCAATCAAACTAGAACTCAGGATTAAGAATCTCACTCAAAACCGCTCAACTACATGGAAACTGAACAACCTGCTCCTGAATGACTACTGGGTACATAACAAAATGAAGGCAGAAATAAAGATGTTCTTTGAAACCAACGAGAACAAAGACACAACATACCAGAATCTCTGGGACGCATTCAAAGCAGTGTGTAGAGGGAAATTTATAGGACTAAATGCCCACAAGAGAAAGCAGGAAAGATCCAAAATTGACACCCTAACATCACAGTTAAAAGAACTAGAAACGCAAGAGCAAACACATTCAAAAGCTAGCAGAAGGCAAGAAATAACTAAAATCAGAGCAGAACTGAAGGAAATAGAGACACAAAAAACCCTTCAAAAGATCCATGAATCCAGGAGCTGGTTTTTTGAAAGGATCAACAAAATTGATAGACCGCTAGCAAGACTAATAAAGAAAAAAAGAGAGAAGAATAGACGCAATAAAAAATGATAAAGGGGATATCACCACCGATCCCACAGAAATACAAACTACCATCAGAGAATACTACAAACACCTCTACGCAAATAAACTAGAAAATCTAGAAGAAATGGATAAATTCCTCGACACATACACTCTCCCAAGACTAAACCAGGAAGAAGTTGAATCTCTGAATAGACCAATAACAGAAGCTGAAATTGTGGCAATAATCAATAGCTTACCAACCAAAAAGAGTCCAGGACCAGATGGATTCACAGCTGAATTCTACCAGAGGTACAAGGAGGAACTGGTACCATTCCTTCTGAAACTATTCCAATCAATAGAAAAAGAGGGAATCCTCCCTAACTCATTTTATGAGGCCAGCATCATTCTGATACCAAA
The DNA here is from genome assembly GCF_000001405.40 of Homo sapiens. NCBI lineage: Eukaryota > Metazoa > Chordata > Mammalia > Primates > Hominidae > Homo > Homo sapiens. Next base: position 5,007,667 of record NC_000018.10, read on the forward strand.
GCCGGGCAGAGACACAACCAAAAAAGAGAATTTTAGACCAATATCCTTGATGAACATTGATGCAAAAATTCTCAATAAAATACTGGCAAAATGAATCCAGCAGCACATCAAAAAGCTTATCCACCATGATCAAGTGGGCTTCATCCCTGGGATGCAAGGCTGGTTCAATATACACAAATCAATAAATGTAATCCAGCATATAAACAGAGCCAAAGACAAAAACCACATGATTATCTCAATAGATGCAGAAAAAGCCTTTGACAAAATTCAACAACCCTTCATGCTAAAAACTCTCAATAAATTAGGTATTGATGGGACGTATTTCAAAATAATAAGAGCTATCTATGACAAACCCACAGCCAATATCATACTGAATGGGCAAAAACTGGAAGCATTCCCTTTGAAAACTGGCACAAGACAGGGATGCCCTCTCTCACCACTCCTATTCAACATAGTGTTGGAAGTTCTGGCCTGGGCAATTAGGCAGGAGAAGGAAATAAAGGGTATTCAATTAGGAAAAGAGGAAGTCAACTTGTCCCTGTTTGCAGACGACATGATTGTATATCTAGAAAACCCCATTGTCTCAGCCCAAAATCTCCTTAAGCTGATAAGCAACTTCAGCAAAGTCTCAGGATACAAAATCAATGTACAAAAATCACAAGCATTCTTATACACCAGCAACAGACAAACAGAGAGCCAAATCATGAGTGAACTCCCATTCACAATTGCTTCAAAGAGAATAAAATACCTAGGAATCCAACTTACAAGGGATGTGAAGGACCTCTTCAAGGAGAACTGCAAACCACTGATCAAGGAAATAAAAGAGGATACAAACAAATGGAAGAACATTCCATGCCCATGGGTAGGAAGAATCAATATCGTGAAAATGGCCATACTGCCCAAGGTAATTTACAGATTCAATGCCATCCCCATCAAGCTACCAATGCCTTTCTTCACAGAATTGGAAAAAACTACTTTAAAGTTCATATGGAACCAAAAAAGAGCCCGCATCGCCAAGTCAATCCTAAGCCAAAAGAACAAAGCTGGAGGCATCACACTACCTGACTTCAAACTATACTACAAGGCTACAGTAACCAAAACAGCATGGTACTGGTACCAAAACAGAGATATAGATCAATGGAACAGAACAGAGCCCTCAGAAATAACGCCGCATATCTACAACTATCTGATCTTTGACAAACCTGAGAAAAACAAGCAATGGGGAAAGGATTCCCTATTTAATAAATGGTGCCGGGAAAACTGGCTAGCCATATGTAGAACGCTGAAACTGGATCCCTTCCTTACACCTTATACAAAAATCAATTCAAGATGGATTAAAGACTTAAATGTTAGACCTAAAACCATAAAAACCTTAGAAGAAAACTTAGGCATTACCATTCAGGACATAGGCATGGGCAAGGACTTCATGTCTAAAACACCAAAAGCAATGGCAACAAAAGACAAAATTGACAAATGGGATCTAATTAAACTAAAGAGCTTCTGCACAGCAAAAGAAACCACCATCAGAGTGAACAGGCCACCTACAAAACGGGAGAAAATTTTCGCAACCTACTCATCTGACAAAGGGCTAATATCCAGAATCTACAATGAACTCAAACAAATTTACAAGAAAAAAACAAACAACCCCATCAAAAAGTGGGCAAAGGACATGAACAGACACTTCTCAAAAGAAGACATTTATGCAGCCAAAAAACACATGAAAAAATGCTCATCATCACTGGCCATCAGAGAAATGCAAATCAAAACCACAATGAGATACCATCTCACACCAGTTAGAATGGCAATCATTAAAAAGTCAGGAAACAACAGGTGCTGGAGAGGATGTGGAGAAATAGGAACACTTTTACACTGTTGGTGGGACTGTAAACTAGTTCAACCATTGTGGAAGTCAGTGTGGCGATTCCTCAGGGATCTAGAACTAGAAATACCATTTGACCCAGCCATCCCATTACTGGGTATATACCCAAAGGACTACAAATCATGCTGCTATAAAGACACATGCACACGTATGTTTATTGTGGCATTATTCACAATAGCAAAGACTTGGAACCAACCCAAATGTCTAACAATGATAGACTGGATTAAGAAACTGTGGCACATATACACCACGGAATACTATGCAGCCATAAAAAATGATGAGTTCATGTCCTTTGTAGGGACATGGATGAAATTGGAAAACATCATTCTCAGTAAACTATCGCAAGAACAAAAAACCAAACACTGCATATTCTCACTCATAGGTGGGAATTGAACAATGAGATCACATGGACACAGGAAGGGGAATATCACACTCTGGGGACTGTTGTGGGGTGG